>NC_000001.11:13004384-14269310 GCF_000001405.40 Homo sapiens | reverse complement strand
CCCAAAGGAGTCCTTTAGGCATCTTTTTTCCTATTCACCACCCATCCCACGAAATTTTAATGCTACAGATACATTGTGTATCTGTTTATATACGTGGCCCTTTGGAAAACCATGAAATTGTAATATCTAAATCCCCTCTTCCAAGAAGCAATTTTCACCCCCTTGGGGGCAATATCATCCCTGTTGAAAATTCCCCTTAAGAGACAGAGAGAGAGAGAGAACCCAGCCAAATAAAAGCCTTACTCACAGTAACATCTCCTTAATTATTCTGTATTTTATAATGGGCAGAGTTAGCTCCGGTAGCAAATCTGGTAATTTGTACTCAAACATATTGAAAGACATTAAAAACTTTCATTTGCTCCCAGCACATTAATGACCGCAAGCGTGAGAGATAGACTTATCCTGGATTACTGTACTCTTTGAAAAATGATGGAAGTTGCTTTTTTAAATTAAGGTGGCAACACCACTGATAATTTAAACATTGCAGGCATTCCAAAATGCTGTGATTTGCAACACCAGTTTTAATTAATGCCTGCAACCTGGCTGTGAAAATTGGGACCTGTAATTTGTGAGTTACAATAACTGCTAGTGTTTATTAACCTAGCAGGTCAAATTCTGGTTTCATGGTCGCATATATACATATATATCATCACCTATTAAACTTCAAGTTGAAAGCCAACTGGAGAGGGAAATTATCACCCACAGGTAATGCATCATCATTGAAAACAGAGGTGAGAGCAGAATGGAAGGTTTTCTCCTTCCCCTCCATCCTGCCTCACTTGGTTAACCCCTTCCTCTCAATCTGTGCTGTTGAGTTTCTTTTCCTTTTTTTTTTTTTTAACACAGTGTCAAATCCATTACTGTATTGCCATCCTTCTCATTCTATACAAAAATCTTCTTGTTTTCAAACTGGATGATATATCTTCTGAGGATTTCTTTCACCTTATTAACTTCAATCTATTCATCTGAGGATATGAGTCGGCCCTATGTGCTAGGCACTGCAACGGGCCTTGGAATATCATGAAAATAATGTCAGCACCACAGTTAGCTCTTACAGAGCACTATGTACCAGGCACTGTGCAAATATCTTCACATATATTAACTTCCTTAAGCCTTGCAACCTTCTGTGATGAGTCAGACCTAGCCACTAACCTCAAGGTGTCTACTATGCAGTGGAACTAGCTGCATTGGCTTAGCTTGATTGCAGGTACCTGAAAGGTTTGCAGTACCTCACACAGAGGTATTGAGCCAGAGGCTGGGCTCAAAAAATTGTTGGCCAATTCAATTTAACCAGAATCAAAATAAACTTGAGAATATATACATAACAGCTTTTCTTTTCTCTTTTCTTTTCGAGACAGAGTCTTGCTCTGTCACCCAGGCCCAAGTGCAGTGGCATGATCTCAGCTCACTGCAAACTCCGCCTCCTGGGTTCAAGTGATTCTCCTGCCTCAGCGTCCCAAGTAGTTGGGATTACAGGTGTGCACCACCATGCCTGGCTAATTTTTGTATTTTTAGTGGAGACAGGGTTTCTCCATGTTGGCCAGGCTAGTCCTGACATCAAGTGATCCGCCCGCCTCAGCCTCTCAAAGTGCTGGGATTACAGGCGTGAGTGCCTGCACACATTATAGCTTTTCTGGGTATAGATTCATTCGTTCTTTTAGTCGTGGTTACATATATGTTATATTATAGTTTTCCCTTTGTATCCATGGGGGATTGGTTCCTGGACCTCCCTTGGACACTAAAATCCAAGGATGCTCAATTCTTTTATAAAAAACGGTATAGTATTTGTATATAACCAAGGAACATCCTCCCATGTACTTTAAGTCAAACTTGTCCAATCCTTGGCCCATGGGCTGCATGAGGCCTGGGATTGCTTTGAATGTGGCCCAACACAAATTTGTAAACCTTCTTAAAACATAGATATTTTGTGATTTTTTTTTTTTTTTTTTTTGCTTATCGGCTATTGTTAGTGTATTTTATGTGTAGCCCAAGACAATTCTTCTTCCAGTGTGGCCCAGGGAAGCCAAAAGTTTGGACACCCCTCCTTTAAATCAACTCTAGATTACTTACAATACCTAATACAATGTAAATTCTATGTAAATAGTTGTTACACTGTATTTTTAAAATTTGTATTATTTTTAGTTATATTTTTATTTTCAAATATAGCAGATCCTCAATGTTGTTTCATTCAATGTTGTTTAGTGATAATGTTGATGAGAAAAAAAAATTTGGGAACATCACACACCAGCGGGGACTGTTGTGGGGTGGAGGGAGGGGGGAGGGATAGCATTAAGAAATATACCTAATGCTAAATGACGAGTTAATGGGTGCAGCACACCAACATGGCAAAAGTATACATATGTAGCAAACCTGCATGTTGTGCACATGTACCCTAAAATTTAAAGTATAATAATAATAATAAAATAAAAAGAAGAAAAAAAAGTTGGTTCCCACCAGGGCCACTGTCTGTGTGAAATTTGCATATTCTCCCAATGTCCACCTGGGTTTTCTCCACATCCTCCGGTTTCCTCCCACATCCCAAAGATGTGCATGTTAGGTGAATTGGCATGTCTACGTCCCAGTGTGAGTGTGGGGGGGTGCGAGTGTCCCTTGCGATGGAATCGTGTCCCATTCACGACTGGTCCCCACCTCACGCCTGCTGAGTTGGCTGTGACTACCATTGACCCTGAACTGGAATAAATGGGTAAATTATTATCTTGTGTGTTTTTATTAAGCTTTCTTAAGTGTGCGTAAAACTCACATTTATTTCAATTTGGTATTAAAAGCATTTCAGGGTCTTCATTTAGAAGTTTGGTGATGCTTTTGTGAGTACAAATATGCCATAGTAATTTAACCCTGGTTTGTATCAATTAGCGTGTGGTAAAATTAGTTTCCATATACATCATCAATGTTTAATGAGGACTTTAGCATATTGTTGATCTGCAGATGGCTAATCTGAGGATGTGAGATATAGAGAGATACAGACAGCCAACTGAATTTGGTTATATTTCTTCTCGAAGCAAAAGTGCTGGGTTTTAACCTGTGTCTTTACAGTGCAGTAGCAATGACAGCAATGCTGATGTAATTACATTCTGGCTGCGTGGTTAAGTTGAAAGTGCCATCCAGACACAGGTAAAGACACATAGAGTTATAACAATTTATTATATCCCTCTCTCCATCTGCCTATTTCTCTACCCACCCACCTATCCATCCATATATTCATCCATTCATTCACCCTCCCATCCATAGTGCCAGACATCAGGCAATGAGAGAAACAAAGCTGTTCACATCAGATAGGGGGCATGATTCAAACTTATCTCCAGTTTAAAAGAAACAACACCCGAGGGAGAGGACAATCTAGGTAAATTCCAATCTGAAACACTTGGCAGTTGTTCTTTTTGCAGAATCTTGTAAGGTTAGTTACTCTCCAATTAGTTCAATGAGAGATGGAAATGGAAATTAAGGAAAAGGGCAAATCACCACCTGCTGGTAACTCTCCCTAGAGAGCATCCTCCACTATCTGCAAATAGGAGTCCTGAGTTCTGGACCTGTTTTTGCCATGATGTCATCTTTGATGAATTACTTAATCATTCTCTGCATCTGTTCCTTCCTGAGTCCCAAGGATGCTGTGGGGGCATGTGAAATAAAATTTCCACACTGAGGGTTCGATTTCTGATTCCTTGGCAGGGACTAGGGTGAAACAGTTGCCTCTCCAATCTGCTGGGGTTAAGCATCGCTGTAAGGAAGCATTCTGCTAAGCATGCCAGATGACACTTGTGGTCACTTGACTGTTCCCTAAAGTCCCTGCTCAAGGCTAGTGCTTTTCCCATTTTTATCATTGCTGCGTATTTCACCATGCAGCCAGCAACCTTGAAGTGGTCCCTTACCCTTAAGTTTGTGGGGTCTCTCTCCATACTTATTGGAGTTGTGATAATGCGTAGGTGGTATAACAATCTTGGTGCCTTTTCCATAGAACCAAACTATCATGTTTGATTAGTTAAACCAATGCCCAGAGCTCCAAAGTATGAGCATCTCTGAGCCCACAAGACTGAGAGGTTACAAGGAGGCCTGACAGATCTCTTCAGCCACAATAGTGTTAGACCTTCTTCTTTACTTTGTGGAATGTCGTTATTTAGAAACCTACTAATTTGGAATAATGAATGGTAGTTGGGATACCATCTGGGCCAAAATTCAACTTTGTGCTAGTTATGGAAAATAAAACACTTGTTAAACTAAAATTATTGATATAAATAAGACTTAGGAGAGAATGTTTAAACTATATGAAGATAAAATACTTTCATGTATGTATAAATCACCTGGAAGTCACTCAATTTATCCCTTCCTTCCCCAGAGATGTCCATGCCCTAATCACTCATGAATAAGAGACTTTGCAGATGTAACAAAGGTTACAGACCTTAAAATATAGAGATTTTCCTGGACTACCTATACTGTCCCAATCTAATTACTGAACCATTAAAAGCAGAGAAATTTATTTGTTTGGAGTCAGAGAGATGTGGCAGAAGAGGAAATTGATTTGAAGCATGAAAGGTACTTAATCCACTGTCGTAGTCTGTTTTGTGTTATTGTAACAGAATACTACAGATGGGTAATTTATAAGGAAAACAAATTTACTTCTCACAGTGCTGAAGGCTGAGAAGTCCAGTAACAAGGTACCAGCATCTTGTAAGGACCTTCTTGCTGTATCATACTATGGCAGATGGTAGAAGGGCAAGAGAGGGTGAGGGTGGGAGAGAGAGAGGATGGGGGTAGGACTCATCCTTTTATCAAGAACACACTCTGTTGATAACTAACCCACTTCTGGAATAACAGCATTAATCTATTTGTGAGGGCAGAACCTTCATGAACTCATTACCTCTTAAAGGTTCCACCTTCCAACGCTGTTGCATTGAGGATTAAGTTTTAGGGGACACATTAAAATCATAGCAGCTGATGTGACTGGAAGAGAAGTTGTGTCAAGCATGAGAAGGAATGTGAGTGGCCTCTAGCAAACACCCACTCCTGGCTGACAGTCACCAAAGAAATGGAGACTTCAGTCCTACAATTGCGAGGAACTGAATTTGACCAACAACCTGAATGAGCTCAGAAGCAGACTTAGGTTTAGAACCTGCAGAAAGAAACACAGTCCTGCTGCCACTTTGGCCGTGTTTATGTGAGACTCCATGAGAGGACCCAGCTGACTCACACTGTACCCTGATTTCAGACCTACAGAACTGTAAGATAACAAGTGTGTGCTGTTTTAAGCCACTAAATTTGTGGTAGTTTATAGCAGCAAACTAAAAATAAAAATTAATGCAACAGGGGAGATATTAAAAATAATTAATAGCTGAGATAGCCCAGGAGCTGACGACCCACCAGTCAGATGGCCAGAAGGCCAAGGCAGGGCATCCTGGCTGACTATCCCCCTGGCAGATGCATAACTTCAAAGATGGTGATAAATCATTCTTAGCGATTTGTGCCAGTAGGTCTCTAAGAGGCAGCATGCTGTCAACTTGAGCTCTGTTCACTGCGTGTCCTTAAACATAGCAAAAGGGATATTCTTTGATAACTATTTAGCAGTTCAGTTTACATTTCTACCTCATACAAATCCCAAACCATCCTTTCTGTTAGTTTGCTTTTACAGTTTGAATTGCACCCCAGCCCCACCCTGCCCCCGCTCCCACACTTTTTCCCTTTAGCAGCAATCTCTATACCCAGAAATCATCGCTGAAACCAAACCAGAGTTTTGTCTTTGCATTCAGAATCCTTCCTGGCTGACGTGATGACAAGAGAAGCTCAGGGTTGCCAGAGTCATATTAGAGAGAATGAAATTAGACTAATATGTTTGTCAACCATCAGCAAGCTCAGCCTCCCCAATTATCCTGTCTAATTAGATTAGAGGCTGACAGCTGAGAGCACACCCTGTGACATTTTAGCTTGCCATCTAAAAATGAGGAACACACAACCCTGCTTGTTTATCTCATTTAAACCCAGATCATCTTTCGAGTTGTTACAAGAACTGATTTTTGTAATTAGCTGACATTTGTATTACATCAGTTTATCTTCTCTGCTCAACATACAATAGACCTAGGGGTTTGTGGTTTATGGTCTATGGCTTTCAACATGGCTTAAAGAAACCCTGGGAAGTAAAGTTGAGCTCTAGGCATCTTCAAAAAACTTGGTAAACTGCATGGAGACACTTGGTTTGGGTTCCCGCTAAAATCTCAGAGTAACATAGTAAAAGTCATAAATAGTCATCAACAGTTCTTGAATCAGCTCAGAGTGGAAAATGGATATACACGCATGCACGCCACATGATTTGACTTAGAAATAAAACCCACGGATCACACGGTAGGAATTTTATTAGTTACAGAGTGTTATACAGAGGTTGTGGAGAAGGCAGTAAATTTCCACTCTGATTTTAAAGGGGAATAAAACACCCCTCTCTCAACAGCTATTCTCAGTTCTAGCTACAAGCCTGGTGTTGCCGGAGATTTCATTATGGCTTCTTGTAACAACGACCGAATGATTTACGACTTGTACAAACTGCCTTACAGGAGATAGCTGGAGAAATGGCTCTCAGAAAAGCCTGTATTTCTTACTACAGAACTGGTGGAAACAATAAATTTGAACAGAGGGCTTAACAAGGTTTTTGAACAGAGATTTAAAGTGGTTTTATCATGGGGGTCCTTCCAGTATTAAATGACATCGGACAGTGTTCAAGGCAGGTGACCCATCTTAAGCTACTGAATTCCACAGTGTGGAATGTGAGAGCTAAAACAAGGCTCTAGCGTAGAATTTAGTCAGCAAAGTAAGTAGAGGTGAAGTGGCTAACATGACCAGCAACATGTAGAAAGTTATAAACTTTTAAAAGCGGCAATTGCCAAAGCTATTGGCAATTACAGCTTTGGCAATTACGGCTTTTAAAAGTTTCCACATAGGTTATCTACAGAATGTGCTTTTACCAATTTTAGTCATCTAAGAGCCACAAGGAGGGGTTTCTGCCATAGCTATGTACCACTTATATGGTCTGCTTAATATTCTTTTTAAATTTTTATTTTTAATAGATACAGAGTCTTGTTATATTGCTAGGGCTCGTCTCAAACTCCTGGGCTCAAGCAATCCTCCTGTCTCAGCTTCCCAAAGTGCTGGGATTACAGGGGTGAGTCATCATACCCAGACTTCTTAATATTCAAAAACAACTCACTTTTATTTTTCATATACAAATTTAATTCTAAAAATTTGCATCATTGGTTTGATATGCTAGTTATATTTCTCCAACATAGATTAAATACATACATGACTATTAAAATCTCAGGGTTCTTCTATGTGTCCCCTAAAAGCATGATGTATGCCAGTGGTCATCTGTCCACCACCATTTGGGGACCACGGCATTTAGGTAAAGTGGGTCTCGGATGACCTCCTTCAGCTTAACAGCAGGAGTTGAGATGGAGCCCTTGCAATTTCCCCACTGAATTCCAGAAGCAAGGAGAAAGACTGAAGTGACAAGTACCGCAAGACAGACTTCAGGAACAATTCGTTTAAGCTGCAGCTCGAGTGTCACAGGAAACTCTTAAGCCAAGAGAGTGACCTTTCCAAGATGAATACCAATCGGACTGGGAGGGTGATTGGAAGGGAAACACTCTGCCTCACAGTTCCTCAGCACCTTCCACCCCCAAATGTCAGCATGATTTTACAAACGATTTTTCCGCCTCCTCACATCCTTCTGGAAGGGTTAAGTGCCTCGTCGGTGGAGAATGAGCACAAAGGCAGGTAAAGCAGCAACTTGGTAAAAGGCCACGCAGAAAATCAATAGCTAGGCAAACACACTCATGATCAGAAATCTGATCTGGCCCCCGGGGACCATTCAGCTCCATCCTGAGGACCCAGCGTATCTTAACCCGAGTCCTGGAAACTTTAGATTACAACAATAATAATCATAAATTGATGGCGATGATCAGAGCTGAAATTTCCTGATTTATTCCTCTGTGCCAGGACTTTGAGATACATGATTTCATTTATCCTTAATGCATCTTCATGAAATACCTACTTGTCTATCTCTGTTTTACAGCTGCAGTAACTGAGTCTCAGACCAGCAAGATTCCTTGTCTAAGATCTCACAATAGTAAGGGGCTGAGCCAGGATTTGAACCCAAGAAGTCCAATTCCCCACCCTACTTTTTTAAACAGCTTTAGAACTGATCCTTTGAATAGTTCCACAACTTCTTGCAAATAGTTGCCGTCTTAACTTCTGTCTTCCTAAGACATGTATTAAAATCAGAGCCCATACTATACATAACAGCATGCTGTGTGTGTTCACATGTAAAGAGTATGTATTACTACAGGTATCATTGTCGTGTTAGCAAGGGAGGCAGATGTGGCTCCATGAGTGGGAGCATGCACCCTGGAGGCCGTCTGCCTCATTTCAATTCCAACTCCTCACTTTACCAGCTGTGAAACCTGTGACGGCGACTTAACCGCTTTGAGCCTCATCTGGAAAATGGGGCAGTAACAGTACCCATCTGACAAGTGTGTGGTGAGGGTTAAATTAGCGACTATATACATAGTGCAGAAACAGTGCCTGGCAAATAGGAACTGCTACAGAATTTGATGTGGGAATGTGCACAGCTGAGCAGCCTGGTGCCTGCCAGCCGGGCCCGTGTCCTTTACTCACGACTTTGTGGCATTGCTCACAAAGAATGGAGCTATTTCCAGGCTCAGGCTGTCTTTCAGGTGGATCGTAGTTAATGATGTCTCCATCCAGCTGTAACCTTGGACCTAACTCTACATCCCCCTATCTGACTTCTCTCCTATTGTCCCCATGGGCTCACCCTGCTCCAGCCATGCGGGTCATCGAAATGCTCTGTCCCAGGGCCTTTGCACCTGCTGTTCTCTCCATCTGCAGTGCTCTCTGGGTGGTTACTTCACCCTTTCAAACCTCTGCTCAAATGTCCAGACCATCCTCCCTCCCTTGTAAGTCTTCCTGTTCTCCAAGCACTTACCCCATCGGACATTCCGCAGGTTTTACTTGTTTCTTTTGTTTATCGTGTGCCTCCTACACTAGAATATCAGTTCCACGAGGGCAGGGATATCTGTCTGTTTTGCTCACTGCTGTCTCCTTGGTATCTAGAAAAGTGCCTGGCATATCACAGGACCTCAGTAAACATTTGTTGAGTGAATAAATAAATAGGGGAAACAATGAAAGGGGAAGAGGTCGTGAAATTTTTGTCAAGACACAAGGAAGACCGACTTCAGGAGTGTAGAAATTGAAAACGGTGATAACAGCCAACTCAGAAAATAAATGGGAATAAAAGAGTCCACAACCCCGTTCCATTTTCAAAAGAAAAATCCGCTTGCGTTGTGCTTTAATAAAACCTTGCACTTTGGTAACAGCCCATTTATATGTTCAAGGGGAGAGTGATCAATATCTCTGCAGCTCTGGTATTTCCTGGACCCAGTCAAAAGGCACAAGGTCACCCAAAGTCACTGTCACAAAGTAAAGTGGGATGAAGTCATTGAGAAAACCTTCTAGTTTTTCCAAAGCCTTCTGAAGGCCCTGCAGCTGCTGTGTGTCTAGCCCTGCATCAAAGATTCCTACCTCTGCCATTTCCTAACCAGACAGGAGGATGCATCAAAGGAAGCAGTTTGTCTCATGTCCGGGGTTACTAGCATCTCCTCTGGAAATGGTGATGAACCTCAGGCTAACACAACGAATGTGCCTCTTTCAGATGATTCCTGAACCACAGCCAGGCCAATGTGATGGACGGAGGTCTTGCCAGGCCACTTGGGGGGTGAGGCTGGGATGTTCCTAAGACTGAAAGGCAAAGGCGTGCCTCAGAGGGTTGGACTGTTAAAAAGGAGGTCTTGGTGCTGATGTTTGGAGCGCCTGGGTACATCACGTGCTTGTCTCTGTGCCATGGCCGCCGTCCCAGCTCGGCACAGCAGGAGCTTGTGCAAGCCTCCGTCAGCTCCATTGGGGAAGGGAAAGGAGCACAATATACTTCCTACAGAAAGCCCTGGCCCTCAGCCCTCAGAGGCTCGCAGCTGTGCACATCTGGAACAAACTGTCCCAGTGGAGTTGCACACGTGCTCCCAGCATACTCTCTGAATCCGACACCAAGTGCGGAGCCAGGAGGGCCCGGCATGCATGCTGCCTAGCCACGTGAGCCACCTTTCACTCATCTCCAAGCAGAAACCATCGGCCTTTGTGACTTCAACTCCGAGTTGAAAGTGTGCCTTTGTTCATCTGTCCCGCAGCTCGTTGGACATGTCAATAACCTGACAGACCTTTGAGTCTCTCTACCTGACGCCCAGCCCCGTGATTACCTCTCCTCTTTCCATCCCTCCAAATTTGGAGCTACTCTGCATTTTGCTTTTGTTTGGACTTTGCAAAATTGAGATGCCAATGCAATAAACGTGTGTTGACCATTTACCATGGAGACAGCAAGGTGAGCTTCTCTTACTTCTATTAAATCATTTAATCTCTACATATTCCTGCGAGGTTGTAGTCACCTGCATTCCAGGTGAGATTCTAAGAACAAAAGCAACTTGCACAGAGGCTTGACAGACAGGTAGCAGGCAGAGCTGGGACTTAAACACAGCCTGGTCTGATGACAAACTCACCACTGACATGAAGTCAAACATTTGAGAAATGAATTTAATATTCTGAAGCAAAGCAGCTTAACTCGCCAATGCATTTGGTTCTCCCTGGTATAGATTCTAGATTAAACGAATAGCAAAAGAAGCTTTTCTTCCAGAATTATAGTTGAACTCTGTGTTTTTTTAGGCGCAGTGGCTCACGCCTGTAATCCCAGCACTTTGGGAGGCCGAGGCAGGTGGATCACGAGGTCAGGAGATCGAGACCATCCTGGCTAACACGGTGAAACCCCGTGGTCTACTAAAAATACAAAAAAAAAAAAAAAAATACAAAATTTAGCCAGGCGTGGTGGCGGGCACTTGTAGTCCCAGCTACTCGGGAGGCTGAGGCAGGAGAATGGTGTGAACCCGGGAGGCAGAGCTTGCAGTGAGCCAAGATTGCACCACTGCACTCCAGCCTGGGTCAAAGAGAAAGACTCTGTCTCAAAAAAAAAAAAAAAGAAAGAAAGAAAGAAAGAAAGAATCTTGAAATGTTTCCCAAAATACAGTTTTGGGACAGTTTTGGGACAGTTTTGGGACGGTGGAGGGTTCATTGTGATCTACCGTGATGAAGGGTCTCAGGCTCTCCTCTCTCTCTTCATCCGTTCAGTCTCTTGCACTTCATATAAATGCCTGAGCTTCTATCAAATTGTCTAATTTTTCCCCCATTCTTACCCTTCCCCCTTCTTTTCTTTTTTTTTTTTCTCTTTTTTTTTTTTTAATGTTTTTTTTTTTTATTATACTCTAAGTTTTAGGGTACATGTGCACATTGTGCAGGTTAGTTACATATGTATACATGTGCCATGCTGGTGCGCTGCACCCACTAACGTGTCATCTAGCATTAGGTATATCTCCCAATGCTATCCCTCCCCCCTCCCCCGACCCCACCACAGTCCCCAGAGTGTGATATTCCCCTTCCTGTGTCCATGGGATCTCATTGTTCAATTCCCACCTATGAGTGAGAATATGGTGCTGGGAAAACTGGCTAGCCATATGTAGAAAGCTGAAACTGGATCCCTTCCTTACATCTTATACAAAAATCAATTCAAGATGGATTAAAGATTTAAACGTTAGACCTAAAACCATAAAAACCCTAGAAGAAAACCTAGGCATTACCATTCAGGACATAGGCATGGGCAAGGACTTCATGTCCAGAACACCAAAAGCAATGGCAACAAAAGACAAAATTGACAAATGGGATCTAATTAAACTAAAGAGCTTCTGCACAGCAAAAGAAACTACCATTAGAGTGAACAGGCAACCTACAACATGGGAGAAAATTTTCGCAACCTACTCATCTGACAAAGGGCTAATATCCAGAATCTACAATGAACTCAAACAAATTTACAAGAAAAAAACAAACAACCCCATCAAAAAGTGGGCGAAGGACATGAACAGACACTTCTCAAAAGAAGACATTTATGCAGCCAAAAAACACATGAAGAAATGCTCATCATCACTGGCCATCAGAGAAATGCAAATCAAAACCACTATGAGATATCATCCCTTCCCCCTTCTTTTCAATGATGCCTTTAAAAATAAGGACATACACTACATCCAGGGCTGAACAGGCAAAAATAAGGATAAATTATAGCAGAAGGGACCTAAGAGATAAGGATGAACTTTCTGATTAAAAGGGTAATTAAACATTGTTACAGCCTCTGAGCAGAGGATCAGTCAGTCAAACATGCTTATTTTGTCATATTGTGGGAATCAAGCAAGGACTGAGTGTGCCATTTGGGGCAGGAGTGGGAGAGGAACACTTCCTAAAGAAATAGAACGCATCATCGATGCCTTTACAGATCTTGCAACTGAATGAGAAATTCACAATAGGCATGAGTAGAAAAGACCCCTAAAGCCCTTCATGGGGAGAGTAAATTTAGGTTTACTATCCTGTGCCATATTGATTAAATATGTTATCCCATTTAATCCTGCTGACAATTCTTTAGGGTGAAATGCTGTTATTTTTGCCCCTTACATATGACAGAACTGAGGCTCGGGAAACCTAAATCAGTTGCCACAATCACACAGCCAAGAAGGGATGGGCTCCGAGAAGACCCAACTGGAAAGCCAATGCAATTTCCTCTGCCATTTTTTTCTAGAATGTTCTAAATAAAGACCTCAGGGGACAGGTGAATAACAGGGTACTCTCTTGCCTCCCTCCCTCCTTTCCTCTCTCTGTCTCCTTCCCTCTCTTCCTTCCCTTTCTCCTTCCTACTCCTTTCCCCTCTGCCTCACTTTCTCCCTTCCTTCTTTCCTTCCTTTCCCTCTCTCCTTCTCTCCTTTGAATTTCAGTAAGACCATTACTTCATAATGTAGAAGTTGCGGGGGTGGGTAATATGGGGTGTCTAATTTCTGCTAACAGTGTGCATATTAAATATTGTGTGGCCAGAGACACTTGGCTCATCTTTGAGGACAGAAGAAAGCACCAGGGTGAGTTGCAATACCATTTGCAAGAATCTCAGCAACTCCAACGCACCGGGAAATACAGGTTTGGAGAGCTCATCTTTCCTGAGTTAACAGCATAGAAGGATTAGGAAAAGAACTTAGTAATAGGTTTTGATATTAGCAAAAAAGCAGCTCTGGGAACTAAATCTAAAGAGTAACAATCATTTTATTTAGGACTTGTTGAAAGCAGACACTTAGGAGGGAGAGAAGCTGCGACAGAGAGTCTCCAATTTACAAAAGAAAAGGGAAATCAAACTTCCTTTCTGGGTTTAGCTCAGTTCTAACCATTTTCTTGCCTAGAGTGGGTTACCAGGGATGACTCACCAGGCAGCATAACACAGCAGTGCACACTTTGGAGGCAGCCAGTCCTTGGTTCAAATTGTTACTTTGCTCACCACTTACCCAAACACATTATTTAATCTCACAGTGATTTAAAATACTCATCTATAAAATGGACATAATGATACTACCTCAGTCACTGGGTTCTTTAGAAGATAAAACGATGTCACACTTGTAAAGGGGTTAGCCCAGTGTCAGACAGGTTGTAAGTACTGCACCCATGACCATTGTGGAAGTCACACCGTGCAACTTTTATTTTGGCTGATGTCAGTTGTATAAAACTATGACATAGACCAGTAGATGGATGGAACATTCTGATTGGTGCAAGTCATTCTTCCCATAATTCCATTCAATATGCATAAACCCAGTACTGGACGACAGAACTGAAGATGCCATTCCTTTATGAAACTCCGTTTCTGTGAGCCTCCGTCTTGCTGGGCTGACTATATTTGACTACACACATAAAAATATATATCTAAAAAAAGATCATGAAACACATTTGATTAGTTTGAATATATGTCCCTGCCAAATCTCATGTTGAATTATAATCCCCAATGAGGGAGGTAGGGCCTAGTGGAGGTGTTTGGGTGATAGGGATGGATCCCTTGTGGCTTGGTGCTATCCTCCCAATAGTGAGTGAGTTTTCATGAGATCTGGTTGTTTAAAAGTGTGGCAACCCGCCCCCCAACTCCCTCTCTCACTATTTGAGACACTGGTTTCTCCTCTTCTCCCCTTTCTTCTTCTTCTTCTTCTTTTTTTTTTTTTTTTTTTTTGAGACAGAGTCTTGGTCTGTTGCCCAGACTGGAGTGCAGTGGCGCAATCTCAGCTCACTGCAACCTCTGCCTCCCGGTTCAAGCAATTCTCCTGCCTCAGCCTCCTGAGTAGGTGGGATTACAGGCACATGCCACCACACCTGGCTAATTTTTGTATTTTTAGTAGAGACGGGGTTTCACCATGTTGGTCAGGCTGGTCTCGAACTCCTGACCTCCTGATCCACCCGCCTCAGCCTCCCAAAGTGCTGGGATTACAGGCATGAGCCACCGTGTCCAGCCTGGCTTCTCCTTTCAACTTCTGCCATGCTTGTAAGCTTCCTGAGGCTTCCCGCAGAAGCTCAGTAGATGTTGGTGTCATACCTGTGCAGCCTGCAGAAACGTAAGCCAATTAAACCTTTTTTTTTTTAAATAAATTACCCAGTCTCAGGTATTTCTTTATAGCAATGCAAGAATGACCTAGCCTGCAAGTCCCCTACTATTTTATCTGGTGCTTAGCCGTAAAATAATGAGCTGTTCCAATTCTGGGCGGACATCATAATTTATTGCATGGACAATTTAAGGGGCTGTATTTTGACCATTTGCCACTTTTACATCAGTCTTTGATTTCAGAACCTCACCCCACTATATTGAGGCTGTTATTGCTCCTTCATCCAATCAGCCATTAGGGGCTGTTGGCTTGAGTTACCAACAAAAGGAATGGTCGAGTGCAGCTTTCACTTCTGCAAAACGACGTGGAGATGCAGGTCATAAATACCAGAGATGATCCCTAGGGAGCTTCTCTCTGAGTTTCTGCAGATGTCGGTGCAAACTTCAAACACAGATGAGATTCCAAGTGCATTGTATTAGCAAAAGTTGCTGGATATAACAATGTCTATCAAATTATTTGATAAAGATCTATTCATTACCCTTATCCAGCCAAAAGAAAAATATAATTGAACCATGGTCACATGCCATAATGGGTATGAGAATAAAACTTCCTCTTCTTTCCCCCTAATTAGAAAACCAGGGGCTTAGAAAAATGCATAAAAGCAGATCAGATAGAACAGATTTTTATGTTTTTTATGTGGGAAACCTTTTCTGTGACTTAACAGTTAAGACATTTCATAAACTCCAAAAATGAAATAAACGAAACCAAAAATGCATGCACCCCCACCCCCCGCCCCAACCACCATTACAGAATGTCACGTCTCGCTTGCTCATAGAAGCCATTCATTAAATATTTGTTAAGCATTCAGTGATTGATAATGACTGCAGGAGCTCATACATCTGCGACATGAATATCTGGCCGGGGAGGGCTCTATGAAATGAAAGAAAGCACCCTGATAAGGAAGTCCGAGGCCTATTTTGTATGCCAAAGAGCTCTCTCTTAGCAGTCTGCAGAGGGGAGAATAAAGGAGGCTACAGTGTGGGCAGTAGAAAGTCTCAGTTCATGGAGGCAAAGAGGCAGCCTTCCCTACCCAGAAGTTACCATTACACCTGGAAAGGAAAGAAGAAAGAACAAATTGCCACCAAGGCCTCTCCTTGGATTTTACCTGAAAGGACAAGGCTGCCACCTGCCAAAAGCCCGAATATCTCCTCCCTCTAACTCAGTTTCTCTTTTCTCCATGAGTCTTATTTCAAAATGCAAATAGTCCTATGGACAATTATATATTAACCCATTAGTAGCCATTAACTCAGATAAAATGACTTAAGAAGAAATAGCTATTACCTTATGTGATGAACACTTCACTGTGCTTTATGATTCAAAATTCTGAAGAAATATGACCTTAGGCCGAGAAGCTTGATGAGCAAGAAGGGAATCTGCAAGGGTAGGGTACTTTTTAGGTGGGTTGTTAAAATGCTGTATGGGACTTGGGAATAACTATTATAATCGTAATAATATGGCAGAAAAGCTTAGTGCTTCACCAACAACCATGGTCCTCCTCTTCTTCCTGGACAAACAGCTGGACTATATAACTCTACCCCGGTAACCGGGTGGGGCCGTTTTTTTTTTTTTTTCTCTTTTTTCTGGAGTAGGTAGCCAAGAGTGGGATTGACTTGTAACATAGTAAGTGTATATTTATTTTTACAACAAACTGCTAAACTTTTTCCGAAGGAAAGACAGGACACCCACTACTTCCAGGTTGGCCTGTGAAACCTCTTGCAGAATTTTCTACCCTCTCTTCTCTCAACTGCCAGTTGATGCAAACAGTTTGATGGTACACCCTGAGGGCCTAGATGATGGAACCGCACAGTGGAAGGGGCCTGGAACCCTGATGTCTACATGGAGTACAGCCCCTGCATTGAACCAACAACGGATTGTAAGATGAGTGCAGAATAAATTTATTGTGTTAGGCCCTTGAGACGTGGGGATTTATTTGTTGATGAAACTAACATCACTTATCCTAACTAATAATATAGCAAACATTATTAGAGCTAATACCCATCAAGTGTATGTCTAAAGATTTGTTTAAGCATTTGAATCCTCCTAAGAGCTATATGGAATAGGATGGAGTAGGGAATGTATACCAACAGAGCAACCCCAGTAGGCAGCCCCTGAACTGATATTTGAAGGAAGAGCATGAGTTGCCTGAGTTGCTGGACAGGAATGTTCCAGGCAGAGGGAACAACATGAGGAAAGGTCCTGGGGTAGGAAAGGCCCTGGCAAGATTGAGAAACAGACAGGAAGCCAGTGCAATTCATGGGGCAGTGGTATCATTAAGGTATCTCCAGGAATAAGATCTGGAGAAAATTCACCACCACACAAATGCCAGTCCCTAATTAAAGCCATGATAATAAGATGCTGTCATAGACAAGTCATTCTGGGTAGTGTGAACTCCAAGTTTATCCATCAGCTTATGACTAGCAAGGAAACAGATCTGAATATAAAACATCCATCTTTGTGACCAAAACAGAAACCAAATGGAGAAGACTCCTTAGGAACATCTGGATCTCTGTAATTTCTAACTTGAAAAACACATTTATAGATAAAAGCATTCTACAGTGGAGGCACAGAGAGAAAGACATGACATAAACAAGAAGAAAGGGCTAATTTATTTCCTCTCACTGCTGAGCATCTGTTGAATCTGGGCTCCTCTTCCAAGACTGCAGTGTCCCCCTTTCCTGGCCTCTTTCTAACATTTGGAGAATCTAGAAATTCACCTTCACAAGCTCCCCACAAGATCCAAGGAGGGTCGGGCACAGTGGCTCACACCTGTAATCCCAGCACTTTGGGAGATCGAGGCAGGTGGATCACTTGAGCTCAGGAGTTCAAGACCAGCCTGGGCAACATAGTGAGACCCCGTCTCTACAAAAAATACAAAAATTAGCTGGGCTTGGTTGCATGCATCTGTAGTCCCAGCTACTCAGGAAGCTGAGGCAGGAGGATTGCTTGAGCCCAAGAGGTCAAGGCTGCAGTGAGCCATGATCATGCCACTGCACTTAGCCTGGTGACAGAGTGAGACCCTGTGTCAAAAAAAAAAAAAAAAAAAAAAAAAGTCCGGGAGAACTTTTCACTGTGCCTGGATTTTTCTGGACCTACCCCAGTGACAACTTGATCTTCTGAGACATCCCAGATGGCAGCTGAAGGAAACTTCCAGAAAGGCATAGAAGTCTCTCTTTCCTCCCTCCCAGAATGTCTTAATAAGGAGTCTGAGCAAGATGACAGCAACTTTTGACCCTATCCCTCTTCTCTTCCCAAATGATGGTGGATCCAACAACACAACAAAGAAGAGATAACCCAACAAGAAAGGGAGAGACATTGCCTTCCTGGAGATGGTGCAAGGACAAGGCTATGCCGGGGAGGGGAATGGTTGAGAGCTTTCTAAGACTGAGTGACTTCTATCTCAATCAACCTTATCATCTTTAAAGAGAACAAGAGCCTCTTCCTCATGTAAGAGAAGTGATGGTGGTCACAGTGGGTAAACAGATGATCCTTCAATGTCATTGGCAATGTCAATGTTCCCCATTCCGTGGATGGAATTCTGAGAACCCTGGAATGAGGAAGACCCCAGAATTAGGCTGAGGAATCACACAAGCATAGATTACATAGTTTCAGTTCCAGGGTTAGGCCCTTTCTTTCCTGCTGGTAATTTTGGGTTCACTAGGGGGCATTCTGGAAGGGGAAACATGTTTTTTGTTGTTGTTGTTTTGGTTATGCCTCCTCTAGTACAGGTTCATGAAAAATATTTCCTAGACTTATAGTTTGGAGATTCCTAACATTTAACCATCGATTTTTTTTTTCTTTTTTGCTGTTAATAAATATTTCTAATATTTAATCATCCCTTAGTTTCTTCTTTTTTGCTATTAATAAATATTTCTGAATTTTACTGATTAGTTCCTTTATAGACATGTTTATTCAGTAATAAAAGTTGAAATACCATGCCCAAATTACCTTCAAACTAAGTCAATTGTTAAAAAGCAGGAAATATTTAGTTTCATGGATCTTGTGCTAATCATTATGTTTTACTCAAATAATACAACTAAAGCCCCCAAGCTCTATAAATATATTCATTTTCCACATGTTCTTTTGCTTCAAAGTCTTAATGTTGAATCTCACCATCAACTTTTTTTTTAACTCTCATAATATTGTTTCTGTGATGTTAGTTGTCTTTTTCCTTCCTTAGATCTCTGTTTCTTTTCCATCTTTTATCTATCATGTAAAAAGCAAGTTTTGAATGTCTTGCTGATTCTGTTTCTTTCTGCTCCATTTTATTGATTGACCCCAAGAAAAAAATCCCGGATCTCATATATATGTGTCTTAGAATCCCGAAGTTGATGGTGAGATTCAACATTAAGATTCTGAAGCAAAAGAACATGTGGAAAATGAGTGTATTTATAGAGCTTGGGGGCTTTATATTGTATTATTTGAGTAAAACGTAATGATTAGCATAAGATCCATGAAACTAAATACTTCCTGCTTTTTAACAATTGGCTTATTTTGAAGGTAATTTGGGCATGCTATTTCCATTTTTATTACTGAATAAACATGTGTATAAAGGAACTAATCAGTAAAATTCAGAAATATTTATTAACAGCAAAAGAGAATAATGGAAGGGATGGTTAAATATTAGGAATCTCCAAACTCTGTAAGTCTAGAAAATATCTTTCATGAACCTGTACTGAAGGCATAACTGCTTTTTTGCTGCTTTGGGGTTAATTAAACCTGTAAAAGGGATAGTTCTAGGAAGCCCGAGTAGTATCAGGTTATGCCAAACGGACAGCTGTGGGCAGAAGAAGAAGTTTCTGCCTAAGGGGTATCTGTTTTTTTTTTCACTTAGTATTCATTTCTGTTTCTGATAATACAAGACTGAGAACCTCATTTCTTTCAACATTCAGGATTCATAGACACTGTTTCTGGCTCAACAGGTAGAAATGCAGCCCCACCTGGCCAATCAGGGACCTCTTTTCCCATGGCCACAGCCATAGGTATGGAATTCATACATATGGAAGTGAGGGAACAGCAGACAGGCCTGGGACATGTGCTGAAATGATCGTAAAGAGACTCCCTTTCTTCTGGGGCTCAGTGGGTGCTGGTCTGGCCATCTGGCTTCCCCTTGGGGAGTGCCTGCCTGACAATGAAGACAGCACGGAGCAAAGCAGAATGCAGAATTGGAGAGGACTGGTTTCTAATCATCTCTTGAATGCTTGAATCTTGTAGTACTAGATTCACACCTGGAACTTCCTGATTTTGTGGGTCGATAAATTCATTTTGCAATTTCAACCAGTTTGGGTTTGTTGACGATAATTTCTCTGAATAATTCAATCTCTGTCTTGATCCTTCTGCAACTGTTTTTCTTTAATTCAAAAGTTCACATAATCAGAGCTTTCTTTTTGAAGAACAGGAATTAGTTTTGGAGTTTTACCGAATAATCAACTTTTAGAGCTGAAACAGACCCATTCCCATCCTTCATTGCTGTGTAGCAAACCACCTCAAAGTTTAATGGTGTAGAACAACAACTGCTGCATGGTGCTCATGGATCCTGTCGGTCAGGAATTTAGAAACAGCAGAGTGGGGATGGTTTGTCTCTGCTTCATTATGTCAGGGGCTTTAGCAGGCAGGATGTAAATCATTTGCCATTGAAATAATGGAGAGTCTCTTTACTCATATATCTGGTGCCTGAGCAAAATCAATACAAAGGCTGGGGGCTTAGCTGAGATTTCCAAACAGAGCACCTACGCATGGCCTTTCCATGTGACTGGCTTGGGCTTCCTCCCAGTATGGCGGACTAGGGATAGCTGGATTTCTAACATGGCTGCTTGGCCTCTAAGTGTGAATGTCCCCATGAACAACGTAGAAGCTGCTGAACCTTTCATGACCTAGTCTCACATAGCATCAGTTTCACCCTCTTTACAACACTGCCTTGATTCAGGGGAGGGGACATGACTCCCACCTGTCCATGGGAAGAGTGTCAAAGAATTTGGGAACATGTTTTAAAAGTACCACAGGACCTCAGATATGACACAGGTAGCACTGTATTCTCACACTGCTGTGCCTTTGCACATACTTCTGTCATACAACATTCTCCCCTTCCCAGTCTTCCTAACTAGTCCCTCTTCATCCTCCATGGCCCTGTAGCAGTTCCACCTCCATGAGAAGCATTTCCCAGCTTCTGAACTGGGCTAGGAGCAGCTTTGCTCTGTGGCATCCACACCCTCTGCTAGTCTCACCATATTGGAGCTGTCCGATTCTTCTTTGTCACCCCTCTCCAAATTGTGGACATCCTAAGGAACAGACACCATGCTTTATAATTTTTACTTTGGCTCCTGGTACACAGCAAATGCTAACAAATATATGTTTAGTGAAAATGTCCAACTCCCTCACTCTGCAAGTGAGAAAATGCCAGCCTGGACAGGAAGGGCCGTGTTTAAAGTCACAGAACTCATTTATAGGAGTTTAGAATCCATGTCTCCTGTCTGGAATTCCCGTGTTATTATGACTACACCACCATATTGTTTCAAACACAAAGCCCACGGTTGCTCTCAGAAAGGCTTATGTTCGGTGTTAATGAACCCGGGAGCATCTATGCAATCAACTTTTGCCTGTGAAATCCCTGGCTTTCCAAACCTACTAATTTGTGATGCTTTTAGACCTGGGAAGAAAACACAATAGATTGAGAGTGGCGTTTTACACCTGCAAAAACAAGCACCGATTGCGTTAGAGTTCACGCCTAATTAGGTTATGCATTTTGTCAGCAGGCTCAGTACTTCTCAGCTGAAATGTGTAGTACAAGAGCAACTGGCTTCCCACACACATGAGCCAGATGTTTGGCCTGCCAGCGTACATGAAGATTATTGCCACACACCCAAAAAAAAAAGCAAAAAGGAAAGGATGAGCAGTTATTCTGCAGTGCTTAGAACGTTTCTCACTTTCATGAACCTGTCATAAGTGTAAAGTAAAATGACATTATCAAAGAAATCTACATATAAAGAATCTATACTCAATCTAGACTATGTGCACACCTTGAATGGTCTCATTTGATGCGTATCGATCACGAAGCACTTCCTAAAATGTGAGAAAACACATTTCTTTACCTATTGGTCTACCCATTTCCTTTCTGCACCAAAGGATGAAGCTGGAAGCCATCATCCTCAGCAAACTAATGCAGGAACAGAAAACCGAACACCTCATGTTCTTACTTATAAATGGGAATTGAACATTGAGAGCAAATTGAATGTTTTTAAATGTTGATTCAGAAGAAATTAGTTCAGGAATCCTTTTTACTTGTTTTGATAGCGCATTCTAACACCGATCTTATCCACAAGCCCAAAGAGGAGAGCATTTGGTTTTTTAATAGTGTAACCATCTCTTCTGGCACATTGTCCCCCAGATAGCTTGTTTTTCTGACCTTAAAATTACCTTGATTTTTAACTGAAGTTCTATTCACTTCTAGCCTAATGAAAGAAAGTTAGTTTGCCTTCCTAGTATTCTAGGAAGAGTAAAACAAATATTTTAAAAATCCGTATTTTTAAAAATGTAACCACTTCTTCTAAGACCTTGCCTTTTTTTATAATAAGAAATGTTCCTTATCTACTCCCATACAATCTAGTGTTCATATACACTAGATTAGGAAAGTAATTAAAAGTCAGACAATAACGTGCCTTGGCAAGGATGTGAACAAAATTGGAAGCTTCATATAGTACCGAACAAACTATAGACTGGTAAAAACCACTTTGGAAAATAATTCGGCATGAGCTGGGTTATTTTAAGATATGCATTTCTGGAGACTCAGAAATCACACTTCTAGAGACATTTTTACAAAGCTGCACTGGGAGAGATGACCCACAGCTAGGCTTCCATCTGAAGGAAGCTCACACACATAATATTGTTTGAAAAAAAAGCAGGTCATGGACAAATACATAAAGTGCGATTTTATTTTCATAAAGCTCGAAACATTGCACAACTAAAACTAGGCTGTTTATGAAGATTTACAGTTTAGGCAAAACTATAAAGAACAGTAAGGGAATCATCACCATCGAGTAATTAGTTTGGCTGGGGGGAAAAGAGAATGCAATCGGGGTGTTGGAAATGTTCCATTCTTTGAGCTGGGTCAGGAGTACACGGTGTTTATTTTTTGTATCTTTCATAAGTGTGTTATATATTTTTATATGCATATAATATTTCATAGCTTCCCAAAACAAAAAATAAAAAGATTATATGAAAAAATCCTTACAATTTTGCAACATTTATGGTAATATGTTTTTAATAAAGTGTTCTTAAATACTAATAAAAGGCTAATAGCCCAAATAAAATATGGGTAAAGCTATGAAATGGCAATAAATAACAACAAAAAATACTATATATTTTTTAATTAAGTTCTGGGGTACATGCTCAGGATGTGCAGGTTTGCCACATAGGTAAATGTGTGCCATGGTGGTCCGCTGCACCCATCAACCTATCACCCAGGTATTAAGCCCGGCATGCATTAGCTATTTTTCCTGATGCTCCTCCCATCCCCAACATCTCCCCCAACAGGACCCAGTGTATGTTGTTCCCCTCCCTGTGTCCATATGTTCTCATTGTTCAGCTCTCACTTATAAGTAAGAACATGTGGTGTTTGGTTCCTGCATTACTTTGCTTAGGATAATGGCTTCCAGCTTTATCCATGCCCCTGCAAAGAATATGATCCTGTTCCTTTTTATGGCTACATTAATACTCCATGGTGCATATGTACCACATTTTTAAAATTCAGTCTATCATTGATGGGCATTTGGGTTGATTCCATATCTTTGCTATTGTGAATAGTGCTGCCATGAACATATGCATGCATGTATCTTTATAATAAAATGATTTCTATTCCTTTGGGTATATACCCAGCAATGAGATTGCTGGGTCAAATGGAAGAAATACCATATTTTTTAATCTATCAACTTAGCAATGAATAAAAACAGTGATGATACTTAAAATGAGATAAGGAAACAGGAACACAGCTGGTGGGGATGTGCTTGGTACACATTTTCTCCCAGGCAATTTGGCATTATGCATCAAAATCCTTCAGCCCCTTATAGACTGTGACCTAACAATTCTATTTCTAGGAATCTATCTCAAAGATGTACTTGGACAAGCAAGTCCTCAGGGATATATGTTCAAAAATGTTCACTGCAGGATTTTTTTTATCACGGTGAAAAATGTGAAACTGCCGAAGTGTTTAATTCAGGACCAGCTAAATTATGGTACATCCATGCAAGGGAATAATACGAGCACACTAAAATTATGATATAGCTCCCCATTTATTGATATGGAAAGATGCAGCTGACATATTGTCAAGTCAGAGGAGCAGTACTCAAGCAGAATACATGGACACAAATTCACTCTTTTGTGTAAGTATGTATGTGTGTGTGTACACACACTACCAACCTGATGCCTGCCTGTGCCCTCTCCTGCCTGGGGAAAAGCCAGAGCCTCCTACATGTTTTCCTGAGGCCGAGGTGGGAGGATGACTTGAGGTCCGGAGTTCAAGACCAGCCTGGCCAACACGGTGAAACCCCAACTCTAGTAAAAAAATATACAAAAATCAGCCAGGCGTGGTGGTGGGCACTGGTAATCTCAGCTACTCGGGAGGCTGAGGCAGGAGAATTACTTGAAGCTGGGAGGTGGAGGCAGTAGTGAGCCGAGATCTCGCCACTGCACTCCAGCCTGGGTGACAGAGCAAGACTCCATCTCCAAAAAACAAAAAACAAGACAAAATCCCAGAAAAACTAAAATACAAGCTGGATCATGCCTCTCTTCTGCTCAGAATACTACAATTGCCTCAACTCGCTCCGAATAAAAGCATCAGTCTGCACTGATTAACAAGGCCCTACACAATCTGCACACGCTTTCTCTGTCAACACCCCCTACCCACCTGCTCACCCTGACCAACTACTCTAGCTTTCCTGTTCACCATCAATTCTCACCTCCTCACCCCACATGCCCCTGCCTCAGGGCCTTTGTACTTGCTGTTCTCTCTGCCTGGAATGTTCTTCCTCCCCCAAGATCCCCAAAACCACCTTCCTTAACCACTCCACACCAGCACTCCCTACCTCCCCCAGCTTTCATTTCCCCCAAGCACTTATCACCCTCTATGTAGTCCGTAGGATGCATTGTCTATCGTGTCCCAATAGAACCTCAGCTCCTTGAGGCCAGAGGGTTTTGCTCCCTGCTGTTTCCCTAGAACCTAGCATAGAGCTTGGAAAACATCACTCAAATGAATAAATTACTGAACAAATGAACCAATGAAGAAGATGATTCCAAACAGGGAAATGTGTAATAAATTAAGTGAACATAATAGTGGGTTAGAGAGTTCGTATGAGCCAGGCAGGCAGGTTACTTCTTCTGTAGAGAAAGTAGCCAGAGGTGGCTTCTCTGAAAGGTGGCATTTGAGCAATATCTCAATGAGAAGGAGCAGCCTTGCACTCAAGGACTCAGAGCAAAAATGATCCAAGTGGAGGGAACAGGAAACACAGGTGTCCCAAGGCAGAGAGTATCCAAAAGTTTTCAAGGAACTGAAAAGAGGGTATATCTCAAGAGTTTTTTGTTTGTTTGTTTGTTTTAACAGAAGCCACATGGCGGGTGATGTTTAATGATAATTTTTCTCTGTTTAATTGTTGTTTCTATTACTTTATCTATGAAGATAGATTGAGTGTGCAAAATTGGGACGCTCAACTCTGCATGTCTCTCTTGGACTGAGTCCAGGGTCAGAAATCCTGGTTTTCCTTGGCTCCCCCAGGGTAGCTCTGTGGTTTGTGATGATGGGTAAACTACGCTGGCCCTCTGTAAGATGCGGACATTAGGGCTCTGTATCCCATCTAGTCTGAAACACGCATAATTACATGTTTTCCCCATTCTCTGCAGAGTGAGATTAGACACTCCTTTCCCCTCTGGTTCCAGTGCAGACCCCCATCTTAAATTTACATACAGATAAATAAGGCTGCCCCTAGCAACAGCTTGCAAACTGTTTCATAGAGCAGGCAAATTCTTTTATTATTTATTTGTTTGGATGTTTTTATTGTGGTAAGAACACTTAACATGAGATCGGTCATCTTAACAAATACACAGTACGGTATTGTTAGCCATATGCAAATTCTTAACATAGTCTTGACTGTTTCCTGCTCACCTACCTTCACCCAGATACTCATGTGAAGGAAGAGAGGAGCTATTTTGAAGAGCTACGTTAAACCAAAACCGACCATCGCCACGTTTATGTTCTAAATGAAGTGGCATTATTTATATGTCGATGTTACAATAGATCACTCTGCTCTTCTTCCCTCCTCCTCCACCTCCCAGAGACTGGTGGAGAAAAGATAAAGGAAAATTTACCTTCCGCCTGCAGAAAAGGGTAGGGCCCGACTAGAAACCTGCTAGTCATCAGAGAGCCTGATTCTTCAGGTATATGCAGGTGGCTCTGACAGGAGAGAGGTCGAATTTGCTCTCAAAGAAAAGAGAAAGATGCTGGGTTTCTGGAGAGAGCCCAAGAGAAGGAATAATGGCGAACAAAACTGAAAACAGAGAAACACAGTATGTGTGTGTGTAGTGGCATGGTGGAGGGGCAAGGAGGGACGTTTCTTGAGTGATGTGGTGGGTGGCCCATGGGAGATGTGATTGAAGGGCTTTTAACTGTCTGATGTCCCATTTGGGGTTCGTGGTCACATGCTGCTCTCACTTAATCTTCATTTTCATTCGAAATCATCAGAGAAGACTGATGCATACAAACGTATCCTTGTATGACCTGTTCTTACGTTTTGTTTCACTTATTCATTTCTGTGGCTGGTTTTTGTTGTATTCGTTTTGAGAGATCAAGGACAAGGGCCGGGATTCTACACTGGGCAGCTCTGATATAGAAGAGTTTGTAATGATGGTGAATTGCCAAAGGACACTGATTCTGGGAAACAGAGCTTTCTGAGACAGCAGGGGCTGGGGAAAATGTGGACTAGCAACAGGTCAAAGTTCAAGTTAGCTTTGTGCCTCCTTTGTCAGATGGTTGCATTAGACACAAGTCTATGGGCTGATAGCTCATTTTCATTCTTAGCAAAGCCATCTCCTGCAATAGTATGCTTTATTCTCTAGTCTTTCTTTCCCTTATCCCCCCACCCAAATATAAGGCCAGGGACTTTGTCTGTTTTGTTTACTGCCTGAGTCCTAGCTGGTACAGAGTGGATATTCCATATATATTTGTTGTTCAAATACATATGTAATTTTTTTCAGTGTTTTTCTTTCTCTTTCACCTTAAGAAGTGGTGAGCACATTTGCTGGAAGGTCTGTCATTCTCATAGACATCATTTTTAACACTGGCTGGGCTTCCCCCCAAGGAAACCTCAGACAACCTCTCTGGGGTCACCCTCTTGCTTCATGTGGTGGATTAAATGTTTTCTGTTCATTATAATCTTTCGCAACCGGTATTTAGGAACCGATGTATTATCTGCTTATCTGTGTAATTCTCCTCTTATTTAGACAGTTTACAGTCTTCAGATTTCTTTCTTTCTCCACTATTTAAAATAAATGTTAAGTATAGCAGTATAACATATCTTCAGAGAGAACCTGAGTCTTTCAGCCAAGGGAAAATGTAGGCTCAGGACACTTTCTGGAGAGCATCTTTAAGATGATACTTCAAGGAGCAACAGGTCAGAAAATAGAACAGGGTCCAATTAGGCAAATGCTTTGTGCAAAAATCTCCCATGGCTTCTGTGAAGCTGCTTTTTGTAAGAATCCAAAATTGTCTTCTGCAAGTAAGGAGGTTTGGCACACTTTGGGGGTGGGGTACGAGGAAAAGGATAGTAGAAAGCAAACATCATACTCTGCTCTCAGAAAGTTGGAATTTTTTTAAGAGACAGATATTATGAAAATCAACTTCTTTTATTTTCTGACACACGTCAGCAATTCAAAGTTTCTTTCAGAGGCCAGTTGAGTCCTCTTCAATACAGCATATCTCCTCCTGACTATGGTCTTGCTCAAGTACCTCTTTGAGCCTCTCTCTCCTCATCTGTGAAATGGGAAGGATGGCAATGTGCATTACCCACCAAGGACAGGAAGGAGTCAGTAAGCCAAAACATGGGTAGGGAACAGCACCGTGGCTGGCTCACAGTAGGTGTGCCAGAAATAGTGAAGAAATGAATGCTAAGTCCTTTCATTAACAACTATTGTTATTATATGTCTGTTTCTGGCTTCCAAATGAAATGTGCATTTAAGATTTGTCTCCAGTGTCTTAATCCAAAAGAGACAATATGAGCTATTCAGGGCCAGTAGGAGAGAGAGAGAGGAGACTCTTTTGTCTGGTGAAGGAAGAGGAGGAGAGTCAGACCTTCCAGTGCCCTGATGTCAATGAATGGGGCAGCC
This sequence comes from Homo sapiens, assembly GCF_000001405.40. Lineage (NCBI taxonomy): Eukaryota > Metazoa > Chordata > Mammalia > Primates > Hominidae > Homo > Homo sapiens. The sequence goes on along the minus strand of NC_000001.11, from coordinate 14,241,330 downwards.
ACCTAATTGCTATTGACTTTCACACCTTCAGTGGAGGCCAGAGCCTGGGAAGATCCAGAGTCCTGGGTTCTAGTTCAGGTTCTTCTACTTCCTAGATGTGTGACCTCTCAGGTGTAGCTTTCTGTAACTGCCCAATGAGGGAGACAAAAGAGGCTGCCCCACCCAAGGTTGTTGGGACCATCAACAAGATAAGAAAGGTGTGGTTTCACCCAATGTCCTCTGTAGCCTCCATTTAGCTGGGACTTGAGCTAAGCACGTGGCATTCAGGACTGCATTTAATTTTCATACCTACCTTAGAAGTGGGATCCCATTGTGATCCTCACTTTACAGATGAGACAATGAAGACTTGAAGAAGTTTAAAACAAACTAAAATAGAACACAATCTTGCTGAAGGTCACAACCCCAGTTCGGTGGGGTGGGTATTTAAACTCAGGAAATGGACTTGGTGGTACCTCTCTAACTCCCTCCCATGCCCCTGCAAAGCCCCTGAGCCAACAGAAGTGGAACATTCTGAAATCCTACAAAGCTGGCTCCAATATAGAAGATTTCACAGCCTGTGACATAGGTGTAGAATAGTGACCCGGTGCAGCTATGGCCCAGAAAGAATTTTGAGATCCCAGATTTGGACAAAAGGCCCAAGAGATGTGGTTTTCCAAGTAGCAGAGTGACAGCCTTACTTAGTGACTGAGCTTGTGGATGCTGATAAGCAGGTCCCAGAAGCAGCAGTGGGGATCTTGGGGGATGGAGTAGATGCTGCTGAAGCCCAGTTACCCCTTAATTTGGGGATATTTGGGCCTGGCTGTTGTCATCATCCCCCTTCCTGGGCACAACCCACGAGGAGCAGAAAGAGGAACTGAGCAAGGCCCCCTGGTGTGACCTCCTGGTGGAAGCAGAAAGTGGCACCAAAATCCAGGTGCTGTCCTACTGCAATGGTGTCTTCCCCATGGGGGCTGCACATGCCTGGAGCCTATGGACAGTGTGGGCTCCCCTGTCTAGGCACACAGAGGTGTCGCGTGGGCACAGGAGGTCCCAAGTACCAGGGAGCTGACCTCACCACATGTTCCCTCTGTCTTCCCAGGCCTTGTTTCCTTTTATCTGCTGATATAGTTTGTGTATAAGAAAATGGCTGAGATCTGTGAGTTTTGTCACTGGTATCTTTCAGCCTAGGTCCAGGCCTCTTGGATTCAAAGTCTATGCTCTGAACATTGGACCATACAGCCTGTCTACAAGACTAAATTTCATCAAGCTAAGGCTCTGAGACAAAGGATAGCAAATAGACAGTCAAGGCCTTTGCCCCAAATCTCCGTAGACATCCTCTAGTCTGATACACAACTCAATCTAAAGCTCAGCACTACAAATATTTGGGGCTGGGTACATCTTTGTTGAGGCAAGGGAGAGCTGCTGTCCTGGGCATTGTATCACACTTAGCAATGTCACTGGCCTCTACCCATTAAATGCCAGCAGCACCATCTCTTCCCACCCATTGTTGGTTGTGGCAACCAAAAATGTCTCCAAGCAGGCAAAATCACACTCAGTTGGTCTAAAAATGAATGATCTATAGAACCCCAACTTGCTGGGTGTGGTGGTTCATGCCTGTAATCCCAGCACTTTGGGAGGCTGAGACACATGGATCACCTGAGGTCGGGAGTTCGAGACCAGCCTGACCAACATGGAGAAACCCTGTCTCTACTAAAAATACAAAATTAGCCAGGCATGGTGGCACATGCCTGTAATCCCAGCTACTCGGGAGGCTGAGGCAGGAGAATCGCCTGAACCCGGGAGGCAGAAGTTGCAGTGAGCCGAGATTGCGCCATTGCACTCCAGCCTGGGCAACAAGAGTGAAACTCCACCTCAAAAAAAAAAAAAAAAAAAAAAGAAACCCAACTTATGTGTATAATTTACTGCCAAGTAAAACAAAAGTCAGCTCAAACTCTTTAGTTTCCTCTTTAGATTTCAGGTCCCCAGACTCAGAGAGCTTGGTAAGTTGACAGCAATAATGCAGAGAAAATGATGCCACGTAAACCAGCCTCTTAAAAAACTTTTGGGGTGATAACAGAAAAACAAGAATGATTTAAAATTGCAATTTTGCAGAAGACTAGAGGCAAAGCATCACCTCTGTGTGCCCTTGTCCACTAAAGCATATGATCAATGCTATATTAAAACAAAAGCATGACTTACGGAAAATGAGGGGAGGTTTTTGGCTTACGTAATCTTTCTTTTTGACTGGAGAACATGCAGTTCAGCCATTTTGTGCCAGAAAGAAAGAGAGAGGAAACTATTAATTTGAAATTCCAAGAGAATCTGTGATATTATAGCCAAAGTTTTCATGCAACATGAAAGTCATCACAATCCCAGTACAAATGAAACCACAGTCCTCAGCTATCTGGGTGTACATAGAAGTGACAGCTTCAAGAACGTGTTTGCCATTTAAAACAGTCAGACTTAAGAATGCATTGTTCCTCTGCCCAGGGTAACAAATGAAATAAATGAAATGGTGGTGTTTGTGCTGGTGATGCAAACACACGTCAGTGCTGTGTGTGATGCCGTGGCTCTACTGAAATTGGAAAAGTCCAGGTCCTCCATCCTTTCCCCATCAGGATTGCAACACCCCTCCGGAGCAGCTCATTGGGCTTGGCCAAGTACCCTCTGAGGGCCAGCTGTAGTGCTTTAGCAAATAAGCATCCAGAGAGATGTCTGGCCTCTCATGGGCTCCAGCCCGGATGGCCAAGAGGAGCTAAATTTAGCATAGCTATTGTTCATCGGATAAGCGTGTTGTTGCTTGTTTGTTTGTTAACATGTTGGTATGTGACCACCAGGCCTGATGATAATCAGTTCTGAATTTAACCCACCCAACCCAGTCCCAAATGACTCCTGTTAACTGAATTCACTTGGCTCGATATGAGGGCCGGAAAAGAATCCACTAGCAGCTAATAATGACAGTCTGTCACTCCCATCTGGAGAGGACACCCAGACAGTGGGTCTCACATGTTTCTTTTCCTTCTCATTTGGTCCCATCACCTACTCCTTCCAGCCTTCCATGATGCCAGCCCCAGCACCAACCACAGCAGCATGAACAAAAACCAGCAGAGAAACACCCACTAAGTGTCTGGCATTGGGTCTACTGCTTACCTAGATTATCTCATTTAATCCTCAAAAATGGCCTTACAAGGCAGGTACTACATTGACTGTGGTGATGGCTGCATAACTCTGTGAATATACTCAACACCATGAATTGTACACTTCAAATGGCTGAATTGTATGGTATGTGAATTTTATCTCAATAAAGCTGTTAAAAAATGTCATTGAAAAAAATTGGAGGCTACTAGAGAGAAATGTATAGCCTTAACTTTGCATATTAGAAAAGAAGAAAGGCCGAAAGTTAATGAGCTTAGTACCTGATTTTATAAATTGGAAGAAGAACTCTCTAGGGTAGAATGGATTCCCATAGCCAGAGACACACAGCCTGCATGTGGCACAGCTGAATTCCCATGTGGGCTTCTTGGACCTTGTCGTTTCTGTTCTTACTGTCATGATACAGTCCGTGACCTGCCAGGGCTCTGGTTCAACCCACTATGAGCTACTGGGAATCCCAGGATGTAACATTCATCTTTATATCCCTATGGCCTTGCACTCAGTAGGTCCTTAATAAATGTTTGCTGCGTCAATAATCTGCTTGAATTATTTCATTATATTGATTACACCAACCTATTCTGTAATGATTTTCTCTAGCACGTTCACAGGTGATTTATGCTGCATTATAACAGAGTATTCTCTCTCATTGCCAGGGAGAGGGTGTGCCTAAGTGAAAGATACTCAGAGAAGAGTATCTGCACACTAAAACTCTCCAAATGAGTTTGGAAATGAAACAGTCCAGAGACCAGTGAATGCATGAAATGATTTCATGTGACGAGGCAATGATTGAAAGCCAAGGTCTGATCTCTTTGCAATTTGTTTCCTAAGCAATTGGTACTCAGGGGCCAGCTGGGCCTTGCTCACTCCTCAGCTATTAACAATCATGTTAATGGGGAAATACGCTGGCCCTTCAGTCCAGAGCACTCCTGAGATTCGGGAATATTCTCCTTGTCTGTTTCTTATCTACTGAGTACAGTTTTCACGTTAAGAATAAGAGCAACCCCTGAAGATCAGAGAGTGAGATGCTGAAAGGTGTTCACACTCGCCACTCCTCCTCCCTTAAAGATGAACCTTAAAAGGGTCACACTTAGTACCTAACTAGTGAGGACAATGTTGCAAAACAGAAAAAGGCATTTTCTGATCATCTTTTGGTATATAGAATGCAGGCATATGCCCCTGTAGGTTAGTTTATTTTCATTGTTTATATGTGATTGTTGATTTTGTTTCTTTAATGTTATTTCAATAACACTTCTCTTTATTAATACTTTATTTTGGGGGACAGGGTCTTGCTCCGTCACCCAGGCTGGAGTGCAGTGGTGTGATCATGGCTCATGGAAGCCTTGACTTTCTGGGCTCAATCAATCTGGCCACCTCAGCCACCTATGTAGCTGGGACTACAGGTGCATACCACCACACCCGGCTCTTTTGTTGTTGTTGTTTTTTAATAGAGACCAGGTTTTTCCATGTTGCCCAGGCTGGTCTCAAACTCCTGGGCTCAAGCAATCTACCCACCCTTGCCTCCCAGAGTGCTGGGATTACAGGCATGCGCCACTGTGCCTGGCCGATACGTTTTATGCAATATGATCATGGATGAAATTAGCTTCAAGTCATCCTTGAGGGAAAGTACCTGAAAGGGGCTGGATGAAGCAGAACAGAGCTTTGCTCTGGTCTGTTCCTGGTCAGTGCATGAAGTAGCCTGCATTTGAGGAGCAGCCTGAGGGAAGCCCCGGCCAGGCCTCTGTGGTCCCATGAAAGGAAGAGAATGGATTTTCCTACCCTGAGTTATCTTCAGAAGAAGTCAATCCTACTGCACAAGAGGAAGACCTGGGCAGCAGATGTTGGACTAGGAAGAGGGGCGAAACCCTCCCTTCCATCTCAGGATCTGTGAGTCAGCTGAGCCTTTAATCCCAACCCTGAAAGAACCTTCACACCTCCCTCTGCCAGATAAAACCAGATGAAGGCAAAAGGGAAGTCAGGCAGGAGCTGGAGCCTAAAGCCACTTAGGGTGGACTGGCCCAGGGTGGGAGAGGAAAATTATCATCTGTATAGGACTTTCTTCCCATTGTCCCTACATCTGAAGAAAATATCATTAAAAGTAGGATTTTTATCTTTCTTGTATTCTGGAAATTAAGGGGAAGGAGCTGTGTTGTTTTTTAGGATGATATTAGATAAGGCGTCTTCTCTCCTAAGAATGGAGGAGTAATGATGACAGAGCTTTGCTCATTGAAAAGCAGTCAGGGCAACGTGGGGTAGGGGTGAGAAACCTGCATGAGACAAAACAAACACAACCCAAAAAGCTGCTCCTGTGCCTGTACAAGACCGTGGAGAGTTGCTCAAAAAGAGACTGGATTGCTAAGAAGGGTGCTGTTTCCAGCAATAAAGCCAGAAGGGACTCTTGTCATTCGCATCAACAATTATTTAAATGGATGCCTAAGAGTCCATCCAGTGGCCATAGTATTTTCAGACTTTACTGTGACTGACATCTAGATTGTTTCCAATTCTTCAGTCTTAGAAAGAATGTCACTATGTCATCTTTATGCATAAAACATTTTTCTATTTTTTACAACTGCTTTATTGAGATATAATTCACGTACCACAAAATTCACCCTTTTAAAGTGACAAATCAGACGTTTTTAGTGTATTCAGAGTTGTGCGGCCATCAGCACTATCCCATTTTAGAAGCTTCTTTTTTGCTATCCCCAAAAGAAACCCCTTACCTAATAGTGGTCACTCCCTACATCCCCCCTCCGCTGACAACCACTAATCTGCTTTCTGACTATGAATTTATCTATCCTAGACCATTCGCATAAATGAAATCATATAATACGTGGCTTTATATGACTTGCTTCTTTTACTTTGTGTAATGTTGTCAAGCTTCATCCATGTTATAGTAGTTCATCCTTTTTTATGGATGAATAATATTTCATTGTGTGGTTATATCACATTTTGTTTATGGATGAATAATATTTCATTGTGTGGTTATACCACATTTTGTTTATGGATGAATAATATTTCATTGTGTCGTTATACTACATTTTGTATGTCCATTCATCAGCTGATGTCATTTTTGTTTCCACTTTTTGGCTATTATGAATAATGCTGCTGTGAGCATCTGTGCATAAGTTTTCACACGGATATACACCGCAATTCTTTGGGGATATGTATGTGTGGGTGGAATTGCTGGGTCATACAGTAACTAGCTATTTAACATTTTCAGGAGCTACCAAACTATTTTCCAAAGTGGCTGCATCATTTTGTAATTCCACCAGCAGTGAAGCTTTTTCCATTTTGAAGATTCCTTCAACCAGATAGAATTGCAGCAGTGGAATTCTAGAACCTGAGTATACATATCTGAAAGGTTCTTACTACATATGCCAACCTGCTTTGCCAAAAGGTTGCATAGGCAATTTTTCAAAAAGCTCTCCTTTGCTTTAGCTAACTCAGATTCATCACCTTCCAGATTTGGCACAAATTTAGTCCAGGAAGGTTTATCCCAACTTGTCATTGACTCTGCTACCCATGCTCCACCCACTTCAACCATCACCTCCACCACCCCCACACCTTGCACAGATCTTCATGTTCAATTGGAAAATTAGTTTGGAATGTTCTCACTCTTCACCTATGTGTGCTTTTATTATTATTATTATTATACTTTAAGTTCTGGGGTACATGTGCAGAACGTGCAGGTTTGTTACATAGGTATACACATGCCATGGTGGTTTGCTGCACCCATCAACCTGTCATCTACATTAGGTATTTCTCCTAATGCTATCCCACCCCTAGCCCCCCATCCCCTAACAGGCCCCGGTGTGTGATGTTCCCCTCCCTGTGTCCATGTGTTCTCATTGTTCAACTCCCACTTATGAGTGAGAACATGCAGTGTTTGGTTTTCTGTTCTTGTGTTAGTTTGCTGAGAATGATGGTTTCCAGTTTCATCCATGTCCCTGCAAAGAACATGAACTCATCCTTTTTTATGGCTGCATAGTATAGTATTCCATGGTATATATGTTCCACATTTTCTTTATCCAGTCTATCATTGATGGGCATTTGGGTTGGTTCCAGGTCTTTGCTATTGTGAACAGTGCTGCAATAAACATACGTGTGCATGTGTCTTTATAGTAGAATGATTCATAATCCTCTCTGTATATACCCAATAATGGGATTGCTGGGTCAAATGGTATTTCTGGTTCTAGATCCTTGAGGAATCACCACACTGTCTTGCACAATGGTTGAACTAATTTACACTCCTACTAACAGTGTAAAAGCGTTCCTATTTCTCTACATCCCCTCCAGCATCTGTTGTTTCCTGACTTTTTAATAATCACCATTCTAACTGGCGTGAGATGGTATCTCATTGTGGTTTTGATTTTCAAGATCCTTAAGGTCAGGTACTATGTCTTTAATTTATGTCCTCTTTTGGCAGAGGCAGTAGGGAAGGGCTCTGCATACAAAAGACACACTGTGGAGGTTTTCTGACCAGTACTTTAAAAAGTATGTACATTGCATCAGTGTCCCTGCATTTGCATTATTAAGAAAGCTGTTTGACAGGACTGAGGTTCCTGCTTCCTGGGTGCTCTATGGAGATTGCAGAACCTTTGAAAGCAGAGAGTCAGCTGATTTTGGCTTTCATATTCCGGGGGATAATTCTTACCTGAGGGAGCTAACCTGTATTAGGCACTTACCAGGTGCTTGCCATTTTTGCTATATGCTTTATAATTTACCTTATTCAATCTTCCAAGCAATCAATATAGAATTTAGCAACTAAGCTGAGTGCAGTGGCTCACACCTGCAATCCCAGCGCTTTGGGAGGCCACAGCAATAGGATTGCTTGAACCTGGGAGTTTAAGAACAGCCTGGGGAACATAGTGAGACTGTCTCTACAAAAATAAAAATGAAAAAATTAGCTGGGTGTGGTGGCACATGCCTGTAGCCCCAGCTACTTGGGAGGCTGAGGCAGAAGGATCAGTTGAACGCAGGAAACCGAGGCTGCAGTGAGGTGTGATCGTGCCACTGCACTCCAGCCTGAGTGACAGAGTGGGACCTTGTCTCAAAAAAAAAAATAAAAGAATTTAGCAACTAAGTGCCTCTACTGCTATTTTACACATAAGGATACTGAGAGGCAGAGGCATAGCCTTGCAGAACTCAAGAGTGACCCCAAACCTGGATCTCATTTCACTATTTGATGATGCTTACAATGTTGTTAAAATTATGGAAAAATAAAACATTTTAAATATGATAGGAGTTTCATTCTTTTATCCTTTTAAATTACCTTTCTAAAAGTTCTTTACCCTAAAAAATGTGGCCACATTTTCATGTGATATCTGGTTAGCTGATGTTTTTCTTTGCAATTGACATCTTGAGATATCTTGAGAAGTTTGTATATTCATTTTTTCTTTATTTTAAAATGCCCGTTGTTTTATGAAAATTAGATGTACTGTGAAGGAAGATTAATAAAACTAATTATAAGAGGGGAAAAGTGACAATGAAGACAATCTAGCAGACATACACAAGAGTACTGGAACATCACGCAACATTCTACTAAGCCAGAGAGAAATGCTTTAGTTTTATGCAGTGGAGAAGAAACCATTGTATCTCAGCCCTGTATCAGCTGGGATAAGGAGCTATGAAGAAGCAATCTTAAGAGAAGGCAAAGTGAGAATATAGACAAAGGGGACCTTGTCGGCCCCTAGGGAGAGCTCAAGACTTCCTCTCCAGATCCCCAAGAATCAATTAGAAAATGGAGTAGGGTCTTCCTGTCCTAGGTACCAGGTACTAGGCAATAGGGGCTGGAACTTCTACATGCTTTGGCAAGAGTCTAAAACCTAAGGAATGAGAGGATAATTTACTAACTTTTTTCAATATTTCAAAAATTTTAACAGAAGTGTTATATCCCCCACTGCCTGCGCTGCCCCCACCTCTGCAATAGGCACATACATGCGCACACACACACAGCCACAAAACTACCTAAAACTTTGTTTCTTTGCTTTTGACTATAATAAGAGTCACCTGGTGTGATAGCAGCAATCATCTAATACTGCTGAGAGGTGGGGCAAAGGGACTAGATGTTCACTACACCCATTTCCTCTTCCTTCTGAACACCCAGCCAGACTACATTTCCCAGCCCCTTTGCAGTTGGGTGTGTTTGTGAGCCTGAGTTCCACCCATGGAATGAGAATGGAAGTGATGTGTGCCACTCCCAGATCTGGCCCATATAAACCCCTCCCAAGCCATCCCCCAGACCCTTCCCTTAAGCTGACAACCTTGGGACCAGTACTGAAGACTGTAGTATCTCCAGGGGAAAGGAGCCTGGATCCCTGAGTCACTGCATGGAGGAAAGTTATTTGCTGATCAGGAGCACCTGTTTAGAATTTCTATGAATGAGAAATAAATGTTTGCTGTACTAAGCAGGTGAGATTTGGAGAATTATCTATTATAGTAGCTAGCATTACCCTAACTCATTCAGGTGTAATAAATGGCAACTGATAAAGTGAGTTTCTGAGTCCTAATTGGTACACTGGATACTGATAACCAGTTATTGCTAGGTAGTGTTGAGGAATTCCTCAAGTTTAAATTCTTCATCTCATAGATGCATCGGCTGAGGGCTTCAGTGATTTGTATGAGGCCACAGAGTAAGTCACCACAAAGCTAGGACTCAGATACAGGATTTTTGATTCTGTCATTGGCTCTTTCTAACACACCATTTGACATCCCTTTATATATTACCTATGCTGGCGGCATGGGCCGTTGTAATCCCAAAGTGAGTATTGAATAGCTAAGAACCTGGGCCATGCTAAAAAAAAAAATGAGATAGAGCCTCCCCCTTCTGGCTACACTTTATCAATTACAAGGGGAGGGGAAGATAGCACATTCTTGTTTGTTTGTTTGTTTTCTGTTATGTACAAACCAGCAATTCAGGGGCTCATTTGATTGCATTTATATCTCAGGAGAGAGAGAAAGTCATTTGATGACAGTCATCTCATTGGCTTTGATCCATGTATTTCCTAGGATCAACATCTCTTTTCCCTACTAATAAGAACCAAATAAGAAACTAATAATAAACCTTATGGGTATGAGCTGAAGTGGCTATAGAGTGATAATAGAACCAATAGCCTCTAGTTTTTATTGAGCACTTACTGTATAGTAGGCACCATGCTAATACTTCAAATACACTCATTCATTGATTCACAGCAAGGAACTCATGAAGGGGGACCTATTATTACCCCATTTTAAGGATGACAAAGCAGAGGTTTCCAGGATGAAGTAACCTGTCTGAAGATGCATGGTGCCCACGGGAGACCTTAGGCTTCTTTGAGACCATCATTTATGATCTTAACACTAAACTGAACTGTCTCGTGACTACATATAAATGCAAATGCAATGTTTTCTAGCACCTCAAGAGGTCATAAATCATTGTTTATAACCTTCTTACTGAAAAAATATGGCCACCAAGGGGGAGAATAGACAATTCAGACACAAGTTCAGTGTCATAGAGTCACCTTCCATGGCAGGTTATAATCTTACAGGGGAGTCACATGTGGAAATAGAACTTTGCACTAAGAAACTTGTTCTATCCCATTATTAACCAAATCTCTAGTTAGAAGGTAGTGTAAATTCCAACAAGCTATAGAGGAAAAATATAAAGCACTACACACAGGGATTGGACTCCGACCCGAGTTCAAAGCCTCCCTCTGCCAAGAACAAGCTGTGACCCTTAATGTTTCTAAATCACAGATTTTTTCATCTCCAAATAAAAAAGGAGTGGGGGAGATAATGCTTACCTCATAAGGATCTTATGAGTTCAGCAAAATAGTAAAATAATACTGTTCAAGCACTTATTGTACACTTTGCCTGGCTGTTAGACAGTGCCCAATACATGGCAAGGGTTTATTTCAAGTGTTATTAGTTTTTTGTAAGAAACAACTTCCCAAGTCACCTTGGAAATTTTATGTAACTCAGACCAAACTCTGATTATGTTCACCTTTGTCTTGTTGTGTTTTGTTTTGCACAAAATCCCTGGAGGCTCTAGAACTGCTCAGGCAATAAGGTAGCCACTAGTCACATGAGGCTGTTTATATTTAAATTAATTAAAATTAAAAAGTCAGCTCCTTGGTCACGCAAGCCACATTTCTAGTGTTCAATACCCACATGACGTTAGTGGCTGCTATATGGGACAGCACAGCTGTAGACTATTTCCATCACTGTGGAAGGTTCTCTCGGAGAACGTGGGTCTGGAGGAAGAATAGAGCCTGAAATAATGTAGGGAACATATTCGCTGCAGAGGGTGGTTTGCATATGGCTCTGCTGGAGGCAGGTTGCTGGACCAAATGAGCCACAGGGCTCCTTCTGCATCCAGGAGAATCTAACGCTCCTGCGAGAGAGACTCAATTTTTCAGAACATCTTCCTGTAGATATTTCTTGAATAATGACAGCAGGTTTCTCATGGCAAGAAATCTAAGAAATGAAGGCTGGTGTCCCTCAAGTGCGGATTCCTCTCCAGGGCTTGGGCCCTGAAAGGGTCCAAATGATGACTGATGTTAGGTGAAGGACACCCTTAGAGGGCCCTTATATGAATAAGATTTTCGTATTTGCTGTGAAAATACTATTCAAGGAAAAGATAAAACATTAGAGACGTTGTTTGCCATAGAATTAATGGTCCGAAAGGAAACAGGAATATGAATTTTCTTTACATCTGTTCATCTTTTGCATTTCTCCTCACCAATATGATCATACCTTTATATAAAATATGTTACACAGACATAAAATATTCATATTCAGACTTTTTTAAAATTTAGAGAATAACACCTCAATAACACTTTTTATTCTAAAAATGTTATATTTTCACGAAGCACTCGAAGGCTTTTATAAACACACTTTTGTAATACAGATAGGCAATGTTAAAGCCGAATATATTATGTGCCAAAACAGCATTTATATTACAAATTTGTTTTGTTTTTTAAGAGAGCTAAGGAGAGAGAAACCCAGTTGGCTGCAATTGAATTAAAGAACCACAAGCTATTTTTCTTCCTTGTCTTTTTTGCCGTTCGTGGTGCAATTTTATTTTCCCCATTTTTAAAGATCATAAAAATAGAGCCTATAATATCTATTTTCTTGCTAAATGAAGGCACCTCATTAGTAGATACACAGAAGCATAAAACACTTCCAAGGCTTTGGACTTGCTTCAGTTGAATCACAGATCTTCAAAGCTCTCCTGTTAGCATGCCACTGTGTGGCTGTGTGAGCCATGTGGATAACATACTGAGTATGGTTCTGGGAATGCAGACCAGAGAAGACAAGCCAAGAGGGAGGTCAAGGCTGGGATACCTGGGCCACCTAATGGCATGGAGATGACAATGCAGATACCTCCTTGGCTGGCCAAGAATGAGTAGGCCCGGACTGATGTCCTTTTTAATACATGATCTAGAATTTTACATTCAGCTCATGTTTCTAGGCTCCACCTTCTTCCTTTTGTTCAACATTAGAACTGTCTTTGCCTTTATTCTCCACCCTTCCCAAAGAAGATGAGATTCAGAAGATTCAGCCATCTTCTCCCAGAGTCTGGGAAGTCTGGAAGAGTAGGTTCATGCCCTTTTACCATTTTCACATCTATTTTGAATGTCAATTTCCTCCTCTCCATTGTGCCAGAGATGCTAATCATTGTGCCCACCTGCCCATGGCCCTTCTCTGAGCAAATGGCTCCCAGTGATCTACAGAACACTGCTTCTATCCCCTCAGCCAAAGACAATTAGGTGAGGTCACATTGTCATTCAAAGCTATCCAGAGGTCTAGGAGAAAAATCAAACTTCTTGGTTCCCCAGTTTCTAATTTTATCATCCTATATAGATTATTTAAGCTTTCTAAGCCTCAGCTTCCTCATCTGAAAAGCAAGGACAATAATATTTGCTGTAAGGTTGTTGTCAGCCTGAAGTAAGATGGTGCATAACATAATAGAGCCCCTGGCAAAGTGGTAATGGTCACTGCTGCTGTCATTGCCATCATCATTATAGTCATCATTACCAATATCAACAACATCATCATCATCACTATCATTGTCAGAACTCAGCTGAGTGGAAGAGGTGAGCTGAAAAGTGTGTAGAGTGAGGACTAAGGGTGCCATTTTGATCTATAAGCAATGCACCAAGTAATCAGAAGAAGTCAGTCTACAGATGAGAGATAAATAACCAGGATGGGCAGCACTGGCATTTAGTGGGCATGGACCAAAGTTGCTAAGCATCCTGCAGTGTTCTGGAGTGTAAGTATACAACAAAGCAGCACCCTGAGTCTCACACAACTTTCAAAGATGCTGCTGAACGGTGTGTATATAGTCTAAGCTTCCATACTACATACATACATAACATACTGTTTACAAGGTTTTAATACGTACTGAATTTTCCAGGAAGGTAGCTACTGTGTAATTCATAGAAAGACCGCTGTTTTGTTGGAAATTTGCTGAGAGCCAGTCACTGTGGTGGTTTCAAACATGACTACAAATTCTCTGACACTCCTCTCATCAAGAGGTGGGCTCTGTATACTCACATCCTCTCTGCCTCCTGCCCCATGTGACTGCTTTGACTGAGGGTATGTCAGAGTGATACTGGTGACTTTGGAGGCTAAGTCATGAAAGATCTTGCAGCTTCTGCTGGGATACTTGTCCTTAGAACTCTGCCTGTCTTGTAAGAAATTTAGGCACCCTGAGATCACCAGGCTGGAGGGCCACCTACAGTGAGTCCTGTCTGCAACCCTCCAGCCAAGGAGCCAGGTGAGTGAGTGAAGCAGAGACATCCTGGAAGTGATTCCTTCAGCTTTAACTCTTCCAGGTCCTGGCACTCGACCCATCCCCAAAGAGGCCCCAGACATCACGGGGAAGAGAAGAACCATTCTCACTGTGCTCCTTCTGAATTCCTGACCCATAGGATCCAAAAGCATCATAAAATGATGGTTTGAGGCCACTGAGGTCTAGTTTGTGACACAGCAAGAGATAACTGAAAGACCCACCACTTTGAAAAATCAGGTTGCCAGTACAATCTGACTTTATCAATCTGTATTTGAGGTTGTCATACTCACAAAGATTCTACATATAGGTGCAAATAAATCTGTGGCTACTTCATTGTTTCTTCTTCTGTCTGAACATTTATTTATTTTTCTTTCCAACTTTTAGGTTCAAGGGGTAAATGTGCAGGTTTGTTACATGGGCAAATTGTGTGTTGTGGGGGTTTGGTTTATAGATAATTTTGTCACCTAGGTTATCAGCGTAGTACCCAACCTGTAGGTTTACATTCCTCACACTTTCCCACTGTCCACCCTCAAGTAGGCCCCAGTATCTATTGTTCCCTTTTTTTGTGTCCATGCGTACACGATGTTTAGCACTCACTTATAAGTGAGAACATGTGGTATTTGGTTTTCTGTTCCTGCATTAATTTACTTAGGATAATGGCTCCAACTCCATCCATGTTATTGCAAAAGACATAATCTCATTTTTATGGCTATGTAGTATTGCATGGTGTATATGTACCATGTTCTCTTTATCCAGTCCACTGTTGATGGGAATCCAGGTTGATTCTATGTCTTTGCTATTCTGAATAGTGCTGCGATGAACATTCACGTGCATGTGTCTTTATGGTAGAATGACTTATATTCCTTTGGCTGTATACCCAGTAATAGGGTTGTTGGGTTGAATCGTAGTTCTATTTTAAGTTCTCTGAGAAACCTCCAAACTGCTTTCCACAGTGGCTGAACTATTTCCCATTTCTCTGCAACGTTACCAGAATCTGTTTTTTTGTTTTTTGTTTTTCACTTTTTAGTAATAGCCATTTGACTGGTGTGAGGTGGTATCTCATTGTGGTTTTGATTTGCATTTTGATTTGCATTTCTCTAATGATTAGTGATATTGAAAATTTTTTTCATATGCTTGTTGGCCACATGTATGTCTTCTTTTGAGAAGTGTCTGTTCATGTCCTTTGCCCATTTTTTAACGAGATTGTTTGGGTTTTGCTTGTTAATTTGCTTAAGTTCCTTATAGATTCTGGATATTCGACCTTCGTCAGATGCATAGTTTGCAAATATTTTCTCCCATTCTGTAGGTTGTCTGTTTACTCTGTTGATAGGGTGGTTTTTTGTTTGTTTTGTTTTGTTGTTTGTTGTTTTGTTTTTTTGTTTTTTGCTGTGCAGAAGCTCTTTAGTTTGATTAGGTCCTATGGTCAATTTTTGTTTTTGTTGCAATTGCTTTTGGAGTCTTCATCATGAAGTCTTCACCAAGGCCTGTGTCTCAAATGGTAATTCCTAGGTTGTCTTCCAGGGTTTTTACAGTTTTAGGTTTCACACTTAAGTCCTTAATCCATCTTGAGTTAAATTTTGCATATGGTGAAATGCAGGGTCCAGTTTCAATATTCTCTGCATATGGCTGGCCAATTATTCCAGTACCACTTATTGAATAGGCATTCCTTTCCCCATTGCTCGTTATTATTGGCTTTATCAAGGATTAGATACTTGTAGGAATGTAGCTTTACTACTGTTCCATTGGCCTATGTGTCTGTTTTCTGCACCAGGACATACTGTTTTAGTTACTATACCCTGTAATATAGTTTGAAGTAAGGTAGTATGATGCCTCTGTTCTTTTTGCTTAGGCTTGCTTTGGCTATTCAGGCTTATTTTTTTGTTTCAAATGAATTTTAGAATTTTTTTCTAATTTTGTGAAAAATGTCATTGGTAGTTTGAAAAGGATAGCATTGAATCTGTAAATTGCTTTGGGCAGTATGGCCATTTTCATGATATTGATTCTTTCTATCCATGACCATGGAATGTTTTTCCATTTGTTTGTGTCATCTCTGATCTCCTTTAGCTGTGTTTTGTAATTCTCACTGTAGGGATCTTTCACCTCCCTGGTTAGCTGAATTCCTAGGTATTTTATGAATGGGATTATGGTCCTGATTTGACTCTCAGCTTGGATGTTGGTGATGTATAGAAATGTGGCTCATTTTTGTACATTGATTTTGTATCCTGAAACTTTGCTGAGGTCATTTATCAGATCTAGGAGCTTTTTAGCAAAGACTGGGGTTTTCTAGGTGTAAAATTATATTGTCTGCAAACAGAGATAGTTTGACTTTTCTTCTTTCTCTTTGGATGTATTTTATTTTTTTCTTTTGCCTGATTGCTCTGGCTAGGACTTCTAGTACTATGTTGAATAGGAGTAGTGAGAGTGAGCATCCTTGTCTTTGAACATTTATTAATTAAACTACAGCTTACTTTCTGTTTTAGATAAATTACTTTCTCTGTAAGCCTCCTTTATATTTCAGTTTGGGTAATATATTCACTTTGCTTTGAAATTAAATGTTTAAGTAGGTTATATTATCTATGAAGTTTATTTTAAGGGAGCAAACGGATGTTACAAAATATTTATTATGAAAAGGAAGAGTTGAGTCCAACATGCCAAAACCACCGAGCTAGGCATTTTTTCCCTGAGACCTGGAGAGGACAATTATTTTGTTAACATCTTTCTGATTACCCTGGCTGTCTGAGATTCTTGAGGCATCCCTACAGCCATCCCCTACTATGTCATTTCTTAGCTGGTAGCTTCTTTCAAACTAAGGAGGCTTGACTAGGTCATCCAGTTTAGTACTAACCTGTATGGGCTCTTCTTTTTCCTTGAAAGAGAAAATGGAAGCCCAAAGAGATTAAGCAAAACTGAAGTTTTCTCTGGCATCTGTTGGCATCACCCAGATCCAAGAGGTGGTATCCTCTTCCTTTTTTTGTCTTTTTGCTCTTGATATAATCATTAAACACCAAATAACATTTCTTTTAGTTTATCTTAGTATGTTCTACTCTTCATTGTCAGCTTCGGTACAACCTTTAAAATCCAAAGAATATTTCTCTTTGGTTGTTCCTGACATGTTCTACTCCTTATGCTTTGCTTTCGTTGGTCCTTCTTCCCACTGGTTCCAGGCTTTCATTTGCCCTTGACTAGACCCTGCCCCTTTGGCCTTTATGAAATCTGAGCTTCTCATGTGCATCCTGGGCATTACACCGAAATAACTACTGACTTTCACATAAAAATCAATGACAGTTGGGTATGAGACATTCCTTTTTGGCAGTTGTTCACCCCTGAAGTTTTTAAAAAATTTCTCTCCATGGAAGTATATTGTTGAAAGGTCCAGCTTGCTAAAAATTAAAAAGACTGTAGGTCTTATTTTAGGAAGCTAGTGCCCTGTGCCCTGACGATCGTGAACTCTAAATGGTGGATGGTTCTCCCTTCGTGTTTGTTGAAGATACTTTTGGGGATGTCTTCCTAGCCCTTGCTGATCACCTCCTTTGCCCATCAATGTGGACTCCCAACTGCTTTGTCTGTAACAAACATGCCACTGCCCCTCTGACCATAGCAGATTGGACCCAGGGTGGACAAATCAAGCCAGATAGATGAGGTTTCCCTCATGTGCAAATACTCTTAATTAATCCAGTGTTTCTCCTTTCGTATCAGTTTCATCGTCGAGAGTCTTGTATCATCTGAAAATTCAGTTTAAAGAAGCTTAACTGTAATTTATGCAGGATTTCTTGTCAAATTTGGCCTAATATTTGCAAAAACAATAGAAATTTGGGAGAGCTTTAAAAAGACTGACTAAAGAACATAAGGAAGAAGAAGACACAAAGAGAAAATTATAATGATAGATTATGGAGTTCTGTCACACCAAAAGGAGCATGGGCAGGAAATGTACATTATGGGTGAGCCAGTATAAAATGGCACAAAGTGGGGTCTCTCTTAAGTGGCTTGCTGATGACAGGGTTTGTACAGCTTGGCTTTACACAGACCCAAAATAGACAGCACATAAGTTCCTTAGGCATTGGCACTGGGATCACAGCCTGTGCCAGGAAAAAGCCTACTATAGCTGGATTTTTGCAAAGTTTAGGAAAATAAGCATTTTCAAAAGAACTTGATGCTAACAACCATTTCAGGCTGCCATCTTTGTTTCAGCAAGATAACAGGTGTTCAGTGCCCCAAAAGGTGTTTCTTGCTTTGTCCTGTGACTGTGGACCACCTCTTCCCTGGGCAATCCAGAGAGCTCTTCCACCATCCAACAGCTGCAACCACACTGGCTCCAAAAAAGTCTGAACCCAACTTTTGAAGAGGGATGCACCTTCCATGTCTGCCTCTCCTTGGGTAAGCTCCCTCAGCCCTAGAGTACCTTTAGAGTTCTCTTTATATTTTTATAGTCTCCTACTATAGCTTAATAATTATTTATTTAAACCTATCTATTTAAAATAATGATGATGAAGATGTTGATGATGATGACTATAATAATAATGATAGTTACAAAAGGCTTTGAGCATGATAAATACTAAGTTTTAAAATTATCCTGAGATACCTATTCATCATAATATTTGCAGATTCAAAATACTGGGACATCATGACCTTTGTAGATTCAAAGACCAACTCTGGTAGTGAAAGAACGTCATCCTTAGATTTTGAAATAAATAGCCTTACATTCATCCCTCTTGGGAGATCTGTGCTGAATCCCCAAATGCCAAAATTTCCTCTGTATTTCACAAATTATATTTTAATTTTTGGTATGGAGACTATAACAGCCCACTGATAATATTCTACAGCCCAATGGGGTCTCATAGTGACTTCTGGAAGTTTCTAAAAATGTTTAGGCATAAATTCAGATCTAATGGCCCCAAAGCTAGGCTTGCACCATAAATTACAGCCACTCCTCTTCTCCAACCACAGAACAAAAGCAGAAACATAGACTCCTTTATAAAAAGTGGTATCCAAGAAAAGCGAAGCTTTAACCAGCACTTAGTTATTGCCAGCATTTAAATGGTTAAGTGTCTTATAATACAAGAGAGGGGAGAGTGGAAAGAGGCTCTTGATTTCTGCTTCTAATAAAATCACTAAGCCTCTGGCCCATTTCCCCCCACAGTTCCCCACGGGCATGGCCGTGACCAGCTGGACGGTTAATCCCCCACGAATAATCTTATCACCCAGAGAATGGAATTGGTAACTTTTAAAGAGCTATCTGGAGTCAGAACTTCTGAGATTTTACACCTTTAAAACCCAAATTTGTCAAAGAATCCGGAGCAAATTAACCTATTTCTCTATTCAGGAGAGAAGATGAAATATTTCCATCTTCACTGACAAGGACTTCTGGCAATTTGGATGAATGATGCCAAGAGAAGAAAGCAACCAGCTTATAAACTTCCTAAGGAAGCAAATTTCAAAAGAAACCCCAAACATCAC
Source organism: Homo sapiens (assembly GCF_000001405.40). NCBI lineage: Eukaryota > Metazoa > Chordata > Mammalia > Primates > Hominidae > Homo > Homo sapiens. The sequence goes on along the minus strand of NC_000001.11, from coordinate 14,221,973 downwards.
GAATCACAAGCTGCTTTGTTTTCTTATTCATGACCTTCATCTACCTTCCCTTTCATCAAGTAAATGGAAATGTGTCATTCTGATTAACGGTGATTGCTTCCTTGTCATACATCAACTAAAATGAGATGTTTCACCATCAGATTTAAGGGGACATGGGCATATATTTAAGAGGTATTTTTTTAAAAGGCATTCTTGATTATCCATATCACTTAAAAAATTCTTGTCTTCTTCCCACCTCATCCCCTTTTCCTGCAGATCTTTAAAGGTAGAGAAATGATATGACATTCAGTGGTGGTTGATTATAGCCTTGTTGGTATAGCTGTATTGTTTACAAAATTGGTGCAATAATGGTGACTCGTAACAGGATTATAATAAGCCAGAAAATAATTCTAGCTGGCAAGCTCTGCAGTGATTTTCCTACAGAAATCACACCTCAAGCTCCTCTTTTTAAGGAGTTTTAATGCAACTTATTATTTCCCTTCTCGGAGGCAACTTATCTATGTAGAAAGAAAAAGACAAAGAAAACAATCTACATGGATCGTGATTGCAAACATCATGATTTTAAGACATAAATTTCTAGAGGGTGAGGATAGTATGGAAACCTGTATAATGTTAACAGAAGACTCCAGGGGCAGGGACCATGCTGTTGGTTTCTTAGTGTATTCTAAACCTCTAGCACAATGCTTATATTATATTTAGAATTCAATACTTACCTTTCGAATATAGTTGTGAAGGTCAAGCACTGAGTCTAAAACATATTGAAAATCATCCACAAAGGGATGGTAACTAAGGATATGAAAGAGGAAGAGATTAAAAGGAAGTGAATTAGTGAAGGAATGAGTGATTACATCCTCAGGGCTAATAAACACTAAGCAAGATGACAGAGTTAGTGTAACTATGACCTAGACAGTGAACTCCTTGGGGGCAGGAACTACACAACCTACCTGATTAGCCAGCATCCCGCATCAAAGTCAGCTTTCAGTAATGCTTGTGGGATGAACAAGCAGATGGATAAGCGGAGGAAGCTGCTTCAACCTAAACCTTTACCTCTAGGCACAAACAGCAGATGCTGTGCCTGTAATAAATCTTTTTTCTTAAAAATCAATGTAAATTAAGGCCATTTCCTCAGCAGAAAAAAATAACCTGACAAGTATAAGTATGGTTGGGAATAAAAGCCCTGGAGGATAAATGTGGGACTATCTATGCTTGAGAGCTCCTCCCTCCACAGAAGAAGCATTTGTACTTTGTTCATGTTAAGCTAGTAAGATAGTGTTGACGGCTGCATTAATTCTAATATTCATAACCTAAGCTAGCAGTATAAAGTGCCTGGTACTGGTCTGGAGCCTGAATGTGCTATCACCAAATCAGATGCAGACATGGTGTGATCCACTAGGGAATGAGGGTAGACCCTGCCAATTAAGCTATCACAGGGAACCTTATCACTGGGTTTGGATGAAGTCCATTCAAAGCCTTGCACACAGGAAAAGTTCCAAAGAGCATGTAAGTCCTCTCGACACAGAGAAATAGAAGCTGTCCAAGTTTAAGACAACAAACACATCCACAGGGTAGTTAGGGATGACTCAAAGATTCTAAGTCAGGACCAGGAAGCGGAGAAGCTATTAATTGGGTTGGCAAGGTCACGAGAAGGATTTGGTTGGAAGAAGAAAATGGGTCCAATTTTGGGCATATCAATTTTGTGGTGACAGATGGACATACAGAAAGAAATGATGAGCAGAGAGTCAGAAATACATGTCTGGAGCTCCTACAGGCAAGAGTGTCGTAGATACTTCCATGTTAACTGCATATGACTTCAGGTAATGCCAAGGCAGGAGAACACAGAGAGCACAGAAGGCATGACCAAAGAGGTGATAAAAGCAGCCAAAAGACACCAAAGGGACAGTTGGAAGGCAGGAGGGAGATCAGGGCACCCTGGTTGTTCAGAAGAAAAGGAAGAAAATAATTTCTAGAAGGCAATACTCAACAATAATGAATTGGGCAGAGTTTATGCGGACAACGACTGAAGAAATGTTGCTAAGAGATGATCAATGGCCTTCAGACAGTGGGTTTCAGTCATGTTGAGTGATGCAAACTAGAACATATGGATTAAGGATGAGTAGTTATTGAGGCAGTGGGTTCTAAATATTCCTTTAATGTGAATTGATGGTTTTTAAAGTAAGAGCACATATTACACATCTTAGAAGATTCAACTGAAATGTTATTGCCCTGGTAAGTTTTTGCTAATCTCCCAGACAGAAATAAATTTCCATTTCTCTATACTATCATAATACTTTGTCCATATAGCACCTATCATATTTTGCTTCATACTACAATTTTCTTATTTTAGGTGCAGTGCTCCTCCAATGCCTACCCAAAAGAGTTGGTTATTCATGAAATATTTGTAGAATGAATTAATGAAGACCTACTTGTTTACAGGTCTGCCTGTCCAATGTGGTGTGAGTCTTATTTTGCATGAAACCTATTGGAGAAATTAATAAAAAGGTACATTATATATGTTTTAAAAAGCTTATTAGTTGTAAAATAATACAGATACAAAAAACTGCATTAAATAAATGCTTAGTTTAATAAACTATTATAAGGTCAACACTTTGTAACCATGACCCAAATCAAGACAAAGAAATCTGCCAGACACCTCATAAACCCTCTATACAATCATTTTAACAACAATTCCCTTCCCTACACCCTCAAAAGTAATCTTTGTCCTCACTTTTATGGCAATCGCTTCTGAGCTTTCCTTTACAGTTTTATCACCTGATTATACATCCCTATATTTCATTTCCCCTGTTATTTTTATGTCTCTATTAGTCTACAGGTTACCCTTTGGTCTCTCCACATTTGTTTCTCATGTAATTTATTTGTTGAAGAAAACAAGTGTGTCCTATAGAGTTTCTTACTATCTGGATTTTGCTGATTGCATCTCTGTGGATCTACTGGATTGATCATTGGGTTTAATTTTTGGCAAGACAACTATAGAGATATTAATAGTATTGTATTCTTCTATCACAGCCATGTGATGTACGGTTGTGTCTTTACTTATGATAACAGCAAATGTACAATGCCTAGATCTATTAATTTATCTGAGTTGCAAAATAGTAATATTCTAATTTAATCATTCTTCATTTAGTTATTAGTTGAAATAATTCTATAAAGATAAAATTCACTCATCTACTGCTTGGTTATCAGGGATGAAACTCATATAGAAAAGACAGATTATTTTTTGCCCTCATTATTTACCAGTTTAAAAAATAAGTGGTTATTATTTTCAAAAATGACAAATTATTTTCTATCCTTATGAATTCATAAATTTAAACATATTTATTGAGCTTCAGTTCACCGAAAATATTATCCTTACTGAACATAAATTGTCTGATCTTTGTCCAGTGGGAAAATCATTAGTTCCTTTGTCCTTTTGACATAATCCTAATAGTTTTCTAGCTTCCTTGCTAACGAGGTATGTGTATGACACAATCTCCTAGGCTCATCTTGTACAAATTCTGCCCAGACCTAGAATCCTCTAATTTCCCAAGAATAGCTGTTTTCTTTTAGTGGGAAATAGTATTTCAAGATCATAATCTGGGTCCTAGAGATGTCATTGCTATTGGGTTGCTTTCTCTTTCTAAGCCTTTTCAGTACACGAGTATGAACTCACAATGTATATGATACTTCCAATTTAAATTCAGTACCACAGGATTTTTACTTGACCTTTTCTACCTGGCATTTATATTTACTTTCTTCCATGCCAGAATACTGATTCTAGAGAACACAGGGGATTCAAGAATTAGAAAATCACATAATTGCCCATGTGATTTATTTCATTATATATGAAACAGACTCAGCATTAGCAATTCTTCTACTATAAATATATATAGCACTCAGTATCAAGCTGTATGTTAATAACTCTCTAGTTAATTTGGTTTATTGGAATTTACTCTCACTAAATTCCTCAGAAAAAGCTCATGGGAAAAATATTCTCCAAGTCATTGAGTTTGCCTGAGCCCTTCATGTGAATGTCAATTTAGTTGGATATAAAATTTTTAGCTCACACATCTTTCCTTAATTATCTTAAATATATTATTCTATTTCCTTACAGTATAAAGCAATGTTGTAGGAAAGTCTACTGAAAGCCTGATATTGTCTATTATAAGTGATTTGATCTTTTTGCCTGGATGCCTAAATTTTTGTTTTTCTTCAAAGTCTAATAGTTTTATTAACTTTCTCTCAGTGTTGGTTATTTTGGGTCAGTTTCCTTAGTTATGTGGTGTGTAATTTCAATATGTAATTTAAACAATTGTTTTGGGAAACTTTTGAAATTATAGTTTTGGGTATTTTTTTGTTCCCTCATTTTGATTTTCTTTGGAGCCCTTATTATACGTATGTTGGATCTCCTTTGACTGCCTTCTAAATTTGTCACTTTCCCTCAAATCCTTAAAAAAATTTCCATTTTTATCCTTTCTGAGTGATATAACTTCATTTATAAATCTTCCTAATTTGGAATTATGTATTTTTCCACATCATGTGACATTTTCTTAGGTTTTTTTTTTAGCTTGTTAGAAATAGTGGGTTGTAGTTTTTATTTGAAGGGGGATGGGCCTGTATTAGTAGCATTTTTAAATTTTTTGTGAAGCTATTTTACTCTTTATTATTTTTTAAATAAGATTATACCTATGTCTTAGTACATTTTGTGTTGCTGTTACAGAATACCACAGACTGGATAATTTATAATGAAGAAAAATTTATTGGCCCACAGTTCTGAAGGCTGGAAAGTCCAATATCAAGTTGTCAGCATCTGGCAAGAGTCTTCTTGCTGCATCTTGACATGGTAGAAGAGCAAAGAGAGAGGGAAAGGAGGCTGAACTTTCCCTTTTATAAGAGCATAGTCCCCCTTAAATTGAGTTATTTATTAAAGGTCCTACTACTTAATATTGTTATAATGGCAATTAGTTTCAACACAAGTTTTGGAAGTGACAAATACTCAAACCGTAGCAACTGTGATCTTTTCCTGTTGCCCATTTCTATGTAAAATTTGCTCTTTTAAACTTTTTTTATTTTTTGAGACAGAGTTCCACTCTTGTCACCTAGGCTGTAGTGCAATGGTGAGATCTCAGCTCACTGAAGCCTCCGCCTCCTGGGTTCAAGCAATTCTCCAGCCTCAGCCTCCTGAGTAGCTGGGATTACAGGCTCCCACCACCACTCCCAGCTAATCTTTTGTATTTTTAGTAGAGACGGGGTTTTGCCATGTTGACCAGGCTGTTCTTGAAATCCTGACAGGTCATCCACCTGCCTCAGCCTCCCAAAGTGCTGGGATTACAGGTATGAGCCAACACGCTCAGCATCTTTTCAACTTTTAATCGGGATATAGTTCAGTATAGTTTTACTAACTTTTCCAACTTTAGGCTTTACAGCACCTTCTCCTTTCGTTTTCATGCAGTTTTCAAAACATACAGCAGCTTGTTCTCTGAGATCTCTTACCTCTAGGCACTTCTTCCACTTTTATCTTTACCTTCTCTTTCCCTTGTCTTTATACTGCTCAGTTTGGGTCCTGCTCTCAACAGTTTGTCCTCAGTGAGTGACTACCCTGGAAGGAAGTTTCAAATGTTCAAGAAACCCAGACCATTCCACTCCTTTAGATCTTACTGTTAACTCTTTTTATTCACCTGCTAGTAGAGTACACAAAGCCTCTCCCAGTTTTGGCTACTTTCCATTGAGTACATGTTGGACATTTGGGGATCCTGAGGCATGTCAACTGCTTTGTTTCTCCCCTTAGCTTCCTCCTGCTAAATTATGGCTGATATAATGTGGGCCCTTGTTGCTATTAATGATTTGTCTCCCCAAAATCATATTTTTGTCAATTTAATTTGTTAATGACATTCATGTGTTTTGGTTTTGCTATCTTTTTGCTCTATTTTTTAAAAAAATTGAGGATATTTAAAACTTCTTCTGCCACTGCCACAATATTCCAAGATATTTATATTTTTGTATGTTATTGATATAGTAATACAAATTGAAATATAGTATGTTTTAGCTGGGAAAAAAGAAATATAATTAAAGACATTATTCCTGTAGAAGTTGGATGAACATTAATGAGAAGCTTAGCCTCCCTGACCTCTCAGTTCATCTCTAGTTCTTGGATTCTATAGCACAAGCCTTGAGAGAGCCAGAATAATATGGTTTACATAGATTAGAGCCTATCAGACCTGGGTTCAAATCCACCCTCACCAATTATTATTTGCATGGGCTTGAATAAGCTTTTCTGTAGGCTTCAGTTTCTTTACCTGAAAAGCAAAGACAACAGTACCTTTATAAAGCCAAAGCGCCAGACCTATAGCAGTTTTCTTCATTTCAAAAAGGAAACCTTCACCAAAAAGAACCAATCGTTGTGCAGAAAGTTAAGGCTATTCAACTGCAACTTAAATGAAATATCAAAATTCCCTCTAATACTACCCAGCTTTGGCCTCAGAATATTAGTAGACCTTTGAATCCCCAGTTGTTAGGATAAATGGGAATATGTAAGCACTGGTGGGACTAAGGTCTAGAGCAGCAGGCCCTTCCCACATTCCTTCCAAGTCTGTTCATCAGGAAGGAATTTGGTGATCAATGATACAATCATTTTGGTTAAATAAATCCTACAAGCCACACTCTGGGGACTCTCCTGACACAGCCTAAAAAATGAATAACCTGTAATGACAATCACACAGCTCTCATTCCTTCTACATCATACTTATCTAATGAATTGGTGTCAAACACAGAAAATTATTAGAAGAATTTCCTGAAGGGCTTTGTCACTTCAAATCCAAACTTTGTCAATTTCATAGCTCCCCACGTGAGAAATGACTTTTTTGATAAATGCTTAATGTACACATTACTCCAAGAACACTTAAGTTAGAAACATGAGATTACCAAAAAGCTTTATGAAAGAAATGCAGGCATGTCTTTCTGCATACCTAAATGTTGCATAGCCTAAAGCTATTTTTAATTTTTCATTTGATTTACTAAGCTTTTCCAACCTCAGCACAATTTATCACCTTACCTGTGTTTTCTATCATTCCTTCCCAACCATAAGTTCTTGAGGATAGGGGCTGTGTCTTCTACTCTGCATTCCTTGTGCTCAGCACACGGCCTTGGGCACAATGCACTTGCAATTGTGCTCACAGACTAAATTAAGTCAACTCCCCAGCTCCACTATCCAAATCATCTTGTACCACAGTCTTCATTCTCTTGGTAAGTGGCTACCTCTATTCTATTTGTTTTTCATGCTCTTTTACATCTCATATACAATCCATCAGTAAATCTTGTTGGTTCTTGAAAAATATGTCTTTAGCACCTCCTCCTCTTTCTCCCCTTTATTGTGTTTAGATAATTCTACTATTTTCATGTCCTTCTAGGAAAGGATTAGGAAAGTAAATGAAAAATCATATATTTTGCTACTTATTTTTCAAGTCCCATAAGCATTTATTGGAAGCTGTAGAGTAAGAAGGTTGAGATTGTCAATTAAGCTGAGTTGGGGGTTATCTGCAGATTTTTAAATTCTTTAATTTAAAAAATATTTATTGACTACACCTTATTTCAGACATGGTTGTGGTGCTGAGTAAAGCAGTGCATAAAACCAACACAGCCCCCACTGGCATAATCTTGCCTTGAGTTTGGAAAGAAAGACAACAAACCGATAAGCAAATTCATGTATGTGATCATGTCAGATAACGATGTACACTCCAAAGAAAGCCGGAGTGAGGTGAGGTAAGACCGGGTCCTTGGATCATTTCTTCTTCTACTTATATTCACATCTTTGATGATCTCATCCAATCTCATGATTTTAAAAATCAATTATACATAGATGATTCCCCAAATTGAAATCCAGACTTGCATATCCATTTTCCTATTCCAATGTCTCTTCTTGCATGTCTAATAGGCACCTCAAACTTGGCATTTCCAAATCCCAACTCCTTAAGCCCACGCCAAATCTGCTCAGACCACCATCTTCACTCTTGGTAAGTGGCCACCTCCATCATCCCATTTGCTCTTCACACTTGTGTGTCCCACATATGATGCATCAGTAAATCGTGTTGGTTCTTAAAAATATGCCTAGGCTCCTGACACTTCTACTGCTACTGTGCTAATCTGAGCCACTACCAGCTGTCCTCTGGGCCACCACAGGTAGCCTCATAACTAGACCCCCTGCTTCTAATCTTCCCTGCTCCCACATAGACTAGTCTCCCCCCAACATAGTCAGAATGTTCCTTTTAAAAGTAAGTCAAATCACATAATTCTTTGGCTTCAAACCCTCTACTGGTTTCTTGAAAGTAAAAGCCAAAGTCCTTATCACAGCCTATAAGTGACCTTTCTGACCTTTCTAACCAACTAACCTCTACTTCTCTCCCTCACTGGCTCTGTTTCAACCATACTGGCCTCTGTGCCACTCTGCAAACATGGCAGGTGCATTCTAACCTTAAGACCTTTGCACTTGCCCTCCTCTGTCTTGGATACTCCTCCCCTATACATCTCCATGAATCCCTACTTCATCTCTTCAGGCCTGTGCTACAAACAGGCCATCCTATGTAAAATTGCCATTCCTAACACCAGTGGCATATTCCATCATATTTCTTGGTTCTAGTTTCCTATTTAGGCCGGAGGGGATGGGAGGAAGAGGGAGTCTTAGTAGCACGAGAGAAGGACTCTGCATGACCCAGTGAGAACAGTGAGCCAGCAACCAAGGGGCATGATGAAATCAACCCCGTGTACCTGATGTTCTCAAAAGAAAAAGGATACAAGTGCTGGAAAAACATAAATGATTTTCCATATCTACTTAAGAAATAATATGCTAAAATAGCCTTTAAATAAATACAGAAAATTTACATATAAGAAAATCTTCCCAAGTAGAGGATGCTAAATACAGGTATGTATCCTGTTTGGTAAAATAAACACATTCCTGAAAAGTGGAGTGTACATTTAATTCCTGAACAACAGATGTCATTTTGAATTCATTATAGGGATTTATTAATTAAAGAAATCCTATAAGAATCCCAGTGTAAAGTGAATCATTGGTATCCTCTTTAATTTCATGGATAAAACTATATTTTCATGTATTTGCATTGCATAAAATCAAGACATTTAGGCCTTCGAATTGGCTAGGAGGAGAGGTGGGTTTTCAGAAAGCTTTTGAGGACAAGATTCATAAAATTTCCTACTGGAAGGAACAGACAAATATAATCAGCTTTGTTTCTGGAGGTGGGAGGTTAGAAATAGTAAGATGTCCTGACTTGCACTGGTGCTGGTGGCTGTCAACTGGATATAAAGGAATTCTTCTGGATATACCTACCTCCTCTCATTTCCCTGCTGGCAGCTGGGATATTGCAAAATTGATCAAGTAGGTCTCAGAGCTACTGTCACTTTCTATTCCATTCTAAGAGAATCATGATTTAGGTCTTAATTAAAAACAAATCCAAGCAAAAATCTCATTTTACCTTTTTTTTTTTTTTCTGGCTTATAATCTGTGGTATATTGACCTCCAGAAAAAGAGCTAGTCGTCTTTTTGAAAGGCTTTCTTTTGTTTTCCTTTGAAGTAAAACTTTAAAGAAAATTTGTGATCACTTAGCATAATTTCTCTCAAATTTTAAGGCTGTGAAAAGCAGTGCCTTGAAGGAAAGAAACAGATGGTCAAAGAGAGGTTTCGTCAATCACAGCTCCCCTCCCCACTCCTGAAAAGACGAAGCCATCATTAATTTCCAAATAATAGTAAATCCTAGCAGGGGATGATGCCAACCGTCTGCATAACCCGTGCCAGGCACTGGTGCTGTTTTGGCTTTAAAAGAAGGGGGATGGCCATGGTTCTTGAAAGATTTCACCAAAACATTCGCAGCAAACATTATCAATGGAAGGAGTGAAAGCCGTGGACCATTCATAAGAGGTGTTCCAGCCCTCACACACAAGAGAAAACCAGAAACCACTGAGATAAACACAAATTCCTAAGAAGGCTGGGCTTGTGGCAGAGTTGTCTGTATACATGTGGGAACCAGGCTGGGGGATAGGACAAAATTAACGGGGTGAAGGGGCTATGGCACCAAGGAGCTTGCCTGCCTATGTGAATGCACTCAGTTTAAAACAATAAAACCAAAACAAAACCAAGGAAAAAAAAAAAGCTTGGGGTTAAGAACTATAACAAGTGGTAAGCTGATAAATTTGGAAAATTTTGTAGGAGAGAAGCCCCGATTTGTAGCATTTGCTTATTTCCATGGTGTAAATATTCCCATCATGGCCAATTTTAAGCTATTAATAGTTTAACAACAGGTCAAATCCTGGAACATTCAATTAATCAGCTCTCTCAAGCCCATACAAGACATCTCCAGAGGACCACTGACCCTAGTTCTCTGCCGTCAATGTATTTCCCAGTCTTATCTTCCCTATTCTTGAAATAAAAATTACAAATTAAAAAAAGATAGGCCCGGCACGGTGGCTCACGCCTGTAACCCCAGCACTTTGGGAGGCCGAGGCGGGCAGATCACGAGGTCACAAGATCGAGACCATCCTGGCTAACACAATGAAACTCTGTCTCTACTAAAAATACAAAAACAAAATTAGCTGGGTGTGGTGGTGGGTGCCTGTAGTCCCAGCTACTCGGGAGGCTGAGGCGAGAGAATGGTGTGAACCCGGGAGGCGGAACTTGCAGTGAGTCGAGATTGTGCCACTGCACTCCAGCCTGGGCGACAGAGCAAGACTACATCTCAAAAATAAAATAAAAATAAATAAACAAATAGAGATAGGTTTGAATTGTGGACAAATAGTTGAACACTGTGATTCAAATCCAAAGACTTCTCTGCAATTTGGGTGTATGAGTGCCTTCAGTGAGTGCACACTTAGAATAGAACACCATAAAACAGGGGTTCTCAAAGTGTTACATGGGAACTCCTGTGTGTCTCCCAAATCTTCCATCTAAGAGGTAAAGACTATTTTTATAATAATTATAATAATCTATAATTTTAAGAGATTAATTGTCTTTTTACTCTTATTCTCCAATGAGTGTACAGTGGAGTTTTCCAGAGGCTACATTGACATATGAACAGTGTGATATTGTCACAGATTAATTGTAGGAGCAGATTTAAGATTCTACGTGTCTCTTATGAAGCCTCACATTAAAGAGATTTGCAGAAATATACCATAATGACATTCTTCTCAATATTTTGTTTAGTATAATAATTTTTATAAGTATGCTATTTATGTTAACATAAAATGGGTTTATTATTATTGTTTTAAAATAAATAAACATTTCAAAAATGCTTCAGTTTTAATTGCCCTGTGGTAAATATTGATAGATTTAACCCATATAGATCAAGATTCTTAGGGGTCCTTAGTAATTTTTAAGAGTGCAATGGGGTTAGTTCTAACCAAAAAGTTTGAGAATTTGCCTGCCCATATGCATGTTTAATTAATATATTCATTAGGGAGAAGGTTTAGACCCCATTGTTCACAATTTGTTTCACCTCCACTGTAGCAGGCATCCAACTGCAGGATGACTATGTAAGTGTTGTATTAGTGCATTCTCACACTGCTAATAAAGACATACCCGAGACTGGGTAATTTATAAAGAAAAAGAGGTTTAATGGACTCACAGTTCCACATGGCTGGGGAAGCCTCACAATCATGGCAGAAGGCGAAGGAGGAGCAAAGGCACATCTTACATGGCAGCAGGCAAGACAGCATGTGCAGGGGAACTGGCCTTTATAAAACCATCAGCTCTCATGAGACTTATTCACCATCACAAGAACAGCATGGGAAAAACCCACCCCTATGATTCAATTACCTCCCACTGTGTCCCTCTCATGATATGTGGGGATTATAGGAGCTACAATTCAAGATGAGATTTGGGTGGGGACACAGCCAAACCATATCAAGTATCTTCCTTTCTCATCATGCTACAGAAACCAGCACCACCGCTGGCCTCAAACAGGCATATGAATGCCTGCTGAAGGAATGAATCTGGGCAGGGACAGGATGAAGCTACATCAGAGGGAGACATAAAACCCAAGGATCAGTCATTCACAGTTCCAGGCCCCACAAACAGTAGCAGCTCGTCTGGAAGGGCAACTCTCAGTGGGTACCAATAACAGGCCTGGCTGTATGCTGATGTCCAGATTGTCATCATTGGGGACACAGTGATGTAGGCCACCTTTGCATGGGTATACATAGCCAGGTGCATATTAATAGCCAATATTGAACTGCTATACAAACAATTACAATTACCAGTTATAAATACATGAACTGTTATCCTGATATTCACCTGCCTACATAATTGGAACTTTGGTCCAGGTCTGTAGATAAGAAATTGTTAGTAGTAAATTTATTAGTGCCACATTTGCACTATAGTTATCTACACTACTCCCTTGATTATTTAAACTGGTGTTTTTATGCCTTAATTTATTAATATTATAATCCTTATCTCTATAAAAGAAAATGCATATAAATTTAAAAAGTATTTGTGAAGGGCAGGCAGATTTTTCCAAAGGTTATAGCTGCCCAGAAGGCATAGGGTTTTACTTACTGAAATGGAGATGGGGTATGCTGGAAAAAAACATCTCCCCTGGTTCTTATATTTCCACGTGGAGGGACCTCCAGGCCTCTTGGGCCAGTCTCCCCCATGCCACACCAAGGAGTAGCGAGTAAGTCACCTAACTGGTGGGTGACAGTGTGGTTTCTGGTTCTGGTTTCTCAATGGAATGGAGCTGATGTACTAATAGAAAAATCTTGAGGTATTCCTGAAAGGTTCTCTTTTTTTCCTTTGCTGTGATGGGTCAGCACGAAGGAGGGATCTGGGTAACCACGGCTACTCGGCATAGCAGCCGAGATCCTAATTTTCCTTTGCTTGACCTCCCCAAGTTCTAGAGCAGGGTAGTGGTGGGGGCATAGGGGAGCAGAGATAATGTACAAGCATTCAGTTGCATAGCAACATGTTCTCTAAAACAGACACTGTGATGTCCTGCGAGGCTCTTGTGTTCAATTCTCATCATAGTTCCTAACTCAAAGTAAGAATGCAGGAATGTCTATGAACCTCTTAGAATCTCAAGGGGGTTGTGGGGCATGAGAATGGAGTTTGGGTAGCAAATGATTGAAGAAGCAACTCTTGGAGAGGTAAGACCATAGGCCGTGACTCAACCCCTCAAGTTATAAACCCACCTCCACTTCTACCTATCTCTAGGAGACCCTCAGCATGTTGCTGGCTGAGACTACCCTTTATTTTACCATCAGTTAAATGCAGAAAATTATATCCATGCTGCAGCATTATTCTCAGGATGAAAAGACAATAAAAGCTCAGCTTGGCAAAGTGCAGGACATTAAGAAGACATTCAGGGCACTTTACTCTTTTCTTATACTCATTGCTATTTGTAATTACAAAGTGATTATTTCATTTATTATCTATCTCTCCCACCCAACTGTCAACTCTGTGAGAGTAGAGACTACCGGCTTTTTTTCACTCTGTCTACTCAGAGGCTACCTACCATATCTGGCACATAATAAATGCCCAGTAAATAAATAAGTGAACGAGTCAACGAGTGAATGAATGAGTCAATGAATGAGAGTTAATATTTAGCATTGTGCAAACTACCTTGATAATTTTAAAGAGCTATTTTTTATATAACCTTTACTATTGACAACCATGTATATGTTTATATGAGAAATACTTCTAGAATTAAAATGATAACTTGATTTCTAAACACAGATAGCTGTACATTATGTCCGGTTACCATCCTTCTGCGAACCATTAGCCTTTGTCTCCTCCACCTTAGGGGATGGAGAAGTATCATTATGAATACAGGAGATAATCCTCCTTTGCTTTGGTGTTAAATCAGCCCAAACAGCATGGACACTCTTAGTCCGTGATTAGACTCAAAAAGATCAAAGCCAAAAGTAATAGGGTGCACAGCTCCAGTAAACGATATTTTCAACAAATGAGAGGGGAATGGCAGTTTCAGGGGGAATCTTTGTGAAGCATGTGCATCAGGAGAATAGAACGTCTTGTTGCAAAAGCTTCAAAGCAAGTTCTGATACCACCATTATCTGCCATCAGCCAGCATGGGCCCTCCTTGGCCTGTCCATTTTCAGCCATTTGTGAACCACCCCACAGCAGGTCTTGTGTGGCCCTCTAGCTCTTGATCGTCTTTGATCTTTCATAAGCTTAGTAATCTAAGTCCTAAGATGTTTTTTTCTCAGATATTAGAATGTCCCTGGGCATTCTAGAATGTTCCAACTCACCAGGATTCTAAAATGGCCAGGATACAGATGAAGTGAAAGGGGCGCTCACCCAGCCCCCAAATTTAAAGGGGTGCCAAAAAACTCGGTAATCAAGATAACATTTTAAAACAATATATTTTTGATTAATGCAAAAATAGTTCACAAGGTACAAAATATCAAAATTTGAAATAAAGACAAAATAGGTGAGTGAGTGAGTGAGTGAGATCATATTGTGCAAGTGTAGGGTTAAATTCTGCCTTCATTTCAAGTTTTGATATTTTGATCATCACAGCAAAGCTTTGAAAAACATGATGCTCGGGTTGGGAGGGGACATTCAGAATCACTACAGCAAAAGGGTTCAGCATACTAAAGGTCAGGAAGCTGACAATAAGCAACAAAACCTTGAGAAGTACTCATTTCCTTTAACCTCCTAACATCACCCGAGCAATTTATGGTAAAAAAGGATGTAAAAATGGGCCAGGCATGGTGGCTCACACTTGTAATCCTAGCACTTTGGGAGGCTGAGGTGGGCAGATCACCTGAGGTCAGGAGTTCGAGACCAGCCTGGCCAACATGGCAAAACTCCATCTCTACCAAAAATACAAAAATTAGCTGGGTATGATGCCACGTGCCTGTAATCCCAGCTACTTGAGAGGCTGAGGCAGGAGAATCACTTGAACCCGAGAGGCAGAAGTTGCAGTGAGCTGAGATTACACCACTGCCCTCCAGCCTGGGCAACAAGAGTGAAACTCCATCTCAAAAAAAAAAAGAAAGAAAGAAAAAGAAGAAGAAAAGAAAGGATGTAGAAATGCACAGAATCATTTACTCTACCATTTATCACAGAGTTATTTAGAGCAAAGAAAAACCTGGAAGCAACCTGAGTGCTCGGTTATAGGAGAATGGCTGATTCAATGCAGGCATGGCCACGTTATGGCATATTATACAGCTATCAACAACTCAATTTGAAGAATGTTTAATGGCATGGGAAAATGCTCACGAGTGCTTCTCAGAATAGGGAATTTGAAAAAAAAAAAAAGAAAATGCTCATGAAGTTAGGTTTAAAAGGGATGGTACTGGGTATACATAAAAGGAAAATTATAATTTTGTTTAAAAATGTTATAAAAACTAAAAGATTTTATTTTTTTTAAAACACTTGTTTTAACTATACTTCCTCTTGGTAAGATTAAGAGGATGATGATGTCTAGTTACCATAGACTCTAAAGCTGTTACCATTACATTCAGAGAGAGGGAGGCTACAACAAATCACCAAAGAGTCCACTTTGAGAATAGGACAATTTTACCAAAGATTTTCTTTCTTCTACTGGTGTGGTGAGGCCACTGCAATGAATACTGAGCAGGAAGAATAACTTTTCTAATTATTATTGACCAAAATTCAAAACTGCAGGTGAAATATAAGTACAATTATTCTGTTTCTGTTCTGCATGCATCTATATTTCTTTTTTAAAAAATCAGAAAAGAAAAAAACAAAAAGTCAGCTGACTTTGTGGACTAGAACACAGATTAAAGAAAATATTAACCTGTTGTATTTTCTAAATTTTCTCTTACATAGTTATATTACTGAAAAATTAAAAATGGAAATGAGAAATTTGATTCTGTAATAATTCCCTTGATAACTCATTACTTACAGGTAGGAATATACATTGCCCATGCAGTAATGTTTACCTATCTTTGGGTGGCTTTTTTAAAAAATTTATTTATTATACTTTAAGTTTTAGGGTACATGTGCACAACATGCAGGCTTCTTACATATGTATACATGCGCCACGTTGGTGTGTTGCACCCATTAAACTCGTCATTTAACATTAGGTAGCTTTTTTTTTTTTTTTTTTTTTTGAGACAGTGTCTTGCTCTGTCGCCTGGCTGGAGTGCAGTGGCGCAATCTTGGCTCACTGCAACCTCTGCCTCTTGGGTTCAATCGATTCTCCTGCCTTAGCCTCCCAAGTAGCTAGGATTACAGGCATGCATCACCACACCCAGCTAATTTATTTTGCATTTTTTGTAGACACGGGGTTTCACCATGTTGGTCAGGATGGCCTTGATCTCCTGACCTCGTGATCTGCCCACCTCGGCCTCCCAAAGTGCTCAGATTACAGGTGTGAGCCATGGGTGACATTTTAATTGATGTATGTGTTCACCAACAGGATGTGTTTTCGCAATGCTGGCTATACAGAAAATCCTGTTTTCACTGCCACAGTGTATCAATTCCATTAAAAAATCTTTACAATAAATTAAATTGGAAATTTCTAACAATTATGATGCAGGCTAGGGCATGGAACAATGGGAATTGCCATACATTAGTTCATGACAATAGTGAACATTTTTATTACCTCTTCACAGCTTCCTCTTCTGCTGTAAATTGACCCAACTCCTGAATCTTCCTTCAAGCTCTACTTTATCATTCCTGATACTCAGGGACTTTGCTCCCTGTGCCAGAGACTAGGTGAGCTGACTACTAAACCCATTTCCTCGCTCTCCTGAGAACACAGCTGAATTACATTTTCCAGCCTTCTTTGGGCTTATTACAGTCATGAGACTTAAAGTACCAGTGAATTACATGTAGGTGTAAGTGATGGCTGCTCAGTCATGGCCTTTATTAACCTACCACCTGCAACTTTCAGCCTCTTCCCCATCTGCCTCCTGAATGAAGAATTGGAGATAGAAGCAGCCTGGCTCCCTGAGTGACCAGCTGCATGGAAGGCCACATAATGTCTTGGACTTCCAGGAAATCAAGAACACCTTCTTAGAACTTCATATTGGCAAGAAATCAGATTTTATTAGTTAAGTTGCTGAGATTTCAGTTTATCTCTGACAGCAGTTAGCATTCCCTAGTACACTTCCCTCTTCTCCATTCTTGCAAGTCTGCAAGAGGCTAGCAGAACTGAGTTCCAATATTATCTTTTCTAATTAGGTGTCACCTATCACATGAATTATGCCAGCTGAAATATGCCATAACTTTGCGACTCTACATGCCTGGGCAGAAATTAGTCCATGCCTTGTTAATTCTGTAATTCCATAGATATAAATAAAAGGTTTTTTTAATCCCAGAAGTTGAACCATTCTTTACATTTGTCACCTTTTAATAATTCTAAGGCCATATGACTAAATATTTTCTTTTTCATTTACAAAAATAGGATAGCCAGAGAAAAGGGAAGATTAAATAAAATATAAAACAAATTTGTTTCTCCTTGTGGAAGAAATAAAGATCAAATTATTTTGCCTGATTTTTAATCTGTCATAACTTAATGTCAGTTTTATTTACTATTTTAAAGTAAAGACATTAGCAGTTTAGTAGCCATATAAATGGACCATTCTCCTTTGAAGAAAAGGTTGTCTGCACTACCTTGTCTGTGCTCCATGATTTCTTTTTCAAAGGTCAGAAATAACAAATGAATCCTGGCATGTCCTATACAAGGTATGGCTCAGAAGCCTCAGAAGTGTTTGTGAGGAGAAAGAATAATCGTGAAGAAGTCATTTCTGGTGATTATTTGGAAAATAATGAGAAAACCAGAGTGAAATGGAAAAGAAACCTCAAGTTTCAGGAAGCATGCAAATATTCCAAAAGGAAGATTTTCAAAGAACGGGTCAACCAGTCTTAACTGCACTATCCTACTTCCAATCTCTTTTCCTTCTCCAAAAGCAGTAACCCATAAAATAAATGTGCAAAGCTTCTTTCTTGGGTTTTCTATTAAAAGTTTAATTTGCAACACACCCAAATGTGATTTCTATTCCACTCTCTGGAGAACACTGATGAATCCTCTGTTGTGGAGGCAGTGCAGGTTGGTGGCTAAGGAGAGGCCATCCATTTCCCACGGTGACAGGAGGCTGACCATAATGGCAGCTGCAACCACGTTTGCTCCTGTTGCTATGAACATTTGGGACACTAAAATAAATGGATTGTACTGAAAGATTCTTTCACTCTCCCTACCATATCATCTTAATGGGGAATTCATACCACTTTGAGCTGCATTTACTGCTGAAATGAAATGATGGTTTCTAAAATTACTTTAGCGCACATTGAGTTGTACCTAAGTTTATTGGGTTATGGGATAACATTTTGTTTTTAGTGAAGGCCACCTTTTCAGAAGGCCCTGGACTCTCGAGTCAATTATTACTTTGTCAAATCGAGGGATGTGAATCTCTGTTTCAGCCTGAAATCCCCATCTCTTTCCTCTAATTGAAATACCATCATTTCTTAAACTTTCAAACATATTCTTATATCTAGAACCAAGACTGAAGCATATTACACATTCCAGAAGTGAGTAATTAATACAATTTTAAAAGAAAAGGATTAAGGAGTGAAGACTAGCAACTGTTGGGTAATGTAGTGTAGCCTTCAGTCCTAAGTACACACTCGTGGGAGAGGAAAAGGGCTTACGACTTAGGTTCATGGCTGTGCCCTGAAGCCATTCTCTATTATCCACTTCTAATGAAGTATTTATTGATCCCCTACTGTATGCAGACACTGGATATTTCCTCTCGCACTCCACTCTTCCAAAATCTATTTGATGCATTATACAGAATCCATTTTTCACTGTCTATCTCATTTTGGGAATACAGTCCATAACCACTTAAAATACGTCACGATAGGCTTCTTATTATTTATTATCTAGTATAATGCAACATACTTTTTATCATAAGAATTCCTTATATTTGCAAAGCACCCAATTTTCTAAAACACTTTCCTATCTATGATGATTTTTGAGACGGAGTTTTGCTCTTGTCGCCCAGGCTGGAGTGCAGTGGTGCGATCTCGGCTCACGGCAAGCTCTGCCTCCCAGGTTCAAGCAATTCTCCTGCCTCAGCCTCCAAGTAGCTGGGATTACAGGCGCCCACGACCATGCCCAGCTAACTTTTTATATGTTTAGTAGAGACGGGATTTTGGCATGTTGGCCAGGCTGGTCTCGATCTCCTGATCTCAGGTGATCTGCCTGCCTCAGCCTCCCTGATCATGATTTTTATCTTCCCATGGTTATTGCTTCAATAGGGGAAATGTGAAAATATCTAGCATAGTGACTTACCTGTAATATATGCCCTTTGGAATACTAGCTGCCTCCTTTCTGACACTCCTGAGGTCACTAGCTAAAATAATAATGTTCCCATCTTGTAGACCCAAACACTCCCCACAGAAGTTAAGGGACATTTCAGAAAGTCACCTAGCAAGTGAGTAGTTCCACTGGATCCAGAACTTGTTCTCCCCACACCATCCCTGCTCTCTTCCCTGCACCCCAGCACCTGGGGTATCACAGAGCCCTCCTCCAATACAGGAGAAGCTTCCTTCTGAACAAGCCTGCTTTCCTGTGATTCCCACACCAGGCGAGACCAGGTTGGTAATGCTGTCTCAGCTAGTCACATATTTAGAATGCCTTCCCTAAAAACTTCAGAAGAGGAACTGATGAAAACTGATGGCTGTTCCTAAGCAGCCTGAACTGTAGCAGAACGCACGTGTGTCTCCTGCAGTTCTACCCCAGACAAGGAAGAGCCAGGGACATAGTGTGCAGCTTGAATGCAGGAGCTCCTGAGCCAGCCTTGGTTCTAATCCTGCCTCCAGGACTCACCCTGTGTGGTTGTCTTGGGTTGATTACTGACCCCCATCTTGCTCTAGTTTCCATCTGAAACATGGGAATGATGTTGATACTTACCTCATTGGGTTAAGAGGATTCCATAAATTAAAGTGATTACACAGAATCTGGCATTTAAGAAGCACTCCATGTTTGTGAAAATAAAATAAGTAAAGAAAATAAAAAACGAGGGGCCAGGCGCAGTGGCTCACGCCTGTAATCCCAGCACTTTGGGAGGCCGAGGCAGGCGGATCACCTGAGGTCGGGAATTTGAGACCAGCCTGACCAACATGGAGAAACCCTGTCTCTACTAAAAATACAAAATTAGCCAGGTGTGGTGGTGCATGCCTGTAATCCCAGCTACTCGGGAGGCTAAGGCAGGAGAATCACCTCAACCTGGGATGCGGAGGTTGCAGTGAGCCGAGATCCTGCCATTGCACTCCAGCCTGGGCAACAAGAGCGAAACTTCACCTCAAGAAAAGAAACGAACAATGTACCAAGGCAGGGGATCTCACCTGGCTTTCTTAGATTGAGTGAGTTGGAGTCCAAATGAACCAATGATGAGATGCACTGATGCTGGGGCTTTGTCTGCAGAGTCCATACACAAAGGTCCCTTTCAGGAGCAGGACAGACTGGCTGAGGTGGGAATGAAAGTGGGGGTAGGTGGTTTGACCTGGGGAGCAGCCGCCAGGCTCCACCAGCTGCTCCGGGGCAGCCAGGGCCCAGTGCCAGTCAGCTATGTCATTGGAGACACAGGGACTGTCCGATGCTCTGGAATTAGAGTGCTGGGTGCATTAACAGCTCGCTGCAGATTTGCAACTACTAATATCAACTGATAAACACCTCATGTGCTTTCTTGTGTGAGAGAGAAACTTTGAGTTGGAGTTGGAAAGAGGTGGAGGAAAAGAAGAAAAGGAAAGAGGAAAGACGAGAGGTTTAGCTAAAGAAAAAAATAATGAACATTAAAAATGGCTCAAAAGAAATGTCTGTCACAGGCAGTGAAAACTGAGAACCATTATCAGTGGAGATGCAAAACCAGATCTCTGAAGGCCATCTTTGCTCATCATTCATTATCTAACCCAATAGGCACACCACTCCCTAAGATAAATTGGGCCGGGAGAGGCCATGCACCAGGAGAGGCCATGCGCCAATCAAAGGAAAGAAGCACAGGTGTGTTGGGAACGCTTGAGGAAAGTTTGTGTTTGAGTAACAAATACTAATGAGGCTGTCAGGAGCTCTATAGTCCTCCATGGAGCCAGCCAGCTGGGTGCTTTATCTTTCAAAAAATTATCATTAAATTAAAAAAAAAAAAGTAACCAAGACTCTTGGTGGGTGTTCACTTCCAGCACAGGTGTGGTGGAGAGGATTGCAATATGAATCAGTTATCTCAATAGGCTGTGCATTAAGTACTTCGCTTAGAAAAATAAATTCAGTAAAAACAATATACTGAATACAGGACAAGATATATGCATACAAAATGTATATAGACACACAATTGCACTTGCTTCACAAAGCACATGCCATATTACACATTTTAACAGTAGGCTTTCTGTGTTTGCCTATATGTTACCAATATATTACAAATAACATATGCATATGCAGAAACAAACTGGGCTCAATCCAAATTTGCTGCCCTTTTAGGAGACTAGGGGTAGTTCCATAGAATAATAAATGTTAGCAAGTAAGACATGTATTTCTTCTAAACTTGTTTTTAAAATTTTTTTCCATATGGGGAAGTGTTTTCCCCTACTAGTTGTGAAAATAACATACTATAGAAATTCAAAAAAAAGAAAGGATGAAATAAAAACTATTATCTCACTGTTCAGAGATCACTTCTGTTAATATTTCTGTGTACTTTCTTCTAAGCTTTTTTAAAATTTACCAATTTATTATGGACATGTTTTCATGTCAATAAACATAGATCTACCTAATTGCGTTTAATGGTTCTAGGGTATTTTACTCTAGGGATGAGCTCAAATTCATTTACCCAATCAAATATTATTGGATTTTTATTTGGTTTCCAATTTTTCACTGTTGTGAGCAAGAGATAGGGTTTAAAACAACAAAAACAAGACTACATAGGATATGCATGCATCAAAGAAAAGTTAAACAGCAGAGAAATATTAACTACTTTTATCTGTGATACAAATGAAATGAAGCAGTCGTTTGATAACGTCAATGCTGTGGCTTCCTTAAATTTCAGTAGCGCTCTTTCTAAGAGTAAGGCCAAGCAGAAGGAAGGTGTCAGGTAGAAAACAGTTTGCAGAATTTATAATCTGTCCTATCAGCAAGCCCAAGATCCCTGTGGGTCTCAGCTGACTCCTTAACTGTGATTAGAGCAAGCCAGAGATGCAGAAGCAGAGGGAAAAAATGCTAAGGATATCATTAGAAGCCTTAATTTCTGAATATGTCTTTGCTGCAAGCTCTCTTGGTAACCTTTCCTAGCAACTTCCAGTGGAGAAGTCTTTCCTGATATGCTGGTAAAATGTCTCCTGCTGCAACTATTGTCAATTTTTCTTACTTCATCCCCAGAGCCCTTCTTTCAACAACTGCATGGCAAGTGCCTGCTTCAGGCAGGTGAACAAGACAGACCTGGGCCCTGCACTCAAGGAGGGTGCAACCCAGCGACGAATTCCACAAGTCCTTGAGCCTGTGATCAGTTTTGGAGGGTGGGGAATGAGTAAGATAGAGAATTGATGGTGGACTATATGCAATAGTGTAGTCAGGAAGGGCCCTGCGAGAGGTGACATTTAAACTGAGACCTGAGGAGTGATGGAAGCCATCTGTGCAAAGTGTGGACAGAGAGCCGTCTACTCACAGAAACATGTTCAAAGGTGGGAGATCGGAGAGTCCCACTGCCTGACTGGGCAGAAAAGGGCGGTGAGGGTGGGAGAGTAGCAATCCTGAGGAAACTGGATGGTTGGTCACTTTCAGCAGGCTATTAGCATAGGGGCTTAGAAGTCATGGAGGAGAGTGTGGATTTATTCTAAATGCAATGGGAAACACTGTATTTAAGCAGGGACTTGCAATGTCAGTAAGGAGTACCCCAGATTGCCCAAGTCAAAATACAGGAATCATTTTTAATGCATTTCTTATCCTTATTCCCATATCATCGACCTGTCACATCTGCTTCCAGACTATCTCTCAAACCCATCCACTCCTCCATTCTTTTTTATTAATACTCCAGTGCAAAGCCCTAATGTGTATTGATTAAAGCCTGGGCTCTGAAGCCAGATTACCCAGGTTCAAACCTTAGCTTTGCCACCTACTGGCTGGGTGACCTCCAGTAACTTATTTAACCTCTCTGGGCATCCCTTTTCTCATCTGTCATATGGAGATTATAGACAACCCTACCTTAGAGGGTTGTAATGAATATGGAATAAATAAACATATGTACAGTGGTTATACTAGTGCTGGACACTTAAGTTCTCAATACTCACTTTCATATTAATAGTTATAAACATTCACCTCTTGATGGCACAAATCTGATATCTTCTTACCTTCTCTCCCTGCTTCCGCAATTGCCCCAACCATCAATTTCTTCTTCTTATTATTATTTGGAGATAGAGTCTTGCTCTGTCACCCAGGCTAGAGTGCAATGGCGCAATCTCAGCTCACCGCAATCTCCACCTCCCCAGTTCAATTGATTCTTGTGCCTCAGCCTCCTGAGTAGCTGAGATTACAGGCATGCGCCACCATGCCCAGCTAATTTTTATATTTGTATTAGAGATGGGGTTTTGCCATGTCAGCCAGGCTGGTCTTGAACTCCTGGCCTCAAGTGATTCTCCCACCTCAGCCTCCCAAAGTGCTGGGATTACAGGTGTGAGCCACTATGCCTGACCCCATCAAGTCTTTTTGCCATCATCTACTCTCCCTCAGTAACCTAAAACATCTGTAAAAAGTCAGATTTTTATCACCATCCTTCTCCCTTCTTAGGATCCTCTAGTGGCTTCTATTGCTCTTGGAATAAAATTCTTTCCTTGATCTCAGAGCCCCTTTGTGACCTAACTCATAACAGCCTGTCTCTGGCAGCTTTTCAATTTTTGTCTTTATGCTTGAGAACTCGAAATGCCACTGTGATATTTCAATGTGTAAGTTTTTACTACGACTACAACAACTACTACTACTACTCTGTTACTATGATTTTTCAACCCTGAGTGGAACCCGGTGGTCCTGTTCAATCTGAGGACACATGTCTTTATTCAGCTCTACAAACACTCCAGCCATTATGACCACAAATGTCATCCCCTTCATTCTCCCTATTTTTCTCCTGCTTCTCCTGGCTCCTCAACTCCACATATCAACTTGTTTTTTAGAACGCTCATGTTTATTCCTGTATGCTTTTTCTGGGGGAATCTATCAGCCTGACCTTCCTGCTCACTCTTCGTATTTGTTCATTCTTCTAGTCTACTTAGAAAATAAGGTTCTGGTAGTGGTGGTTTTTCTTTTTTGTTGTTGTTATTGTTTTGTTTGAGATGGAGTCTTGCTGTGTCACACAGGCTGAAGTGTAGTGGTGTGATCTTGGCTCACTGCAACCTCTGCCTCCTGGGTTTAAACGATTCTCCTGTCTCAGCCTCCCAAGTAGCTGGGATTACAGGCACGTGCCACCACGCCTGGCTAATTTTTGTATTTTTAGTAGAGACAGGGTTTTGCCATGTTGGCCAGGCTGGTCTAGAACTCCTGACCTCAGGTGATCCACCTGATTCACCTCCCAAAGTGCTGGGATTACAGGCATGTACCACCTTGACTGGCCTTTTTTTTTTTTTTTTTTTAACATTTACTTTTTTTTTAATTTAAAAGATCTCTAATTGGTTCTTTCTCAAATTCCTTCCACCTTGACAACCTGTGCAAGAGCATTATGGCAGGCACTGTCTTATCTCCTGCATCAACAATCTTTCTCTCATTCTCAACAACACATGATATGCTCTGTTTAAAAACAAAACAAAAAAATCCCCGTTTCTCTTAACTCTATATTCTTCTCTAACTACTGGACCCATGATCTGCCCCTTGGTAAAACACTAACAAGTCATCTCTACCCCCCTCCCCATTCTTTCCTGAACTCATTCCAGCTGGGCTCACGCCCCCAGAATCCACCTAATTTTCCCTTATCACAGGGACCAATGTCCTCCACATTGCTGCCTCCAGTGATCAATGAACATCCTCATTCCGGCCCATCTATCAGCAGAATTGCTCACAAAGGATCATTTTCAGCTTCTTAATATGCTTTCTTCAGCTTGCTATGGTGGCAGCACTCTCTTTGAAGCCTCCTTCACTTTCACTGGCTGCTCCATCTCAGTCTTTGTGCTGGTTCTTCCTCGCCTTCCCAGCTTTTGGAAACTAGTCTTTCCCAGGGCTCAGTCCTGGGACTTCTCCTCTCCTCATTTACACTAACTCCCTAGAGGAACTTACCCCATCACATAACTTTGTATTTCCAATCTGATTCTTTCCCTGAACCCCAGGCTTCTCACTGAATAGCTCTACTTGGAGGTCTCCCAGCATCTTAAACATATGTCCCAACCCAAACTCTTGATTCTGCCTTTAATCACCTCCCCTTGATCTTCTCACTCGCCTTCCCTTCCCTCCAGCCTTCTCGATTCTTCCAGATGCCCAAGCCAAAATCCTCAGGGTTGCCCTTGACTCCTCTCTTTCTCTCTCACCTCCCATCCTATATATCAACAAAATTTCTTGGCATCATCTAAAAGGAATTCCAGAAGTTGTCCATTTCTCACCACCTTGGAGAGGTAATGGTCCAAGTAACATTATTTCATATCTGGGTTACTGTCTCCTAATAGGTCACCTAGTTTCCATTCCTTAGGCCCTATTGTACAGGTTACTCTTTTGGAATATTTAATCCAATTATATCATTCCTTTGTTTGAAATCCCCCATAGGCTCCCCCTTTTGTTCAGCATAAAAGCCAGACTCCTTCAAAGCCATAAATGGCTTACCTTGCCCTGTCTTCTACTCTGATTTATTCTCTGGAACTCTCACCCTTGCTCACCCTCCTCCAACCACCGTTGTCTCTTGGTTGTTCCTCAAAAAGTTGAGACATCCTCCTGACTCAGGGCCTTGACACCTGCTGTTCCTTGTCTCTGAAATGGTCTCTCCCTTGACATCCACTTGGTTTATCCACTCTCTTAGTTTTTTAAGGCCTTTTTGGACCACCCTACATATATTGGATGCCCCTACTTCAATTCCTACACCTCTTAAACCTCTGACTCTACCTTATTTCCTTCTACAATACATCGCCTGACACATAAATTTATTTGTTTTACTAGTTATGTTTTTATCTCTCCCGCCTAGGCTTTAAGCTCCAGGAAGACTGGGATTTTGCCTCACTTACTTTCGATTTCCTAGTGCCTTAACTATGCCTAGCATACAGCAGGAACTCAATCAGTAGGGGCAGAATTAACAAATGAATGAATGAAGGGCCTGTGTTCTGATTTTTCAGATGCAACATTTTCTTATTTCTCCGAGGATATTAATTATACTTATTTAAAAATCCTGTTCCAATTTATCTGCTAACTATTTTCTCAGATGTAAGTTTTCCAGTTTATTGAGTCTGTAATTTTGTCATTTCTGCCTCATTTTGTCAGTAGTTTCCAAATGTTTAGTGATTGTGTGTGTGTGTGTGTGTGTGTGTGTGTGTGAGCCGTTTTTGTAATTGGAATCCCTGATGGATGATTTTCTGGTTTTGTTTAGGTGGCCCACTCTGGACAAGCTCACACACCCCTCTACCATATTCTCTCTGGGCTTCTGGGACTCAATCCTAATAAACACTTGGACATAGAGAAAAAGCTATCAGCAACGCAGAATGAAGAGGAGGTATCGGAGGTCCTAGAAGATAAAGAAGGGAGGGTGGAGGGACAAGTGACAAAATAGTGCCAATTCCTGGGCTCTGGAAGAGTAAACCTGTCCATATTGCTGAAGAAGGAACAGCCTTGAAGAAGGAACAGCCTTATCAGTGAATTAGAAACACTCCATTAATGAAGGGAAAATTTCAGATGTGCTTATAGAATTTAAAAAAATATATTTTTTCTTCTATAATAAGCTGTTGTATCTATAGAAAATTTCTATGAGAATGTATTGGTCTTTCCTCGAAGGGTTGATTGTTGGCTGAAAAGCATTTTCCAGCCAACTATGCAAGCAGCTTAATTGTGCCTCCTTGAAAATGAGAACTATACTTGAATACTCCAACCAAATCTGGAGAGGGGTTGGCACAAGATAAACAGGGTTGTCCCACAGGTAGACCAAGTAGGCAGTCACGTAACAGGTTGAGGCTCCTCAATCTCAAATCTCTATCCTTGCCAGACTCCCAAATTATACAAACTACTCCAGATTCACTCCTCTAGAAAGTGGTGGCTCATGTCCCCCTCCCCTCCCTTCAGCTGCTCTGATTTAGGCTGGCTACGTTCCCTCAAGGGCCCATGCCCTCCTATCCCAAAATACTCTCATGCTGCTCCACAAAACTAAAAAGAAAGGGCAACTGCACTGTCTGGCACATAGCACTCAGTGAAGCCTTCATGAAAAACACTGTACTTTCCCAGAGTCTTTCCTCCCTCCAAATGCAAATAGATACTTTACAGACTGCCTCCCCAAGGACTGCTGGGAGAGGATGGGTCTGGGGACACAGACAACGATGGGGAAAGGGCAAGTCTGACTAATGGGGGCATATCAAGGAAACTGGACCAGGGAAACAGAAGCCTCATGCAAAAGAGCAAGTAACAGTCCAGGGAACTGGAAAAGTCCTGGGAGAGGAATTTAATCCACTCCACAATCCCTCCAAAGGCAGAAGATGGTGGACAGAAGATGACAACCAGGTTTGCCACACTGAGCCAAATTCTGGATCCTGGGAGACTCAACTTGTCCCCTGGGGTAGCAGCATGACTCTGTCCACAAGCTACAGCTGCTGGTAAGCCTTGCTCAATCTCCATTCCACTTGCTTGTTTGCCCCCATGCGTCCTCTAAAGTATCAAGATTTGGTTGAAACTGATTAAGAAGCCCTAAAGATCACCTGAAATGTCAAGTGCTCCTCCATTCTAATAATATGCATCTGGAATACTTCCCAGATGAGGGAAGACATGTTTCCCTTTGATTTAGAGTTGGAAGGATGACAGAGTGGAGGCAGTAATGATGATGAAAAGAAAGCCATAAGCCAGGTGACAACTTCCAGTCACCCAGGGAAGCCAATAATAGGGAATCAACAAATTATGCGTGATGTTGGCATCAGCAGCATAAACAACAGCGATACCACCTACAGCAAATGCTGTTAAAACACAGCCGCCTGCTATGCCAAGCCTGGGCTCTTAGAGGACCCTAGGCTTATCTTTGATAAAATAAAAACCTCTAGGGCCAGCATTCAAGGCTGTTACTCTATGGAGATCAAGGAAACACACAGGTTGGCCTCAAAGTGCAACCATTTTTATTCCATTAAACTAAGAAAAAAAGAAATGCACTACTATTGAACTGAATTATACCTGGTAAAAAAAAAAAAAAAAAACACCTTAGTCTTTCTTAGTTTGTGATCTTCTGATCAGGAGAGGTGTATTAGATTCCTGTGGCTGACACAAGGAAGTAGCACAGACTGGGTGGCTGATACAACAGCAATTTACAGTCTTACAGTGCTGGAGGCTGGAAGCTCATAATCAAGAAGGTAGCAGGGTAAGTTCCTTTTAAAGGCTCTAAGGGAGCCTCTGTTCCAGGCCACTCTCCCAGCTTCTGGTAGCCCCATGCATGTCTTGGCTTACAGACGCATCACTCCAATCCCTCATTTTCATATGGTGCTCTCCAAGACGTGTCTTCACATTGTTTCACCTCTGTGCATATTTGTCTCTGTCTCCAAATTTCCCCTTTTTATAAAGACACCAGTGTATTAGTCTGTTTTCATACTGCTGTAAAGAACTGCCCAAGCCTGGGTAATTTATAAAAGAAAGAGGTTAATTGACTCACAGTTCAGCATGGCTGGGGAGGCCTCAGGAAACTTACAATCATGGTGGAAGGTGAAGCGGAAGCAAGGCACCTTCTTCACAAGGCGGCAGGAAGGAGAAGTACAGGGGGAAGAACGCCTTATAAAACCATCAGATCTTTTGAGAACTCGCTCATTATCATGAGAACAGCATGGGGGAACTGCCCCCATGATCCAATCACCTTCATCTGGTCTCTCTTTTGACACACAGGGATTATGGGGATTTGGGTGGGGATACAAAGCTTAACCATATCACATCAGTCATAATGGATTAGCACCCACTCTAATGGCCTTAACATGATTAACTCTGTAAAGACCCAATGTCCAAATAATGTCACATTCTTAGGTTCTGGGAGCTAGGACTTCAACATAGCTATTCTTGAAGATGCAATTCAACTCATAACAAAGGAATTATTTCTTTTTGATGCAGCTGGGAAAATGCAGTGTAGGGCATCCATTTGCAAACTGTGTTCTGCATAACTGTGTTTTGTAGAGGTATTTCAAAGATTCTGAAAACACTGATTCAAATTTTCTTTGAAAATATATTTAAAAGTCATCACATACACTCAACTATGGTACACATCACTTACGAACACTAGTGTACAGCTTGTGCTTCTAGAACAAGTTTTTTTCCAGACCAGGAATAAAACTTCTTATGCCACCTCCACGTATATATTCAAGTTTCTTCTTAGTAAGTTATGGTTTTAAATGACTGTAGCTTTATACAGGTCTTTGAATTCAAGCTCTGTGCTTGACTGCACAAGTGTAGAAATGAGTGGGTCCCTGGAGCTTAATTTCAAGTGACCAGACACCTCTGCTCAGGGAGAGCTCCCACCCTGTCCTGTGGCTAACCAAGTATGGAATATCAATGGGACAGTATTGCATATAAAGGATGACATTTCCTATAAGGTTTGGGTACCCTATCATTCAAAATTCCTCATGTTGCAAGTGACAGAAGCCCAACTCAATCTAGTTGAAGTGAAATGGGGATTTTCTTGCCTACTCCACAGAGTGTTTCTTTTCCCCTTTGTTCCTCACTGTCTTAATTTCCCTGTGGAGTTTCCTCTATGTCTATGTTTGGGGGTACCACGAATTGGCTCAGGCCACACACATTCCACCACTCTCTAGCCCACCTCCCTGAACTACAGAAAATGGAAAGCTAAAAATTCCCTTGCAGCTGCATTTCCCAAGGTGGCCTAGGTTCTGCACCTAGGAGTAAGATGCTGGTGGCCAATGAGACAGCCATGGTGAGAGAGGAGATTGGCTCCTTTAGCAAACTGGAGGCAGAAGTACTTGGTTCTCTAGGATAGCTCTGGAGGGAGTCCTAGCATTCTGTCCTTGGTGTCATGGATGCCACCCATCACCTGCCTGTGTGAGGCAGCTGCTGTGCAGTTTCCACTAACAGTCTTATGGATGGTTTCTCCTGGCTACTGTTATTTCTGGCTATGTAGTCTCTAAACCCAGTTTCAAGACCTCTTAGAGATTCTGTAGGCTACCAAAATCTCTCTTAAAAAGTCCTTTCTAGTTAAATTAGAGGGTTTGCTGATGTCTGCTGTTAAAAACTATGACGGATACAGCATAACTCCAATGATCAGCAGAGACACTGATGACTCCCAGACGTGTTCCTTGAGCCCGGAACTCTCTCTCAGGCTGAAGACAGATAAAAGACTGTCTCTTAGACAACTACACCTAGATGTACCATGGGTCCCTAGATTTTCAATCTCCAAATCAAGCTCCTTACTTCCCCATTCAAGCCTGCTGTTCCTTCTGTTTCCTTTATGAGGTGTTACTAAACCATAATCTGAGGCTCATCCTAGACCCATGTCTCACTTTCACCTCCAAATTTCAATTAATGAAATTGCTACTTGCTAAACATTCCCTGAATATATTTTTTCCTCTTTAATCTTACTGCCCCTCATTATAGTCCATTGCCAAAACAAACTGCCTCCTGTTCTCAGTCTCACCTCAGCCAATCCATTTTTCACTCTTCCTCCAGAGTAATATTTCAAATAGCCAAATATAACCATAACATCCCTTTGCTTAAATGCATTCAATGCACCCTTTTGCTTAAATGCATTAAATCCATCACCATTACTGTGGTTCTCAAGCTGGATGAATGGTGTAAAACCAGGGGGCACATGCTGCAGAGACTGGCTAAAACCTCACCAAATCTATTTTCCTCTTTCTCCTGAGAACATGACTAGACCACTTTCCAGCTCCCCTTTCAGTTATAGGTCTTAGTAAGTCAGACCTGAATTCAAATATTGGATATGCAATTGTGTCAGCTAGCTCTTGCTACGTTACAAAACACCTTGGAACTTTATTATTTCTTATAAGTGTGCAGATTAGTGGTTATGCTGTTCTGGGATGAGCCCAGCTGAAATCTGCTGGGCTTTCTCATACATTGTCACTTCAGTAGGTTTGCTGGGAGCTGGCTAGTCTAGGAGGGACTCAGCAGGATGACTCACCTGGGCTCCACGTGATCCCTCACCCTCCAGACAGCTAGCTCAGGCTTGTTCTCATGGTAGACAGAATTTCAAGAAAGAGCAGAAATATGCAAGGTATCTTGGTGTCTAGTCTCTAAAGCGACCCACCCTTTTTACTGCATTATCTTAGCCAAAGAAAAGTATAGGCCAGTTCAGAATCAAAGGGCAAGTAAATGCCTCTTATAGAGAAAGGCTGCAAAGTCACATTGCAAAGAAAGAAAGTAAAGAATGACAGCCATTTTTGCAATCAAACTAGCACAGGTATTCACTAGCTATGTGGCTTTAAATAAATTTCCTCTTTGGGCCTCAGTTTCCTCACCTGTAAAATAGAGAAAATCCCACGTCCCTCACAAAGTCACCGGGGGTATTAAATGAGATAATGGAGGTAAAATCCTTAGCAGAGTGTTTGGCGTCTAGTAAGTACTCAATAATCTTTCACTACCTTTATTTTTCACATCGCTCTGCAATGTGTACCACTGTGACTTTCAGGTTGTTGGTATAAGCTCAGGAAGTATTTGTTGAACAAATTAACCATGCACCTGTTGTAATGACCAGCTGAATTGATGTACTTTTAATGGCTCATCGTGTTTCTAGCTCTGTCACAAGCCTACACTTCTCCCAGTTCATCACCAGCCCATTTGAAGTCATCCTGCCCAAGTTGGATGTAGAGGCCTCTTAAATTATGTCCTCCAGCTGTTCAGACAGTCTGTTCTCTGTGCACATATAGGGGTATAAGAACACAGTTCGTGCCCTCTAAATAGACCAACTAGAGCAGTCTTTCCAAAACAGAAGGTCCATAAAACTTGCTTTAGGGCAGTTTAAACTCCCATTTCCAATAGATAAAAAATTGCCAAGAGTTATCCTAAGAAACCTTGTGCTGATTTGTTTGTGTGATAGATTGAATTAATGGCCCGTATTTTATACCTCTTGGTGATAACTTCTCACACTCACTCTGGCCTCGGTGATGCGACTTGCTTTGGCCAATGGGATAGCAGCAAACTTGATACAAACAGAGGCTGGAAAAGTGATTGCTTTGTCTACTTTTTCTTTTGATGGACCCCTATCACCACTATGGAAATATTCTGGAGTTAGCCTGCTAAGGAGGGTGAGAGAGGTGAGTCATTGCAGCTGAGGACATCTAAGATGAGCCAGGCCCCAGTGCACAATGTATGAGGGACACCAGTCAAGATGAATCAAGCCTGTCCGTATTAGCAGAATTACCCAGGCAATCCATAGACTTACAGGAAGTATAGAAGTAGCTGTTGCTTAAAGCCACTGTTTTGGGATGGTTTTTTAAGGCAGCAGTCACGGATACAAATCTATGCCATGATTCTCAGTATCAATTGTATCATGAGCTCCTCTTTGTTTTGTACTTTTGGAGGAGAAAAATAAAAGAGGGATCAGACTCAGTAATCCAATACAAGAACATCCATTCTGAAAGCAAGTCTCTGGGCTACTAAGCTGGCCAAAGCAAATGACCTTGGTTCAAGTCCCACAGGAATAAGTGAGTACTTAAAATAGCCAGGTCACCATCTCATTATTAAACTACTTTTAAGTGTGATTTACTCAAAGACAAGGAATGAAGGAACATGGGCTATTGGCTCGAGTTGGCACCAAGGAGTCTTACTGGCTGTATTCCCAGGTTCAACGTCAGATTTAAATGACGACACTTAGCAACACCATGCCTCAATTTACCTGGCTACTCTTATGGGACTGTTTGAGTTTAATATGAATGTGTATAAGGATTCCTGTTCTAAGTGCAATTTTTTTAAGATTATAATTATATGGCATACATTTGGCTCTCTATCATCTGACTAATGGATGGGAGCTACAACCTTAAAAAGATACTAAATAACGGATAAGAAAAAAGTCTGATATTGAATTCAATTGTGGTGGAAAAAAATATTGGCAATGAAATTACTTTCCTAATTTTGTCTCATTCAGACTAACACTGGTTTACATTTCCTGAGTGCATGCCACCAGGGAAGAAATGCTTTGCCCATGGATAATCTATGGGTACATAATTGAGAACTGACTACTGGCTAGATTCTATGAGGCTGCTCTTCCGGTAAGTTACTGCATATTCTTCATATTCTTGTTCAGAACAGCTCTACACTTTCCTCATTTCCCCTTCATCCATCCCACTCCTATGTCTCATGAAATTCGAACAACTCTTACCCTAGCCTTCTTTTGTGTGTGTCTCTATGTCCCCAGCATCTAGCTAGAAAAGCCTGAGATCCCGGTTCCTCTGTGGACACCAATAGGCAAAGGATTAAAGGATCCTCTGTTCCCAAGGGACCAGCTGGAATTGTTATATTCCCTAAATTAAATGTAAATTTCTGAAAAAATAATTTGTATATATCTTTTGCAACATCTCAGGGGAGCTATTTCCAATCACCTCATGGGGTAATGCTTAACACACAAAACTAAAGTACAAATATATGCAATAAAGCATGAGACAAGGCTTCTCTTTCACACACACACACACACACACACACACACACACACACACACACGCTCCTCTCTCTCTCTCTCCATCCCCAGATCTAAGTTTAAATGTCATGTTCAAAGAGAATGTCTTTGAACTGTTATCTAAATGGGGTCCTGGTACAGTGTTTCTTTAAGACAAACATTAAAACTCACTGTTATCTGTTTACTCCCATATTTATAGTCAGTTGCCCCCAGTGAAACCCCAGATCCTTGAGGGCAAGGATTACTCCTTTCATCTTCACCGGTGTTTCCCCCATAGGCTGGCAACATCCCTGGCACATAACAGATGCTCAATAGAAAAAGGAGAAAGTGAGTGAATGGATAACGAAGATGTATCTGGAAAATCAATTATGATCAATTATAGGGCTTGAAATAAAAGAATTCCGAAATCAAAAGAGTTCCATAAATAATTAAAAAGTTAGCCTTGGACCTAAAGTAGGGTTTCTCAATCTTGACACTCCTAACATTTGAAGTTGGATAAGTCTTTGCTGTGAGCAGCTCTCCTGTGCATTGTAGAGAGTTTAGCAACATCCTTGGCTTCTACCTACTGGATGCTAGCAGCACACTCACCCCCTGCCAGTCAGGACAACTGAAAATATCTCCAGACATTGCCAGATGTCACCTGGTGTGGGAGGGAAGCAAAGTTGCTCTGCTTCCTTCTCAGCTGGGAGCCTCTCATCTAAAGGGTGATGGTGGGATTGGGTATTATTTTGGAAGCCAAGTATTTGCCAACATCACAGTAGACATCATGAAGAAAATGAGATATGTGAGGTAGGGGGCTGTAATATATTTCCTATTCTATTTAAATACTTTTGTAAACCATATTCTTGGAAGCTGAACCTTTCTAGGAGTCTGAGAGGGTAGTGTGTAGCTTTAAGAATGTATCAACATATTAAAATTGTCAAAATATTTTTAGTTATGTGAGGTATTCTATATCTGAAGCCAGGTTTTAATGTTCTTCTTTCCCAAAATTACATACCCCCTTTCTATCTATTTAATAACCCCTCAGGAAGCAAATACTCCAAGTCACCATCTGCAAGTAGGAAATCAATTACTCCTTCTTTGCGACGGGCTGGATGGAACAATGTAAAAAAGGCTATTTTATTCAAGCTTAATACCTAGTTTTCAAAATAGAGATAATAATACCCAACCTCCTGTCCCTCTCATGGCTGAGAAGATGAGAAAATGCTGGCAAAAGTACTTTGTAAACAGTAAAGTGATCTGCAAATATCAGCTAGGTCCTTCTCCGAGATTCCACAGCCCCCATGTACGCTGTCATCAGTATTTATCATGGAGCACTTCAACGTCCAGTTATCCATCTAATCCTGAACCCCTCTGGTGGGGGAGGAGAGTTAGGGGTAAAGTTCTGTCCCTCTCTGTCCCTAGAACTTAGAGCAGTGCCAAGCTGTGTACTGAGACCCAAGCATGAAGTCCACGCATGCAGCAGGCAGAGTAAATTAATTATTGCCTCCATCTGCAGCGGTGTCTGCCAGCATCTACTCCTCTTCCTTGTGGTAATAATACCAGTCTGCACTTGCTCACAGTCATGGCGAGACCATCCATCAACAAGCCTACCTGCCCACGGTCAAAGAGAGGAGGGCCCAGTGACCTAAGACAGATCATTCAGAGTTTTCCAAGAATTTGAATCTTGATCAAAGTGACACAGAGAAAGAAAATGGTTGGAGCCAAGTTGTCCTAACCACAGCACGCTGAAACAATTGCTTTTAAGCTTTTGACACCTAAATCTCCATAGCTACCCTCTCTCCTATCTTTTCTGAGATGTAATGCTTTATCTTTTCCTATGAGCTACCCATGGGTTTCTATTAAGTGTATCCCTGTTAATGTTTATCAGAGCTGGTCTCTGTTGCTGACAAC
Organism: Homo sapiens; assembly: GCF_000001405.40. Taxonomy (NCBI): domain Eukaryota; kingdom Metazoa; phylum Chordata; class Mammalia; order Primates; family Hominidae; genus Homo; species Homo sapiens. Next base: position 14,186,345 of record NC_000001.11, on the reverse strand, counting down.
CAAGGAATCCTAACCGAATCCTCACCCCAACCTTCCTTACATGATTTTGTTACTATTTCGTATCCTGCTTACTGTAACAGGAACCATCACTTATTAGACCAGCATAAATTCCATTTTATTATCATTTTAAATGTTATTAAACTAATGACTCAGGATCAAAAAATGTAACATAAAAGCTCTATGATGTACAAAATATTCAGTTGGTACGAAAGTAATTGAAGTTTTGCACCAACAAATTCCCAAATTGTCCTTTGGCACTATACAGATCTATGGAAGTTGGACCAGTTTGATAGACACTATTCTATTCAAGCATCACTCACCCCAAGTAAGAGGTGCAACTTTCCTTCAGAATACAATGAATGGAAATCAATCTTTTTTCTGAGTCTCATTTCCAACTCGACCTGTGTCTTGGCGCACCAAACACTGAAACAACTTTGCATTCTCTGAACATTTTGCTTTATGGATTTTACAACGATGACAGAGGTCTCAGGAGGGTCTAACTTTCTCTATCAATTTAAAAAAACCCTAGACACAAGCTTAACAGAACAAGAGTATTACAATTTTATGTCTTATCCTCCATTTCTTCTAAACAGGAAGGGTGAGTACAGAAGTTCCGTAACTGAAGGGATTGCATCTAAGCCTGGCAATGCCTGTGGCTTAAAGTTTATTTATCTGAAACAAAAACAAAACAAAACAAACACCCTTTTAAAGATCAAAACTATTGTGGCAGTATGGAAAGAGGGCTTGTAAGAGTTATGTAAAAAACTACAAGCTTTTGGACTTGCTGATTTGATAGTTTTGCAACTAAGAATGGAAAATAAGCATTGCTTTTGCAAACTCGCAGGAAAGGATGCGTAATGGAGCACATGGATTATTTCAGGGGATGTGCTAAGACTCCTTTGAATAATCAGCTTATCATTGTAGCTTTTTAGTGAAGGGAACTAAATTCTTCAGCATCCATATAAGTATTTCTTTCTCCTATGACTTTTACAAGGTGGAAAGCTGGTGGGATGAGTAGACTTCAAGATATCCCAGGGTAACTTTCTTAGGATGAAAGCTTTGCCTGTTTTCCCTGGTTCTAATGTCAGAGTTTCTTCCCTGCTTGCTAAGGAAGAGAACCTAGGGAGAGAGTTCTAATTCTTTCTCCATCATGGTGTTACATCCCAGAGGATAAGGAAAACCCACATGTGCGGTACCATCCATAGCCGCAGCCAGCATCTGTGACCTTCTTAAGCCCAGGATCCTTCTGATGTCTCAGTTTGTATAAAGTGAGGGCAAGACATTCTCTAGGGCTAACCAGGTCACATTCATAGGCATAACCCTAAAGCCGGCAGCAGCTAGAAAGCTCCAGATAACTGTACCAGTGACAGCCACAGAGGCCTACCTACCTTGACCACAGTATCAACTTCGGAAAGAATCTGGAGGGATGGAAAGTGCTAGTAACAGAAGAATCAAATTAAAATGCACTTCTATAATAGGTGTGAACTGCTCGGTTCCCAAGGCATCCTTCCCAATGCAAGATGATGTTGACTTTGGGGCGCTAACCCTCCCTATCTGCCAGGAACCTGAGCCAAGGTTTCCTCTGGTCCACACTGCACTTCCCCATCTGAGGCCAGGGAGTGTCCAGACAGCTAAAATAGCTGATCATGTTCAATCGGCCCAGTTTTGCCAGAAACCAATTGGAAAGCACAATCATCTAGAAGAGTTTGCTAGACAGCTCTTTTAAAAAGAGAAAAGAAAAACGAAGCCACCCAAATCCTATGCAGTGTCTGATCCTGGCAGGGCTCCCGATCTGCCTCCTAAATGCCAGGTTTCCCTCCTGCTGCTGCTTCCGCTCTTGCTTGGCAAGGGGGAATATAGGCTTTTGGCAAATGTGCTTTCCAGTTCCCCGAACACAAATAACAGAAAGAAAGACAGACAAGGAAAGAACAGGAAAGGGAAGGAAGAGAAGGAAGTGAAAAATGCAGAATGTAATTCCACATCTCAGCTAACATTTATTTTGCCAACCAAAAGAAGAGAAGGCGAGGGAGGGAGGAGGGGAATAGATTTGAGAGAAGGAGAAAATAGGAGGGGAGGAGGAGAGATGCTGGGTCGGGTGGGGAGAAAAAGGGCAGAGGGAGAAGACAAAGAAAAGCAAAAAGAAAAGGGAAGAGGAGACAAGGGCAGAAGGAAAAACGGAGAGTTTGAAGAGTAAAGCAAATTTCAGGTCTTTTCCGCCTAACGATGGACTTTGTTCGAGATTTGTTTAGAGATGACAGTTGTGTGGTTTATTTTTATTTTGAAGGGTTTACTTTCATCCCTAGAGATGGACCTCTGGGAAGGGTATACCAACGATTCAGCCTCCCTTAAAGCAAGCTCTTCCTTTTAGTCCCAGTACAGGCCAAGTTTTAGGCAAAGAGGCTACCCACTTCCTGTCCAGACCCAGGGCAGCCTCCTTAGGTCAGCAGAGCACAGACTCTCCCTCAGCCACCCTTTGTTCCATGGCCTGCAGAAGGAAGCCCCTAGGTGCACAGAAAGTTCTCTACCCTTTAGCACTCGGCCTTCAAGAGGGGGACCTTCCTGCCAACAAAGCAATCTTATTATTTTTCCAAGCATTTTTCTCCCCTTAATAAATAATGATATTAGGTCTTTGGGGGGTAAAGGGAGAGAACTGCCAAGGAGAGATTTAATTTGCTGTAATCAACCCCTCTTAGCATGCGGAGTCACACAGTATGAGTAAAAGAATTAATCTCTACCAGAAAGAATCGCTTCTTCGGTGTTACGAATCTAATCACTTAGGAGGCTGAGTCGGCATTTTGGGTTTAGACAGGGCTCTCAGGAATCAAAGCCACAAGATCGGGTTTCAAATGCGATCTGAATGGCAGACTCCATTGAATTTGGGGGCCTGCAAACTAAAAAGGAAATGGAATGCAAATAGAGGTGCTAGGCCTCTTCAGACACCTCCATGCTCAAAACGTTTAGGGGACGAACACCTAATTGCGGGCTTTCTGGGCTACCCATGTGAGGTGCTCCCTTCGCGATTCCATTTTCCAGGATGGATTGTCAGGCCTGCCAATCATCTCTGGCTTCCCCATTATACTTGGGAGATGTGTTTGCTCTGTGCACATTGTTTTATAATCCTCAGAGGTGGAATTTCATAGTCCGGCAATGCTTTTGCCTTTGACGTTCTCCTAAGCAGGATTTATTGCTTCCAAACAGATGTGACTTGAATCGATTATGCATTTTAAGCAGTCACTCTCAAGCAGCCTCCAGGTTCTGTGGAACACTTTTTGCCTGACTTCATTCGACTTGCAAGCTGATGTCAGAGTGTTTCATCATCATCTAATACTATTAAGGGCCCTGTGGGTATGGAACTGAGAGGGCTATTATACCAACCAAGTTCAAGGATGTGGTTACTACCCTTGAAAGGCTTACATCCTGCAACACAAAAACCTAAGAGATGCCTATTAATATCACAAAATGCAGACTGAACGAAAGGATGTTCAGATAAGTTATATCTACATTCTATCGGCCTCCCACTCTTGATGAACTTAGTGTATGAAAATGAGTACAATCATTTGTCTTTGGAATTGAGAGAAGAAGCAGTGTTAAAGCACAGATGGAAAATAAGTGAATTAGCCCCCGAAATGCCCAATAAAGAGTCTTTTTTTAAAAATGACATATTTTTACGTGTCTACTTCAAAACTCAAAATCACATATCATCCCTGGCCATCCCCAAAACGTTGGGATTCCTTGGCATTTTATAAGCTTGGCAACACTCATCTGAGACACTAGCAGGATACAGGACTGGGGTTAGCAGGTGACATGATCCCAATTGACTTCAGCAAGGAACGGAGGATCATAACCAAAACACTGTTTCAAAAAGTTAGCGGTTTTAGAAGAAAACCAATCAGAGTGGTATACTAAACTCATCACAACCCACTTCATCCTTTGTTAGTTTAAAAGACAGAAGCAAGGAATCTTGGAATGTTAGGAGGCAAAAGAAACAATGGGGTTTCCACATGACGTTTCTACCTGACCCAGGTAGACACCTACCTTCAGGAAAGAGGAAGAAGATGTAACCCACCTTCCTTTTTAGCATATGACTTAGGAGAATATCCACCATATCCCACTCCATTTTATCTGGCCATTTAAAGGAGAACATTCTAGCAGTCATCGATTTGGGATCAGGAGAAAATATGATAAGAAAATATTCCTACACGATGACTACACGATAGGGGATATTTTAATCTCCTTAAATAAAAAAGGGAAAATTCATTGTCAACACCACAAAGGATGAAGGCTCTCTAATGAATTAGGCACTCGGTGGGAGCAAACATTTCCGGAATATGAAACATTTTTGAAATCCAGTTCTAGGCACTAGTAAGCTCGGATGTGAAGGAGAAGAAAAATATGCACTTTTTTCAGTACCTTAGGTTTTGCAAACTGGAGTTTACACACAATGCCTTTTGGGATTCATTTAGGCAGTTCCCTTGGCTGAGGTGCTGGCTACAGGATTGGGACCAGGCATTTCGAGGAAAGCTAATCCTTTCAAGAACAATTTGCTCTCTTTTATTCAGTAAATTCTTCTAAATTTCCCTTTTTTCTGAGTTTCAAAATTGGCTGTCATAGCTTCAGAATCCTTCCTTTTTCCACCAGACAGGCTGGGGGAGAGAGGAGAAGCTGAATGGGCTGTTTATAATGAAGGAGAGCAGGAGAACCGTGAATAGGAATGAAAGGCTTTGCATAATTTGGGCCATCTCAACAGAGGGCCTCAAAAATCCCATGGGGCGGCTTCAGGCATTGACAGGTGAGACAGGCACAAAGGCACAGCCAGTTAAAGCCGTATTGGTACAAGACCCGGGCTTCGGGATTGATTTTAAAAATAAAACATAAACCACTACCAGCGTAGAAACAAAAGCAAAGAAACCACAGTTCAAAATCTCTGCTACAGAGCGGAATGAAAGAAACCACCAACCATTCTGACCTCAGCAATGCTGAACAGAAAACAAGCTCAGGAAGAAATCCCCGGGGCAAATGAACACAAAAATCACCAAACCCACAGAACATTTCCTGAAACATTTCCCGACACTGAAGAGGTAGGAATGACAATTAGATCTAGCTCAGTTTGGCTTCCCTAACACAGAAAACTATCAATTCTCTTAAAACACTTGGTGTTTGTCTATCAACACGTCTGAAGAGACCCACCAACAAAGCCAGAAGGAGTAGATAACTTTTAAATATTTCGATAAAATAGTACACAAGGAGACACCTTGAATAACATCTCAACAATAGCCTACAATGAGCTAAATACCTTCCTCAATAAATTCAGCGCTAGCAAAACCAGTGCTGATGTACTTACTGGGGCGGGGCGGGAGGAGTACAGCAAATGCACCAAAATATTCATTAGTTACTTATGCTGTTTGGGACAAGTATTTGCTCTACTCCAAAGCCTTTGCCAGCTATGATGCCTGCCAAGTTTGTATGTAAATGGATTTTCACTTTTCCAAGGCTAATGGGAGATCTGTTAAATTCTCAGAGACAACAAATATACTGTTCTTAAGCTGTATTACTTTGACTTTTTAAAAAGCTATTTTAATACTAAATTCCAAATAAGATCTAATCAGAAATCCAATACTCAACATATCCAATCTGTTATATCAGAAAAACAGGTTTCAATAGGTGTGGTAGTTGAACATTTTTGGACAGCTTATGCCAAAAAGAAAAAAAGATTCCACCTTCTCCATAGAGAATTTCTGTATTGATCTTTGTACCTGAGCATCCATTAAGAGGTGCCTCATCAATATCATGGAACTCTTCAGAGTCTCCTTCTCAGTGGGTAGAAAAGGGTCTTTGTCCTCCTCCAGTGCCTTCGACTTGGTGACAATAAAATGGGAAATCTGGTCATTGAGGGTGTGCAATGATTGCACAGCTGTGGAAAGAAAAAGAAGGAAAAGTAGAGTCACAACTGGTAACTTTCAAAGAGAAATTGACTAGCCATTTTGAAGAGAAAAGTAAGGGTGTACATACAAGGTCTAAGCCAGGCATGTATCAAGAACTTGACACATCTATAAATTCCATTAACAAACATGTTCAGTAACTAACAAACACTTATTGAACACCATTCAAATGCCAAGCCTACATAGAGTGCTTGGGGATACACTTGTGAGCAAAGCCTGACATGGTACCTACCTTCATGGAGTATCTAGTCCTGTTGCAGAAACTTAAAAAAAAAAATCAAGGTGTTAAATAGATACATGAATATGACTTTGTGGTAAGTGTTTATAAACTGCAGAAATTAACGGGGCATGAGAGGACAGCCCTAGACTAGATTTACATTTATGGTAATACAGTTGGCTATTGTACCTCTAAGCAGATGGCCTCTGTCATTAAATTTTATGAAGGGACAGTGGCCATGTTTTCCAATCAGTGCCACATGTGGGCTGAAAGGATTATTATTTCTCTATAATTCCCATAGCACTTACCATCTGATGTGTTATAGATTTTAAGATTTTACTTATTATGGTTGCTGCCTCTTTCTCTATTTTCTCTACAATGGACTTGATCACAGCAGAGAGGCTTCTTTTAATCTCTTTGCTTACTGTCATCTCCCCAAAAACTAGAACAGCACCTAGCAAATGGAAGGTGCTTAATAAATACTGTTGAATTAATTCCTTACATCTCTGTGAATTAATATTTCTTTCCTCATGGAATTTCTATCATTTTCAGGTAAATCTATCCTTTCAAACCCCAAATAAGTAAATTCTAGGCATTCTCCATAAAGCCACTGCATTTGCCACAATTATGAAAAGAAAAATGTCATTATCAAGGAGCCAGTATACAATAGAGGGACTTTGAAGACTTCTGGCTTTGGCCATGAGGGTCCAGATTATCCTCTTGCTGTAAATAACTATAAAACTGAACACTATGTTAGAATCAACTATTTTTAGACATTGGACAACATGGGATTGTGATCCTTGAGAAAATATGAAAAAGCAAGTTGAGTCCTAATATCTCCATGCATTCTGCAAGGACAGAATTTCCAGACTCCAGCATAGAAAAGAGAAATCCAGAGAGAGCCCCGCAATGTCACTGAATTAAGGAGCTGGAGATCAGGAAGACTAAGTTAGCTAGGATTTCCAGGACAAAGTTCTAAAAGAGCAGGAGGGCTACACCTAGATCTCCAAAGATCTGCAAAGGGGTTGCCTTTGAGTTGCTGGCTGAATATCAATCCTGTGTCTGGGCAGGATAAAACTCTACATGACCAGCAAGAAAAACGTGCAGGAAAGAACAGTTACAGGGGAGCTGCAGGCCAAATAATTTCAAGAGATCACGTGTCCATAAATTGTTGACATGCTCACCAGCCAAAGAGGAGGAATTTGGGTGGAATATGGGACACATTCATTAGAGACTCCAGAAGGGCCAGGGTGTAGAAATTAAGCAAAATGATTCCTAGAATAAAGGCTATTCCAGGCCCTTCCAAAAAGAGCTTAAAAGTAAGCCATGAAAGAGGTGAACTGATCTGCAAGTAACTAAAATACCTGCCAAAAAAGTTAGCATTTTTATAGAAGTGGAACAAAATATAGTACCCCAAAATGTAACATTCATAATGCTTAGGGTTCCATAAAAAATTACCAGACATACAAAAAAGCAAGAAAATGTGACTAATAGCTTGGAGAAAAATCAGTATACAGAAACAAACCCAGAAATAACAGAAGTGATAGTATTAGCAAACATGGCTATTCAGACAGCTACTAAAAATATGCTTTGCTTGTTCAAGGTTGTAAAACAAACATGAATATAATAAAGAGAAAAGTAGAATATTTAAATCAGAACCAAATGGAACCTCTAGGGATGAAAAATGCAAAATCTGAAATGGAATTCTCATTGGATGAGATTAATAGCAGATTAGACAATGGAGAAGAAAAGATTGGTGAACCTGAAATCATAGCAATAAAACTATCCAAAATTAGTGACAATGTAAGTCTATAAAGCTAACGTATATCTAATTGGAGTCTCGTTGGCAGAGGTGGGGAGGACAGGGAAACAGAAACAGTAGTTGAAGAACTAAAATTGTATTAGTCTGTTCTCATTCTGCCATGAAGAAACATCGGAGAGACTGGGTAATTTATAAAGGAAAGAGGTTTCATTGACGCATAGTTCCGCATGGCTGGGGAGGCCTCAGGAAACTTAAAATCATGGCAGAAGGCACCTCTTCACTGGGTGGCAGGAGAGAGAATGAGTGCCAGCAGGGGAAATGCCAGATGCTTATAAAACCATCAGATCTCCTGAGACTCACTCATTATCATAAGAACAGCATGGAGGTAACCGCCCCCATGATTAAATTACCTCCCACAGAGTCCCTCCTATGACACGTGGAGATTATGGAAACTACAATTCAAGATATTTGTGTGGGGACACAGCCAAATGCTATCAAAAATGAACAATTTTTTTCCATATTTGATAAAAACTATAAACCTATAAGAATCTCAATAAACTGTAAGCAGGATGAACACAGAGAAGGCTGCAACAAGGCATATTATAATCAAATTACTAAAAAAAAAAAAAAAAACACACACACACAGTGAAAATGAGAAAATCTTAAAATCAACCAGCTCCCCTGTAACTGTTCTCTCCTGCAAGTTTTTCTTGCCTAGTCATGTAGAGTTTTATCCTGCCCAGACACAGGATCATAGAAAAAAGGCATGTTACATTTAGAGACCAAAAAACAATGTCAGCCTTCTCATCGGAATCTATGCAAACCAGGAGATAAAAAAAAATTGACATTTCGAAAGTACTGAAAGCAAAAAACTTGCCAACCGAAATTGCCAATGTACAGTTCTATAACCATCAATATCTTTCAAAAATGAAGGTGACTTTTTTAGATAAACAAAAGCTGAGAGAACTCATCACCAGCAGATTTGCACTAAAAGAAAGGTTAAAGAAGTTACTTGAGGCAGAAGGAAAATGACATTAGGTAGAAACTTCTATTTACAAAAATGAAAAAAGAATGCTTGCAAAGGGAAATGTTTGAGTAGCATAAACATGTTCTTTCTCATCTTTTAATTCATTTAAAAGATTATTGATGGTTTAAAGCAACAACAATAATAATATCCTGTGGGGTTGATAACTTACATAGAGTAAAATATATGACAATAACAGCACAAAGAATAAGCAGGTGCCAATGTAAGCATATTGTCTTTTTTTTTGAGATGGCGTCTCGCTGTGTCACCCAGGCTCGAGTGCAGTGGCTCGATCTCAGCTCACTGCAACCTCTGCCTTCTAGGTCCAAGTGATTCTTCTACCTTAGCCTCCCGAGTAGCTGGGACTACAGGCACGCACCACCACACCCAGCTAATTTTTGTACTTTTAGTAGAGACGGTGTTTCACCATATTGGCCAGGCTGGTCTCGAACTCCTGACCTCGTGATCCACCCGCCTTGGCCTCCCAAAGTGCTGGGACTATAGGCATGAGCCACTGCGAACAACCTAAGTTTTAGATCTTATACCTAAAGTGGTATAATGTTATTTGAAGGTAGACTGTGTTAAAGATGGATATCGTAAATCCTCGATTAATCCCTAAAAAAATTAAACAAATAATAAATAAATAGAAGATGGGTTTTGAATCATGGAGAATCAAACTTGGAGGACTGAGCATACAGTGGCAACTATAGGCCATAGGGTAGGGAGAATACCGGATATGACATCAGAGCTGTGCCTCGTTGCATGGGAAGACTCCACAATCCTTTCCTGGGCTAGAGGGGAGCTTGGCTAAAACAGAGAAGGATGGACTAGAAAGAATATGGCCTGATTCTCACTTAGCCTGAATTCTGTTCTCCACTGCAGAGGGTTAGAAACACCCAGACAGATTTGGGGATCTGAAAACAGAAGTTCCCTCATGTCTCATACCCTGCCCTGGGCAGCTGTGGCAGCTGTGGCAGCTGATATTGGGGTGGAAATGGTGACCCTGTGGCATTTTAAGTTACAGAGAATCTGAGATAGCTCTACCACCTACACTCTCATCGCTCCACCTCGTCTTGCTTAGTGTTGAGCAACTGGGGTTGATGATACCTCAACCTAGTCCAGAAACGGCCAGAGAGAGATTCATGGACAAGCTATACATCCCAGGACAAGATAATACATAAGCTCCCTGAGAACCCAAACAGAAGGGGAAGAGAAAGGGTAGGGGAAGCAATTTGAATTTATTTGATATTTACTCAGAAGATACTCACTTTTAAACCAGAAGTGACTGAGTTACCCTAAGTGGAAATAGGTGCTCCAGATCTAAATTGAGTTCCATTATACAAAGTTAAAAACAATACCACCTGACTTTTTAGCATTATGACTATACATTTTAAACTTCTGTGTATATCCCCTGTATGTTATCTGCAAACAGGAAGGTTAGGACATGCTGAGCCATGAGGAGAAGAGTTGGCAAGGGCATTAAAATAACCTACCCATGGTCTACGACAAATCTTTGCTCAATTTATGCCTCATTTTCCTCTACCATCCTGCCTTCCCTTCCCCAAACTCCCAATACACAGACTCCATGTTCTTAACAAACCTTCTTCCCAAATCATTCTGAGAGTACCTCAGTTCCCACGTCCTTTGCTTACACATGCACAGACATTACTATTAACAAAACTCCTTATGCCAGTTCTTGGAAGACAGGAGTTACTGTCCTTGCTTTTCACTCTAAGTAGGCTAGCGGATTTGGGGTTCTCAAACTGCATCTATTACAACTTGTTTCTTTCTTTTGCGTACACTACTCACACACAGTACAACTCGTTCTATCCTTGTTCCAGAAAATTGAGGCTTAATCACCAAAACATGCCCTAAGTTTCGCTTTGTTCTAAACACAAAAGACAAATTGAAAGATTTAAGCACCTCCCTGTCTGCTCAAAGAATAAATTCCATCAGAGAACTTACCACATTGTATGGCAACTGCTTAAGAATCCATCCGTGGGCCCGGCGCGGTGGCTCACGCCTGAAATCCCAGCACTTCGGGAGGCCGAGGTGGGCGGATCACGAGATCAGGAGATCAAGACCATCCTGGCTAACACGGTGAAACCCTGTCTCTACTAAAAATACAAAAAATCAGCCAGGCGTAGTGGCAGGCGCCTGTAGTCCCAGCTACTCTGGAGGCTGAGGCAGGAGAATGGGGTGAACCCGGGAGGCGGAGCTTGCAGTGAGCCGAGATTGCGCCACTGCACTCCAGCCTGGGTGACAGAGTGAGATTCCATTTCAAAAACAAAAACGAAAACAAAACCCATCCATGGTAGATTGAATTACTGGTTCAAAAACTGCCCCTCTCTAAACCAATGCCTACAGTCCTCCCTAGTGACCCTCCCGTGGGAGAAACATTCTTCCTGCCTTCACTGATGTTAAGTTTTGCCATATGACTTGCTTTGGCTAATTAAACATGAGCAGACACGAGCTAGACCGTGCCCAAGCTGAATCTTTAACAGCCATCACATGGCCCCTACTTACCCCTCAGTTTTCCCACCTGTACAGAGTTGCTCTGAGAATTAGAGACAGATTGTATAAAGCACGTGTCACAGTACCTACCACATGATAAGCATGTAAAAAAATGTTAACTATTAGATTATCATTCCAGTTTGTACCTCAAATCTTTAACATGCTGATATTAACTAATTGTTCTGATTATAATTGAGATTAATTTTTAACTCCTTGTTATATAAGTGAGCCAAAGATGGTCTCTGTGTATTGGCCCTTTGGTTATTTATTTCTTCTTTGCAGGCTCAGCCCTGCTAGCTCACAAGCCCACCAGAAACAAACTCAAAATTTTCCACATCTAATTGCTTTAAACATAGCTCAAATAAGCAGATGTTTAGCCATTTAGAGCCTGCCTTGTATAATCCGCAAAACTGCTCCCAACACCTGTTAGCCTTAGATAGGCTAAACCCTGAGCCATAAAGACCCCAAACTTCTGCTCTTCAATGCTTCCTGTCCTGGAGGCTCTCAAGGAGCTACTGAGCAACATCACGTTGACACATAAGTTCCCTCTCTACTCCCCATCTCCCTGGGTTTGCCTTGCCCTCCTTTCCTTCTGAGTGTGGACCCCCTGCACCTCTGGACAGTCTCCCACCGTGCGGAACTTCCCTTCTTGCCAGCCGGTCAAAGCATTCCCCAACAAAGCTTGAGTGTGCTACCACCACCTTTTCGCCAGCCCCCAAATCCTGTGACCTCCCTATACCACCCATTTGTCTATTCAGTGTGTACCCTCAGTTACAACCTGTCCAGTGCTTCACACCCATTGAAAACATAATTAATGCAAGCTGAATATGTGGAAGTAATGATATCGAAGAGGAATGCCTTTTCCCATTTGTTTCTATGTACAGACCAAATATTCAATGCTGGTCACCCTGTGTTAGGTTGTGTAATGGACATTTTATATTTCTGTCTGGTTAGCATCTATTTCCCTCTTCTAATAAAAGCAGCTCTCTTATTTTGTAGGAACATTCTTTCCATGTGTGGTTTATTTAGGGCTGATTCCACTCCCAAGTCCCTGAGGTGGGCACGTGGTCCAGGCCTGGCCAATCCAAGCGTTTCATCTCTTTGGCAACAGTGGTTGGTTCAGCAAAGGACATGTGAACCAAATGCAGCCAAACAGGTTTAATCTCAGGACAATTTGATGGAACTATTGAGAAAGAGATAGGCTCCTCAAGTTGGGCGGGGCGGGGCGGGGAGGGGAACTACAAAGCCCACCAGCTGCTTCACATTTATAACAATTTACCACTCCCAGCTGAAAAAGAGAGGTTAGCTATCTCTTTCTCAATAGTTCCGGCGGATAGTCCTGGGATTCAATCTGCTTGGCTGTGTGGCCTCTTTTTCAATTGGGATTGGTAGACTGGTAGGACTGTGGAGCAGCTGGTGGGCTTTGTAGTCATCACTTGAGGAACTCTTGCCTGAGAATAAAACCAATTGAGTAAATGGAGGTAAGTGGAGCTGAGAGACAGGGAAAGTGGTCCTTGAAGACATCATTGCAGCACAGGATTCAGCCACAGACTTCTCAGTTAAGTAGGTCAGTAAATGCCCTTCTTTTCTTTAGCCCATCTGAGTTAGGTTTCTATCATTTGCAATCAGGAAGTCTTGATTACTATAAAGATGCTTGTACTCTTTCTTCACTGCAACAGTTATTGGTGTGGTTATTTCTTGAATGTCTGTCTCCCTCTGTTGCACATTAAAGATAATCTTAAATTTTTTGCTACTCCTCCCCTTGAGAAATAAGGTCAGAATCCCCTCCTCGTGAGTCTGGCTGGCCTTAGTGACAAGGTTGTCCCCACAGTAAGTGGCAGAAGTGGTGCCCTGGGATTTCTAAGGCTAGGTCATAAGAGGTCTTGCAGCTTCTGCCCATGATTCCTGGAATGCTCCTTCTGGGAGAAGCTGCCATATAAGAAGTCTGAGGCACCTGAGACCGCCATACTTGGAGGAAGCCCACACTCACAGCATGGAGAAGGAGATGCCCAGCCATCCTCAGCTTTCTAACCATCCAGCCCAGGTGCCAGATACACGAGTGAAAAAGCCATCTTGAATATTCCAATCCCAGAAGGTGCAATATAGAGAAGGGCCAAGAAATCCAGCCATCCGCCATCACGGAGGCCCTTGCCATGGCACCAGCCATCTCAATGATTCAAGTCATCCCAGATGAGGCCACAGCCACTGTGGAGCCTAGCTGAGCTCCTCCCTGTGCAATACCCAAATTCCTGGCCCACAAAGCTGAGAGCATAATAAGGTATTGATTTCCATCGCTTAGTTTTGGAGTGGTTTGTTACACAGCAATAGATAACAGATAACTGTATCACCCTCATGGAACACATTTTAAGTTGTAAGTTCCATGAGGTCACCAATAGTATATTTTTTTGGTTAATCATTGTATCCCCTGATTTAAGCATAGGACCTGGCACATAATAGTGCTCGAACAAACAAATATTTGCCCAAAAGGGCAAAAAAAGAACAAATAAATGAAGAAATGAAGGAAAAAGCCAACTCCACTCCACTTCATCCCCTCCCTCTGCCCCATCATCCTAGAATTGTGTGGTATGCACATTCTTCTCCATTTGGCCTATAGACATTTCAACTAAACAGTGCTGTTCTTAAAATGTATGATGGATTACAAAAATGAAGAACCATATATATGCTTTCTTACCTACCTGAGTTTAGGAAATTGAGTCATAAAAACCAGTTTATTTGGTTGGTTGTTTTGAATGTGAAATGATGTTCAATTTATGCCATGTTATTTTGGTCTACAAATTTAAAGCAACTTGTATTTCTGTAGTAGGCTTATTTATACGAAGGGCTCATTTCAATTTCACTGTACATTAATGAGTATTTAGGTTACAGATAAGTGGTACATTCATGAGTTGGCAGAGGAAAAAAATGACACGCTTTGACATTTTGTGTCATTAGCAAAAATAGAAGATACACATACAATTTCTTAATGTTTTCAGAAGAGAAATAACAGCTTACCGTACTTTGCTTCTGTCTTATGGATCAGATGAAGTATAGCCCATGAAATAATAATAATATGACCCTAAACTCTTTTTATGTAGATGAGTCCAGATGTCACTGAGATGGGCTATTATACATTTTTATAGAAAAATATACCAGATGAGTCATATCATGGGGCACAGCCTTGCCACAAGAAGCTCCATGGATTTTATGATCTTGTCATTTATATGGTCCATAGATATGAACTAATGACCAAATTTATCTCTGCATGTTAAACAACCTTTGCTTTCGTGTATCTCAAATTCTATGATGTATTTTGCATTAAAATGCTCACAGGTTTCCAGTTCTTGCTTTAATATGGTCTCATTAAATAAATGAAGCCTAAATAATTCAGATTTTCCCCCCATTATTATAATAAAACTCATCCTATAAGTCAAAAGTTGATGCTGGAGGCAAGGATGTGGAGAAATGGGAACCCTCATAGGTTGCTGGTGGGAATGTAAAATGGTCCATCCACTGTGGAAAACAGCTTGGCAGTTCCTCAGTAAGTTGAACACAGAATTTTCTTATGAGCCAGGAATTTACTCTTAGGTATATAAGCAAAAGAATTGAAAACAAGTGTTCTAGCAAACACTCACACATGAGCATTCACAACAGCACTATTCATAGCAGCCCAAGGTGGAAACAACCCAAATTCCCATCAACTGATACATGGACTAACAAAATGTGGTATATCCATACAATGGAATACTATTCAGCTATACAGTAGGAATGAAGTGCTGCTGCATGCTAGAATGTGGATGAATCTAGAAAACATTATGCTAAATGAAAACCGGACACAAAAGACCACACCTTGTAATTCCATTTTTAAGAACTGTACAGAGGGCCAGGAGCGGTGGCTCACACCCGTAATCCCAGCACTTTGGGAGGCTGAGATGGGTGGATCACGAGGTCAGGAGTTTGAGACCAGCCTCATCGAAACCCCATCTCTACTGAAAACAGAAAAATCAGCTGGGCATGGTGGCAGGCACCTGTACTCCCAGCTACTCAGGAGGCTGAGGCAGGAGAATCGCTTGAACCCAGGAGGTAGAGGTTGCAGTGAGCTGAGATTGTGCCATTGCACTGTAGCCTGGGTGACAGAGTGAGACTCTGTCTCAGAAAAAAAAATAATTACAGAATAGGCAAATCCTTAGGAGCAGAACATAGGATTAACTGCTTAATGAGTACAGGGTTTCCTTTTGTGGCAATAAAAAGGTTCTGGGACTAGATAGTGGTGATGGTTATACAACACTGTGAAGGTACTAAATGCCACTGGATTATACACTTTAAAGCAGTTAACCTGGTAAATTTCAAGCTACGTGCATTTTACCGCAATTTTTTTTAAGTTGATACTGGAACATCTTTCTAGAATCAGACACTGGAGTGGTCTCTGGCATGTAAGGATGCCACTGCTGACCCTACCACTGGGATTTGTCTTCTGGTGGGATCAGGGCAAAGCCAGACCTATTTTTTTTTTTCTTTTTACCTTGACCCAGTGAAAGAGTCATAACTTACAAGATTAGACAGGTTTAAAAGTAGGTAATGAAACAAACCCTTAGAACCACGGATTCAAAATCAATTTACCACCCTTTTAAACAGATAGATTTGCAAGAGAACCAGAGTTACATTTGTGAATAAAACCACCATGTGTGGCTAGAAGTCCCAGCCACGTGGTGCCTGAATTGGGCTCTGACTGAGCCTGTGGGGTTTGAGAGCTGATGAACTGCAAAGCCAGGAGGGGCCAGAGTGAGTTGTGAGGCAGGCATGTGGTTCAGATCCACACCTTGGAGGATCAATGTGGCTCCATTTTTAGAAAGCCAAGCCCATGTTCAGAAAGAAGCTTGGGGAAGGTCCAGCCTGCCACAGCCTGTGGAAGAGAGTGCGCCTCTTTAAGAGATGTGGCTGAGGGCCTGAGCTTTTGGGGTCAGATTTCCTGAGTTTGAACCCTGCCTCCATCTGCTATTAGCTGTGTCTAATAGCTGTTGGGAAGTGACTTCATCTTCTTGGGTATCACTTTTCTCTCTGTCACATGGAGACAAAGCCATATTTACTTGATAGTTATGAGTATTAACCTAAGTAATATAACTGAAGTACTCAAAACAGTGCCTGGCCCAGAGTTACTCAGTGATGACACCCAGCTATCATTATCCCGATCATTACTTATGGCCATTGCCTAATTCCCGTATGAGCCTCCAGCAGGTCTAGTTGTGACACGACCACCAGGGTGACCCTGCTGCAGGGGACAGTCCTCGGGGATGGACACCCTAGGTAGCATTGGGGGCTCACTGGGAATCAGCCCCTGCCTGTTCTCACACCCCTGTGTGTGCTCAACCTAGGACAGCACCCTCTTCACTCCACTCCAGTTGATTGGGCACCACCAAACTGTCCAGAGGTAGGAAATTGGAGCTGAGGCACCCAGTGAGGCTAATCGGCTGGACATATAACATGGAAACTCTGCTGGAATGGACAGCCACATTCTAATGGGCAGTCTGGATGTGGGAAAGACAGCTGGAGAGACAACAAGAGAAGAGCAGGGAAGGAAGGGGAGGGGAGGGGAGAGAAGAGGAGATAGAAGAGAGAGAATGACATGGTAAGGACCCAGAGGGCAATACAGAGCAGAGATAGAGCCTCTTTCTTGGCCTTGGTTTCCGTCCACCGTGAGACCCAGCCGTCTCCTGCCCTGACCCCTTGTGATAAATTCCCTTCTTCTCCTTAAGCCAGCTTCATTTGGTTTCTGTTACCTATACCGAGTAAACCCTACTTAATACGAGTCCCACAGCTGATGTCTTTCTACTACTTACGACAAATGCCTTTTATTTCTCAAGACTTCCAGAGTACAGATGAACTCTGCTATTTACTTAGGTTAATATTTTCCATGCCTTGCTCAGAGGGAGGTGATGGTAACAACATCAACACCCCCACTACTAACAGCAGCTGCTATTTATTAAGCACTTACTGAATATCAAGCACTGTGCTGAGTGGCTTGCATGCATCATTGCATTTCCTTGTCACACAACCCAGGTTTAGGTACTACTGGCTCTGTCCTTCTGTTGAGGAAACAGAGTCTCGATGGTTTCAGGAATTTGGCCACAGCCACACAACCTCGTACCTGTGAAGTGCTCTATGGCCCTCTGGTTCTCCCTGCTGGACTGAACAGAAGCTTCTAGCTGGGCTGAAGAATATGACAATTCATCGCTACACTAAATCTATGAATATACGATCCAGTTTTGTACTCAAGTCACACAGTCCTATAGCCTGTAATGGGTAGCATCATCTCCATCCACTGTTGCCATGAGGAAGCTGGCTGCTTGTCAATCCCGCCACATCCTTCAAAGTCAGCAAAAAAGGCCACCTCTAATGGAACACAGCCCTGAGCACTATCATGCAACTGAAGAGCAGAGAAGTGTCAATTTGCACAGAGATAATAAACGCTTTCACATTCAGCGTCTCCCTCTGCGCATCCCAGAACTCCGTAAAGAACTCTGCACCACTCTGCCTTCCTGCCTAGATGGGATCTAACCATGCCTTGTTCCACGGGCATTCCAAACAGCTTCACTTTTCTTTATTTGTAGGTTCCCAGCATTACCAAGGCCAACTCCACTTTGACCCAACAGAAGCTGCAAGAAAATGCGTTACAATAAAGTCGCCCTGTGAGAAGTAGATTCTGACAAAATCATGTAGCCAGCGACTTGCCTGGGCATAATACACGAATTTTCATTTGAATGTCGTTGTCCGGTAAAGACTGCAACAAGGAAATGGGCTTTGGCTCAAGGAAGAGGAAGCGGCGCCAAGGACATGTCAACCTTACAGTGACAGAAGATTGTGTGGTGTTAACTGCGGCCCTGATGGGACGTGCTTGCCATTGGAAGGAGACTAACTTGACTCCTGGAACCAATTAATTTCCAGAAAAGCTGAGAGGCCATGGCATTTGGTGGCTGAGTGCAGTTCAGACCTGACAGGCACCCAGTGGCTGGGTCATCTGGCCCCCAGTTTTGTCTGGACTTTTCCTCCTATGCCACTGTTGCAGTCTTTATCTCCACCTCAAGGCCTTTTACTTCCTTGCTCCCTGCCCTTCCTAACTTCTCTAAATTCCATTTTTCAGGTGCTTCCTTGTTTGTTTTTGTTTTTGTTTTTTTGACAGAGTTTCTCTCTTTTACGCAGGCTGGAGTGAAGTGGCATGATCTCGGCTCGCTGCAACCTCCACCCCCAGGGTGCAAGCAACTCTCCTGCCTCAGCCTCTCTAGTAGCTGGAATTGTAGGTGTCTGCCACGATGCCTGGCTAATGTTTAGATTTTTAGTAGAGATGGGGTTTCCCCATGTTGGCCAGGCTGGTCTCGAACTCCTGACCTCAGGTGATCCACGTGCCTCGTCCTCCCAGAGTACTGGGATTACAGACATGAGCCACCATGCCCTGCCTCCATCCTTGTATTTAGTCCACAGGGCTTAGCCTTGATTTTTAAATTAGACTACTGGTAACCCACGCCAGATAGAGATGCTTGTGCTCTCTTCCAGTGACCCTTCAGAGGCTCGGGATGTTGAGGGGAGGCGATTCTCTCTAGGATAAAACAAGACACAATGAAATATGGAATGGAATGCAAAATGGCATCAAATTTTAGGATAAAATGCACATTTTCAAACAAGATTCCTGCTCTGTCCCCTGACCTTGACGATAATACATGGGCATAATCCCAGAACTCCATAAAGAACTCTGCACCACTCTGCATTCCTGCCTAGATGGGCTCTAACCCAGTTAGATGGGTCCAGTTCCCCTTCCTTTCCATTAAGGAAAATCTTTTGATGACAAAGCTTGAGATTTGATCCTTGATCCCTAGAACATTTTGGCTATCTCACGCACCTTAGGACAGACTGTGGCCCTTCAGTTCTTCATACAGAGTTAGGGGATATTTGCAACTTATTCTTCACTTCCTTACTGAGTCTGTAAAAGCTAAAACCTCACTCATTGTACCTGGAGGAGAATGAGTAGTCTGAATTTTTAAAAATCTAAATTAATGACATTTGAAAAGTGATTATGTTCCAAGTATGTAAACACGGAAATAATCAAATATAAGTGAATAAAACCAGAGGAACGGCTTTTAATAGATAATATTTACAATTAGTAAGTGAATTGTACTTAAGTATAACTAAAATGCCCAAGAATGTTTAAAAAGTCAAAATTTGTTAAAATATATAGTACAAAATTTACCAAAACCCTTATACCAATAACTTTTATTTACTCATAGTAACACAATAGTACCAAATTTATAACAAAAGCAGCAATAACATCTCTTATTTCGACATTTGCTGTGTTCCAGGATTTATGCTTATTTTGTGTAATGTAATGGTCCTTGTAAAACGGTCAGATGATGGTGATCTGATCACCCGCATTTCATAGATGAGAAACTTGAGGACAAAGACATGAGGTACCCAAGGTCACACAGGCAATCAATGGCAGAACTGGCATTCAAACCAAGTTTTGCCCAACTAAGGCCCTTACACACATGAAATCACTATGACTTCATGTTATTTATTTATTTATTTATTTTTGAGACAGTCTTGCTCTGTCGCTCAGGCTGGAGTGCAGTGGCACAATCTCAGCTCACTGCAGCCTCTGCCGCCCAGGTTCCAGCAATTATCCTGCCTCAGTCTCCTGGGTAGCTGGGATTACAGGCGCACGCCACCATGCCCAGCTAATTTTTGTATTTTTAGTAGAGATGGGGTTTTGCCACGTTGGCCAGGCTGGTCTCAAATTTCTGACCTCAGGTGATCTGCCCACCTCTGCCTCCCGAAGTGCTGGGATTATAGGCGTGAATGTTAGTTTTTTTAATTTACTTTTGAGATACCGAGTGGCCCCTTTCCGGCCTTACGCATATTCCGTACTGCTGCCGGCTCTTTGTATGACCGTGAGAGAATCTGCTGGAAAGTACTCAGTACCCTAAAACAAGACAATAGTTACCATTCATGAAGCCCTTGTGTGGCAGTCACAGGACTGGACTCTATGTAGCACCAACTGTTTGCCTGATCTACATGCAGAATCTCTGTCAAAGAGTTTGCCCCTAAGACATGAAGCTATTTGAACACTGTAGTCAGAGCCAAAGATTTCAAGTAGCTGCCAAAGGAACAGTTCTTGCTCAGGGGTGAGAAGGAGGACAAGAAGAACTGCTCCAAGTCTGAGGGTGCTGATGACAACAGACTGTTCTTTTCTTCTCAGAAAGCATCTAAGGAGAAACCACCCTGAACAGCTTCCTTTGCTTTGGAGGCAGCAAAACTTCAACACCTGGTGTCAATGGGCTTTTGACATTTTATTATGCAAGACCAGATGCAGCCTTGTGGAGCTCAGGGACACAATCTGCATGCAAATGAGAATTAGAAATTCTCAGAGACCTGGGTGAGCCACGGACAGGAGGCTCACTGCCAGCAGTTCATGCTAAGGTGAAGAGCCCAAACGTGGAAAAGGAAACTGCATTTTAAATAGATCCTTGTCATTCCTGCTTTTAACAGGAAGACACGGGGCTAAGGCAGGGAGTGGAGTAGACACAGAGGGAATGGGAAACCTGGCTTTCCAGTGGGAAGGACTGGCCTGCTGCCCCATATCTGACCTATGAGAGCATGACAAAAGGATGAGGGCCCACCGAGAAATACAAGGCTCCCAATGTCCTAAAGAGGCAGGAAAGTTGAAAGCCATAGCTCACATTTTAGGACTGTCAGAAATACATAAAACTAGCTATGTACACATGACACACAATTCTGGTCCTATTCTGTGACAAATTAAAAATTGCACAGATGTCATCGAGATAGAAAATTTAAGAGGAAAAATGATCCTTTTGCCGTAATTTGACATATAATCATGCTTCAATTGAATTGCCTCATAGAAAGACCGACACCCTGGAAAAGAGGATCCGCAACTTTCCATGTCAGTATTTTATTTTAGCCACAGCTACTTCTCCCCCAAATTACAATGAATATGCTCAGAGGTGAAATCATTCCCAACAATGAGTCCGCCTCCTTTAAGAGGAAACTTGGCCGGGCACGGTGGCTCATGCCTGTAATCCCAGCACTTTGGGAGGCCGAGGCAGGCGGATCACCTGAGGTTAGGATTTGGGACCAGCCTGACCAACATGGAGAAACCCCATCTGTACTAAAAGTACAAAATGAGCCAGGCGTGGTGGTGCATGCCTATAATCCTGGCTACTTCGGAGGCTGAGGCAGGAGAATCGCTTGAACCCAGGGAGCGGAGGTTGTGGTGAGCCGAGATCGTGCCATTGCACTCCAGTCTGGGCAACAAGAGCAAAACTCCATCTCAAAAAAAAAAAAAAAAAAAAAAAGAGGAAACTCACATTGCAGAAATGGAGTATCACTTTTGAGGCTAGATTTACAAACACACACACACACACACACACACACAAAGCCATAGTGTTTTCTCTCTTGAAATGCTCACTCTGAGGGATGTTGGTCACCATGTCATAAGGATATTCAAGCAGGCCATATGAAGAACTGAGACCTTGTGCCAACAGTCAGCATGAACCCACCAGCCATGTGAATGTGCCATCTAAAGGCATATCTTCTAGCCTCAGACTAGCCCTCAGATGGATGTGCCCAGGGTGACAACTTGACTGTAATCACCTGAGAAACCCTAAGCTTGCATGATTTGGCCAGGCCACTCTTCCAACTCACAGAAACTAAAAGATAATAAAGGTTATTGCTGTTTTAACCCAAAGGCATTGGAGGTAATTTATGAGCAGTAATAGATAACAAATACAGATTTTCATACCTGGAAGTAGAGTTCTGCCATAACAAAAAACACTAAAAATTTGGGTGGCTTTTCAACCGAGCAGTGGGCAGAAGCTGGAGGACGTCAGAGAAGAGTATCAGCAAAATCCTAAAGTACCCTCAGAAGATGTCCAGCAGAATCCTGTTGGTCCTCACAGAAGCTGCTGGTGAGGGCATAAGGAAAACCGAGGAAAATGTGACTGTAAAGTAGAGGACAGAAGGTTCTTGCTACGTAACGGCAGAATTTAACAATACTATTGCCTGTGGTGATGCAGAAAGTAGAAAATATATCGAATAAGCTGGATGATCTGTTAAAGTAGGCAGCTAGGCAGACACGTGCAGGGCAGGAGAGGGCCTCCACGCAGGAATGTCAGGCAACCATCAGGTGATGGTGATGTGGTTGTTAAACTCTCTCACTAAAATAATAATTGGTCACAGCTGGCACTAGGGAACGGCAGTCTCCCAATACATAGAAAACACCTGAAGCTGGTGATCAGCAGTTTTCAAATAAGATCTCAGGAGCTGGGCAAGTAGGCTGAAGCATGCGCACTAAGAAGCAAAATGGTGGGGTTTAACTGGTCTATGACCTTCCTCTAGGAACACTTGACCGGTAAGGGAAAGATATGCACAATGTCAGTAAACACACTGCACATACAGCCCCTCCCAAGTGCTGGCAGGCCACTGTGCATGTGGACAGCTCACCCCAGGAAAAAAATCAAGAGAGAAGAAACACAAACTTCAGAACTATGCCAATGTATGAAAACCTCAAGTCAAAGGTCAGATGGGGCACTTGGGTCTCTCAAGTCACCCGCTTGGCCCTCTTCCAAGTGTACTTTAGTTCCTTTCACTCCCACTCTAAAACTTTTTAATAAACTTTCACTCCTGCTCTAAAATTTGCCTTGATCTCTCACTCTGCCTTATGCCCCTCAGATAAATTCTTTCCTCTGAGGAGGGAAGAATCAAGTTGCTGCAGACCCATACAGATTCACTGCTGCTAACAGATCTAGATAAGATTTGCAGCCAGAATGTTGAAGATACCACCTAGTTTCTTCTTGCTACTAATAATAAAATGGAAGAGAAGAGAGATAAGCTAAAGGAAGGACCACTAAAAAAAAAAGCCAAGATTTACTGGTTTTAGAAATTTTATTCTCTGCAGATGGCAAACAGGACTAAAATTAGGAAATGGTTCCTAGGCAAAAAGTAGATTCAGAGCTTTCTTGGAAAAACACTGTATAAAGATAAAGCCGGCCAAGCGTGGTGGCTCACGCCTGTAATCCCAGCACTTTGGGAGGCTGAGGCAGGCGGATCCCAAGGTCAGGAGAATGAGACCATCCTGGCTAACACGGTGAAACCACGTCTCTACTAAAAATACAAAAAATTAGCCAGCCATGGTGGTGGATGCCTGTAGTCCCAGCTATTTGGGAGGCTGAGGCAGGAGAATGGCGTGAACCCTGGAGGTGGAGCTTGCAGTGAGCCCAGACCGTGCCACTGCACTCCAGCCTGGGCAACAGAGTGAGACTCTGTCTCAAAAAAAAAAAAAAAGAAAAAAGAAAAGAAAAGATAAAACCAAGAGTGTAGCTATAAAATCTTTTGCTGTGGCCTTAGAAATATTTAAGGTGGTGCCTCAAAGAACAATACAGTAAAATTGGGGTTTCTAAGAAAGTTAATGTCATCCCTCAGTAGTTTCAGCAAAAATTCAGGGTAGAAAGAGGATTATCTCAGAGATATTTGGGAAGTGGTTTTCTCTAATGGAGTATACTCCAATAATATTTATAGTATACTCACTATGTTTTTAAGAGAACTATATTGACAGATATGCTATCAATCGGTCTGAAAGAGATAGAAAGAAAAGTGGTCTATGGATCCCCAGAGTTCTACCAGCAAAAAGCAGATTAAGAAAACTTTGCAGCTACAAACATGATCTTTTATATAAAAGGAACAGTGACTGAGAGGGTGTAACCAAGAGCTCAAAGGGTGGATCCAAAAACCATGAGGAATTATTCTTGATCCTTGAGTCCTAATTAAGGAACTGTTGACCCATGCCTGAGGTGTTTTAGAACTTGTATGGTCCAGCAATTTCTGTGTGGTTTTCATTTTCCCATTTTTGAACAAGTGTAACTATAGCAGTTATGCTTGTTGCACCACTGTTCGTGTGAGAAGGAGGTAACTTCTCTCTTTAGATCACAGGTCTTTAGATTGAGAAAAATAGTACCCACAAAACAACATTTAAGGAATTACACCTGGATCTGATTTACATGATGAGATTCCAGACTTTGAGTTTGTGATAACTGGATGAGATTTTGGGGGGTTTGGAGATGGAAGGAGTATATTTTACATTTGAATCGTTAAGGGAAGAAAATGGACAATTATAGCTAGATTCCAAAATAGAACCCAATGATTCTCACCTCCTGGTATTCACACCCTTGGATAGTCCTCTCCTACACTAGATAGGGCCAACCTGTGTAACCAACAAGATATTGTGGAAATGTCCATTTGACGTCTGGGATAGGCCATAAAAGACCCTGTGGCTCTCATCTTGCTCTCTCTCCAATCACTCACTCTGAAGGAAGTCAACTGAAGTTGTGAAGACTTCGGCAACTTTGTAAAAAGGTCCACATGGTAAGGCATTGAGGTATCTTACTAAATAGTAGCACAAACTCACCAGCCATGTGGGTGCACCATCTTGGAAGGAGAACCTTCGGTTGCAGTCAAGCTTCTCAATGATTCCAGTTAAGCCAGGCAACACTGTGACTGCATCTTCATGAGAGACAGGGAGCCAGAACCAACTAGGTAAGCCACTCCACAATTCCTGCCCCATAGACATTGTGAGATAAGGATCTGTTATTGTTTTAAGCTGCTCTGTTTGGATGTAATTTCTTATACAGCAATAGATAGCTAATATGGTGAAGATTTGAATTCTGTTATAGTCCACCACTTTGATTTTGCTCCAATAACCTGACAAGACTCCATCTTCTATGCAACTCTATTCTTAAAAACTTGTGTTTAAGATACATTTAATTCTGTCTGTGCTTTCTTGGTCTTCTTCCAGAGTAAAGAGAGACGGTTCCACCCATCAGGGAAATAGTTTCAGCACTTCTGTGCTTGAAGGATAAGTCATAACACAACCATTAAGATTCCATCAAACCACAAAGATAAGTCCTCTTATCAGCAACGAATTATTTCCACTGATAGAACTGGGTAAAGATGTAACCTTTTCCTTGTCATCAGATGCAATCTTCTAAAACATAGCTTCAAAAAATAGTAGCAGTTGAACAGTCACCCACCTACCAAGGATAATATAGGCATACATCCTACATGAGAATAGAGAGATAAAATAAATGGGAGGCTTTTAGTGAACCCCCAAATTCACTTACTTCTAGCTCAGCAAGAACTGCAAGGCAGGGGGCAGAACAAGATGGTGCAATAGAAGACTCCACCGATTCTTGCCCCACCATAAGGACACCAAGTTAACAACTATCCACACACAAAAAAAGCACCTTCATAAGAGCCAAAACTCAGGTGAGCACTCAGAGTAGCTGGCTTTAACTTCATATCACTGAAAGAGGTGCTAAAGAGGTAGGAAAAACAGTCTTAAATTGTTGACATCACTCCTCTCCCAAGCCCCCTCCTTCCAGCCCCTCACCCTCCTCCCTGCAGCAGTGGCAGCAAGGTGTGGAAAGCATCTTAGTGTGCTGGAGAGAGGGAGATTGCAGCATTTATGAGGCATTGAACTCAGTGCTGCCCTTTTATAACAGAAAATAAAACAAAGCCAAGCTCAGCTGATGCCTGCCCACTGAGGGAACATTAAAACCAGCCTAGCCAGAAGGGAATTGCCTATGTCAGTGGTCTGAACTTGAGTTCCTGAAAGCCTTGCTATTGCAGGCTAAAGTGCTGTGGGGCCTTAAATAAACCTGAAAGGCAGTCTAGGCCAAAAGGACTGCAACTCCTAGCCAAGTCCTAGTGCTGAACTGGGCCCAGAGACAGTGGACAGAAGGTCACATGACAGCTAAAAGAGTGCAGGCATCATCCATTTCTTAACCCCAGGCTGCACAGCTCATGGCTCCAAAACAGACCCCTTCCCTCTCCTTGAGGAGAGGAAAGGGAAGAGTCTTGCATCTTGGATACCAGCTCAGCCACAGCAAATAAGGTACCAGTCAGAGTCATAAGACCCCCTTTCCAGGCCCTAGTTCCTGGATGACATTTCCAGACACACCCTAGGCCAGAAGGGAACCTGCTGCTCTGAAAAGAAAGACTCATCTGGAAGGAGTCCTGGAAGGATTCATCACCTGCTAACTGAAGAGCCCAGCAGTGATACTCAAGTACTACATCAAGGACCTTGGGTCAGACCCTGAGACTTGCTGGTTTCAGGTAAGACTCAACACATTCCCAGCTGTGGTGGCAATGGGGCAAGACTCCTTTCACTTGAGAAAAGCAGAGGAAAAAGCTAAGGGGACTTGGTCTTGCACCTTAGGTACCTGCTTGGCCACTGAGGGGTAGAGCACCAAGTAGGCTCTTGGTGACCCAGTTCCAGAACTTGGCTTTTGGACCGCATTTCTGGGCCTGCCCTGGACCAGAGGGGAGCCCACTGCCCTAAAAGTGAGTCCCAGGCTAGGCAGCATTCACCACAAGCTGATGAAAGAGTCCTTGAGCCTTAAGAGAACATCAGCGGTAGTCTAGCAGTACTATGCATGGACCTGTGGTGATGGTAGCCACAGAATAAGGCTCTTCTGCCCTTGGAAAGGGGAGAGAAGAGTGGGAAGGACTGTGTCTTGTGGTTCAAGTGCCAGATCAGCTACAGTACAATAGAATACCAGATAGACTTCTAAGGTTTTTGACTGTCATCCTTGGCTCCCAGACAGCACTTCTGGACATACCTGGAGCCTGGGGGAACTCATCACCTTGAAGGGAAGGACAATGCCTGGTTGGCTTTGCTATCTTCAGATTGTAGAGTCCCAGGGCCTTGAGCAAACATAAGCCATAGGCAGAGAGTGGTTACAGCAGGCCTTGAGTGAGATCCAGTGCTTTGTTGGCTTCAGGTCTGACCCAGCACAATCTTAGTGGTGGTGGCCACAGGAGTACTTGTGTCACACCACCCCCAGCTCCCGGTGGCTCAGAATAGAGAAAGAGACTCAATTCACTGGGGAGAAAGTAAGGGAAGAAAAAAAGAATGTCTCTCTGGTAATGCAAGAATTATTTCAGATATTACCCAAGACCATAAAGGCAGTACCTCTATGAGTCCATAAGAGCCACAGCATTACTAGGCTTGGGGTGACCCATAAAGCAGAGACAGCTTAGATCATAACACCTAAGTCATTTGGAGTATCTGGAAAGCCTTCCCAAGAAGGACGGGTAAAAACAAGCCCAGACTGAGAGTACTGCAATAATGTATAAATACCTAACTCTTCAATGCCCAGACATTGAAAAGCATCTATAAGCAACAACAGCATCCAGGAAAATATGATCTCACCAAATGAACCATCAGAAACCAATCCTGAAGAAACAGATATGTGACCTTTCAGACAGAGAATTCAAAATAGCTTTGTTGAGGAAACTCAAAGAAATTCAAGATAACACAGAGAAGGAATTCAGAGTTCTATCAAATAAATATAACAAAGAGATTGAAATAATTCTTAAAAAATCAAGCAGAAATTTTGGAGCTGAATAATGCAATTGGCATACTGAAAAATGTATCAGAGTCTTTTAACAGCAGAATTGATCAAGCAGAAAAAAGGATTAGGGAGCTTCAAGACAGGCTATTTGAAAATACACTGACAGAGGAAACAAAAGAAAAAAGAATAAAAAACAATGAAGCACACCTATAAGATCTAGAAAATAGCCCCAAAAGAGCAAATGTAAGTTATTGGCCTTAAAGAGGAGGTAGAGAAAGAGATAGGAGTAGAAAGTTTATTTAAAGGGATAATAACAGAGAACTTCCAAAACCTACGGAAAGATATCAATATCCAAGTACAAGAAGGTTATAGAATACCAAGAAGACTCAACCTGAAGAAGATTACCTGATATGGTTTGGCTCTATGTCCCCATCCAAATCTCATCTCAAACTGTAATCCCCGTGTGTCAAGGGAGTGACCTGGTGGGAGGTGATTGGCTCATGAGGGTGGTTTTCCCCATGCTGTTCTCATGATAGTGAGTGAGTTCTCATGAGATCTGATGGTTTTATAAGGGCTCTTTCCCCTTCGCTTTCTCTTCTTTCTTGCATCCTGCCATGTAAGACATGCCTTGCTTCCCTTTCACCTTCCTCCATGATTGTAAGCTTCCTGAGGCCCCCCCAGCATGCAGAAGTGTGAGTCAATTAAACCTCTTTTGTTTATAAATTACCTAGTCTTGAGTAGTATCTTTGTAGCAGTGGGAAAATGGACTAATACACTACCTCAAGGAATTTAATAATCAATCTCCAATAGGACAAGGATAAAGAAAGCCTCCTAAAATTAGCCAGAGAAAAGAAATAAATAACATACAATGGGGCCCCAATACCTCTGGCAGCAGACTTTTCAGTGGAAACCTTACAGGCCAGGAGAGAGTGGCAAGACATATTTAAAGCGCTGAAGGAAAAAACTTTTACCCTAGAATAGTATATCCAGCAAAAATATCCTTCAAACATGAAAGAGAAATAAAGACTTTCTCAGACAAACAAAAGCTGGGGGATTTCATAAACACCAGACCTGTCCTACAAGAAATGTTAAAGAGAGTACTTCAATCAGAAAGTAGGTCGGCTTCATCTTAAGGTCCAAAGCTCACTGCTAACAGTAAGTACCCAGAAAAACACAGAGTATTATAACACTGTAACTGTGATATGTAAATTACTGTTACCTTAATTAGAAAGACTAAATAATGAAACAATCAAAAATAATAACTGCAACAACTTTTCAAGACATAGACAGTACAATAAGATATAAATAGAAACCATAAAAAGTTAAAAAGTGAAGGGATGAAGTTAAAGCATAGAGTTCTTATTAGCTGTATTTTTGCTTGTTTGTTTATGCAAATGGTGCTGTTATCAGCTTAAAATAATGAGTTATAAGATAGTACTTGCAAGTCTCATGGTAACCTCAAATCAAAAAACTACAAGGATACATGAAAAATAAAAAGCAAAAAATGAAATCATATCACCAAAGAAACATCACCTTCACCAAAAAAAGACAAGGAAAAAAAAAAAAAAAACAAAAGACCACAAAACAACCAGAAAACAAATTTTTAAATGGCAGGAGTAAATCCTTACTTGTCAATAATAGCATGGAATGTAAATGGACTAAACTCTCCAATGAAAAGAAATAGAGTGGCTGAATGGCCTAAAAAACAAGACCCAATGATTTGTTGCCTTCAAGATACATGCTTCACCTATGAAGACACACATAGGCTGAAAATAAAGGAACGGAAAGAGATATTTCATGCCGACGGAAACCAAAAAAGAGTCGGAGTTACTATACTCATATCAGACAAAATAGATTTCAAGACAAAAACTATAAGAAGAGACAAAGAATGTCACTATGTAATGATAAATGGGTTATTTCAACAAGAGGATATAACAATTTTAAATATATGCACCTAACACTGGAGGACCCAGATATATAAAGCAAATATTATGAGAGCTAAAGAGAGAGATAGACTCCAATACAATAATAGCTGGAGACTTCTACACCCCACTTTCAGCATTAGAAACATCTTCCAGACAGAAAATCAACAAAGAAACATTGGATTTAACCTCCACTATAGACCAAATGGGCTTCATGGATATTTACAGAGCATCTCATGCAACAGCCGCAGAATATTCATTCTTTTCCTCAGCACATGAATCACTCTCAAGAATAGGCCATATGTTAGGTCACAAAACAAATCTTAAAACATTCAAAAAATTGAAATAATATCAAGCATCTTCTCTGACCACAATGGAATAAAACTAGAAATCAATAACAAGAGGAGTTTTGGAAACTATACGAATACATGGAAATTAAATAATATGGTCCTGAATGACCAATGTGTCAATGAAGAAATTAAGAAGAAAATTAAAAAATTTCTTGCAATAAATGATAATAGAAACACAATATATCAGAACCTATGGGACACAGTAAAAGTAGTACTAAGAGGGAAGTTTATAAGCTGTAAGTGCCAACATCAAAAGAGAAGAAAAATATCTGGGCTCATGCCTGTAATCCCAGCACTTTAGGAGGCCAAGGTGAGTGGATCACATGAGGCCAGGAGTTCGAGATCAGCTTGGCCAACATGGTGAAACCCCATCTCTACTAAAAATACAAAAATTAACTGGACATGGTGGTGTATATCTGTAATCCCAGATACTCAGGAGGCTGAGACATGAGAATCACTTGTATCTGGGAGGCAGAGGTTGTAGTGAGCCAAGATGGTGCCACTGCACTCCAGCCTGGGTAACAGAGCAAGACCCTGTCTCAAAAAAAGAAGAAGAAGAAGAAGAAGAAGAAAAATACCAAATAAACTTAACAGTGCATCTTAAAGAACTGGAAAAGGAAGAGCAAACCAAACCCCAAATTAGTCTAAGAAAATAAATAATAAACATCAGAAGAGAAATAAATGAAATTGAAATAAAGAGAACAATGTGAAAGATCAATGAACCAAAAAGTTTGTTTTTTGAAAAGATAAGCAAAATTGACAAATCATTAGCAAGACTAAGAAAAAAAAGAGAGAAGATCCAAATAAATAAATGCAGAGATTAAAAAGGAGATGTTACAACTGATACCACAAAATTAAAGGATCATTAGTGACTACTTTCAGCAACTATATGCCAATAAATTGGAAAATCTAGAAGACATGGACAAATTCCTAGACACATACAACCTACCAAGATTGAACCATGATGAAACCCAAAACCTGAGCAGACCAATAACAAGTAATGAGATCAAAGCTGTAATAAAAATTCTCCCAGTAAAGAAAAGCCCAGACTTGATGACTTCACTGCTGAATTCTATCAAACATTTAAAGAATTAATAGCAATCATACTCCAACTATTCGAAAAACCTAGAGGAAGAGGGAATACTTCCAAACTCATTATTTGAGGCCAGTATCACCTCGATGTTCCAAAACCAGGCAAAGACACATCAGAAAAAGGAAGGAAGGAAGGAAGGAAGGAAGGAAGGAAGGAAGGAAGAAAAACTACAAGCCAATCTCTGATGAATATTGATGCAAAAATCCTCAATAAAATACTAGCAAGCCAAATTCAACAATATATGAAAAAGATCATTCATCCTGACCAAGTGGAATATATCTTTGGGATGCAAGGATGGTTCAACAAATGCAAATTAATCAATATGATGCATAATGTCACCAGAATGAAGGACAAAAACCATATAATTATTTCAATGGATGCTGAAAAAGCATTTGATAAAATTAACATCCCTTCATGATAAAAACCCTCCAAAAACTGGGGATAGAAGGAACATACCTCAACATAATTAAAGCCATGTACAACAGACTCACAGCTAGTATCACACTTAATGGGGAAAAGCAGAAAGCCTTTCCCCTAAGATCTGAAGCATAACAAGGATGCCCACTTTCATCACTGTTACTCAACATAGTACTGGAAATTCTAGTTAGAGCAATCAGACAAGAAAGAAATAAAGGGCATTCAAATGGGAAAGGAAGAAGCCAAATTATCTTTGTTTGTAGATGATATGATCTTATATTGGGAAAAAACTAAAGACTCCACAAAAAAAACCATTAGAATTGATAAACAAATTCAGTAAAGCTGCAGGATACAAAATAAACATACAAAATCAGTAGCATTTCTGTATGCCTACAGTGAACAATCTGAAAAAGAATTTTTTTTAAAAATCCCATTTATAATAGCAACAAAGAACATTAAATACCTAGGAATTAACTTAAAAAGTGAAATATCTCTGGAAAGAAAACTACAGAACACTGACGAAAGAAATTGAAGAGGATCAAAACAATGGAAAGATATTTCATGTTCATGGATTGGAAGAATCGATATTATTAAAATCCCCACACTACTCACAGCAATCTACAGGTCAATGCAATCCCTATCAGAATACTAATGGCATTCTTCACATAAGTAGAAAAAAAATCCTAAAATTTATATGTAACCACAAAAGACCCAGAATGGCCAAAACTATTATAAGCAAAAAGAACAAAACTGGAGGAATAACATTACCTGACTTTAAATTATACTACAGACCTACAGTAACCAAAATGGTATGGTCCTGGCATAAAAACAGACCTGTAGACCAGTGGAACAGAATAGAGAACCCAGAAACAAATCCAAAGACGTCCAGCAAACTCATTTTTTTTTTTTTTTTTTTTTTTGAGACAGAGTTTTGCTCTTATTGCCCAGGCTGGAGTGCAATGGCACAATCTCAGCTCACTGCAACCTCCGCCTCCCAGGTTCAAGCAATTCTCCCGTCTCAGCCTTCCCAAGTAGCTGGGATTACAGGCATGCACCACCATGCCTGGCTAATTTTTTTGTATTTTTAGTAGAGACAGGGTTTCTCCATGTTGGTCAGGCTGGTCTCCAACTCCTGACCTCAGGTGATCCGCCTGCCTCAGCCTCCCAAAGTGCTGGGATTACAGGCGTGAGCCACTGCACCTGGCAGCAAACTCAGTTTTGACAAAGGTGCCAATAACATACACTGAGAAAAAGACATAAATGAAGCTGGGAAAGTTGGATATCCAAATGCGAAAGAATGAAACTAGATCCCTATCTCTCAACATATACGAAAATGGAATCAAAATGATTAAAGACTTAAATCTAAACCTCATACTGTGAAACTACTAAAAGAAAACATTGGGGGAAACTCTCCAGAGCATTGATCTGGGCAAAAATTTCTTGAATGATACCCCACAAGCATAGGCAGCCAAAGCAAATATGGACATATGTGAACACATCAAATTAAAAAGCTTCTGCACGGCAAAGGAAACAATTAACAAAGTGACAAGACAACTCCCAAATATTGGGAGACGATATTTACAAACTACCCATCTGACAAGGGATTCATAATTAGATTTTATAAGAAGTTCAAACAACTCTGTAGGAAAAATATCTAATAATCTGATTTTTAAGTGGGCGAAAGATCTAAATAGACATTTCTCAATTAAAAAAACTTACCAATGGCAAACAGGTATATGAAAAGATGCTCAACATTCTTGATCATCAGATAAATGCAAATCAAAACTACAATGAGATATCATCTCACTCCAGTTAAAATGGCTTTTATCCAAAAGTCCAGCAATAACAAATGCTGGCAAGGATATGAAGAAAAGGGAACCCTTGTACATTATTGATGGGAATATAAATTAGTACAACCACTATGGGGAATAGTTTGGAGTTTTCTCAAAAAACTAAAATTAGAGCTACTATACAATCCAGCAATCCCACTCCTAGGTACATACCCAAAAGGAAGGAAATCTCTATGTTAAAGAGATATCTGCACTACTGTGTTTGTTGGAGCCATCTTCACAATAGCCAAAATTTGGAAGCAACTTAAGTGTCCATCAATAGATGAGTGGATAAAGAAAATTTGGTACTTATATACAATGGAGTACGAGTTAGCCATAAAAAGAATGAGATCCTGTCATTTGCAAGAACTTGGATGGAACTGGATGGAAATCATTATGCTAAATAAAGTAAGCCAGGCACAGAAAGACAAACATTGCA
Source organism: Homo sapiens (assembly GCF_000001405.40). NCBI lineage: Eukaryota > Metazoa > Chordata > Mammalia > Primates > Hominidae > Homo > Homo sapiens. Next base: position 14,152,430 of record NC_000001.11, on the reverse strand, counting down.
TGTTCTCACTTATTTGTAATATCTAAAAATCAAAAGAGTTGAACTCATGGAGGTAAAGAGTAGAAGGATGGTTCCCAGAGGCTGAGAAGGGTAGTTGGAGGGTCAGGGGGAGGTACGGATGCTTAATGAGTCCAAAAAGAAAAAATGGCTTGAAAGAATGAATAAGACCTACTGTTTGCTAGCACAACAGGATGACTATAGTCAAATATAATTTAATTGTATATTTAACAATAATTCAAAGAGTATAATTGAATTGTTTGTAACACAAAGGATAAATGTCTGAGATGATGGATGCCCCATTTACCCATATATGGTTATTGTGCATTACATGCCTGTATCAAAATATCTCACATACCCCATAAATATATCCACCTCCTACGTACCCACAAAAATTAAAATTAAAATATTTTTTAAAAGTACTGCAAGGCAAAAACTTTATTAGAGAACTTAAACAAAAAAACAGGAAATAAATGAATTAAATTCTCTTTTCTTGTTATTTTATCATCCTTCCATTTTTTTTCCTTTCCACAAGTAATTACATAATGTCATACCACAACCATAATTCCTTCTTGCCCTCCAAAATAAAATTTACTACTGGGGAGCTCTTCCACTGCTCTGCTGGGGCAGCTGGTGTGATAGGAATGGTTACAGGTGTGATGAGGGATGGCCAAAGGCCCAGGAAGCTTACCTCATTCTTCCAATAACCTTGTCTATTTATCACAAACTGCTATAAAAATATGCCCACTTTCTCTGGGTGCTAAGAGTTTGGGAACACTGGTCCTTAGATATCACTGTTGATTTGTTCACTAGACTAGAAATTCCATGATGAGAGGAATCATGTTTTGCCTGCTGATTTGTTTTATCCGTTTCCAGAGTGCCTAGCATGAGAGCTGGAGACACAGTAAATAGTAGTTCAACCAATTCCTTAACTTAATTACAACATCAATATGGGAAATATAGCCAATTCCTGACAGGCAGTCACGAAAATATCAAAGTGATCATTTTCATTGCTTCTAAGCAGTGAAACATATTGCTTGCTCTCAGAAAATGAATTTTAAGAGGAAAACAGCTAAGAAATGGCCTTTCTGGGGCACTAAATTTTATAGATTATGTCCTGAAAAAAAAATGCATGGTTCAAAACTACCAGTTTAGTGTCTTTTTAACAGTACAGTTGAGACCATCAAAATTATGTTACATTGGTCACTCATATGCCCATCTTTGTCTTTTTTTTCTACAATCTGGAAACAGAATTAGTAAACACCCTATGAAACTCTAGGATGCCTTATAAATGATGTTGTAGATGAAGACGGTATAGCATGTGAAACTTTTATAAGACTGCATTAAAAGTGTGACCTCAATAAGTAGTCAAACTGAATGGAGACTACACTGTTCACATAGTTTTATAATGTAGGTACATTCACATATATAATTGAGAATATACACCCACACGTGTGTGTGTGTGTGTATGACAATGTTAGCAGGGTTTATCTCTACTTGATGTTATTACCTATGACTTTTCTTTTTTTCTGTGTATTTTCCAAATTTCCCACACTGAAATATACATTAGTTATTCAATTAGATTACAATTATTTAAAAATAAAAATGGGGCTGATACCAGTAATTATTTGGAAGAGTGTAGTAAGCATGTCTATATTTGATGATATCATTTTGGTTATCTCCAAGTGAGGTCAAAAGCCTGTTGTTGCATTTGGGTGGTTTGAGGATCAGCAATGGGAATGTGAAATCGTCTCTTTCCAGGCATGGATTACAACAATGGGTTCATGCATGGCTCCTAGTTGATACCATCTTTTCCCAGGCCTAGTTCAATTAACATACAAATGGATACACCTCTTGTATCACATGCAAGATGTAAGAACTGTTTGTCAGGTGATAAAGCAAAGGAAACCATAAACACACAGCTTTGAAAGTACAGATTTCGATGGCACAATGAAGTTGGAAGTTCTGGGGGCAGATGGTTCTTTGTTGCAGGCCAAGTGAAAGGGTGTAGACTTGGTTCACACAGAGACAACTCTTACTGTTTCTGGAACCCTTCTACCATAAAGGGGTATTAAATTGCTCCTGAGATACTAAGCTGAGAAGCAAAGATTTCAGGCTGTATAAAGTTACCAGATAGTTGGCACCCATTTAAGCTAAGCTATTCATGGTAGTGAATTCTGTGCAAACCATTAACCAACAGCAAACTGGAGTGGTGATAACATGGACATCACTCTAGAGAAAAAGTCAACAGGCTTGTTGTGTAACCTTTGGCAAGTCCTTCGTCTCTGGGAACCTCTATTTCTTTAGCTGAAAAATGGGGGTAATAATGCTTCCAGGAAACAGGTCATCTGTAGGGTGAGACAATGCTTGTGAAAGTGCTCTGAGAAACTATAAAGTCTGGGAAAATATAAAATTCCCTGCTGTTGCGTTATGACTAGTATGACTGTCGGTATCACCATTTTCTGAATCTGCAGAGAAATTTTTAGGCCAGCAGTTTTCAGAATATATAATATTTTCATCATTAGAGAGATCGGTTTTCCTCTGTTGAGTCTGTGAGTTGTTCCATATGCAAATCACACAAAAATATGCATCTTGTAAAACAATACAGTTCCATTCCCTGTTATAATCTAGCCTTTAAAATTAGGCTTTTAAAAAAATCATGGTATTTGACTAACACGATGGACTCATACTTATTTATATTTTTGCTCTCCTCTTTAAAATGATGGTAGGGAAATAAAATGAGCATAAACCCACAGTCACCACAAGGAGGCTGTCAGCAGCTCAGAGATTCCAGCAAATTTCCATGAGATATAAATCAGATGACGTAGTGGTGACCGATGAAAACGCCCAGGGAAGTGTGGCAGGGAAGAGGCCCAGGCAATGGTGGCCAAACGAGATGGGAGGAACTGAGCTCAAGCAAGAGCCCCGTGTTCCCAGAACTCCGGAAAGACTTGGGACTGGGCAAGATCATGTCCAGAAAGAGAGTGAACTGTGCACCTAAAAGAAGGAGATTAATTGAAAGGTTGTGGCCAGGCATGGTGGCTCACGCCTGTAATCCCAGCACTTTGGGAGGCCGAGGCAGGTGGATCACGAGGTCAGGAGATCGAGACCATCCTGGCTAATGCTATGAAACCTCATCTCTACCAAAAAAAAAAATACAAAAAATTAGCTGGGCGTGGTGGCACACGCCTGTAGTCCCAGCTACTTGGGAGGCTGAGGCAGGAGAATCACTTAAACCCAGGAGGCGGAGGTTGCAAGGAGCCAAGATCATGCCACTGCACTCCAGCCTGGGCAACAGAGCAAGACTCTGTCAAAAAAAAAAAAAAAAAGGAAAGAAAGAAAGGAAGGAAGGAAGGAAGGAAGGAAGGAAGGCAGGAAGGCAGGCAGGCAGGCAGGCAGGCTGTATGTGGAAGCACTGGCTCCGATCTCCACCTTCAACTACAGAATTCAACTACAGAACACCCTACAGCTAGTCTTTACCCGACAAGACCAAAATATAAAAGCCAAAACAAAATCCAATCAAGCAAAAAGTGGAGTGTTCTTTGTCAAACACATACAATGAACTCTCTGAAGAAAATAAAGACAGCTGATACGGATGTTGACATCCTAGAGCAAAAATGTAGAAATCCTGGCATTTTGGGGGAGTCAAGCATAATGGTTGGTGCCACCTGTTCACCATCAAGCAAAGCCTGCCATCCACATGTACATAATTCCCCATCTGCTTTCGCATCAACTCATTCTTGAGTATAAACAGACCACCAAGGATTTCCTGGCATTGAAGGAAAGTCTCAAACACAAAAGAAACATAAACAAAACAAAACAAAAATATGGCTTTGGAAAAACCATGAGTTTAGGAACAGGAAATAACATGTAAACAAAATAAAGATTCCAGACTACATTTTATCCATAAAACAAGAAAGGGGTACTGTAGCAATGGAACAGTCAGAGAATAAGAGAAAACTCTTAGAAATTGAATCTACTATTACCAAAATAAAAAATAAAAAATGTAATATTGAGGCTAGTTGTTAAATTTGAGAGTATCATCCGGCAAGTAAAACAAAAAGTTCAGAAAAAGATGAAGGTGAAAACAAGCAACAGAGAAAATATGCCAAAAGTCACAGAGAAAGAAGAGAACAGGGATGAGAGGAGAAGCAGGGGATGAAAATAAAGAATAATTAAAGTTTCTATTAGAAATGAAAATCATAGCACCTCAAGTTTGTGTTTTGTTTTGTTTTGAGACAGGGTCTTGCTTTGTTGCCCAGGCTGGAGTGCAGTGGCATGATGACGGCTCACTGCAGCCTCAACCTCCTGGGCTCAAGTGATCTGCTGGGACCACAGGTGCCCGCCACCACACCCGGCTAATTTTTAAATTTTTTTGTAGAGATAGGGTCTCACTATGTTGGCCAGGCTGATCTCAAACTCCTGGGCTCAAGTGATCCTCCCACCTCGGCCTCCTAAAGTGCTGGGATTACAGGACTAAGCCACCACACCTGGTGCCTACGTTTAAAGGGACTATTACAATAAATAGCAATAATAGTAGTCATAGCTAAAGGTCATTAAAAACCTCTTATGTACCAGGCACCACTTTAGAAAGGTTTCTACGTAGTGACCTTTAGTTTTTTTGTTGTTTTTTTTTTTTGAGATGGAGTCTTGCTCTGTCGCCAGGCTGGAGTGCAGTGGCGCGATCTCGGCTCACTGCAACCTCTGCCTCCCAGGTTCAAGTGGTTCTCCTGCCTCAGCCTGCCGAGTAGCTGGGACTACAGGTGCGTGCCGCCATGCCCAGCTAATTTTTATATATTTTTTTAGTAGAGATGGGGTTTCACCATGTTGGCCAGGATGGTCTTGATCTCTTGACCTTGTAATCCACTCGCCTTGGCCTCCCAAAGTGCTGGGATTACAGGCATGAGCCACCACGCCCAGCCCTGCAGTGACGTTTTAATCCTCCCAATAAATCTAAGAGGTAGCTTCTATTATCAACACTGTTTCATTAATTGTATTAATGCAGCTGAGAAAATGGAGACAACACTGTTACTGGTTAAAACACTTAACCCAAGCTAGTAAATGAGACAGCTAGGGTTTAAACTCAGCCAAGTAGGGTCCATGGCCTGCATTCTTCAACATTATACAGTTGACCCTTGAACAACACGAGGGTTAGCAGCACAAAACCCCCTTGCAGTGGAAAATCTGAATTGTTTCGAATACATGGAAACTTAACTACTAATAACTTACTGTTGAACAGAATGTTATCATTTATTAATGATAACATAAATATCTATTAACACATATTTTGTGTTATGTATATTGTGCATTGTATCCTTTACAATAAAGTAAGCTGAAGAAAAGAAAGTGTTATTAAGAAAATCAAAAGGAAAAGAAAATATATTTACTATTCATTAAATGGAAATGGGTCATCATAAAGGTCTTTATCCTTGCTGTCTTCATATTGAGTAGGCTGAGAATGAGAAAGAAGGGGAGAGGTTGGTCTCACTGTCTTGGGGGTGACAGAAGTGGAAGAAGCGGACCCACACAGTTCCAACCTATGTTGTTCAAGGATCAACCATATCTCCCATAACATCCTCACTTTGACAAACTCTTCTGAAATTGAAGATGACTGAGGATAAGAAAAATATCCTAAAATGTTCCAAAGGAAAAAATGAAAGGTTACCAGAAAAGAAGCAAATTTAACTGTCATCAAGTCACTCCCAGCATTCTTTTTTTTTTTTTTTTTCTGAGATGATCAAAATGAGTTTTGACCTAGAATTTCATTCCCAGCCAAATTATCAATCAATTCTGAGGATAAAATAAAGGTCTTTTTGCACCTGCAAGGATTAAGAAAGTTTACCTCCACATCTTCTTTCTTTCTTTCTTTTCTTTTCTTTTTTTTTTTTTTTTTTTTTGAGATGGAGTTTCACTCTTGTTGCCCAGGCTGGAGTGCAATGGCGCAATCTTGGCCTACTGCAACTTCCGTCTCCCAGGTTCAAACAATTCTCCTGCCTCAGCCTCCCGAGTAGCTGGGATTACAGGTGCCCACCACCATGCCCAGCTAATTTTTTGTATTTTTAGTAGAGACAGGGTTTCACCATGTTGGCCAGGCTGGTCTCAAACTCCTGACCTCAGGCGATCCACCTGCCTCGGCCTCCCAAAGTGCTGGGATTACAGGCATGAGCCACCGTGCCTGGCCCCACATCTTTCATTAAAAGTTATTTATGGAATCCTCCAGTAAATAAGGAGGAAAATTAGGAGAAAAAAAAAACATGCATGGGATTCAGGAAACAGTGACTACACCAAGGAGAATATTAAATAGAAGTCATGACTGTTCAGGTGACCCAGGGACATCACTCAACTCAGGGTAGAGCACAGGGAACAAGAGGACAGAGATCCTCAGAACAAGGTCTCCAAACATAAATGAGAATCAAGTGATATGACAGTTTGAGAAAAAATATTAGAATACCATAAATTCAGATAAAGAAAAAAAAGGAAATGTAAATCAGGTAAACTTTGTCATAATGTGCAAGACAGGAAGTATAATCATGACCCCGTTGTTAATCAAGTGTAGACTGTCTTGGCCAGGCACAGTGGCTCACCAGCACTTTGGGACGCCAAGGCAAGTGGATCATCTGAGGTCAGGAGGTCAAGACCAGCCTAGCCAACATGGCGAAACCCTGTCTCTACTAAAAATACAAAAATTAGCCAGGTGTGGTAGCACATGCCTGTAATCCCAGCTACTTGGGAGGATGAGGCAGGAGAATCACTTGAATCTGGGAGACAGAGGTTGCAATGAGCCAAGATCACACCACTGCACTCCAGCCTGGACGACAGAGCAAAACTCTGTCTCAAAAAAAAAAAAGGTATACTGTCTTATAAAGCTAAGCTACATACTAAGCAAAGTTAATTATGTTTATAGACAAATATTTTTTATGGGAAAAGTAAAAATAAAGTCAAAGAATAGTGTGTGTGGGGGTGTGGGTGTGTGTGTGTGTCTTTTTTTCAGAGACATGGTCTTTTTCTATCACCCAGGCTGGAGTGCAGTAGTGCAATCATAGCTCACTGCAGCCTCGACCTCCTTGACTCAAGCGATCCTCCCACCTCAGCCTCCTGAGAGCTGGGACTACAGGAACATGCCACCATGCCCGGCTAATTTTTAAATTTATTTTGTAAAGATGGGGTCTCACTATGTTGCCCAGGCTGGTCTCAAGCTCCTGGGCTCAAGTGACTCTCCCACCTTGGCCTCCCAAAGTGTTGGGATTACAGATGTGAGCCACAGCACCCAGCCAAGACTATTGTAAGGGAAGAGAACATTGAAGCTGGGAGAGTCGTAAATAATGAAGGGAAGGAGGGTAGAGGTACTAAGAACCTTATCCTAGAAGAGCTATGGTCTGAAAATTGATTAAACAATGAAATAAAGACATTGCATGAAGGTAACGTCTATGGTTTGGATATTTGTTCCCTCCAATCCTCATGTGGAAATTTGATCCCCAATGTGGCAATGTTGGAGGTGGGGCCTGATGGAAGGCTATTGGGTCATGCCAGTGGATCCTTCATTAGTAGATGCCTTTCCTGTGGGGTGAGTGTGTTCTCACTGTGTTAGTTCCTGCAAGAGTGCTGGTTGTTAAAAGGAGCCTGGAACTTCCCCCCACTTGCTTCCTTTCGTGCCATGTGATCTCTGCACTGGGCTCTCCTTCCACTTTCTACTGTGAGTTAAAGCAGAGTGAGGCCCTCACCAGATGCAGATGCTCCATCTTGAAATTTTCAGCAACCAGAATCATAAGCCAAGTAACCTCTTTTCTTTATAAACTACCTGGTCTCAGGTATTCTGTTATAGCAACACAAAATGGACTAAGACAAGGCCGGGTGTGGTAGCTCATGCCTGTAATCCCAGCACTTTGGGAGGCTGAGGCAGGAGGATCACTTGAGCCCAGGAGTTCAAGACCAGCCTGGGCAACATAGCAAGATGCCAACTCTACAAAAAAAAATAATAATAAACTAAGACAGTAACTAAGAGAGAAACTAAAAATGACATAACTGTTATATCCCTATATCCAGAGCCTCAAAATAAAAGTTACATCCCAGGTACCCTTCCCTAGGAAAGTTCTGGAAGATGTGGTCCACCAAAGTCAGGCAATAAACAAAGACAAGGGGAAGACATGCTATCCTGGAAACAAGGGATCTAACGCAGAGCAAAAAGATGAAGGAATTCCTGGAATGACACTGAAGGAAAATCCCAGGACAGTGGTTAAGGAACAGAGATAGAGAACTGCTTATCCGAGTTGAGGAGAAGGAGGAAAGAGTTCTGCATTTAGGAAGGGAAAGTAAAAACAAGAGATTCCCTGATGTGCTCAAATAAATCTGGAGCAGATTTATAACTACAGAGGAGAGTTTGGGAATGAACTGCTGATAGATTAATAGAAAACTAGTTGGCCAGGTGCGGTGACTCATGCCCATAATCCCAGCACTTTGAGAAGCTGAGACAGGAGGATCACTTGAGCCCAGGAGTTTGATACCAGCCTGGCCAACGTGGTAATACCCTGCCTCTGCACAAAACTTAAACAATAGCCAGGCATGGTGGCACAGGCTTGTGCTCCCAGCTATTTGAGAGGCTGAGGTGGGAGAGCTGCTTGAGCCTAGGAGGTCGAGGCTGTGGTGAGCCGAGATCACACCACTGTACTCCAGCCTGGGCAACAGAGCAAGATCCTGTCTCAAAAAAAAGAAAAAAAAAAGCAGAGCAAACTTTGGTGGGGGAAGGAGGATGAGCAATTACAAAGTCCAGGGAGGGCAAAATTTGTGCAAGACAAGAGGTATAATTGTGACTCAATTGTTAGTAAAATGTATACTGTCTTATCAACAGAAACTCAACATAATTATTTCACAAAAATTCTGACACAATTACACTGGTGGAAGTAAGTGGGGGAGAAGTGTGTGCCTGTGTATGAGGGCGCAGGAAGAATACAAGATCTAAACCCTTACCTTTCACAGTAGGAAATCTAAAGTTGACATATAAAACCAGAAAATAACAAAACCAGAGTATTAGAAATAGGGCGGTACATACACGAAACAATAGCTCAGAATGAAAGGGGTTTTCTAGGGGAGCAGTGGAATAGTGGGGAGGAGGACTTCCTAACAGGCTGGTGTTTTCCATGTCAAGCCTCAGGGATTATTTGGCTTTTAAAAAGTATGCCTAGGTATACAGAAATAAAACCAAAAGCTAGTTTAAAAATTTCAAAATCATGGGGTGTTATGCCCTGAGCAACAATGCTTTCTTCTGGATGCATCACAATTAGGAACCGTCGTTCCAAGCAATGTTTCCTGGCCCTGGGAGCAGTCCCTCCTGCCACTATGGGGCCATGCTGAGAGCTGTCTTGGAACCTATGCTGGCCTCATTAGGTGATGTTCCTCCAGCTGCTCCATCCCCGAGATAATTACCGCAAACTTTGGCTCATGCTGGCCTCAATTAGACAGGTCCTTCCTTTCAGGGGCATAAGGGCATGGTGGCCGTCCAGCAGGAAGCCAGTAAACACTTGGGAAGACAGTTGGGCCCATCTCACCAAGGGCATGAAAACACAGCCAGAGCGGCTTCTTTTCAAATCTTAATTGTAGAGGCAACTCCTGTGATTCAGCTCCCTGAGAAAATTGAGTAGAGGGGGCAAGGGGTGGAGAAGGGATTGTACCATCTTAAATGAGGAGGAGAGGCCCTCCAGCTGCAGCGGGCCCATCTGCCTCACGTGACCATGTCCATGAAAATGAAGTGAGACAAATGTCATTGAGAGGGCTCCTCTGGTCTCTAAAGAGCTAACAGCCAATGCTGAAGGCTACAGCGCTTTCAGGCTCAAGTACTTCCTTCACTCAGGAGTCTTGGCAGGGATACGAGGAATGTACAAATCTGGCACATTCTCCTCCTCCTGTGAGTAGCGGCCATCCCACATAGCACGTAAAGTGTGTATTTTGTACATCTTGTGAAACTCACTGTAGCTCTTAAAAAGAAAATGCTCGCCCAGGTAGGTGCAATAACATTGACATATTTCCAAAAGCTAAGAAGCAGCCTCTCCATTCATTTACATTTGCTGTTAGGAACAACCTGGTAGCTAAAAGCTAAGACATTTTTAGACTGTGTATTTTATTGGAATTTTAAACGCTTCTAATTGTGCATGCACCAGGAGGTTTTGAAAATGGAGGTTTTAAAGACTTCAAGCGGGCACAGCTAGACATCTCAGTAGAAGACAGAATTTTCCTGAATTATGCTTTATGACAAGGACACATTGGGGTCTTAGGTTCAGCCTGTAAACCTACCTCCATCTGGTTTTAAGGCAAGCCAAAAAAAAAAAAAAAAAGGGAAGGAGGGAGGAAAAGAGGAAGATAGCAAGGCAGGAACAAAGAGAACAACCTTGCTTCTACAGTAGATAAATAAACTTACACGGATTTCCCATCAAAAATGTACTCTTTATAGCAACATGAGAACAAATAATGAGGGGAAAAAATATCAATTCTCATAAGCACAAAGCCTTAACATTTTCACTTACAACCTCAAACTGAATAGCATCCAGCCATTTCCCATAATTTCAGTAATGGCCGAGACATTGGAACATGCAGTAATAACAAACAAAAACACGCCATTATCCATGCACAGATGTAACCTCCAAACACAGAGATTTTTCTCCAGGACCTTAAAAAAATTGCATTCAGTAGCACATGCTGCCAAAACTCGCTGATTTTTTTACCTATTTTCACTCAGTTTGCCTTAGGCTAAAACTACTTATCGTCCAGGCAGGTACCCGACCCCACAGGGTCTCAAATTATTGAAAGCAAATTGGCTTTCAGGCTGTTTCCCCTCTAATCTCAATTCTTTGAGGCCCAAGGAGTGATTTACATGGCAAATGGGTCCTACAACCACCATTTCTCCTTGGAGTCCTGGCATCACCACAGAGACCAGAGGAATTTTTTTTTTATTACTGTAAATGAGCCGTTCGTTACATCTGGTTCCATCAGCGAAGGATGAGTTTTACCCCCCGAAGAAACCTATGGGGCTGACCCTTGGAGAGGGTCTATGTCAACAGGTGGGCGTCGGGAACCTCTGTGCTCTCAGGCCCCAGAGGCAGGAAGCAGAGACATAGCTTCTGCGGCCAGGTCCCCATGTGACCACTTGGGGCAAGCATGTCATTTTCTCCAAGCAGCTATTTTTAGTTTTGTTTTTTTTTTTTTTTTTAAATGGTAATCACTTCAACAGTGTCATGGAGAAGATTCAAATGCTTCCCCACAATTTCCAGGTTTTCCCATTCCTTTTCTGGGGGTTTTCTGGGGAAGTTTAGAAGAATGATCTAGAAACAGCTTGCCAGGAGAATTAGGCAGCCAGAACGGCGTCCAGGGAGGAAAGCTTTTGGCAGCGTGCAGATTCTTGGCATGGTTCCTCCAGGGCCACAGGGACCATCCTAGTTGGGCCTGGGCACCTGCCCAGAACTTCTGAGCGGAGCGTTGTTCACATGCCACTCATTCTTGGCAGGCGAGATGCAGAAGGCATCGGTCTGTGAGCATCATCTCTCCTCTGCCGCCTGCCAAGGTTTAGACAGGACGTCTTTCTTCCCAGAGAATGAGGGCATCTTCCCAGCCGATCTCCCATCACCTGGACAGGTACAGACTCAGGCTGCTTGTCCTTAGAAGTCGTTATAATGAAGAGTGACACATAAACCTTCCAGAGAAGCCTGAAACTTCTGGACGGGGTTCGTGGGGGAGGCAGGGGTGCGGGGGTGGTGGAGCAGCTTACACGTGTGTAAGAACTACAGGCAAAGCAGGTCTAAAACTTGCTATGGAAACAACTAAAATGTGTTCAAAAGCTAAAAAGAATGATTGGGCTCTTTTTCTTTTAAAAGTCAAGAAAAAGAGGAAAGAAAATATGGGATAGCGAAAAGGGGGGTGGGAAGGCCTCCCTCCCTCTAAATGTATTTTGTATTATCAGAAGAGAATGCAGATCATGCAAACGTTTTCTGGGGACTTAACGTTTAACTGTTTTCATCTTATAATTATCGAGATCTTCATTAATAATTATTATAATTATTATTACACCTGCGAAGCACTTTCTGTATGCCAGGCCTTGTGCTGGGTGCCTTAGATATATTATCTCATTTAATCCTCATAGCCATGTGTCTTATTGAATCAAATCCTCATATTATCCCAGTTTTACAGATAAGGAAATTGAGGCTTAGAAAGATTAGATAGCTTGTCCAAAATCACACTTTCTAACTGATGGGGCCAGGATTTAAACCTGCCTCTGTTTAATCATAAAGCCCTTCCCTTTAAGGACTACCCTGTACATCACCTCTTTCAGGAGAAAGAGAGTTGGGTTTGACACCTGCCTCTCTACAGTTCCTAGAGCCAGACTCATTTTTGAAGACTTTCATGGATGCCTATATGGTGTGTCAACAAGAAAGCTGGCCACTTTCCTCCTTCCTACTTAACACACACACACACATACATACCACACACACACACACACACACACACACACACACACACACACATTTACCTCAAATCCCCTTTCCCTCCTCCCACACTTGAGTAAATCAATTACTCCATGCTTTATCAAAAGCCTATTTGACCATAAAGAATTTTAGAGAAAATCTGACCTGATCCTTTCATCTCATGGATAAAGAAAATTGAGGCCCAGAGCATGGCTGATGCCAAATAGGGATCTGGAATTCCTTTTTCTGGAACAGTATTCTCTCCTCTACGGCCCTGCAGCCCATGCCCTGCTGGGCACTGGGTAGAAGGCTAATATCAATCAGCCCTGGCCACTGGCCACCTCTGCAGAAGCTAATTGTCCAGAGGAGGGAAAATACAAGTTTATAAATAACTAAAATATCAGGTCAAGCACATTGCAGGAAGCAAAAGTGGAATAGAATAATGGGGCTGGGAGCTCCAGGAGGAAGAACAACAACAAAAATTCCCTAGCCGTGCAACCAGCAAAGTGTTCAGGAAAGAGGCAGTGTCTGAGCTAGACTTGGAAGGATTAGTAAGCTATACGTGTGATGTGATGGGAAGGACATCGGCAGTGGAGGCTTAAGACATGGATTTCAGGTAAACCAAACCAAACACAAAAAGTGCTTGAATTCCAAATAGGTTTTGCCGGAATGATGACACAGTAGCCATTACCATAGCGAGAAGCTTGGTGTACCACATCAGCTTACCTTCTCCCTTCAGTATCTTGCAGCAATGGGCTATGGGCAAAGCAAATTTGGATAGGAGCAAAGGAGTGGCCACTGTCCAGGACAGAGGAGAAATTAGCGTGGGACAACTCAGTGGGCTGTATTTGGGAAGTGGTAGCAATTAATGCATTAAGGGGTTGTAATGTTTTCTACAGCCTTCTCGAATGTGCTCTCTATGGGCAACTACTATGAAGAATGAAAGAATGAAAGGAGAGAAGGCTGCCGCTTTTCTGGGAAGGCCAGCCCAGACATTAACTTCATCCACATGTGCTGGCCATGCCTCTTTGAATCCATCGGCCCTGGCACAATTTGTATGATTCTAAATCTCCCTGAACCAGGCATGTGATGTGTAAAACTAGATCCATTCTTAGTGTTGGAAGAGCCATGCCTGCCTTGGAACACAGAACCATCTGTTAGCATTAGAAACACACAGCCTTGCCCATTCATTCCACTAGTGGGAGTCGAGATGCCTGGAAAAGAAAGCATGAACACACGCTTCCAAAATTGGAAAGGGGAGGCAACCTGGCATGGATGGAGATGGTGCGATGGGGGAGCTATTGAGAAACGAGCCTGGGCTCTGCGATGTACGCCATTGCCTACCTGATATCTTCTCCCACTTCTGCATTCCTAGCAGAATTCCAACAATGCGGAGATGTCCACCTTCCCTTTCCAGGACGATCTCGTGGGGGCTCTAGGGGAGGCTGAGGGAATTGGTCTGAGGGAATCCCATTTCCTCTTCCAGTGACTGGTTCTGGTGCAGGCGTGGGAGATACATGTGACCAATGAGACATTAGAGAAGTTCCAATGGGATACTTCCAGGGAACTTTCTTAACTTCTAAGAGTGAACCATAGAAGGAACAGGTCTTTCTTCCTTCTGAATGTGGTCAAGTCTGGACGTGACTCCTAGATCTGCTTAAGCCCTGTGGCTACCAGCTTGATGATGGCAGGGCAGAGAAATGGAAAGAACCTGTGTCCTTGATGACATCACTGAGCTTCCGAGTCAACCAGCCCTGAGGCTCACCCTGCCTCAGGACTTCCTGTTAAGTGCTAGAATACATTTCTATATAGTTTGTTGGATGTGGGCAGATTTTCTAGTAGTTGCAACTGAACGCATTTTAACATATAGGATATGTATACACACACACACACACACACACACACTGTAACATTTATTTAATGCTAACATTTTACACTACATTTAATCTTTCCAACATTTTTGCAAAGCCCGTACTATTATCCCCATTTCATACATGGGAAATCAAAGCTTTAAAAGAGAATTACTCATCTATTATGTGGTCTGGCTCAGATACACACTGAAGCTCCTGGAAGAATTCCTTAACTGATAGGCCTAATCAAAGATAGAATGGGCTGCCTGGGCGTGGTGGCACAAGCCTGTAATCCCAGCTACTCAGGAGGCTGAGGCAGGAGAATCGCTTAAACCCAGGAAGAGGAGGTTGCAGTGAGCTGAGATCGCCCCATTGCACTCCAGCCTGGGCAACAAGAGCAAAACTCTGTCTCAAAAAAAAAAAAAAAAAAAAAAAAGCCTTATATTTGTTGTAGGCTTACTCACCACCAGATACTGTTGTCAGCAGTTTACATGTTTGAACAGATCCAATCTCTGTGGTCATCCCCTGAAATGAATATTATTATCATTCTTATTTTGCAGATGAGGAAACCAAGCCACAGAGGTTTAAGCAACTTGCCGAAGGACACCCAGCTGAGAGGTGGTATCAATAGAACTTGAGCCTAAGCAGTGTGGCTCCAAAGCTCATGTGTTGAGCCCTCAAGGCACAGAGTCAACCCTGTGAGTCCCAGCCAGCCTGAAATCTCTGGTTCTGGTCAGTAGATGGATGATCCATATTGGGAAGAGCAAGTATAGTGCAGCTGCCCAGGGCTGTAGGGCCACCTGACCCACGCACCTGGGAACACCTTACCTCTTACAGAAACTTACTTCTAGATTTCAGTGGTGTTGCTTTGAAGACCAGAAGGCAAACCCTGGGTGTGCACCTGCCTGACCATCACCTCTGGTGTGAATGATCCCACCCAAGCATATTCCTAAGGACTGGGCTGGACTCCATTCCCGGAGCTCTGGCTGGGATGGTTCCTTAATGAAAGCGTTTCCCTTTGACTTCCCAGCAGCGGCCCTTCCTTCCTCACTTGTTGGGAAAACCCAGGGCATGTTAGCTCCTGCCTCAGAAGACAAAGAGGAGAAATCCTTCCTGAGCTTCAAAGGAAACTTCATAACCCTAAAAGCAGTGGTCTGGCTGGCAAAGTCTTTCTCTCCCTCGGCGTTGGGTGGCCTTTAGTGACTCCTGGCTTCAACCCCAAGCCCCCAGCCCCACTGAAAGCTTGATGACCTCTCCTCCTCACTTGGTCCTAGTCCCCATGCACTCCAGCAGGGCTTACTGCAGTCATTACTAAGGCTTTGGCTCATTAGAGGCTCTTCCACTTGGGCACAGGATTGGCAAAGAGTTGCAATTTGGAGCATTCTGTTTACAAACAAACTAACCTCATCAAGTCAAGCCAGGAGGCAGCAAGCAGCTGGGGAGAAGCCACATTCCCATCCCTGGCCTTCCCCTCCCTCCTGGGTTAGTTATCTCCCACTCTTCTTTCCAGGGTACTGTGCACCTGGGCCCTCAGTCACCTCTGCTGGGAAGCTCTTTGGAATTTACGGAATGCCTTTCTGCAGCATTCTGTCTTATTTGCGTGACTGAGGAGGATTTTGCCACTGATGTCCTGTATTTCAACAAAGCGTCCTGCTTGCATTTTCTTTCACCTGCTTTGCAATTGTTTAGTAATACTTAAGTGCCAGGCTCTGGGTTAAGCACTTTATGAAGCTTTCCACACAATACCTGGGTTAGTTCCCTGACACTCTGTGAGGTGAGGGCTATCACCTTTCCTACTTCACAGGGGGGCATCTGAGGCCCCGTGAGGCTAAATAGTTTACCCAAGGTCACAGGGAGATGGAGTGAGCCAGAGGACATCCGCTTGTGCCCTACTGAGGCCGGGGCTCCCCAAAACTCTGCAGTCCTGCCTCCCTCCATGGGAGATTCAGTACAAACCAAATAGCCACCCAGAAATCAACAGTGTTGACTTCCCCACCAAGATGTGATCCTTTAGCTTTGCTCTCTGAGGCCTTGATGGGTTTTCCACAAAGACCCTCCTCTTCCCCAGGGTCTCCTTTCTCTCCCCCATTCTTCAGAGACCTCCACAACAAATCACTGCTTGGGAGCCAGTAACAAGAATGCCAATTATTGTTCCATGAACCAAGTGTAAAGTGGGGGCTTTCTGATGGGAAAAGCAAGACTTAGAGCAAGTTTCTCATCTCTGTGACTTTAACATATTTCCTACATTTTTAGCAAAATTATAGAGGATAGTTCCTTTTGGAATCTTTTGAGCAGCCTCCATTTTAATTCGAGATGGCAAATTCATCCACATGTTAAACTTGAGCGACAGACCTGCCTTCTCTTTTAGAATTAATTCCAGTTTGGTCAAAAGCAACACTCTCTTCAAAAGTTAGCTTGGAGCCAATGAACAGAGGAAAAGAAAATGTTCAAGTGGTCTACTTAAACAAGACCTCGCTCCATCCCACCAATTAAAGAGAAATTAAAACGGCTTCCAACTAGAACTTTAAATGCCTCTGAAGGGGAATTTCTGAAGAAAAAACCTTTGCCGTTCGAGATACTTGTTAAAGATATCACAGTCTTCAATCTCAAGGGTCCCTGGATTCCCAAAATCTTTGATCATCTAAATTTAGCTGTTTTCATAAACATTTCAGACAGCAGGCTAATTTTTATTCCCTGGAGAGCCTCATGCACTCAGACTGCAAGTCCAGGAAGAATGTCAACTTTTAAGAACTAGTCAAAGCCTCGCTAAGACTAAGAGCCAGATACCAGCTATTCGGCTGACTTTAAATCTGTGTCATTACTCACTGTCCCTTGAAGAGGAACATAAAATTTTACTATATGCTGCTTGTAATTCAACAAATAATTACTCAGCAGGTGATGTGGGCAAGGCCTCCTCACAGGGTGCTGTGAAGGAAGCAGAGATGAGCAGGCCTGGCTGCTGCCACTGCAGTCCAGCAAAACAAAGAACATACAATCCTACCAATCAGGTTGCAGGTTGGTGCAAAAGTAATTGCAGTTTTTGCCATTACTTTTAATAACAAAAACTGCAATTACTTTTCCACCAATGTAATAATAAGTGTGAATGTGTGAGTGTATGTGTGCATGTGTGCACATGTGTGTGTGTGTGTGTGTGTGTGTGTGTGTGTGCGGGTGCATATGCATGCATGCTTGTGAGAGGCAGTACACTCCAAGGACAATTTGTTGGAAAATATGTCATTGAATCTGAGATATAAAGAATGGATAGAACTATGGGTAATTTTTCTGTCTTTCCATTTTCCGTCTTTATTGCTGGCAACTTGTTTATGTGATTAATAATAATAAAGCAGAGAAAAATGGGGAGGAGGTGAAGGCCAGTGTGTTCCGAGAGTACCATGAAAGTGTAGGCCTGGAGGCTGGAAATCCCAAGGCGGATCATTTAGAAAACAATATGCTGCTAATATCTCTTTTGTTTTGAAAACAAATTCATGACTGTGCACCTTTATTTAGTAGCTGTATGATGTTTGCCCACACAGATTTCTACTGCTACCAATAAAATGATCTTTTACTAAGTCCTAGGATAATAGCCAAGAGCACCTGCCCTGGAGTCAGCCTGTATGGCCGCATGAGTTTGGGCAGGTCATTTAATCTTTTGAGCTTCAATTTCTCATATTTGATTTCAGAATAGTAGTAGTACCTGGCTCATAGAGTCATCAAGATGAAACGAGATCACCTCTCTAAAAAATACCTTGTCCATTGCACACAGTAAATGTTCTGTGAAAGTCCACAGTTGTTTCAACATCTAGGGAGGATCCTTTCAGCCCATGTCTTCTTGGAGCTACTGATCTGACCATTTTGACCTAGTGGATGGTTTTTTTTAACCATATAGTTTAATAAAGATGGACCACAATACCCATATGTCCATCACATCACTTTATCTTACCACTTTCTGTTACCCAGGCTTAATCTTCTTGAAAGCAGAATCTAGGCATGCAGATGAGAAAATTGGCTCAGACCCTGTCTCCCAGTGGAGAGATGTAGTATCCAGCTAAATCCTAGAACTTCTGACTTGAATCCACTTCTTTTCCCAGTATTTGATACAATCTGTTAAATGTCTTAATGTCATGAATGTGTTAATGAGGATTCATTTTGTGGCAGAAGCAGGAATCAGAACTGTGTCGTCCCCTATGATGAAACGTCCACTCTAGACTGCTCCTTCGAGGCAGGACTTAGAGGTCAAAAGGATGCGACACATCTGGTTTCTGGTCATCTCATGCTTTTCTTGTGGCTTCATCCTCAGTCTGCACATGGCTGGAAAAGCCTCCAGCATCCCCAAACCTATGTTTCAGGAGGCATCCTGTGCTCAGTCCTGCCTTGGGGTCATGAGTCCATGCTTGATGGGATTATGACAATTAGCCAAGACAAGGTCACAAGTCACCATCAACAAACCCCTTGGAGAAGGGTGTGAGGACTCTGCTTGGTCAAGAACAGGTCACTCATTTCACCACGCATCCATCCCAACCACACTGAGCACAGAAGTGGGGCTGCTTCCACAGAGGTCATTCAGGATTCTGTTACCAGAAGAAAAGACACTGGGCAAGCCAAGTCAGCATTTGTCCACTGAGGAATTGCCCATTACTAGATAATAGAGGAGAAAATTATTTTCTGGCTAACTGAGAGTTACACATAGATTCCCCTATTTTCTTTCTTTCTTTCTTTCTTTCTTTCTTTCTTTCTTTCTTTCTTTCTTTCTTTCTTTCTTTTTTTTTTTTTTTGAGAGGGAGTCTCACTCTGTCACCAGGCTGGAGTGCAATGGCACGATCTCAGCTCACTGCAACCTCTGCCTCCCAGGTCCAAGCCATTCTCCTTCCTCAGCCTCCCAAGTAGCTGGGATTACAGGTGCTCACCACCATGCCCAGCTAATTTTTGTATTTGTAGTAGAGATGGGGTTTCACCATGTTGGCCAGGATGGTCTCAATCTCTTGACCTCATGATCCGCCCACCTTGGCCTCCCAAAGTGCTGGGATTACAGGCGTGAGCCACTGCGCCTAGCCAAATCCCCCATTTTCAAATCACCAGAATGTAATAAAGTAGACTTCAAGGGTCACATCACAAGATGCCCCCAATTTCTTAACCCGAGGGTTAACCTTGTGCACATCTATCCTTACTGTGATGAACCTAATCCCATCTTTCCTATTGTAATGAGCTGAAAGAGTGGTCCATAGAGGACCATAACGATGGAAGTGTTGGAGACAGTGGTGACTAGGACCACCACGAAAAGTCCTCCAATAGTTACAGAACCCAAGCATGGGTTCTCTAACCCATACTGGATTAGAGAAAAGTCCAAAGGGAGACAGGCTAACTATCTCCTAATATGTGAGGGGCTGTCATGTATGGGGGAAACATATTGTTAATTCAATATTCCATTTAGAGGTAACATTCCATCGAATGGGTGGAAGTTATCAGAAGGCAGGTTTTGGCTCAACAGTGGTATAGTGAATGCTTGTTGATTTTGCTCTCCAGCATGCATTCTTCCTTTTTCTGGTAATGGCACCCTGATTTTGTTCTTCGGAGACATTTTCTCCATTCTCATTTCATGTAGTTTGAGCAGCTTCCGTACCCACCTTCAAGAAAGTAGCCCGTGATGGAGGTTTAGCCAGTCAGCTTAATGCATGCTCAGGCCACAGGCCCTGGCTGGTGGTGGCAGTCACTTTCTGTATCCCTCAGCCCACCTGTGGTTTCTGCTGAGCCAGGGCACCCAGTTCCTAGGACCCTGGTAGTATCACGCTCAAGCACCTGCTGTGACCCCCTGCTTTTCTGCCTCAGGCCTTTATCTGAAGCCTACCCCCTGACCCTAGCACATCCCATCTGAATTCAGCCCAGAGTGGGGAGGTGGAAGGGAGCAAATGCCTCCAAAAATGATCTTCAACCAGTGGAGACAGGAGATGGGGTGTCAATGAGCCATCACATCTTGTCCTTCTAGGGGGCATTCTACACAATTTCTGAGGGACCCCGGTAGGGCTGAGCCTCATTTGTTCATAGCAGTAACCAGTTTCATTATATATCTTTTATTGACTTTCCCTCTTTCCCTGGGCTCACCTTCCACATTAACTGCTTGTACTCAAATCTCAATCTCAGGCTCTGTGGGTGAGTGGCAGGTGGCACCCAAATGAAGTCATTGGGAATTGATATGTTATCCAGTTTGGGCCAGTGAGAGAACAAAAACTCCCAAGAATTAGAAGGGAGCCATTGGTGTGGTGTCATAAAAAAATGAGTCTGAATTTGCCAGAGACCACCAAGCAGATCCAGAGGACAAAGCCAAGTAGAAGGAAACAGAGCTGAGATGAAGCTTGGTGATATCCTTTGAGCCCTGAATCAAGCCTCACCTGAACCCTACTTTACCTGGAATCTTGAAAGTTATGTAACCCAGTAAATTCCTCTTTTAGCTCAATTAACTGAAAGTGGAGGGGATTTTTTCTACTCCACTTTCAACCAAAAGATTCTGAACTAAAACCACAAAGAAATAAGTTTCCAACCATTAGCGCCGCCTCACAGTCAATAAGGTTGCCTTGAAAAGTATTGAGCTCCCCATAATTGAAGAGATCCAAGCAGAACACAATAAAACATATATCTAATGTGCTGGAGAAGGTTTCTCCTTCTACACTAAGTTTGTTTTAGGGGCTTAGGAGGCAAACTACACAAATTCCAAGATCCATTTCAACTCTAACGTATCGGATTGACTAATAAAAATGAATAAATTGATTCAACACCTCTCTGGCTAAGAGGTGACCAGTGACAGTGTTTCCAACTTTGGCCTTACTCATCACACTGTAATATGGTTTGGCTACGTGTCCCCACTCAAATCTCATGTTAAATTTGTAATCCCCGGTGTTGAGAGGGAGGGACACAGTGGGAGGTAATTAAATCATGGGAGCAGATTTCCTCCTTGCTGTTCCTGCGATAGCGAGTGAGTTCTCACAAGATCTGGCTGTTTGAAAGTGTACAGCTCTTCCGCCTTCACTCTCTCCCTCTCCTGCTGGCCATATGAAAATGTGCTTTGCTTCCGCTTCACCTTCTGCCACGATTGTAAGTTTCCTGAGGCCTCCCTAGAAGCAGAAACCTGTACAGCCTGCAAAACCAGGAGCCGATTAAACCTTTTTTCTTAGTCTCAGGTATGTCTTCATAGCAGTGCAAAAACGGACTAATACACACTGCTTGCATAGTATTAAACAATCACATTTCATTAATATGATTAATGATTAATCATTGTTTCCCCTGCCATCTCCCTACCCTCTGACAATTTGGATCACTGATACTTATTTAAAGCTTTTCTTTTCAGAATTGCCTAAATGCTACATTCTCTACCTGTATCAGAGGGTTGACAAGACAATCAGCACACTCAGTGGTAATATCAGGTCCCAAAAAGAGACATTCTCACTGAGGAGGAATCAGTCAACCCCAGAGGCAGCAAGAAGGATTCACAGCTTTCTGGTTACTAAAATAAGGACTACTTTTACTCAGGACAAGCCTAATTATTATTTTGATGGCAGAAGGTTCAGATATGTTATCCACAGGCTCACAGATCTCCTCCCTCCACCCCAAAAGACCTGCTCCCACAAGACATGCTACATTAATATTTATTTTTTCAGAAACAGCATGCATTAACAAAATGAATAAAGCAGCAGGAAGTAAGTGGTCTCAGAATTTTTTTTAATAATAAAAAAATCAGCTTATTAATGGTGAAAATATACCAACAGGCACTTGTTTTGAAGAAAGATGTTCAACCTTGCATACAGAAGGAGCTGCCTGGCATGGTTAGCGGGAACACACTACAGATGGGAGTGAAGTCCCCACTGATGGCTGGATGGAGGGGCCCCCAGCCACCTGCCCTCCCCACACATTTGGAAGGAGAGACCACAATACCATGCTCAGAGCTACATAAATGAAAAAAAGAAAGAGGAGAGAGGCGATAGCCCTTAACATTTTTGGCCCAAGGAAAGAAGGTTTTAATCAGAAAGCGCTAATTCACTTATGGTCAGCAGAAAGATAATAAGAGACAGACTTACTGACTGTTGTAAAATGTAATTGATTAGGGTTTCTGAATCTTATTCATTTTTTAAAATGTTCTATCTTGTATTATGTATGCAGGTTGCTGGCTATATTTGTTCACTTCTCTCAATTATCTGCATACAGAAAATGTGACAAGGGCTGCTTTTCTTTTAATTTACTCTTGTGATCAAACGAGTTTCATCCATCAGGCAGCAGAATCGTGAAATGATTTCCTTTACACAAATACCAGTGTTTCAGTAAACTCACAAATGGATAGGAACGTGCATATAACCTCTCTCTCTCTCGCTCACTCGCTCACTCACTCTTCTCTCTCTCCCACATCCCCTGCCCTGTTTTTCCATGTGATGGCTCCCTTTTCCTGTGGGCTGCTGGGAAAATGGACAATGGACAAGTGTAACACCCATCACGAGAAGAACATGGAGAATATGGACGAGTGGCACTGAGTGAGCCCCAACAAGGTGCCTTCCCCCAAGACTCATCTGAGCTCTGCAAAGACGCAGCACAGCCCCACAGATGGGCAGCCAACCAGGAGCCCATCCCTCTTGCCAATTCTCCCACTGGAAAGTGGAGGATTCAGGGGAGGAATCGGGTGGGAGGCACAGGGCAGTTTGGCCTTTCACATCCCATTTAATTAGGCCTGATGCTTGAAGGAATATCCCTGAACTTGGCTGATGGATAAGAAAAAGCTGACATATTTGGGCTAGACTTTTAGGCTTGGCAGAGTGTTCACTCCATAGGGGCACAGGGATCGAGTATCAGAGGGAAAGAAGAGCACAAAGCTGGGGTCCAAAGACCAAAAGTGTGTCCGGCTTCTGTATTATCTGGCCTCCAACTAAACATTCCCTTTCATGCCTTCCTCTCTAGGCACAAAGACCCATTCAACTGTGAAGCAACTTCAATAAATTCAACTCCACTGATAGGGTACCATGTGAGTCCCTATGTGCTGGACTCTGTTCTGAGCAGTGGGCTACCAAGATAAACAAAGAAAAATCAGTGCCTTTTAGGAGGCCTTGGTTGAGCAAGGGAAGTGAGTCCATAAATAAATAATTAGAGAACAAATGCATCCACTTTATTACCTGCTAGGCTTATGTTAAAATTCCCTTAAAGATGGAATGGCTTCTGTTAAGGCAATTCATATCTCTCAAAAATTGTACTTCTAGCACCGGGGCTTTATGAACCAAATTAATGATCAGATGGGTTGAAGGGTTGAAGATGAAAATGGAGATTTCCTGACGCTATGGTTAATGTGTGACATCTATTCTGGGGTGGCTTCCAGTCTCAGCTCTCCAAAGACAAAAAGACAATAAACAGTGAGGACACCTATTATGGGCTGGAATATGTCCCTCCTCACCCCCCAAATTCATATGTTCAAGTCCTAACCCCCAGTATCTCATAATGTGACTAGATTTGGAGATAGGGGCTTTCAAGAGAAAATTAAGCCTGTTTGGGTGATCCCTAATCCAATATGATTGGCGTACTTCTGAGAAGAGGAAATTTGGGCACACAAAGAGACCACAGGGGTACACAGAGAAACAGCCATGTGAAGAGGCAGCAAGAAGGCCGCTGTCTGCAAGCCGAGGAGAGAGACCACAGGAGCAACCACCCCTCTGCAAGTGTCTTGATCTTGGACTTCCAGCCTCCAGAACCCAGAGAAAATAAATGTTGATGGTTTAAGCCACCCAGTCTGTAGGATCACTATGGCAGTCCTAGCAAACTAACACAGCATGACTCCCTCTTAGCAAACTAACACAGCATGACTCACTGAGCTGATCTCCCCACTTGGCTGCCCATGGAGAGGCCTTCATGCCAGCCTCAGGCACCAGCACCCCTTGGTGGCATTGTGCACCAAAGCACAAAGATGGTGCAGTACCACCTTATCCCCTGAGAAACTGCTTTGCCCCCAAGCACACAAAAAGGGAGCTCCTGGCCTCCTGATTTTCACAGACTGAGCACTGAGCTCACTGCCCCACTGGCTCACTTCACTGAGCTCTGCCTAACCTTGGACTTTTCTACTCCAATCCCACTCAGCCTCCTGGGACCTTCAGATTTGACATTCGGCATCGTCTTGTAAACTTGGACTCTGACTCCCTCTTGCCCTCAAATCCCATTCAGTGTTGCCAGGACCACCTGGTCCTCCCAGCATCGTGAGTGGACCCAGGGACCTCACAACATTCCCACACTTCCTCAAATCTCTCTTCACTCCAGACAGAACAACCCCACGAGCCAAGTGCCCACGTCTCCTCTCTGCCAGGGTGTCCCTAGCACCGACTCAAAGCACCAACTCAAAGCCTGGCACACAGTGTGGGCTTCATATACCTCTGGTGACCAAATTCGCAGACTGGATACAGACACAAGGAACAGCCTTTCTCTCGTAACCCCATGCATTCTCTCAAAGCAAGACTCCAGAATCAAGTGAAAGCATTTTAGATTTATTTAGAGTGTTATCTGTTATCAAGGATGACGGGGGAAGGTTGGAGGACGCCGGAGCACTTCTGAGCACATACAGCTATAGAGGAAGGCAGAGCCACTGCTAATTTCCCAAGTGGGAAATACCCTGTCCCCATTAGCGTTGGATTTCCTGGCCTCCTGGCTTTACCACGGCTCCAGTGTTAGGTGAACCTTTATTTTTATATTGCACAGAACACACACTCAGACCAAAAAAAAAAAAAAACAACAGTAAAGGGGTATGCTTTTTCTCAGCTATTGGAAAACATATATAGGCTTCATGGATCCTACATTACCTCTAAAATTGTTTTCAGATCTGGCCTGTCCTATGTTAAATCGCTCCCTCATTTTTCTTTTTATGTGCAGCCTTCATTGTGAAACAGTTTTTGCATCTGGACAATGAAATTGAACTTGCCTAAAGGGCAAGAAACAACGTATAATCATAAATTGAAAACTTCTCAGTTGGAAAGAAGTCACTGGAGGCAAACAGATGATGGGAAACTTTTGTTTTGTTTTGTTTGAGATGGAGTCGCATTCTGTCACCCAGGCTGGGGTGCAGTGGTGTGAGCTTGGCTCACTGCAACCTCCACCTCCCGGGTTCAAGCGAATCTCCTGCCTCAGCCTCCTGAGTAGCTGGAATCACAGGCGCCTACCACCATGCCTGGCTAATTTTTGTATTTTTAGTAGAGACGGGGTTTCACCATGTTGGCCAGGCTTGTCTTGAACTCCTGATCTCAAATGATCTGCCCACCTTGGCCTCCCAAAGTGCTGGGATTACAGGCGTGACCCACCGCACCTGGCCAATGGTGGGAGACTTTTAAGATTTAGGTAGTTACATCATCATTCTCCAAGACCCAGCATGAGCAGTCCAAGGAGGAACATCAGATCAGGAGTCAGAAGACCCAAGGTTGATTGACAACCCCACCCCTTCAAAGCTGTGTGACATTGGGGAAATCACTTCACCTCTCTGATTGTCCTTATTTTTTTTTATTATTATCATACTTTTGCATTTGTAAAATAAAAGTGATATTTATGCCATGTCTGTCATTAGGTCATTGTAAAATTCAAATGAGACCTTTGCTAAAATGCACCACTCTGTACAAGTAAAGGAAACATACCAGGAAAGAACATCTGAAGCTTGGATTTAGATTCCCAGTCTGCCAGTGAATACTTCTGTGTCTGTGGGCCTGAGGTATCACTTTCTCCTTTTACACTTCCGTTTCTTCGTCTTAAAATGTAATAAATAAATTAAGCATCTTGACGGGGGGGGGGAGGGGAGAGCTTCTGCCTTTATGATACATGGAATAGAGATGCGAGGCCTTTTCCTGTTGGAATTCTAGAGGAGGAAACTTCTATCTTTGGCTGCTTCCCCTAGGGAAACCCACAATGAGAGAAAGGTGTTTGTGCCTCACGTGACTGAAAGTCCTACCTGTTTCAGTTGCAACTGTGTCCTAAGGAATCCTAGCTTCACTTTGCTCCACCACACACACAGTCCACATAAGTAGTGAGAAAAAGCTGCTACATATATAAACCAGATCATGTCACTGGCTAGTCTGAAACCCTCAGTGCTTAATACACCTTCCACTTACAACAAACCCTAAATTCCTTACTAGGGCCTCTAAGGCCAGGTAAGAGCTGCCCGCAACTCCCACCCCCCACCCCACCCCGCACCACACTCCACTGGCCTTACTGACGGAGGCTGCAGTTACACCTGCCTTCCCATGGTTCCTCAATCCTGCCCTGATCTTTGTTGCCTGAATCTAACGGTTCTGCAAATCTGCCCTGAACCTTGTTGCCCGAGGGTAATGGTTCCTGGAACCTGCCCTGATCTTTGTTGCCTCAGGGTAATGTTTCTTCCATGGATGCTTTTTTCCACTGCATTCATTTCCTGTGGCTGCTGTAAGAAGTCACTCCAAACTGGGTGACTTAACAGAAGTTTACTATCTTCCAGTTCTGAAGGCTGGAGTTGAAAACTAAGGTGTCAGCAGGGCCCCGCTCCCCCAAAAGTCTCCAGGGAACCATAGTCCCTTGACCCTCCCAGCTTCTGGTGGCTTTGGCTTTCCCTGTGGCAGAGTCCCCAGCTCTCTGCCTCTGTCTTCACATTGCCTTCTCTTCTGTATCTCTGTCTTCCCCTCTCTGTCTCCACTGTCACTGGATTTAAGCCCACCTGGACGATCCAGGGTGATTTCACCTTGAGACCCTTTTTAATGACCTCTGCAAAGATCCTTTTTCCAATCAAGGTCACCATCACAGTTCCTGGGGAATGTTTGGCTAGGACATGGACATATCTTTCTGGGGGCCACCATTGACCCCCAAGCCCCATTGCCACACATTTTTGCTAGGTCGGAAAAGACATTTTTGATAGTCATGATCAGGACAGGGGCAGGGGGAGGATGGTGCTTCTGACATCCAGTGGGTAGAGGCCAGAGAAGCTGCCAAACATCCCACAGAGCACAGGATGCCCTTCTACAAGAGAGGATTATCCAGCCCCAAATGTCAATAGTGCTGAGATGGAGAAGACCTGCCTTCCAGTTTTGGCACCTGCTGTTCCCTCTTCCTGGGAGACATGCCCGTGGATGATCCGATCTTGCTACTGAGGCCTCACCACCCATTACCCTATCCACTCGCTACTGCAATCTGTGTTTCATTTCCCTCAGAGCCGCGTCTCAATGGGAAGCCCTTATTGATTCACTTACTTGTTTGCTGTGTCTCCCTCTCTCCCCTCCCCAGTGCTGCCCCCGACAGGAGACTGACCACAAGCTCTTGTGAAAGCTGGATTTTGTCTCTTTCCAAACCACATTTCCATGCCAAGAGCAGAGCAGGTGCTCTGTGCACACTTTCTGAATGGAAGAATGAATGAATGAACAGGTGAGTATTCCGCAAGAGGGCGGGCCTCAGAGGCAACGTCCACACCAACATTGCCAGCACTCGAGGGGACTGATGGGACTTCAGGAACTGAGAGAGGCCGTTGGCGAATATACCAAGATGTCCTTTTCCAGAGAGCTTAAGCAATAAATAAGAAAAGATCTTTCCTTCTTTTTCTGTGTGAGTTTAAATCAAAATGTGGGTTTCACCATTGTCTATTCTGTGCCGAGGATGGTGATAACTGATGTGACATTAACAATGAAGCTGAATGCAAGATCCCTGACTTTAACAAGCCTGGATTATGGTTAAGATGAGACTGAACCCAGATAAAACAGTGTCTGATTAGGTGCCAGGCTGCATGAGGCTAGAGAGAGCCAGCGGCTAGGCAGGGACGGGGGTGGCGTGGTGAAGCCGTCATCACAGGGGCTAGCTTCGGCAGTACATATTAAAATGAGAATGGTACAGAGAAGACTAGCACAGCCCCCGTGTAAGAATGTTACACCAATTCGTGAAGCGTCCCATGTTTTGCTCAGTCTTCGGAAAGTCATTTCACCTTAGTGAACTTGCTCCAAGGAAACAGTGTGAGGCAAAGCAAAACAGGTGGCACCAAATGTTGAAATTGTGATTTTGCACCACAAAAATATTCACGTAAGGTGATTTGTGATATAAGAAAGAAACTGAGTTACATGTGAAATGCATCTTGGAAATGGAGGGAAAAGTCGTCATAGAAAGGTAGACCCTTACCTGGGTCGGAATGAATGGGGAGGGCTCCTATTGGGAAGGAGCCTCCGAGGGGCCAGCCACACATTTGTCATCACTGAGAGATGAAGGGAGAAGCCTGGGCCACTTGGGAGCTGGTGAAGAAAAGGCCCCAAAAGAGGGTGGCGGCATGGATGGGTTTAGGTTGGATTCCATCACTTTCTGTCCTTGACCACTGAGACCAGGGGTGTGTGTTTGACCCATAGATAATATAGGCCCACTGGGGGCTTTCAGTAAGGGAGGGCACCTCAGAAGTCATTTGGGAAGATTGATCTCAGAGAAATAGAATAGCCAGGAAGAAGGAGAACTTGAAGGGAGGCTGCAGTCCCATTTGCAGGTGATTGCGGCCATCCAGGCATGAAATGGTTGACTCTATTGGAATTGCCTATTTATTTCATAATGAGAAGCAGAAACCTTCTTCACCTTTCCATCCTTGCCTCTCCTGTTGCCTCTCCTCTTCTCTGTATTTGGAATTCTCGCTTAAAAATTCATTTGACTACACACCTGCTCCAGGTGATTCTCTTCTCTGCAACAAAGCACTCATTTCCAATGAGGAAAACTGGAGTCACAGAGATGCTAGGAGGGAATGGTCCTGCAGAAGATGCAGCAGAAGGTACATACACATCAACAAGGCTGACAGCTGTTGGAGACAACCATCTCCCTGAAGCCTCAACATCCACATTGCTTGACTTGGTTAAAATCTGTGACCTCAACACAGCATGAATGCAGCTTAAAAAAAAAGTCATGCCTCTGTGTGTTTCATTTTATGTACTCAAAAAGCAGGTAGAATGCAGAAAAGTGGAGCTTCAGCCTCTGCAGGAAAATGGCAATGGAAACACAACCATGGAATTGTCCCAGCAGGAAGAGACTCTGGCTGCCCAAGGAGTGACATCAAGATATTGGTGGAAATTCCAGACAACACCTGGTTTGATCTATTATTTACATTCCCACGTAATTTTTACATCTTTTCTGGATTTTAAAATTATCTCTGCCAACTACCCATTCCTCCGCTTTGCTATCAAATGTCGCCTTGCTTATCAAGTTACTCCCTACAAAGTAGGGAAAACAAGTATGTCACAGAGCAGTAGCCATAGACAAAAAACAAACAATAGCAAAAACCAAGGTAGGTGTTTTAATCTAGTAGAACATAATACAGGTACATTTTTGTCCAAAAACAAGGACAAAAAAGTTAGATCTTAAGGCATGATGTTGTAGAAATCTACAGCAAATGGAAAGAATGTATTTACACATAAGCCTTCAGAAGAACAATCTGTTTCAATGCTCACAGCCTAAAAGCAATAGACTACATGGATGATGAAAATGATCTGGTAGGTGCAATTAGCTACTTTATAACCGGGAGACAATTGCTTCTACTGTGGCTTAATAATAACAGAATATTGTTCTACTGTAACAGAATAGAGAACGTCAGCTCATCAACTATGTGAGCTGGGTCAGGTGAACAACTATCTCATTGAATCTCAGTTTCCCTAGTTACCACATGGGAGTAGAATCTCAGAGGATTGTGATGGGAATGAAATGGGATGATTCACATAGGAACTGTCTGTCAAAAAGCAGTGTGCTCATTCAAGAAGGCACTTCTGGATAAAAGAGATCCAAAAGTGGCTCCAGGCAGAAGAGGTTATTGATTCCTTGGCCACAGGAGTGAAGTTCAAAGAAGAATTGGGTTTTATTGAATTACTCAAGTTTTGCTCAAACACTTTACAGTTATCTCTGATGCCTCACTTTCTGCTGCACATCTAAAATCATTACAAATTCTTTTATTTCTTCTTTAAAACATATTCAGAATCTGACCACCTCTTACCCCCTCCACTGCTGGCACCCAGCTTTCATCACCTCTCACCTGGGTCTCCCTGTTGCAGCACTTCCCGTCTACACCAATTGACAGCTGGCTCTTTCACAGCCACGGCCAGATTGTATCTCTCCTTTGCTCAGAATCCTGCAGGGGCCAGTCTTTTCTGAGATCAGGAATTACTTCTCTAGCCTCATCTACTGTGTTCTACACACTCTGTTCCAACCTCGCTGGCTTCCCTGCTGCTCCTTGAGCACACCAGGCACCTTCTGCCTCTGGGCCTTGCACTGGCTATTTCCTGCATCTGGAATGTTCTTTGCTCAGATATTCCTGTAAGTAACTCCCTCACCTCTTCCAAGTCATCTTCTCAAAGAGGCTTATTCTCACCTCCCTATTGAAAACTGGAACCCTCTACCCTGATCTCCCTTAGCTTGTGTGTTAGTTCTTTTTCACAGAACTTACACCTTCTAACATTATTTGCTATTTTTATTCTTTATTTTCTATCTTTTCGCACACATACATAAGCATTTAAGTGCTCACATCATGAGGGAGGGATCTTTGGGCATCTTATTCATGGATGTATTCCATAATGGACCCATAGTAGGTCCTCAATAAATATTCTTGATTTTTAAAACGTGTTTGTTAGGCATAGTGATTAAAAGCTTGGATTCATGATCCAGATTGCTTGCATTTGAATCTGGGTTCTTCCAATTCCTAACTGTATAATTGTGGATACTTTACATAATTTCTCTGTGCCTGATTTTCCTTCTGTAAAATGAACACACCCCCGCCGCCCCACTGCCCTATTGAAGTAATTCTTGTGGAATTATTGCTCCTTGCACTTCAGGTTGGTATATGGTAAAACAGAATATCAGGCTTCATTCACCGTAGTGATGAGTTAGCTGACCAACAGAAGAGGTTTTTAAGGGAAGGTTTGCATATCACACCTTTCCCTGGTTAACCATTTTCTGAATGCCTGCTAATACTATACTCATATATGACAAGCTATATCAATTAAAATTCCTTGATAAAGCAACATGGGTGAGCAAACTCAAATATCCATGGTACGCACAGCTTGACTCATGGGGTTCTCCCTCTCCTTCTCTCGCCTCTGCTTCCCCTGGGTTGGGCAATATCCTCAGTCAGCTCTTGCCTCATAGTGCCAAGATGGCTGCCACAGCTCCAGACTAGATATCATTCATAGGCTGTGGACTAGTAGAAGAGCACAGAGCTCCTTTGCCAGACTGCCCATCTGGGTCTCTTGCTCTGTTCCCTTTGGCTCCTATGCCCATCCTTGACTCAATCACTATAGTAAAAAAATATGATGCTCTGATTAGCTAAAACCTACATCAAATTCTCCCTAAGTCAGAGGTGAAGTCCCTCCCAGGACACACAGACAGGGGGTTGGAGAAAGCAAGATCAGACACAGTTAGCAGCAGAAGGATGCATGGGTACCAGAAGCCAGAGATAGCACATGTCCACTGTCCTGAGAACACTGCCAATCCCCTCCAAAGAATCTTCCCTCCCTACCTCCTTTAGGTTTCACAATCCACTGAAGCATCCTTCCATAAGAATTCAAAGTCAGTTATATTTGGACCAGGTACCTCTGGGCCCAGTGAAGGAAGACGGGCATCTACCATCTACTGATGTTAAACTTAACCTTGAGGTAAGATGAAACCCAAACCCTTGTAATAAAACTACATATGTGATATGGGTTGGATCTGTGTCCCCACCCAAATCTCATGTTCAATTGTAGTCCCCAGTGTTGGAGGTGGGGCCTGGTGGGAGGTGATTTGATCGTGGGGGTGGTTTCTCATGAATGGTTTAGCATCATCCTCTTGGTGCTGTTCTCATGATAGTGAATGAGTTCTCACGAGACCTGGTTGTTTAAAAGAGTGCACGGCACCTCCCCCCGCCCTCTTGCTCCTTCTCTGCCCATGTGAGATGCCGTTCCTCTTTGCCTTCTTCTATGATTATAAGTTTCCTGAGGCCTCCCCAGAAGCCAAGCAGATGCCAGCATCATGCTTCCTGTACAGCCTGCAGAACCATGAGCCAATTAAACCTCTTTTCTATGTAAATTACCCAGTGTCAGGTATTCTTTATAGCAATGCAAGAACGGATTAATACAATATACACAGGAAAACCACGTCCTTATGATCTGTCTCCTGTACTTCCTAGTCTAGCAGAGTGTGAACAAGGTACTTACCCCATCTGTGCCTCAGTTTCCTCATATCTGAAATGGGCATCCTACTTTTTCACACCAAATAGATCGTACACATAAAGCCCTTAGAACAGTGCCTGGCACATGGCAAAGACCTGCTAAATGTTAACAATTATTATTGTCCCTGCTATTATTAGCAAGGGACCAGTAACCAACTTAGTACAGTACTAAGCCTTGTGACACGAGACAGATGTGCACAGTGTTATTTGGCCTGAGAGTCCTTTATATCTTCCCAAGAGGAATGTTTTCCTTGAGTGTCAGCTATTGAGACACTTATAGACAGACTTTTCAGCATGTCCCACACTGGGTTGGACTCTCTCTAGCTAAAGAGTTAATCCATCTAATCAGTAAATTCCTCTAGCCCTTGTCTGTTACTAGCTATTAAAAAGATGGCTGAGTTTATGGTGGTCTAAGATGAGCCAAGTGGAAGATGGGAAAAGATTCATCCCTGAGGGCAAATGGGCTGGAGACACTAGAGGAGTTCTAACATTTGCTCCAATTGTGGTAACCCTGAAGACAAAAAGATGGCACAGGCACACCTGAGCAGCTGCAAACCCTTGCTGCCCCTTAGCATCCAACAGCGAACTGTCTGAGCAGGAAAAATAATTGCCCTAACACAATTGACTTAAGTCTCTTATCTGCCCAGAGCTTCTGGGCTGAGCTTATGAGTCCCGATAAAAGTCTACGGATGGGAAGGAAAGGCTCTCTGCCTCTCCAGCAAGGAAAAATCTGCCTGCTCCCCTACAGACCCATGGGCTGCCTGGTCTTCTCATCGTGAAAACCCACAGATAACATGCGGGAAAGAAGATTTTTTTAAAAAGGGGTTAGAGCTGAATGTTTTTCATTGGTGACTCTTCTTACCTAGTGTTGTCTCTGAAAAAGATTCAGAATCCTGGCTCTAGCAAAGGGTTTTTTTTGTTTTTGTTTTTGTTTTTTTTGTTTGTTTTGCAATGACAGGCTTTCTAAGGCTACCCAGCCAGGGCTACCTCTCTGGATATCCTGGCAAATCTGGAACAACTGTTTTCCTGACAACCTAGTGAGAGAAGCCAGGAAACCAATCTGTCGCATTCTTTTAAAACCCTTGGCAGTTTTGAGTCAAATTACAGCTCAGATGTTTGGTCAGCAGACAACCCAATTCCAGTAAGACATTCCCGGCTCTATCCCTAATTAGTGTTGCAATCCACCATGATCCAATTGATCCTTCTGGCACCCAGTCTTCCCATCTGTAAAATGGGAAGATTCAACCAGATGAATTCTGAGATCTCCTCAGTGAACATCCTCATGATTCAACCAGATGAATTCTGAGATCTCTTCGGTGAACATCCTTGTGATGTTCTGTTTCAAAGAAAGGGTTTGTATCTGTGGTCAGCATGTAAGGCAAAAATTACCCCATTACATGGTTTCCATTGCCTATACAGTGCCCTGGCCTTGGGTTTTGTTTTTTCAGGAATGTACAGTAAATTTTATACACTTCAAAATTTGAGACTCACTGAGCAAGACAAAGAAAGAAGTAAAAGAGTTGGATGCAGGCTGGCATCCAGGTCTTCAAACCACCTTATCTTGAGAATAACTATCAAATCCCTGATGATGAAAAGGGGATGGGGGAAGAATGAATAACATGTTCCTGCTTGATGGTAGGGTTTGATCTATTTTGTTTTAAAAACCCTCTAGAGCCTTGGCCCCTACTGATAGATTTGTTTCTCTCTAAAAGGATTAAATAACATTTTATGTATAAGTAAAGTATTTAGCACAGAATCCAGAACCTGGTAGGTAAGAATACAAGTTGAATTTGAATCTAAATCTTGCCTTTTCACCATTCTTTGAGAAACTGCAAAGGAGAATGTGGTCACCTGTGAGCTGCCCTCCAAAGCTGGGTTTTCCCATGGTGACCCCACCATAGAGCTGCCCCATGCAACGCCCCGGTCTCAAGCCCCTGGACCATGGGATTAGGTTCCAGAGGCAGCAGAAGAGTGAGCAGTGCAACTGCAGCTGAGCTCACATGTGGGAAACCTTTCTGTAAATAGCAAAGGGTGCTCATCAATGATGAATCATTAACACCATCCACCTGACCAATGAAACCAGACTGGGCCTTCTCATTTGGGTAGTTCATGAGCTAACATTTCAGTCCTCACCATGAGCCAGGCAGTGGTCAGTGATTTACCTGCAACAAGAACCCCTTACAGTGTGAGGCACCCACCATCATCATCACCAGTCTTACTTACTAGGGGAGGATATAGAAGATCAGAGAGGCTAAGTGACATGGCCAGGCTCATCTCATCTCTAACTGGCAGATCTGGGATTCAGATCTGGGTTATGCCTGTCTTTAGAAGGGGCCCATCTTTCCTTTTACCTCCCCACCCCCTGATTTCAGACCTGCTGACCCAACCCCCAGTGTAATGGTATTTGGAGGTGGGGCCTTTGGGAGGTGTATTAGTCCACTTTCATGCTGCTGATAAAGACATACTTGAGACCAGGAAGAAAAAGAGGTTTTAATGAACTTACACTTCAGTGTAGCTGGGTAGGCCTCACAATCATGGCGGAAGGTGAAAGGCATGTCTCACATAGCAGCAGTCAACAGAAGAAGCTTGCGCAGGGAAATTCCCCTTTTTAAAATCATCAGTTCCCATGAGACTTATTCACTATCACAAGAAGAGCACGGGAAAGACCTGCCCCCATGATTCAATTACCTCCCACCAGATCCTTCCCACAATACATGAGAATTCAAGATGAGATTTGGATGGGGACACAGCCAAACCATATCATTCCACCTCGGCCCCTCCCAAATCTCATGTCCTCACATATCAAAACCAATCATGTCTTCCCAACAGTTCCCCAATGTCTTAACTCATTTCAAGCATTAACTAAAAATCCACAGTCCGAAGTCTCATCCAAGACAAGGCAAGTCCCTTGCACCTATGAGTCTGTAAAATCAAAAGCAAGTTAGTTACTTCCTACAGACAATCCAAGCATTGGGTAAATACAGCCATTACAAATGGGAGAAAATGGCCAGAACAAAGGGGCTACAGGCTCCATGCAAGTCCAAAATCCAGCAGGGCAGTCAAATCTGATAATTCCAAAATGATCTCC
Organism: Homo sapiens; assembly: GCF_000001405.40. Taxonomy (NCBI): domain Eukaryota; kingdom Metazoa; phylum Chordata; class Mammalia; order Primates; family Hominidae; genus Homo; species Homo sapiens. The sequence goes on along the minus strand of NC_000001.11, from coordinate 14,116,883 downwards.
TTTGACTCCATGTCTCATATTCAGGTTACACTGATGAAAGAGGTAGGTTCTTATGGTCTTGGGCAGCTCCACCCCTGTTGCTTTGCAGGGTACAGCCTCCCTCCTGGCTGCTTTCACAGGCTGGCATTGAGTGTCTGCAGCTTTTCCAGGCACACGGTGGGAGCTGTCAGTGGATCTACCATTCTGGGGTCTGGAGGACAGTGGCCCTCTTCTCACAACTCCACTAAGCAGCATCCCAGTAGGGACTCCATGTGGGGGGCTCTGACCCCACATTTCCCTTCTGCACTGCCCTAGCAGAGGCTCTCTATGAAAACCCTGCCCCTGCAGCAAACTTCTGCCTGGACATCCAGGTGTTTCCATACATCCTCTGAAATCTAGGCAGAGGTTCCCAAACCTCAACTCTTGACTTCTGTGCACTGGCAGGCTCAACATCACATGGAAGTTGCCATGGCTTGAGGCTTGCACCCTCTGAAGCCAAGACCCAAGCTCTATGTTGGCCCCTGTCAGCCACGGCTGGAGCAGCTGGGATGGAGAATGCCAGATCCCTAGGCTGCACACAGCATGGGGACCCTGGGCCTGTTCCACAAAACCACTTTTTTCTCCTAGGCCTCTGGGCCTGTGATGGGAGAGACTGCCTTGAAGACCTCTGACATGCCCTGGAGACAATTTCCCCATTGTCTCAGGGATTAACAATTGGTTCCTTGTTACTTACGCAAATTTCTTAAGTCAGCTTGGATTTCTCCTCAGGAAATGGGATTTCCTTTTCTATTGCATTGTCAGGATGCAAATTTTTGAACTTTTATGCTCCGCTTCCTTTATAAAACTGAATGCCTTTAACAGCACTCAAGTCACATCTTGAATACTTTGCTACTTAGAAATTTATTCTTCCGGATACCCTAAATCATTTCTCTCAAGTTCAAAGTTACACAAATCTCTAGGGCAAGGGCAAAATGCTGCCAGACTCTTTGGTAAAACGTAACAAGACTCACCTTTGCTCTAGTTCCCAAGAAGGTCCTTATTTCCGTCTGAGACCACCTCAGCCTGGACTTTATTGTCCGTATCGCTATCAGCATTTTGGGCAAAGCTATTCAACAAGTCTCTAGGAAGTTCCAAATTTTCCACATTTTCCTGTCTTCTTCTGAGCCCTCCAAATTGTTCCAACCCCTGCCTGTTACTCAATTCCAAAGTCGCTTCCGCATTTTCGGGTATTTTTTCAGTGGCATCCCACTCCATTGGTACCAATTTACTATATTAATTCATTTTCATGCTGCTGATAAAGACATGCTTAGGACTGGGAAGTAAAAGGTTTTAATGGACTTACAGTTCCACATGGCTGAGGAGGCCTCACAATCATGGTGGAAGGTAAAAGGCACATCTCACATAGCAGCAAAGAGAAGAAGCTTGTGCAGGGAAAGTTCCCTTTTTGGAACCATTAGATCTCATAAGACTTATTCACTATCATGAGAACAGCACAGGAAAGACCTGCCCCCATGATTCAATTACCTCCCACTGGGTCCCTCCCACAACATGTGGGAATTCAAGATGAGATTTGGGTGGGGGCACAGCCAAACCATATCAGGAGGTAATTAGGGTTAGATGAGGTCATAAGGGTAAGTTCTTCATGATGTGATTTGTGGCTGCATAAGAAGTGAGAGACATTGTTGTATCTCTCTGCCATGTGAGGACACAGTGAGAAAGTGGCTGTCTGCAAGTCAGGAAGAGAGCCCTCACCAGGAAGTGAATCTGCAGGTACCTTGCTCTTGGACTTGCAGCCTCCAGCACTGTGGAAGATCAATGTCTGCTCTTTAACCCACTCAGTCTGTGGGACTTTGTTATGGCAGCCTGGGCTGACTAAGGCAGACATCAACAGAGCCAGCACAGGAGCAGTGGCTAAGAAGGTGGGGTTTGTACACAATAGACCTGGGTCAGAGACTGAGCACCTCCAAACACTAAGCAAGTGAACCAATTTACCCTCTCTGGGAAAATGTACCCTCTATGGTTGTAGTTGTGTCATTTATAAATGGGAACGGTAACAGCACCTGCCTTATGGAATCATTGTGGGGATGGAGTTAGAGGGCTCAGCATTTCTAGTATGCAGCAAGCTTGCAATGAATATTAGATTAGAAAATATACTGACACTGTGTCTAGAATGACAGTGTGTCATCACTTTTAGAGATCAAGGTATTGAAAGTTTCCATCTAATCAGTTTTCCAACCTGATATGTGAAAAGATAAATCTATCAAACCATTATCATTGTTAATGGTGAATGGGGGAATGCAGAAGGAAGGGAGGAAGAAGGAAGGGCTTTTCAAATACAGAGTGAAATGTGGGGCAGTCGGCCTGGATATGGAGGATATGGGGGGCATCGACGGTGGGGTGGGCAAAGAGAGGACACAATCTGGATGCCTGGAATAGGGGGCTCGAGAGAGTTCCAGGCTGGAGAGTAGAGTGTGGTTTCAAACACCTAAACCACTTCCTTCCTGATTCTGCAAATCGCCAGAGTCATATCCTGCCTCCCCAGGGATCCCCAGGGTTAAAAGAGAGCCATGGGGAGCATCAAAGTCCTGCCTCAAAAGTGCACTGATCCCCCCAATGCCGGCCCCCCACGCAGCAGCTGAAACATGACATATTCGGTCACCCACATGCACTTGTCTGTGTAGCCTGAAAATAATGGGGCCGTCTGCTGCTGTGGCCCTGAAGAACCAGGCACTGAATCGGTCCAGGGATGCTTCCCATGCAGCTCTGCCACCGCCATGGCTGGCCTGGGGCTCAGCGTTTCTAAAAGGCTGACTGCACCTCTTAAAAGCTGCACTGCAAGGCCTTGGAGGACTCATTGAGCTGTGAGAGAAGAGTGCCCTCCCCTGGACGTTTGCTGCCAGTTTGTGGCCTCCACCAAAACCACCACTGAGCTTTTCCCTTCCTACCCAAACAAGGGGGCAGACTCCAGGCAAACACCCCTTAATTTCAGACGGCCACACACAGGTCACTGGCCAGTAGATGCCCCACTGGCGTCTTTGCTCTACTGTTGTTCAAGAGTTTCCACCATGCAAAGCCCTTGGCATAAATAATGTCATTGAGTCTTCATGTAAATCCTCATAGAACAGGACAAGAAACTGAGTTCAGGAAGGCTCAATGGTTTTCCAAGGTCATGGAGCTTGGACAGAGCTCAGACACCCCAGCACCGTGGTCAGGAAGGAGCTAATACTCTGCAGTCAGAACACTTGGGTGCTTGTCCAGATCTTTCATTTCTTAGCTGTGCAATTTGGGGAAAGTGACTCAACCTCTTTAAGTGTCAGTTTCCTTTTCTGTAAAACAGGATAATCAACTCAAACATGGAAGTTTTTGGAAAAATACCAAGTACGTGGGAAGGACGTAATAAATGACGTCTCCGGTCACCTTCCTTCTCTTTCAGATCTCAGGGCCTGGGCTAATTGTACGCCTGCATTTTTCGGGGAAAGTGCTTTACTTGTCACGACCTATGTAAAGACAGAATTTGGAAAACTCAGCTGAGAATGTGGTGTGACGCTGGCTCTTCCCACCCAGTCATCCTTTCGCCACACATCACAAGGTTGGCAGGGTATTTGCCACTGAACATCTCTGTTCTCTGCCAGCCCCAACTCCCTAAGAGACAGGGATTGTATGGCTTTTATGCCAGAGAAAGAATCAAGAAATGAGTGACTTTACTGCTGTCACCTGACTTGCCCAGCCTTGAAATTGCATGGGGATCCCCAGTGCTGAGGAAGGGGTGGGCAGGAAGGAAGGAGCACCTCCTAGAGACAAATCTACACTGTAGAAATAAACAAGACTTTGGAGGGTGCACATTGAAAAAGTGAAGAAACTCCTCATCTCTAATGAGCAGGGGAATGATGTGTCACTTTAGACACTTGGGCAAAGTCTTTGCCCATCAAAGCCAGGGATGCAGTTAGTGACAGGCAAGACTGCCTTTCTTCCGCACAGCACTTTGAACTCTGCTGGGCTGAACAGTTATCTAGAGCTTTCTATGTGCTAGGCACAGGGCTGGAGGCTGGGATGCAGTAAAGAGTGTGGCAGCTTGGAAAAGGTCAAGAGACAAAACCAAGGCAAAGGGCATGGCAGGAACAAGAAGCACAGCCAGCCTAGTCATCAGTGCCAAGACTGCACTCTCTCATGCCTCCAATGTCTCTGACTTCTTCTACTACCAGCCAAGACAACTCCCTGCTTTGAAAGGACTCATGTGATTATACCAGGCCCATTCCATCCATCTCCCTTTTTCCATGTAAGGGAACATAATCATGGGAGTGACATCTTATCAGAGTCACAGTTTCCCCCTACACCGACACTGAATGGAGAAGTGATCATACAAGGGTGAGGGTCCCTGGGAGTGAGAGGAGAGTGTCTGCCATGCTCCCAACAAAGTTCTTTCTCCTAAAAGCCAGGACATCACTTCTTGGAATCAAGACTGTTGACAACCCACAGTGGCCAAAGAGGAGTGGGAGGGATGCAGGCAGCTCCTCACCCAAGTAACGGTGGTGGGTTTGTCCTCACTACCATATGGTCACACAGCATCCAGACTGAGCTAGCAGTGTTCTCAGTGCTGCAGATACACGAATGAACACACCAGATCAGGAGCTCACCTTCTAGCAGAGAGAGTCAGGAAGACAGCAAATAAGTGGGACTTTTTTAGAGAAGAAGAGGACAAAGGAGAAACCTCACTGGCTTGCCTGATGTGGACAGCCAGTAGGTAAGGTCAGACCCAGCCTTGGGTCAGAAGTCAGCAGTCAGATATGGCAAAGCTGCGGCAGACCCTCTAAGCCTGGAGGGTGGCAGTCTCAGGAATCCAGGCCAGAAGTTAGAATCTAGGCAAAGGGGCTGAGCGTGGTGGCTCACGTCTGTAATCACAGCATTTTGGGAGGCCGAGGTGGGTGGATCACTAGGTCAGGAGTTCAAGACCAGCCTGACCAATATGGTGAAAGCCCGTCTCTACTAAAAATACAAAAATTAGCCGGGCGTGGTGGTGCGCAGCTGTAGTCCCAGCTACTCAGGAGGCTGAGGCAGGAGAATCGCTTGAACCCAGGAAGCCGAGGTTGCAGTTAGCCAAGATCATGCCACTGCACTGCAGCCTGGGCGACAGAGCGAGACTCCACCTCAAAAAAAAAAAAAAAAAGAAAAGAATCTAGGCAAAGGGTTGGGGCATCAGGTGTGGAGTCCAGAGACAACGCAGGTGTGCAGGACTTTCAATGCCCCTGCTCTGTAAGGGCACAGACAGGGCTGGTGAGGAATCAGAGGCTCTTTTACAAGGTGCACATGCAACCCTCAAAAAGCACAGCTGGGAGAGAGACAGCCCTTTCGTATGAATGAGAAAAACGAACCATTTCCTTCAAGTGCAGCAATGCTGCCCCAGTCCTTTTGGACTCTGCTGGGCCTGACGTTAGTACTCAGTGCACAATTATCACCAGCTTTCTATGTGCCAAGCACAGGGCATATAGAGATCAGTAGTTCCTTCACTTTTCCAATGTGCAACCTCCAAAGTCTTACTGTTTATTTCTACAGTGTAGATCTGTCTCTAGGAGGCACTCTTTCCTTCCTGCCCACCCCTTGCTCAGCAGCCAGGATCCCCATGCAATTTCAAGCTTAGTGGATCGGCATATCCTGGACTGCAGCCCGCGTGTGTGCTGTGGCTAGGCGCCCTGATGCAGAGGCCCTGGGTGGAAACTCTATTTATCCTGCTGTCCCCCTATCTCTAGCATTTTGCCTAATGTCTGGCATAGCATAGACCCTCAATGGATGTCTGCTGTGTGGATGAATATTGATGAATCCTCCACCTCCTTCAGGACATTGATGTACTTCCACTGAAGGCAGGAGTCATCCAGGGCCATTTTAACCCCCACATCATTTCCCATGCTATCTAGAGCAATGCTGTCCAGCAGAAATATAATGCAAATTGTGTATGCAATTTAAAAGTTTCTAGTAATCTCATTAAAAAGTAAAAAACACACACAAACAAAAGTTAAAATTAATTGTAATATATATTTTATTTAGCACAGCCAAAACATCGTCATTGTCATCTTAACATGTAGTCAATATAAAAAGATATTAATGAGATATTTTACGTGTCTTTTTTTTCCCTGTACTAAGCCTGAAACCTAGGGTGTATTTTACACTCAAAGCACAGCTTGGGCTAGCCACATTTTAAGGGTTTTGTAGCCACAGATGGTTTGTGGCTACCACCTTAGAGAAAGCAGATCCAGAGCCTGTGAGCTTTTCAAAGGAGAAAAGTTTCTTGAGATCTGAAAAATAATGTATCATTCCAAGTCATGCAAATAAAACCTCCTAAGAGAAATAGATAGATATGCAATAGAAGTCAAAAAACTACAAAATGATCTGGATAATAAGAGTGCCTAAACCATAGCACTGTTGTAAGTTGTATGGGTCACACCCATACAGGCGCAGGAGAAGGTCAGTGGCACAGGAGGACTTAGTTGTATCAACAGGTCAAATGCAACTCAAGTCTAAATTCTTAGAGAGTTATACAAAATTGCATTGCAAGTGGGATGTGGATGTGTATTAATATATCTTATGTAATGAGGGATTTGGCCTCCAAAAATGAGTTCCTAAGGTTTGGCAAGGCTTTAAGCATCCTTGGAACCCATGCCCTCATGTTCTGCAAGCCTGAAATTTGCACGTGAAGGAAACGGAACATCCAGCTGAAGTGGAGAGCACAGGGCCAAGGATGTGGACAAAAACCACCCTGCTGACTAAATGCATTTTTCAAAAACAGTGCATTTGCACAGCACCACTGATGCAATGAATAAGATTTTCTTTTTTCCTGCCTGTCAAGCCACTTATTAATCACAACATATTATTGCTTTGCTTATTCAATATGTGGAGTGAAACACCAGGATCCAGCTGAGAACAGGACTGAAGAGAACAAAATTGGGTGGCAAGAAAAGAGCAAAATTAACATAGGCTATAGAGAAATGGTAGGGGAAAAAAATGCCTCCATCCTTTTAGAACAGATTTTTACAGCTATCAGAAAAGTAAAGGGAAACTTACATAAATTTTTAGTACAGCTCCTACTTGACGCTGAAATCGTTTTGATAAGGAATGGCATTTTCAGGAGAGGGGCCTGATGGAGGAGAGTTTAAGCTGAATGGAATGGTGGCTCCAGTCTTTGCCTTCTTGATGCAGCTGCAAATTAGAGTAATTACCCTCAGGTTCACGCTGGGCCGTGCAAATGGGAAATCAAATTTATGTTCCAAAAAGAAATGAAAGAAAAATATCAGAGCGTGGAGAAAGAAGGGTAAGGGCCAAAATCACTCTTGACATAGCAGAAAGGACATTATAGATTTTAGCAGAGAATAAATGACAAGAAAGGAGTGAGGTTATAAGTCCAGGGAGGCACCTACTGAAACTTCAAACTAAGCTAAGGAACTCAGAGTAGACAAAGGAGGTTTCAACACACATGCACACACACACAGCCATCAGATATACATCAAAGTCCTCAAGAAGTGGATCTATACTTGCCTGTGGTCAAAGGAACATCAGAAGGAGAGTTAGTTTTCATAGCATCATAAGAGTTTGAAATGGATAAATGGATCATTGCCAATACTAAGGGCTACTGGCCCACCCCTGTGCAAATACTCTTTGTCCTCTATTGCAACATACAAAGAATGGACTAGGAACACCTGGCTGACTCTCATGACCTCACTCTAGGCTAGATGTTGTCCTTGGCTCCATTTCACTCTTAAGTCATCACACCACAATCTTCGGTACCCAGGCAGTACCTCTCTGTCATGCGGTGTCTTTCCTACTATGACACAGGACTTTGGTCCTTAAGTAAAGGTCATGGGCTATGACTGATTCACAGATGCGAGCTCGGCCACATTGCAGTCCTAGCTCAGCCTGTGCATTCTGAGTCCTGGCTGTGAAACACTCATACACACGATTTTTTAAAAGCATCTTAAAATCCTATGGCATAGGCAGCACAGACCCAGCCATGATGGAACTAGAAATATGTTGGGGTTGGCACAGGCGTAGCTGTGTGTTCTCCTTCCTGCCAAGGATGGAAGATGATTGACTGAATGGGAACAGGAAATCGGCTTGCCAGAATGCATCTAAAATGGGACGTGCATGCTTGGGGGAGTGTTAACGTTATGCTTCAGAAAAGGAACAAATGGGCAAGTCCACACGGTTCCCAGCTTGTTCTAAAGATAAAGGGTCACTTTGGGGATACGTAAGAGGACAAGGCACAGATAGAGGCCAATTCTGCTCCCTGGGAGATAGTTGGGTATTTTGGAAAGTGGAATGACCATCATTTAGAAACAGAGCCAATTTGTCAGAGGGCACTGCAAGTCTGGCCCACCACCTGCCTCCTGGGAGGGAGATCTGTCTGGCACGATGCCACGTTTTGAGCAGCAGCACAGCCTCTTAAAAACAGTTCAGGTAAAAAATATTGATTACTTGTCTGCTATGTGCCAGGCATTGTGTTAGGAACTGGACACAATTAGAGCAGGACACAGCCCCATCCTTCAAGGAGCTTACGATTCAGCAGAGACACACTCTTCCCTAAACAGGGAGCTATACTCTTCTATAGTACGGGCTGTGAGAGAGCCACAAAACATGCTTGAGATGAGCCTCCCCCTGGCTTGGTGGAGGTGGGGAGAAGGCTTCCTAGAAAAATATGACTTTCAAGCAAAGACCTGAAGGTGAATAAGATGTAACCAGTAGAAAGAGCGGTGAGACTGGAGGAGTTTGGGGTACAAAAAAAGCATCCTCAGTGACCTGGAGGCCACGGCAAGCTTCTAGAGCATCTCGTGGTCCAGTACGGCTAGAATGCAGGGTAACAGGGCAATGTGGAGGGTAAATTGGAAGTTGTTCAAGGATAGATAGATTCTGAAATTCAGCAGAGAGATGATCTTAGAAATCTTGCACAATCCCCTCACTTGGTAGATGAGGAAACTAAGGCACAATCACAGAGGAATTACCGGTTCAAGTACATAAAGCTGGAGTGTGACAAGGTGGGCCAGGTAGGTTTCTTGGAGTCAGGTGACAAGGCTGCATCTACAGAATTGAGCAGTCATCACCTTCTCCTTTCCCACTTGGTAAAGTCACCAATAAGCACACTTTCCCTGGGGCACACAACCCAGCATACAAAGCTCATGAGTTTATGTGCCATGATCTGGTTAAAATGGAGCTTCCGCCCACCCTATCTCATAGGATCTCCACTGCAGCATCATAAGTAGACTCATCCCTACATCTCACACTCCTGAAGACTGAAGAGCTCAACCGAGGTGGCCTTGTATGGAAACCCACCTGAGAACTGCAACACTGGAACGTGGAGCCACACGCCATATGGTGTTCTTCCTTAAGGTCCCCCTAGTCCCTTAAATGTGTTCATCTCAGCTACTTTCCTACCCATAAATGTGAGTTGCAAAGGACAGGGAGAGGAATTACTTTAATTAGGTCTTCCTGCAATAAAGAGGGATCTTGATGTAAGAAAACAAAGCAGGCAAAAAAACAAACAAACAAACAAACAAACAAAAAACCATCTTGGGCTAATGGGAAAGACTAAAAAATGGTGACACAAATTGCTGGCTTGAGCTGTCTCCTAACTGCTCTCATGCCATACTGGATCCAGGGGCTGAATTAAGATGACAGGGGTGGATCACTGCCCGGAGAAAGGCTCTTACCTCCAGGAAACATCAGCCCTCTCACCTGGGCTCTGAATGAACATGGGGAGAAAAATCCCAAATGATGACAAGACAACACAGCAATCTACACTTCCCTGAATAGGTATTGAGAATGTGAGGGAGGGAGGGAAGAGGGGAGAGAGATGAAGGAAGGAAGGAAGGAAGGAAGAAAGGAAGGGAGGGAGGGAGGGAGAGAGGGAGGGGAGGGAGACAGGGAGGGAGGGAGGGAGGGAGAGAAGGAGGGAGGGACGGGGAGGGAGGGAAGGGGAAGGAGGGAGGGAGGGAAAGGGTGGTTGAGTGTATCAATGGAAACCTGGTAAAAAATGATTTAATCTGCATGCACTGATCCAGCTAGTGTTAATAGGACCAGCCAAGCACATACATAAAAGCAGAGGTTACCAGGGTTCCTATTTTAGGGCTTTCAGGGGAAACTCACTATCTCAAAATATATCATTCACATCTTCTGGGATGCCACTGAATAGAGACGCGTTTGGGCTAATCTACTACTTAACCAAAAGAAAATACCTCTCCAAGAATAACAGGGATCATCACTCATCCAACCTCAGGGAAGATCAATTTCAAGTCACTGTTTCATTCTCAGGATTGACCCTACTGAAAAGCAGGAGTTTGGATGGGGAGGAGGCAGAAGAGGAAGAGGCCACTTGGGAGCTGAGCCCTTTGGGAAGAGCCCAGGGAGACAGGCTTTGACCACTAAAGGATACAGCCCTCTAAGGCAGGAAGGGGCATGGCTGGCTGGAGGGGGCTTGAGAAGAGGGATGTGGGTTGTTCCACAGGGAATACGGTAAGCAGCCACATAGGTTAGCTTTCCCGGAGATATTTGTTCTAAATATATAGCAAGTTTTGGCAGAATCCTGCCTCCCACCACAGCTGTGAGATTCATTTTCTATGACCACCTGGGGATTGTGGAGACAACATCCCTTTGTTTCCTCTGCAAGGAAAAAGAAGCTTTAGTCAGAGCTGTGTTGGGTTCTGTTGGGGGCTTTGGAGAACCCTCAGATACACCTTGGATTTCCAAACATGGAGAGTGTAGGTATTTTCTGCCTGAGGCTACCCCTTCTGGGTTTGTTCATGGCTGGATGGAGAAATCAATGTGGAATATTCTCCCCCTAGTTTTCCAATCATTTTTGTTATTGTTGTTGTTACTGTTATTGTTTATTTCTCCAAAATATTATGTTGCCTCATAGTGGCTAAAACAATTTCAAAAATTTTAAGCCACCAGATTGCTGCAAGGAGCGGGTAGAGAATGCAGAAAAGAGGTCATTTATTAGGTTAAAAGTATCTTTCCCATCACCTCGAACCCAACCCTGATGTCAATTCCTCACAAGCTCCCTTCGGGAAATGCAGCTATCTCTGACCTTCCAAAGAGGACTTTTCACCAAAAGCAAATGTTAGCAAGGCTCTGTGGCACCTGAGACTCTTCCACGCAGCTCAAGGGTCTTAACTTGCTAGATCTTCATGGCGATCCTTTGAGGCACTAGGTCATGGAACTCCATGAAATTGTCTTAATTGGAAGATGTAGAGAATTGTTGATGATCATGGACCAGAGTGGGAAAACCAAGTAGATGCTTGTCTCCTTGGGTGTGTTTCATTTGGTCACTTTGGACAGGGGTTCCAAGAATGGTGAAGCCATTCTTCTAAAACTAATAGGTTAGGGGATGAGATCCAACTAAGATGTGGGCAGAACCCAGAGGCACATGGTTCCCAGGACAAGGCAAGGCTCAGTAATGTCTGGGTCAGGAGCTGAGCAGCCAGAAGGAATAAAGCAGATCCACAAACCCCCTTCCACCCCAGGGCCTTTGCATGTGCTGTTCTTTCTGTATTGAATGGGCTCTCTCTGCCCAGCATGGCTCATACTCCAACTCTTGGCCAAGTGGAAGCCTTCCCAGCTCCTTCTCAGTCTTCATCTCCCAGATCGGGTTGGTTCTTTTTGTTATACACACTCAACAGATCCTGATCCTTCTTTTGAAGTGCTTCTCTTGGTCTATAACTATGCACTTATTCATGCGACTATTTGAATTATGTCCTTCTCTCTTGCTGGGCTGACCCTCCCAGATAGCAGAATCTGTGTCTTCTGCTTAGCATAGAACCTGGCATACAGTCAATGCTAAAAACAAAAATAGAGCACAGTGTATCCCTTGAGACACAGAGTTCCAGCGCTTATGAGAGTTCCAACAAGACCACCCTCCACAGATAAGGGAGATATTTAATTCATGTATTTAGTGATTCTCCACTTCAGACCACAAAGGACCAAAGGGGATTTGACCAAAAAAATTGCATACAATTTCTGGGAAAAAAATGCAAAATAAATAGCTTCAGGAATGAAGGCAAAAGAAAAACGGATGTAGATAAATAGTAGAAATGCATTAGGAATAAAACAAAACCATTCAGCAAACACAAAACAAGTGGCTCTTGCCTGCAAGAGAGAAAAAGAAATCAATCGCCTGCTCTGAAAAATGATAAGGGTACAAATTCATGGGAACTGCTAAACAGAATAGCCATGAGGTTGATATTAAACTTTATTTTAACCTGTTGCAGAAGTAGTTCGTGATGGAATGAACACTAGATTTGCAGCTGGGACAGCTAGGATTCAAGTTCTAGGTTGGCCACAAAGTAGCCAAAGTCTTGGGTATGTTATTTGCGATCCTGAGGTTTTCTACCTTGGAAGATGTGATGCTCCCTCTTCTTTGTTTTTCAGCTCCCTGGCTCTGTTCTACCACAGGAGCAAGGGGGTGCTCTCTCAACACCTTATCTAAACAAGATGGCAGGAAACCTTTAAAAAAAAAATCACCACATCCACTTGTGTGACAAATGCTCCTTAGCAAGATTTTCAGAGGCAGAGTGGATAACCGCTTGGCTAAGAAGCTATTTGCACTGCTTGCATGGGGGATGTTGAGTCAAGAGTTGAGGACAGACCTCCTCCAGCGCCAGGAGACCAGGTGCTCCTTGCGGGGAAGGAGCAGGGTCACTTGGCACAAGAAGGAGAGACGCATCTGGCACCAGCTCTGCAATGAGGCCACAAGCTGTGTTATATTCCAGACCCTTCCTCCCTCGTCCCCAGCTCTGGTAGGTTATACCCTGTCTGGGTGTAGACAAGGAGAACCCACCTTCCTTTGGCATGGTGCCAATAATGTTGCAGTGTCTTCGCTGTCTCCAGTAACCCCCAACACCCTCCACAGGCATCCCTGTAAAATCTACATTATAATGTCGATTTTTGCCTATTTGTCTGCCTGCACAGTAAAGAGATGTTGCCTACATTTGGAGAGTTTAACACAGAGAAATTATCTGTGTTGATCTCTAGGTTTGGGGAGTGTTGTAGGCAGAATAATGGCCCCCAACGATGTCTCCGTACTAATCCCCGGAACCTGTGCATATGATACCTTACATGGCAAAGGGGAATTCAGGCTGCAGATGGAATTAAGGTTGCTAATCATTTGACCTTCAAATAGGGAGATTATCCTGGATTATCCAAGTGAGCCCAATAAAATCACAAGAGTCCCTTAAAATGCAAAAGGGAGACAGGAGAATCAGGGGAAGATGTATCTGCAGAGAAGGCTGGAAAGGCGCAATGTGAGAAGGACTCACTGGCCAGGCCGGCTTTGAAGATAAGGATGGGCATCACTAGAGGCTGGAAAAGGCAAGAAAACAGACTCTATCCAGTGCCCATGGAAAGGAGCTGCCAACACTTTGATTCAGCCCAGTGAGGCTTGGTATCAGATTTCTGACCTACAGAAATGTAAGATAATAAGTTTCTGTTATTTAAGCTGCTAAACTTGTAATTTGTTACTGCAGCTGGTATGGGCTGAATTGTGTCTCCTTTCTCCCATTCACTCCAATTTATATATCGAAGTCCTAACCCCCAGTGCCTCAACATGCGACTGTATTTCGAGATATGTATTTCAAGAAGAGATAGATGTATAAGATGTCACTAGGGTGGGCCCCAATACAACAAGACTGGTGTCCTCACAAGAAGAGCAGGCCAGGCACAGTGGCTCACACCTGTAATCCCGGCACTTTGAGAGATCAAGACGGGCCGATCACTTGAGGCCAGGAGTTCGAGACCAGCCTGGCCAACATGGTGAGACCCTCAGCTCTACTAAAAATGCAAAAACAACTAGCCAGGTGTGGTGGTGCACACCTATAACCTCATCTGCTTGGGAGGCTGAGGCATGAAGGCATGAGAATCCTTTGAACCCAGGAGGCAGAAGTTGCAGTGAGCTGAGATCATGCCACTGCACTCCAGCCTGGGTGACAGAGCAAGACTCCGTTAAAAAAAAAAAAAAGAGAGAGATTAGTATTCAAATGTGTACAGAGGGAAGCCCATGGGATGACACAGGGAAGACAGAGGCCTCAGGAGAAACCAGCCCTGCTGACACCTTGATCTCAGACGCCTGGCCTCCAGGACTGTGAGAAGGTAAACTTCTGTTGTTTAATGCATGGTGGGTTGTCTAGTCCATGGTGTGCGGTTATGGCACCCCTAGCACCGCAGCCATAAGAGCTAATACACGGGGATGCACGGAGCTCACCATAGAGGGCCCTGAAGGCACCAGGATGGGAGACGATAATCCCCCAAAACATGGAAATGGAGCTGCAAAAAGGGACTGTGAAATGCCACCAGGAGGGGCTGCATGAGTGAACACCATGGCCATTGGACGGAGGAAGCCAGCAGCAGTTTACAAACCAAAACACACGATGGCAGCTGCTTGGAGAGCAGGAACTAGGATCACCCATTTTTCCCCAGGTTCTTTCTATCAGATGCAACCAGGAGGGGTCACATGGGTGGACACCATGGCCATTGGATGGAGGAAGCCAGCAGCAGTTTACAAACCAAAGGGCGTGAGGGCAGGTGCTCAGCGAGCGGGAACTAGGATCACCCATTTTTTTCCCAGGCTGTCTCTATCAGGAGCTCCAGACAGAGAAGTTAACCATGATTAGCGATTTCTCTGATTGCTCTCAGCACTGGAGACCCTGTGGGCACGTAAACCCATGCCAGTGTGCTGAGGGCGTCTTCCCCGGGACTCTGGATTTTGTGTAGTTGAAACTGTGCTTTGAGTTCAGCTGGGCTTTTAAATAAGTCAAGGGACTTATTTTTTTTTTAAGTTCCAAGAAATAATATCCCACTTGATAATACCAAGACCTCACTCACTGAGATTGGTAAAAATTAAGCTTCATCTTCTTTGAAGTTGTTTAAAAATATCCTGAAGTTCATTCTCTCTAAAAGGTTTGAGGTTTGCTGGAAGAGGGATCTTTGACTTGAGATGATTATTAGTTATCAAAGCATGTTACTGTCTGGGCTAATTCAGCTGGGGCCAAGCTATCATTTAGGTTTGCACTATTTGGAAAAAAAGGTTTTGCTAAGCAAACACAATATGTAAACAACATCATAAGGAAGATGTTTATCCTGTTTAAGAGAAAAAACTGACCTCAAGTACTTTAGCAGTGCTTACTTCCACGCTGACAATTAAGCTGCCCTTATAATTGGGTTTATGTAAATATTAAAGGAAACTCACTAAAAATTCTACTTAAAGTAATTTTCAAATTTTCCAGTTAAACAATATGTACCCATTGGGGAAAACTTAGACAACACAAATGTCCAAAGGTAGAAACTAGAAATGATCCACGACACCTTCACTTAAGAATAACCACTATTCACATCCTCTCCAGCCCTCTCCCTTCAATCCCTACTCCCATCCCCAGCCAGCCTTCAAAGCACTTTGGAGTGAGATAAACCTGGATTCAAACCCTCCTTCACTACTTTATTGCTGTTTTATCACCTTGAACAAGATATTCTAACTCAAATTGTTTATCTGAAAAAGGAGATAAAAACAGTATTTATCTTATAAACCGTCATCCAAAGAGATGAATGGTGTTATTCTCCAAATGGTGAATTTGGTTTATTATGATGCCGTGCACATAATAAGCACGTAATAAATAGTGGTGCAGTGGTTATGAGCTGTGCAGAAAAGAGTTAATATGGCAGGCCTGACTGCAACCCTTTCAAGGCCTGTTTGCAAGACTGGCTTTTAGTGGGCATCTGGGAACTCAGATTTGGGGAGGGCTCCCACCGTGCACTGTGTACTAGTCCATTTTCACGCTGCTGATAAATACCCGAGACCGGGTAATTTACGAATGAAAGAGGTTTAATGGAGAACTCACAGTTCCATGTGGCTGGGGAAGCCTCACGATTATGGCGGAAGGCAAGGAGGAGTAAGTCATATCTTATATGGATGACAGCAGGCAAAGGGAGAGCTTGTGTAGGGAAACTCCCATTTTTAAACCCATTAGATTTTGTGAAACTTATTCACTATCATGAAAACAGCACGGGAAAGACCCATCCCATGATTCAATTACCTCCCACCAGGTCCCTCCCACAAACACATGGGAATTCAAGATGAGATTTGGGTGGGGACACAGCTAAACAATATCACACTGATAAGACTGGCTCACTGTGCCTAAACTACTGTGCAAACAATGTGATTTAGGCTGAACACCTGTTTCTTTCTGGAAGTCTAGAATTTGTGTATGTACCAGGCAAGAGGTTGCCTATGTGACCAGCCCCCAACAAAGCCCTGGGCACTGAGTCTCTGAAGAGATTCCCTGGTAGACAGCACTTCCCACATATTGTCACAGCTCATTGCTGAGAGAATTAAGTGTGCCCTCTAGGACATCACAGTGAGGGGACTCTTGGAAGCTCAAGCCTGGTTTCCCCCAGACTTCATGCTATGAGCCTTTTGCCTTTGCTGATTTTGCTTCGGATCCTTTTGCTGTAATAAACTACAGCCCTGAGTGCAACTGTGCGCTGGGTCCTGTAAGTCCACCTGGAAACCACTGCACTTGGGGGTGGTCCTGGGGACCTCCTAACACAGGGACATATCTGAGGTCGAGCTGCGGATTTCAATCCCAGTTCCACATTCATTGACTCCGTGTATGCCTCAGATTCCTGGCAGGACTCAAATAGCCACCTCAAGTGGGGGATTTAAAGAGCCTTCCATAAAGGGCTGTTTATTAAGGATAGGCAGGGTCTAAGGGAACCGATAAACAACAGTGCCATATCCTGGGCTAGTGAGGGGCTGGTTGTTAGCAACTGGTGGGAGGGCAGGGGTTTGGAGCAGTGACAGTAATCATGACTATTACTGTGTTGGCTGCAGATGCAACTTTCATGGCCATTCTCCAGTACTTTATTGCCTTTCAGATCCATCTCCAAATAATATTCATTCAGGAGAGAGAGAAAGAGAAGGGAGGAGGAAGAGAGGAAGGGAGGGAAGGAGAAAGGTAAGAAGGGAGTATAACCACAATGCAGGTTAGTTGCTCATCGCTTGCACTGTCCAATTAACATGAGCCAGATCAGATATAAAGAAGGTGATTTATTTCTAAGCTAGCTTAGGGGAAGAAGCACAGGCAATCCACCTTTAAAGGTACCATTTCACTTTTAGAGCAGAAAGCGGCCACTTTTAAAAGGCAGGGGAGGAAGCAAGCAAGGGTGGGGTGTCTGCATTTTAGCTTTGGTGCCTTATCTATTGGGCAGTTAAGCTGGTGATTGCTGGCACCTTCGTGGGCAGGACTAGGCCAAAAACTCCTCAGGTGAGAGGGAGTTTCATATCTCTCAAGGCAGTTTCCTGATGGGAGTCTTGTAGAAATCAGCTGTTATCTCTCAAGGCAACCTCCTGATGGGTGGCAGGTAGCAGGCAGGCTTTCGTCTATAAATTGACTGTTAACTCTTGAGGAGTTCAATGAACTTGCCCTATAGGGAGTATCTGGTGAAGGAACAGGGTACAGGCTATATTTGCATTTCTAAAGGGCTAAGTAGGAAGTGGGGAACCAGGGGAATGAGGAAGGAAGAGAGAAAGAAAAATTAATAATTAAGCCATCTCTTAGAAAAATGGGGGTATGTGGTTACAGGAGGGAAGATTGATCTCTGATTTCCTTTAGTTTGATTCTTCCCCCACCCTGTCCCTGCACAGGTGTTTCCAGAAGCTAATGATTGAGTGCCATCCTGAGATTAAAGCTCCAGTTATCTAGCAAAGGGCCCTGATTCCTTATTCCCCTCCATTTGTCAAACTTCACATGGGGTATATTTCATGCCACCTTTCCTGGCAGAGTTGTCCAGGAGAGGCTACCCAATCAAACTAAGTAGAACACTGAACAAAGATAGGAGGCTGCCTCCTTTCTCCCCACCAAGCCTTAGCCCAGGCTCCAAACCCTAAACCCTGACCTAAGAGAAGATGGTAAAAGCCCTAACAGGAAGGGCTAATGGGCAGATGTGAAATTCTCCCCTCCCTGGCCTCTGAATTCCATGTGTGTGGGTGCCAACATGGGCCCCATCTGTTCCCCAGGGAGGGTGGAAGCAGAAGGCATACATGAGAAAACTATAAATTGAAGTAAATCAAAGGAATGCCTTGGGTAATGAAGAGCTGAAGAGTCCCAGGGCAGCCACACAGGGTTGGAATGCATGAGATGTTTGTAATAACTTAAAGGCATGGTCTCCAGTGGAGCTACTCAGGGAAGTCCAAATGGCCCCAACCCTACAGCAATAATGAAGGAGCAAATCTGGTAAAAGGAGAAACCAAGGGTAATGCAGTCTGGGCAGAGGGATGCTGGAGGGCATTTTGAAGGGGAGCCAGAGGCAGAAATATAAGAAGAATGGAGGCAATTCCTCAAACACCCTGGTTGCCCACAGCAACCCCTTTTCATGCAGTCATTTACATAATGTTGCAATTGTCACTTGCTGTTTGCCTTCTGTTGCAAACAGAGCTCCAGCATAAAGGAGCATACTATAGCTGCATAGGTTAATTCAACTCTCATCCACCACTGGCAAAATAAAACCCATTTAATCATCTACTTGACCATAGGGCAAAAAAACCCTGCTTTGTTTGGAAGAGGCTTTCAGTGGCAGATGCCCTCAAGCTAACCACATCCCCACCTTCTTAGTTCCAGGACTGGTCTGCATTAATGGACACTGGTTCTCTGAATATAAGATGCTAAAGTATAGAAGACACTTGAGTCAGAAGGTGAGGAAGCTGATGAAAGAGCTTCACAGATGACTGAGGCAGCACAAGGCAAGGGGAAGAGCTCCAGCCCTTTGCTGGCTGGGAGGACTTGGGCGAGTGACTCCACACCTTTGAACCTGTTTCCTCTTCGGTAAAATGGAGATAATAAAAAAAAAAAATCCTACCTTCCAAGGTTGTGGTGAAGATTCAATGAGATAACTCTCCAAATGGCTTGGCATATTTATTTTTATTTTTGCTGTTACTACTGACACTATCATGGCATGCTAATATTCCCAAAGACAGCACTTTTATGTCCAAGAAGATACAAGGAAGGTGAGCTCTGGGCTCATCTGGGGAACTGATTCAACTTCTTTCCCTGAATTTACTGATGGTTTCAAGTAGTTTAACTGAATTTTTCTGAATATTAAGATAAAAGCTAGTCAAGTTAAGCATATCTGAGAGCCAGATTGAGCTAACTAAATGAATATGAGAGGCAGTGAAGTATTCTATAACAGGTTCAATTCACAAGATAAAGAACAAACCAGATATTCACTGGTGAATGTTCCCTTCCCAACAACACACACATACACACACACACCCCTCACATACATTATTCTGTAATTGCAGGCTGTTGTCTACTTTCATTACTGACTACGAATACAATGCCTTTCAGGTAGATAGAAATCCTTTGAACCAGAGCAATCAAATTTCCTTGTGTCTCTCATTTCCGCCATCCATATTAAAGGTCACTCTATGGTCCAGTGTGGCTACTGTAGCTCCAGCCATCACACTAACATTCCAGGCAAGCAGGGAGTGGGGAAAAGGCAGGCCTTTCCAATGGCCTTTTCACTTTGTGACATATGCTTTAGGCTACAGGGAGCATGAGGCCAGTGTGACTTCTCACCTGGACTATTGCAATAGTTTTCTATCTAGGTTCTCTGGACTATGGCAATAGCTTCCTATCTAAGTTCCCTGGACTATGGCAATGGGCTCCCAACTAGTTTCCCTTCTTCCTATGTCTTTCTCCAACCTAGCCTCTATAGCACTCAACACAGACTCAAGTCAATCTATACTTTCCAACTTCCACCTTTACAAAACTTGCCCCCCTAGCAGGATCTCTCTTCCCCTACACCTCTAAAGGTCAAACTCTCACTATCCTCTACAATGGCATTTTGCCTGACCAAAAGCATCACCTGGACTTTCAGTAAAGGCACAGATTCCTAGGCTCCACCTTAACCACTGAATCTGAATCTCCGTGAGAAAAGCCTGGGCTCCATGTTTGTGAAAGCCCTGGGTGAGCTTCTGAGAAACATTCTTTAAGGTAGAGGTAGTTCAACTGTGATGCACAACAGAATCTCCATTAAAATACAGATGCTCCCTGTTACCGTTTTAAGGAGCGTTGAAGTAGGCCTGGGGATTCACTCAAGTTTTGAACAAACTCCCCAGGCAATGATCTCCAGAGTCTGAGAACCTCAGCTCATAAGTCTCAGCTTAAATCCTGCCTCCTTCTTGAAGCCTTCTCCAATAAACTGGAACTCAAGTGCCCTCTCCTATATTCTGAGGGTTGTTCTGAGAAATAAAGAATTCCAACAGTGCCTGGCACGTAGTAAGTGCTCAATAAATGTCAATTCTCCTGATCACTTGAGATATTGTCACCATTCTCCTTCATGCTCTGACTACAGAACCTATCATTGTCGATCATGCCTCCAAGAAACTTAAGCAGGTTCGGGTTTTGTCAGCAGGTGGTGAGCCATGGAAGGCAGGCACCTGCACCTTTTCCTAAACATCAGTGTATCCTCCAGGGCATCTGGCTCACTCTTAAGCCCCCGGGAGGTGCTCAGTGAGTAGCTGTAGCATCAGTTGAAAGAGGTGGTATTTTCTGACACATTCGTTGTGAATCCAGAGTAATTATTACCCTTTATACCCCTGGTTGCAGGTCAAAATGTCCTGCCTCTCTCTGAATCCACTTTTATGGGACTGTTTCTATGATGAAGGCAACTTCATCTTTTAAAAAAATTATGTAAATAATATGTGAATATATAATTATTATAAAAATAACACAGATAAAGTGAAATTACCCCTTGATTATTGCCTTCTTATTCCAATCTTTTCTATCAGATATAAACACTGTTATTAGTAGTAGACTGAGCCATATGAAATTGCTACTATTCTACCATTTTTAGCCTATAAGAAGCAATTTCATTGACTCAACAGATTGATATGCATCCTTTCAGAACTCTCTCCTATGCATAGGAGATTTGGTGATTTTAAAGCATGACTATAAATTATTTGATGCTCTTGCCATTACAGGACGGAGTCTATGTCCCATCCTTCTGAATCTAGGTGGTCTTATGCTTGCTTTGACAGTAGAGTAGCATAAGTAACATGATTTTCAAGGCTAGGTCATAAGAGACCATGAAGCTTCTGTTTGTTTGCTGGAACATTCACCCTGGGAACCCTGAGAAACCGTGTAAGAAGTTTGAGGCTGCAATCTTGTGAGGAATCCCAAGCCACATGAAGAAGCCATGTGGCCTCAGTTGACACTCCCACCTGAATCTAGCCTTTGAGTTTTCCTAGTTCAGGGAACAGACATGTATGTGAAGAAGCCTCCAGATGATTCCAGCCCCCTGCCATTTGAGTCAACCTTAAGCCTTTCATGTCTTCCAACCTGGATCCCCAGACATTGTGGAGTAGAGAAATCCACTGCATCCTGTCTGAGCTCTTGATCTGTAGAATCTGTGAGCACAATAAAATGGGTGTTTTTTCATGCCACTATGTAGTAGATGGTTTGTTATATAGCAACAGATAACTGATATAGTAGGATAACACCTGCTTATGCAACGTATGTGAATTCAGCCTATACAGGCTCAGAAAGAAAGAATAAAGTAAGAAGAAAACCTATTTAAATAACTAGAACAGGTGATTCCTCTCCACGGCATATACCTAGATGAGAGTGAGAATGAAATGGGCCATGTGGCTCTCCCAGTGGTTCTCAGCCAAGGGAAATACTGCCCCCTAGGGACATTTAGAAATATTTGGAAGACTATTTCATTGTTCACGGAAGGGAATGGTGATGGTACACACCCAGGGCCAGAGAGGCAGGGATGCTAAACATTCATCCTGCACAGTGTTGCCCAGCATAGAATTGTCCTGCCCTACATTCTTAGATACCTGTTGGGAAACACTATTTGGTCTCAGCTTCAGAGGGCCTTGAATGGGGTGAGCATCCTAAAGACACAAATTTCTTTTTATTTGAACATTGCGGCCCCCAAATGCAGGCTGCCATCTTCATCTGGTACTTGCAGAAACATTAATCTGCTCCAACACAGCAGGAAACAGAGCTGCATTCCACCTAGTAAAGATGGAATGTCCAACCCTGAAGTGCCTCTTTTCTAAGGGATTTTAGAAATAAATGTTGACTGTGTCCAGCTGTCACTGTGCTCACTGAATTGTGTAGAAAGAACCTCTCTCCCATGTGATATTCACTTCCACTACTAGGAAATAGAAAGATTCCATAAATACAGATACATAGAAATATATAGATTTTGTGGGGTTGGTTTTAAAATGATAAGTGATATTAACTTGTCATATTACTTCTAAAATTTTTAAATTTGCAATATATTTTTTGGAAATTTTTGTCTATTAGTACATAAAGATCTACTCAATTCTTTTAAGGTGCTGAACAGTTGTCTATTGTGTGGATACTGTGTAGTTAATTTAAACATTTACATATTAATCAATAATTAGGCATTTTTCCCTAGGCTTTTGTAATCACAAATAATAACACACTAGTGAAAAACCTTGTCCTTGAATTTTTGACTTACCTGAAGGCATTTCCTTGGGATAGGTATCCAAGTGAGGAATTGCTTGGGTGAATATTTATAATCTTAATATAGCTTTCCAAATTGCCCTCCAGAATCGCTGAACTATTTTCCATTCTCATCAACAGCGTTTGAGGATATTAGGGCTCAAAAAAACGATAGTAAAGGCCTCAGAAGCAGCATCAGAAGGAAAGTATCCCTTTGACCTTCTCCTGCCCTCCCGTTTCTCACTCCTCATTCTCCTCCAAGGCAAGCCATAAAAGCTAGAATCCCTCTTCCCCAAGGCAAGTCAGAGAAACCAAAACCCCCTTTCCCCAAAGCCACCCGTAATACCTAAAAATGTGACTCCAGCCTCACCGCACCTTTCCGTGTTACAGCTGGCCATAAAGAAATTTAGATTCTCATTCCAGCAGGGTCCTACCCCATACCTGGGAAGAAGAAATGCTACCACAGAGAGGCCAGGATGAATCTGAACAGACAGGCCTTGCTAGGATTTCCCACTGAGTCTATTACCATCAGCTCAGATCTTTTCTTTTTGTCCAATCGCATTTCTACCTGGTTTACTAGAGAATCTTCTTCATTGAACCTAAGCATAAAGCCAGGTGGCCTTCCCTTTACTTTTGGGTCTTCAATCTGAAGACTTTTGTGTCATGTAAAACTATGATCAAATAAATTGGTTATGGCTTTTCTTCTGTTAAACTGTCTATTGTCAGTTTTGTTTTTGTTTTTTTTTCAGCAGACTTAGACTCAAATACTCAGAAGGCAAGTTTGAACTCCCCTACAAGAATGTCCCAATTGTCTCAGGGCTTTTCTTGGACAGTGAATCTAAAGTCTTAGGAAGTGAAGCAAGAGGAATCTCCTTACCTGTCATATCAGGCAGACAGGGAAGGAATTAGTTCAAATGAATTTAATTTAGTAACTATTTAGCATATTCTATTAAAAAGCACTTTATTGAGAGGTCTCCAAGATGAGACAGCCTAGTCTCTATCCTTAAAGAGCTCTCAAACTCTCCCACAAACAAAATGTAAATGATGACATTTGAAACGGAGTAAGATAGCACAGGGGTTGGTGGTCCAGGACTCCTAAAGGAAAGAGAGCCAGCCATGGGTCTAAGGAGCTATGAAGCTTTTCTAAAGCAGGTGTGCCCCAAACTGCAAAGGATGGAGGGATTTAATTACTTGATGAGGATGAGGTACTAATTTCTTGACGGGCAGTGGCTGGTGTTGGGGCACAGAGACATGTGGCGAGGGAGAGGATGCAGAGGTGGGTCAGAGGCAGATGGCACACGCCATGGGAGCACAGTGGACGTGTATCTGGCACAGCATGGGGCAGATGCAACAGGGACTTATGGCTTGATAACAGAGTACGAGAATAAGAGAAAAGGCACCACAGGGGAAGGCTGAAACCCAGGCAAGTTCTTGCACTATCTAAGAACATGCATAGCCAATACTGAACCACAGAATGTAACCAGTTCAGAGAGATAGCTCCTAAATACGATTATTTCATAAATTGCATCTTTATTAACTTTAATAGCACAGAAAAATTAATTTCACAAAGTACATTACACAACACTTACTTGTAAATCAATGCAAAAAATTGTAGCGTTGGACAACTACTCAACCAGGAGATAAAAACAAAAGGGGAGAAAATAAAGGACAAAATAAAGGTACGTTTTCTGCACAAATAGATGGTTATAGTGTCTGAAATTCCTTTTTCAAATATAAGCCACATGGGTACCAGTGCGTGTGTGTGTGTAAGGGTGTGTATGTACATACATATGTATATATGTGTGTATATGTACATATATGTACATACATATGTATATATGTGTGTATATGTACATATATGTACATACATACCCCTACACACATACATGCAGTGGTACACATGTGAAAATATGTGTGTGTTGTGTGTGTGTATATATATATAATTTATTTATTTATTTATTACTGTTATATATTATACCAATTATATATTTCTTATTGTTAAGAAAATAATAGGCCGGGCACGGTGGCTCACGCCTATAATCCCAGCACTTTGGGAGGCCGAGGCGGACAGATCACGAGGTCAGGAGATCAAGACCATCCTGGCTAACACAGTGAAACCCCGTCTCTACTAAAAATACAAAAAAATGAGCTGGGCGTGGTGGTGGGCGCCTGTAGTCCCAGCTGCTGGGGAGGCTGAGGCAGGAGAATTTCATGAACCCGGGAGGCGCAGCTTTCAGTGAGCTGAGATTGCGCCACTGCACTCCAGCCTGGGTGACAGAGCAAGACTGTCTCAAAAAAAAAAAAAAAAAAGAAAAGAAAATAATAAAGTATTACAAGAATTCAAGAATTAACCACTACATTTAAAGCACCACTTAAGAGCCATTATTGTAAAGGATAATGATGATGACAGTAGCAACAATAATCATCATAAAAATTACAGTGTGTGTCCATGGCCCTTTTAAAGCATTTTCACATTGTTAGCGTGCTCTTTCACAATCACCCTATGGGGTAAGCCAAAGTCTAAATTTTCTGATCACCAAAGTACCAAGCAAGGTTAGCATGAATTAGAGAAGGAATTTTTCACCTGGATTCTAGTCTTCCAAGGTTTCTGGGACAGACTTTGGAATTATTTTATACCTCTTAATTTGCACGCTATACATGACCATGTGCATTTTTCCTAGGAGGGGGTCCATAGATTTAACAAACCCATAGGCCCCCAAAAGTTATGAATCATTGAAATAGAGAAAGAAATAGCTATGAATTTGGCATTATCAAAATGTTGACATTCACAAAATGTTTTGACATTTTTTAAATGTTACAGTAAGATGTATTAATTGATGTTTTTACCTTTAGCTATGCAAATAAAATTAATAGACATGACTTCTACTTCTGACCATGATGGAGTAATCAAGACAAAATTTACCTTCCTAAGGCTAGAAAAACTGAATGCACACACACACATACAAGCACACATACATACACACACTTATAGCAACAGTTTCCAGACATCAAACAACAAGCACCAGAGGAGAGCTATCCTTAAGAGAAGAGGAGAAGGAACAAAAGGAGCTCTGCTATTTCTTCAGCTCACTGCCTGAGAGTTTTCAGACCAAGATGCAGTGAGAGGGAACCACACAGAGCCTGGTGGTCTCACTGAGCGGAGAAAAGAGATTGGAGTTTGAGAAGGCCAGAGTGGCTGAGGTTTGCATGGCAATATACCAAGAGGAGGGAATTGCACAGGTAAATTTGTAAAGGGAATTCCTCTAGTCTTTTTTTTTTTTTTTTTTTTTTTTGACAGAGTCTCACTCTGTCACCCAGGCTGGAGTGCAGTGACATGATCTCAGCTCACTGCAACCTCTGCCTCCTGGGTTCAAGCAATTCTCCTGCCTCAGCCTCCTGAGTAGCTGGGATTACAGGCATGTGCCACCATGCCCAGCTAATTTTTGTATTTTTAGTAGACACAGGGTTTCACCATGTTGGCCAGGCTGGTCTCGAACACCTGACCTCTTGATCCACCCACCGCGGCCTCCCAAAGTGCTGGGATTACAGGCCTGAGCCACCGCACCCGGCTGTTCCTCTAGTGTTTAGCTGAGCATTGATCTGTGTTCACATGGGAGGAAATACCAGAGACCAGAAAGAATGGCCAGAGAGCAGCAGACAGAACCACTCATTGTGCCTACCCAGCACTGGGAATAATTCATTTTCCCACCAGTCAGTGTAGAAACACATGGTATTGAAAGAAATTCTAAGGCAAGTATTGTCACAGTAATAGAGGCAAATCAGTCCTAGTTGCTCCAGTATAAACAGACTCAGAAATTAGAGTTAATAAACAAGAGCATTTTAATAGTCATTATAAATAGCCTCGATATGTCAAAAAGGCAGAGAGAAACATTGGAGAGAAATGGAAGCTATAAAAAAGATTGAATCAAGCTTCTAGAGATGAAAAATACAATATCCAAGCTGGAAAAAATACCAGACGGAATTGACAGCAGATTAGACACTGAAGAAAAAAAGAGAGAGAGAGAGAAAAATTAGTGAACTTGAAGATATGGCAATAGAAACTTTCCAAAATGAAGCATACAGAGAAAAAGAGACTGAAAAAAATGGATGGAGTGTCAGTGAGATGAGGGACAATATCAAGTGGCCCAACATACATGCAATTGGAGTCCCAGAAAAGCCAGAGGGGGATGAGGGAAGGAACATTTAAATAAATAATGGCTAAACATTTTCTAATTTTAATGAAAATTACAAACCTGTGATCCAAGTAGCTCAATAAACCCCAAGCAAAAGACACATGAAGAAAAACATGCCAGTCACAAAATAATCACATTACAGAAAGGCAATGATAATAAAGACAAAATCTTAAAAGCTGCCACAGGAAAAAAAAAAAGATGCATTATTTACAGAGAACCAAAGAAAACATTATCAACAAACTTCTCATCACACGCTATGTAAGCTAGAAGACAATGGAGTGATTTCTTTAAAATACAAAAGAAATTCTATAGTGAGCTAAAAATATTTTTTAAATAATGGTGAGAAAGGGTCTTTTTCAGCCAAGCAAATGCTGAGATAATTTAGTACCAGAATTTATTTCTCATTATGCTGATACACTGGCTGAAGCTCTTCAGTCAGAAAGAAAATAAGACTAGGTCAATCATGTAGCGGAATAAAAGAGCACCAGAAATAGCAAATATGAAAGGCAGTTTTCTCACTTTTGTAAATATTTTTAAGAGATAATTGGCTATGTAAAGAATGAATAACTATAACGTACTGTGGAGTTTAGACCACATGCAGTGTAAAATGAATGATAACAGTAGCATAAGGCATAGTAGGGAGGAAATGAAAGTATAGTGCTACAAGGTTCTGACAATATCCTATTATTTGAGGGGACACTGTGATAAGTTAAAAATGTATATTTTAAACCCCAGAATAGCTATTTGTTTAAATGGACAATGATGAATGGCTAATAAGCTAAAGTAAAGATAAAATAGAATCATAAAAAATACTGAATTAATCCACAAGAAGAAAAGAAGATAAAATAAATGAAGATCATATATGTATTGAAATGAATAGCAGAACAGTATATTTAAATACAACCATATCAGTACTTACAGTAAATGGAAGTGGTCTAAACACCCTCAACTAAAAGACATAGATTGTCAGATTGGATAAAACGGCAAGACCCATCTACATTCTAACTATTTTAAAAAACATTCTAAATATTAAATAGAAAAATTTTAAAAGAATATAAAAAGATACAGCATCCATTTTGGTGGCAGATGTTGATATTAAAGGGAGGTTATGCATGTGTGGGTGCAGAGGGAATATGGAAATCTTTGCACCTTCTCAGTTTTGCTGTAGACCTAAAATTGCCCTAAAAAATAAAGTCTGGATTTTTTTTTTTAGAAAATGGTAAGGCATGCAACCACTAATCAAAAAAAAAAAAATTAGAATGATGGTATGAATCTTAGAAAAAGTAAATTTTAGAACAGAGAATATTATCTGGGATAAAGAGGGACATTTCATAATGATAAAAAGGCCCATTCATGAAGAGAGCAAAAAAAAATGCTAAATGTGCATGGACTTCATAAAAGAACATCAAAGTATATGAAACAATAAATGATATAACTAAAAGAAGAACTAGACATATCTAATTACAGAGACCTCAATATTCTTCTCTCAATAATTGATAAAAACAAGTATACAGATAACATCAGTAAAGATATAGAAGACATGAGCAACATTATCAATGAACTTGGTCTAACCAATGTTTATAGACCATCCTGTCCAACAACAGCAGAAGAGCATTCTTTGAAGTGAACATGGAATATTTACCAAAATAGATCGTATTCTGGATCATAAAACAATCTTTAACAAATTTAAAGAATTGAAATCATATAAATCTCTGACCACAATGGAACTGAATTAAAAATCTATGACAAAACAACAGAAAGATATCTGGAAAATCTTCAAATATTTGAAAATTAAATAACACATTTCTAAATAACCCATGGGTCAAAGAAGAAATAATAAAATTATAAAATATTTTTAATTAAGTGAGAAATGATATCAAATTGTACCCAAATTTGTGAGGTATAGCTGAAGTAATGCTTACAGGGAAATTTATAGTATGAAATTTTTATGTTAGAAAGAAGAAGGGTCTAAGATCAAAGATCTTAGCTTACGCTTTAAGAAACTAGAAAAAGATGCAAAAATTAAACCCAAAGCTAAAAGCTTATCTAAGAAGAACTGGATAAATTGAATAGCCCTGTATCTATTGAAAAAATTAGATTAGTAGCTAAAAACCTTCTCACAAACAAATCGTCAGGCCTAGGTGATCACTGGTGAATTTTACCCAACATTTAAAGATGAAATAATACCATCATACATCAAGAAAAAAAAAAAAAACAGCAAGAGGGAACACTTCCCAACTCAGTTTATGAGTCCACCATTACCCTAATACCAAAACCAGACAAAGAGATTACAAGGAAAGAAAACTACAAACCAATACTTCTCAAAAGTATAGATGCAAAATTACTACACAAAATGTTAGCAAATGAAATTCAGCAATTTATTCTAAAAAATATACCATGACCAGCTGGGTTGATGTCAAAATTGTAATACTGGCTTAATGTTTGAAAATTAATCCATGTAATTCACCACATTAACATACTAAAACAGAAAAACCGTCTGACTCTCTTAATAGATGTAAAAATAATTTTAAAATTTTAACAGCCACTCTTGATAAAAAAAACTCTCAGCAAAATAAGAATAGAAAGGAACTTCCTCAATCTGATGAAACATATCTAAAACTCTATAGCTAACACTATACTTAGTGGAAAAGGTGGAATGCTTCCCCTATAAGAACTGGAGCAAGGTGAAGATGTTCACTGCCTCATTTTATTTGCTATTGCACTAGAGATCTAGCCAGTAAAATAAGGCAAGAAAAGGAAATGAATACACAAAGAAGTTAAAAAGAAATAATTAAAACTGGCTTTTATTGTAGACTAAATGATTACCTTTGTAGAAAATTCTAAAGAATCTACAAAACAGTTATAACTAATAAGTGAGTTTAGCAAGGTCAGAAGATAAAAGGTCACTATACAACAATAATTTGTATTTCTATATATTGCCAAAGAAAATTGGAAATTAAATATGAAAATGCCATTTATGATAGCATCAAAATTGTGAGAATTTTTTAAGTGCAAGACCTGTACACGAAGAACATTTCTGAGAAAACTTAAAACAACCTAAATAAATGGAGAGATACATCATATGCTCATTGACTAGAAGATTCACTATGATGATGATGGTGACGTCCGTTCTCCCTAGTCAAATTCCCAGCAAGCTGTTTTTGAAAAATTCACAACCTAATGATAGAAACACAAAGGACTTAGAATAGCAAAAACAATTTTTAAAAAGAAAAAGTTGGAGGCCTTACAATTATTTGATTTCAAGATATTATAAAGCTGAAGATATCAAGACTGTGTAGCATTTGCATAACAACACAGAAGACAGTGTCTACAAATTGACCCACGCATACATGGTCAATTAAATTTCAACAAAGATGTCAAGACAATTCAATGGAGAAAAGATAATCTTTTAAATAAATTATCCTCGAACAATTGGATATCCGTATCTAGACCCTTCCCTCATACTATGTACAAAAATTAACTCCAAATGGATCATAGACCTAAATGTAAAAGCTAAATTATAAAACTTCTAGAAAAAAATAGGAGAAAATATTAATTCTTTGAGTACAGCAAAGTCTACTTAAATAGGCAAAGATTATTTATGTCTTTAGAACTTAAAAACTTAAAGTTCTTTAGAGTAAATGTGAAATATAAAAGAAACAATTGATAAATTTAACATCAAAATTAAAACCTTTTAATATTTGAGATACTGATAAGAAAATGAAAAGGCAAACCATAGACTGGGAGAACCAAATACCTACCATATGGTCTCACTTATAAGTGGGAGCTGAATAATGAGACCGCATGGAAACAGGGAGGGGAAGAACATACACTGGGTCCTGTTGGGGGAGACCTGGGGGAGGGGAGGAGCATCAGGAAAAATAGCTAATGCCTGCCAGGCTTAATACCTAGATGATGGGTTCATAGGTAATGCAAACCACCATGGCACACGTTTACCTATGTAACAAACCTGCACATCCTACCCATGTACCCCAGAACTTAAAATAAACCAAACCAAACCAAAATAAAATATTTGCAAGATGTATATTTGATAAGAGATTTGCGTCCAAAATATATGAAGAACTCCTAAAACTCAATTGTATGAAATCAAAATATCCAACAAATATGAGCAAGGGATTTGAACAGACATCTCACCAAAGTATATTTAAGAGGATGGCAAATAAGAATATGAGGGCCAATAAGATGCTGAACAACAATAATCATTAGAAAAATAGCAAATCAAAACCACTATGGGGTATCACTTCACATTTTTTCATATGGCCATATTTAAAAAGTATTGGGGGGAATGTGGAAAAACTGAAATTCTCATATATTGCTGAGAGAGAATGCAAAATGTTAGTCACTCTGGAAAACAGTTTGATGATTTCTTATAAAGTTACACTTACCATATAAGCAAGCCACTAATTCCATTCCAAGGTATTTATTAAAGAGAAATAAAAGCTCATATCCACCTAGAAAGACTTGTATGTGAATGTTTATAGTAACTTTATTCATTGCCTAAAACTAGGAGGAGCCCAAATGTCCATCACCTGTGAATCGTGGCATACCCATAAAATGAAATATTACACAGCCATGGAAAGGAATGAGCTCCTGATACAGGCAACAACATGAATGACTGTCAAAAGCAATATGCTAAGTGTAAGGAGGTAGACACAAAAGTTTCCATGCTGAGTGACTTCAATTTTATAAAACTCTAGAGCAAGCAAAACTATAGTGACAGAAAGCAGGTGCAGGGTTGCCAGTGGTCAGGGGGTGGTGAGAAGGGATCCGCTGTAAAGGGACACAAGCAAGCTCCTGGGGTAACGGAATGTTCTATTTCACATTGGTGGCGGTGGTTACAAGACTACATACGTTTGTCCAAACTCATTGAAATGTACACTGAAATTGATTAATTTATCTTACGTAAATTATGCCCCAATAAAACTGACAAAGCAATTACATCCAAAAAGTCACAATCCAATTAGCTAAGAGTTACCTAATTACAATGAGTTCAAAATAGTTTCTACAAACCACTGTGGTTCTCAGAGATAAATGGATTTGTTCTAAGATGACAGCAAACTCCAGGGCATTTAGTGTAACTGGGGGAAGAATAGCACACTGAAAGTATTGGGAATCTTTGAATGAAAGAACCCAGGAATCACATCAGAGACTTGGAAGCCACCTCAGAGCTTCCAAGAAATCCCTTTAATCTTGTAGGGATCCAATTTACACACATACACACATACACTCATACATGCATGTACACATACATGAATGTACACACACACATATATATGCACACACATATACACACACACGTACTTTTTTTTATTATACTTTAAGTTTTAGGGTACATGTGCACAACGTGCAGGTTTGTTACATATCTATACGTGTGCCATGTTGGTGTGCTGCACCCATTAACTCGTCATTTAACATTAGGTATATCTCCTAATGCTATCCCTCTCCCCTCCCCCCACCCCACAACAGGCCCTGGTGACACACATGTACATTTTTAATGACTATTGTATTGATATAAGATGGCCAATTAGGTTTTACTTTTTTTTTAAAGTTACAGATTGAAGTAAATGGTTCCACCACTATTATATTGGAGCAAACTGCATCACCTTGAACTTGCTTAATGATAGCCAATCCCCTTAACATGGGCTGCAACAGAGCAGGAAATGATTGATTTTTAATGATGTGTACAATATGTAAAGGATGTATTTAACCCTGTGTGTACACATACATGGGCAGGGGATTTGGCAATATATTTTTTCACTGTATAGGGTCAGGTTGCATGTGCCAAATAGCAGGGAGAATTCCTCTGAGACCCATAAATCCAACATCTGACTGACACCCCACCTGGATGTCCAAACTGCACTCATGCTCTTCTGCCTACCACCTGGACTTCTTCCAGAGTTCCCTCCCTCCAAGGCCACAATCCAGAAACCAGGGGGTCACTCCTGTTCATCTCAACTTCCACATTCCATCTTTTCTAATATCTGGTCTTCTTGATTTTACCTTCTGATCGTCCCCAGACCTTCCCGCTTCTCTCCATCTGACCACACTATCCCTGTCCAATCCACCATCACCTCCCTCCAGAGGGGCTGTGTTAGCCTTCTCATGGGTCTCTGTGTTTCCATTAGTGCCTTCTATCCAGCCTCCTCACTGCAGCCAGATGGGTCTTTAAAAATGTAAATCTGTGTGTGATTATTTGATTAACGTCTGTCTGCTTCCAACTGTACTACAGAACACACCATGTTTGTTTTGCTCACAGGTCCTAGGACAATGACTAACACACAGTAAGTGATTCATAAATATTTGTTAAATAGAAGAAAGTGTGGGAGGATTAACTGATTTCATGAGGATAAAGTAATCAGAGGGACAATGCTGAAAACAACATCTGGGCCCACATCAGCCTCCAGTGATGCTGTGATGAGATATGAGTCTAATATAAAGTTGTCATTTCCAATCACACTGGGTTCAGGAGAAAGTCTTTGAAATTAATGACCAATATGTGCATGTTTACACATATTGGCTTCTGTAACATTCCCAGATCTAAGTCTTTCTAATGCTGCACACTCCAAGGCATATCAATAAACTCTTTGCTACCTGAAAGCACAATAAAGATGCATTAGCATCAGCTCTTATGTATAGACCACTTATTCTGAGCCAGGCACCATGCTAGTCACTTGCATAAATCACTTCTCTTCAATACCATTCATGTTGCTCATCATCTCACTTTTCAGATGAGACATGAGACAACTAAGGTTTCAGAGAGGTTACTAAACTTGCCCAAAGGCACACAGCTGGCAAGTAACAGAGATAGAATTCAATTCTAGGTAGCTGATTCCAGAACACACATATTGATTTCCACATTTATTTTCTACTAAAATGTATCAAATCAATATCATGCTCATCAATGTTATTTATAGGTACACAGTTATGCCAAATTGATAACCTATGAGAAAGTGCTCTATGTACAGAACAATCAAGACCATGATGCAAAGATTCTACATGGCTAAAGATCAACAAGAGGCCAGGGATGGGTGAGGACAATTAGGTTTTGTTCCCTGGGGACAGCCTGGACTTTTAATGTCTGAAGAGGTGGCAGGGAAACCTCCCGAGTCGCTGGGACTACAGGTGCCCGCCACCACACCCGGCTAATTTTTTGTATTTTTAGTAGAGACTGGGTTTCACCGTGTTAGCCAGGATGGTCTCAATCTGACCTCATGATCCACCCGCCTCGGCCTCCCAAAGTGCTGGGATTACAGGCGTGAGCCACCACGCCTGGCCCTTGTATTTGATTCTAATTATATTTCTTGAAACATAGTAAATGTTCATTAAGTGTAAGTGGGAGGTAAAGTGGGAGGGGTACTTAGAGAGGTGAGACCAATCTGCCTTGACCAGATCGGATTTCTACTCTGGAAATATGAGAAATACAGGTACAAAGAAAGGCTCCTGATCCAGATCAGCTAGGAAAGCACAAGAAAAAGAAATAGGATGCTCAGGAAAAGTGAGGTCCAGGCATATGGAGGTTCGGCAAAAACACACATTAACTGCTGCTTCATGGTGCTCGGACTTGGCCCGAAGATTCAGATGCTGCAGCACTCGGTCTAATTTTGTTATCCTTCCTGGGCAGGGCTTCCTTGATCAGATGCCCAGAACACACTATTAACTCTCCCCACAGGATGCAATCAAGGGTTGACTTGCATCTCCGGGCAGTCATTTAAGAAGGCAGGCTCAGAAATCTACTACAGGCCTGGCCCTTGTTGTGAAATAACAAGGAAGGGTGTCAGCTCTCCACATCTTGCAATATTGCTCCCCCTTGCCTGGACTATCTTGTCAAAGTATGGAGGCAATGGTGGTTTTCTCCTCCTTTAAGAAGAGGACATGCAGTAAGAGACTGGATTTAAGATATCCCCGAAAGGTAGGATTTGATTCCAAGCACACCTCAAGAATCAGCCTCAGTATATAAAAGGCAGTCCTCACAAAACCACAGCTTGATCACTTAGAAGAGAATAAATACATTCATATTATTGAATGATGCTGCTTTACCACTCAGGGATGAACACACCATGGAACGTTTGGTGGCCAGGCAGCCCCATCAGAGAGATGCTAGAAGGAACAGAGTGGGCTGGGCATAGTGGCTCATGCCTGTAATCCCAGCACTTTGAGAGGCAGAGACGGGAGGATCACTTGAGCCAGGAGTTTGAGGCCAGCCTGGGCAACATAGTGAGACCCTGTCTCTACAAAAATAAAAATAAAAAAATTAGCTGGGGGCGATGGCACACACCTGTAATCCCAGCTTCTCAGGAGGCTGAGGTAGGAGGATCAATCAAGCCCAGAAGATTGATCTAGCCCGGAAGGTTAAGGCTGCAGTAAGCCTTGATTGGACCACTGCACTCCAGACTGGACAAAAGAATGAGACTATGTCTCAAAAAACAAACAAAACAAAACAAAGCAAAAGGGACAGAGTGCACACAAGTGTCTATGTGTCCTCAAGTTGAGTGCTGATGTCACACTGATCATTTAAATCAGGGATTGGCCACAGACCTTCAGACAATAAGTAAACACATGGTTGTGGATATGTACCAGTAGAATTTTATTCATGCGCACTAAAATTTTGATTTCACATGATTTTCATGTGCCATGAAATAATTATTATTCTTTTGGCTATTGCAAACCACTTGAAAATGTGAAACCATTCCTAGCACACGAGCCATACAAAAACAAGCAGAGGATGAGATTTGACCCATTGGCCATACTCGTGATTTAAATCATCCTAGGTATGGCTCATCAACTGGGAAGAGCTGTTTAAAATGTATGCAACAAGCTCATCCTTAAGTCAGCTCTCCTGTGTCCCAGGGTGGTACCGAGTGGTCATATCACAGATAATGTACTGCAGTTCACGGCCATCTTCAACAACGGGGCCCCAAGTGGAAGATTAATCTCCAGGAGTGCTTGGACATGGCCATTTTAATTAACACCTAAATTTAATTGACAACTAATAGCCAGCAGGCTTTTCTGCTTAATAAAGCAAACAAAGGATTTATTTGAAGAAGGATGAGGTTTTAAATTTAATTCCTTAAAAAAAAAAAAACCAACACCATGTGTGTCCATAGAGTGATGGAAAGAGATGTATCCATTGGATAATTTTTAATTAAGGTGAATGAACCCTTGCTAGCTAAAAGGTTTTCTTAGGGGAAGGGTCTCAAACTGTTAACACATCAATATGTTTCTGTCCATTAGCTTTTCCCAGGGTGACAAGTATGGCCTTAACAGCAATTTGAAGGAAGGTTCTTTCTGTATCTTCAGGGCTGTTTAGTGCTGAGGTCTTAGAAACCATGGAAACTTCCCTGGGGGGGTCAAACTTCAACTGTAGCTCTTAATGACAAATCATTACCTGGGGTTGTCAAAACAAGTTACACAAGCTGGCTATGTGCTGGGCCTATATTCCGAGCAGATACACAATACTCAAAGCTCTATGTGCTACCGAAGCTTTTACAGAAAAGAGTCATGCAGAAAACGCTCACGCCAGCATCAACCGCATGTTATGCATCATGCTGCACATACAGTATCTCATTTAATCCTCAAAATGACCAATGAAGTAGGTACTGAAGGAGCCTGGTATGTCACCCTCAAATATGCCACTTGGACATAAAAATTGTCTTTGAGCTGAAGGCAACTAAGAAGCAACAAATACAGCAAAATCTCTCTCTACCCACCCCCTTTTCTGCCTAAGGGCAGGATATAAATTCTCCTTACTGGAGATGACTCCAGATTCTTACAGCACCAGAGGAATCCACAAACAAACCTTACTCCATTAGTTTCCCCCGTGTATTTCCCTTCCCACATTTTCCCAGTCTTAGAAGCCTAAAACCACCTTCCTGTGTCCTGTCATTTCTCTGCTAATGTATTATCCTTTGTGAAAGATTAGTTATATGAGAAGGAGCTCTAAGCCACCTCTTCAAGTTACTCATTCCTTGGGTATTTCCAATGAACATATGAGATATACATATTAATAAACTTGTTTGTTTTCCTCTTGTCAATCTGTCTTTCATTATAGGGACCCCAGCTGAGAACTTAGAAGGGTAAAAGGAAAAGGATTTTGTTATGGTCTGAATGTTTACATCCCCCCAAAATTCATCTGTTGAGACCTAATCACCAATGTGATATTAGAAAGTGGGGCCTTTGAGAGTTGATGGGATCATGAAGATGGAGCTCCCATCAATGGCAGTGATGTCTAATATACTTTGGATATCTGTCCCCTGCAAATGTCATGTTGAAATTTGATCCCCAGTGTCGGAGGTGGGGCCTGATGGGAAGTGGTGGGGGTTTGGGTCATGGGGGCGGGTCCCTCATGAATGGCTTGGTGCCAGCCCAAGTATTGAATGAGTTCTCTATATGCTCTATTCCTTCACGGGAAAGCTGGTTGTTTAACTCTTTTCCCATTTGCTCCGAGAATACTCACCCGCAGCACTTGCAGCTGTACCCAGCATTTACCCAGAGATAACTTTCCCACGAAATAGTTTGCTTTTATTATTATTTTTGCATTGCTGTGAGTATATCGACTTTGGAAGCAAAAGACATCATTCCGTTTCTAGCATTCTGGTTTTAGTACTGGTATTTCCATTTACAAAATATAGTAATCCTCGGCCGCTGAAAATGTCAAATCCTAGAACACGTAGCATTCCTACACGTGATGTTAACATCGCTCTGGAACAGTTGCTGGCCAAAGATTCATTTGATGAGTCTGATTTTTTCCAAAATAGACGATTCTGATGATTCAGATGATTCTGACGTGAGTTCTGTTAAGAAGTAACTCCAAGAACAGTTTTTATGTTTTATTTTCACATTGAATATCAGTCAGATTTGCTTCAGCCTCAAAGAGCTTGTTGATGTAAAATTAAATGACTGCCAGCAGCAAGCTGCACTTTGTTTTCTAAACGTGAAAAGAGTTAAAGAGCCTGGCACCTCCCTGCTCTCTCTTGCTCCCTCTCTTGCCATGTGACATGTCTGTTCCTTCTCTGCCTTCTGCAATGAGCTGACGCTTCCTGAGGCCCTCCCCAGAAGCCAAGCAGATACTGGTGCCATGCTTGTACAGCCCGCAGAATCGTGAGCCAAATGAACCTCTTTTCTTTATAAATTACCCAGTCTGAGGTATTCCTTTACAGCAACGCAAAATGGACTAACCCAGTGCCCTTATAAGAGAGACCCCAGAGGCCGGGCACGGTGGCTCACGCCTGTAATCCCAGCACTTTGGGAGGCTGAGGTGGGCGGATCACCCTGATGTCAGGAGTTCAGGACCAGCCTGTTCAACATGGTGAAATCCCGTCTCTACTAAAAATATAAAAATTAGCCAGGTGTGGTGGCGCGTGCCTGTAATCCCAGCTACCAGGGAGGTTGAGGCAGGAGAATCGTTTGAACCCAGGAGGCAGAGTTTGCAGTGAGCTGAGATCGCACCACTGCACTCCACCCTGGATGACAGTGAGACTCCATCTCAAAAAAACAACAAAAAAGAGAGGCCCCAGAGAGCTGCCTTGCCCCTTCCATCCTGTGAGGACACAGTGAGAAGGCGCCGTCTATGAACCAGGAAGCTGGCCCTCACCAGACACTCAATCTGCCGGTGTTCCAACTCTGGACTTCCCAGCCTGCAGAGCTGTGAGAAATATGTTTATGCTGTTTATAAGTTCCCCTACTTTATGTTATTTAGCTAGAGCAGCCCAAATGGACTAAGACAGATTTGGTCCCTCTCTTACAGCACCATTAATATTTCTATTTTTAAGATAGGGAAACTGAAGTTCAGAAATGATAGATGATTTGCTCAAGGTCTCTCAACAAAATACTTATTAAATGCCTGTTGCTGCCAATCACGATGCTGAATGCTGTGGATGGAGTTTAGATCTAGCGGGATAAGCAGACACTCAAATAATTACACAGGCACATGTATAATTATGAACAAGAATAACTGCCAGGAAGAAAGAGGTTGGGGAGTGGCAAGAGTGTACATCAGCTCATCAGTGCCAGCCATGTGTCCTGACCCCAAAGCCATTTGATTGCTAAACCACATGGAGAAGTAAAAATACAGAAGGTGCAAGAATACATGAACCCCTTAACGATCATGTGTCTTTTCTAGGGCCACCGTAACAGATCACCACAACAAAGTGGCTTAAAACAACAAAAGCTATTCTCTCGCAGTCTTGGAGAACAGAAGTCCAATGTCAGCAGAGTTGCTTCTTTCTTGGGGCCTCCCAGGGAATAGCAGTTCCACACCTTTCTCTCCGTGGCAGGCGGCTGCCGGCAACTCTTGGCATTCCCTGGCTTGGAGATGCATCACTCCAATCCCTGCCTCCATTTTCACATTGCTTTCTCCCTCTGTGTCGGTCTTGGTGTGTCTTCTCTCCGTGTAAGAACTCCAGCCATATCCCCCCACCCCAGTGACCTCTTTTTAACTTAGATTTCATCTGCAAAGATTATGTTCCTAAATAAGATCACATTCACAGGTACCAGGGCTTAGGATTTCCACATATCTTTTTGGGAAACACAATTCAACCCATAACAATTATCTACACCATCTTTTGGTTTCTTTTTTCTCTTCAAAGATTCCAGTATCACCGCAGAGCCTGAAGGAATCAATACAAGGTCCATCTTCCAGGTCTGAAAAAGCAATCCAACCCCAATTGAATGATGGACAGTTTAACTGCTGCTGCTGCGATCAAGGGGCTGAGGGACAGAGACGGCCAGGAAACAATGCTGAAGAAAGATCTTTTGAGTAACATGTAAGTCTTTTGCAGCAGCACCCATCTTAAGGGTGTCTTCTTTGCCTTCCCAAAGTCAAAGGGGTCTAGAAAAAACCTTTTCATTACTTACCATGGGGACAGCCCTTTACAGACATTTTTTGCAGAAGACATTTTTAGGAGAGAAGAGTCCCACCAACGGCATCTTGGCACTCTATGGACGGTGACAGTGGCAAGCCAATAGCAGAACGAACACCTGGGATCAAAGAACTGTCAAGAACGAAGTCCACATGGGAACAGCCTAAAGCCCCATGTAACACAGAGGCTGAGTTCTGAGAAACTGAGAACCTTCCTGGCAATCACAAGGTGGCCCGAGGAAGCAACTGGTCAAGAGAGACCCATTCCAGAGATGAAGAGCAATCAGGAAGTAAAATTAGGGCTGAGAACGGGGACCCTAAAGGCTGGAGTCCTAGACGTGTATGAATCAATCACACCACTTGGCCAGCCGTGCATCCCAGGGCAAGCGACAGTCCTCCTCTGCACAACGGCATCCTCACCTTGCATCTTTAGTTCCACGCTCAGCCATTCATGGGCTGATTCTACAGAACCTAGTGTGCCTCAGGGCCCCACAACCAGCTCACAGTGCACCACAGGAGAGTTGAGAGCAGGAGCCTGCAAACTTTTTATAGAAAAGGTCAGATAATAAATATTTTAGGCTTTGCAGGCCTCTCAGTCTCTGTCACAATTACTGAATTCCACCGGGGTCAGGTGAAAGCAGCCATAGGTAATATGCACAACAGTGGTTCTCAAGC
Organism: Homo sapiens; assembly: GCF_000001405.40. Taxonomy (NCBI): domain Eukaryota; kingdom Metazoa; phylum Chordata; class Mammalia; order Primates; family Hominidae; genus Homo; species Homo sapiens. The sequence goes on along the minus strand of NC_000001.11, from coordinate 14,076,657 downwards.
AGGGGTGGTTTTGCCCTGCAGAGGACATCTGGCCATATCTGGAAGCATTTTGGGTTGTCACAACTAGAAATGTGAACTAGTTTGCTAGGGTTCTCCTAACCAAGTACCACAGACTAGGTGGCTTAAACAATCAGAATTTATTGTCTCACAGTTCTGGAGGCTGTAAGTCTGAGATCAAGGTGTTGGCAGGGGTGGTTCTTTCTGAGATGTGATGGAGAATCTGTTCCTTGCCTCTCCCCCAGCTTCTGGCAATCTTCTGGCATTTGCTGGCAATCTTCAGCACTCCTTGGCTTGTGGATACATCACCCTGATCTCTACCTTCATCTCTCTTCACAGTGTGCTGACCTGTCTGTGTGTCTACCTTTCCCTTTTTTTTTTAGACGGAGTCTCGCTCTGTCACCCAGGCTGGAGTGCAGTGACGTGATCTCGGCTCACCGCAACCTCCACCTCCCGGGTTCACGCCATTCTCCTGCCTCAGCCTCCCGAGTAGCTGGGACTACAGGTGTGTGCCACCAAGCCCAGCTAATTTTTTGTATTTTTAGTAGAGACAGGGTTTCACCATGTTAGCCAGGATGGTCTCAATCTCCTGATCTCGTGATCCACCTGCCTCAGCCTCCCAAAGTGCTGGGATTACAGGCATGAGCCACCGCGCCCAGTCTACATTTCCCTTTCGTATAAATCCCACCCTAATGACCTCATCTTAACTGTTTACATCTGCAAGAGCCCTCTTTTTAAATAAGGTCACATTCCAAGGTCCTAGGGGTTAGAACTTTCCCATATGAGTTTGGGGGGACGGGAACACCATTCAACTCATAACAGGGTGCCACTGACGTCCGGTGGGCAGAGGCCAAGGATGCTGCTAAACATCCTACAGTGTATAGGGCAGCCCCACAGCAAAGAACTATTCAGCCCAAGTGTTGCTGCTCTCCCTGGTGCAGACTGTCTTGGGTAGGTGGCTTCGGAACAGGATGATTTTCCCCGGGAAAGAGCAAAAACAATCATTTTTCAAGGAACTGCGTTTTTGTTCTGAGCATGCATGGGTATAAAAATTTGGATGACTTTTTTTTAAAAGTCTGCCCACATTAGTTTATTTTAAAGTAACAAAATGTCTTCTGCCCCCTTTCTGTTCCATGCCAACCCCTTATCTGTACTGCTTCTATGTTCCCAAGGAGTGTGCTTCTGCTGTTTTATTTTTTGCACCTTGATGTGTGCTGAGGTAGATTAATACACCTTCTAAAGAAATTCATTTTCTCTTCTCTTGCGACAAAGGTGATCCACAGGAGAAATAAATCATGGGAAACAACCATTAGCGCAAGAGTGAGTTCTGCCAGGGGTGGCAGAAGGCACCTCCGCTGCAGTTGCTTTAACTTATGTGTATTTCAGCACCAAGACCAAGTGGTGAATAAAAATTAAAATTAACATTTAAATGAACTCTGATTGCACTGAGGATTTTTGTAATTCTCATGGGTAAATGTTACACTAAAAAGACCAGGTATTTATATTCAAATTCCCCATTATACAACCACTTAATACAAATAATTAGCAATATGAGCCAAATATTTCATTCCTGGCAGCCCCCTCACCCCATCTTTTTTTTCCTTCAGTGACCAAAAACACAAGGAAACTCTTCTCAAATAAGAAATAAGTCGTAGATCTAAAAGTATTTCCTCTCCTAACTTCTGCACAAAATCAAAGTTTAACATGAGTTGACACGAATGAAAGCAAACACATTTCACTTAGAGGGTGGAAAAGCAAATTACAGATGACCTAGTCCAACACCTTTATTTAATTGATGATAAAATCGAGGCCCAGAGAGAAGCAATTTGTCCCTAAGACATGGAGTAGGTTATTGGCAGAGGTGGGCTTGGAACCCAAGTCCCTGCATCTCAGTCCGTTGCTAATAAAAATGTATGCAATTAGGATTCTTTTTGACACCTCATTAATGCTTAAAAGCCCTTAGATACACTTGAGACCAGTTCTGCCCTTAGACCTGGGCTAGAGGGTCCCCTGTCCTAGGCTGTCCTCTGTAGAGGGCCCTGCTCTAGTCCCCTCCCAGATGTGCCCCCCAACTCTCCCTGCACCCTCCCACAGCTGTCCAGACCTCTAAGTACCCGGGACCCCAGAATTTCTGTCAAACGACCCCAAGCCTTCTTCTAAGACTGCGACAGGCTTTTCCCCAGGTCCATCCCCAGGAGAGGGTCCCATTGCTGATGTGTGTCCACCCCTCAGCTGGAGATGGTCAAGGGGTGCTGGTTTGCAGAGGATGTAGACAGATCTTGGGCATGGAGGTTAGGATATCCACATGTATGTTGGTGAGGAGGGGCTCCTTGTGAGGTGGCACAGAGTCAGGGTTGAAGAAAGGGGCTGGGGGCTGGGGGCTGGGAGCCAAAGACGGCTTTCCCCAGTAGCCATGAGCACAGACTATTGTGGAGTTCAGACGCTGTGTTCAAACCTGGCTTTCCAGGTGCATTTGTGAGGTAGGGGGATGGAACATATTTCACTTAGCAGTCTGTTAGCTGAGTTGGTAATTCTCACATATTTAGACATATAGTGTGTGGGCCTTCCTTTGTACTATTGTCCAGGGCCCTGCAAATGTTAGGGGTGTGTAGTTTGAGACAGAGCAGCAGCCTGAGGGCCGGACTGGACCAGCAGAAATATTTTGTTCTATTTCCAGAATGTTCACCAAGACAGACAGATAAAAGATAAAACCAGAAATACCATTTGACCCAGCAATCCCATTACTGGATATATACCCAAAGGATTTTAAATCATTCCACTATAAAGACACATACACATGTATGTTTATTGCGGCACTGTTCACAATAACGAAGACTTGGAACCAACCCAAATGTCCATCAATGATAGACTGGATAAAGACAATGTGGCACATTTGTACCATGGAATACTATTCAGCCATAAAAAAGATGAGTTCATGTCCTTTGCAGGGACACGGATGAAGCTGGAAACCATCATTCTCAGCAAACTAACACAAGAACAGAAAATCAAACACCGCATGTTCTCACTCATAAGTGGGAGCTGAACAATGAGAACACATGGACACAGGGAGGGGAACATCACACACCAGGGCCTGTTTGGGGGTGGGGGGCTAGGGAAGGGATAGCATTAGGAGAAATACCTAATGTAGATGACAGGTTGATAGGTGCAGCAAACCACCATGGCACATGTATACCTATGCAACAAACCCGCACATTCTGCACATGTATCCCAGAACTTAAAGTATAATAAAAAAAATTGTTTTAAAGATAGGTAAAATAATAAAATGAAATAAAATAGAAAAGAATCTGAACATCTTCTGTTCCCAATTCCACATAGCTCCCTGCATGCATTGATTCCTGGTACACTAGAGTTTGTGGCCACTGTCAAATTCTTCAGCTCTCCTGACATACACAAGGTTAATCTTTCCTGTTCCTATCTCTACATACTCACTGTCTTGGGTTCTCAGATTTCAGAAAGCAATATAAATATTGATAGCCTCTTCTCTTTCTTTCTCAAATGTGGTTCTTGTTGCATTCAGTTGCAAAGCTGATCACAGGTGCCTTGGGTGAGATGTGCGTTCTTCTCCACTGCCTTACCCTGCCATCATTCACTATGTTTTAGCTCCTTCCACCATGACCTGAAGGAGTAACTTTTATAGATTCAGAACCAGCCCTGATCTAAAAAGACTCCCATCAGTGGGATCAGCAGAGTAGGTAAATGGCCTCGAGAATCTACAATTTTTTCTCAGTGGTAGTAAATTCAGAAAGGCAAGCAGGTCTCTGAATTAGTAGGTGAGGAGAAAGTATTTCTGGGCATCCCTAGGTGCCAGACACAAAACACACATCATCTCATTTCGCCCTTACACATCGCAGGAGGGAGGTGTCATTGTTCCAGTTTACAGGAGAGGAAAGCAGAAGTCCAGAGTGATTAAGCAACCTGTCATGGGTCACGCAGCTGGAACTAAAGCTAGGACTCAAACCTAGGTCAGTATGACTTAGGTGTGCACACTCGTTCTGTTTTCCTCAGCCGCCTCTCACCAGTGGAAGGATACCAGGGCTTTCATAATTATTATTGTAAAATGTTTTGCACACACCTTTCCCACATTTGATATGCATTACAACCCTAGGAGACGAGTAGTATTAGCCCCCTTTATAGGTAGGTGGAGGCACAGAGTGTTGGAGAGGTCTTGCCCATGCCATCCCAGTTGGTAAGTGGTGAAATCCCCAGCCAACATGGAGTCATTACCATCTTTCCGAGGCCCTGGAAGAAATAGATGGAGGAGCACCACAGCTGGGGCTTGCCCTCTCTTGACTCAGAACCAAGTCCTCCTGGTCCTAGATGAAAAAGCCCTAGCAAATTGGAGAAGCAAAAACACAACACAAAACTAAAAACACTAAATGACATTTAATTTACAATAAGATCACATGAACTGAGCACTCATCGCACTAGGCCCTGTGCAAAAAGACAACTTTATAATGTAAATATCATCATCATCACCATCATCATCCTCATCCATCATCACCATTTGTCACCATCATCCCCATTTCACAGGTGAGGATACAGAGGCATGAAGAGATCAAATTACTGCCTTAAGTTAGCAAAGTTAGAACTTGCTGGGATAGTATTTCAGTCCAGATGGTTCCACCTGAAACTCTGCATTCTTGATACTTACCCTAAACAAAGAGCCACCAGATACTACAAACATGACTGATGAGATAAAACAGAAACTCAGGAAGATCCTGAGGGTCTCCAAGCCTTGTAGTTGGGAGGAGCAGAATTCTTGCAGCTCAGGTTTCCTTAGTGGGCTATTCCCACCTGCTCAGGCAGAACCGCCAGCTCTTGCCAAGCACCCTTCCCTCACCACAAGTATTTCTGGGAGACCACAAGCATTTCTGGGAGTCCACAAAGGCTGCCTGACATGTGCTAAGCACCACATCCTTCATGCCCTTCCACCAGAGCTCCTTGGGAGAGATTGCTGCAGGAGGTGCCCGCTAGCGACACACCTGTACCTGCTGAGGACACACCATGTCCAAGTGAGGATGCTGCCCCCATCTTCCCAGAGCTGCCAGCACTCACAATGCTGACAGGATGCTGAGTTCCATGCAGAAGCAGGAGGGTATCCTCTCTACACAAATATACATTGGGAAATATCTTGTCATGTTTGCAGAACCATACAAAATCTGTCATGGAAAGAGCTCAGTTTGTTTCTGACTGTAGCAACCCTTTGTACTCTTAGAACCTATGAGATCAGGCAAAGCTCAAGAGGGCATGCTCCTATGCCTGTCCCCAGAATCCTCTGTTCCTTCAGCCAGCCAAACAGTCCCCCCAGACTCCAGCCCAAGGTGATTAAAGCAAAGACATCAGGGGGTCCACAGGGTCAGAAACATAGATGAGACCTACTAGTTCCCCAAACAGACCCTGAATCCCAGTTTGGGTCCATTTAACTGCAGGCAAGAGTGACACCTGCAGCTAAACTCTGTGTCCTGAGTCCCTTTCCTACAGCTGTCTTGTGCTTGACCCCTTCCTTTACTATATGATTGTACACATGGGCTTCAATCCAGCTCTGGGAGTAAAAGGAACCCTGGGTTTCGCCCATGGGTGGGGTTTATGCCTGTGACAATCAGCCCAGTGAAAGAGAATTACCCATGGGCTGCAGTCAGGGAGACTCAGGTTTGGATCCTAACTCAACGACTTATTCGATATGACACCATGGGCAGCTTTCTTAACCTCTCTGTCCTTCCACTCTCTGCTGTGCAATGGAATGACGATACCTCGATTTGAGTATCTGTAACATTCAGATAAGGCATGGTCTGTGGCTGTTTTTATGATTTAGGTGAATCAAACACAGTTCAGTAACACTTGGGTACATTTAGCTGTTGGCATTGTGAGGGCTGGCAGCTCTGGGAAGATGGGGGCATTTTAGCCAAATGCTTTAAAACAATATGTGTAGCTCACAACCTTGAAAGCCATACGTGTACGAAAGTGTCACCTTTTGAACTAGCACACATATATGGTAAGTTCCCAATTCTTTAAGATGTTTAATATCAGACATTATTTCTCTCAACAATAATGGTGGCCACAGCACTGTAGAAATGACTTTTTTTACAGTGGGATGGGAAAGAAGCATCATGTAAATCCTCATCATTAAATCCAAACGTCTTTCCTATTTAACTCTGTGCTGCTTGTCTGCCTTTGAATTATTCTTGCAAGTCAAGACTGTTATTTCACCACTACTGAATTTCTGATATCTTTCTGATTAGGGTGTACTGGAATGATTTTCTTTTCTGTATGTATTTTCTGTATGTGGATTTGTGAAATTCCTTACAAATATTAGGCTGTTTTTGCAATAAATAAGAAGGTGGTTTTTGCTCACATTTCAAAATAAGCTAATAAAAAAAACCTTAATCCCTTCACCTCCCTTTAATTTTCATACCTTATTTGTCTCCTCCCTCTTTTCTTATTTTTATTTTATTTATTTACTTTTTTTTTTTTTGAGATGGAGTCTCGCACTGTCGCCAAGCTGGAATGCAGTGGTGCGATCTCGGCTCACTGCAACCTCCGTTTCTCAGGTTCAAGCGATTCTCCTGCCTTAGCCTCCCGAGTAGCTGGGACTACAGGCACACACCACCACGCTGGGATAATTTTTTGTATTTTAGTAGAGACAGAGTTTCACCCTGTTGGTCAAGATGGTCTCAATCTCCTGACCTCGTGATCCGCCAGCCTCAGCCTCCCAAAGTGCTGGGATTACAGGCGTGAGCCACCGCACCCAGCCTCCTCCCTCTCTTCTTAATCACCTGCAAGGATCAACAGGAGAGAGCAATACGCAAGTGGCCCCCAGCTTTCTCCTAGGATGGCCTTGTCTTGTGGCTAATAAGGAATAAACATCCAGTGATAACAAAACCTGAAAGGGTTTCCCTCCCTTCCTCCAAAATAGCCCCTGCCCTTCATGAAATCCAAGGAAGATTTTTCAGAAATCAAAATGAGAGATTAAAAGAAGATGAGTACGCTAAGCTGAAAATATGAGGCTTTCAACATTTCCCTTGGTGGCAATTAGGTCTGTGGCATTTCAGAAAGCCAGCTAAATCTTCCCGGTAACACAGATATGGCTCCAAATAACAGATCACTATCATTTGAGTTTATTTGTACAGAAAAGATGACTTGATATTTGTAATTACATGGGGGTTTGGAAGTAAACAGGTCTTACTTTTATAGCTTGAGTGAAAGTTTTCAGAGTCCCAGCGCACAGTGCATGAAATCCAGCTTACAAGGCCTTCACTCTCCTCCCCGACTTGATAATCGCGGTTGTGTAGAAGGTGTCATTCCAGAATGAGCACTTTTCACGTGGAACCCTGCTACCCACATTGCATAATTACTCCACTTGGCATGCCCAAGGGACAAGCAGCCCCTCCTCATACTGGACTGATGAAGATGCACTGTGTAATGCAGCTACAGACTCACTTACCAGGTTCCATCCTGCTCTCTTTACCCATATTAGCTCCTGGGTCAGTAATGAAAACTATTAGTGGATAATGAGCTGAAGACCTTGCTTGATAACTCAACAACTGGCCGGGCATGGTGGCTCACGCCTGTAATCCCAACACTTTGCGAGGCCCAGGCAGGCACATCATGAGGTCAGGAGTTCGAGACCAGCCTGGCCAATATGGTGTTACCCCATCTCTACTAAAAATACAAAAATTAACCAGGCGTGGTGGCACGTGCCTGTAGTCCCAGCTACTCAGGAGGCTGAAGCAGGAGAATCACTTGAACTCGGGAGGCAGAGGTTGCAGTAAGCTGAGATGGCGCCACTGCACTCCAGGCCTGGGTGACAGACAAGACTCCGTCTCAAAAAAAAAAAAAAAAAGAGAACTCAACAACTTCTTGCTTCCTGATTTCTGGTCAGACACAAAAACTTGAAGAAGAAGTTCAGAGCAAGTCTCATTCTCTGTCGTAGGGAAAAGACAACTGCATTTATAACAGGATTGCAAGGGCAATGAAAGCCCCTGAAGGGCCCAAATTTCTCTCCCACTAGGCAGCCATGATACTGCCTTTGCACCCTACTCAGTCCCCAAAATTCAATTTAAGCATCACCAATGGATTAGGCCAATGGTTTTCTGGCCTGGCTGCATGGTAGAATCCCCCGATGAGATTTTTTTTTAATGCATATCCCTGGCCCCACTGCAGACTTTTTTTAAACTCTTTTGGGGCATAGTTTGAGAATCTATATTTTTAAAAGTGCCCCAGGTGATTCAGAGACAGCTTACCAGGTATTTTTCTAACTGGGTCTTGGAGCCCACAAGGTAAGAAGCAAATGAGAAAACTATCTAGCAAGCATCAATAACATTTAAACTTGCTTGTACATGAAGAGGTTGCTTCTTCCAAAACATCGTCACACAAATTAATTGACTGGACAAGATAGGGACACCCTTGTCTCTAAGTTTAATGTGGTGGTTGGTAGATCAGAAGTCTACTTTGCAGTAATTTTGTTCGTTTGTTTCTGCATCAATATGTTTGGAAATTACACCTCAATTGTTGGGGGGGGGAACATCAACACCCCTCCCTCACTCTTGCCAGCAGTTAAGGCGGGCTCCACCTACCCCTAAATCCAGGAGTTGGCATGCCATCCAGGCTTGGCCAAAGTATTCCGGCTCTGAAAAGGGCTAACTGATTCAGGAATGAGTGTGTCACAATTCAGGCCAATCCCAGACAATTTTCCTGGAACACTAATGAATGAAAACCTCTCTTTCTGCTGGGATGGTTGGCTGTGAGGACAATGCTGGGAGCCACCACATGGGGTGAGTCTGCCTGAATGAGGAACTGGCACAGAGAGACTGAAATGAGGCCAAACCAAGTCCCAGTGACATCGTGGGTGCCCTGGATCAGCTGTGGTTGCCCCAGAACTTTCAAGGTTTTTAACTAATTCACCCTTCCCCGTTTTCTTTATTCCTTAGCAAGCTTGAATTGGATTCTGTCAATCAAAAGAGTCCTGGAAACACAGTGGGACTAACCCAGGAAGCAGTATGGGGGGGGACAGACAGAAGGGTGGAAGAAGCAAATACCACTTAACAAGCGTTTACAGAGCAGCATGAGGCACCAGGCACTGGAAATATAAACATAAATAAGCCCATGCCCATCCTCCCCACAGTCTAGAAGGGGTCACAAACACAGATAATACCAGCTTTGTGGATTTCACAATCTGGGGTAGGGGCTGGTTGGAAATCTGTCGTTCTATTTCTCCAGTTGTAGGCAACATCATGAAATAACTTCAAAGCTTTAGTCTCTCCAGCAGTGCGCTGAAACATCTCTCATCTCTCTTCCCAAAGGAGGGGGAAAGTTTCCCATTCTATGTCATACCTAAGCAGTAAAACCAGCAAAGGGGAAGAACATGAAAGAGTTCTTTCACTTGTTCAACAAACGTAGACTCAGAGCCTATCACGGGACAGGCACTGTGCTAGGCTATGGGGAGACAGCCGTTGGCAAGACAGACAAGGTCCCTGTGCTCATAGATCTTACATTATTTGGGGCGGGGAGGAGGAGAGAGGAGTCAGGGAAAAAAGTTGGTAAATAAAGAATACTAGATAGGGATTTGTGATACAGAGGAAACAGAACTGGGCAATATGATAGTCACACAGCAGTTGAGTTTGGGGGAAAGGGAGCTACTTGAGATAGGGTAGTCAAGGAAGATGTTTCAGAGAAAGTGACATTTAGGCTGAGCCAAATTAATGCTTCTCCAGCCCAAGAGGGAAACTGAGGCAAGGTTCTTGTCAGGAACACACAAGGACAGAGGGCAGGGATTTTGCTGAGCTAATGGATACAGGTTCTCCACTGTTTCTGTGCCTGAGTGCTAAGGCATTTGTGTACAGATGGCAGAATTTGGTCTGCAATCTTCTACCCTGTAACTTATCAACCAGAAAGGAGGTTATGGGGAAGAGTCATAAAGCTCCTATGTAGTGATTACCGATATCATTCCAAAGAGCCTGGCAGTTCTATCATCTTCCAGCTCTGGAAACCAACAGAGGGCGGCAACTTCAGGGCAAATGGACCACAGCTGTGATCCCTTATACAACTGAGGGTTTTCTCTGGTAGTTAAGGGACCAAAAGCATGTTCTAACCATAAAATGAACAGATTGTTCTCCTGCCTAGAAGAGGGAAGTCATGTCCCGTCATCATAGAGTGAAAGACACTAACCAACCCTCTACCCCAAGAAGTGAGAACGAGATTCAACAGGAATTCAGATTCAAGGAGATTGAATTCTCCTTTCCCAATGGTGTGGAGATTTCTCAAAGAACCAAAGGTAGATCTACCGTTCGATCCGGCAATCCCACCACTTAGTATTCACCCAAAGGAAAAGAAGTCATTATATCCAAAAGACACCTGCACAGGTATGTTTATCACAGAACAATTCACAATTGCAAAGATATGGAACCAACCTAAGGGCCCACAAACTGATGAGTGGATAAAGAAAATATACATCATAGAATACTACTCAGCCATAAAGAGGATGAAATAATGATGTTTGCAGCAACTTGGATGTAGCTGGAGGCCATTATTCTAAGTGAAGTAACTCAAGAATGGAAAACCAAATACTGTATATTCTCACTTATAAGTAGGACCTAAGCTGGGTAGCAAAGGCATACGGAGTGGTATAATGGACAGCAGAGATTCAGAAGCCAGGAGGAAGATAAGGGATTAAAGACAAAACAAAACAAAAACTACATATTGGATACAATGTATACTACTCGGGTGACAGATGCACTAAAATGGCAGATTTTATACAATTCATGAATTTTATACAATTCATCCATGTAGCCAAAACCACTTGTACCCTATATATATATTCAATATAATTCTAAAAAGAAAGAAACCAAAGCTCCTTTCCCTTTCTGCTTTGAGATCAGTCACTAGCTTATTCACAACAAAGATGCACACGGAGAGGAAAATGCCAGGCCCGCCCCTTGCATATCGATTGGAACAAGTTCAGAGGCGTGTGGATTAGATGCCTGGATTGGAACCTGCTGGAGTAATTGGAAGATCAGACATTTACTCTTATGTGCTGTTTGAAGCAGTTTTCCTTTGGGAGCTTTTTTTTTTTTTTTTAAATGCATTTCTGATTTGGCCCAAGATTTTCGAGTTTAAGAGTGGGTAGCTTATGCGTGCTTAGAAATATAGGAAAAGAAAAACAAAAGATTCAAATTATGCTTTTAGCTTTCAAAGGTGAGCGAGCTTTTTGGCAGGGCCTGTTTCAAAATGCATTAGCCTCTTTTACCCTAACACAGTGTTTGTTCTTTCTGTTCTTGTCTTGTTTTCATGTGTGTGTTACCGTGAAAGCTTTATGCTTTCTGTTCTAAGGTTTTGGAACTATGCCAGCAAAATTCACCCCAGCCCATTTCCTCCAAAACTCCTCTGTTCCTTCACCGTCCATGTGACCTGAATGAGCTTTATCATGTTATCAATGCGGAAGGCAAGCCGGAACAGATTCCCCTCCTGAGAGCTTTGCAACATTGGATGAAATTCTACCCAAGGTGTTGTGTTGTCAGAGGTCTCCCCATAACATTTGCACAACCTAGAACAAGAGTACAAACAGAGCCCCACATACCCACATTTAAATATTTAAAAGTTACCATCTAGATATACCCAGGGCCCCAAAGCCTGTTCCCCAAAACCCAGCCTCTTGACCAGGAGGCTAAAGGACACATGTTTTCCGCTTACTGGCCGCTGGTGGCCTGAGTAGTAGTAAGCATTTGCCGGGACAAGACTCCTGGGGGCAACTGGACCTTGGGTGGGGACTGGCCTGGACAAGCCCCAGGATATGCAGGTTCCCCTCCACTGACTCAGGATGTCCACTTCCCAAACTCCACCACCGAGCAGCGGGGAGGGAGAAGCACAGTCACCTGAGCGTCCGCAGGGCAGTCAACCTTACACAAAAGCACCAGCATTGTCCATGTTTGCCAGGCAGGGCCTCTGACTGTTTCCTCGCCCACCCCCACCCTCGTGCTCTCAGGCGCACACCCTCTGGCCCAGGAAGTCCCATCCAGCTTTCCCGCCTCCTTTTCACAATGCCCATCAGCTCAAATGGGTGCTAAACATCAAAAAACGCTTCCTTACAATAACAAAGCAACAAACAAACAAGCCAAGTCTATGTTTTGGTGGTTCAGCTTAGTGAGCCCCTCTACAGCATGGGCTCCAAGCAGGGGTCCATCTTCCCCAAGTCTGAGAGGCTGCAGCAGAGTGACCTGGGTTGGTGTCGGACTGGTCAGAGTTTGCTGGTTAAGGTAGACACCGGTTGACCGTGCCTTTTCTGGTGACGGTACTTCAGTTTTCCAATCAAAATGTACTGTCTTCCCCTGGGTCAAAAAGCCTTGATGTCGCTGTCAATTTAGAGCCCCCAGCCTCCCCTCGTCAGGAGGTGAGCCCCTCAGAGCTCTCTTCTGGCAATGTAAACACAAGGGCAGCATGTAGTTGAAGACACTCTGCTGCTCTGTGAGCTACTGCATATACTTCCAAGGGATCATGAGGTCAGGAGTTCAAGACCAGCCTGGCTAAGAAGGTGAAACCCCATCTCTACTAAAAATACAAAAGAATTAGCCAGGCAGAGTGGCAGGTGCCTGTAATCCCAGCTACTCGGGAGGCTGAGGCAGAGAATTGCTTGAACCCAAGAGGTGGAGGTTGCAGTGAGCCGAGATCACACCATTGCACTCGAGCCTGGGCGAGAGAGAGGTTTCGTAGATTCACAGTTCCACATGGCTGGGGAGGCCTCACAATCATGGCAGAAGACAAGGAAGAGCAGTGACGTCTTATATGATGGCAGGCAAGAGAGCCTATGCCGCGGAACTCCCATTTATAAAATCATCAGATCTCATGAGACTTATTCACTACCACAAGAACAGTATGGGGAAAACTTACCCCATGATTCAATTATCTCCACCTGGCCCCACCCTTGACACATGGGGATTATTATAATTCCAGGTGAGATTTGAGTGGACACATAGTCAAACCATATCACTGACCTACCTGAAACCTCTATATAAGTCCCACCGTAATGTACTTTTAAATACTTCTGAATAGATGGTGTGATATTGGGAATTTCAACTCTGTAGAGTTGAAACTTTACAGATGTCAGCTATTCTGTTAGAAGAATCACCCTCCAAACCTGATTATAACAAGAATCTGTTGGGTACTCAATTGGGCACCCACTGGTCTTTAACACCTCTCTTGCTCACATATTTGATCTCCATTTTGAATAAATGGAGAGTATGCCTTGGGCTGAAAGTCTCTTAACAGGCAACACAGCTAGCTAGGAAGGTAGTTACACAGTATTTCTTTTTCATTATAATTATTGTTACTTACTTTCTAGTTATGGAAAATAGTGTTCAGTGGGTACTCAACCAATTCAAGTTTTGGGAAATACTGATGTATATTACAACTGCTGGATTAGGACACTGTCTTCCATAGGGCATCAATAATGTTTTATTCATCTCTGCAAGTCTGCACAGCTTGTCCTATGGCTGATATATGGCAGGTAACCAAGAGTTCAATATAAAAGGGCTGAGTTAATAAATATAGCACCATTAATTCACATGTCAGTAATTTGGAATTGGTAATGAAACTTGAGCCAAGCAAAATAATAACAACGATGTAAAATATGTGTATATTGAATTTGCTTAACAAAACATGTTTTCAAGCATTTTATAATTCCTATGCTTCCAGCCACGTCTCATCTATTCATGGAGACAGATGTGGCCAGACTTCTAATTGCTCACCCTCCACTGCCTATTAACTGGGTTCACATATGTGGCAGCTCAAATACCATGTCATTGAAGCTGCCTTCCCTGAACACTGCCCCACCCCTAAATTCTATTAAATGTCCCTGCTTGATGATGTCCTATCTTCCTGAACTGTTCCTTTGTACCATGAATCAGTTTTTAATTAAAGATTGATTTGGACGGTCATTTGATTATTGATTCTCCTTCACACTAGACTCGAAGCTTCCTCAGCAGAGAGGTTGTATCTACTTTGTTTCCTCATTCCCAGCTCCTAGCATCAGGCTATCATTTAGTATGTGCTCAATAGATATCTGATAGATTACTGAACAAATGGCTGTGTTTACAATTTATTGTAAACAATTACCCAATACAGCCTTTTGCAATAATTCAGACTTGTCTTGCTTCCCATTTGCCTGAATAAACAAAGTTTTACCGTCATCCATCAGACAAGACCCTAACAAAGCCATTTAGAAAGTCCTAAGTTTAAGATCTCAGTGGGAAACTGAAAACCCTCTTTTGCACAGTGTAGTGCCTCAAGTAGGATGGCTGATTCTCCTTATTAAGCCTTTAACCAAAGTATAAAATAACTGAAGGACAGGCCATCTGGGAACTCCAGGAACAACGGTTACCACTTCCCTCTTGACTCTGTCCCGTCGTTTTTGTCATACTCAGAAACATGCTGTTTCAACCTGAATCGCTCTGGGTTTCATGCTTCAGGAATGATTCCTGAAGTAGTTAGCCGCACATCTTCTTATTATTTGGTGGCTAAGTGTCCTGGTATAGAATTTTTCCTTATTCTGATTCTTCCTCTTTCTATAGCACAGCTCTCCAGGGTGCACCACGCTTCCTGTTTGCTGTGCTTTCCAAGAATAAGGTACTTTTGCAGAGTAACTCCATTACCACCCAAATCTTTATTATGTGAATTCCAGACTTCAACAAGGCACATTTTTCTCCCCTAAGTTAGCAAGTCCATAAGCAAGTCCATTTGCTCCACCCTGCACTAGGCCAGCTCTTGGTGACCTCGACAGTCTTCCGAATTCTCTCTTTTTGTGTCCGCAACTCTCACACCCATTCTCCACTCCGCACAGATGTGATATATCTAAAAGGCAAGCTTCCTCCTTAATACTCTTCAATCTACTCATTCTTTAGACAAACATTTAGTAAGCACCTGCTGTATACCAAGCACAGGGCTAACAAGAGTACTGTGATGAAAAAGATGGGCAAGTTCCTGCCACTGTGGAATTTTCTTTTGCCGTTGGGGAAGATGGACAGGAACACATGTCAAAGCTCCCTGTTGCCCTCAGGGTGAAATCCAAACCTACTTTATGAGGCATTTGAAGCCCTTTGGGATGTGGGTCTGCTTGCCTCTTTTTGAGCATTTTCCCACATATTGTTCTAGAACGTTCTACGGGGTCATATTCAATGCCGCAGCTACTTGCAGCTCTTCAGACATACCAAGCTCTCTTCTGCCTGCCTGGCCTGTGCCCTCTCTACCCCTTCTTGTGTCTTGCACTTCCTCTTTTCTCTTCTCTGACCCTTTTCCCAGGAATCTCCTATTCATTCTTCAGTTCTTAGTTTATAGGTCACTAACTCTCCAGAAAGTCTTCCTCAACACCTCCCTCCCCATTACTCCTCCCTGTTCCCCTCCCCAGGTGACATAGGGGTCTCTCCTCTGCCTTCCACAGCACTCTACTATAACCACTGTTATCACAGGCTGTGAGCACTGGTTTATAACTGCCTGTAGTCTTATCCTTTGTGAATACTCCCCCGTTTGCTGGACACTCACAGAGTTAATCTCCTCTCCCACCCTGGTCCTCCCCTTCTCGGACCCATTGTGCTTCTAGATTTTTCTCTAGGAGAAAAGTTTACACAAAGTTTGAGAAACTCATTGACTTGTCAAAGGCCACGCTGCTGGTGTGGGAGGAGAAGGGTCTTGACCCCAAGTCTCCAGTCTCCAAATCCAGGGCACTATCCACCACTGCAGGCAGCAGGAGTTCTTAGGAACATCTGGCAAGGATTTGGGTAACTTACATGGAGGGTGACCAAACATCCCAATTTGCCCAAGATGGTCCTGGATTTTGCCTGCTATTCCAGGATAATTATTCACAACACCTTGTTCTACTTCCAAAAGGGTCCTGCTTGGATACAAACTTACAGAGTTGCTTATTTATATGGTCTTAGGACATGCTGTAATCTCACTCAGAAGTTATCCCAAGTCATTCATGGAAGGTTCTCTCAGGACCATTGTCACAGATGTCACAGATGCTTCAAGCTGCTCCAGGGCAGTGAGGCAGAAGAAAAGAAGTCAGGGGACATTGTCCCTGCCCTCAGGGAAATTCAGAGGGAAACTGTTCCCTCTCTACAAACCCTTGAATTAAACCTTGATCTGAATAAGTGCATTCTGATAACATGATTCCTAAATGACATCTTTATCATTATGGGAAACTATTCTAGAACCAGTTGGAACATCTGGCCTCACAGCTCTTATTGCAAGTAGGGAACATGAAACCCTCATTCTTTTTTTTTTTTTTTTTTTTTGAGGTGGAGTCTCGCTCTGTCGCCCAGGCTGGACTGCAGTGGCGCGATCTCGGCTCACTGTAAGCTCCGCCTCCCGGTTTCACGCCATTCTCCTGCCTCAGCCTTCCCAGCAGCTGGGACTACAGGCGCATGCTGCCACGCCCAGCTAATTTTTTGTATTTTTAGTAGAGACGGGGTTTCACTGTGTTAGCTAGGATGGTCTCGATCTCCTGACCTTGTGATCCGCCCGCCTCGGCCTCCCAAAGTGCTGGATTACAGGCGTGAACCACTGCCCCCAGGCTCATTCTTAAAAGAACTATACAATCATGGAAATCCAAACTGTTTTTAATAGACAGTGGTGAGAAGGCAGGAAGCTTAAAAGAGACTTGCCTACCAAATGTGTCTGAAAGAATAAAAGGTATTGACTTGAGGATAGGCTTCCAGAACAGGTTCTGGCTTTTGCAAATAAATCAAAGGAAAGCAGGGGAAATAGTCTAGGCCATTGTGACCCAATGAAGGGATTTAGAAAGTGTTACGAGATGCTTCCCCAAAAACAGACAACACTTAAGGCACCCTGGACCTGAAGGAATCCTAAAATACTGCTTCACAAGCACCTGTAGCAAACCTTTTCTGAGTTCCTTGCATCGTGGATAGCACATGGTAGAAGGACCACAGTATCTTAGAATATCTAGATGTGATGGTTAATATTAGTTGTCAACTTGAATGGATTGCAGGATGCCTAGATAGCTGGTAAAGTATAGTTACTGGGTGTGTCTGTAAGGGTGTTGCCAGAGGAGATTGACTTTTGAGTCCGTGGACTGGGAGAAGAAAACCCACCATTAATGTGGGTGGGCACCATCCAATCAGCTGTCAGCGTGGCTAGAACAAAGTAGGCAGAAGGTAAGATAACCTTGTTTACTGGGTCTTCTGGCTCCTTTCTTTTTCCTGTGCTGGATATTTCTTTCTTCTCCTCTTGTTCTTAGACATCAGACTCCAAGTTCTTTGGCCTCTGGACTCTGGGACTTGCACCAGTGGTTTGCCAGGGGCTCTCAGGCCTTCAGCCACAGACTAAAGGCTGCACTGTCAGCTTCCTTGGTTTTGAGGCTTTTGGACTCAGACTGAGCCACTACCAGCTTCTCTCTTTCCCAGCTTACAGGTGACCTACTGTGGGGACTTTGCCTTGTAATTGTGTGAGCCAATTCTCCCTTATAAACTCCCTTTCATATATGCATATATCCTATTGGTCTGTCCCTCTGGAGAACCCTGACTAATAACACCAGGTTAAAAGAAGATAATTCTCATTCACCCACAGTCCCTCGACCTCCTCATTCTAAATTCCCAGAAGGTTAAAGAGATTGCAAATTCTGTCCTTCCTTCATCACAAAGCCGTCCTCTGAGGTAGCATCATAGCAATAATTCCAGCCTCATCGTATGCTGCTGCCAACTTTAGGCTTCTCCCAGTTCTTTGAATATGCCAAAACCTTTCTTGCCTCAGAGCCTTTGCACATGCTGATCCTGGTTGGAAAGTCCTGTTCACCTCTCATTGCATGCTGGTTCCTTTTCATCCTGCAAATATTAGCTTAAATATCATCTCAGAGAGACCTTTTGCAACCATCCTGTCTAAACTAGGTCCCTCCTCCCCTTTCTGTTCTTTATTTTGGCATCCCTAATCACTTCTTCTTGAAATACACCACAGTTTATTTGTTTTACATAATGCTGCCTCTGTAGACCCTAAGTAGTTCCTGAACTATTGAGATAAATGAATCCATGTAGCTTTGATCCACCAGATTGTCATATCAAGGGCTGCACCTCCCTTATTTACTGTTGCATGCCAGCATCGAGCACATAGCCCAGGACACAGTGTGCACTTACTAAAGATTTGTTATGTGACTTGGTGTCATGTGGAGATATTAATCTAAGGGGTTTTTTTCTTCTTCTTTATATATTTTCCCTTTCCCATGCCCACTGCCCTAGAGAGGCCAGTAGCAGAGAACAGAATGGAAGCAGCCATGTGTCTTCCTGGCTTTGTTTTTTTAAAGACTTAAGTCCTTAGTAGATTCAGCGGTGAAGCAGAGAGGCTTAAAGAAACTTGGAAGGGAAAGAATTCCTCTCAGACTAAAGGTAAAGAAGGAAGGAGGAAGAAGAGAAGGGGTCTGTGTGGGAGTCCCTAGAGCCATGGGAATTGGTCCCTTGCTTCTCAGTTGGACCTATGGGATAGTGGGGGAAGGTGGAGGGAGGGGAGAGCTAAGACACAGGTGGGGCATATGGAGGACAATGGGCTCTGTGACATCCCCACCTGGGCATGGAGGGGGCAGATTTGTCCCCAAGCCCCAAAAAGTGTTCAAGAAGGATAACAACTTTTCCACATTATCAATGGAGAAGTTCCATTGAATTTCTAAGAGAAGCTAAGAGACTTGCTCAAAGGCAAGCAAGTGATGAAACTGGAACATGAACTGTTGTTCATTATACTCTTTGTCCAGCACTCTAGTCACATTAATTTTTCCGAAAATATCTATTGAAGACCTACTATGTGCCAGGCACTGAGTATGCAGCAGAGAAATAAAAACAGCAAAACATCCTTGCCCTCATGAAGCATACATTTTGGAAGAATCACTCAGTGGCCTGGCCCACATTAGCATTTATTTGAGTTGCCTTTCCAGACATAAGGATGAATCCTGCCTGCTCATCTGTGCTCTCCTATCGGGGCCTTAGGAACTATGGATTTGCTGGATGGAGAAACGATACACATTTCTTAAGCACCTACTATGTGTTAGGCATTGCATGCATCCTCCTCTTTAATGGTTGGCCAGATCAGGACCATAGACCAGGCACTTAACACAGAGTAAACATAACTGGCCCACATATGAAGTGAGGCCATGACCTTGACCACATTCTAAACATCCTCAAATGAAAGGAGTTCTAGTCCATAAACTACTAAAAATGCTAAACATAGCTGGGCATGGTGGCTCACGCCTATAATCCCAGCACTTTGGGAGGCCGAGGAGGGAGGATTATGAGGTCAGGAGTTCGAGACCAGCCTGACCAATATGGTGAAACCCCGTCTCTACTAAAAATATAAAAATTAGCCCGGTGTGGTGGTAAGCACCTGTAATCCCAGCTACTCAGGAGGCTGAAGCAGGAGAATCACTTGAACCTGGGAGCCAGAGATTGCAGTGAGCTGAGATTGCACCACTGTACTCCAGCCTAGAAAACAGAGTGAGACTCCGTCTCAAAAAAAAAAAACAAACAAACAAAAAACAAAAAAAAGAATGTTAAACATGCAAGTTCCCTTCTGCAACTAGCTTTAGCTTAAGCAAGTGATTTTTTTTTTTTTTTTTTTGAGACAGGGTCTCGCTCTTTCACTCAGGCTGGAGTACAGTGGTGTGATCACAGCTCACTGCAACCTCTGCCTCCTGGGCTCAAGCGATCCTCCCACCTCAGTCTCCCGAGTAGCTGGGACTACAGGCATGAGCCACCAAACCTGGCCAAGAGACTGATTTTGAAATCTGAATGTTTTCTGTTTGTTTGTTGTCTACATTTGAAATACTTGATGGTGTACAGGAGCGAGGCCATAGTCAGTTTGGGTCTCCTGCTATGTCTAAAAAAAGGCCATTTCCAGTCTGGTGTCTCAGGACAAACACAGGCTTCAGAGTGAGACCTGTTCTGTCTCTGATTCTGTCTCACCTGCTGTGTGATCATGAACAAACCACCTCCGAACCTCTCTGAACTTCGGTCTCCTTATCGGTGACATAAGGGTGGCGTATTACTTTTCTGTTGCTGCTGTAACAAAAGTACCACAAACTTTGTGGCTTAAAGCAACATAGATTTATTCTCTTATAATTCTGGAGATCAAAAGCCTGAAATGAGTCTTGCAGAGCTAAAATCAGGATGTCAGCAGGGCTGGGTCCCTTCTGGAAGCTCCAGGGGAAATCTGTTTGTATGCTTTTTTCCAACTTCTAGAGTTTATCCACACTCTTTGCCCTGTGGTCCACATCCCTCCAAGCTCTGCTTCCATCGTGACATCTCCTTTGACTCTAATCCTTCTGCCTTCATCATGGAAGAACCCTTGTGATTACATCATCCTACCAAACCATCTGGGAGAATCTCCTCATTTCAAGGTTCATAATTTAATCACACCTGCGGAGCTCGTCTGCCATGTAAAGTAGCATATTCACAGTTTCTGGAGATTAAGAGGTGGACATCTTTGAGGGACAGTATTCTGCCAACCACAGTTGGGCAAAGGCCTGGCACAAAGCTGAGGCTCCATGAAGCTGAGTTGCCTCCTAGGTGAAAAGGCTTTGGGAAAACTGGATCTTGAAGCCAGGGAGGAGGTAGATTATGAGTCACAGAGCAAAGTGCAGAAACTAGAAATTCAGATTAAGGTGGTGATAAGAGGGGGTAGAGGGTAGGCTAGCTTGATGGGGCAGAAAGACTGGACAGTGAAGGGAACGATTAAGACCCTGGTGGGGAAATAAAAGGCTCGGTAGCATTTTTCCCCCAGACATTGAGACATTTAACATTCTCTTTTGCAAAATTAAGTCCAGAACACATCCGGGAGGCTGATTTTTCTGTTGTAAACAATAATATTCATTTTCCTTTGCTCTGTGGACTAGAAGAGTAGAGATTCCAGAGGGTAGAGGGAGGCTCCCCACACTCTGACTCATCTGTTCTTGGCAGAGGAACTGAAAATCTACCTTCTGTGGAGCGACAGCACTGCACAGTTTAGGTTTACAGGGAACTGTTAGCTGAACCCCTGTCTGATGATCCAATGTGGGGAGAAGGGCTTTCCTGTATGGATGCCTGAGAAACCTCCACTCCCTGCTAAACACAGCTCAGAAAACTTCATAATCCCTACCACCTCCTGACTCAGGGGAAAGATTTCTGGCTTGGGCAATCAAAGCTTTCTGGAACCTTCCCTGACTTCACAGACCCAATCAACATGCGTGTGTCTTATATCCCAAGGCTTCCCAACACATATATCATGCACCCACATCTTCATGCAGTGCAGACTCTGGGTCTATTCTAAATCATGTGTCAGAGCCCTTCCCTGCAACAATGATGTCAGCTGCCACTTACATTTATTGAGTACTTATTATGTGCCAGTCAATATTCTGAGTTTATTACACACATCAACTCACTTAATACTTGTGATGAGCTTG
This sequence comes from Homo sapiens, assembly GCF_000001405.40. Lineage (NCBI taxonomy): Eukaryota > Metazoa > Chordata > Mammalia > Primates > Hominidae > Homo > Homo sapiens. The sequence continues at coordinate 14,055,224 of NC_000001.11, read as the reverse complement.
TGAAATAGGTCTAATTTTGTCCCTATTTTATAGATAAGGAAACAGAGACACCTACAAATTAAATAACTTACTCTGGGTTACACAGTCAATCCTAGACCGATGGTTCTTAACCAAAGACAGGTCTCCTTCCTCACCCTTCCATGGGCATTTTTGGTTATCACAACTGGAAGGTGAAGATAAGGACCACTGATATCTAGTGAGTAGAGGCCATAGATGCTGCTCAACATCCTATAACACACAGAACAGACCCCACAGCAAAGAACTACCTGGCCCAAAATGTCAATGGAGCTGAGGTCGAGACATCTGCTCTAGAGCCAGACTTCACATCCAGGCAGCCTTCTTGAACACATCACATTAAAATAATTTGTCTCCTACACTAGCTTATGTGCTTCTCTGAGGCAGACACCACTTCTCATACACATTTCTAACTCTCACGCATGACCTACAACTCAATAAATGTTTGTAAAATAAATGAACAGACCAACAAGCAAATGAACAAACAATCCTGGAAGTAGACTCTTCTCCTTCCTCGAATGATTCATTCTCTTTTCTCCCTTTTGGCCTTTGTCACCTATCTTAATGTATCATTTTCCAGGTCCTTATGTCATCTCTTTTATTAAAGTGGAATATGCCTGGGCCAAGAATTGAGCTACCCTTATCCTTGTGGTTCCAGAATTTAGCCCCTAGGAAAACCTTAGTAAATATTTACTGAGATAGAATGTTTTACATTTCTTCCTCTTCCCATTTTTGACTTTCTTCATCCTGTCCTCATCTCATCTTCATTTACTCAAATTCAGTCTACCAAAAATGCCAAAGTGGCCTACAGGGTAGGGAGGTTCTTGTGGAGCTGATTGTCCATCAGACCTTATAGGCACATGCCAGGGGCCCAAGATAGTTTTAGGGACCCATGAAAAGGTTTTTATTTTTATCTTTTTTAATCAGAATTGAAATGAATATAACAGTAAGTATGTAATAATGAGCCCAGCCTGGATTATACAGTTGACCTTAGAACAACATAAGTTTGAACTGCACAGGTCCAGTTACATGTGAGATTTTTTTTTTACAGTAAATATATTGGAAAATTTCTTGGAGTTTTTTTTCAACTTGTAGACAATTAAAAAAAAACTCACGGACAAACCACTACCTTTGAGACAGAAAAACCAATCCCTCCCCTTCCTGCTCTTCTTCAGCCAATTCAACATGAAGACAATGAGGATAAAGACCTTTATGATGATTCACTTCCACTTAATAAAGAGTCAATCTATTTCCTCTTCCTTATGCTTCCCTTAGTAACATTTTTTTCTCTAGCTTACTTTATTGTAAGAAGGCACAATATATACATATATATGTGAAATACATGTTAATCAACTATGTTATTGGTAAGGCTTCCAGACAGTAGAAAGCTATTAGTAGGTAAGTGTTTGGGAAGTCAAAAGTTATGCATGGATGTCTGACTGTGAAGGAGGTCAGTGCCTCTAATCCCTGCATTGTTCAAGGGAAAGCTGTATTCGTCTGTATACCAAAGCAGGCATAAAACAATTTTCACTGTTTTCTTTAATGGAGGATGAGGCCCACAACGGCAAAAGTACCTAGGTCCCATGAAGATTGTAACGTAGTTCTGGGTTGTGATCAGAACTTGGAGCCTTCTGATCCCCATTTCAATAAGTGTCATCAGACAGTTTTCCTCACAGCTGAGCAGAGGAAAGTGTGATACCAACTGCCTTAGTTCTCTACTGTTGGGTAACAAGCTACCAAAAACATAGCTGCTCATGACAGCACCCATCCATTATTGCACAGTTCTGTAGGTCAGGAGTCCAGGTGTGGCTTAGCTGGGTTCTCCACTCCAGTGTCTCACTGGACGGCAATCAAGGTGTTGGCTGGGCTACAATCTCGTCGTCTCCTCTGATGGTTCAACCTGGGAAGGGCTGCTTCCAAGCTCACTCAGGTTGTTGGCAAAATTCCATTTCTCATGGTAGTAGAACTACATTTCATGCCACGTGGGCCTGCCCACTGGCTCTCTCACAACATGGCCACTTGCTTCTTCAAGGCCAGTGGGAGAACAACAGCAACTCTAGAAAAACAGAGCCCTGTGTGATGTAATGTCACAGGAGTAAGATCCCGTGACCACTGCCATGTAACATCACAGACTCACGGGGTGGCATCCCACCACCTTCGCTGTGTTCTACTGGTTAGAAGTGAGGCACCGGCCCTGCCCACACTCAAGGGGCAGGGAATACACAAGGGCACAGACACCAGGGCCCGGAAACCTCCTGCGGGTCATCCTAGGCTCTGTCTGCCACATCAACCCCATGGGCATTCCATGGGAAAATGAGGGCCTCATCAGCCTGCAGATGGGTACAGGAGCACTTCACTGGCTGTTCCTCTGCCTGAAAGCCTGGACTCTCTGTTAGAATACGCACAGGAATCCCTCCTTGCCTCATTCAGCTCCTTGCTCGAATGTCACTTCTTCAGAGAGGAAAAGGCCTCCCTCTCTCCTTTGTTACCTTAACTTCTCAGTCTCCTTTTGCTGCTCTCCAGGATGATTGGAGCTCACCAAATGGGCCTCTGCCCCCCTACACATCCCAACCTCTCAGACAGCTGGAGTAGGGCCCAAAGCATTTGACCCCACATAGCACACAGTGCAAACACATCATCTTCCTGTCAATTTCTCTTGTTTTTTTTTTTTTCCACCCCACACCCTGTCCTTCTTTTAATCAAATAACTTTTCAGCATCACAGGGTATGATCTTAATTGTAAACTCCCATAGGGCATCCTGCATGGCTTGGTGTAGCAGCGGCCACCACTGAGCCACATGAGGTGCAGGATGAACAAATACTTTTTTGCAGATTATCATAGTGCCCAATATCTCTTTTGATTTTTATTTTTTGACACAGTTCTGAAATATTGATGAGATCAGCTGATAGAGAGGACTCAAAAAGGTTAATGCCTTTGCAAAAAGCAGAATGTGTAAACACACAGATAATTATCACAGATCCATCTGGTGTTTAGAGTTAGGCCCTGGCTGGGTTGGGGGGACTCAGCTCTCTGGCTGACCCCTGGGAGAGCAGGTACAAGATGTGAGCCGGGTGCCAGTGATGGTGTCAGGAAGAGCCTGAGATTTGGGTCCTGAATCAAGGAGCGTATTCTCCAGCAGGGAAGAGGACAGGTACATAAAATCCAAACCACACGGTGAAGCAGCTCATAAAGGGACCACTGCCATACCCAAAGTTTAGCCTCTGCTATACTAGCAACTGTCCACAGTGAGGATCAAAAACATAAGGCTTGGAAGAGCTCCAGAACATAGGACAGGCATGGTAAGTAACAGCATTTTTTTTGGTTTTGGGTTTTTGTTGTTGTTGTTGTTTGGTTGGTTGGTTGGTTTTTTGAGACAGGGTCTGGCTCTGTTGCCCAGGCTGGAGTGAAGTGGTGCAATCTCGGCTCATTGCAACCTCCGCCTCCCGGGTTCAAGCCATCCTCTCACCTTGGCTTCCCAAGTAGCTGGGACTACATGTGCATGCCACCACACCCGGCTAATTTTTGTAGTTTTTGTGGAGACAGGGTTTCACCATGTTGCCCAGGCTGTTCTCAAACTCCTGGACTGAAGCGATCCTCCCAAAGTGCTGGGATTATAGGCGTAAGCCACCACACCTGGCTTAATACCAGCCATTCTTAGTCAGACTTCTTACCTTTCAGTTGAAGAGAAACAGATAATTCAATACCTTGCAGTGCATGATGCAAACATATTACTTCCCAGAAATTTTATCTTGTGCTTTACCCTTAAGAGAGCAGGCGTGGTAGATGAACAAGAATTAAAAATAAAGAAAAAACCCAGACTCCCTCCTCACCAAGCTTTGGACAGGCTCCTCTGAGCACTCTTCTTGACTGGGGCCCTGTCCTAGGGCCCTGTCCTTGGCCTGCCCAGTTCAGTTTTAGCAAGAGTCCTGCTTGATCAGCTTAAAGAGAATCACCCCACCCTTGATATCTAATAAAATTCCTTATCTCCACCCTTGATGTCTAAGTCTTTGGCCTGCCTTTAGTAAGAATATTTTGAAGTCAGTTCAGCAAGAATTCTATGACGCTTGATGCCTCCCCTTAGAAATTTTCCATCCACTGACCCCCTCCCTTCAATCCTTGGCTATAAATCCCAAGTGTCTTTGTTGTGCTCAGAGTTGAGTTCAGTTTTGCTGAAGCCTCCCTCCTCTATTGCAATGGTACTGAATTAAATCTATACTTTTAACTGGTATCTGGCTCGATTTCTCTTAAACAACATCAGCAAAAACATTTGAGATCATTTCAACCAAATGATGCTTGTTTGTCATAATACATGTTATGGATTTTCCAGACAATACTCTCAGCCACCTGCTTTGTTCTGAGGATGCGGCAGTGGGCCTGGCTCATGAGGTTAGAGGGAAGCTCTCAGAGGATGGGCCGGGTCCTCAGCACTGGCACATGGGCAGGCCTGTCCGCAAGGCTGGCTGAGAGCTCAATGGGGGAAGTGGAGGGAGAGGGAGGAGGCTGAGAGTCTGGGGGGCTGATAGGTTTTGGCTCTGCATCCCCACCCAAATCTCATCTCGAATTGTAATCCCCACATGTCGAGGGAGGGAAGTGATTGGATGATGTGGGCAGTTTCCTCCATGCTGTTCTCACGAGAGTGAGTGAATTCTCAGGAGATCTGATGGGTTTGTAAATAGTAGTATTTCCTGCACTGTCACATATTCTCTCCCAACTGCTGTCATGTGAGACATTCCTTCTTCCCCTTCTGCCATGGTTGTAAGTTTCCTGAAGCCACCCCAGCCATGCGGAACTGTGAGTCAATTAAACCTCTTTTCCTTATAAATCACCCAGTCTCCAGCAGTTCTTTACAGCAGTTTGAAAACAGACTACTACAGGGGCCTAACTCAGCTGTTGGTCTGGCCTTTAGAGAAGTATCCAGTGCTCCAAATTATAGTATGCAAACACATGTGCACAGGCATGCCCACACACATCCACACATATACATGTGCACATGCATGCCCACACATGTGCACATATGTGTACACACATGTGCGCACACACCCACACACGCGCACAAGCATACCCAAATCCACACATGTGCACATGCATGCCCACACACATGTGCACATACATGCACACATGTACACAGGCATGTGCAATGCATGCCCCCACACACCCACACAGACACACGTGCACATGCATGCCCACATGCACACAGTTGGCCCCTCTCCCTTTCCCTCTGCTTAGCTAACTCCTCAGGCAAGGCAGGGCCTCCTCCTCCAAGATGCCATGGACCTCACTGGCCAGGTTGAAGGTCCCACCGTGTCAGGCCCTCTGGGTGACACTGTCACAGCTGTGACTGGACACTCATTCCATGATTCTTTGATCAATGTCTGGCTTCTTGTCTATCATGAGAGCTCCCTGAGAGCAAGGGCACTGTCTGGTTTCCCTCACTATCACCCCAGTGCCAGACGGAGCTCTGTGCACATCAAAAATCTCCGTCAACATCAGTTGAGCTACAGAAAGAAGAACAGAAGGAAAGGAGGGTGAGAGGAAAAGAGGGAGAAAAGGAGGGAAAAGGGAACAAAAAAGGAAGGAAGAGAGGGAGAGAGGGCATGGAGTGTGGGTACTGAAGTTGAAGACTGGGGCAGAAGCACCCTGGTGATGATAGGTGACCTATTATTACTGGTTGTTGAGAAGGTAGAAAATTGTTCAGTAGGCAGCAGGTACTCATTGGAAGGTTCTTTTTTGTTTGTTTGTTTTAATTATACTTTAAGTTTTAGGGTACATGTGCACAACGTGCAGGTTAGTTACATATGTATATATGTGCCATGCTGGTGTGCTGCACCCATTAACTTGTCATTTAACATTAGGTATACCTCCTAATGCTATCCCTCCCCGCTCCCCCCACCCCACAACAGGCCCCGGTGTGTGATGTTCCCCTTCTTGTGTCCATGTGTTCTCATTGTTCAATTCCCACCTATGAGTGAGAACATGCGGTGTTTGGTTTTTTTGTCCTTGCAATAGTTTGCTGAGAATGATGGTTTCCAGCTTCATCCATGTCCCTACAAAGGACATGAACTCATCATTTTTTATGGCTGCATAGTATTCCATGTTGTATATGTGCCACATTTTCTTAATTCAGTCTATCATTGTTGGACATTTGGGTTGGTTCCAAGTCTTTGCTATTGTGAATAGTGCTGCAATAAACATACGTGTGCATGTGTCTTTATAGCAGCACAGTGAGATACCATCTCACACCAGTTAGAATGGCGATCATTAAAAAGTCAGGAAACAACAGGTGCTGGAGAGGATGTGGAGAAATAGGAACACTTTTACACTGTTGGTGGGACTGTAAACTAGTTCAACCATTATGGAAGTCAGTGTGGTGATTCCTCAGGGATCTAGAACTAGAAATACCATTTGACCCAGCAATCCCATTACTGGCTATATACCCAAAGGATTATAAATCATTGAAAGGTTTTAAACAGGAAGTGGGAGACAATGTGTTTAAATAAGTATTTTAGGCCAGGCGCAGTGGCTCATGCCTGTAATCCCAGCACTTTGAGAGGCCGAGGTGGGTGGGATCACCTAAGGTCAGGAGTTTGAGACCAGCCTGGCCAACATGGTGAAACCCTGTCTCTACTAAAAACATGAAAATTGGCTGGGCATGGTGGTGGGCACCTGTAATCCCAGCTACTCAGGAGGCTGAGGCAAGAGAACTGTTTGAATCCCAGAGGTAGAGGTTGCAGTGAGCCAAGATCGCTCCACTGCACTCCAGCCTGGGTGACAGAGCAAGACTCTATCTCAGAAAAAAAGGAAAAAAAAAAAAAAAGAAGTATTTTAGAGACATTAGTTTGGTTGCTGTAACAGCAGAATGCTCTTAAAATAGTCCAATCAGGAAAGTATGGAGGCCTGAATTAGGGCAGGATGGTAGGCATGGAGAAGAGGAGATGGGTTTAAGAAATATTGAGATACATTTGGCCAGAATTGTTGATTGGGAATTGATGAGAATTCCTCCATGCTGGGTATTATTATGCTAAAGGTTTGCAAATATGATGCCATTTAATTCTCAAAAAACTCAACAAGGTAGGTACTTTCCCACCTTTGTGATAGAGAAAAATGAGGCAGAGAGAGGTTAAGTAATTTGTCCAGATCACACAGCTGGAGAGTGGAAGAGTTGGCTCCAGACCTAAACCCTTAGCCACTGGGTCAGAGAGATGCCCAGATCTCTATTAAATAGAATCACACTGAACCTGAATTCTGTGTCCCTTCATGGAGCTTCCAGTTTGATGGTTTTAAACTCCTTTGTTCTTTCTTTCTTTCCTTCCTTCTTTCTTTATTTTTTTTTTTCTTTTTTCTTTTTCCCGAGTCTCACTCTGTCACCCAGGCTGGAGTGCAGTGGTGTGATCTCAGCTCACTGCAACCTCCACCTCCCGTGCTCAAGTGATTCTCTTGCTTCAGCCTCCCAAGTAGCTGGGATTACAGGTGTGTGCCACCACACCCAGCTAATTTTTGTATTTTTAGTAGAGACGGGGTTTCACCATGTTGGCCAGGCTGGTCTCAAGCTCCTGACCTCAAGTGGTCCGCCCACCCTGGCCTCCCAAAGTGCTGGAATTACAGGCTGAGCCGCCATGCCCGGACTAAACTTTTTCTTTCTAAGCAGCAGAAGTACTGCAAGCAGCTTGGGCAACCAGGCGAGCAGTGGTGCCATTAAGGTAGAAGAAGGGTTGTTTGTTTGGAGTGAGGTTGGAGTCTGATAAGTTCCCTTTTGAAGTGCTGTTCGAGCAGCCTGTGGAAACTTCCAGGGGGTGCTGTTCCATGGGCTCCTGGGTGTCCAGGCAAGAGGTCAAGGAGGACCCAGATCAATATTTGGGAATAAAATGAGGAGTAAATATTGAAGATTAAGCATATGGCTGAGATTAGTGGTTGTCAAAGAGATGTGCTCATTAGAGCTTAGGATCCTGTGAAGAAGCTTCAGAAGCCAGCAACAGGAACCGAGAGGGGGTGTGGACACCCTTCCCATCCCTATTTCTACCAGTGAAGAGCACCAGGATTCAGTTAACAGTTCCACTAGTTCCGCTTCTAAACAAAGAGTTTAAAATGGATCGATGCCCAAATGGATGGATGGATGGATGACAGGTGGATGGAAGGATGAACGAATGCACAGATGGACAGATGGGTGGACAGACAAAGGAATAAATAAAGTGGACCCACTGGACAGAGAAGACTTTGGTTCAAAAGGCTCATAAGGTGCCCCAGGCACCCTAACCCCCAACCAGGTGTACCCCATAAGATTACAGGATTGCCTTCCGATTGTCCCTCCCTGATAGGGATGAAAATTCTGCCAAAATGTCTTCCTTGGGTAATGTTTGTTCAGGAGTTAATTGGGCAATTCAGAGACTCCAATCGGGAAACACAGGGCCTGCTGCCAGATGACCTTGAGAGAAGCAAGAGCCAAGTCCCTGGACCCTGATCATAACCTCTTCCTGAGAAACTCACTGAGTGCAGGTAAGGAAGAGGGCATGCCTGGTCCTGGACACTGTATGCCTCCATCCTGCTCAATAAACCCCCACCATTCAGGGTCATGAGAGTGCAGGGACTGTCTGAGAGTTCACTCATGGGTCTGATCCATGTAGCTCTCTCCAATGATCTCTGCAAGCAAGTTCTATGCGGGAGGAAAAATGACCTGTTTTGTGTCAAAAGCCAGCAAACAAGATGGGATGTTGGAGTGTATTTGGACAGTACACATACACCCTTGGGCTTCTTTCATCTTTCTTCTTATGTTTTTATTTTTGGTTTTGCTTTGCTCTGGTAATAAATTTATATATATATGTATGTACCTATTCCTGCCTAAATTTTGAACAGATATGGATATAAAACCACAAAAGCACCATCCCCTGACCAATCTTCAGATGTATTTTTCCTATTTTTGGCTCCAAGAATATTAGTTCTGGCTGCATCTGGGATTAGGATTTTAAATTAATTTTTCATTTGGTGAGAGAGAGTGTGTCATATTGAAAATGATTCTCAGTGAATCTGCAACAGATGCTGTTGCTTCAGTCATCATTAGGTGAACCCACCATCCATGATTCCTATTAAATTTTTTATCAAACTGCCGGTGATTTCCAACTAGATGATTAAAGGTAATTTTTTGGAGAATTTACATTTAAAAGTGCTCCTCTAGAAGCAGGATTTTCATAGCAAATGGACCTTGTCTGTTCTCTGCACTATGAGGTAAAACTTCCAAGCTCTCTTTCAATTGTACGTTTTCCTGGCTTTTCTCACAGTTATATATCACACTTATTTGTGTGTAGGAAAATAATAGCATTGTGGAAATAGAACTCTTAGTAGCTGTAGTGGTAGTACAGGAGTAATGGTTATCCATTGTGGAATGTTTACCATTTTATAGGTACTATGTTAAGTCCTTTACACAATTATCATAGTTCACCTGTCCAATGACAACCCTACTATTATTAATCCCATTTTACAGATGAGGAAACTAAGGCTCAGTAATAAGCAACTTGCAACTTGCCTGAGGAAATGCAAACTAGGAAGTAACAAAGTCTCTAACTTCACACATATACACACCCCACCATGGGCTGGCTCCCTGAGAATCCATCAAATTGGAAACAGGGAACATGGATTCTGATTCAGAATCTGCTGTCAGTTATCATTGATAATAATAATTGTAGATATTTACTATGGACCAGTCACTGCTCTAAGTGACTTGCAAATATAATATTCATTTGATCCTTACAATTGGGTTATGGAATTTAAGGTTAGAAATCTTTCTCCATTAGCAAATGACAGAGCTTGGATTTGAGCAAAGTCAATTGAGTTCAGAGTCCCTAGTTTTAACTCTCACACCACACTGTCCTTGATGGATGATGCTGGTGAGTTGCCTCTTTTTGCTAGACCAATGCCTCTCCAGGTATATACTGAAGCCACTGGATACATTTCCTGTTCCATGCCTGTGTTGCAAATTACCCCAACACTTAGTGGCTGAAAGCAACACTTTCATTTGGGTCCTGATTTTGTGAGTCTGGAATTCAGGAAGGGCTCTTCTGGGCAGTTCATCTCTGATCCAAGTGGTCTCAGCTGAGGTGGCTGAGGCTGGAAGATCTACTTCCAAGATGGCTTTGGCATCTGTGTAACTGGCCCCTTGGGGCTCCTTGGCCTCTCTCTTTTCACATTGCATCTCATCCTCTACGACCTCCCTGAGTGGCTCAGGGTTCTCATAGCATAGTGGTCTTGGGGTAGATGGCGTTTTTATATGGCTACTGGTTTTCCCCAGAGTATGTGGTCTGATCTACCCCGGCAGAAGCTGAAAGGCTTCTTCTGACTTAGCCTCAGAAATCTCATAACATCATTTCTGTCACATCTTATTGTCAAGAAAGTCACTAAAGGTACAACAGATTCAGGGAGAAGAGAATTACCTCTCAGCAGGAGGAGTTGCAAAGAATTTGCAGGTATCCTTACTCCATGACATTGCCTTAGCTGTAAGTTGAAAGCACATTCATCTACTAGAGTGGCTACACAGTTAATGGCGAGAGAGGAGTCTCATTTACCAATTCCCATTTTAGAAAATTGCCTGGTTTATCTCATATTACTTACCACTCTTAATGATAATAATAATAATAATAAAGCTTCATTCATTGAGTCCTTACAACATGCTAGTCATTCTTCTTAGCACTTATTTATATATATTAATTCATCCGCTCTTCATCAGTATCCCATAGTAGGTATTATTATTGGAAATATTTCCATTTTACAGAGTAGAATATAGAGCATATCAAGGTTAAATAACTTGTTCAAAGTCACATGGCTTGGTGGGGGGCGGAACAGTGAGTTTCCATACCCTGTGTCTTTAATTTACTCACTGTACTCTTAAATGCCTGGTAAATTATCATTTGAGGAAAGGGTTCGACTTTTTCTTTTTTTAGAAAATGATTCTAAAAGCCACTGAACTAGGTGATCCCTAATGATTCTACTTTAGACTTTGATGACCCCAAAAATAAAGATAAACCAACAGAAACACAGTATTGGTGGGTGATTAGGCAAGCAGGTTCTGGAGTCAGATGGAGACTCAATCTTGGAGGAGGGAGAGAGAGAGAGAGATCACATGGAGAAGCACAGAGAAGGCAAACATGATTGAAGAAGCCATTTGAGTGTTTATCCCAGTAAAGTCTTCAGTTGACTTTAGACCTAGCCACCATCTGGTCCAACTGCATGAGAGACACAAGGGAGAATGGCCCAGCTGAGCCCAGTCAACCCACAGAACTGTCCAAGCTAACAATACATTGTTGTTTCTCAGCCCCTAGGGCTTGAGTGCTCTGTTATACACTGATATATAATTGGAACACTGGCTCTGCCTCTTAGTCCCTTTATCAACCCAGACAAGTCACTGAACCTTTTTGGACATCAGCTTTTCATATGTAACATGGGGATATGTTACATATGAAATAGCACCTCCCTCCGAGTTGATGTGAGGATTAAAGAGGATAACGCATGCACAGTACTTCACCTAATACTCCATAAAAGTAAGCACATACCTTTGAAAAGTCTATTACGTTCATACTCATTGGACTGGTTGTTATATTTAATTAAAAAAAAAACAGAAAATAACAAGTGTTGGAGAGGGTATAGAGAAATTGAGACAGTTTTGCTTTGCTGGTAGAAATGTAAGATAGTATAGCCTCTATGGAAAACAGTACGACAGTTCCTCAAAAAAATAAAAATAAAAATTGAATTACCATTTGATCCAGCAATTCCACTTCTGGGTACATACCCAAAATAACTGAAATAAGGGATTCAGATATTTGTACACCCACGTTTACGGCATAATTATTCACAACAGCCAAAAGGCTGGAATAACCCAGTGTCCATCAACAGATTAATGGATAAGTAAAATTGGTCTATATATACAAGCATAATTGGTCTATATATACAATGGAATATCATTCAGCCTTAAAAAGGAAGGAAATTCTGACACACGCTACGACACAGATGAACCTTAAAGACGTTATGTTAAGTGAAATAAGCTAGATACAAAAGGACAGATATAGTACGATTCCACATATATAAAGTACCTAAAGTAGTCAAATTTATTGAGACAGAAGTAGAATGGTAATTGCCAAGGACTGGGTGGGGATTGAAGGAGTTTAGTTGGTACCAAGTTTCAATTTGAGAAGATAAAAAGGTTACAGAGATGATGGTTGCACAACAATGTAAATGTGCTTAATTCCATTCTGTACACTTAAAAATGGTTAAAATGGTAAATTTTATGTTTTGTATATTTTACCACAATAAGAAAAAAATGTTTAAGTTAATAATGATCATTATGACAAGAGATAATTAAGGCCAGGTACGTAAGCAGAAACACTGATTTCATTCACTGCTAGTATTCAGTAACATGCAAAAGTTTTGGAAAGATGATACATCAAATGATCTTTTACTTTACTATACAAAGGAGTAGCTTGAGAAACCCTTTAAATAGACAGCTTGACTTCCAGTTCCAAGATGGCAAAATGAAGAAATATCTGTCCCCTTCTACTCTAAAAAATCAATTCACAACAAATAGGAGGGAAAAAAAAGAAACCCAAGTACAATTTGGGTGAAACTAGATGCCATCTGTATCACTAACCCACAATATATGAAGTGATAAAATAGATTGAGTGAGCAGAAGAAAGTTAAATTTAAGTTCTGGCAGAGGGAGACAATATGGAAAAGCAAGCCAATTTGCCCTGGGAACCCTAGACCTGCTCAGGAACTTGAAGTACCAGGTACAGAGGTAGCTGAGACTAAGATGAGGGCTGAAAGCAGGGAGAATGTTCTACAGGTCTGGATGAGAAGCTGTTGGACTCATAGTATTCTTGCCCTCCTGTAACCCAGCATAGGAAGTGACTTCCCTCTCCTCTACACTTATAGTAGATGGGGGTATATTTTCCAAAGAAATAAACTAGAAGGTTCTGGAATCAAGAGCAGCAGGTTCTGTAAAAGGAGTAGAAATTTATGCTGAGGAAATTTCCCAAAAGGGAAAAAAAACTGAAGAGAAAAAAAAAGAAAATTAGGTCAATCCAGGAGGTCCTACAGTTGACTAAGAGATTTCCAGAGAGAGAGAACAGAGAAAACAATAAGTAGTAGACAAAGAAAAAACATTTTAAAATTTCCCAGTACCAGACATAAGCCCAACCCACACTAAGACCCATCATAATGAAATTATTCTAGAATCACAGATAGAGAAGATCCTAAAAGCATTCAGAGAGGAATGTCACAAAGGATCAGGTAACAGTACGGAACTGGACTTTTCAACAACCAGAAGCCAGAAAAAAATTAAACAATACCTTCAGAATTGTAAGAGAAAGATTCTATACCCAGCCAAACTATCCATTGGGGTGTGGGTGAAATAAGACATTTTCAGACATGCAAAGTCATACAAGAAGTTAATTCTCTAGTACTCTGTAGGAAACTACAAGGGAAGGAGGTCCACTAACATGGGGAAGTAACTACTGAAAAAGAAGACTTTGGATGAAAGAAATAGGGAATCTAGCACAGGAGAAAGGTAAAGGGAATTCCAGGATAATGGAAGAGAGACCCCAGGATAAAATCTGTTCAGCAGTCTTAGAGAAGAACCAAGCCAAAAGGGAGCATAAGGGAGGGCTCCAGGAGAGAGAAATCAAGGAGAAAAAATAAATAAAACTGGTAGGTTATCTGACAGGTTTGGCTGAGTTGAAAAATTGCATTGAGGAGCATTCTATACAGCTATTGGAGAATACAAGAAAACTAAGATAAAGACTTGAAATAAATCCAGGAAATGGGAAAATGAAGATTTTATAAGTAAGTTGAGAAGAAAGGAAATAAAATCATAAAGGTATAATCATAGTACATTCCCTGGCTTAGAAGTAAACAATATCTGCATAGTCATAATAATGGAAACAATAGTAATTACAACAAAACGTGGAATTATACTACTGGGGTATAAGGAGAAAAGAAAGAGGGGTGTAAGAAAGTCAGAAGTCCTCACCTAGGTATAATATGAAAGCAACAGACATTGTTCAAAATTGATCATTCATGAAATAATACACTGATGTGATTTGAAAATATTGGAGAAAATGCCAGAAGAAACAGCTAAAAGAATTCAGCGGTGGTTGCTTCTGAGGAGCAAAGTGAAGCTGCCAAGCGAATGGGGCACTGCTGTTTTCCGTCAGAAGCCTTTCACCATTATTTGATGTTGAAACTATACATGTGCATTACTTGGTTAAAATAAAAATTATTTTAAAGGTAAAAAATGGCTTCTCTCTGTACTTTAAAAATGTAATTTAATGTTTATATCTATTATATTAACTCCTAATAGCTCAGGAAAATATTGGTTTTCCAAAGTGAACAAGAATAGCAAAGCTTTCTTTTCTATTTTATTTTATTTTATTTTAATTTAATTTAATTTTATTTTATTTTAATTTTTTTGAGATGAAGTCTCGCTCTGTCTCCCAGGCTAGAGTGCAGTGGTGCGATCTCGGCTCACCGCAACCTCCGCCTCCCGAGTTCAAGTGATTCTCCTGCCTCAGCCCCAGCCTGAGTAGCTGGGATTACAGGCGGGCGCCACCATGCCTGGCTAATTTTTGTATTTCTAGTAGAGATGGGGTTTCACCATGTTGGTCAGGCTGGTCTCAAACTCCTGACCTCAGGTGATCTGCCTGCCTTGGCCTCCCAAAGTGCTGGAATTACAGGCATGAGCCACCGTGCCCAGCCTAGCAAGGCTTTCTTAAAGACCCTTAGGAAAGTTGCTCAGGCTTTTAAGCCTATTCGAGTCTAATGGAAGGAATCCCCTCCATCCCCCGCTGACCTCCCACAGCACTCCTGGCCACATACACGGGAGATCTGAAGGCTCCCATACTGACTCCTTCCACCTAATTCAGCCTGGCCTTTTCTCCCCGAGAAGCTTCAATTTCCTGTTACAGAGTCAGCTGTTTTCAAACTGAAAAGGTCAGATGTAAATGCTATTTTAGGGTGCTCACATTTGGTGGAAATGAGTCACCCAGGTTGGGTTTATTGCCTGAGCCAGGTAAACATGAAATCCCTCCAGTTAAAAATATCACAAGCAGAAAAAAAACCTCTCTCTCTCTGTCTCTCTCTCTCTCACACACACACGTGCACACACACACACGTGCACACACACACACGTGCACACACACATCCTTTTCCACCAAGTTCAGCCAGATGAATTTATTACCCAAGTAAGATTTATCTAACGTTTTCATAAAAATCCCCAGCCTAAGGGTGATATGCATGTCAGTATCGTTGCTAGCAATTTGATGTTAAAAAAGATTTGCTGTACAAGCTTGTCTATTGGAATTGATTGGAAACAGGCACACATGGCAATGTAGAAAAATCTAGATAATCCACAGTTATCTGTGCTCCTTTCCCCTGTGGAAGAGGGCTGGAGAGGTCGCCCAGCATACTGAGTGCATGAATGTCAGGGTTTTCTCTAAATCTCCAAGGATGCAACACTACAAGGCTGTTTATATTGATCAACAGCATGCATGGAAGTTAACATAAATCAATTAGTAAAATGCTCAGGCAGCAGCGATTGCTAAACTATACTGTGTAAATAAAAGTTTTAAATATAAAACATGATGATCAAATCTATTAACCATGCTCAGCCCTGCCAAGCTCTACCGTGACCTTCAGCAGCAGAATTTTCAGCTGTCACTCAAAGCCCACTGCCGACTCATGTGGACAATCTTGCATTGCTAGATGTTAGGGTCGTCTCAGAACTTAACCCCAAGTCCCATCTTTAATAACAATGACAAAGTGCATCGATACAGCACTTGACAATTTGCCAGCCTCTTTCAAACACTTTATTGGTTGACTTGGTCCTTGCTGTATGCCTTGATAAGAGGGCAGCTCATAGGGAGACCGTGGAGGCAGACGTAGAGAGTGGAAGTCTTGGCTCTGCAATTTACCATCTTGTCTGGAAGCAGGCAACTTAATTTCAGGGTTAGATACGTTGTTCTCAAATAGCTATTACTTTAATTCCTACTTTTTTTTTTTTTTTTTTTGAGACAGAGTCTCACTCTGACGCCAGGCTGGAGTGCAGTGGCACGATCTTGGCTCACTGCAACCTCCTACTCCCTGGTTCAAGTGATTCTCTTGCCTTAGCCTCCCGAGTAGCTGGGATTACAGGCACACACCACCATGCCCAGCTAATTTTTTGTGTGTGTATTTTTAGTAGAAATGGCATTTCACCTTGTTGGCCAGGATGGTCTCAATCTCCTGACCTCATGATCCACCTGCCTCAGCCTCCCAAAGTGCTGGGATTACAGGCATGAGCCACTGCGCCTGGCCTTTAATCCCTACTTTTACAGAGGTGAAACTGAAGCTTAGAGAGTGAGTTATTTGTAAAGGGAATTGGAAAAACGGATTCACACCCAAATCTATTTATCTCATTTTCAACTCCATGCTTCGCTTTGCACTGCTTCCATGGATTCCTGAACCCCCTGCAGCTTCATCACAGGTATGACCTAAGGCAAGGTTTCCTGTGTCCTTTGAAAGGCAGAGACCCTGCACCCCTCCCGAGGACTCTCTTCAGTGGAGCCCAGGGAGGAAGGCACTGGTGTCTATGGTTGTCGCTCAGCTCCCAGCATCCCACTTTCATGACCCAATTGCAGTCCTACAGTGAAAGGTATATTGAAAAGGAGGGCAACCTGGAGCCCTGCCCTCAGACCTCATTTCCTTTTGCTCTCCCCCAGGCTTATTCTTCTGAGGTCACCTGTCCCAGGTGCTGTCCTTTAAATGTGCAGGATGTTCCTGCATAAGGCCTTTGACCTGGGGGCTCCCTTTGTCTGCAACTTTCTCCCTCCAGAGAACCATATGGCTAACTTCTTCACTCTCCGAATCATCCCTCAAGGGTTAACTTCTCAATGATGTCTGACCTCACCACCCTACTTAAAATCACAACTGCACCTGCCCCACCCAGACCCCCAGATCCCTTTCCTGCTCTGCTTTACTCATATCCTTTAGTACCTTCTAAATACTATGTAACTTACTTGTGCTCATAGAGTATTGCTTGTCACTTTTGTTCACTGAGGGTCCTAGGTGCCTAAAACAGAGCCTGGCATATAGGAGGTGCCCAACAAACCTTACTGAACAAATAAATAAGTGGATGGATGGATGAATGGATGAATAGATGGGTGGACAGATGGATGGATGGACAGGTGGGTGGTTGAGTGAATTTAATCCCTTCCTTAAGCTTTGCAGGTAGCCAGCCTCTCACCCCCTAAAACCCAAAGCTTTCAGGGTTCTACATATGCACCAGTGCAGGCAAGCAATGCGTCCTAGGCTTTTAGTAAAGCATGGGCCCATTAGAGAGCAGCCTAAACAAACCCACTGGTGCAGAAACACTATTCTACTCAGCCAAAGTCTGCAGGGTGTGGACACAAATGAAGAAACCAACTCAGGCAGCACGGCTGGGAGACTTCAGAGGCTTAATTGAACCCCATTTCTTCATGATGTAGGCAGCTTATTTGTGACCAGGCTGCCACCAAGCCAAATTTACTGTGACATGCTGACAGCTGCTTCTGTGCTGGAGTTCTTGAAAACAGCTGGAGGAGAGGAACAGATACTTCTAAATCAAAGGTTCTTTCTCCCCGCAAGCCACACGATAGCTGCTGCCTGAGGAGCTGGGCTGTGCACATCAGGACTCAGGGTTCTAAATTTGGTCCCTATTCCTCCACTGACCAACAAGGGAGGTAAGACAGAATCAACAGAAAGGAAGAATAGCTTCAGACAAGAGTCAGTGCAGAGATTTCTCCGCTTTATACGAAAGCATCAGAAATGCTGTTTCTACACTGGTAGGGGATAGCTTTAGGTGAATTTAGAGAGGTAAGAGGCAAACACTTTGAGTAAGGGCAAACGGAGAGGGCAGCCTGTCATGCAAATGGAATGTCTAGCAATAGGCAGCTGGATAAATAAATGATCATGCATCTTAACAAGGAACTGCCATGTAGCCATTAAAACTAGTATTGTAGAACTGTATTTACTGGCATGGAGAGAGGTCTATGATGTATTCAGTGGAAAAAGTGGGCTATAAAATAATCCCACCCTATGTGATCCCATTTTTGTTCAGAAAATGTGTGTATATAAATAGACTCCAGCTGGGTGCAGTGGCTCATGCCTGTAATCCCAGCACTTTGGGAGGCTGAGGCGGGCAGATCACAAGGTCAGGAGTTTGAGACCAGCCTGACCAATACAGTGAAACCCCGTCTCTACTAAAAATACAAAAATTAGCTGGGCGTGGTGGTGCACGCCTGTAATCCCAGCTACTCGGGAGGCTGAGGCAGGAGAATTGCTTGAACCTGGGAGGCGGAGGTTGCAGTGAGCCGAGATTGCACCACTGCACTCCAGCCTGGGCGACAGAGCGAGACTCCATCTCAAAATAATAATGATAATAATAATAATAAATAAATAAATAGACTCCAAAGATTACCAGTAATTCTCCCTAGATGATCGGGTTCTAGGTGATTTAAATACCTGTTTTACTCCTATTCTATTCTACTTTCCATTCTGTTTGACAGAGTCTCACTCTGTCATCCAGGCTGGAGTGCAGGTGCAATCATAGCTCACTGCAGCCTCATACTCCTGGGATCAAGTGATCCTCCTGCCTCAGTCCCCTGAGTAGCTGGGGCTACATGGACAAGCCAATGTGCCTATTTTATTGCACTTTCTAAATTTTCTGCAACATTTATAATTTTCTCAAAAAGAGTTCAACATGCAAATTTTAGGTTAATTTGTGGAAAGGGTCCTGCCCAACCATGGAATAACACCTTCACCCGGCCTGTGCAGAACATGAAGACATTCCCCTCACTGAGGCATTGCCTGAATTAAACGAAGCCTGAACAGCCACATGATTTGGCCTCCAGAACTGAGTTAGCATCTCCCAATAAAGGTCTTACCCATCCCAGCCTCCTTCCTCCCACCCAAAACTGCTGAAGTCCCCACATGTCTTGGGCCATGTTGGAAGAGAAACCTCCTTGCTCAGCTCAGCTTCCTCAGCTACCATGAGAAACTCCAGCCTGTTCAAAAGGTGCACTTTTGTGCCTCCTCTCTTTTGCATGTGCTGTTCCCCCTGCCAGGGATGCTCCTGCCTTCCACAGTTTGCCTAGAAAACTTCTCTTCATGCTTCAAAACCCAGCTCAAATGATACCTCCTCTATAAAGCCTTTTCAGACTCTCTCATTTCCTAAGACCTTTGTATTTACCTCAGCCTGAAGCCTGAGCCTGCCAAGGGATAATCCTAGGAAATGATTTTCTCCACCTCACAATAAATATATTGAAGACTTCTTTTTTTCTTAAAAGACATTTGCAATTGAAGAGTGGGCAGACATATAACCAGAAACTCTAGTTGAGGGAGTAGGGAGATAACAGAATCCAAAAACCCCTACAGGAATGGCAAAACAGGCAAGGTATGGTGGCTCACACCTGTAATCCCAGCACTTTGGGAGGCCGAGGCGGGCAGATCACCTGAGGTCAGGAATTCAAGACCAGCCTGAGCAACATGGGAAACCCCATCTCTACAAAAAAAAAAAATACAAAAATTATCCAGGCTTGGTGACTCATGCCTGTAGTCCCAGCTACTTGAGGGGCTGAGGTGGGAGGATCTGGGAGGATTGCTTGAGCCCAGGAGGCAGAGGTTGCAGTGAACTGAGATCACACAACTGCACTCCAGCCTGGGAGACAGAATGAGGACCTGTCTCAGAAAAAAAAAAAAAGAAGAAAAAAAGGCAAAAGAAACTTCTCACACCTGGGCAAATGCTTGCTTTAGGCAGGTGATTCATCTTTAGCTATATGTCCCCAGGGGTTATCTGGGGACTCTGGGAAGCCTTCTCTCCATCTAGGAACACTGTTATTTCCTGTTTTATAAAACTGGAGCCTTCACCACTAGAGAAATCGTACATCCTCAACTGGTATCTACTGCAATTTTTTGTCAATCACAACGCAATTCCACTGCGGCAACCACGGATCTCCCCGTCACATTGTAGTGGATTAATCTGCCTATCTGCCCTTCCTACCAGGTTAAGTTCTGGTGAGACCTGACAGGACAATGAGGCTATGCCTCCCGATGTTGCTATAGAATGAACAAAAGAAGACACCTTCTTTTGCTGTTTTGTGTTGGGAAAAGGGAATGCCAAACTGAGGAATGCTGCCTTTTTGTCACCTCTCACCTGGAATCACATCAAATGAGAGTTTTATCATGCTGCCTCTGCCAGGCTGGGAGCGCAGAATCTTCCCCCATCACTGCAAGCGGCCCACTAAGAGCTCTCTGCAGTTCCTCGGAAGCCACCTCTGCCTTCAGGGCTCAATACTTCCCACCAGTCTTTACCGAGTGAAGAAAGGGCAGCTGAGCCAGGCCTCATTCCTTGATTACACAGAGCCCACTGATAATCAAGGAATCATTGGATTGGATTGATGGTGCTTTGCATTCTGATCAGGCACTAAGTGCACCCAACGAACCATGAACTCTCTCTTCTGGTTATGTTTTAACTCTGCCTGTGGTCATCTGTTGCACTATGTGTATAATCTAGTGGGGGAGATCATAAATGCACTGAAGCCCATCAAGGAACATTAATGGCCACTAGAATTTTCAAACCTAGCACATTTAATTGAGGGTGCAAATGGCAAACGCCTTGTTCACTTGAAAAACAAAGAACTAAATTGTGCGTGACCCAGCTCGACACCTTTGAATTATGCCATTTGTTAAATATATACTGTGTGCATATAATTAATCCAATTTGGCCCCATGAAAAAGAAATCACTTCCCTTAATGATGCAATATTAAAATTAACCAATTCTGCCCTGGCCAAACAGGACTCTTGTAAACAGCCTCACCGGAGGATGTCTCCTGGAGACCCTTGCAAAGTCTTTGCAAAGGCACAGAAAAAAAAAACAGCTAAAAGGAAACACCAGCTTGTATCCTCCTACATCTAAATTGGCTGTGATAATGAACACTTCTTTTTCTTTTGTGGTATGGATCCAGGTCTAGATTTGCCATTATGTATAGCCACCTGATACAGGCTGTTTGAAAAATCAAGGTAAAAAGGAACATTTATCTATTACCCATAGCGGAGATTTACATTTAGATGACATTCTTAGTATAGGTAATAACTCAGTTCAGCAATCAAAGGCACAACAGCCTTGCTGCGCCCAACATTGTTCCAGGCTAGACGTTTCCACATACATTCCCTTTGACTGTCCTGTCTTGCCTGGAAGATGTGCCAGTCTGCTGGTCTCAGCTCCAGGGAAGCATGGACTGGATTAACACAGAATTAAATGCTGCTTCCCAGGTTTCCTTCCCTTTACAAATTCTGAGCCTCCTTTGCATGTGTTTGAGGATGGAAGAAGTGGAGAGAACCTGTTTTTCTAGGAAAAGATTCGATTCCCATTTCACTTGCTTTGCTTGACATGGGCTTCTAGAAGTTTTGTAGTGGCTGCAGTAATTGGGCAAACACTTAAACTTCACCATAGATTGGGGAGCCTTGTGTGGCTCCAAAGGTTTCATTTCTGTCCCATTCCTAAGAAGCAGCAAGATAAGAAGGAGTGAGCACACCTTCCTCACTTTCAATAACCTTCCAGTGGCTGAACATAGCTTACAAAATAAAGTCACAAGTTCTTAAGCAAGGTTTTGCAAAAGCCTGTGCTTGCAGCCCTGTCCCTAGGGTATAGCTTGGCACTTGCGCAGCCAGGAGACGGCAATGTCTGAGATTCAATAAGTGGGAAGGAAGAAAGTTCTCAGTATCAATGATGCTGCCTTACTGTCTCCAGGAACCTCAGCAGCCCCCATGCCATGACTGTGGCATTCAGAGCCTCCTCGTTTGACTCTGACCTTGCCAGTCACTTTGCTGTCTATTTCTAGTGTCACCTCTCCAACTGGAGACAAAACCAAATTGCTCACTTGTGGCTCCTGAGTGCTATCCTTGCCCACCCTGGTTTCTCTCCTCCTCTCAGGTCATGCTGGCTGTCAAACTTCCTCATCACTGGCTTCTCCTTTGGCTTTGCCTGGTTTTACTGGGTTTGATTCTTGTCTGCTGCATTAGTAGCAGAAAAGGATTCCAAACAATGTGGCATCTTCTGTGAAGTTCTTCCATTCCTTCAACAAATGTCTTTTTGTGCCAAGTACAGGGTTAGGCAGACAGAGGAGCAGGGCAGAGGCCCAGAGGTGAGAAAATGCTTGACCCTGCAAGTTGCTCAGTAAGACCAGGGTGCAGAGGGCACAGGAATCAGGGTCGCTGGTGAAGAGTCCAGGGCCTGGACTCACACTGCCATCATCTGAAGCCTCTCCAGCCTCAATCAGGGATGTTGGGAGAATGTAATGAAATGATTCCTGCAGTACCTCTGGCACTTAGTGTATGCTTAGTAATGCCAGCTCTCATCATTACCAAGATCATAGTGATTTTCATTATCATTTTAAGCAGGGGTCAGAACACACAGGAGTTACACACGTTAAGGAGGTAGAATACACCCTTGAAGGCATTGACAGTCCATTGGAAGAGCTGAGCCAGGATGGGAGGGGTGTAACTATGTTGGAAATTCAGAACAATCACTCTGGTAGCTGCATGCAGAATGGATGGGAAACACCAGACTGAGAGAGAGGAAAAAGTCAGGAACCTGCTGCAGTCATTTCAGCAAGAGACAATAGAGGTCTAGGTCAAAGCAGAGGTGTTGGGACAGACAGAGGTTGGTGGATTCTACAGGTAAGGAGAAGGCTCTGAGATAGGCTGCAGGGTACAGTGGTTAAGGGCACAGGCTCTGGGGCCAGCCAATCTGGATTGGAACTCTAACTCTGCCATCCCTGTTCATGTGACCTGGAGCAAGTAATTCTACCTTCTGATGCCTCAGTTTTCCTGTCTGTATCTTGAAGATAACAAGGAATGCTACCGACCTCACAGTGTTGGTTGATGTCAAAGTTAAGTTTGTTAATGCATGTAATGCACTTAGAACAGTGTCTAACACAAAGCAAACAGCAAGTGTTGCTTATTGTTATGAGAAATAATTGGGTTCCCTGACCCATTAAACAGATCAGAAGGGAGGAGTCCAAGAAGAATTGGGTAGCCAGGGGATGGGAAGTTGTTTTCTGAGGTTGGTGGGGAGACCCCAGCAGAAGTACCAAGTTTGGGGAAGGAAGAGAAGAGAGGGTATGGATGATCTTTTAACAGCCAGCCAGCCATCCAGACGTAACATTCAAGTTACCAATTTGGGGAATTATTTTGTTTGGGCAAAAAACAGTTTGTCCCAGCAATTCAGGCAGCTGTTAAGGGTATGAAGATGGTTTTGTTAACAAGAAAAGCAAGTTTCTTTGGGTTTTTCTCTCAAGCACACAAACTCCAGAATTCCACTTCATACAATGTCCAGGAAGGAAAGCAAACTGAATACCTGTTTCTTCATCTGAATCGAATGCTGTCAATCCTCCTGCCCTTGAAGCAGAGTCTCAAGAAACTTTAAGCAATTCATGAGATAAAAGTAGCGTCAAAGAATTGGTCAAAATATCAAAATTACAACGTGGGATGTGTTGCCATGACAACCCAACTCCATTATTTTCAAATCCTGTGGCAAGAATCTAGCCAGCAACAGAACTGAATAAAAGCAGGAAGCTTCTGCCTCTCATTCATAGGAGGAAATGGTGAATGTCCTAAAACATATCTTTTCATTTTCCTTGAAAATTCAACAAGGCCAAAGCAACAACTTCCCCAAGCATTTCTATAACAAGGAGAACCATTCTCTGTCTACATGGAGCAACGAATTAAATCAGTGCTGGTTGCCCGCAACATCTTCAGCAAGCATCCTTCATCTGGGTAGCTAGCCAATTTGTAGGAATTAGCTCATGAATCCTTATGACATGGGAAGGAAACAAAAATTATTTGTTCTGGGAATCCTGCCTGTACTACTAATCATTTTTTGTATATAATTATATTAATGTGGGTCCCTATTGAAGTCTGAATTGTTGATATTCACATGGTATTTGGACATACCTTTTCATGTGCCTCCAAAAGTCACTATATGAAATAAATGCCTGTTAATTGCAACTAGCTTATAAGTAAATAACAGTCAAATCTCCAAATATTAGTACTACAGGTTGGTGGTGCATGGATGTCCTATATTGACCCTTCAACCAACTTCTAAGGAAGGACGGTATTACATCTATTTTCAAGTCAGGAGAAACCGTGGGCACAAAACAGATTATAGGCTTGTATAAAGACATAAAGAAATTCATGACCTTAAAATAAATATTCATTAAATGCCTATGGTGCAGCAGTTGCTGGGTCAAGAGACATAGTTGCTGGTTTAAGGGAAGGTGTAAATTCCATTTTCCTGTGCACATAAAACAGGCAGTTCCCCCTTATACTTGTAAAACCTGCAAAGTCATTTTATTTTAGCACCCTGTCCTTAAGTCGTTAGTAACTTGTGGAAGCCTCCATTCTTGCAATTCTTTACCCTGCTAATAAACATCCATCTGTCCAAGCTGGCAAAGAGGTTGTAACTTGAGGGAAATGGATAGATTGGTGTGTGTGTGTGTGTGTGTGTGTGTGTGTGTGTGTGTGTGTATCTGTGTACATTGCCAATTTTTTCTCTTTCTTTCACATTTACTTATTTATTTTTATTATACTTTATGTTTTAGGGTACATGTGCACATTGTGCGGGTTAGTTACATATGTATACATGTGCCATGCGGGTGCGCTGCACCCACTAACTCGTCATCTAGCATTAGGTGTATCTCCCAATGCTATCTCTCCCCCCTCCCCCCACCCCACCACAGTCCCCAGAGTGTGATATTCCCCTTCCCGTGTCCATGTGATCTCACTGTTCAATTCCCACCTATGAGTGAGAATATGCGGTGTTTGGTTTTTTGTTCTTGCGATAGTTTACTGAGAATGATGATTTCCAATTTCATCCAACAACAGACAAACAGAGAGCCAAATCATGAGTGAACTCCCATTCACAATTGCTTCAAAGAGAATAAAATACCTAGGAATCCAACTTACAAGGGATGTGAAGGACCTCTTCAAGGAGAACTACAAACCACTGCTCAAGGAAATAAAAGAGGATACAAACAAATGGAAGAACATTCCATGCTCATGGGTAGGAAGAATCAATATCGTGAAAATGGCCATACTGCCCAAGGTAATTTACAGATTCAATGCCATCCCCATAAAGCTACCAATGACTTTCTTCAAAGAATTGGAAAAAACTACTTTAAAGTTCATATGGAACCAAAAAAGAGCCTGCATTGCCAAGGCAATCCTAAGCCAAAAGAACAAAGCTGGAGGCATCACACTACCTGACTTCAAACTATACTACAAGGCTACAGTAACCGAAACAGCATGGTACTGGTACCAAAACAGAGATATAGATCAATGCAACAGAACAGAGCCCTCAGAAATAACGCCACATATCTACAACTATCTGATCTTTGACAAACCTGAGAAAAACAAGCAATGGGGAAAGGATTTCCTATTTAATAAATGGTGTTGGGAAAACTGGCTAGCCGTATGTAGAAAGCTGAAACTGGATCCCTTCCTTACACCTTATACAAAAATCAATTCGAGATGGATTAAAGACTTAAACGTTAGACCTAAAACCATAAAAACCCTAGAAGAAAACCTAGGCATTACCATTCAGGACATAGGCATGGGCAAGGACTTCATGTCCAAAACACCAAAAGCAATGGCAACAAAAGACAAAATTGACAAATGGGATCTAATTAAACTAAAGAGCTTCTGCACAGCAAAAGAAACTACCATCAGAGTGAACAGGCAACCTACAAAATGGGAGAAAATTTTCACAACCTACTCATCTGACAAAGGGCTAATATCCAGAATCTACAATGAACTCAAACAAATTTACAAGAAAAAAACAAACAACCCCATCAAAAAGTGGGCGAAGGACATGAACAGACACTTCTCAAAAGAAGACATTTATGCAGCCAAAAAACACATGAAAAAATGCTCATCATCACTGGCCATCAGAGAAATGCAAATCAAAACCACAATGAGATACCATCTCACACCAGTTAGAATGGCAATCATTAAAAAGTCAGGAAACAACAGGTGCTGGAGAGGATGTGGAGAAACAGGAACACTTTTACACTGTTGGTGGGACTGTAAACTAGTTCAACCATTGTGGAAGTCAGTGTGGCGATTCCTCAGGGATCTAGAATTAGAAATACCATTTGACCCAGCCATCCCATTACTGGGTATATACCCAAAGGACTATAAATCATGATGCTATAAAGACACATGCACAAGTATGTTTATTGCGGCATTATTCACAATAGCAAAGACTTGGAACCAACCCAAATGTCCAACAATGATAGACTGGATTAAGAAAATGTGGCACATATACACCATGGAATACTATGCAGCCATAAAAAATGATGAGTTCATGTCCTTTGTAGGGACATGGATGAAATTGGAAATCATCTTTCTTTCACATTTAAAGGCAAACCTTTTGAAACTATGGACAGGAGCTAGCTTTTACAATGGACGTATTTGACATTGAGAGATAAATGTCCTTAAGGAATGTAAAAAGTCAAAAGAGGTCTTCATAAATGAAGAGCAGAAATGATAAACCTGTATTGATCTTGAATTTTTTAAAAAAGATAAAGATAGGAGCTGGTCGTGTCTCAGCTCTAACCCAGCTGGGCTGTGGACAGACTTCCCTAGCTCCCCTCTCAATTCCCAGAGCCTAACGCAGAGGTGAGTATGTGATAGAAATGCACTTTGTTAACATCCGGCTGGCTGGCTGGTTATGCATGAGGAGGTGATTAGATAGTAGACAAATTCGAGCTCCAGGATCTACCAGGATACAATGCATCACATCTCAGGCTACAATATGAGCAGGTTTCTGTCACGCCCAATTTGAAAAGCATGACGCTGGATCATTTGTAGAAGTCTGTGCATACCCATCAACCTTCCATCAACTCTACTTCCTGCCAGAATGAAGAAACGAGCCAGCAACACTCACCTACGTAGTTTCCCAGACACCAGTTTTTACCATAAATAAAGAGCTGCACCCCAAAGCTTGAAGAAAGAGGCTACTAAGTGCTAAAAAGCTGTGCAGAGTTTGGGGGGACAGAAGCTACTCCAATAAGATTAGCAAGGCTCACACTAAGCTTGGCAGCAGGCATGCCTCACCAGTGAGGAGCAGATTCTGGGAACATAATCTCTTTTGGAGGAACCAGTTTTCCCACCATCTCTACAAAGACAGAATAAAGAAAGGCAAAAGTTGGCTCATTTGGAACCAGATAAACCCACTGGCATGCCCAATGACTCTTCTCTATGACTAACCCTCTTGGAAACTGCAATTCCTGAAACCAGCCTGGCAAAGTTGTAGGTGGCATCATCACCAGCCTTAGAGAGAGATGCTGCATGTCAAAGAAAACAATAACAAAAATATCGATTGAGAAAAGGGAAACATTAAACACAAGTCATTGTATTGGCAGCCACTGCTTGTCCCTCCAATATTTTGGCTACATTTTTTATTTTTTAATATGTAAATGGTTATAACTGTAAGTTAACTATATGATGAGACAGCTGACTGTAGACCTGTGAAAAGCAATTATTTTGACATTGATTACTTTCTATGTAGGAACACAGTATTGTAATTATAGTTTGCTAGAAGCTATTGCAACCTTCTCTGATGTGCTCCTAATTTGGCTGGAGTTAATTAATGGGTGTTGGGAGGTGGCGGGGGGGCAGAAGCCGGCATGCAACTTAACATACAAATTAATTGACATGAAATTAATATGTTTAATTTAAATGTTATTAATTTACCAAACAGAAAGAAAGAGGCATGGGGTTTAGGGAGCTATGGCATTAGCATCAGCTACAGGGATGTCACCCGGTTACCATGGCAACTGCCTCATTAGGCTTCCAAGGGAAGCCAGCGCATCGCATGGGGCTGAGGAGCAGTGGGCAAAGGATTCCAGACATCAAAAGGAAAATCAGAAATATAAACGAGAACCAAGCGGTGCTTTGAGCATGGGATTCAGAGGAGGCTGTTTGTCTGCAGGTGAACTGGGCTCCAGCCTGCAGCCAAGAAAAGGCAAAGTTTGAAATACGATATGCTGTCCTTTGGATAAAGTGTTTACCTTAGGAGAAGCAGGTTCTTGATAGGATGTCAAGACGGTTTTCATGTCCCCAGATGCCCCATCCTAGTTTTACCTTCCCATTCTTTGTCTATGCTGTTGCTTCTTCCTGGACCAGGCTTCCCTTACTCTCTTCACCTGTCTCTCCTCCAGCCCTGTTTCAAGTTTCGGTTTGGATGTCACTTCCCCCATCTGGCTGTTCCTCCATGATCCCCCACAGAACCCACTGTATCCTATCCAAGCAATTACCACTCTGCAATTTCACCATGAATTCCTTCATCTGCTTCCCTCCTGGACTGTGAGCTTCCTGAGAGCAGGGCTGTGCTATTCACTTTCCAGCTGCAATTCTTGGACCAGAAAGCTTGTTAGAAACGCAGGGTCTCAGACCTCAGTGCAGATCTATTGAATCAGAATCTGTATTTTAACAAAATCCCCAGGAGATTCCTAAGCACATTAAAGGCTAAGAAAAGTTGCTGCTCTACACCATTGCTTTCCTGGAGCAGGGCAAATGGCTGGCACTCGACAAATTATTTTTAAATCAAGCTTCTTTATATCTAGACTTTGCCCTGCCTCAGGTAGCATAGATGAATTCAGAGAAACAAGCAGCAGGGCCATTGTTTATTAATGTAGTGAAATAAGTTAGCTGTTCATGCATGGGGCTAAGATGGAATCTGGAACCCCCACCATAGGGTCTTCAAGCCTGGCTCTACCACTCTATAATCTCAAGCAAATTACTTAACCACCGTTTGCCTCAACTTTATTATCTATAAAATGGGGATGAGATTCAATGGTAGTCCTTGAGCACCTACAATGTGCCACTCACTGTTGCCAGCCCTCGGGAGTTATCAGTGAAACAAAAAGACAAAAATCCCTGAGCTCTCATTGGGAGGATTAAATGAAATAATATATATAAGGAATTTATATATATTATTCTCTGGAACACAGAGAAGATTTAATACATTATCATTCTTCATCTCTAAAGCTCTTTAAAATGCCCTTTTCCTTCATATAAACATTTTTGCTTCACTTCCTCAGATAGAGTTTTACATTCATAATTATGTACTGTCTTGCTGGCCTAAGCTTAAGGTGAACTCATTTGGGGTGAAAAGGAAGTGCGGGAGAGTGAGAACAAAGACCACTCCTCTCATACTATAGCTCCATACTCTGCATCCAGTTGAAGAGTCTATAGTCTCTAAACAGAGGACAGTATTTTCACTTTTTAATTTTGAAAGACAAGCAACCATAATGCAGGTGGTTCACTGGGGAGGTAAGAATGGAGCCAAATTTTAGAAAGATCTGGAGCCAATATGGTAGCCATTACCCATATTGGCTATTTAAATTTAATACAATTATAATTAAATAAAGTTTAAAATTCAGTTCCTCAGTCACATGAGCCACATTTGAAATGCTCAATGGTCAGATGTGGCCAGTGGCTACTGCACTGAAGTGTGAAAATATAACGTATATCCATCATGGCAGAAGGTTTATTGGATAGTGTTGGTCTACATCAGTGTTTCTCCAAATTTAGTGTGCATATGAAAACCCCGAGATCCTGTTAGAATACAGATTTGGATTTAGCAGATTGGCAGTGGTATACTAAAGGAAAACTAGGTCAGAACAAAGCTTGTCTTCTTTGTCTTAGGGTTAAGACATGGTCCATTTCTACTCCCAGGTGATGTTGATGATGCTGGTCTAACTACTGTATTTTGAGGAGCTAGAATCTAGCCTCATAACGAAGAGGCAGAGACACAAATACAAAGAATTTCCAAATCTTATTTAGTCAGAACTGAGCAGAGCTGCCTCATAGATTGTAGCTCATCTTGGCACTTGACCAATGAGAAGGGATGGTCTTCAGAGGAACAGTAAGACTCTAGCGGTGACTGTTGAGTGAAGTGCATGATATTCATATTCTTGGCCACCCCAGCCTCCAAATTCAGATGCAAAAAATGTCTTCCCCTATGGGCCAACTAACCAGTGACCTGTTCTGTTTGGAACTCTGGGAGGAACCAAGACAAAATTTAGTGGAAGGACAGGGAAATTGTTCCAAATGCTTTTAACCCTGAGACAAAAAAGATGTGCTTTGATCTGACCTAATTTTCCTTAATTATCAAATCACCAATCTCATTGGGATACTTTCTAATACTGTTCCTGCCTCTTTGGATTCTTGGCCTTCCATCCTTGGTGTATATTAATGTCAGCTGGGGATGTTATTAGAAATGCCACGCCAGCAATTGGTTTAACTGATTGGGGACAAAGCCTAAGCGTCAGTGCCTTTCAAGCATTCTCTAGTTTATTCTAATATGCAAGCCAAGGTTGAGATCCTCAACTTTGAATAGCCCAGCTTCTTTATACAAATGTGCCACTCCCTCCCCTGGGTTTATCCCACACCTTGACTGCCAAACCCTACCAGCTTGGATCTGAATCTGCTTTGAGTGCCACACCTGCTCCAGAATAGCCCTCCAGGAATTACCTTCAAGTGCTGTGCACCCAGGCAACAAGTCAGAGGTACCCTCTCCCTGTTCCTGCTTCTTTCCTGTTGACTGTTTTCACAAGGAGAGGGGCAGAATGCATCCCTTGATTTTTCTAAATTAATTAAATGAACATGATACCAGCAAATTATTTTTAAAAGAAACAGTAGCCTGACTGCCACTAAGGAACTGGCTGTTTTATTTTTCTGTTTTCTTTTAGTTCTTCTGTGTGAGTATATGTGATCTTTCAAATAATTTTGATATTTTGAAAGAGTTTTATATTAGCAACATCTCCCAGGACACCACATTGTTTTCATGTCCATCACTTTAAATGGCTGCATAAACTTTCATGAAGATGGTTAATCATAATTTACTTCCATGTTGTCAGGCATTTGGGTTGCCTCCAATTTGTGGCTGTTGATAAACAAGGCTGTATTGAATATCTTTCTGCATCGAACTTTTTCTGGGTCACCAGCCTGAAGGTTTTCTCTTGTCAGCACCATTTGCATTTCCTACTTCAGCCACCACATGCTTTCTCCTTGTCACACGATCCCTAACAAGATAATCCTAAGCAGAATTTCCTTCTCCGTGGGGTGCTCTGGCTCTTTGGGTGGGACAAGGTTTTACTGTGTAAGAAGTTCGGGATCCGTGTACTGTCCATTAGATGCCAACCCAAAGTCCTCAATGGTCTGAGAAGCTGGGTCTGGTGAACCTCTACACGTTGCCCATTGGTTTCTGTCTTGATTTCTCAGACTTTGGTCAGAGTTCTTCAGAAGAAAATCTCAGGACAGGAGAGGTCTTGAGAGTCCGCTGTGTGTGCAGATCAGCAGAGCCGGAACTCATCCTCACTCACCCACTTCCCCTCCTGGCATCTGAGGGTTTGGTTCCTGTCACTCAATTCTACCTCCTACTGCTTATTAAGATGGCCCCGTTTTTTTGTTTGTTTGTTTACCGTTCCTTGATTTTCCTTTTACTGGCATTTCTTCCTTCTTCCTCTCCTATGAAATCCACATGCAGGTAACTTTACAGTCAATGTCCACCCAAGGAAGAAGCGCAGCCTATGGGTTTAGATCACAAACTCAGGACCAGACCACTCAGCTTTGAATCCTGCCTGGACCACTTTGTAGCTGTGTTACCCCTGGTGAGAGATGCATTTCCTCATCTGCAGAAATGGAATGATGATGTTAATAAAACCTCCTCATAGAGATTTGGTGATTAATATGCATAAGGCACCTAGTAGAATATATCACCTGATGGGTACTCAAAAAGTATTGTTTCTTGTTTTGTTTTTGTTTTTTATTTTGGAGACAAGGTCTCGCTGTGTCACCCAGGCTGGAGCGCAGTGGAGCAATCTTGCCTCATTGCAGTCTGGACCTCCCAAGCTCTATCAGTCCTCCTGCCCAGCCTCCCAAGTAGCTGAGTCTACAGGCGCATGCCAACATGCCTGGCTGTTTTTTTATTATTATTATTACTTTGTAGAGATGGGATCTTGCTATGTTCCAAGACTGGTCTCCAACTCCTGGGCTCAAGCAGTCCTCCCACCTCAGCCTCCCAAAGTGTTGGGATTACAGGCATGAGCCACCATACCCAGCCAATGAGTACTGTTGACATTTTGGCTGATGCTTATCCC
Source organism: Homo sapiens (assembly GCF_000001405.40). NCBI lineage: Eukaryota > Metazoa > Chordata > Mammalia > Primates > Hominidae > Homo > Homo sapiens. The sequence continues at coordinate 14,022,995 of NC_000001.11, read as the reverse complement.
CTTAAGAATCATACCAGGTGGGAAATAGTATTCCATTTATAAGGGAACAATCAGAAGTCCAAAGAGGTTAAGAAACCTGCTCAAAAGTCATGGAGACACTTCATGGTAGAAATGGGGTTTAAACCCAGGCCAGTCACTTCCCTAATCAGTGTCTTTGCACTGAACTACCCCACCTAGCTCTCTTTCAAGAAAATCTGGAAAACTCTATTACTGTACTCTGTCATTAACTGTTTAAGCCATTTGGAAGAAAAAAGGTCATGATGGGAAATGGTACAATCATGGAGAGATGTAAAGAGAACAGCTCTGTGTTCACATTATCAATGAGACCACTTGAGACCACTACTCAAGGTCTTTGGTCTTCAAATACAAACAGAATATTATATATAATAATACAAAAACAATATTATAGAAACGCTGCATCATACGACATATAAAATCCACAGTTTTTGTTTGTTATTTTTATTTCTTTTTTCTTTTTTTCTTTTTTTTTTTTTTTTTTTTTTTTTTTTTGCTTTAAATACGTGAAAGCTATAATGCACCGTGGTCTTTTCAAGACCTATACTCAGTATAGGTCAAAGCCTTCTTAATAATCAAGATTGTTATCATTTATTGTGTACTTGCAATTCTCTTATAATTGAAGCCTTCAGGCTAACATTTATACAAAGCTTACAGTGGATTTACAAAGGTGAAGTTATCAAAAAAGATTTTAAACCACTCAGATTAGATATAAACACCATGACCGAACTTAATGAACTAGAGAAAAAGAAAAGTCAATTTTTGTCATGTATAAAGAACAAGCTAGAAAGAGCATGCATGCACACAACATACACACGCACACCCCAGATCCAAAGCTCCTAGTCATTATTCAGTCCTCACCTACCCTCATCACCACTCAACAAGATATGAAATCAATTGTCATTCTTTATTTACCCGGGACGGCATGGGTAATCCGGCTGACATCAGTGCTTATCCAATAGACTGATGGAACAGACTGATGATGCATTGCACCTGAGAAGTCGTTACAAAAAAAAAAAAAAAAAAAGCATGTTCATTCACATCCCATTTCCTCTTGGAGAATATTGATCCCAGAGAAAATCATTTCCTGTTTGCATCTCATAATTGCAAATACTTCTTTTTGAATTTCTATTTGTAATGCAGCTGTTGGAACAAATTGGCTTCCCCAGGGAACATAAAGAGTCTATCTCCTACAATACTTGAGAAGTGATAAGATGCTGACCATCAGGACACTTTGCTTGGGTCTTTCCACAAGATCATTGCATCTAAAATTTTTCTTCTAAAATTATAAAATAATGTTTGGGCATTGACCTCAGGACAAAGGCAGTCTATGTTCTGATCTTGTGGTTTTAAGGTAATGATTCTCAAGCTTTGGTCAATATCACAATTACCTGGGGAACTTGGAAAAAATAGAGAGACCTAGACCCTCTCCTCCTTCCACAACCCTGGCATCTGTGTTCTTCATTAGCTGTCAAGGGGATTTTGACACACACCAAAGTTTGAGTATTACTGCTTTAAGTCATTGAACTACCAAATTCCTCAAACTTCCACATGCAAACAAATCACCTGGGAATTGGATGAAAATGCAGATACTGATCCTATAGGTCTGCTTATGGTCTCAGATTCTGCATTTCTGACCACTCCCAGGTGATACAGATGCTACTGATCCAGGTAGCCTTTATAGCAAGGCTCTTGGACAATGGTTCTCAACTGGGGAGGACTTTCCCCCACCGTGGGGCATTTGGCAATGTCTGAAGAAATTTGGGGTTGTTATAATTGGGGAGTGGTGTGCTGGCATCTAGTGGACAGAGGCCAAGGATGCTGCTAAGCATTCCTACAATGCACGGAACAACTCCCACATACCAGACAACAAAAAACTGTCCAGCCCAAAACATCAGTAGTGTTGAGGTTAAAATGGTGAGAAACCTGGCTTGGCTAAGAGTTAAAATGCCAAAATCACCACCTTGCTTAATTAGAAAGAGTGATAAAGTTAACATCCCTCCCTCACAAATGCAGCCACAAGAGGATTCATGATTTATAGACTTTGAAAAGAAACCTACGTGCCTGACCCTCGGGTTCCAAAGACTCATCTAAAGGAACGGTGACAAATGCTGGCTACCATCAGTGTTCTTAAAATATCCTACTGTTTTGAGAATTCCAGAAGATGGACTAAATGTTTTACTTTCTATCCAGATATTGCAAAATCATATAAGCTCACAGAGGGAAAACTTTGCTGGAACTCAGATTTCAAATTGTTCTGCTGACTCAATTAGTTAAAACTAAAATCTTAGGAAGGAGAGACACAGCAAGGTGAATTATCTTGTCTTTCCCAGATCGTCCTAAGAAACAAACTGGACACTTATCATGCATATCCAGCACAGTACATTCAGATTCCATTGTGTAATTATACAAAACAGTTTGCTAGTCACTTTAACACAGTTTTACAGCAAGAATTATGCTACAGGGCTGGATTCCTCAATCATATTGTGAAGAAACAAGACTTTTTGTTCATCCTGTACAAGGGTGAAAACAGGCTCTATCCTGTGGGTCTAGGGATGGGGGTGAAGTGAAATGGGGAAAAAAGAGAGTGATCATCTAGCCTAAGACATTTCAACATGTAGGCAGAAACTCCTACCCAAGCTGATTAGTGTCCTATAGAGCAGGGGTCCCCAAACCCTGAGCCATGAACCAATATCAGTCCGTGGCCTGTTAGGAACTGGGCCACACAGCAGGAGATGTGAGCAAGCAAAGCTTCATCTGTATTTACAGCCGCTCCCCATTGCTTGAATTACCACCTGAGCTCCACCTCCTGTCAGATCAGTGGCAGCATTAGGTTATCACAGAAGTGCAAATCCTACTGTGAATTGTGCATGCAAGAAATCTATGCTGCATGCTCCTGATGAGAATCTAATGCCTGATGATCTGTCACTGTCTCCCATCACCCCCAGATGGGACCATCTAGTTGCAGGAAAACAAGCTCAGGGCTCCCACTGATTCGACATTATGATGAGTTGTATGATTATTTCATTATATATTTCAATGTAACAATAATAGAAATAAAGTGTACGATAAATGTAATGTGCTTGAATCATCCCAAAACCATCCCCCGACAGCCATCCATGGAAAAATTGTCTTCCGTGAAACCAGTCCCTGGTGCTGAAAAGATCAGGGACCACTGCTGTAGAGTAAGGAATGAGTTTTAATAGCCTGGGGACACAACACTCTTTGTTCTGGGCTCCACCCTGTTAGAATAAGCTGCAGAAAGGATCTCATGGCTGCAGGGAAAGAGTTGACCTAGAAACCCTGGAAAATACCTGCTAGTCAGGAGTAGGGCAATGTAGCACCCTGAGGTCAACTAGAGTTCTCACCTGCTGTGCAACAGATGTGTTCTTGGCAATATCTGCTGGCAGGTGGAGGTTCTGTTGTATGAAGTTGTGCTGGTCATGGTGGAGGAAAGGGGACCTGGATAAGATGTATATATAGAAGCTTCTGGGCAAGATAAAGGGATAACTAGCAAAGAAGAAATGGCTAGGAAAAGAGTGACCATAAATACCCCAGCCCATGCCAAATATGCTGTACTCGGTCTTCATGGCCTGGTTCAAATGTCCCTGCCTTCCAAGAATGGCCTTTTCCTCATTTGTGTTCCCAGTGGGTCTTGATATATAGCTTTCTCATGGGATTTATCATAGGGTATTGGAATTGAGTGTGTGGTTCTCATTACACCAACACACCAGGAACATGGCAGTTAATAAAAAATATCTGGGGTATATGGTGTTTTTCAAGCATCTGATATAGATTTCAAATCATGTTACACAAAACAAGTCGTTTCTAATCAGTAAGTCTGCAAGGAAGAATTAAGTTTCTCTTGGTCTTTTGTTGGTCAGTACTAATTAAATCTATATATTAGAAAGAGCTTTTGAAAGTTAAAAGGCCACATGTGTTGTTCTGACTCCAGAGAGACAGAATCAAGGATATGTACATAGAGACAGAGATGAGAGGGGATTTATTAGGGGCCTTGGCTCATGTGATAATGGAGGCTGAGAAGTCCCATGACAGGCCATCTGCAAGCTGGAGTGTGGGATGCTGGTAGCATGGCTCAATTCAAGTCCTAAAGCCTCAGAGCCAGGGAAGCTAATGGTGTCATTCTTAGTCCGAGACTGAAAGCCTGAGAACTCAGGGGGACCATGGTGTAAGTCCTGCAGTCCAAAGGCCAGAGAACCTAGAGTTCTGAAACCCAAGTGCAGGAGATGGAAGAAGCACAGCTTCAGGAGAGAGCCAGAAAATCATCTTTCCTCTGCATTTTTGTTCTATCCAGGCCCCCAGTAGATGGGATGGTGTCTGTACACATGGAAGACAGACCCTCCCCACCCAGTCCACCAACTCACATGCCAATCTCCTCTGAAAACACCCGCACAGACACACCCAAAGGCAGTGCTTCATCAGCCATCCAGGCATCCCTCAATCCAGTCATGTTGACACCCAAAATTAACCATCACATGTGCAAATTATCACCGCTATAAATTATAGCTGTTATATTTTTCTACCATGTCTCCCAAAAGGGCGAAGATCAGCAAGTTCACACTGGGAGATTGATAAGACCCCTCCTTCTCCCCCGTACCCTGTCTTCATTTTGCTTGTCAGTAAATTTTGCCTAGAATCAAACATCGTCTTCTCACGAAGTCAATTTACCCACAGTGGATTGGGCCACAAGCTGTTGAAACAAACTTCACAATGAAGATAAGCACTAGAAAAACTGAGTGTAAAGGCAGTGGACTAGCCAGCTCAGACACATTATAAAAGTCTTGTTTTACTCTGAGTTCATTATTTAGAAGAGATAAGTGAAGTGTAAGGTGACTCTATGCTAGCTAGCCAGTGATCAATGCGAACTTAGTCTCTCTGTGCCTCAGGTTCCTCAGCTGCCAAATGGGGATAATAATTTAATCATAGGGAAGTGTTGAGGCTTAAATGAGTTCATTCACATAAAGCATTTTGATCAGTGCCTGGCAGATACATGCTTAGTAAACGTCAGCTGTTATGATGATGATCATTACCCTGGCTGCTCTCCAGCATTCAGGTGACCAAAGCTTAGCAACAACACGTGGCTCTCAGGGAGTCTTGGTGAGGGGGCTGGGCCAAGTACCCAGGCATGACAGCTCTGGATGAAAATAAAGCATGCTTTGTGGTAGCTCCACAAGCGGAAACAGAATTCCAACGCACGGTCTTTTCTCATGCTGGAAAATTTCCACAGGCCATGCTCAATGCTTTTTCAAATTAGGAGAAAACAAAAGGATTAGAACACAGCAAAGGATTTTACTCAAGAGCTGCACTGAACCCGACAGAGCCTCTGCAGCCTGGTGAAGCATTGGGGTGTAATGGAATACACTCTGTGGTCAGACAGGCTGGGTTTAACTCTGAGTTCACCTCTTACGTGATGCCCTTGGGCAGGTCACACTTTTCATCCCCCTTGAGCCTGTAAAAACAAGCTAAGAGAATGCACTGGGTCATAGAAAAGAACAAATGCACGTGTCTGGAATATAGCAAGTGTTCAATCAATGTAAGTTGCCCCTCTGCCTTTCTTAGAAAGGAAAAATATTCAGTTTCTATGCTGAAATTGCAAGCACTGTACAAGTTACTTCCTGAATCTAGTCTTGAGTCAGAAGGCAAATGTTTATGGACACAGATTTGAGGGCTCTGAGTCTTTTGCAAATAACTGAGAGTGAGTGGGTGTAGGTGTAAGGATGGCAGTTGCAATAGAAGCTGGGAGACAGGTTGAAAAGGACCCCAAGCCTCTACCTCGAATTGGCAGAACGTCATTGAGAAAAAGCAGAAGGAATCAGATTTATTTTTGTGAACATGCTACCTAATACTGAGAACAAGAAGGGAAGATGCATGTCCTACTTGTCTTCCATTAGGCTGACAGGACATAGACCAGAATCGCTGCCAACTCATCTCAGAGAGGCACTTCTCGAAGAACCTATAAGAGACAAGTTTGATGCAGGTAAGCTAGTCCCAAAACTCTGCCAAAGCAGCAAAGACATTTTTATTCATGGTAACTGCTCCTGAATTAACCCGGAAAGTAAAAATCCCAAATGCACATACAAAAATTACCACATTTATTTTTTAATACAGTAAGAGCAGCACAAAGGCAAATCCCCGCTTCTCTGTTTTCTTTGTGGATCTTCATGGAAACTGTAGGTTTTTGTGTTTTGTAAAATATGCGTGCTCAGTGACACACCAGCTCTTGAGAAGCTAATGGGAAATAAAGGCCATTAACACAAAAACAAAGGTCAGAGGAAGCAAAACCACAATAAAAATCTATTTGGGGAGCAGCTTATGGAAGCCTCTAAAAGAAAATTAGGACGATGCATCCCAAAGTGAGCCTCCGAGATATTCTGAAATTTCACTGGGAGCCCACAGTGGATTGTGTACAATCTCATAAACATGCCCCCAACACTGATCCTTTGAGAGCTAAGAGGCCCAAATTATCCCCATGGCTCTGATCTCCCAGAGATCTGAATCCCACAGATTCAGTCAACTGTCCCTCAGTTTCCCCACCTGTGAAATGGGTATAGCATTTCCTCTTGAGAGGCTTACATAGGGTCATGTTTATGAATACGCTTTGTAAGCCATAGAGTCCTGTACCCATAAAAGTGAGTATTAGATCACCCACATTGTGTAGGAAGTGTTCTTGCATTTTTCCCTAGCACAACACGGAATGTGTGCAAAGTGTTTAATAAATACAGCAATAGTTAATCTCGGAGCCCTACATTGTCCTTTTTATTTAACACCAGGCTTTGGCAATGCTTCGTGCATTGGGAGAGAAAAGAAATGAGCACCCCACCCTGAGATGTGCAGAACCAAGATATGCTCTAATGAGCTTGCCTGGAAACACAGCTAGCCTAGCAACAAGGCTCAGAACCATTGCATTCTTAAAGAGACATAGAGCTTTCCGTTTTGAGTGCCTGTTGCCCTTGTGTTACAAGCCTCTACAATCCTGTGGTCTCTGGTCATATGGAGGTATTTTCTAGGGAGGCCCTCAATCCCAGTGCAGTGAAAAGGTTGTGGAGCTCTGGAATCAGACAGCCTCAAGTTGAGTTTTCATTGCACCTCTTAGCAGCTGTTGAGGCTCGGGCAAAGTATTTCTACTCTATGAACCCAATTTCCCTCCAGTGGAAAGATGGGAAAAGCCTCACTGACCTCCCAGGATTGCATAAAAGTGTAGATGTATTTTTAGTAGAGACAGGTTTTCACCACATTGGCCAGGCTGGTCTTGAACTCCTGACCTCAGATGATCCACCTGCCTCAGCCTCCCAAAGTGCTGGGATTACAGGTGTGAGCTGGGTGTGGTGGCAGGCACCTGTAATCCCAGCTACTCGGGAGGCTGAGGCAGGAGAATTGCTTGAACCCGGGAGGCGGAGGTTGCAGTGAGCTGAGATCGCGCCATTGCACTCCAGCCTGGGCAACAAAAGCGAAACTCCATCTCAAAAAAAAAAAAAAAAAAAAAAAAAAAAAAAAAAAAAAGTAGATGTAACACACTTGTCTTTATAAAATAATTTAGGACAATAGGGAACAACTAAAGTGTTTTTCCAGCCATGCCTAGGTCCACTGAGGGAATGTGGGTCATCTTTCCAGGAAGTTTTATAAAGCCCTTCCCAACAGACAGAGCCATTATCATCTGAACGGCATTTTTGTCCTCTTAGGCTTGTCCTTTAAGCCCAAAGAAGACAAAAGAAGAGGAAAGTCTGGTGACTTCAAAATGCGTTTTTCTCTATTGGCACACACATAATGTTGGCCACCAGTAGGAAAATATAATTATCATAATACGTTTTCTCAAAGGTTGGTTTTTATATCATCTGTGTTAAAATGTGGATTTTGTCCAAATCAAGAAATAACTTGAGAAGTGTAAAAAAAGGAAAGAGATTACAGTAAAATCAATATTAGCAACAGTGAAATTGCAAGACTAGAGGCAATAAAAACCTTTCCCAAGCCAAGAAAAAGAGATCTCATCATAAAATTATAATAAATTACTTTAGTCTTATCACTGGGTAAATTGCTTGAATATTAGTATCATTGAGGCTACATTTCCTTACCAGCAAAAAATGCATTTTGGCCTTGGCTCTAGTGCAAATCGGATTAGGGTAGCACCATTTTGACAATGTTATCTTATTAAGTTGTGCAGGGGCTTATTATTTTAAACAGGGCTCCACTTTCTCACCCTCTCAGACTTTTCTCCAAGATGTACTTTTTCTGTTAGACACTGCATCTTGCTCCTTCCAACATTTATGCTGGACATTGATTTTTAAGGACATTTATGAACACTGATATTTGAATTTCACATCATTTATGTAACAAAATATTATTCTTCTTTTGATTTTTTTCCTAACCCTTTAAAAATGGAGAAGCCATGCTTATCTTGCAGGCTAAGAGAAATAGGCAGTAAGCTGGATTTGACCCAAGGGACTCTTGTTCTTTGTGGACCCTTGTTCTATGCCTTCTGAAATGGTTTCTGCTTGGATCATTGCAGGAACACCAAGAGCTAAGTATCCAGGCATCCTCTCCTTCTTAACCAGGGCCCTGGGACAGCTGGACATCCTCACCCTTTTCTGTCATTTTGACAGGGGACTCTGTCTTCTCTGCTTGGAAAGAGGACATTTCCATGTCATTGCCCAAGCACCCTGGTCTAGGCGACTTAGATGCTTCTCTGAGAGACTCTGCCTCTGGCTGTTTTGGGTTGTTCAGGAAATTCCAGATTCGGCAGAACAATTACAACAGACACAGTTGCAACATGGCACCAAGCCTTCCTCCCGGATACAATGTTATTGATATATTGTGGTATAGCGAAAAAAAATCATCAATGGTGGGTGGTGGCATATAGAGTCCTCATGAGAAAGAAATAGAAAAATTACAAAAAGCCGGTATGAAACGCTTTTCAATGGAGCAGCCTAAAGCTATTTAATGCAAGGACAAGCAACACCCGTTCCTCCTGAGGACCTAAGGGAGACCTGTTGGGAATATTGTTGCTGAGTTAAAGGGTCACATTCAAATCAGATTTCACTGGACCAATCCCAGTTTGGCAAAAGGCCCTGAAAATTCCAGAGCCATCATCGTCATGATCTGGAGGCTTCCAAGGAATCTGTTCCCTGGTCAAATCAGAATCTTGTCTCTCTAGAGAGGACTCTATACAGAATGAGAAACCCACATCTAGCAGCCATCCCCGGACACAAGCTTGCTGAAGGAGGAATGCTTCCATTTAAACCATGACAATGGAAAGGTTGGCACAATTTCAGTTTGATTACGGTGTCAGGAAAATAAGCTAATAGCAGAGGCCTGGTACTAAAGTCCCATATTCCTAGGTTATTTTCCATCGAACCCTTCCTTTCTGGTGCCTTTCTCTGAGATACAGCACGAATCCCATGATTATGGAGTTTGAGGCTATCATGACCATCCTCTGACAGTGGTGGGTACACAGCAGCCAAGTCCTTGCTGCTACCAAGGGAAAAAGCAAAACAACACAACAGAAAACCTCTGGGGGGTTGTCATTTTGGGGTTAAAAAAAACCCTGTTTCTCGTTCTCCTTTCATTAAAAGGTTTTCATCGCAAGGCTTCACTGTTCTGCCCAATGGGAATCCAAACATTGACTATTGTGCACAAAACCTAGATCGAGGAACAACTTTGTTCCTGCCTGTTTGAAAAAATCCTGCATATTTGATAAAAATAGTTTACAGGGTACTCTTTAGTTGGTTTCTTTGGAAAGAGGCATTTAGAGAAACCAGAGAAAATTCATAGAGGGGTAACCAGGCTAATGAGGAGTCTGAAAACCACATCATTAGAGAAAACATTGAAGGAAGTGAGGATGCAGGTTCCGGAAAAGTGGACTCAGGGGTGCACAGATGAATGTTGTCACCATCTTTAAACATCTGAAGAGCTGTCACAGGGAAGAAAAATTAGGAAGCAGGTCTAGGACCCGCTAAGAGGTGTCTCAGGGCAGGGATGCTGGTCTCTATCAGGCTCGAAGCCTTCTTTTTACAACATATGTTGAAATTCCCCTTTTACTATCCTAACTTAATTGTAAAGGAGAAATAAAATGAAATAAATTGTAAAGGAGAAAATGAAAGGAGCATACGGTAAATATGTTTGTTGCTTGTTTGTTTTGAGACAGGTTCTCTCTTTGCCATCCAAACTGGAATGAAGTGGTGCAATCTCCACCATTTAATTGGTTGGAGTGGTTGCTCACTGCAACCTCCGCCTCCTGGATTCAAGTGATTCTCGTGCCTCAGCCTCCCAAGTAGCTGGGATTACAGGTGTGTGCCAACACGCCGAGCTAATTTCTATATTTGTAGTAGAGATGAAGTTTCGCCATGTTGGCCAGGCAGGTCTTGAACTCCTGATCCACCCGCGTCACCCTCCCAAACTGCTGGGACTACAGGTGTGAGCCACCTTGCCCAGCCTAATATGTATTTTTAAAAGTAGGTTCTCAAGCAGGGTTGGACTAGAAGACTAGTGACCCCAGCCAATGTTTTTACTTATTTTTTCAGCCCATTTTCATCTGGAGTCAAGAGATAAGCAATTGGATATTGTTGACACTGATTTTTCTATTTAGCATTTTGGAATAAGAATTAAATAAGTGCATTTGTACAAATATGAAGAATCACCATGACTGCAATGGCTATAAGTTGCACACTGGTTCAGGTGGTTGTTCTGTTAACTCAAATACCATGAGGCATATGTAACTTTAATGAACATTTTCAAAATGGGGCACAGCTCCTGGAAAAAATCCAAATAAAACAAGACATGATGTATCTTTGATTTACATGTAGTTACATTCCTTAAAAACTCAGTGTAGATTCAACCATACAAAAAAGTCCTACAGTCAGGTCTCTCACTTACATGAACATCTGGCAAGAGTAGGGTGTGGAGAAATTCTTCTCTGTGAATTGCAAGACATCTAGCATTTCTCCCCACCCACAAAATGCCAGTAGCCTCCTTCAATCATTCTGAGAAGCAAGCATATCCCCAATCATTTCCAAACACCCCCTAAAAGGTAGAACCATGCCCAAAGAGAACTACTGCTGCAGGAGACAGATGTGATTCAAGGTAATCGTGAGAACATCTGCCAGCCTGTATTCCACTTACTCTGTGCTGGGAAACGCTGATACATGTATTAATTCATGTATTAATACATGTATTATTTCATTTAATCCTTGCAACAATTCTATGAAGTAAGTTCCTTATCGCTGATTACATCAGAAATGAAATACTGAGGCTCTGAGAGGTTCACTCACTTGCCCAAGGTCACAGAGCTCATGGAAGAACAGGGATTCAAACCCAGGCAGTCTGGCTCTACATTCCTAGCTCATAACCCCTACACAATCCCTCCCTCGACAGAGTCTGCAATTTCAGAGCATTCCAACCAAGAGGCTGCCCAGAGGCACAAAGCTCTTCCATAGGAAGAATGAGCTCACTGTCTCTGGGGGTATTCCACGATGGGACCAATGATTTCCAGGAGGTGACCTCAAGAGAAAAGCCAGGCAGTGCATGGTGGTTTTTGTCGTCAGGTGATGCAAACGAAGCAGCCAGGTGAAGACTGGGGAAGAAAACATCCTACGTGAAAGCAACAGCTGCAAAGGCCCTATAGTGGGCATGAGCTGGGCACAGTGGAAGAACAGAAAGAAGACCTGGAGCTGGATCATGGTGAGCAAGAAAGAGTGCGAAACGAATCTGATCAGGCAGCCACCAGATCACGTGAGGTCTTCTAAACCAGAGGTAGCAACTCGGACTTTCTTCTAAGTCTAACTTTCTCAGGTGTTGTCGATTCCATCCTGGGACACCAAGGGCACATCTCATATCTACCCAAGGAAGAAATGTAGATCTTGCCTCTTGGTCTGGGGGCTCCCAAGATGGGGTGAGATGTGGGCAGATGCTGAACTATGGCAATAGTGATGGCAATGGAGGAGGGGAGAGAAAAAAGAGGTAAGGAGAGGAAATAGGGGAGGCAGAAGATGGGGAAGGGAGATAAGGTCCAAAAAAAAAGGGGAAGCAAGGCTAAAGGCTGTGAGAATCACAGGGTAGTTTCTGCCATTGGCAAAGAGTTACACTCTTAAGAATGGCCATTTAAATGCAGATGTTTTCCTCTGGCCACATGACACTTAACCCAACCTGAGGAACAGGGTTTTCCCCCATGAAGCTGTCAGGCTTTCTCTTATGTCACTCAGATCCTTTTGGGCTTTGACACCTCTGTTTTTATTGTTGTCCACCCTGAGTACATGTCTGGCCACCTGGCATCAAAGCATACCTTTCAAAACATCCTGAGGATGCTTAACAAAACTCTCTGACAATGACATAGGAGTCTCAGCCCTGCTCATAAAAGGGCAGGACAAAGCCTCAAAGACCAGTTTCAAGCTGAGCCATGGGGCAGATGGTGGAGAGGCTGCTTTTGGCTGCAAAGGATTGCAAGACTTGGATGGTGAGTTGAGCAACCAAGAAATACTTCTGCTGAACCCCTCCCACCTCCCATACCGGACTGCTTCATCGCTGGCATCCTTTCTTCAATATAGAATGCTGATCAGAAATTAAAATGATACGTTACAGTTTCAACACTCATATTCTGAGTTGGCCCCAGCCCTTCTTCCTAGAAAAATTAAAAGTCCAGAAGATGATGTATCATTTGTAACACAACAGAGGTTTTATATAGTAAGACCAAAGTACAGCAGGCAGCTCCTCTACAGTAGGCCTAGGAGGATTTTCTATGAAGCATGGATGGTTTTATTTGAAGTGTTATGCATTTACTTTAATGTGCACCAGGAGCAAAGATAACTAACATCTCAGACCCATGGTAGGATAAATATGAGTAAAAAAAAAAGTTATAGCTAATTTTTTTAATTAGTATTATTTAGATAATAGCACAGATGATACTGATATGGCAACAACAAAATTGTTGATGTGTTAATTGAATGCCTATAGATTGTCTACAATAGTCTTGGGCAACATCTTCTGCCAAAAGTAAACAGGGGAGTGGGAGAGAGTGTGTTTCTGGCCATTAAGGAAACCACCCGGTTTCCCAGTGTGTACACATGGAGGCACAAATGTGAATATGTACACACCCTCCCACCTGTGTGTACAGAGTGGGTTCTCCTTCAGTTATGACTGCAACATTCTGCACATATCCTGGTATACTTGCACATTGTGGAATGTGAACTAGCCCAGGGCAGAAGACATAATGCTTATGTTGTATTCTCTGTCCCACAGTAAATGCATAGTAAATGCCAACTGAATGAACAGCGGATCAGATATGGGGGAGTGGTCAGGAACAGACTGCCCACGTTAGGCTCCTGACCTGACCACTGACTATGTGAGCTTGAACAAGTAACTTGACCTCTCTGTGCCCTAAAATTCTTCATCTATAAAATGGGAATTAAAAATAGTATCTATCTCAAAGGGTTGTTGGGAAAATTAAGTGAGCTATCACACTCATTAGGATGGCTATTATCAAAGAAAAACAGAAAACAAGTGTTGATGAAGATGTGGAGACACTGGAATCTTTATGCACTGTTCCAGTGGGAAGGAATATGAAATGGTACGGCCACTATGGAAAACTGGATGGTGGTCTTTCAAAAAAATTAAAAATAGAATTACCATATGACCTAGCAATTCTACCTCCAGGTATATACCTAGCAAAATTAAAAACACAGTCTCAAAGACTTACGTGTACATATGGGTATGCTCATAGCAGTATTATTTATAATAGCTAAAATGTGGAAGAAACCCAAATGTTTATCAACAGATGAGTAAAAGGTGATCTATACACACAATGGAATATTATTCAGCCTTAGAAAGGAAGCAAATTCTGACACATGGTACAACATGGATGAACATTGAGCTCATTATGCTAAGTGAAATAAGCCAGTCACAAAAATAAAATACTGTGTGATTCCACTTGTATGCAAAAATCTCAGAGTAGCCAAAATCATAGAGACAGAAAATAGAACGGTAGTCGCCAGGGGCTGGGAGAGTGGGGAATGGGGAGTTACTGTTTAATGGCTACAGAGTTTCCATTTTACAAGATGAAAAGAGCTATGGAGCTGGATGGTGGTGATGGTTGCACAATGTTATAAATGTATTTAACACCACTGAACTATACACTTAAAAATGGTTAAGATGGTAACTTGTGTTATATGCATTTTAACACAATTTAAAAACTGGGAAAAGAGAAAATTAAATGAGTGAATATATGTGTAGCACTTAGAATAGCACCTGGCTATATCGGTACCACCATCCTCATCAACATTTTCATCCTCATCCTCCAAAAAAATGAAAGCATAGCTTTAAAGCAGTAATGTCACCAGTCATCTGATTTTATGTGTGTGTAATTATCTCTTTACTTGCCCATCCCACTGAACTTTATGCTCACTAAGATTAAGACCCTTTTCAGAGCTGTATCCCCAGTACTCGACTCTGGGTTTGACACACATTAGTTTCTTACTAAATGATTAGTTGATCTTTGAACAAATTAATTAACAAATGAACAGATAATCCATGTCTTGAAATCCAGGGAAGTCCCCTTTCAATATAATGACTTCAGCAGATTTTTTTCATCAGGTAGGTTTGATTTGCCACCCTAGTCTCCTTTTCATAAAACATTTTAGCATTCTATGAATGCATACCTTCTACTAGAACAATAGGGACGGTGGCGAGAAGTCATGTGGAAGCTAAGGGTACTATTGCATGTGAAATTGCTCACCCAGGGGAGAATTCATGGGAAGTTATTTTTATCCCCAGATGCATTTAGGCACAGGAGGGTTTTGCATGATCAACTCAAATTTCAGGTCAGAAAATGAACATTAAACACAGGGGTTGGGAGCAGCATGCCTTGACCTTTTTACAAGAAGTGAGCAGGCCACAATGCCAATTACTTCTAGCAGAACTAGAAGTCCAATATGCCACTTAAATTTAGCAAAGAAATGTATCAGATGGAAGACTCCTAGAGACAAAACAGTAAAACCTCTTATTTACAGATGAGGCAACTGAGGGCCAAAAGGACGTAACTGAACCAACAGCACAGGGATCATTGTGGGTAGAATCAGGATTCAAACCTAGGACGCTTGAATCCTGTTCCAACACTCCTTTCCTTTAGCTCCCGCCGACTTAGAGTTAAAAATCATTATCGGACAGCGTCTGTTAAACCTGCTGATTTGTAACAGCAAGTAGAACACGTGTTTTATTTGTCCATGACTACAAAAGCAGATGATTTGCACTCACACCCAAGTGAGCCAGTATTTGAACTTCAACATGACCTTGATGCTGCTAGTGATTTGGAAACTAGTGTGATAAAATTGTGGCTTATATATCTGCAAAAACGTGACTATAGATACACCATCAGATTGTGGAAGCACTGACTTTTTGTATTTTAGTGCCAGACATGGATAGTGTTTTGCTCTTTACAATGCCAACCTGTGGTTACTGATCTGCCTGACCTTTTGCCAAATGTGCCACCCTGTCCAGCTGGGTGTGCATATCTGCTTGGGAATGGCATTGTGTTTTAAATGCACAGGAGGAAGCTGGCCATAGACAGTTAATCAAGAATGCTCACCCTCACCACTTTGATTCAACATAGTACTTGAAAGTACTAGCAAGAGCAATCAGACAAGAAAAAGAAATAAAAGGCATCCAAATCAAAAAGGAAGAAGTCAAATTATCCCTGTTTGCAGAGGACATAATCCTATATATGGAAAACCTTAAAGACTACATATATACGAAAGAACTTTAGAACTAATTAACAATTTCAGTAAAGTTGCAGGATACAAAATCAACCCACAAAAATCAGCTGCATTTATTTACACCAATCAAGACTTATCTAAAAAAACAAATCAAGAAAACAATACCATTCATGATAGCATCAAAGAGAATAAAACACTTAGAAATAAATGTAATCAAGGAGGTGAAAGATCTGTACACTGAAAACAATAAAACATTGAGGAAAGAAATTGAAGAAGACACAGATAAATGGAAAGATAGTCTGAGTTCACAAATTGAAAGAATGAATTTTGTTAAAATGTCCTTAACACTCAAAGCAACATAGAGACCCACTGCATTCTCTATCAAAATTCCAGTGGCATTTTTCACAGAAACAGAAAAAGAAATTCTAAAATTCACATGGAACCACAGAAAAAAAATACCCAAATAGCCAAAGCAATCTTGAGAAAGAAAAACAAAGTTAGAGGCATCACACTTCCTGATTTCAAATTATATTTCAAGTAATCAAAACAGGATGGTACTGGCATAAAAATAGACACATAAAACAGAATATAGAGCTCAGAAGTAAACTCAAGCATGTACAGTCAACTAATTTTCAACCAGGGCACCAAGAAGACACACTGGAGAAAGGATAGTCTCTTCAATAAATGATGTTAAGAAAATTAAATATTCACATGCAAAAGAATAAAACTGGACCCTAATCTTACACAAAAATATGCTAAAAATGAATTCAAGACTTAAACACAAGGACTGAAACTGTAAAATTCGTAGAAAATTTCCCCTGGGAGCTGGTTATTTGAAAGAGCTTGGCATCGCTCTTGCTCCCTCTCTCACTATGTGACATGCCAGCTCCCCCTTCCTTGTCATCTGCCATGAGTAAAAGCTTCCTGAGGACTCACCAGAAGCAGACACTGGTGCCATACTTGTAAGGCAGCTGGCAGATCCCTGAGCCAAATAAATATATTTTCTTTATAAGCTATGCAGCCTCAGATATTCCTTTATAGCAATGCAAAACAGACTAACCAGTACATCAAAGCACAGGCAACAAAGCAAAAATATAAGAAGTGGGACCACAAATTAAACAGCTTTTTTACAACAAAAGAAGTAATAGACAAAATAAAAAGGCAGCCTACAGATTGGGAGAAAATATTTGTGTAATGTATATCTGATAAGAGATTAATATCCAAAATATATATATTTGAATCCTGAGAATGCATCTACTAAACCCTATATGAGGCAATCATGGAGTTTAAGCCTCTGAGCTCCTTCTCAGGCTGACAGATGGATACATATAGTCTTTGTTTAAAGCTTTCTCCTAGTGGGAATGCTACAGTGCCCTTGTTTGCTCATCCAGGATCTGTAACACTACAGGCCAGTGAGTCCATTGATAGGAGCAGTGTGAATCAGCAACAACACCTGGAACTTTAAGTCAGAAGATCTGAATCTGAAGAGCCCCATTGTCTTCATTCCTGCCCCTTCCTAAAGCTCAAAGCATCTGCAATCTGCTTACCTTCTTTAATTCTATAGGTAAAGATCCTCCAGGGAAAGCATTCAGCCCAGTAGTGCCTGGCATATGATAATTGGTATCTTTATCTAAAAGAGTCAGTTCAAATTCCATTTTTTAGAGGTCAGTTTATTAACAGATTATGTCTTCAACCCTCGCCTTTCCTCTGAACTTCGGACATACCCAACTGTCTACACCATGAGTCTACTTGTATATCTCTAGAACCTCAACTCCAAGTGTATGTTCTTCACATCCTCCCTGCCCAATAACCTCCAGCACTGCCCTTCTCTGGAGAGGGAGACACTTTCTACCTGGTTATACAAGGTAGAAACCTGAAATCAACGTGGACATCTCCCTCTTCTGTATCCTGCCTTAGGCAACCCATTCTCAAGTCCTCTTGGTTTTCCTTCCTCAGTCTGTCTTGAACCTAATTTGCTATTTCTCTGCGGCCATCAGCTTGGTCTTGCACCAGAACTCTTGCAAGAACCACCTAACTCTCTCTCCACATCCAGAATGCTCACTCCACTGTCTGGCTCTACTCTGCAGTAATTATTTTTATTTTCCTTTTTAAAGTAATATTTTTATTCAAGTATAACACTGTCTTAGACCATTTTCTGTTGCTGATAACAGAATACCTGACACTGGGTAATTTATAAAGAAAAGAAATTTATTTCTTGCAGTTATGGAGGCTGGAAAGTCTAAAGCGGAGGGAGTGCATCTGATAAGAGACTTCTTGCTGATGGGGACTCTCTGTGGCATCCCATGGTGGCACAGGGCATCGGGTGGCGAGGGGCTGAGTGTACTAACATGCTGGCTCAGTTCTCTTTTCCTTTTCTTATAAAGCCACCAGTTCCCCACCCCCGTGATAACCCATTAATTCATTAACCCATTAATCCATTCCTGAGAACAGAGACCTCATTATTTAATCACCTCCTAAAGGCCCCATCTCTCAATACTGCCAGGGAGATTAAGTAAGCTCCAACATGAGTTTTGGAGGAGACATTCAAACCATAGCAAACACTATGTACAAAAGTGCACAAATCATAAAGGAACAGCTCAATGAGCTTTCACTGAGTGAATGCACCTACAAAACCAGCACCTGGATCAAGAAACAGAACATCACCAGTACTCCCTAGGAAATTCTCATCGTGCTTCTTCTAGTCACTAAGCACCCCATTGCTGCAGTGTGCCATTACATGACTATATCATGATTTATATTTATTCATTTTTCTGTTTATAGATATTTGAGTTGTTTTCACTTTAGGACTAACATGAATAGTGCTGGTATTGACATTGTACATTTTTGTACTATGTAAATGTACTGGTATTTATGCACATGTATTTTGGTGAACATACATATGCATTTCAGATGGTTATGTCTATAGGAATGTATTCTCAACATTTGTAGATACTGCCAAACACTTTTCCAAAATAGTTGCACCAATTTACACCACTATCAGCAATATATGATTGTTTTGGTTGTGCCACATTTTTCTCAACATTAGATATCATCTGTCATTTTCAATTTTTAGCCATTGGGTGTGGGCATAGTTGTATATCACGGTGGTTTTAATTCACGGTTCCCTGATTTCTAATGACGTTGGACATTTGCTTTTTTTTTGGGCAGTTTAGATATCCTCTTTTGGGAGGTGAATGCTAAAACCCTTTGCCCATTTTTTCTATTAAATTGCCTGCTTTCTTATTATTGATTTGTAAGGGCCTTTATATATTATGTAAATGAGTCTTTTGTCAAATATATTGCAAATGTCTTTTTCCATTCCATGAACTGCCTTTTAACTCCCTTAATAGTATCTGTTGAAGAACAGAAGCTCTCAATTTTAATGTAGTCCTATTTACCAGTTCCTTTTTTCGTTATGGTTAGAGCTTTCTGGATCTCATTTAAAACAATGTTGACTGCCTCAAAATCATAAATCTGCTCTCCTACATTTTCTTCTAGGAGGGTTTTTGGTTTCTGGTTTTGTTTCTGTTTTGTTTTTGCTTGCTTTTGCTTTCACAATTAGGTCTACCATGCACCTGTCATCTTTTTTCATATAAATAGCCAGTTAACTTGGCAGCATTTATTGAAATAAAAATAATTTCACCACCACACTGCAGTGTGTGGTCTTACAAATCAAATGACTGTATATTTGTGGGTATATTTCTGGACTTTCTCTTTTTATGGTCTGTCTTTGTCCATCCGTGTGTCAGTATTATACTCTTATTACTATGTTTTTAAATAGGAATTGGTATCTAGTAGTCTAAGTCCTTCATCTATTTTCACTTCTTTCTATATAAAAGTGTAAGTGCTGGCTAGATTGCCTTGACAAGTCCTAGCATCTTGCATTTCCACATACATTTTAGGTTCAACTTGTAATTTTCTTTTTTTTTTTTTTTAATTTTACTTTAAGTTCCAGGATACATATGCAGAACGTGTAGGTTTGTTACATAGGTATACATGTGCCATGGTGGTTTGCTGCACCTATTGACCCACCCTCTAAGTTCCCTCCTCTTGCCCCCGACCCCCTAACAGGCCCTGGTGTGTGATGTTCCCCACCCTGTGTCCATGTGTTCTCATTGTTCAACTCCCACTTATGAGTAAGAACATGCGGTGTTTGGTTTTCTGTTCCTGTGTTAGTTTGCAAGGATGATGGCTTCCAGCTTCATCCATGTCCCTGCAAAGGACATAATCTCATTCCTTTTTATGGCTGCATAGTATTCCATGGCATATATGTACCACATTTTCTTTATTCAGTCTATCATTGATGGGCACATGGGTTGGTTCCACGAATTTGCTATTGTAATAGTGCTGCAATAGACATACGTGTGCGTGTGTCTTTATAGTAGAATAATTTATATTCCTTTGGGTATATACTCAGTAATGGGTTTGCTGGGTCATATGATATTTCTGGTTCTAGACCCTTGGGGGAACTGCCATACTGTCTTCCACAATGGTTGAACTAATTTACATTCCCACCAACAGCGTAAAAGCGTTCCTATTTCTCCACAGCCTCACCAGCATCTATCATTTCTTGACTTTTTAATAATCACCATTCTGACTGGCATGAGATGGTATCTCATTGTAGTTTTGATTTGCATTTCTCAAATGATGAGTGTATTAGTTCATTTTCACACGGCTGATAAAGACGCACCCAAAACCGGGAACAAAAAGAGGTTTAACTGGACTTGCAGTTCCACATGGCTGGGGAGGCCTCAGAATCATGGCAGAAGGCAAAAGGCACTTCTTACGTGGTGGCAGCAAGAGAAAATGAGGAAGAAGCAAAAGCCCCTGATAAACCCATCAGATCTTGTGAGACTTATTCACTATCACTAGAAGAGCATGGGAAAGACCAGTCCCCATGATTCAATTACCTCCCTCTGGGTCCCTTTCACAACACATGGGAATTCTGTGAGATACAACTCAAGTTGAGATTTGTGTGGGGACACAGCCAAACCATATCAATCAGTGATGTTGAGCTTTTTTTCATATGTTTGTTGGCCACATAAATGTCTTCTTTTGAGAACGGTCTGTTCATGTCCTTTGCCCACTTTTTGACTGGGTTGTTTGATTTTTCTTGTAAATTTCTTTAAGTTCCTTGTATATTCTGGATATTAGACCTTTGTCAGATGGGTAGATTGCAAAAATTTTTTCCCATTCTGTAGGTTGCCTGTTCACTCTGATAATAGTTTCTTTTGTTGTGCAGAAGTTCTTTAGTTTAATTAGATCCCATTTGCCAATTTTGGCTTTTGTTGCAATTGCTTTTGGCATTTTGATTATGAGGTCATTGCCCATGTCTGTGTCCTGAATGGTACTGTCTAGGTTTTCTTTTAGGGATTTTATGGTTTGGGGTTTTACATTTAAGTCTTTAATCCATCTTGAGTTAATTTTTGTATAAGGTATAAGGAAGGGGTCCAGTTTCAGTTTTCTGCATATGGCTAGCCAGTTTTCTGAGCACCATTTATTGAATAGGAGATCCTTTCCCCATTGCTTTTTATCAGGTTTGTCGAAGATCAGATGGTTGTAGATGTATGGTGTTATTTCTGAGGTCTCTGTCCTGTTCCATTGGTCTATATGTCTGTTTTGGTACAAGTGCCATGCTGTTTTGGTTACTGTAGCCTTGCAGTATAGTTTGAAGTCAGGTAGCGTGATGCCTCAAGCTTTGTTCTTTTTGCCTAGGATTGTCTTGGCTATATGGGGTCTTCTTTGATTCCATATGAAATTTAAAGTAGTTTTTTCTAATTTTGTGAAGAATGTCAATGGTAGTTTGATAGGAATAACATTGAATTTAAAAATTCCTTTGGGCAGTATGGCCATTTTCATGATATTTATTCTTCCTATCCATGAGGATGAAATGTTTTTTTATTTGTTTGTGTCCTTTCTTATTTGCTTGAACAGTGGTTTGTAGTTCTCCTTGAAGAAGTCCTTCATATCCCTTGTTAGCTGCATTCCTAGGTATTTTATTGTCTTTGTAATGACTGTCAATGGGAGTTCATTCATGAGTTGACTTTCTGCTTGTCTATTGGTGTAAAGGAATGCTTGTGATTTTTGCACATTAATTTTGTATGCTGAGACTTTGCTGAAGTTGCTTATCAGTTTGAGGAGTTTTGGGGCTGAGATGATGGGGTTTTCTAAATATAAAATCATGTCGGCCGGGCGTGGTGGCTCACGCCTGTAATCCCAGCACTTTGGGAGGCTGAGGCGGGCGGATCACGAGGTCAGGAGATCGAGACCATCCCGGCTAAAACGGTGAAACCCCGTCTCTACTAAAAATACAAAAAATTAGCCGGGCGTAGTGGCGGGCGCCTGTAGTCCCAGCTACTTGGGAGGCTGAGGCAGGAGAATGGCGTGAACCCGGGAGGCGGAGCTTGCAGTGAGCCGAGATCCCGCCACTGCACTCCAGCCTGGGCGACAGAGCGAGACTCCGTCTCAAAAACAAACAAAAAAAATCATGTCATCTGCAAACAGAGACAATTTGACTTCCTCTCTTCCTATCTGAATACCTTTATTTCTTTCTCTTGCTTGATTGCCCAGCCAGAACTTCCAATACTATGTTGAATAGGAGTGGTGAGAGAGGGCATCTTTGGTCTTGTGTTGGTTTTCAGTGGGGATGCTTCCAGCTTTTGCCCATTCAGTATGGTATTCATTGTGGGTTTGTCATAAATAGCTCTTATTATTTTGAGATATGTTCCATCAATGCCTAGTTTATTGAGAGTTTTTAACATGAAGGGATGTTGAATATTGTCAAAGGCCTTTTCTGCCTGCCTCTATTGAAATAATCATGTAGTTTTTGTCTTCGCTTCCGTTTATGTGATGGATTACATTTATTGATTTGTGTATGTTGAACCAGCCTTCCATCCCAGGGATAGAGCCAACTTGATCATAGTGGATAAGTTTTTGATGTGCTGCTAGATTTGGTTTGCCAGTATTTTATTGAGGATTTTTGCATCGATGTTCATCAGGGATATTGGCCTGAAGTTTTCTTTTTTTGTTGCCTCTTCCCGGTTTTGGTATCAGGATGATGCTGGTGTCATAAAATCAGTTCAGGAGGAGTCTCTGCTTTTCAATTCTTTGGAATAGTTTCAGAAGGAATGGCACAAGCTCCTCTTTGTACCTCTGGTAGAATTCAGCTGTGAATCCGTCTGGTCCTGGACTTTTTTTGTTGTTTGTAGGCTATTAATTATTGCCTCAATTTTAGAACTTGTTATTGGTCTATTCAAGGATTCAACCTCTTCCTGGTTTAGTCTTGGGAAGGTGTATGTGTCCAGGAATTTATCTATTTCTTTTAGATTTTCTAGTTTATTTACATAGAAGTTTTTATAGTATTCTCTGATGCTAGTTTGTATTTCTGTGGGGTCAGTGGTGATATCCCCTTTAATCATTTTTTATTGTGTCTATTTGATTCTTCTCTTTCTTCTTTATTAGTCTAGCTAGTGGTTTATTTTGTTAATTTTTTCAAAAAACCAGCTCCTGGATTCATTGATACTTTGGAGGGTTCTTCATGTCTCTATCTCCTTCAATTCTGCTCTGATTTTAGTTATTTCTTGTCTTCTGCTAGCTTTTGGATTAGTTTTCCTTTCACTCTAGCTCTTTAAATTGTGATGTTAGGGTTGATTTGAGATCTTTCTAGCTTTCTGATGTGGGCATATAGTGCTATAAATTTCCCTCTTAACACTGCTTTAGCTGTGTCCCAGAGATTCTGGTAGGTTGTCTCTTTGTTCTCACTGATTTCAAATAACTTCTTGATTTCTGCCTTAATTTCATTATTTACCCAGGAGTCATTCAGGAGCAAGTTGTTCAATTTCCATGAAATTGTGTGGTTTTGAGTGAGTTGTGGTTTTTTTTGTTTGTTTTTTTGTTTTTTGTTTTTTGTTTTTTGTTTTTTAGATGGAGTCTTGCACCGTCACCCAGGCTGGAGCGCAATGGCGTGATCTTGGCTCACTGCAACCTCCACCTCCTGGATTCATGCGATTCTACTGTCTCAGCCTCCTGAGTGCTGAGATTACAGGTGCACACCACCACACCCAGCTAATTTTTTCTATTTTTAGCAGAGATGGAGTTTCACTATGTTGGCCAGGCTGGTCTCAAACTCCTGACCTGAAGATCCACCTGCCTCGGCCTCCCAAAGTTCTGGGATTACAGGCATGAGCCACTGTGCCTGGCCAAGTGAGTTTCTTAGTCCTAAATTCTAATTTGATTGCACTGTGGTCTAAGACACTATTTGTTATGATTTCAGTTCTTTTGCATTTGCTGAGGAGTGTTTTACTTTCAATTATGTGGTCAATTTTAGAATAAGTGCCATGTGGCACTGAGAAGAATGTATATTCGGTTGATTTGTGGTGGAGAGTTCTGCAGACATCTACAAGGTCTGCTTGATCCAGAGCAGAATTCAAGTCCCGAATATCCTTGTTAATTTTCTGTCTCATTATTCTGTCTAATATTGACAGTGGGGTGTTAAAGTTTCCCAGTATTATTGTGTGGGAGCCTAAGTCTTTTTTGGGTTCCTAAGAACTTGTTTTATGAATCTGGGTGCTTCTGTATTGGGTGCATATATATTTAGAATAGTTAGCTCTTCTTGTTGCATTGTTCCCTTTACCATTACCCTTCTTTTTTTTTTTTATCTTTCTTGGTTTAAAGTCTGTTTTGTCAGAGACTAGGATTGCAACCCCTGCTGTTTTTTGCTTTCCATTTGCTTGGTAAATATTCCTCCATCCCTTTATTCTGAGCCTATGTGTGTCTTTGCACATGAGTTGAGTCTCCTGAATACAGCACACCAATGGATCTTGACTCTTTATCCAATTTGCCAGTCTGTGTCTTTCAAATGGGGCATTTAGCCCATTTACATTAAAGGTTAGTATTGTTATGTGTGAATTTGATCCTGTCATCATAATGCTAGCTGGTTATTTTGCACATTAGTTGATGCAGTTTTTTCATAGTGTCGTTGGTCTTTATATTTTGGTGTGTTTTTGCAGTGGTTGGTACCAGTTTTTCCTTTCCATGTTTAGAGCTTCCTTCAGGAGCTCTTGCAATGGCAGGCCTGGTGGTAACGAAATCCCTCAGCATCTTTTTCTCTGGAAAGGATTTTATTTCTCCTTTGCTTATGAAGCTTAGTTTGGCTGGATATGAAATTCTGGGTTGAAAATTCTTTTACGAATGTTGAATATTGGCCCCCAATCTCTTCTGACTTGCAGAGTTTCTCCTGAAAGGTCTGCTGTTAGTCTAATGAGCTTCCCTTTGTCGGTGACCTGGCCTTTCTCTCTGGCTGCCCTTAACATTTTTCATTTTTTCCTTCATTTCGACCTTGGAGAATCTGATGATTATGTGTCTTGGGGCTGATCTTCTTGTGGTGTATCTTAGTGGTGTTCTCTGTATTTTCTGAATTTGCATGTTGGCCTGTCTTGCTGGGTTGGGGAAGTGCTCCTGGATAATATCCTGAAATATGTTTTCTAGCTTGTTTCTATTCTCTCCGTCTCCTTCAAGTACTCCAATCAATCACAGGTTTGGTCTTTTTATGAAGTCCCATATTTCTTGGAGGCTTTGTTAATTCCTTTTCATTCTTTTTTCTCTAGTCTTGTCTGCATGCCTTATTTCAATAATGTGGTCATCAAACTCTGATATCCTTTCTTCTGCTTGGTCGATTCAGCTGTTGATACTTGTGTATCCTTCACAAAGTTCTCATGCTGTGTTTTTCAGCTCCATTAGGTCATTTATGCTCCTTTCAAAACTGGTTATTCTAGTTAGCAGCTCCTCTAACCTTTTATCAGGTTCTTGGCTTCTTTGCATCAGGTTAGAATATGCCCCCGTAGCTCAGCATAGTTTTTTATTACCCATCTTCTGAAGTCCGTTTCTGTCATCCATCTCATGCTCTGTCCCATTCTGCACCCTTGCTGGAGAGATGTTGCAATCATTTGGAGGAAAGGAGGCACTCTGTCCTTTTGGGTTTTCAGCATTTTTTCATTGATTCTTTCTCATCTTCGTGAGTTTGTCTAGTTTTGATCTTTGAGGCTGCTGACACTTGGATGGGGTTTTTGTGGGGGTTGTTGTTGTTGTTGTTGTTGATGATGGTGTTGTTTTTGCTGTTTGTTTGTTTTTCTTTCAATGGTCAAGTCCCTCTTCTGTAGGGCTGCTGCAATTTGCTAGGGGTTCACTTCAGGCACTATTCATCTGGTTTGCTCCCAAGCCCAGAGATATTACTTGAGGAGGCTGGAGAACAGCAAAGGCAGGTGCCTGCTCCTTTTTCTGGGATCTCTGACCTCGAGGGGCACCAACCTGATGCCAGCAGGATTGTTCCTGTACAGGGTATCTTACAACCCCTGTTGGAGGGTCTCGTCCAGTTGGGTGGCAGAGGGAACAGGACCTGTTTAACAAAGTACTTTGACTGTCCCTTTGCGGAGGGGGGTGTGCTTCGCTTGGGGGGAAACCCACTCATCCGGGCTGCCCAGATTCCTCAGAACTATCAGGAGGAAAGGCTAAGTCTGCTGGTCTGCAGAGACTGTGGCCACCCCTCCCTCTAGGGGCTTAGGCCCAGGGAGACCTGAGTTCTATCCCTGAGCCTTTGGCTGGAGTTATTGGAGTTCCTACAAGGAAGCCCCACCCAGTGAGGAAAGATGAGTCAGAGTCAGGCCTGAAGAGGCACTCTGGCTGCAGTCTGCCACAGCCGGTGTGTTGGGCTGTGGGAGACACATCTTGGGACCAAGCCATCCAGCCTCCCTCCCTCCCCTGACTTCAGCAGGGAAAAAGCACAGCCTGGAGCTATAGAGATGAATGCTGCCCTTCCCCCACCCAGGGAGCTTAGTGTGTTAGGCTGTTGTGGGTCCTAGTGCTGGCTGCTGCTCCTCCCTCGAGGAGCTCAAATGGCTTAGACAGCAGGCAGCCTCAGTTATGGTGCTGGTTGCCCCTCCCTCCCCGGGAGCTCCATAGGCTTAAGGGGATTCCAGCTGAGAGGCTGTTGAGAATCTGCGCGGCTCGGGGGTTGGGACTCTAGGCCCCAGTGGCACACGTTTGTGAGTGGGATCTTCCGATCTGTGAGTTGTACAGTTCTGTGGAAAAAGCACAGTTTCCCCAGCTGGGTAGCACGCTCACTCACTGCCTCCCTTGGCTGGGGGTTGAGGGTTCCCCTGCCCCGTGTGGCTCTCAGGTGGGCTGCCACGCTCTTCCTTCCTCTCCGTGGATCAGGCCAGCCTCCTAGTCCGTTGTGATGACGGAACCTGGATACCTTGGTTAGTGGTAAAGGATTCACATGCTTATTATGGTTCTTTTCACTTATTATGGTTCTTTTCCATGGGAGCCTCTGATCGCTGCTGTTTCTGGTCTGCCATCTTGGCACCGCCTCTATCATGTTGAGCTTCAAAGCCAAAACAATGGTGAGCTTAGCAGAAAAAAAATCTGGAAAAATGCTTGAGACATGATCACAAGGTCCCACAATAGGCTGTCTGCAGGCTGAGGAGCAAGGAGTGTCAGTCTGAGTCCCAAAACTGAAGAACCTGAAGTCTGATGTTCAAGAGCAAGAAGCATCCAACACGGGAGAAAGATGTAGGCTGAGAGGCTAGGCCAGTCTCCCAACTGTGAAATTTCTACACCTAAAAAGGTATGGGGTTTGATTGGGATCGTGTCAAATCTGTAAATCAATTTAGGAAAAAATGAAATTTTTCACAATATTAGGTTTTCTGATCTACAAACAAGATGTTTCTGTTTATTTTCTTCTTCAATTTCTTCCAATATTGTTTCAGTTTTCAGAAAAAAACTCTTGTTAGATCTGTTCCCAAGTAGTCAGGTTTTTATGCTATTGTAAACATATCTTTATTAAAATTTCACTTTCTGTTTATTGCTGCTAGCATATAAAACAGTTTATTTTTGCATCTTGCTCTGTATCCATTAACCTTGCCAAGTTTATGCATGAGAGATAATAATTTGTGTATAGATTATTTTAGATTTTCTCCATACACAATCATGGTCATCTGCAAATAGTAACCCATCTTTTTTCCCAATCATTAGGATTTTTTTTTTTTTTTTGCCTTATTGCACTGTCTAAGACTTCCAAGAAGTAATGATAAGAGAAATCCTTGTTTTATTCCAGGTCCCAAAGGCAAAGTCTTTTAATATTTCACCATTAAGTATGACATTTGCTGTAAGCTTTTTGTAGATCTTTGTTGGATTAACGGAATATTCTCCTACTCTGAGTCAGCATGTTCTTTTCAAAGAGGAAATTTAATCATGTCACTTCCTCCTTAGAAGTTTTCATTATGCCCATGAGTCTCTCTAGAGCCCCAATCCCCCCACCCAGAAACTTGGTGCTCCTTGCTTTCTACTCTCCAACCTCAATTACTTTCAAGGTTTGTTTGTTTGTTTGTTTGTTTGTTTAGCATGCTGCATTCCCATCCACCAGAATTCCTTTGTGCATGCTTTCCATCTCCAGCCTTGGAAGGATCTTACAGCATCCTCTTCACAGGCCCTTTTCCTTGTTAAACCTTACTTATCCTTCAGACACCTGCTTGAGGGTAACTTCCTCAAGGAAACCTTCCCTGGACACTGCCCCACCAAATAGGTCAGGCTGTTTAGGGATAAATTCTCATAGAACCGTCTGGTTACATTTATACTCCAATTTCCACTCAACTCACCAGACTATAAACTTCCTAGGAACAAAGACTGTTTTGTTCCCCATTGAAATTCCAGGCTCCAGCACAGTGCCCAGCTCCAAGCATGTTGGGGCTCAATAAATATTTGTCAAACACACAAACTTCAGCAACTCATTTTAATCTAACTTGGTCTCAGTTCCCACAACTGTAAAATGATGAGCTTCATTTCTTTTGCCTTTGACTCTTTATGATTTTAACTGGAGAACAGAATTGGTGCAAAAGACATGAGTCAACTTTTGATGAATGTGAACAATTCTCTACTTTTCTGGTCCCATTGGCTCTGCTGAGTTTGAAAACATAAAAGCCAGTTGGTATGCTTTTGTGCCTACAATCCTTGGCTCTCTGAGCTCATCGTAAGCTCTTTGGAAGCAGATGGTGGGCTTTGTCCAGAAGGGACAAAAAATGCCATGCCCTGGGTCAGAGCTTCACAGCACACATGGGTTTATAATATTCTGGAACCAAATTAAAGTTAACTGCCCTGTCATGGAGTTCCCTGGCTACTTTAGAAACCAAATTCCTTAAGATGTTCTCCAAGAAGAGTTCTCTTCAACAGTGGAACGAGGTCCTTTTTGGATAAAAATTCAGACTTCATTCCAGATGGATTTGAAGTTAAATGTTTGCACCACAAAAAGACTCATTTGTAAAACAAAATGGCTCCCAATTTTAAATTCACCCAATGTTCTTATTAAAGGGATTGACATAAAACTATGACTCCATTTTTAAAAAGTCATTTGTACATATCAGTTCAATTTCTCAGTATTGTAAAGCTTGAGAAGTCAAACTACTCTGAGGTGGCCCCATGCCCACCCCTGACCCTCACAGTCACTCTCCATCACTTTACCCCATCTAATTGTTCTTGTAACCTAGTAACTTCCTGAAATTATCATGTTTACTATTTGATATTTCATTTTGTTTTGAATTCACCTAGCCCAACAAGAGGGAAAGCTCCACGAAGGCTGGGATCTTCTCTGTTTTGACTGCCACTATATCTCAAGACCTAATGTAGTTTTTAGATGCTAATCAGTACTTGATACATATCAGTTCAACAAATGACTAAACCAACTACCATTCAATCTACCTGTTGAAATAGGAAAGACAATGCCAGATAAAATTCTATACAGTTGAAATTGTTTATTTATTATAGAACAATTCACTTCTTTTAAAAATAAATATCAAACAATTTAATGTCAACTAAAGCCTTTTTTTTAAGTTATGCTCTTTCCCTTCCATTCTTACTAAAACCTGGTAAACTCCTTTAACTGACTGTATATGTATCAATCAGCCTAGGACTTACAGTCATTAATATTTTTCTTTCTCATTTATGCCACATGTGTAACCCAGGTCAGTTGCAACTCCCTCCAACCCCCTGCAGTGCTACCTTCACTGTGAGACCCAGGCTGATGAAGCAACCTCTTTCTGGGATTATTTCCTGCCCATGGGAGAGGGAAAAGAGGAGATGGCAAACTGTGCATTGACTTTGATACGACACACACTACTTCTATTCACATGGCCTTAGCTAAAGGAAATCACATGGTCAAGCCTGACATCACTGGAGCAAAGGGGCACAGCAAGAAGGGAAATGAAATATTTGGTCCACCAGTCATAGACTCTATCATGCTGTGTTTTCAGTCTTGGGAGATGATGAGAGAGAAAACAGTGGAATTTCCAGATCCAAACTTAAAAAGAAAAATAAATAAAAATTGTTCTTGTTTTACCTTTGAAAGCCAACTGGGGAACCACATTTGGCCAATTCTGAACTTATAAAAAAGCACAGGGGAGATGAGCTGGTTTTTCTCCTCTAATATGTTCAGAAGCAGCCCTCGGATGACCACATTGTCCACCCCCAATGAGAAGGCAGCATCAGTAAAGAAGATGCTCGTCAATCCCCCGTTCCCCTGCTCTTTACCTTCCCAGAGAGCTGAGAGTGCCTCCTGGAGGCTTTCCTTTTACTTTCATGTACAATTTGCCTCTAATAAAGAGGCAGAATTCTGGAACCTGCAAGCCTTTAATCTCAGGGCCATTATCTTAAGTCAAGCTGGTTTGGCTAACAGTAGTCAGCTTTAACCTTCCAGTAGAAGGTACTCCTTCGAGCCACCATTTGCAGGAAATTCTCTCTCCCCTCCTCCATGACTCACTACTTAAGGGGAGAGAATTTCTTTTCAGAGACTAAGAAGTGACAGCAAAAGAGGAGAGTAAAGAGAGAAGAATCTGGAGGTTCCCAACTTCAGTCTGTGTAAATAGGAATGGAAGAGATGACTTGGGAAGCCATTCACACAATAATTTTGGTGAGCAAGAAAAAAAAATAAAGATTCATAAATTCAGCAACATTTATGGATCTTCTACTACATAAAGTGACGTGCTGTCCTGGAAGCAGCTCTAACAGACACAGCCCATGTATTTGGGGTGCCTACAGTCTAGCAGGGAGACAAAAATATTTTTCATGAAGTGTAGAAAGTGGGATTTTTCTTAAAACAAATAAGATGAACACTTATCCAGTCTGGGACCATTTGGGAGTTGTTGTAGGTGCTAAATGCAGAGGTAAGGATGAATAGAAGTTAGCTGGGGGAACTGCAAGTTATCTGGTTGGTAGTGGTAGGTAGTGGTGGTGGGGTAGTAGAGAGTGAGGACTATGATGGAGAAAAAGGCATCCAGGAAGACGATAAAGACGGAGACAGACTGTGTAAGGCACGGAGGGTTGGGAATGAGGTACACTGCGTCTGTATCTATAGTTCAAGGTGGCTGGGGCTTAGAGTGCACTCGGAAAATGAGCCTGGAGAGAGAAGCAAGTTGGGAAGCATCATGTCAACCACGATATTTGTTGAAGGAAAGGAGGGCAGGGGTGCAGAAGAGTGAAAATGCTCTACCTAATGGTCATTGAAATTATCCCACCAGACCAGTGTAAGCCAGCTTACAATTATTACTTGTTCCAGAATTTTGTGAGCCAGTAGTTAAACATAATGGTTTTTATAAATTAAATTACATAAACTTCCAATGAAATGAATTAGGATATTAAAAACAGAGGCAATAAATACTCAAAATGCATCACTCCCTAATTATTTTACTGAATTTTACTATTATCTTTGTCCTTGAGGTATTTACATTTATTTTATCTGTATGGTAGAAACACTACATTTTCTTTTTTTCCCCTTTTTTTATTATCATACTTTAAGTTCCGGGATACATGTGCAGAACGTGCAGGTTTGTTACATAGGTATATACATGCCATGGTGGTTTGCTGCATCCATCAACCACATTAGGTATTTCTCTTAATGCTATCCCTCCCCTAGCCCTCCACACCCCAACAGGCCCTGGTATGTGATATTTGAAACACTACATTTTCCAACTCGCTGTTCAGTAAGGGCATGTTGGTAGCTTGAAATCAGTCACAGTGCAGGTATTTACACCATGGAAGCCAGCAAATGCTACACAACAGAAGCCTCGCTGCCCTTCACTCCTCCCACCAAGAGCTGGCTGTTAAACATTTACCAGCATACCACTGATTTCACGGGATGCGTTAAATATACCTGCTAGCTATTCTTTCCTGTCTTTGCTTCTTTATTGCTATCAAAACCCATATCTACATGTGCCAAACCACAGAGCTCGGAAAAATAATAGTTGTTATAAGTCACCAAACTTTTGGATAGTTTATTAGGCAGCAATGCTTATTTTCTTAATATCTTATTATGAAAATACTCAAACAAAAAGTTGAAAGGATTTACAGTAATCACTTATTCATAGACCCACCTCCTTCATTCTACAATTAACATTTATTGCACTTGCTTTATCGCAGGTATATTCGTTTGTCCATTCATTTCATTTAGTCATGCGTTTCAAAGCTGCAAACATCAGTACATTTCACTCCAAACGCCACAGTGTACTTATGATTAAGTTCAGATTTTTTTCTTTTGAGGTAAAATGTGCATAAAATGAAATACAAAAACTCTTAAGTGTATCATCCTATGAGTTTTAACAAATGTGTGCACCTATGTAACCCAAACCTCTATCAAAATATAGAGACTACTGTCAATGAGAAAGCTCCCGCGTGTCCCCTCTCAGCCAATCTTTTCCCCTACTCACCATGGTCAGCTAGTGTGTTGATTTTTTTCTACCTACAGATTAGCTTTACTAGTCCAGAATTTCATAAATGGAAAGTTATACAGTATATTCTCCTTTACATCTGGCTTTTTTCACTCATCATAATGTTTATGATATTCATCCATATTGGTGCCTGCATCAGGAATACACTTCTTTTATTACTGAATGGTCTTCCTTCGTATAAATATATCACACCTTGTTTATTCATTCTTTTCTTGATGGACTCCTGGGCTCTTTCTAGTTTGTGGCTATTGTGAATAAGGCTGCTATGAACATTCTTGTACAAGTCTGTTTATAGATGTGTGTTTTCATTTCTCTTGGGTAGATACCTAGGAAGTGAATTTCTGGTTCAAAAACTAGATGTGTGCTTGGTTTTATACCAAACTTCCAGGGATCTTTCTAAAGTAAAGTTTGTTTTTGATTGTCAAGAGTTCAGAAAAGTTCTTTTCTGTTTCAGTCTCCCTATTGGCAATGCCATATCTGTAACACATTCTCTGTACTTTCTCACTTGGGTAGTTTTTCCTGCAAGGGAAAAGTCTCAGATGATGCCAGCTTTTTGATCTGGCTTGATATGCCCTACCTAGGGCCATGGCATCTAGCTCAGTGTTGCCAGGTCTTCTTCAAGGATGGAAGACAAGATGACCACAAAGTCTGAGTCAACTGTACTGGCCTCTGAGCAGGCAGCAATTCTTTTCAATCCTTCTCCACGGGATCAAAGATGAGCTTGATGAGGTGTACCAAGGGCCTGTGGTCACTGGATGGCCATTTTATTTCTTTACTAGTATCTCCCTCTCTGCCTTCCCAAATAGAATGTAAGCTCCCGCTAGTACAGAATCTTGCCTTTCCCATTCACTGATTTATCCCCACCACCTAGAATACTACATAGAGTAAAAACTGAACAAATGCATATATAAATGAATGAATGAATGCTTTGCTCCATTTTGACTTTATAACCCAACCCTGAAAAATTAACTTCTGCATTGGCCTATGTCTATGTAGGCAGATGCCTGAGGTCTCTACTTGGTCACCACTTTGTATCTGTAGCACAGCATTTATTATACTTTGGTCTCATGTGATGCTTGTTTCTCTGATTCCCGCCTGAAGGTTGTAAAGCCCTCCAGGTTTAGGGCTTTGTCTAGTTCATCCGTGTAACCCCACAGTACCCAGAAATGTGCTTTTTATATAGTAGGTGCCAACTTGATCTCTGCTTGCCATATACCCAAAGTTTTATGATTTAAATGTGTCCCCCCAAAAGCCTACATTGGAAACATAATATCCCCATGCAATAGTATTGGGAGGTGAGGCCTAATGAGAGCTGAAGACCATGAGGGCTCCAACCTTCATGAATGGATTAATGTTGTTATCACAGAAGCGAGTTTGTTACAAAAGGGTGAGTTCAGTCCCCTTTTCTCTCTCTTGCCCTCTTACCTTTCACTATGTGATAATACAACAAGAAGGCCCTCATCAAATGCCAGACCCTTGATCTTGGACTTCTTAGCCTCTGTAACTGTAAGCCAATAGATTTCTGTTTTTTGTAAATTACCCAGTCCCAGGTTTTCTGTATAGCAGCACAAAATGAAGTAAGATGCCAAGGGATCCTCAGATCAGGAGTAGCCTGAATTCCTGAGATTGTCTGCAAAATGTTTTCACAAGTGTATTTTTTAGGGTAAAGAGTTTAACACATTCTCAAAGGGATTAGTGACCCCAAAACATATTAAGAATTGCTGTAGTGAATTTTGACAATAGCTACTTTTGTTTTTCTTTATTAACAAAGGATTTTGTTAGAGACTTGTTACATGCTCACCAAGCCCATTCCCATGTCTTCCTACTCACATAGCTGGACTGTATTTCCCAGTCTCTCTTGTGATTAAATGAGACCCTATGGTTGAGTTCTAGCTGGTAGAATGTAGGGAGAAATAATGTTCACCACTTTTGGACTTGAGCCCTGAAATCTCCTAGATGACACCCCATGCGCTGTCTTTTCTTGTTAACTGCCAGACAAGGGAGGTCCTAGAAAAATTGCCTTGAGATGGATGAAATCATAAGTAAAAGAACCCTACTAGGTCTCTTGGAAAATTGCCTGTTGAATACCTATTTGGACAATAACTTGGACAAGATATAAAATTTTACAGTGTTAAACCACCAAGACTTTCCAGTTGTGTGTTACAGCAGCTAACATTATTTACCCCGACTATATAGCAGAAATAGGCATTTTTATTTCTACTATTTACTGCTTAAATATGAATGATTTGGTAGTCTGGTCTTTCTCACCTATTCAAGAAATAATAATTTATTTTATTCTCCAAATGCTTGTGCTATGACTTCAATATTTGTCTCCTTCTGTTATGGTTTGCCTGTGTCCCCCCAAAAGCATGTTTTGGACACCTAATCCCCAGTGCAACAGTGTTTGAAGGTGAAGTACAATAGAAGGTGTTTAGATCAGGAGGTTTCCACCTTCCTGTATGGATCAATGTCAATTATAAAAGTGCTTGAAATTGTGAGTTTTCTGTTTTTCCTTCTCATCCTTTCTTGCCCTTCTGCCTTCTACCATGGGATGACACAGCACAAAGGTTCTCAACAGATGCCAACCCCTCAATTTTGAACTGACTGGCCTCCAGTACTGTAAAAAAATTAATCTCTGTTCTTTGTAAATTACCCAGGCTCAGGTATTGTTATAGCAACACAAAATAGACTAAGATGCTTCCAAAATTCAT
The DNA here is from genome assembly GCF_000001405.40 of Homo sapiens. Lineage (NCBI taxonomy): Eukaryota > Metazoa > Chordata > Mammalia > Primates > Hominidae > Homo > Homo sapiens. The sequence continues at coordinate 13,987,787 of NC_000001.11, read as the reverse complement.
GTTGAAATTTAATTGACATTGTAACACTATTAAGAAATGGGATTTTTAAGAGCTGTTATCACAGTAGTGGGTTCATTATTAAAGGATGAGTTCCTCTCTCTCTCTCTTTCTCTCCCTCTCTTTGCCCTTCCACAATGTGATGTCTTGTGCCATATGATGACACAATAAGCAGGCCCTCCCCAGATGCCAACACCTTGATCTTGGACTTCCCAGTCCCCAGAACTGTAGAAAAAAATTTGTTCACTATAAATTACCCAGTCTGTGGTATTATGTTATAGCAGCATGAAATTGACTAAGCTTATGACTATGACATTGCAATCTAGATTACAAGGTACAAAAGTCCCTCCTGCAGAACAGAAAACCAAACACCACATGTTGTCACTCATAAGTAGGAGTTGAACAATAAGAATACATGGACACAGGGAGGGGAACATCACACACTGGGTTCTGTTGAGGGGTAGGGGGGCAAGAGGAGGGAGAGCATTAGGACAAATACCTGATGCATGCGGGGCTTAAAACCTAGATGACAGGTTGATAGGTGCAGCAAACCACCATGGCACATGTATACCTATGTAACAAACCTGCACGTTCTGTGCATGTATCCCAGAACTTAAAGTTAAAAAAAAAATTAACCAAAAAACAACAACAAAAAAGTCTCTCCTGTCATAAAATTCTGCCTGCTGAGCACCCAGGAACCCTTCTGTCAGATAAATCCCACAACAGGTAAAAGGCAGGGGCATACCTTACAATGGAAGACACTTTCTTTCTTCCACAGCATTAGGGGGAAGAATTTATCTCCTGGCTTCTAGCAGTTGTGGATAGGTATGTAACCTACACTCAGGCAACTGAATGCTCTCAAGGTTGAGGAAGGAACCAGAAGGACATGAACTCACAAGGCTGTAGCAGATCTTCAGGTCCAGGACAGAGCAGCATGAGTCTAAATGAGGACAACCCCAATGTCCTGGCACTGCTGTCTAGACACGAGGGCCCCGGTGGCTGGTTTCTCCTTCCTCTATAGAGATACTGGCTCTACCCATCCTTCCTTGGCTTCTGCTCATTTTTGAAAGCCTGGATCTCTAGCCTTCTGCAAACCAATCAATATCCTTCCAATACATTCCTTTTCCTTTTAAGTTAACTGGAGTTGGTTTCTATTGTTTGCAACCAAGAACTCTTACTGATGTATACCCCCAACCAAGTCATTTAATCTTTACATTTAGCCAAAAATAGGCAAAGTCAAATTAATGTATTTTATCCATTTCCAAGTCTCAATGCAAGAAAGGTCTCTAACTCTAACTAGGACCTATAAAAATTAATTTGGAGATAATTTTTCCTTCTCTCTGATGTAAACTTTTACAGAACAACATTTTGTAAATATTTTTTCTTATTATATAAGCAACACTTGTTCACTGCAGCAAGTTAAGGAATGTGAAAATTATAACAAACATTTTAATTACCCCAATCTCATCAAACCAAAAATAAACAACATATTAAATTTCCTACAAGATTTGTTCCTAATGCAAATTTGTAAAAGAAAAAATACAATCATATTTACAGTTTTATCATCTTATGTCGTGATCAAATTTTGACATCCTTTCATTTATTCAGCAAATATTTATGTTTTGGCAAGGATATGGAAAAATTGGAACTCTCATACACTGCTGTTGGAAATGTAAAATGATAAAGTCACTTTGGAAAACAGTTTGATAGTTTCTGAAAGTTTTAAACAGAGTTACCATATGACCCAGGAACTTCACTGCTAAATATGTATTTCAAGAGAAATGAAAACTTATGCCCACACAAAAACTTGTTATAGCACTATTCGTAATAGCCAAAAGTAGAAACAACTCAAATATGTATCAACTGATGGATGGATAAACAACATATGGTATACTGTATAATGGAATATTATCTGGAAATTAAAAGGAATAAAGTACTTATTCATGCTACAATACAGGTAAACCTTGAAAGCATTATGCTAAGTGAAAGATGCTAGTCACAAAGGACCACACACTGTATAATTCCATTTATAGAAAATGTCCAGAATACACAAATCAATAGAAATGAAAGGTAGATTTGTGGCTGCCTAGGGTTTGACAGTTGAAGGAAAATGGGCAGTGACTGTTAACAGGTACAGGGTTTTTTTTTTGGAGGGATGATAAAAATATCCTAAAATTCGTCATCTAGCATTAGGTATATCTCCCAATGCTATCCCTCCCCCCTCCCCCCACCCCACAACAGTCCCCAGAGTGTGATGTTCCCCTTCCTGTGTCCATGTGTTCTCATTGTTCAATTCCCACCTATGAGTGAGAATATGCGGTGTTTGGTTTTTTGTTCTTGCGATAGTTTACTGAGAATGATGATTTCCAATTTCATCCATGTCCCTACAAAGGACATGAACTCATCATTTTTTATGGCTGCATAGTATTCCATGGTGTATATGTGCCACATTTTCTTAATCCAGTCTATCATTGTTGGACATTTGGGTTGGCAGCGCACCAGCATGGCACATGTATACATATGTAACTAACCTGCACATTGTGCACATGTACCCTAAAACTTAAAGTATAATAATAATTTTAAAAAAATTCAGCTTTATAAAAAGGAATAAAAATTCTGCTGAAAAAAAAAATTTCCCTAGATAGATATATAAATTGATAGAGAGACATTAAGACATTGAGATCGACAGAGATATATCCTATTGGTTCTGTTTTTCTGGAGAATCCTGGCCAATACAGCAAGCCAATTTTATACATGCTGCTGCTAAACTCCATCTCTCCTATCCTATAGTTAATTTTATTTTTAGTGTTTATTTTTCCATACCCAAAATGAGAGAAATTATATTTATTCACAATAAACTTCATTCTATTTGAAAAAAAAATCCTAAAATTGATTGTGGTGACAGTTGCACATATCTGCTTATAGAATAAAAACTATTGAATTGTATACTTTAAGTGGGTGAATTGTATGGCACATGAATTATGTATATGGTAAGTGAATCTCAGTGAACCTCTTACCAAAAAAATATATATTGCACACTTATATGCCATGCTCTGTGCTCATCACTGAACATATAAATAAGACAAACTCAGTCTCTACCTAGTATGTCCATATATGCTTATATATAGTAACATACATAAAATCACAATTATTTCACAAACTCCCTACTGTTGAAATGTTAGACTGCTTCCACTTTTTGCCTCCCATAAATAACACTGAGATGACCACCTTTACAAGGTTATCATCTTCATCCATCTCTCTCATTGTTTTCTTAGAAGAGATTCCAAAAAAATTAGAATTATTAGGTCAAAATATGAATTTATTTGTGCTCAAGTTGCTTTCTAGGGAGTTGTTTGAATTTACACTTCAATGCACAACATATGAGAGAAATACTGTCATTTCTGTTGGCAATTCCAGTAAAGAACAGCCCATTGCCCGTTTCCTAGAAGCTTCCAAGACTTTCTGATTAATAATCCAAATAGGCCGGGCGCGGTGGCTCACGCCTGTAATCCCAGCACTTTGGGAGGCCGAGGCGGGCAGATCACGAGGTCAGAAGATCAAGACCATCCTGGCTAACACAGTGAAACCCCGTCTCTACCAAAAATACAAAAAATTAGCCGGGCATGGTGGCGGGCGCCTGTAGTCCCAGCTACTGGGGAGGCTGAGGCTGGAGAATTGCGTGAATCTGGGAGGCAGAGCTTGTAGTGAGCGGAGATCACATCACTGCATTCCAGCCTGGGGACACAGCGAGACTCCATCTCAAAAAAAAAATAGAAAATAAAAATAATCCAAATAAATGTGGCCCCAAACAAGTAATTTCTACCATTATTTTCAACATCTGTTGAAGCTGAACCAAGCTTAAGTTGAGAAGTATAAGAACCTCCCCCTTTCCACCTCCCCCACCTTCAACCCACACACCAGTTTAGGTTTTGAAAAGAGGAGGTTCAAAAATAAACATGTATAACTTTCGAAACAAAAATGAAAAGGCATTAGTTTTGTAAGTGCATGGAGAGATAATCAATGAGCATCCTCAGATATCAAAAGAAGGAAAAGAGGTTCCCTTTGGGAGGTGACAGCGTGCTGGCGGTCCTCACAGCCCTCGCTCGCTCTCGGCACCTCCTCTGCGTAGGCTCCCACTTTGGCGGCACTTGAGGAGCCCTTCAGCCCATCGCTTCGCTGTGGGAGCCCCTTTCTGGGCTGGCCAAGGCCAGAGCCCACTCCCTCAGCTTGCAGGGAGGTGTGGAGGGAGAGGCCCGAGCAGGAACCAGGGCTGTGTGCCGTGCTTGCGGGCCAGCTAGAGTTCCAGGTGGTCGTGGGCTTGGCGGGCCCTGCACTCAGAGCAGCCGGCCGGCCCTGTTGGCTCCAGGCAATGAGGGACTTAGCACCCGGGCCAATGGCTGCGGAGAGTGTACTGGGTCCCCCAGCAGTGCCAGCCCACCGGCACTGCGCTGGATTTCTCGCTGGGCCTTAGCTGCCTTCCCGTGGGGCAGGGCTCGGGACCTGCAGCCCGCCATGCCTGAGCCTCCCAACCCCTCCGTGGGCTCCTGTGCCCCCGAGCCTCCTCCACGAGCGCCACCCCTTGCTCCACGGCACCCAGTCCCATCGACCACCCAAGGGCTGAGGAGTGCAGGCGCAGGGCGCGGGACTGCCAGGCAGCTCCACCTGCAGCCCCCGTGCGAGATCCACTGGGTGAAGCCAGCTGGGCTCCTGAGTCTGGTGGGGCCTTGGAGAACCTTTATGTCTAGCTCAGGGATTGTAAATACACCAATGGGCACTCTGTATCTAGCTCAAGGTTTGTAAACCCACCAATCAGCACCCTGTGTCTAGCTCAGGGTTTGTGAGCACACCAATGGAGACTGTATCTAGCTGCTCTGGTGGGGCCTTGGAGAACTTTTATGTCTAGCTCAGGGATTGTAAATACACCAATGGGCACTCTGTATCTAGCTCAAGGTTTATAATCAGCACCAATCAGCACCCTGTGTCTAGCTCAGGGTTTGTGAGTGCACCAGTGGACACTCTGTATCTAGCTGCTCTGGTGGGGCCTTGGAGAACCTTTGTGTTGATACTCTGTATCTAACTAATCTGATGGGGAGGTGGAGAACCTTTGTGTCTAGCTCAGGGATTGTAAACGCACCAATCAGCGCCCTGTCAAAACAGACCACTCGGCTCTACCAATCAGCAGGATGTGGGTGGGGCCAGATAAGAGAATAAAAGCAGGCTGCCCGAGCCAGCAGTGGCAACCACCTCGGGTCGCTTTCCATGCTGTGGAAGCTTTGTTCTTTCGCTCTTTGCAATAAATCTTCCTACTGCTCACTCTTTGGGTCCACACTGCTTTTATGAGCTGTAACACTCAGCGCGAAAGTCGGCAGCTTCACTCCTGAGCCAGCTAGACCACGAACCCACCAGAAGGAAGAAACTCCGAACACATCCGAACATCAGAAGGAACAAACTCCAGACGCGCTCCCTTAAGAACTGTAACACTCACCGTGAGGGTTCACGGCTTCATTCTTGAAGTCAGTGAGACCAAGAACCCACCAATTCCGGACACACCTTGAGGTGGGCACTGTGAGGCAGCCCACTCTTGCTGAGAAGGGAAAACACGTCCATGATCCGCCTGAGCAGAGCCCAGGATGTCCTTCCCTGCCTGGATTCAGGCCCTGGCCGGACTGGAGTCCCTCTAGGCCCTGGACCTTTGCCCAATAACAATGGAAATAAATCAGGTACTAATATTCCTCTAATTATTCTCTGAGGGGTGGGAATCAACATTGAAGTGGGAACTTAGCAAACCAAGAGGACAGCCCCCCATCTCTGTGTGTGACTTCGGCCAAGTGGCTTTCCCTGACCAGGTCAGTCTTCTGGTTTGTGCAATGAGAAAGTCCCACCCTCTAATGTTTAAGACTAGGGCATTCAGGTCAGCAATCATCACTACACAGTCACAACCACAACATATCACAGCATCTTCTAGGGTCTGTAAAAGCATCCACAGTCATCACATGCTTCCACAGGGGCCCCCTGCTGAACGAGAGCCAGAAGAGAACTCTTAGCTTCCCTGACCTCTCTTTCATTCATACGCTGGAGGTGAAAGTTCTCACATGAGCCCATAAACAAGACCTCTTGCTTTGTCACAGGTTCAAGTTCACTCTGCCTCTTACCAGATTTCCTTTTCTCATGGTTTTTGCATGGTCTGCTTAGTAAAACTTTGTACCTTGACAGAGCTCTGTAATTGCAGGAATCTATAGAATGTTCACTCTGGTGGATTTAAATATGGCGGCAGAATCTTTGACACGCATCCCATTGAGAGGCAGGTCTAGTATTCCCCTCATTGAATCTGGGCAGGGTTATGACTGCTTTGACCAATAGCTAAAATGACATCATGGAACTTCTAAGGCCAGCTCACTGTAATATTAAAATATCAATATGTTAATATTTAAAATATAAATATTAAATGTATATTTAAATCATGTTTAAATATAATTTATATTACTAATTTATAATTTAATAATTCTAATCATTAAGCATTATAATTTAATATTTTAAATTAATAATTTTAACTTTTTAAAAATTGTGATCACCTCCATACAGTCTTCTTAGGCCTTTTTCTTATCATTTAACCACTTCCATGATAGTTTAATTCCACATATGTATTACTTGTACTATATATAATCTGTGTTTATATATACATATATATATATATATATATAAAGAGTAATTTTTTATACCTCTCCAAGAACCAACTTTTGCCCCTTAAGGGATAATGTCACCTTTGTCAAAAATGCATGAGCTGACTCATAAAATGTTATACAGCTTCCCCCAGGTTCTGGAACACTCGTTCTAGGAGCCTTTCACTGCTATACATAAAGTCTGACTGCCCAGAGTCTGCCATGCTAGACAGACCATCCAGAAAGACAACATAGACAGAAAGATGCCAGTGAGCCCAGCTACTCCAACCGCCAATCATTTGAGTCATCTCAGCCCAGGCCGCAGACATGGAAGTGAAGAAGGCTTCAAGGTGAGCCAAGCTCCAACTGCTGTCTGACTACAACCACATCAGAGATCCCAAGCCAGAATTTTGTCTGCTTGGTGTATCGATTACAGAGAGAAGTATCTTAAAATCTCTAGCCCTGATTGTTCATGTATCTACTTCTCCTTTTAGTTATGCCTGCTTTTGCTTTATATATTTGGGGCTATATTAGTAAGCACATGCAAATTTATATTTGCTATATGTTCCTACTGAAAAGACCCTTTTACTCTTATGAAATTTTCTCTTCATATTCAGTAATACTTTTTATCTTAAAGTCTACCTTGATATTACTATACCATTTTCTGTTGGTTAGTATTTTCGTGGTATATCTTTTTCTACCATTTTACTTTTAGCTTTTTAAATATGTTTATATTTAAGGTGTATTTCTTGTCAGCAGCATATAGTTATATGTTTTAAAAATCTAGTCTGGAAATATTTGCTGTTAATTTGACTAGTATATTTATACTTAGTGTAATTCTTAATGTATTGAAATGAAAACTACTTCTTCACTGTTTTCTGTTTATTGTTCAATTTTTATTATGCTTTCTTGCCTTCTTTTGAATTACTAAAGTATTTTTTATTATTTCACTTTTCTCCTTCCATTAGATTCTCATGTGTATATTATTGCATTATTGTCTTAGCAGTTAACCTAGAGATTACAACATGCTTGCTTGGTTTATTAAAAATCTACCTAAATTAGGACATTGACACTTCTTGGACAATGTCAGAACCGTCTAACACTTTAAAGGCATTTATGGACCTCCTGCCTTGTGTGGCTATTTTTATATGTATTTTAATTCTATGCAAATTTTAAATTCTTTTTTTTTTTTTTTTTTTTTGAGACGGAGTCTTGCTCTGTCGCCCAGGCTGGAGTGCAGTGGCACGATCATGGCTCACTGCAAGCTCTGCCTCCAGGGTTCACGCCATTCTCCTGCCTCAGCCTCCCGAGTAGCTGGGACTACAGGCACCTGCCACTACGCCTGGTTAATTTTTTTGGTATTTTTTAGTAGAGACGGGGTTTCACCATGTTAGCCAGGATGGTCTCGATCTCCTGACCTTGTGATCCGCCCGCCTCGGCCTCCCAAAGTACTGGGATTACAGGCGTGTGCCATCACACCCTGCCGCATATTTTAAGTTCTACACGGTATTACTATTATTGTTTCAGTTGACAGATTTAAATTACATTTACCATTGCATATATTCTTTCTAATCCTTCCTGGATAACCATGCTTCCATCTAGAAGTCCTTTCCTTTTGACCTAAATATTCCTTTTAGTGCAGTCCAGTTTTTGTTTTCTGAAAATATCTTTATCTTAATATTTTGAAGTATTTTTTGCAGGATGAAGGATTATGTGTTGACATTTATTTTCTTTCACTGACTTAAAGATGTCATTCTATTGTCACCTGGTTTTCATCATTTTGTTGAGAAATTAGCTATTGGTTTTATTGTTGCTTCTTTCAAGCTAAAACACCTTTTTAATTTTTGATGTCTTGAGGTTTCCTTTTTGTATGTGATGGAGGTTTTGTTTTGCTTTTTAAGTTTTCTTTTAGCTTTGGGGGACGGGTTTCCCCCTGAGGTTTGTAGTTTCTTGAATTTGGGGCTTGATGCTTTCAATGAGCATAAAAATTTTTTCAGTCAGTAATTTCTTCAAATTTTGCTTTTTTTTTTTTTCTTGAGACTGGATTTCACTCTGTCACCAAGGCTGGAGTATAGTGGTGCAATCACGGCTCACTGCAGCCTCAACCTTCCAGGCTCAAGCAGTCCTCCCACCTCAGCCTCCCAAGTAGTTGGGACCACAGGCATGTGCCACCATGCTTGGCAATTTTGTTTTTGTAGATACAGGGTCTCCCTGTGTTGCCCAGGCTGGTCTTGAGCTCCTGAGCTCAAGCGATCCTCCCACCTCAGCCTCCCAAAATGCTAGGCTTATAGGCATGCCACCACATCAGCTCAAATTTTGCTTCTGCTCCATTAATTACATACTCTCTTCTGGGATTCTATCTACACATATGTTTGACTTCTTCAACACATCTTACCTGTCTCTTAAGCTCTTTTCAACATTTTCCCACTTCACTTTTAAAAAAAAAATTCTGATTTTTCTAAAATTTATCTTTTTCTCTCTACACTTTCATCTGGATATTTTCTACTCACCTATCTTCCAGTTTACTAATAGTCATATTTACTGTGTCTAATCTACTTTTAAACCTCTCTGTTGAATTAACTTACCTTTATTTTTAAGGTATAGCATTTTCATATAGTTTATATATATATATATATTTATCTCTATATCCATCTACCTATATATTCTGCTTTTTTAATGTAATTATTTATCTTCTTTTATTTTCTTGAATAAGTGAACCATAGTTATTTTAAAGTCTGTGTCTGAAAATTTCAATATTGGGATCACTATAGATCTTTCTTCTTGTGATTTTCAGGTCCTATTTCCTAGGATGTGTGGTAATTTCTTAAATGCCAGACATGGTGAAGATGAAAACTACGTAGGCTCTAGCTAACTGCCAAAATCTTTGCTTAGCTCTTTAGTCTTCTAGCAACTGCTTCACACTTCTTTGTTTTCTGAGTCTTGCGCCGCACATATGCAACTTAAGAATCCAACAATTGCCTTTTTTTTTTTTTTTTTTTTTTGTGAGATGGAGTCTTGCTCTGTCACCCGGGCTGGAGTGCAGTGGCACGATCTCGGCTCACTGCAACCTCCGCCTCCCAGGTTCACGCCATTCTGCTGTCTCAGCCTCCCCAGCACCTGGGACCACAGGCGCACACCGCCAGGCCTGGCTAATTTTTTTGTATTTTTAATAGAGACGGGGTTTCACCGTGTTAGCCAGGATGGTCTCAATCTCCTGACCTTGTGATACACCCGCCTCGGCCTCCCAAAGTGCTGGGATTACAGGCGTGAGCCACCGTGCCCAGTCTAGAGAATCCGACAATTGCATCAAGGTGAAATTGTACATAGAATCCTGAGGTCATTTTTCTGTAGTTTCCTCCTTTCTAGAACATTGGCCCTTCAACTCTCAACTGTCTAGGCATCAACAAATTCTAACCTCTGTCTCCCCATGTTAGCAACATTGTTATAAGTTCCAGGCCGCCTGTTTTTACTCAACTTCTATTTTTCCTTCCTGTGAATCAGCAATACCCTGCAAAGAGAAACCAGAAGAAAAAGTGGAGTTGACATGAATAAGATTTTCTTCTCTCCAAAATTTGGCCTCTCAAGTTCTTGTTCATTTGGTTTCTCTTTGTCTTCAGGGAGCTTTATTTCCCCCACTCTTTGACATATCTTATCTGATTTTACAATTGATCTCAGACAGAAGGAAGGCTTAGTCTATCTAAGCTATTTCAGCAGAACCAGAAGTCCTACATTACTCCACTGAAAGCTCAAAACAATCCTATGCAATAAGTAAAATTATCCTCATTTTACATATGAGAAACTGAGTCATAGGGGATTTAAATTATGTCACAAGAAAAACCACTGAAGTCACAGAACTGAGTTTTATTTCAAGTTTCATGTTCTTTCCAATGTACCTGTGATACCTCACCAGTGGCATCAGACGGATAATATCTAGAACAAAAGAACTCAGTTGAAAAAACAAGAACAAAGAATGAATTCCCTGTAGACTAAGCTCTCTTCCTGCACAGGTAAGGATCTCTCTACCTCCTCTCTGATCCTCACCAACAATGGGGAACCAACCTGTATTCAACAGAGGGAAATTGCTGAATAATTCATAAGACAGGAGGGTTCCCAGCTCAACTCAACCTTGGATGAATTGTCTCTATGGCCCTACTAAGATGAAGAAAAATATTTCCTTGTGCAGTAAATGTGGTTCATGAAAAGGATTCATTAAGTAAGATGCTATTTAAACATATACATTTTTCTGACTAGCACTGCACTTTTTAGGGAAGGTGATGCTTAATAGAGGAGAGATGCTTTAATCTCTCCTTATACTAACTTTCTAAATTAAAAAAACACACAGTGCTGCCACTAGCATCTTAAGGAAGATAGGTGGATGCATCGATACACACTTCTTTTTAAGTGCCTGTTCTTAAAAAGACATCTGTTATTGACTGTAATAGCGTGAGTCATAACAAATGCATTTATATTCATGTAGATATAATCTGCACTTCCACAGGTGTTCCAGTGTAATGTACAATTGCCTAATGAACCTTTAAAATAAAATGCTGCCAATGAGAACTGAGTTTGCCTCTCCTATAAAGAAAATGAACTCCATCAGGCTGGCAAACAGGAACCTCAGCATCCTAGATATTTTTAATATGATGGCTTTCTTACTGCAATTTCTGCGGGGAATAATATATAGGGAAATAATGTTTCTCCTTTGTGATTACATTACCATATGGAGTAATTTTTCTTGACAAGGAGGTCATTTCATCTGATGAGTTCTTGAACAGTGAAATGGAAGCTTGGTTCTATGACAGCAAAGGACAGATTGACTTATTAAAACCGTTACATTACAGATTTTTATTAGTCGATTTCCCATTTGCTCTCTTTGAAAATCAAAAGCATGGATGCATTTGGAAAGTCCATCAGAAAATATTAAGAATAAAAATTAGACAGAATGGTCATTATTGTAAATGGAAAAATCATCTGAAAACTAAGGATTCTAGAGGCCAACTTTAAGAATTCTCACGAAGACATTATTTGGAGAGCAGAACAGATGGGGTATATTAATGGAAGAACCAGCCTCACAAGATAAACAGCCAAAGTTTTAGAAAAATCACCCAGGCATCTGAATTCAAGGCAGGGTGCAATGGACTGAACAAAATTAATTGTCCTAGACACCAAAAACACAGAGGAAAAGTGGCCTAAATCTAGGAGAGACTTCCAAAGCACTCTGAGAAATGTTGCTTTACTTTTTCATCAAAACACCTTTCAGAAGCTGGGTTTACTATGCGTGTACTCATATTTATTCCTTTTGATTCATTCATTCATTCATTCATTCAGCAAGCCTTGACTGACCCCATCAATGTGCCAGGACCACAAAAAACATCATGACGTGACTCGTGTTCCCGACTAGTTCATGATCTGGTAGGGGAGACAATTGAGTCAATACTATCTACCTGCCGGTGTGTTAAGTTTTGTTTAAGGAAATGTATGGCTCATTCATCCACTCATTTGATCAATATTTGATGAGTATCTATTCTGTTCTAAGTTTTTACTCAGCACTGGGGACTCAAGAGCATGTTTGGGTAGCTATAATTTAACAGACATATGATAAACAAATACATAGAGAAAGTCCAATTGTGTTTCAAGTTGCAAATTAGGCACATGCAGCTCTTTTCCGCTACACATGGTTCTAAGTGCAGAGGAAAGAGTCGAGCCTCTGAAGCATCACCTCTCAGCCCACTGATATCTGAAGCTCCTTTCTCACTCAAAGATACTCTTAGAATAAAGAGACCTTTTTTATATGCTTGGTATGGGCTGTGATGAAGTAACCAAGTGTTCTGAACAGTGGCCTTGAAGTGCCTCACAATCAAAGGCCTCCCCAGGCCCCACTCCTGCCTTCTGAGTAATGACAGAAAGTGCCAAATTCGATCCAAATACATGTGGAGGCAGGGGTGGGCAGCTGACTCAGCCACCACCCTGACACACTCTATGATCTGTCTTCCTACTGTAGGCTCTCAACGTAAAATCTCTAAGAGCAGAGTCCCCATCTGTTCTTATCACTCTACACCCAAAATCCAGCACAGTGCCTAGAACATGGAAAGTGATCAATAAATACATGTTAAATGAACAACTAGAAAACAACATAATTAGGATAAGAAAAGTGCTATAAAAATAAATAGATCATCTGATAGCAAATTACACTGTAGGGAAAGGGCGGATATAAAAAAGAGTTAACAAAGCAGTCTTGAAGGTCTGTGTGAGACCTCCAGGGTATCTAAGGTTTACAAGGTTGGCCCTTGGCTGGTGTAGTGGTTTTCTGGGGCTGCCATTACAAACTGCCACAAAATAGGTGGCTTAAAATAACAGAAATTGACTCCCACACCGTTCTGGAGGCTGGAAATCCCAAATCCAGCAGGACCTTGCTTCCTTTGCTTCCTCAGGGAGCTCTAGGGGAGAAACTGTCCCTTGCCTCTTTCAGCTTTTGGCAACCCCAGGCATTCCTTGACTTGTGGCAGCAGCATTCCCATCTCAGCCTCCATGGTCACATTGTCTTCTCCTCTTCTGTCTGCCAAATTGTTCCTTATAAGGGATACTTGTCTCTTATGAGGACACTTGTCACTGGATTTAGGTCCCACCCAGATAATCCAGGATGATGTCTTCATCCCAAGATCCTTAATTAATTACATCTGCAAAGACCCTTGTCCAAATAAGGCCACATTCACAGCTTCTGAGAATTCGATGTGGGCAGATCTTTAAAGGCACCATTTTTCAACTCACTACAGCTGGTATCTGCCAACTTACATCTTAAACAGTTCCCTACACTGATATAAACTTTCCCTAAATGATAAGAGTGGCCCATTATGCCTAGATTGTTTGTACAATGTGGTTTATTCTAGGCAGCTGCTTGTTCTTCTGGGTCTGGAGTTTTGGTACATGCTAGGCAGAGAAGATCTACATAACCAGCCCCCATTAAAAACACTGGCAGTGAATCTCTTACAAATTCCTGGTTTGATAACATTTCACACACATTGTCACAATCCAGTGTTGGAGGATTGACACACATCCCATGTGACTCCCCTGAGCGAAGCTCCTGGAAGCTTGTGCCTGGTTTCCACCAGACTTTGCCCCATGCATCTCTTTCTTTGGCTGATTTTGCCTTGGATCATCCTAGTCCTAGCTGTGAGTATGACGATATGCATAGTCTTAGGAATCCTCCTGGTGAACCAACAGACCTGTGGGTGGTCGTGGGGACACCCGATGCAGGGGTCTACTTAATGAGGCACAAGGGAAGTCTTCTCAGAGAGATGGTATTTGAGCTGAGACCCAGGATGGAGATCACACAGCCCATTTGTGATAGGGCTGGTGTTAAAGCTCAGTTTCCTCATCTGTAAAATGGGGATGTTAACAAAGTCTCAGCAGAAGATGCACGACACTGTCAAACTGGGTTATTGGAGGAAAATGCATAAAGGGATTAGGCACGAAGGTGTGGTCAGGATTTAAGAAAACCAACATAGGATGATGCAGTACCCTTGGGCTACAAACACTGGAAAGCTGGTAACACCGTAGGCCTGAAAGGCAAGTTGAGGGAGTTGTTACCTGAATCCAGAGAAGGCATTTGTATGAAGGGGACTGCCTGATCAGAGCCAGAGATCATGGCAACCTGGTGAGAAGCAAGCCAGGTAAATACGTGTTCTGACCTCACTCTCTTCTGATCCTCTACTCTTCTGCCAGTGGTTTCCACTGGTTAAGCCCAACTAGACACCTGAAAGTAAGGAAGACAGCTAATGAGGTCCACAGGGGTCAGCCTCCTAGGGAATAAAGCAGGGTGGAGAAGGGCAGACAGTGGATCTAGAGGGGAAAGGGGGAAATACCCAGCACAGTGGTGGTGATAGCCTCTACCTCCATGAGGTTGTTATGAAGTTTACATGAGATGATACATGTCAAGGGAGAACTTAGTACATCGTCTGGAATAATGTGAATGCCAGATCACTGTTTTATAGATGTTGATAATAAAGATGAAGAGGAAGAAGATGAAGGGGAGGAGGAAAAGGATGAAGAGAAGAATAAGGAGAAGGAAGACAAGGAGGAAAAGGTGGAGGGAAAATGAGAAAAAGAAAGAAGCCCCTTGAGAGCAAGAATATTTTTATTGTACCTAAAACAATTCCTGGCATGTGATAGACAATAAATATGTTAAATCATTGCATTATATAAGGGTCCTTATATCCAGATTCTAAACCTTGACTCAACACAGGGATTTGGTCTTTGAGACACAGAATAACTGGTGGGAGTCCTTAGTCAAAACCTTAATTTTACAGATGTTAACTGAAAGGAAATTACTTTCCCAAAGACACACAGTAAGTTCAAGCAAGAGCTGACAGCAAGATCCAGATGTTTTGATTCCAGTCCAGTTCTCTTTAAATACAGCCAGTCTGCCTCCAGGGATGTCCATCTGATAACCCCTACAATGTATCCAGCATCGAGGCTGAGAGATGGGTTGGTCCTCGCCTATCTCCAAAACTATCAGAGTAAAAGGCTGGGGGTCTTCCTTCCGGGCTCACCAGCAGCTTGTTAATCCTGGTGTTATAGAAATAATACAGACCCAATCATGGATCATAGAGCTCTGGATAGATATGTAGCTGCCTGTGCTCTGGCAGCACAGAACACTGGCTGTTGGGCTCATAGCAACTGACAGACAGTGGAACTCCTTTCCATCCCACAAGATGCTGGGAGCATCTTCACATCTCTGTTTATTTTTAAAAAGTAGGGTGGCATTCGGGAGGCAGAGCTTGCAATGAGCCAAGATAGCGCCACTGCACTCCGGCCTGGGTGAAAAAGCAAGACTGTGTCTCAAAAAAAAAAAAAAAGAAAAGAAAAAAGAAAAAAAGTAGGGTGGCATTTTACACATGGATGTTCATTAGTATTTTATTGGAGTCTTCTTCATGGTTGCTGACTGCTTTTTTCTTCTTAAATTGTATTATTTTCTGAAATATTCTATTTCTCCTTTGCACATGCCTTTTCCACTCTGATTTAACACAAAACAATTCTCTATCTTGCCATGTGTTTGGAAGTCATGTGTATTAGTCCATTCAAACATTAATATAAAGAAATGCCTGAGACTGGGTAATCAATAAACAAAAGAGGTTTAACTGGCTCATGGTTCTGCAGGCTGTACGGGAAGCATGGCAGCATCAGCCTCTGGGGAGGCCTCAGGGAACTTACAATTATGGTGGAAGGCAAAGGGGGAGGAAGGCATCTCACATGGAGGAAGCAGGAGCAAGAGGGAGGAGGGGAGGTGCTACACACTTTTAAACAACCAGATCTTACAACAATTCACTATCATGAGGACAGTACCAAGGGGGATGGTGCTAAAGCATTTGTGAAGGATGCACACCCATGATTCAATCACTTTCCATCAGGCCCCACTTCCAGCACTGGGCATTACAATTTGACATGAGATTTTGGTGGAGACACAGCTTCAAGCCATATCACCATGCTTTGTGAAATTCTTCCCAGATACAACAACAACAACAACAACAAAAAAAAAACCTCACAAGATACTCAGTGGATATGCATCCCTTAAACTGGAGAAGCACACTGTGTTTTGTTCTGGTAACCAAGGCACGTGAAGATGGCTGGAAAGATGCACATTCGGGCCTACATTGAAAATGCATGCATATGAAACCATGAAATGTGGTAGATTGATAGTATTAGTGACCCCAATTATTGAACCTCCAATTCAATGCCCGTTGAGCTGTAACTCTAGTCCACCCTATACATACACAGTCTGATTCTGATTCTTCACTCAGTCCTGTGACTTGCTATGGCGTAAATAATGTTAGTAAAGGTGAAGCAAGCAGAGACATCAAGATTATGTAAACAGTTCCACTTGCTCTCTTTTACAATTAGGTTTGCTCACTGTTATATCCCTGCAAGGCCATAAGAACACATCCAAATTAGGCTGGTGGAGAAATGTGAGAGCTATGTGGAGGAGAGCTGAGTGGTCCTTCCAGCCAAGGCCACCCTAAGGTAGACACCAGCCAGCCAACTCCCAGACATGTCTAGCACAGAGCAGAAGAACCTCCCTGCTGAGCACAGCCTAAATCACCTACCCAAAGCAAGCTGAGTGACAGACACAGAGTTTTGGGTGGTTTGGGGCAGTAAATAATTGATACACAACATATGTCACTCTCATTTTCAGTTCTCATTAAAACCATCAGAATAAGAAAATCTTTATGCCTGAAGGTCTTTTCTTCATTATTGAGTATTTTGATTGGCTTAGACAAAATCCACAACTCCATGAAAGAGCTGAGATGGCATATTTTAGATAAAGATTAGCAGAAGAAGGTTTGGAGCCCATGCCAGTAAATCAGAATAGAAGTATGAACCAGAGAAAGCCTATAGTCTCCCAAAGAAAGTCATTGTTAAGAATAGGCATTGGCTCTGGAAAAGAGATGTTTTGACATTTTGGTCAAGAAAAATAGAATTCTCTTAAAAGAGAACAATCTTAAGAGATCAAATCCTCTATCCCCCTGCCTTTGAGCAGAATCACACCTGATCCATCACAGATAGATAGTATCAGAGGCTTCCACGGTTCCAAGCCCACCTTTTTCATTATTAATGAGTGAACGTTTGCAAGTCAGACCCTCAGGGTTCAAACTCCAACTCTTCCATGGCCAGGCTGCATGATCACAGATATGTGATCATATACACGCTTCTGATCCTAAGTCTCCTCACCTGTAAAATGAGAATAATAAGAGCATATCTTTCCAGAGTTGTCATAAAATTAAAGTACAGATGGGCTCAGCACCGTTCTTAGCACATGGTGCACCCTCAATAAATGTGAGCTATTATCAGTCCTTGTCAGCACTTTTTGCTAATATTTAATGCCTTAATCATTCACTGACAGATATCACTTTCTGCCATCATAAGAGAGGCTGAGAACAGATGGTATTTGGCATATTCCTTTTGCTTAAAAACCAAGAATATACTTATTTGACCTTTCAGCCTCTTTTTTCTAGATTAGATATTCCTGGAATCTAAGATATGAGTGACGAAGGTGCAGGAATGTTAGTGCATTTAGTAGAATAGAAATAGCATGAATTTGGGCATCAAATAAACCAAGTTTTGCATTTGCTTTTTGCATTCACCAGGCCTGTGCCTTTAGCAAACTACTTAACTACTCTCAGCTTTGGCTTCTTCTTCTATAAAATGGGCGGTGCCTACCTCACAGAATCAGTTTAAGAATCAATAATGTTTAGCTGTTATAGGTCTCTATAGTTGAATTCAAAAGACAATGCAGTCCAAAATTCTCAAATCACACATGGAGCCTACCTGAAAATAATTATCTGTGGTGTGTGCTGGGCACACATCCTAGTCATTTCCTATCCAAGTGAAGACTGGTGTCACATGGAACCTCAGCCAGGTAGCATCTGAGCCATGAATGATGTGAAGGACTGAGTGCCACAAAGAGTTGGGGAAAGGGCACTCCAAGCAGAAGGAACAGCCAGTGCAAGAAATGCAAGGTAGGAGTAGGCTTCATCACCCAACAAGCGAGCTGGTGTGGCTGAAGCAGAGTGACTAGGGAAAAGAGTGGTGTAGGAGGGTCACTGCCTTCTGAGGACTGTGATAGAGAATCTGTTTCATGCCTCTCACTTAGCTTCCAGTGGTTTGCTGGTAATGGTTGACATTCCTTGGCTTGTAGAGGCATCATCCTAAAGTCTGCCTCCATCTTCATTTGGTTTTCTCCCTGTCAGCATGTGCATGTCTGTGTCCAAATCTCCCCCAGTTGTAAGGACTTATTGGATTAAGAGCCCACACTATTCTAGTATGATCTCATTTTAACTTAACTAATGACATCTGCAATGACTCTATTTCCAAATAAATTTGCACTCTGACTACTACTTTAACATATGGGGACTACTACTTTAACATATGAATTTTTCAGGGACACACTTTAACCCATAACATCCCCCAGCTAGAATATAAACTTCCTGAGGGCAGAAACTTGTTTTTTGTTTACTGCCATATCTCAAGTATTTAGAAGACTCCTCGGCACATGGCATATACTGAATTAATATCTGCTGAATTAATGAATGTACAGGGAAAATTCGTGAAGAATAATCCATACAGGTACAAATAAAGTGTCTCATTTTAGACTTGATAAGTTGAGATACTTATTAGAAGCCCAAGTAGAAATGTCAAGTAGGCAACTGAATATGGAATCTTAGCAAGCAGGTCACAGCTGTACTTGTAGATTTGGGAGTCATCGGCAAGTGCATGGCATTTAAAGACATGAGACTGGATGGGATCAACTGGAGAGACAGAATGTAGAGTAGATGTTCAAATGGAAGAGGAGAGGCCAGCAAAGGATACTGAGAAATGGTGAGCATGGTTAGGAAAAAAGAAAACAAAACAGAGCAATCCAGTGTCTTACAAGCTAGGAAAAGAAAGGATTTCAAAGAGGTCTGATGCTGCTGAAAGGTCACGTGAAAGGATCAACCATGGAATTTCGTAAAACAAAGGTCCTTGTTAGCCTCCACAGTAGGGACAAAATCCAACCGGAAGTGATTCAAGACAGAATGGACAATGCGGAAGTAGATAGGAAGTGTAGACCCGTCACGTGAGGAGTTTTGCAGGGAAGGAGTAAGAGGGCAACAGCAGATTGAGTCAAAGTCAGATTTTTAGCAGCTGGAGTTAAAGGTGGGTACAGTAGCTGCCAATGGCTTCAAGCCCATTTTGCCTGTCGGGGATCCACAGTGGAAGTTCCAAGGCACTGTTCCGTCTGGACCTTTTCACAAACCCAGGAGGTCTGTCCCCCACATCAGGAAAGTGAGAGGTTATTTGCTAGAAAGCACCCTGATTTAAATCACCCTTTCAGTTGGTCTCATTTCCCTCAGTGGTGGCCTTGCAGATGTCCTAAGAAGTGAATCTGAAGTCCCAGAGTGCCCTAAAGGATTGCACCTTCTGGCTGCCTGAGCTGCACACCTGCAGGACCCCGGGCTTCCCAGTACCAGGAGCCACCTGGGAACCATTTAAAAACTCAGCTCTCAAACTAGCCATTTCCTCCCTCAAGAAATCAGTGAGAAATGACCGCCCTGGGGTGATGGCACTGGGGAACAGGAGGAGGCCCCTAGAGACCAAGGGAGAGGCACTGCCCAATCTGTGGTTTCCATGGTTTCTGTCCCCACTGCAGCTGCAAAGAGGCAGGAGCTCCAATGCCAGGGTTGCTGCCCATCTGTGTTGGAGGCCACCTGGGAGAGATGCCATGCCAGCCCTTGCAGGTGCAGAGTCCCACTGCATCTGTTCTTGACAGCTGAGAGCAGATCCAGCCCCGCCCAGTGAAGCCCCGCTCTGGTCTTATGAAAATGAGAACTGGGATCTGAACTAGGATCTTAAGGCTTGGCGGGCTGGGTGAGCCACATTTCACTCCCCTGCCCCAGTCTCCACCCATGGAACGTATGAAGGCACTTCTCCTACTCTGTCACAGCCAATCCCAACAACCAGCCCAGAGGCAACGCACTATCATTGGCTCCATTCAGATGGGGAGAATGAGTCTGGGGGAGTGAAGTGCAGTGGTCACCAGTCCTCAGTGGTGAACGCAGGACTTGACTGGGACAGTCTGACCCCCAGGCCTCTGTATTTCCCCCCAGGCCACACTGTCTCCATGCCTACACTGCTGGATGCTGGCCACCACTGATTCCCAAAGGGTCGCCTCAATGTATTATTGGGTGCACTTGGGGAAGGGTGGGGAGATTCCAAAGGCTCCCTGAGGTAATCCTTCTCAATCAGTCCTTCAGTTTCCAGCTCTGGAAGACTTGCATTCCTTGCAGGGTAGGTGAGAGTGGGCACCTTCTTAATTAATGCACTCTTAAGTCAGTCCACACACGTTTGTCCAAAACCTAGACAGCCAACCACAGTTAGGTAAGATGTCAGCCCTGAGGGAAGCCAACTACCAGGTACCTTCTGTGCTATTTTTACAACTTCCTGAGAGTTTAATGACTGCAAAATAAAAAGCTTTGAAAAAAATAACTTTAATCTGTGCTGCATCCCATCTAAGGTGCTACAGAAAATAAAACAGTGAGTAAGCCCTGACTCCTGCCTTTAAGAAGTTTAAAGTCTAGCTGGGCTGAGGGGTGGGGTGGGACCAGTTATACAGACACAGTAGAACGCAGTGATTTAAGACATACATTGTAGACCAGTGCTGTCCAATAGTACTGTATGGTAAACCATATATGTAATTTTTAATTTTCTGATAGTGCATTTAAAAAAGTAAAAAGAAAAAGGTCAAATGAATTTCAGCAACCTTTATTTTATGTAATATATCAAAAAACAACCAGGTCAACAAGTAACCAATATAAAAAATTATAAAAAATTCCTAATGCCATATATTATACTGTGTTTCATTCTAATGCTTCGAAATCCTGTGTCTATTTTACACTTACGGCACATCTCAACTCAGATAGCCACACTTGGAGCACCCAAAAGCCAGCCTCCTGTGGCCAGGGGGCTACTGTGGTAGACACCAAGAGACTACCCTGGGTCCTCCTGAGTTCAGATCCTGGCGTCACCACTCACCAGCCGTGTGGCCCCAGAGATGTCAGGTCACCACTCTAAGCCAGGGCTTCCTTGTCAGTGACCCTGTCCATCCCATGGAGTCCTTCCAAGGATAGTGAGATCTGCTTCACACATCAAGACTGCAGGACCCCACCCCCAGAAAGCACTGTGAGGACCTGCTGCCGCCACTGTAAAGACAGGTCAGAGCCAGGGCTGAGAAGAAGTTCAAGCAAAGAGCTCTGGGGTCCAAAAGGCGCCCCCACTTGCCCTCCCATTGTCCCTGAAAGGTGGTCTTCGTTGCCTCCTATCGCTATTGCTGTTGCCATTTTCCTACCTGGTCCCTGAGCAGCCTCTCACTCAGGTGTGTTGAGGGAGTAGGAGGGAGGGAAGGAGTAGGAGGGAGGGAAGGAAGAGGAGGCAGGGAGAGAAAGCAGAGGAAGGGGAGAGAAATAGGTAGGGCTTGAGGAAGGGAAGGAGCAGCAAAGGCTTAGGAGAGCTCAGGCCCACCTCGGTGTTACGGGTCTGATGAGAAAGAAGGACTTGGAGAGCCGCCTGGACTGTGCTGCTCCCTCTCCCTGCTTTTTGCTGTCCTCTGCCTCCCCCTCCTGGGCTCCATCTCCAATAACCATGTAAATCAGGGAGGACCCAGCCCTTCTTGCAGGAGGACGTTCAGCTTGGCAGGAAACCAGCTGGAATCATGAACTCTGGAGGGCTCATGAGAGCTTCCTAATTCAGAGGAAAACATTTTACATTCAGGTGATGACATGGAAACAATGTAATTCAATCAGATAGACCCACCGGTTATGAGAAGACACTAGACTTTGCCCCGTGGAAATAGAGATAATTAAGACGCAGCTCCAGCCCTCCTTGACTTCACAGCAGAAGTCGCTGCGGAGTGAATTCATTCCATTCACCTGTGCATTGGGCATGATGCTGAGAGTTGGGACTATCGGGCTGCAGATGTATTCCCTGACTTCAGGAAGCTCCCAGTCTTGCTGGGAAATAGCAATGCGAATAAATACTCAAGTTGCAAGGTGGTAAGTGCCACACTTACCAAATAACAGGTCCAAAATATCAGGAAGTGATTCCTTCTGATGTAATAATTATTAAAAGCACCCACCTTAACAAAACACCACCACCCACTTTCCATTGTTGAACATCTGTCATATCCTGAGCACCGAGCTATACACTTGGCATCAGCATCTTATTCAAGCCTCAAAACAGCCCTAGAATGTGACGTCCCACAGCGTCTAGGGGCAGGTGCTGTGAATTTCCCAGGGCGTGAGTCACCATCTCCTCCCCAGGAGCCTCCCATCAGGTCCCCCTGCTTGGACCCTTGCCCCCTACTATCTAGTCTCAACACAGAACTTGAAATCATCTTTTAAAACTGCAAGTTAGATCCTGACCTCCTGCCCAAACCTCTCTAGCGCCCACCCCTCCATGTCACTCAGGGTGGAAGGCAGAGTCCCTGCCTTGACCTGCACTCATCAGGTGGCCTCTCTGTCCTCCCCTGCTGCTCTCACTCTGCCCTCCAGCCTCACTCTCCTGCTGTGTCTGGAATGCCCCAGGTGCGTCCCTGCCCCAGGGCCTTTGCTCTAGCCATGCCCTCCACCTGGCACCCTCTTATCTACACCACTTGCCTCACCAGCTCCCTCATCTGCTTCGAGTCTTTGTCCAACTGTCAGTTTCTCAGGGAGAGCTTTCCCTGCCAGCCTGTTTAATGCTGCGACCTGCACCCTTCTCACTGTGGTAGATTGACTGCAAGAGTGACCACAATTATCACCCCTCACTTTCCATCCCATAGCCACACCTTTTGTGATGTAAACTTTTTACCTCCTTCCTTCAAGAGCTGGCTGGCTTTGACTTGCTTTGGCTGACAGAATGCGGCAAAAGGGATGTCATGCCACCCAGTAGAGGCCTCAAGAAGGCTGGGATACTTGCCTCTCTCAGAACCCTGCTTCTACCACGAAAGCAAGCCTGGGGTGGCCTGCTGGAGCATGAGAGACTACGTTTAAAGAACAGAGTTGTCCTGAGGCCATCCTAGACCAACCGGTAACCACAGACACATGAATGAGCACAGTCCAGGTGAGCCACGACCAGAACTGCCCAGCTGAACCCAGCCTATTGCGGACTCACAGAACTACAGAACTAGGGGCTACATAAGCAGTTGTTGTTTTAAGCCATCAGGTTGTGTGACTATTTGTTACGCAGCAGTAGCTGACTGATTTACCTGCCTGAGTACTGTCAACCAACTTCTACTGCTTTCTTCTTTTTTGTCCACAGCACTTATTACCTTCTAATACACTATAAAATACACTTACTCGTTGTTAAACACCATTGTTTATTTCTATCTCCCCCATCTAGACTATATAGAACTATAGTATCTCCTCCAGGGAAGACATATGTTTTATTCACTGATGCACATAGAATATGCCTAGGATTGTATATGGCATATAGTAGATACTCAGTAAATAATTTTCAAGACAATTTTAAAAAATGGATGAAGAGTGTTAACAACCCCTACCACCACTATTTGAGCACTTGCAAATGGGAGACATTGTGCCAAGCTCTGTGATCAATCAGCCTATTTAACTCTCACAACAGCATTAGGAGGTAGATACTCTTATCCCGTTTTACTGATGACACAGCTAAGACTCAGAGAGGTTAAGTAACCAGATAGCACAGCTGGCAATTGGCAGAAGTAGGATTAAAACACAGGTATGATATCTAACTCCAAAGCCTATTATGACATCCAGTATACTGCCCTGTCATCCACTACCCCTACACACACACACACACACACACACACACACACACACACACACACAGACCACAGCAGAAACATTTAACCCTTTAAAGAACACAGAAGGAGATGAAGGTTTTTTGTTTTTTTGTTTTTTCATGGAGGAGATGATGGCTGAGCTAGGCTTTGATGCATGAATAGAATTTTAAGGGAGATAAGAAGTGGCTGTTACTTACTTAGAAAATTCTATAATTGCCTGGATGATAGACTCATTCATAAAGGAGCCAGAGGAACAATAATTAAAGCAATATCTTCTAACACAAAATGCCCAGTGTATAGAAGATGCTGTCTTCTTAGGTCTGAAGAGGATGTGGTCCATTTGGAATCACTATCCATGTGAGGAACTAAATAAGGACACAGCCAGCAACGTAGCTAGAGGATTTGGATCCAACAAGCACTTCTGCAGTGCCCACTACCGTCCCCAAATGGAGCTGAATGTTCTAGAAAATAAAGGAAAAATAGAAAATAAAAAATTCATACTTTCCCTTAACCTGCCTCCCTTGCTCACTTCCACCTTCTGATGTTTCTAAATCAGGTAGTTTCTCTCTTGAAAGTAGCCCTCAGCCTATTTTAGATGGTCCACAAAATCTCCCATCTCCTTGACTCTCCAGCCCCTCTTTCCCCACTCCCCATCACCACAGACATTAGAGAGATTTTTTAAACACAGGTAGTATAATATCCCTTCCTATCATATCCCTTTATTATCTTGTTGACACCAAGATAAAGTTCCAGCTTCCTATAATGATACACAAGTCCCTACAAACTGGCCCCAATTTGTCTCTTTAGCTTCTCCAAGACTTCTCCGTCACCAGAACACCCCCAAATCCTCCATTCACCATGGCTTCGAGCAAGCTGTCCTGACCACCTAAAACTCTCTTCTCTACTTCTCTACACCTCAGTTTTCTCATCTAGAGCATGGGTAGGATAGGCCAGGTGCAGTGGCTCATGCCTGTAATCCCAGCACTTTGGGAGGCCAAGGCAGGTAGATCACCTGAGGTCAGGAGTTCAAGACCAGCCTGGCCAACACCGTGAAACACTCACTCTACTAAAAATACAAAACTTAGCCAGGCGTGGTGGTGCACTCCTGTAATCCTGGCTACATGGGAGGCTGAGGCAGGAGAATCGCTTGAACCTGGCAGGTGGAGGTTGCAGTGAGCCAAGATCACGCCACTGCACTCCAGCCTGGGTGACAGAGCAAGACTCCATCTCAAAAAGAAAAAAGAAAATGGGTAGCATAAGGCCTATCACCCGGGGTTGTTGGGAAAGTAAACAAGAAATGATGCAAGTGAGAGCCTCTGAGGATGCCTGGCCCCAGAGAGCCCCACATGGTGTCAGGGCACCTGAGTCAGGAGCTCACCTCCTCCACCCCTCCACTGTGTGGACAAAGTTGCTCAGCATTCTGAGAAGGTGTTGCCTTCATCCTCAAGGCCAAAATCAGCCCCACCAGAGATAGGGACAAGGTATTGTTAAGGCCCCTTGTGAGAGTCACCTCCCCCAACTCTCTGGCCTCACCTCCTGCTCCGCCCCGACCCCCCTACTGCACCTGTAGCCACATCTGCCTCCTCACTGTCCCTCAAGTACCCAGCCCAGAGCCCCGGCACAGGCTGTTCCCACAGCTCAGAATGTTCTTCCCAGATATCCACACAGCTCACCTCCCTGCATCCACTTCTCCAAGTGTGAAGCACAACAGGAAAAAGAGGACAAATGTTCGTTCCTGCATGGCCAACGCTCCAGCCAGCAAGAAGCACCTAGGATCTATGCTGAGGTGAGAAGGATGCATAGGAGCTCACGCGGTGAGAAGGATAGAGGAAATGATCCCAGGCAAAGGGAACAGGTGCAAAGGCCCTGAGGGTGCAAGAGGGCAGGGCCACGTTCAAATAGGATCAGAGGGATGGACTGCCAATCAATTCTGACATTCACATTCAATATGACCTTACTGTATTGAAGCATTTCCAAGTGTGCTGGGGACAGAGGATAAAGAGAATTAGACGTGGATCCTGGCTGCTAATTCCTCCCTCCCAACTTTCAGTCCATCCCAGAGAATCTCAAGGTGAGGTCAGGTATGGTCCTTGTCTGAGTCCCTGTGGGCTACTATAACAAAGTAGTAGAAAATTGTTACTTCAATGTCACCCTGAGTGACTGCCTCTAGAATCTTTGACTCTCAAACATGAAAACATCTACTTGTACCACTGTATGTATTAACTTCTGGATAATTGCAGTGGAGAAAGAGACAGAGAGAAAGGGAACAAACCAATTGCACCCCTACAAGGCACCTTGGGCCTTCATTAAATATCATCAAGGCATCCCAGCCCAGCCCAAACAAAATGACTCCCATCCACCACTCCACTCCTGACCCTCTTGCTGTGGCTTTACTTTTCTCTGTGACATTTATGATCACCTGTTTATGGTCTGTCTCTCCTCACTAGAATGCAAACATCATGAGGTCAGGAATTTGTACATGTGCATGTGTGTGTGTATACGTGTGTCTGTCTGTCTGTTCTGGTTTATGGTTTATTCTTTGAGTGCAGTTTATGGTTTATTCTTTGAGTGCAGTAGAAGTCAAGTTCCTTTTGTTCAACACACAGAGACTCCACACACACGCGAACCCCAGGAATGAAATCATTACACTACATTATAAGTTGGAAGAAGAGGGTGGGGGCAGGAGAGGGAAAAGGGAGGTGGGAAAAAGGGGCTCAGCCCCTAATGTAGGGGAGAAGGAATGCAGGAACGTTGTCTCTTTTATTCTTTGCTTTCTTCTCAGCACCTAGAATGTGCCTGGCATACAGTAGATGCTCAATAAATATTTGATCAAATGAATGAATGAGTAACTGTCCCCTTCTCAGCCAGGGACACAGTGCCTGCAAAAGATGTTACCAACTGAACCTGGATGACAGAGCCACACAGCCCCCTGTCCTGAAGCCCCAGGTCCTGAAGCCCCAGGAGAGGGGAGCTGGATGGAGCTGAGGCCAGGGTTTTCCGAAGGCCTGGACAGAACACAGGAGCACAGACTCCCAGTAGCCCCCAGCCACTGACCAAGCCCTGACAGTCCGCCTTTGGAAACTTATCCTTCCTCGTGTCCTGGGAGACACTAGCCCAAGTAGGACCCGAATGAGGCCTTAGCAAATACAAGCCGATTTGGGAAATCATCCTGAGGTTTGGTCTCCCGGCGTCAATGTGATGCATTCATGCCATTCATGCTTTGACCACCAGAGGTCACTGTGGCTGCACGTAGCGTTCCAAGATGGCCCTGGTTAGGTGTGAGTTTGTGGTTCTGATTTCACCTTCATCTCTGTGGCCCGGCAAGTGGGAAAACGGCACCTTCCAAGGACAACTCTGGGACTAGTGCTGGCATTACTAGAACGTACATGACTTAAGGTATGTCCTTATAAAAGCCATAGATACAATCAAACGATCGGCTCTAAAGTTGGGCTGTCCGGGTTAGAATCCCAGTTCTGCCTGCCTGTGTGATGTTGGGCGAAGCTCTCTGCCTCAGTTTCCCCTTCTACAAAATGGGATAATGATAGTGCCGTCCTTGTAGGGATTTTGTGAGGACTAAATGAGTAATGCACACAGAACTTTTAAAACAATGCTTGGCATATACTCAAGAATTGTAGAAGTGAATTATTTATTATTGCTTTTCCTCCATATGGCTAAACATGATTTTTAATGATAAATTCTGTGATTATTTTATTAATGGCTTTTTCCCCATTAGACTGTACCCTTTGTGAAGGCGGGGGTGGGGTTTACATGTTTTTTGGACTTTTTATTATGAAAAACTTCAAATACACATGAAAATAGAAGGAATAGTCTGTATCCGTTTCTATTCATCATTGCCTCCTTCCCCAGCTCCAAATGCAGTGCCCACTGCATTATAGTCCTTCGACAATGAATGGCCATTTATTAGGTGCTATTTATAAGCCACGGAGGGTGTTGGGCAGCAAATCTAAAGAGAGTGAATCAGACCCAGGCCCTGTGCACAAGGAGCTCACAATCTAATGAGAAAGGCTGCCTTAATTTGGTAATTTCCCAGGGTGGAGGTAAATAAATTGAGGGTATGATGTGGACATCTCACCTGGTCAGGTGAGGTTTCCTGAAAGAAGCATCTGTGATCTATAATGAGAACTGAAGGATGCATAGGCGCTCATGTGGTGAGAAGGATGGGGAAATGATCCCATGCAAAGGGAACAAGTGCAAAGGCCCTGAGGGTGCGAGAGGGCAGGGCCATGTTCCAATAGGATCAGAGGGATGGACTGCCAATCAATTCTGACATTCACATTCAATGTGACCTTACTCTATTGAAGCATTTCTAAGTGTGCTGGGGACTGAGGATAAAGAGAATTAGATGTGGATCCTGGCTGCTAATTCCTCCCTGCCAACTTACAGTCCATCCCAGAGCATCTCAAGGTGAGGTCGGGTATGGTCCTTGTCTGAGTTCCTGTGAGCTACTGCAATAGAGATTCTGTACACTGGGTGGCTTATAAACAACAGCTCTGGAGGCTGGGAAGTCTAAGATCAAGGTGGTGGCAGATTTGGTTTTGGTGAGGACCATCTTCTGACTCACAGAAGTGTTTCTCGGCTACATCCTCACCTGGTAGAAAGCGCTAGCTAGCTCTCTGGGGTCTCTTCTGTAAGGGCACTAATTCCTGATCACCTCCCAGGGGCTTCTAGAGGGATCACTTGGGAGACACCTGCAATCACCTGGACATGGTGGAATCAGGGGTTGAGATTCATGATGGTGGGAGTGAAAATGGAAAGCAAGACTGTGGGTGGGCCTAGACCACAGGCATGATCAACAGGGCAGATGCTAACCAGGATGGGTGGGATGGATGTTCACACCTGGCTTTTCTTAGCTGCGGTCAGACCTCACCAATCTAGTAGAGCCTATAATTCTTACCAAGGACCTGAGCAGCCTAGCTCCTGCATTTCTCATCTCTGCCTCCAATTCACTTCCACTCCCGCCTTGGCTCCAGCCACATTGGTCTCCTCTCTGTTCTGAAATCTACCATGCCCTTTGGCTCTTCCAGGTCTGCCTCCCATAGATGTATCTATCTGCCCACAGGGCCTCGTCACCACCAGTTCTCCCAGGCTGGATGATTCCTACCTAACCCCCTAGTCTCTGCTTAAATATGACCCCAGAGAAGCCTTCCCTGATCTGCCCTTCAAATTAGTTTCTCTCCCAATATGTTAATTTTTAATTTTTTTTTTTTTTTTGAGATGGAGTCTGGCTCTGTCGCCCAGGCTGGAGTGCAGTGGCGCAATCTCGGCTCATGGCAAGCTCTGCCTCCCGGGTTCATGCCATTCTCCTGCCTCAGCCTCCCGAATAGCTGGGACTACAGGTGCCCGCCACTATGCCCGGCTAATTTTTTTTTTGTATTTTTAGTAGAGACGGGGTTTCACCGTGTTAGCCAGGATGGTCTCTATCCTCTGACCTCGTGATCCGCCCGCCTCGGCCTCCCAAAGTGCTGGGATTACAGGCGTGAGCCACCGCACCCAGCCAATTTTTAATTTTTAGTGAAGTGGAATTAAGGAAAAGTATAAGGCTAAATTTTTTAAAAATTAGCAATTGAATATCTACGTGTGCATAATTACAATAACTTCTGTCTTCCCCATTCCACTATAAGCTCTGGGTGCACACACATCATGGTTTTGGTGTTCCCTGTTGTGTACCTAATGCCTGAGCAATGCCCAGCACATGGTAAATGCTTAATAAATATATGAATGAACGAATGAGGTGAATATTCATGCACATGCCTATTCAATAACCTGAATTACTATCACATTCCCATCCTTGAATGTCCAGCACTGAACGTCCCTGTTCCGTTTCCTGTTCCCTGGATGTCATCATCATACTTCTACTGGTAGTAGCCACCCCTGTCCTATTAGAAACAAAGTGCTGTGGTTTGGATGTTTGTCCCTTCCAAGTCTCATACTGAAATTTGGTCTCCAAATTTGAGATGGGGCCTAATGAGAGGTGTTTGGGTCATGGAGTGGATCTTTCATGAATAGATTAACGCCATCCCCCAGAGCGTGAGTTCTCACTGTCTCACTCACTGGTTCCAGTGAGAGTTTATTCTTAAAAAGTGCCTCACATCTCACCCATCCCCACCTTGCTTTCTCTCTCACCCGGCGATCTCTGCACACCTGGCTTCCCTTTGCCTTCTGCCATGAGTAGAAGCAGCCTGAGGCCCTCACCAGATGCAGATGCCCAATCCTGAACTTTCTAACCATCAGAATTTGGGAGTCAAATAATTTTTTTCTATGCAAATTACCCAGCCTCACATATTCCCTTATAGCAACACTAAATGGACTAAAACACAGGGGTACCCAACCCAAACCCATCCCCAAGTCACTCCATGTCTGATTAACCTTTTACTGTCTGAAGGGCACTCATTACTGTCAAATTATCTTAGTTTAGCTTGCTTAGCTGTTTCCTGTCTCCCTGTCCCAGAAGAGCAGGGATCTGGATTGTCTCTCTCACTGCCCATATCCAGGGGCACTGGCCTTAGAGTCTGCATATATCATTTTATTTTGCATTTCCACACATTACGAGTGAGGGGACAGAAGTCTGGGGAGGCCACCTGACTCCTAGGTCAGGCTAGTCATTGGCCAAGTAGCAATGATCCGAGTCTCTTACTCCCTGATTCATAACCTTCTCCGGGATCCTGGCAGGTCACAAGGCTCCAACACAAGGCAGGATTTCTTCTTCTACCCCAACTGCTGGAGCTTCCCTACAAGGCTCAGAGTAAATGCAAGATCATCTCATAAAGAAGACTCACAATGGTCTCCCCAGCCTCATCATGCCCTCAGCTACCCACCAACATACAGACAAAATTAATACAATTCATACAATTAGACTCCTGACCTGGGATGCCATAGCTTCACTTAGTAACCAACAACTCTCATGTCCTTGGAAACATTCCTCCCTTCCTTGGGTCTTTATTTACTCATCTATCTAAAAAACAAAACACAGGTGAGCAGCTCCCTCAATCTCTTCCCACATCTTCTCTATACATCCTTCAAGTCCACGGTTTTTGTTTTTTAATCTGAAAGTAATAATTTTTTCCCAACAACAAAATAGTGGGTGCATATCATGCTCCAAGCATATGCACAATCACATTATGAGTGCAGACTTCCTGCGAGAGCCAAAGCAATTACCATACCATTAGGTGGGCCATGCTTGGAGTACACAAACTTAGTCACGAGATTCCTGGAGGGATGCCCAGAAAGAAAAGAATAATCGTATGCATGTCAGAATACTTCCTAAGAAATATTTCTCCTAAAAGTTCCTTTTGAAACATGAGCTGGCAGGGAATTGGAGGACAGTTTTGTCATTGGTCAGGAACAGGCAGGAATTAAAGATAGAGACAAAGGGACATGTCTCTGGATGCAAAAATGTAAACAGTAAGCCCACCGAGAGACTTGGGGCTGGAACTGGCCAAGCTGACATTTTTATAAATGATCAAAAAAAAAAAAAGAAAAAAAAGAAAAGAAATGATGTAGTAACATCTACAGACATCCCTAAAAATTATTGCAGGTTGACATTCCAAGTAAGGAAGACTCAACTTGAAGACTGTACACATTAGTGACAATGACAAAGAGGGAATGCCAGCAAGGGAATGTAATAATGATTTAGAGAAAATTAATACAAAACAACATTATCTCAGTTAATAAAAAATGGGAACTGAGTTTCCGGTTCTAATTGGGATTAATTAATGCACCCATCACTCATTCATCCAGCAGCCTTTACAGAATCCTCACTACAGGTCCTACGAGGTGCTGGGATGATGGGCGCTCATGATGAGCAGACACCAGTGATGAGTCCAATAGAAGGACGTTTCTTAGAATGACTGGCGTGACTCTACAATCATGGGCCGCAGGCTGTAACCCTCTGGAGAAGATGGCCCACCCCAGAGGAGGGGTACTAAGAAGTCCCAAGGACTTTCCTCAGTGCCTCTTCTTTCATTTATCCCTAAAGGTTGGAGTTAGGAAGGTCATGTTCACATAGTAGGAATGTACTGTCTTTTAAGAGAAAATGTTAGTTATATTAAGATCTAATAGTAGAGAATTTTTAATGAGCCCCAAAAGGGTAGAAAATTTTTAAGAAAAGCAAGCTGGCTTTAAGGCTCACACACCTGTGGTTTGTCCAG
Source organism: Homo sapiens (assembly GCF_000001405.40). Taxonomy (NCBI): domain Eukaryota; kingdom Metazoa; phylum Chordata; class Mammalia; order Primates; family Hominidae; genus Homo; species Homo sapiens. The sequence goes on along the minus strand of NC_000001.11, from coordinate 13,955,637 downwards.
TTGTCCTCTCCTTCCCAGATTCCTGAGGTGGAGAACATCTTTGTGAAGAGTTTGGGCCATAATCCCAAAAGACACCACCCCAAATGCCATCATCCCCAATGTTGAATTCCTGAAAGACCAAAATCCCTAAAGTCTAAAATCCCAAAAATCACAATCCCAAAAGACCAAAATCCCAAAAATATACTTTAAAAAAATAATAATTTTAAAATTATTTAAAGGACATTTATTTATATTTTAAAAGGAGATTTATTCATATAAAAACTTGAGGCCACTTTACACAGTAAAATAGGCAATAAAAACATGTATTTTTATAATCATTAACACTCAGGTATACTAATGACAGTCATACGGGTATAACGGTTATGAGCAGACGGACCATATTAATAAAGAAATAGCTTATATAACTGTGGTCATCTGAAATACCACGACAGACAACCTAAATCTTTTGATGAGATCAATCAAAAACCACCACAATTCACCACCCATATACAGTCACCCAAAGAGCTGATATGTCAAGAAATTTTACCTTTCACAAGTGCAGGTATGCAAAAATGACATAGCTTCATTTTCTGAGGACCTTTCAACATTTTTACATACACACACAGTGCCTTATACACAGTCAAAGTGAAAATGTTACTTTCGAGGAGTCAAATTTGCAACAAAAAAAGCCTAAGACGAATTGGAGCTCTCTAAAAGTCTTTACACAATTTATACTTCTAGCATTGGAAAGAGGGTGAAGATGAAAAACACAGCATAGCAATTCGTAAAAACTAATGCTGACAATTTAAAATAGTGGGAAAGAAAGTAAAAAAAGAAAAAAGTCCAACCCCCTCAAGAAAACTAAAAAGAAATCTCAACATATGGAAGAATGTATTACAGGGATAAATTATGGGCAATTGCATGGAGGTAGTGCATAAGAGCTGGCCGACTTCTGAAGTCTTGCATGGTGATGAATGCTTGCTTTTCTTTTAGGGCATGGCTGTCCTCAGAGAATATGTTCACATTCATTTTCTACATGGCACGGCACTGCTTTTTTGAAATTCTTCTATGAGTTGACATGCATGAACACAAGCATTCCCTATGAAATTTTCCCATCTTCTTTGCCATGCTTCTATGTTGTTTTGAGTATATAAAAATCCATTCTGCATGCACTCATACACAGACCACAGATTTGGCAGAAACAATCCTGGTGATCAAAACAGCAACCCCATCACATCTTATCCTGTCATGCACAAAATTATTTTTGAACCAGTCAGTGATTTTGCTGACTTCTTCAGGAAAGCAAGTGTGGTTTTAATTCAACAAAAAAGCTCCCAGAATGTCATCAGCTGGAAGCAATGCCAATGCAGACACATGATGCGGTTTTGTGTTGTTGGTTTTTTTGTTTGTTTGTTTGGTTGGTTGGTTGGTTTTATTTTTGTTGTTGCTGTTTTTGAGACAGAGTCTCATTCTGTTGCCCAGGCTGGAGTGCAGTGGCGCAATCTCGGCTCACTGCGACCTCCGCCTCCTGGGTGGTGCGTTTTTAAACTGCAGTTTTTGTTGTTCGTGTATTGCTCAGCCACTCATTCATCTGAATTTTCCAACAAATGCATGGGGCCGAATGGAAAAAAACAAAGTTTACTGATAATACATTGAGATTCACTTTTTGAAGACTTGACCACACCTAATGGCAAACCTGCCATGGTTTGGGGATTCAATTAAATATTAGTGATTTTAGAATTAAGGGATTTCAACTTTAGAAATTTTGATCTTCCAGGATTTCAATATTCAGGAAAATGACATTTGGAATTTTGTCTTTTGAGATTATGATTGGTACCAATCTGGTGGCCACCATATTGGATGGTGCAACTCTAACAAGAGCTTTAGAAGAAAATGATTAGAATGTAAAAAACAAGCTAAAGACATGAATCTTCAGATTAAAAGAGTCCACCACGCTCGTGAAAATAGACCCATATTTAGAAATACAGTAGTGAACTTTCAGAACAAATTAAAAAGAAAACTCTAAAAGCTTCCAGAGAAGAAAAAAAAGAAAGAAAGAAAGGGTTACTAACATAGAAATGAGAATCAAATTGAGATCAGAACTATCATTAGCAACACTAAATGCTAGAAGAAAAGGGCTGGTGGGAGAAATTTCTGAGAACACGTTATTTTGGATCAGGAATTCTTTAATCAGACAAACAACCATTCAATTTTGAGGTGAAGATAAAACTTGGACATGGAACTCACTCAGTTCATCCTGAGGTCCTTCATAATGATCTTTGCAAAAGCCTCTCTCCCGTAGTCAGGCTTAGTGCAGAACCAAGATTGACTTCTACAGCATGAAGTACTCCACGGGCCAAAAAGTATCTCCAGATTCTGAGAGGTGTTACTTTAGACCATTCCAGGCCCTGAGAAGTAGCCTAACTCCTCCCTGAGTCAATAAAGCCAAAATTCACCTCCAACATGTAAGGGGTGAGAGGAGAGATAAGATAGTGCCTGGAAGAACTGCGGAAGCTCTGATCCTCCCAGGCCAATTGTCTATTGAATTCGGGGGCCGTTCTGTAGTTCCCACCACAGCCTGTTCTGTTGCTTCTACTTGAATACCTCTAACCACAGGTTTCTCAATACTCCAGGGCAGCCCATTCTGTTGATCATCAGGCAGCTTTGGCTGTTCGAATATCTTTTATGATGAGCTAAAAATGTATCTCCCTATATCTTAGGAAATAAAGAATCATATAACTAGGAGGAAAATCATAGAGAACTCTGGTTCAGTTTCCTCATTTTAAAGGCGACTAAGTGGAGATCCAGAGAGGGATAGGGACATCCCAAGGTCACACAGCACAATTGTGGTCCAGCTGATACTACTGGTATTTGAGCTCCGGCTGGCCAGTGGCCTTGCAACATGAGGAGCTTTCCTGGTGATCTGGCCAGGGGGACCTTTCAATGTCATGCGTCTGTGTGCACACAGGTTGACTTTATAAGGTGTTCTGAAAGCGATCGGGGGTTTATAACAGTTCCCAGAAGACCCTGCCCCAGCTTGCTGCTGTTTGTTCTCTCTCCTCTTTAAAAGGAACCAGCACAGGGCCCAAGAAGTAACCACAACTCCTCCCTGAGTCAATAAAGCCAAAATTCACCTCCATGTAAGGGGTGAGAGGAGAGATAAGATAGTGCCTAGAAGAATTGCGAAGCTCTGAGCCTCCCAGGCCAATTGTCCAGCCCTGTGCTGGCCATTCTGTTTCATCCTATCATCCCAAATCAATCCAAAAGAGCAGATATTGATATTATTATTATTATTATTATTATTATTATTATTATTATTATTATCTCCATTTTATACCTAAGACTCCAAGCAGTGAAGTGGCTTGTCCAAATATTCAGCATGACATGACAACATCCTACAGTGTGTAAGACCACATGAGTCATCTCCAAACCAGAACCCTTTTGAGAGTAATTCAATTTAGAAGACAAAAAGGCAGCCCAGTAAATAATATTAATAACAAATAAAGTAGAAGCTCTAGGGAGTCCTGAAACCCCTTTTCCTGCTCAAATAAGAAGCTGCTAAAAGAAAGGAGATTATGCAACAAATAGTCCTCAAACAATCAACAGCTCCCATAGGCCTGCAGGGATCTGGGTTAAGACACCACCCTTTCTTTACTGCAAACAGGCCTGACCTGGTTCAAGATTTCCCTGGGAAACTGTTACTAAAACTACCCAACTGATAATAAATAGCACAGCTAGGGCAGGCCAGATAACCACCAAGGCAACAGCACTGTGGGTCATACCTTGGCATCATGTGTCTTAAGGCACTTTTACTTGAGAGATTTTTATAAAAGCAGAAAGTGGGTGGTAAGGGGGTGGGAATCCATCTATGTCTGTATGGCTTGCCTGGACTTAGAGAAACACAAAGAGCATGATCATCATGGACAGCAACCCTGTGCTGGCCATTCTGTTTCATCCTATCATCCCAAATCAACCCAGAAGAGCAGATATTATTATTATTATTATTATTATTATTATTATTATTATTATTATTATCTCCATTTTAGAGCTAAGATTCTAAGCAGTGAAGTGGCTTGTCCAAATATTCAGCAAGACATAACAACACCCTACAGTGTGTAAGACCACGTGAGTCATCTCCAAACCAGAACCCTTTTGAGAATAAAGGGGACATTAGTAATAATTCTTCTGGGATGACAGGCATACTTTGGGGCCATCCTGAGCTCACCAGGAAGTGTGGTCCCCGAACCATGAGCCAGGCATGGGTCTAAGTGCTTTGCGTGGACTAGCTCATCTTATCCTCATCTACCCTTATCCCCATTTCACAGATGGGAAAGTCAAGCCACACAGCTGTGAAGTGGTAGATCCAGATCCAGGATTTGAACTTGGATAGGCTAACTCCAGGTCCCATGTCCCTTACCACACTATGCCTTGCTGCCTCTCCGGGAGCCAGGATGTTCACTCAAACATGCTGACCCCCAACACTGTGCACTGGGCACACCCACAGTGTCTCCTCTCTAAAGTCTTTGCTCAAAGAATCTCTACCTGACAATGCAATGGTATCGCCTGCAAATTCCAAATCCTTAATACAGGGCTGGGTATTAGCCAAAGAAAAAAGGCTGAAAGGAAGAGGAATCCCATGGACTCCAGGCAGGGTCATTTCCCAACAAGACCAGAAACATCCCGTTCTATCTTCTCCTTTGACAGTTTCCCGAGAACTGCAACACTATCACATCTTTTGGGAAGGCGATTCCTTCCTTTGTATACCTATTTAACACACAGTACTGGATAGACGACCTTGCCCCTGAAACGCCCCAAGAGGCAGCCAGTGGGAACTGCATCCTTGAACCCCCTTGACCTCTAGCTGCCCTGTGGGCTCAGTCAATGGGAGGCACATAGAGAAGTCAAAGAATGAGTGGCTGATGAGGTTGGGGTATTCGTTCCTCTGCTCTCTCCAGGCCGCAGCTCCTTCTAGGCAGCCCTTCCCTCTCCTGGTCTGCTCAGGCCTGAGGGTTATAATAACTCCTGCAGTCCGACGCTGCCTTTGTAAGCTGTATCTTTACTAAAAATCCCAATTTGAACACATCAACTACTACCTGCCAGATGCTGTTTCCTGATAGTCTAGTAAGGAAGCCCACAAGCAAGTAGATAACTCAGACAACTCATTCAAAAAATATTTTGAACATGAACTATTTGCCAGGCAGTACACTGAACGCTGGGGATATACAATAAGGAGAAACAGACACAGTCCTTGTCCTCATGGAGCTGACAGTCTGATAGGAGAGACCATCAAATCCCAGAAATGGGTACAAAAGGACAGCTGGAAGTGCTCTGTGGGGGCAATGTGGGATGCCAGAAGAGGTGACCTGGAAGGGCACTGGCCTGGCCAGGGAGGTCTGGAAGGCATAAGGGACACCAAGGAAGCATTGTGCAGGACCATCGGAGGAGGCGGGGACAGAGAAAAACCTGGGCACCCAATGACAAAGGCCAAGAGGGAGGAAGTGCAGCCCAAACAAAGCAGCAGGTGCATGAAGCAAAGGAAGAGGCCTGGGAGGGAGCAAGGCTCAGGGAGCAGGCTCAGCCCTGGGGTGTGGGGATGTGTTGGAAGAGGGGGCTGCAGAGCAAGGCAGGGGCGGGATCTGGAAGGCCCCTACCCACCATTCCAAGGCCTTTCAATCTTACTCGGACCCAGTGTCTCCAAATCTTAGCCATGAAGTTCCTCCTCACATCAAACTCAGTCTTATAGTCAACAGTTGCAGTGGGAATCCTCCCAGGTCCAAACTGGATGGTGTCTCGGCTGTGTTTTGAGCAGCAGCTTCCCCGTTACCTTTGACCTTAGAGGATGGATGTTGAGAATGGGGCTTTGGGGTCTGCCTGTCTGGGTTTAGATTCTGTCACACATTTGCCAGCTGGCTCAGCCTTGGGAAAGACAACTTCTAGCTGACCCAGATTACTTCTCCATCATAAGGTATATTCATATGGATAATAGGAGACCTTTTTGAATGTGATGAAGTTCAAGGAGTGCTAAGGACGCTGCTTGGCACAGAAAAAGGGCTCAGTAAAGTGTGAGCTGTTATGATCGCCATTATGGAACCCCATAGACATGGAAAAAAATCTCACCCTAAAAACACCTCGTCACACAGAGATGCTCACGGAAAGTCATGCAGAGGTTATTAAATATCTGATAAGGACCGCTGTCTGATATTGAGAAGCCTTATCATTTTTTAAGCCCTGAACAATCTAATTAGTGGTTGCTTTCAAAGCCAGTCAACCCTAAGTCTCCCCTGCTGCCTCTTAAACAGGAGGTATTTCTGCTGGCCCAGGCCCCTGCAGAAATTGTCTCCAAGTACAAGAGCTCATGGGATGTTCTTGGGAATGATTCAGTAACAAAACGCCACTTTGTGCCAGCAGATGTTTTGCAATAATTAAGTGTGGTCCCTGAACATAAAAATCAGAGCTGCTGAAAATAAAAATCTTGAGAGTAACTGCAATTTCTGGGACAGCTGCTCCCTCTGGGTACAGAGGAGAGGGGAAATGATGTTCTTACCAGAATGCTGGCTGGAAAGAATAATAGATTAGATCCAGAAAACCTGGGTTTGAGTTCTGTTTTACTCAGCATTTATCAGCGTATTTATTGAACACAGAGTACATGCTGGATGCTGGGTACGTCAGAGAGGCGATGCTGGGACATCTGAGTCATGCATCTTGAGTCCAGTCACGATTTTGCCTCTTGCTACCCGAGTGACCTTAGCCAAGTTACTTAGCTCTCTAAGCCTCCATTTTCATGTCTGTAACATGGGAAGGGGCCTAGGGCAGAACCTTGAGCCATATTTTCATTCCTGAAAATAACAGCAAAACAGGAGCCAGCAATACTTCTGAGGAGAAGCTTCCAGAGATACAGAATGAAAACCAGGAGATGGTGGACTGAGCATCATTGCAACAGGAAAAAGATTGTTTGCAGAAAAAAAAGAACGGTTCATGGCCACAAAGAGGTCTTGGGGGTAAGGCTCAAGAAGCCAACACTGGATCTCAAAACAGGAAGGTTCCATCCTGCAGAAGCCTCTCCACTGCCCCCTTTCCCCACACCAGATGTGTATGAGTCCGTTCTCACACTGCTATGAAGAAATACCAGAGACTGGGTAATTTACACCGAAAAGAGGTTTAATTGACACAGTTCTTCATGGCTGGGGAGGCCTCAGGAAACTGACAATCATGGCAGAAGGCATCTCTTCATAGGGTGGCAGGAGAGAGAATGAGTGCCCCGCGAAGGGGGAAGCCCCTTATAAAACCATCAGATCTTGTGAGAACTTGATCACTATCAGGGGAACAGCATAGGGAAAACCGCCCCCATGATTCAATTATCTCCACCTGGTCCTGCCCTTGACACGTGGGGATCATTACAATTCAAGGTGAGATTTGGGTGGGAACACAGAGCCAAACCATATGAAGGTGGTTCAGCAGCCTGACGTTTCCAGAATCCTTCACTCTTTCTCTTCTATACCTGTAGTAGGATGAAATAGAACCATACCAAGAAATCAGTTCTTAACCCCTGGAATCTGTGACTGTTACCTCAAATGAAAAAGCAGTCTTTGCCATTAAGGATCTTGAGATGGGAAAGATTATCCTGAATTATCTGAGTGGGCCCTTGGTATGAGCTAAACTGTATCCCCCCAAAATTCATATGTTGACATCCTAACCCCAGAAATTGCTGACCAGGGAAAGAATACAGAAAAGCTAACTCAGAGTGCGACTGTGTTTGGAGATAAGGTCTTTAAAGAGGTCATTGAAATGAGGTCCTGAGGATGGGCTCTGATCCAACATGACTGGTGTCCTTATAAGAAGAGATTAGGACACAGGCACACACAGACGGAAGATCACGTGAAGATACAGGGAGAAGACGGCTGTCTACAGCCAAGGAGAACGGACTCAGAAAAGACTAACACCGCTGACACCTTGACCTGAGACTTCCAGCCTCCAAAACTGTGAGACGATAAATTTCTGTTGTTTAAGCCCCCAGTCTGAAGTATTTGTTACGGCAGCCAGGGCAGACTAATACAGCCCTAAGGGCAATCACAAGTGCCCTGACAAGAGGGAGGCAGAGGGAGACTTGACACAGACACACTGCAGATGAGGAAGCAATGTCACTGATATGGTTTGGCTCTGCGTCCCCACCCAAATCTCATCTCAAATTGTAATCCCCATAATCCCCACATGCCCAGGTGTCAAGGAAGGGACCAGGTGGGAGGTGATTGGATCACGGGGGCGGTTTCCCCCATGCTGTTCTCATGAGTGAGAACATGCATCTTGAGTCCACTCACGATTTTGCCTCTTGCTACCCGAGTGACCCTAGGCAAGCTGCTGAGTGAGTTCCCGTAAGAGCTGATGGCTTTAGAAGGCAGTTTTCCCTGCTCTTGCTCATTATCTCTCACCTGCTCCCATGCAAGATGTGCCTTCTTCCCCTTCTGCCATGATCGTGAGTTTCCTGAGGCTTCCCCAGCCCTGAGGAACTGTGTGTCAATTAAACCTCTTTCCTTTATGAATTACCAAGTCTCAGGCACTTCTTTATAGCAGTGTGAAAACAGACTAATACAGTGACCATGGGGGCAGAGATCAGAGGGATGCAGTCACAGGTCAGGGAATGGGACAGCCACCAGAAGCTGGAAGAGGCAAGGAACGGATTCTCCCCCCAAGCCTCCAGAGAGAATGCAGCCCCACTGATACCTTAATTTTGGACATCCGGCTTCCAGAACCATGAAAGAATGCATTTCTGTTGTTGTAAGCCACTAAGTTTGTGGTCATTCGTAACAGCAGCCACACACATGAAAATACACTACCTAATATTAAAATATGAGGCATCATTTACAGGGCTCAGGTGCAGTGCTAGGAAGTAGGGTTACGGAGTAACACAGATAAAGACAGTGTCAGGTGACCTCAGGATCATAATACCTTAGCCATCTAGCATCTTTGACACACATTACAGGGCACAAGCAGGTGATCATGACCCTTTTGGAATATTAGTTCAACAAGTGTTTCTTAAGGATCCCAAGGATTGTCCTAGGTACTGGAGCAGGGGACAGTTGTGAAACAATGTCATAGGGAATTTTTAAACTTCCTCGTACTCCCTGGAATTTCCCAATTTTCTACAGTGAGTATAACCATAATGATTAGTATTGATCACGGTGTCGGCAGACTTCTGTGCTCTTGATTCTTCTTAATCCTCAAATTGCTCACTTTATTTCTATTTTATGGATGGGGAGAAGGAAAAGTAATTTGTCCCAGGTCACATGGATAATAAGAGGAAAATCCCGTTTTGAAACCCAGGAAGACTGGCTCCAGAATCGCAACTCTTCGCCTCTATGCATTCTGTGATTGAGAAAACAAAAACCATGCTTTAGAAGGCAGCTGTGTGATGTTTCTCCTCTTCTATCAGTAAGACTGTGGTAAGCATACTAGAATAAAGGCACTTAAATCATGACATGAGGGATTCGGGTTAGCCAAAAGAATGCATTTCTTAATAGAAAAGCACCAGAAATTGCTGACCAGGGAAAGAATACAGAAAAGCTAACTCTGGGTTTATTTAAAAATAGGAAGGTAGTTTCATCTGTCTGAGTGACTCTCCTGAGGACTTGGAAGCCCAGATTGTCTAACCACTGCCATCTGGCAGTTCTTGGTGCTGGAGAGAGGCCTTTTTTGGAAACAACCAAGACCCATAACTGTGCTTCCTCAGAAGTCCAGCAATAGGGACTTGGGCAGAGAAGGGAAGCAGGCATAGGAGCCATCTCGGATGTTCTGAAAACCACACCACTGCATCTTCCCCAATTCAGGTGGCCCTTGCCAGAACCAGCATTCCAATATCCCAGTTCACCCCATCTACCAGGCACCGGCTTCATAAAAAAATGTACTAAAGACTTAGGTTTAAAAACATTCTCTCTCTCTCTCTCTCTCTCTCTCACACACACACACACACACACACACACACACAAACTGAGAGCAAATGTCATTTAAAAAAATCATCCTATGGAACAGCTGTGTTAAAATTCCCAACTATGATTGTGGGTACACTGTTAGTTTTACCATTCATTGCTATATATATATTGTGAGTTGATATTAGCAAAGTGCACAGAACTTTTTTTTTTTTGAGATGGAGTCTCACATTCCTGATCAATTCTAATTTTTTTTTTTTTTTTTGAGACGGACTCTCCCTCTGTTGCCCAGGGTGGAGTGCAGTGGTGCCATCTCAGCTCACTGCAACCTCCGCCTCCCAGGTTCAAGTGATTCTCCTGCCTCAGCTTCCCGAGTAACTGGGATTACAGGCATGGGCCACCATTCCCTGCTAATGTTGTATTTTTAGTAGAGATGGGGGTTTCACCATGTTGGCCAGGCTGGTCTCGAACTTCTTACCTCAGGTGATCCATCTGCCTCGACCTCCCAAAGTGCTGGTATTATAGGTGTGAGCCACCACGCCCAGCCTGCACATAAATTTTTTATTCATATCTTCCAGATAGTATATCTTTCAGGTGGATTGAGCCTGTTATTGTTATTATTATGAAATGTTTCTCTTTATATCTAGTAATGTCTTTTACCTTCAGGTCCACTTTGTTTTATATTTTTTAAATGACACTAGCTTTCTTTTGATTAGTGTTTACAATGATATCTCTTTCTCTCCTTTTATTGTAAATCTGCCTGTATCACATATTTAAGGGATATCTCTTGTAAGCTCATAGTGTTGGATTTTTTTCTTTGTTACTGAGAACATCTAGTCTATTTACATATAATTATTTATATATCCAGGTTTATATCAACTATATTACTATTTGTTTTCTACTTGTCAAAACTATTTTATGTTGCTTATTTTATCTTTTCTTGTCTTATTTTTGATTAATCAAGTATTTTAATTACAATTATCCCTCTAGTAGCTTTTTAATTACACATTTTTCACCCTTCTATTAGTGGTTACCATAGAGATAATGACACACATCCTTGACTTATTACAGTCTAATATAAATTACTACTTTTACTGCTTTGCGGCCATTCAAGGCATTTAAAACACTACCTCCATTTACTTTCATCTGCCTTTGTGCTACTGCAGTTACGTATTTTAATTCTACATACATTTGAAACAACTTTATTCAGGTATATCTTACATATCATAATACTCATCTCAAGTGTACAAGTCAATGATGTTTACTACATTTTACCAGGTGGTGCAACTATCACCATAAATTTATTTTATAGCAATTTACCCCCCGATAAAATCCTTCATGTCCATTTACAGTTAATCTCCATTCCCATTTCTAGACCTAGGCAACCACTAATCTGCTTTCTGTTTCTATAAATTTGCCTTTTCTGGATATATCATAGAAATGGAATCGCAGTGTGTGGTTGGTCTCTTGTGTCTGGCTTCTTTCACGTCGCGTGCTATTTTCAACGTTCATCTATGATGTAACGCGTATCCGTAGTTTATTCCCTTTTGTTGCTGAATAGTATTCCATTGTATGATATGCCACACTTCTCTGTCTTTCACCAATTAATGAACACTTAGGTTATTTCCACTTTGGGGCTATTATAAACAAGGCAGCTATGAGCATCTGCATGACAGTCTTTGTGTGGACAATGGTTTTCATTCCTCTTGGGTAGATAGCCAGAGGTGGAATTGCTATGATAGTTTTACCTTTACCTTTTTTAGTAAGTGCCAAACTTTTCCAAAATGATTGCACCATTTTACATTCTGACCAGAAATACTGGAAGGTTCCCATTTCTCCATATCCTTGTCAAAGTTTGTTATTTTCTATTTATTGTAGCTGTTCTTTTGAATGTGAAATAGTATACCATTGTGATTTTAATTTGCATTTCCCTAAGGACTAATGCTGTTGAGTATCTTTTCATGGGCTTATTAGCCATTTGTATATACCATATAGGCTTCTTTTTTATTTATATATATTATTTGTTTTAGAAAATCAGTGAATATTTAGATTTGCCAATAACTACTCTTTGTATTGGTCTTGAACCCTTTCTGCATGTTTGTTCTTCCTTCTGGGATCATGTTTCTTCTACCTGAAAACTCCCTTTGGTAGATTTCTTTTAGTATTTTAGAATACATTCTCTAGATTTTTTTTCTTTTTCTGAAAACACCTTTATTTAAGCTTTGTGTCCTAAGATTATTTTCTGTAAATATGAAATTCTAGGTGGTTATTATTTTTTTTAAAAAATTTTTTTTAACATAGAGATGGGGTCTTGCTATGTTGCCCAGGCTAGTTTTGAACTCCTGGCCTCAAGGGATCCTCCCACCTCAGCCTCCCAAAGTGCTAGGATTACAGGTATGGGCCACTGTGCCCAGACACTATTATCTTCTTTCTGCACTTTAAAGATGCCATTCCATTGTCTTCTGGCTTTCATCAGGTCCTTAGGGAAGTCAATTGTTTGTCTTGTTGCTCTTTTGAAAGTAGTATCTTCTTCTCTCTAACTTCCTTTTTTCATTTTCATAAGTTTTGTGATGATCTGCCTACAGTAGTCTTCTTTGTACTTACTTGGATTGTGGTTTATAGAACTTCTTGGGCCTATGGCTTGATGATATTAATCAGTTTTGGAAAATCTTGGCCAGTATCTCTTCAAATATTGTTTCTGCTTCACTGTCTTTTTTCTTCTCATTCTGGAACTTCAATGATACTTATTGGATCTTTTTTACCATGTCCATATGTCTCTTACCCTTTTTCTCTTTATGCTTCACTATGTAGGTTACTACTGGTCTTCCAGGTTGCTTATCTTCTTTGCTGTTGTGTCTAATCTGTTGTTAAACCCATATATTGAATTAATTTTAGCTAAAGTACTTCTCAGTTCTAGAGTTGTTATCTAATTTTTATAGATTCTAGCTATTTGACAAAATTATCCGTCTTCTCATCTATTTTATTAAGCATATTAATCACAATTATTTTAATGTCCATGCGTAAATAACTTCAAGTCTTTGTCTTGGTTTTTTGTTGTTTTGTCCTATTTCCTAGCGTGCCTGAGATTGTTTTTTATTCAATCCCAGAGATTGTGTATGAACAATTATAAAGAGAATTTGAGGTGTTGGTGAATTATATATATACATTTTTTTTTTTTTTTTTTTTTTTTTTGAGACGGAGTCTCGCTCTGTCGCCCAGGCCGGACTGCGGACTGCAGTGGCGCAATCTCGGCTCACTGCAAGCTCCGCTTCCCGGGTTCACGCCATTCTCCTGCCTCAGCCTCCCGAGTAGCTGGGACTACAGGCGCCCGCCACCACGCCCGGCTAATTTTTTGTATTTTTAGTAGAGACGGGGTTTCACCTTGTTAGCCAGGATGGTCTCGATCTCCTGACCTCATGATCCACCCGCCTCGGCCTCCCAAAGTGCTGGGATTACAGGCGTGAGCCACCGCGCCTGGCCGGTGAATTATATTTTTCTCCAGAAAAAAAATTTGTTCTGCTTTGAGGTAGAGTGAAGGTAAATCACCTCAATCCGGTTGAGAATTGAGGGATTTGAAGCTGGGCTTTAGTCTTTTCTGAGGGATGCTCTATTTTCAATCCACTCTAACTCCTAAAATAGAGCCATTTCAGGGCGCTAACTGGAATTGCCAGGGACCTTCCTCCTTAGCAGACCTTAATTTCAATATTTGTTGGCCCAGACCCATAAGACTTCCAAAATTCCTGCTTTGTTTCCTTGTTTTGTTTTGACTACTGAGTTCTGTTCAACTTCTTAACTCTTAGCCTCACACAGGTTGCAATTGTCAAATGCCTTAAAAGAGAAGACACAGCAGAAAATTGGACTAACATCATTGGATTTCTCCTCCCTCTGGATGCTGCCTCCCTAAGTGCTGGCTGCCTTGGTAGCTCTTTGGTGTTCTCACACACATGAGTTTTGTTGTTGCTGTTGGTGGTGGTGGTGATGGTGGTAGGTTTGGTTTGTTTTATTTGGGGCCGGTTTTTCTACTTGTTGTCAGTAGGAAAATTTTTCTGCAACAAGTTTCTCTTCCATTAACAGAAAGAAAATCTGAAACACAGCTGTGCTTGTTCTAAAGTGCTACTTACTGCTGAAACTTCAGAATAAAGAACCCCCAGGAGAGGATGCCTCCTGGGACAGAATCCACCAATCCCATCTGCTTTACATAGGCACTCGCCAAAAAATCACCACCCCTGACTTGACTTGCCAAGGTTTGGGTTACTGATGTGAGAGGTAAGCAGAGAGGAGGCCTGTCCAACCTAAATGTGAGTCATAGTCTGGGAGACCACATGTAGCTGAGGACTGAGGACCACAGGCTTCCTGAGCTGTTCCCTATTCATCTCCAGCACATAGTAGATTCTCAATAAATGTTTGATAAAGGGAAGGGAACTGTTTGAAAGAGTGTGTGAGCAGGTATGAAAGAGACCAATATTTCCTATGTAGTAGTCATTGATTATGCAGATATTCCCCCCTACTCCTTTTTATTGTTTTTTTTTTGTTGTTGTTGTTGTTGTTTTAGATGGAGTCCTGCTCTGTTGCCCAGAGTGCAGTGGTGCGATCTTGGCTCACTGCAACCTCCACCTCCTAGGTTCAAGCGATTCTCTCCCCCTCAGCCTCCCGAGTAGCTGGGATTATAGGCATGTGCTACCATGCCTGGCTAATTTTTGTATTTTTAGTAAAAACGAGTTTCACCATGTTGGCCAAGCTGGTCTCGAACTCCTGACCTCAGGTGATCCACCCACTTCCGCCTCCCAAAGTGCTGGGTTTACAGGTGTGAGCCACCATGCCCAGCCCAGATTTTTCCCATTTAATATTATAGATGCATTTCAGAACTTTTAGGTATAAATATAATTCATATTCTTTGGATATTTTAATTAATTTAAGAATATTTGCAACAACTCACTGTAAAAGTTTAAAAAAATGGAACCCAAGCAATGTCCCAGTAAGGGTAGCAGCAGAAATTTTTTTCAACCCCAATCATATACAAGGTACTACGTATTTTTTTCCTATTAATTTTCCAGTTCACTAATCTCTTCTGTTGTGTCTAACCTGTATATTGAGTTAATTTCAGTTATAGTATTTTTTCAACTCTAGAGTTGTCATTGATTCTTTTTTATGTATTCTACTTCTCTGGTAAATTATCTGATATGTATATGTCATCAGAAAACTAGAACTGAAGAGAGAAGTTTCAAATATACACAATCAAAAATGATAAAGGTAGCATTACAACTGACACCACAGAAAGATAAAAGATCATCAGAGACTACTATGAGCATCTCTATGCACACAAACTAGAAAACCTAGAAGAAATGCATAAACTCATAGAAACATACAACCTCCCAAGATTGAACCAGAAAGAAACAGAAATACTGAACAGACCAATAACAAGTGTGAAATTAAATCAGTAATCAAAAAAAAAAAATCTCCCAACAGAAAAACTCCCAGGAGCAAATGGATTCACAGCTGAATTCTATCAGATGTGCAAGGAAGAACTGGTACCAATCCTACTGAAACTATTCCAAAAGAATGAAGAGGAGGGAATCCTCCTAACTCATTCTATGAAACCATTAACACCCTAATACCAAAGCCATGTAAGGATGCAACAAAAAAAGAAAACTACAGGTGAGTATCCCTGATTTAGTTTGGATGTTGTTCCCTCTAAATCTCATGTTGAATTTTAATCCCCATCATTGGAGGTGGGACCTGGTGGGAGGCGATTAGATCATGGAGTCAGATTTCTCATGATTGGTATAGCACCATCCTCTTAGTGCTATCCTCAGTATAGTGAGTTCTCATGATACCTGGTTGTTTAAAAGTCTGAGGCGCCTCCCCCACCACCCTCTTGCTCCCACTCTCATCATGTTTTGTGCCAGCTTTTTCTTTGCCTGCTGCCATAAGTGAAAGCTCCCTGAGGCCTCCCCAGAAGCCAAGCAGATGCCAACACCATGCTTATATAGCCTGTGGACTATGAGCCAATTACATCTCTTTTCTTTATAAATTAC
Organism: Homo sapiens; assembly: GCF_000001405.40. Taxonomy (NCBI): domain Eukaryota; kingdom Metazoa; phylum Chordata; class Mammalia; order Primates; family Hominidae; genus Homo; species Homo sapiens. The sequence continues at coordinate 13,939,703 of NC_000001.11, read as the reverse complement.
CCAGTCTCAGGTATTTGTTCATAACAATACAAGAATAGCCTAAAACAGGAGTGGGGCATTGCTATAAAGATATCTGAAAATGTGGAAGTGACTTTGGAACTGGGTAACGGGCAGAGATTGGAAGAGTTTGGAGGGCTCAGAAGAAGACAGAAAGATGAGGGAAAATTTGGAACTTCTTAGAGACTGGTTAAATGGTTGTGACCAAAATGCTGATAGTGATGTGGACAATTAGGTCCAGGCTGACAAGGTCTCAGATAGCAATGAAGAACTTATTGGGAACTTGAGCAAAGGTCACTCTTATTATGCCTTAGCAAAGAAATTGTGCTCATGCCCTAAGGATCTGTGTAAGTTTTAACTTAAGAGTGATGACTTAGGGTATCTGGTGGAAAAAAATTCTAAGCAGCAAAGCATTAAAAATGTGGCCTACACTCAGATGCAGGAGCAAAGAAATTGCTTAAAGCTAGAATTTTTATTCAAAGAGGAAGCAGAATATAAAGTTTTAAAAATTTGCAATCTGGCTAAATGGCAGAGAAATACAAAGCATTATCAGAAGAGGAATACAAGGGAGCTGTGGAGCAACCACTTGCTAGAGATATTAGCATGACTAAAAAAGAGCTAGGTGCTGATAGCCAAGACAATGGAGAGAGACCTGGAAGTCACTCCAAAGATCTGCAAGGCAACCTGGAGATCACAAGGCAGAGGCCTAGGAGGAAAGAATGGTTTTGTGGGCAAGGCCTGGGGCTCCAATGCCCTGTGTCACTCCAAGAGGATACTCCCCACATCCCTCCTGCTCCAGCTCTAGCTGTTGCTCAAAGGACCCCAAGTACAGCTCATGCTGCAGAGGGTGCAAACCATAGGCCTTGGCAACTTCCACATGGTGTTAAGCCTGCAGGCACACAGAGAGTGAAGGAGGTTTGGCATCCTCTACCTAGATTTCAAAGGATGTATGGAAAATCCTGGGTGTTCAGGCAGAAGCCTGCTGCAGAGGTGGTCCCCTTCCCACAGCTCCACTAGGCAGTTCCCCAGTGGGGATTCTGTGTGAGGCCTCCAATCCCACGTTTTCCTTCGCCACTGCCCTAGTAAAGATTATCTGTGAGGGTTCCACCCTGGCAGCAGACTTCTGCCTGGACACCAAGGATTTGAACTGGAAGCCCTAGCTAGAGAAATCAGGAATGAAATAAATAAATAAATAAAAAGCATCCAAATTGGAAAAGAGGAAGTCAAATTATCTTTGTTCACAAATAATATAATCTTACACTTAGAAAACCCTAAAGGCTCCTCCAAAAGACTCCTAGATTTGATAAGTGACTTCAGTAAAATTTCAGGGTAAAAAAATCAATGTACAAAAATTAGTAGCATTTCTATACACCAGGAATGATCAAGCAGAGAACCAAATCAAGAACTCATTCCCATTTATAATAGCTAAAAAGAAAGTGCCTAGAATACATTTAACCAAGGAGCTGAACGATCTCTACAAGGAGAACTACAAAACACTGATGAAAGACATCATAGGTGACACAAACCAGAAAAAAACTTCCATGCTCATGGATTGGAAGAATCAATATTTTTAAAATGACCATACTGCCCAAAGCAATCTACAGATTCAATGCGATTTCTATTAAATTATCAACATCATTTTTCATATTTCAATTAGAAAAAACAATCCTGAAATTCACATGGAACCAAAAAAGAGTCTGAATAGCCAAAATACTCCTAAGCAAAAATAACAAAACTGGAGACATCACATTATCTAACTTCAAATTATACTATAATGATACTACAAGTTTATAACAGCATGGTACTGGCATAAAAATAGAAACATAGGTCAATTGAACAGAATAGAGAACCCAGAAATACAGCCACATACCTACAACCAGCTGATCTTTAACAAAGTCAACAAAAATATACACTGAGGAAAGACACCCTATTCAATAAATGGTGCTAGGAAAATTGGTTAGCCATTTACAAAAGAATAAAACTGGACCCATATCTCTCACTATACACAAAAATTAACTCAAGATGGATTAAAGACTTAAATATAAGACCTGAAACTCTAAAAATCCTTGAAGAAAACCTAGGAAAATCTCTTCTGGACATTGGTATAGGCCAAAGAACTTACGACTAAGTCCTCAAAAGCAAATGCAACGAAAACAAAAATAAACAAATGAGACTTAATTAAACTAAAAGCTTCTGCATAGCAAAAGAAATAATCAACAGAGTAAACAGACAACCTATGCAATGGGAGAAAATATTTGCAAACTATGCATCTGACAAAGTACTAATATCCAGGATCTACAAGGAACTCAAACAACTCATCAAGGAAAACAACAAATAACACCATTAAAAAGTGGGCAAAGGATGGCTGGGCATGGTGGCTCATGCCTGTGATCCCAGCACTTTGGGTGGCCAAGGCAGGCGGATCACGAGGTCGGGAGTTCAAGACCAGCCTGACTAACATGGTGACCCCATCTCTACTAAAAATACAAAAAATTAGCCGGGTGTGGTGGCATGTGCCTGTAATTCCAGCTACTCAGGAGGCTGAGGCAGGAGAATCACTTGAACCCAGGAGGCAGAGGTAATGGTGAGCTGAGATTGCACCACTGCACTCCAGCCTGGGCAACAGAGTGAGACTCCATTTCAAAAAAAAAAAAACAAAAGAAAAAAAAAGTGGGGAAAAAACATGAATGGACATTTTTCAAAAGAAGATATACAAGTGGCCAAAAAACATACATAAAAATGCTCAACATCACTAATCATCAGAGAAATGCAAATTAAAATCACAATGAGATACCATCTTGCACAGTTGTAATGGCTTGATTCAGCAATCCCACTACTGGCTATCTACCCAAAGGAAAAGAAATTGCTTTATAAAAAGACACCTGCACTAGTACGTTCATCACAGCCCTATTCACAATAGCAAAGTCATGAAATCGACATAACCTAAGTCTGTACACATATACATACACCATGGAATACTACCCAGCCATTAAAAAGAATGAAATCATATCTTTTGCAGCAACAAGAATAGAGCTGGAGTCCATTATCCTAAGTGAAATAATTCAGAAACAGAAAGTCAAATAGTGCATGTTCTCACTTTTAAGTAGAGCTAAACAATGGGTACACATGGACATAAACAGTGGGAAAACAGACCTTGGAGACTCCAAAAGGTGGAAGAGTGGGAGGGAGGTAAGGGTTGAAAAATTACCTGTTGAGTACAATGTTCATTATTCAAGTGATGGATACATTAAAATCTCAGACTTTACCACTACACAATATATCCATATAGCAAAACTGCACTTGTAGGCCAGGCATGGTGGCTCATGCCAGTAATCCCAGCACTTTGAGAGGCCAAGGCAGGTGAATCACCTGAAGTCAGGAGTTCGAGACCAGCCTGACCAACACGGAGAAACTCTGTCTCTACTAAATATACAAAAAAAAAATTAGCCAGGCATGGTGGTGCATGCCTGTAATCCCAGGTACTCAGGAGGCTGAGGCACGAGAATCGCTTGAACCTGGGAGGCAGAGGTTGTGGTGTGCCGAGATCGCACCATTGCACCCCAGCCTGGGCAACAAGAGCTTGAAACTCTGTCTCAAAAAAAAAAAAAAACTGCACTTGTACCACCTAAATCTATAAAAATAAAAATTTAAAAAGGAAACTAGAATATATAGTATAAATACTAGGATAAGATACACATACCAGATATGTAATGATATATACAAATCATATAATAGTATATATATTCTAGTATATATATTCTAGTTTTCTGATGATGTACATATATTAAATAATTTATCTGATTCTACACACACACACACACACACACACACACACACACACACATTAGGATGTAAAAGTAATTATCCACATTCTAGAAATGGGAAATCTGGGGCTCAGAGGTGTGAAGTGGCTTGCCCAGTCAGTAGTGACTTTGTCAGCTACTAAATTCAAACCAAACTATGAAGTTCATGTTCCATCTACTACCCCACGCTGTAAACTGTAATATTTATAGCGGGGATTGTCTTAATTCAAGATGCAACTACACATGTGTTTGTGGCTTATAGGCCAGTGCTGAAGCTCTCTGCTGGAAATGTAACCTCCCAACCGTGAGCTGCAGATAGGTGGCCAGCTCTCCAACCTCTTCACTCCCACACTTCTAAGCCATAAAATGGCATCCCCAAAGGCCAGGTTCTTGGAAAACAGCCAACGTTCTGTTAAGTAGGATGGTGGCAGCATAGCACAGCAGTCAAGATCACAGGCTCTGTTGCCAGATTGAGTGGGTTTGAATCCCCGTTTCTGCCCTTCCCAGTTGTTTCACCTTACACAAGTCTCTTGCATCACTTTCTGCATCATAAAATGAGAATTAAAACAGTTCAGCTTGTTGGAAAGATTGGATAACAGAATATATGTAAAATGCTTAGTCAGTACTGAAGGCTTATTATTATTATTATTACTACTACTACTATTTGATACGGAGTTTCGCTCTTGCTGCCCAGGCTGGAGTGCAATGGCGCCATCTCGGCTCACTGTAACCTCTGCCTCCTGGGTTCATGCGATTCTCCTGCCTCAGCCTCCCGAGTAGCTGGGATTACAGGCACCTGCCACCACACCTGGCTAATTTTTCTATCTTTAGTAGAGACAGGGTTTCACCATGTTGACCAGGCTGGTCTTGAACTCCTGACCTCAGGTGATCCACCTGCCTCGACCTCTCAAGGTGCTGGGATTACAGGCGTAAGCCACCACACCCGGCCCTGAAGGCTTATTATTATGCTAATTCAATTTCATTTCATCTCTCGGTAAAAACTCTCATTGAACCTGCACTGGGGTTAGGGATTAGATTGATTAGATTGATGAGTAAGACCCAGTTTCCACCTTCAAAGAGCTCTCAGTCACTCAGAGGAGCCGGGCAAGTAAACAACCCAAGTAAATAGAGTGAATCTTGCCCAAGGAGTAAATACAATGCCCGGAAGCCCAGTGGTCAGAGGAACCCCTTCCAACTTTGGGTCTTAAAGGATAGAAAGGGTTTCAACAGGCAGAGAGAAAGAGAAAGAGAGAAACAGCAAACAAAAGTCACAGTCACATGAAACTGTCTATCTGGACAGACCAGTGAGATTCCAGCATGAGGGGAAAGTAGGATTTGGAGAGAGAGAACCTGTTCTCCACCAATCCCACCTCTTCTTGGGTATCAGTGAAGGAGATTTTCTAGCCGTGTCTTTTGCCCGTGTTCATTTGTTCTGCTTATAGGAATTTCATAGACTTTGACAAAAGCACAATGACATTAAATTTACAGGTAAGGATTTGCCTCTAGAGAGTGGCAGGCTTATCTATGCTTATGGCCTTTTCCAGGCATCTCTTTCCAGACGCTTCCCCGGGGAGTGCCATCTCAAGATGGTGGCTCTTCACACACCCCCAGTGCCCCAATGGAGGCTCACAGAAAATCTGAGGCACACTTTGTCCTTGAGGAAACTCAACCTCACTTTACCCTTTGTCGCAACTTATCTGGCAGAGAGAGGCAGCAGTTGCTTTTGCTCCTGTGAGTCTGGTGATCATTCTTTGCTGTTACTTTTATATTTTCTATTTTATGCATCTATTCTATACTAGTTCCCAGGGAGAGAAATATCTATGTTATTTAAAAGGACTGGTACAGGCTATTTCCATTTATTCAAAGGCGTGGAGGTATTCTTGGTAATCTTGTCTTTCTTTTCTTGACTTCAAGCTGGCTTTCTTTTCTCATCCAACACATCTTTTGTCTCTGACGGTCTTCTTTAAGAATTCATCCATCCATTCATTCATTTCCAAAAAGTAATAAGGACATCAGCCTTAGAGGCAGACAGCCCTGGGTTAGAATACTAACCTGCCACTAACCAGATATGTGGCTTAGGAAAGTTAGTCTACCTTTCTGAACCTCAGGCACCTCATTGGGTCATAATTTCAATCAAATGAGCACAATGCCTTCATGACCAGTGCCTGCCACATAGCAAGTACTCGATGAATGATTTGCTATTATTCTCACCATTAAAATGACCATTCAGCAAATATTAGCCTGTCAGCTCCATGAGGGCTGGATTTGGGTTTGTTCTGTCCATAGCTATGCCCACAAGGTCTAGAACTAAGCCAGGCAAAAAACAAAGGTTCAGTAAACACTTGTCCAATGAATGAAGGACCACTGACTTTGTACCAGACCCTACCAGACTTGATTAATATTTTTTGGGGGGGACGGAGTTTTGCTCTTGTTGCCTAGGCTAGAGTGCAATGGCGTGATCTCGGCTCGCCACAACCTCCGTCTCCCGGGTTCAAGCAATTCTCCTCCGTCAGCCTCCCGAGTAGCTGGGATTACAGTCATGCGCCACCACGCCTGGCTAATTTTGTATTTTTAGTAGGGACAGGGTTTCTCCATGTTAGTCAGTCTGGTCTCGAACTCCTGACCTCATGTGATACACCCGCCTCGGCCTCCCAAAGTGCTGGTATTACAGATGTGAGCCACTGCGCCCGGCCGATGAATATTTTTTAATGAAAAAAAAAATACAATGAAGGGACCTAAATGTGACCCTGAAACAAAAAGAGGACATTAATGGGAAAACTAGTGAAACCCAAATAACGCCTTGAGTTTACGTGATAGTCATGTACAATGCTGGTTTCTTAGTTTTGATAAATATACCATTGGAATGTTAGATATTAACATTCGGGGAAATAGGGAATAGGATGAAGGGTGTGTAGGAATTCTCTGTAGTATTTTTGCAACCTTTCTGTAAATCTAAAATTATTCCCCCAAAAAATTTTATTTAGAAAAAGTATCTGCATTTGGTATCTATTTTTAAGTAAACTTTTTATTTATAACTCATTTTAGAAAATTATTAAGTGAGCCTGTCAGAAGAAAAAGATACATGCGTGACAACCTCCTCCCCAGATTTTGGAATCATTCCAGCGTCAAACATTTAGCAACGAACCCATATTGCTAGTGATTGATTGTGAGCTCCGGCCCAAGCCAGACTGCCTGAGTTTGGATCAAATTTACTAGCTGTGTTACTGTGGCCAACTATCTCATGCCCTCCAGGTCTCTATTTCCTCATCTATAAAATGGGGATGAAAATGGTGCCTATCTCATGGTGATGTTATGAGAATTCCTGGATTTAATATGTTTAATAAGGCCGGGCGCGGTGGCTCACGCCTGTAATCCCAGCACTTTGGGAGGCCGAGGCGGGCGGATCACGAGGTCAGGAGATCAAGACCATCCCGGCTAAAACGGTGAAACCCCGTCTCTACTAAAAATACAAAAAATTAGCCGGGCGTAGTGGCGGGCGCCTGTAGTCCCAGCTACTCGGGAGGCTGAGGCAGGAGAATGGCATGAACCCGGGAGGCGGAGCTTGCAGTGAGCCGAGATCCCGCCACTGCACTCCAGCCTGGGCGACAGAGCGAGACTCCGTCTCAAAAAAAAAAAAAAAAAAAATGTTTAATAAGCTGAGAACTGTACCCCGCTCATATAAGTGAATGTAAACTAGCTAATAACTTATTCCTTCTTGTATATATGAGTTATTAAATGTAAAACTTGACTGGGCATGGTGGCTCATATCTGTAATACTAGCACTTTGGGAGACTGAGGCAGGTGTATCACTTGAGGTCAGGAATTTGAGACCAGCCTGGCCAACATGGTGAAACCCCATCTCTACTAAAAAATACAAAAAAAAAAAAAAAAAAAATTAGCCAAGCCTAGCAGTACGTGCCTGTAGTTCCAGCTACTTGGGAGGGAGGTTGAGGCAGGAGAATCGCTTGAACCATGAAGGCAGAGGTTGCAGTGAGCCAAGATCGTGCCACTGCACTCCAGCCTGGGCAATAGAGCGAGACTCCGTTTCAAAGAAAAACTTAAGCTATACACCTTTGTAAGGTGTCTTATATAAATACATTTATGAATCAGAAAATGTAATTATGAGTATTTGCATCATGATTTTTGGTTCTGAAATAGCTCAGTCTAAGCTACATATAAGAATTAACATTAATATACTAGGGGCCAAATACACACACACACATGACAATCATTGGGACTGGCCATGTTTTTGATTATCCACACGTTTTATCTTCTCTTATTAGTCTGGATAATGGAGAAGTCAGGACACTGGCATAAGGCATGATTGCTTCTGGTTTAATCTTCCCTGAGTCTGTGATGCTAAGCCTCAACTCAGCATCTTTCAAGAAAAAAGCATGTGTCTATGCACACACACATGCATGCACACACACACGCATGCACACACACACACACACACCCCTCTGGCTGAAAAACATTGGCAGTTCCCAAAGAAGCAATTTGCTGCAGTCACACCCGGCCAGGTTTTCCTGCACTGCAAAGCACAGCGATTAAAACATGTCAGGGAAGCTGCACTGCTATTTGGAGGGAGAATTATTAATTTATGTTTACAGTTTTCAAATCCAATCATAGCCATGTACCTGGACCATTACAGCTGTGTAATAAAAATAGTGTGACTGTTTTTATTTTGCAGAAACTATCATTTCCTTAGATTTTGCAATTCACTAACATTAATTGGCAAAATTGAATTCTTCCAGCATGAACAGAGATAAATGACCCTTCATTATTTAATCAGGAGAAAAACCAAGGACTTTGTACACAGATGCTCTGACCACAAGATTTTACTGGGAACCTGAGGGATCTGCTTCCTGTTTCATTCAAGTCCAGACACATAAGACAGACTTGTAGGGGTCAGGGGTGGTAGGTAAGACACTGGAGGTATAGAGCCAGGACCCACAAGGCCATGGGGCAGATCTGTGGGCATTATCTTGACAGGCCAAGAGGGGTCAGTCCAGGACCCCCTAAGGACCACTGGAGTGTTCTCTCTCCAAACCAAGACTGAGTGGCTGTTACGGGATGACCAGGGATGCAGAGATTATTAAACCCAGCACTTCCTTTACTCTAGACTATCAGCTCTGGTAAACTCCTATGAATCCTGCAAAACCCAGGCCAAAGGTTCCTACCTTGGTAAAACCTTCTCCAATGACTAAGTCAGTGACTTTTATGCTTTTCTTATATTTCAAATATAGCATTTTAATTTGTCTGCCTATTAACCAACTCCCCCATAAGACTGGGATTTATGAGGACTGGGTCTGTGTCTGTTTCCCCAGCCCTAGCACAGCACCACATAGTAGCATCACAAAGTAGATGCTCAATGGAAGGGGAGACAAGAGAAAGGGAAAAAGGGGGAAAATGGCTTAGTAGATTCCATTGTATCAGGGATCCCATTGTATCCCATTGTAATAATGACATGTGACAATAGCCAAAACCAATGGCTTATAGGAAGCACTTATTTCTCATTTGTGGGTCGACAGGTAGGCTGCCCTCTGCTGGTGGTTCACCCTGGCTTCAGGCTACAGGTGGGGTTCAGGTCTACTGCATGGAGAAGCAGCTTCCCCGGGGCTTGTCCTTTTCATAACAGGTAGCAGAAACGTGAGACTTGGAGCTAACTCATGCCAGCACATTTAAAGTCTGTAATTGAATCACATCCACCAACACTTGATTGGCCACATCAAATCTTCTGACCAAGTTCAACATCAATCGGTAGGAAGAGGGGGCAGGATGTTCCCCATCTCTACTGAGACGCATAGCAAAGTCACATGGCAAACAGTGTGGCTATATAATATACAGAGAAGGGGAAATAAGGAAGCAGTAGGGGGAAATGGTTAAGCGTTAGACTCTAAAGACTGATTGCCTGAGTTCAAATTCTGGCTCCAACCAACCAAGATTGTGACCATGGAGGAAGTGACTCAAACACTCAGTGCCTCAGCCTCCCCACCTATCAAATGGATATAACAATAATACCTACTGCAGGCAGTTGCTACGAGGATTTAATGAAAATGGCCCACGCAAAGCATTTAGCACAAGGTCTGGTCGTAGCAAACACTTAATACATTCTACCTGTTAGTTTAATTCTCTCCCTTCTCTGCATTGGATCTTTTCCCAGAAAATATCAAACACTTCCCAGCCCCCATCCCTTTCCTATGCCAACCACACGCCCTCCTGTGGCTAGACTCCCCAGTTTCTTCCCAATTAGTTCACATATTTTATCTCATTCATGTGATCCCTTTATTAACCATGAGTAGACCTTTAGTAGCTGCTCAAAGTGCCCCCAGATGTCAGGCTCAAGGCTAGCACCAAAGCCCCAGGCTGACATTGATGTGAGCATCACCAAAGTCATTCTGCCCATAAAGAAGGTGTCGCAATGATGGATGGCTGCAGGCTTCTGAGCTGCAGTGTGCCTCCCAGACAATCCATCTCTTCCTTGGGATCCTGAATGCAGTCATGAAGATGAAGAGCGCACAGTGGGAGTCAACCTCGCTCTCCAATGAATGTATAAGGTATGCCCGCCAGCAGCCTGAGTTTTTAACTGGATTAAATCAAGACACGTTCAAGACAAAACACAGATAAGTGCCTCTCAGGTGCCACTCCTGGGTCCAAGGGGCCCAACTCCACCTTAGAATCAAAGACCCTTGGGCCAGGCTCGTGCTTGTAATCCCAGCTCCTTGGGAGGCTGAGGTGGAAAGATTGCCTGAGCCCAGGATTTCGAGGCTGCAGTGAGCTATGATCCTGCCACTGCAATCCAGCTTGGGTGACAGAGTAAGACCCTGTCTCTTAAAAAAAAAAAAAAAAAAAAAAAGCCTTGAAGCTGAACTAGACCTTGGCCCTCAGCTGGCCCAGCTCTGGCTTCTCAAATCTATTTTACAAAGCAGAAAGCTACTAATTCCCAGGAGGAGAAGTCTCTCTAATTCACAACTTGTTTGAGCACACAACAAAGATTAGAATCTATCGCCTGTTAGAGCTCTTTCTCCAAAATTAGAGATCAGGGAAAAAAAAAAAAGATTTCTTCAAATGGAGCATTTTGTTTTTCACTCCAAGGCATGTACTCAGCAAAATTAAAGATCAAAATATTTTGTGAAAAGGCAATGCTTTAAAGAATTCTCCTACCTAGAAGTTACTCTTTCTTTCCCCAAAATATGCCCATGTATGCTTCTGACCATCATCCCCATGCAGAGCCTTGCTGGATCAATATTTTATTCAGGACAAAAATCATGTCCTGAATTTTTTATTATGTTAATCACACATTGTACAGGCAACAGTGTCTTGGGAATAGTGAGTTTCTAAACTCTACTTTCCAACTCATTTTCTCCTGATTTGCAATTCAGAAAACTAGTGACAAGCATGATTTCAGAAGCCATACTGATGTTGTGTGACCTTGGGCAAGTCACTTACCCTTTCTAAGCTTCAGTGTTAACAGAACAATAAGAAAAGAAAAATAGGAATTCAGGGAGATAATACACAGAGTGCCAGGTATATAACAAGTTCTCAGAGAAGCTGTTACTATGGTTACAGTTGTCATCATCAATGTCACCACTGTCATCATCATCATCATACATGATCCAGAAGGACCCAGCAAAAGGAAGTAACACAACGGGATCTCCACCCAAGTTTCTTAACTATATGAGAAAGCACTTTCAGGAGAACCCCAGGTATGGCACATTTTTAAAGTCACAGGCTATTAGTTTACAGGAACCTGATCTTCTCCGCAAAACCTGAGCAATGAAATTTCTGACCACTGCATACAAACACACCCTCTGCTTCCTCCAGTATGTGTAGCTTAGCTCTGTGGTTAACAGTTTCAGCTCTGAAATTGGATGGAGCCAAGCTGGAATTTCACCTCTGCCATTGACTCGGCTCTCTTTTCTGTTCCTTGAACCCACTGCCAGGCTTGTTCCCACCATAGAATCTTTGCAGGGGCCCTGCCCCTGCCTGGGATGCCCTCCTCCTTGATGTTCATGTGACCATATCTTTTCCATCACTCAGGTCTCAGCCCAAATGTGGCCCCTTGCAGGGCAGCCTCTGAGCACCCTGTACTTGTGTCTCTTCCGCTCCACACATCCAGTTTCCTCTCTGTTTCAGTTGCTATGCGACCTTCTAAATATCAGAATATGGATCTAGCTTTTGGATTCCCACTAAGATGCAAGCTTCTTGGGGCAGGAAACTTCTCCATCCTGCATCCACTGTATTTTCCATGCCTAAAAACATGCCTGGCTCAAAAGAGATCCTCCACCAAGAGCCACTGAATCAAAGAATGCAACAGTACCATTGGGATTTGAACATAGGTCCAAAGTGGATAAAAGTGAAGTTGGGATTTGGACATAGGTCTGCCTGGGACACAGACCAAACTCCTAACCCACCTCTGATGGTTCTTTGCCCAGCTATTCCTAACCTTGTCTTCTGATGTGATGAGCAGAAAAAAATACTTCCTCCTGCTCAAACCCTTTTAGGTGTCTGTAAACAGCTCCCAGGCCCCATTTTAAGCCCTCTCTGTAATGCCCCACTGTGCTCAGCTCTGTTTTATACAGAAAGTCTTCCAAACCTGCTTCAGGGTCCCTGTGTGACCTTCTAGTTCCTCAGTGTCTTTCTTCTCCAACTGCACTAGGACCAGGTTCATTCCAGGGAAGACACAGGCACCTTGATATTGTACTTCTATTAACAAAACCCAGGACTGCATTATTATGATCTTAAAAGATTTCTGAAAGGGCTTTATAGAACACGGAAATTGGGTCACACACAAAAACAAGAATCCTGCTTGATGAAACTGAAAATGTGACATCTCTTTTTTAGCATAGCTGCCACGCTACAATGACAGAATCTTGCATGAGGGTTTTCATGGAAAACAAAGGGCCGAGTGACATGGGATTTTAGGCACTTTACGACAAATGCATATTTAAAACACATATTTTTGCAGGTTTTTTTCTTTGAGCACCATAGCAAGGTTAACCTTTGAAAGGGAGCAAAAATCATAGATGATAAATGTTTCTTGTCTCCCTAGCTATTCCCTTTGAAGCCCTAACTTGGAAAAATAGCAAATATGGAGGATGCTATTTTAACTGTCACCCCAGTATCAAATATGATATGTCACTCCAGCCAGCATTTTGTCACCTTAAGATACTGATTTGTGCTTGGGAAAATTTACAGCCATTTATGGCTGTCATGCACTGAAGTTCCCAGGAGATTTTTTTTTTTTTTTTAACTCTTAAAGATAAATCTTCCTTTCTTATTTTCATTGCCTGGTTATTTTTACTCATTAATAACAAGGACCTGTAAGCTTCACTGTAATCAGGACCCAATGTCACTGGCTACACGTGTACATGCCTTTGTGCAAAGGGGACTTGAAAATAGGGAAAAGGCAGGGGAAATGTGGGAGGAAGCCATCGGGTGACTCAGAAACACAAGTGGAGACTGTTCATTGCTTCATTCTTGTCCTAAACATGGAATTCGAAAATTTCAGGGTAAGAAAAGAAAGCACCTCCAGCTCACATAGGCAGAGTTGCCACCACACTAAGAGTGAGCCCCTATTCTCCCAGCAGGGAGGTGCAGTGTTCACTGGTGGTCTCAGCCAGCCAGGGCAGACAGCCAGCCTGGTGTGTCCTAGTCCTGCCCACTCTGGGTAGTAACAGCACGGTGAGCCAGGGCATAGGGAAGCATGAAGTGCTGTCGGAGTCAGCAAGACCCCAACTCAGTTTGGGAGAGAATTGGTGAAAGCTTCCTAGGAGAAGTGACTCATTAGTGAAGACTCAAATGAGAACTAGATCCTTTGAAATGAAAAAAAACAAAGGGAGAGAGAAACCATTATCAAAACCAAATCACGCTCTGTCCCCCAACCACCCCATATGTGCCCCTCCCAAGTCTCTACCATCTCAGTCAATGGCCACTCCATCCTATGGGCCACCCAGGGGAGACCCTCATGGTCATTCACTCTTCTGCCCTCACTCCCCAACTTCAATCATCAGCAAATCCTCCAAGAACTATTTTTGAAATGGATCCCAACTCTATTTGCAACTCCCAGTGCTTGAGTCCAATTCATGGTCACACCCACTCTTCCCAACCTGGACTCTCTGCCTCTGTCCTCTAGTGCTTATGGTCCATTTTCAACCGCTGGCCAGAGAGCTCCTTGAACTTGTATGTCAGTCAAGGTACTTCTGCATTCCCAGCTTCCCCTTTCACCCATAACAAAATCTAAATTCCCTTCAACAGTCTACAAGGTCCCAAGTGATCTCCATAGCCTACCCCAGCTCAGTGCCTCTCGGGCCTCACTTCCTGCTATTTTCTCCTCATTCATTGCCTACCGGGACATTCCTTAATCTATCGCAGGGTCTTTAGACCTCCCATCCCATCTGCCTGGAGCACCATCTCCCAGGTACTCACATCTCTTTCAGATCTTTGCCCAAAAGTCACTGCCACATTGAGGCCTTTTCCAACCACCCATACTCCCATCCCCCTTTGACACTTTATTTAGCTCTCACAGATAAGAACATCCTTTCAACATAACCACATTAGATTATCCTGCCAAGTGGTGACTCTTTCAAAACTATGGCAAAGTATAAAGAACTATACCAGCCATAAAAAGGAATAAAGCACTGATACATGCAGGAACACGGATTGTATCTGAAATTACTCGAAAACATTAAGCAAAGTGCAAGACGCCAGTCACAAAAAGACCACGTAATCTATGATCCCATCGCTGTGAAATGTCCAGAATAGATAAATACATAGAAACAGAAAGCAGATGAGTGGTCGCCCGGGGTGGAAGGAATCTGGGGATATGGAGTGGGTGAGACCTAAAGTGTATGGGGTTCTATGTGAGCTGATAAAAATGCTCTAAATTTGACTTTGTTGATGGTGGCATACACCTGTGAATATACTAAAAATCACTGAATTGTACACGTCAAATGGGTGAATTGTATGATATTGTGAACGCTGAGTATCTGAGACAGGTCTTAGTTAATTTAGAAAGTTTATGTTGCCAAGGTTGAGGACCCGCATCCATGACACAGCCTCAGGGGATCCTGACGACATGTGCCCAAGGTGGTCAGACACAGCTTCGTTTTATACATTTTGGGGAAAAATAAGACATCAATCAACGTATGGAAGAGGAACACTGGTTCAGTCTGGAAAGGCGAGACAACTCGAAGCAATTGCTGGATGACTCAAAGTGGGGTAGGGGGCTTCCAGGTCATAGGTAGATAAGACACAAATGGTTGTATTCTTTTGAGTTTCTGATGAGCCTCTCCAAAGGAGGCAATCAGATATGCATTTATCTCAGTGAGCACAGGGATGACTGAATAGAATCAGAGGCAGGTTTGCCCTAAGCGGTTCCCAGCTTGACTTTTCCCTTTAGATTAGTGATATTGGGGCCCCAAGATTTATTTTCCTTTCACAATATATAAATTAAATCTCAATAAAGCTGTTTTTTAAAAAGAACTATACCGCCTAGAATTAAAACATGATCACTTTATTTGCTTCAGTGTATTTTAATAAAAGAAAATATTACTGAAGTTGAAGTCCCCTTCATACCCACATAAATTTTGCTACATCAAAAAATTATTTAAAATTTTTTAATTACAGTTTTACTGCTAAGTCTTCTATCTTTTAAGCCATACCTTTGAGTTTTTAGCCTTCATTTACATGGATTTACCTTGAGGGGCCTTTTCCAGTTCTAGCTATCTTTGGATGATAAAAATCTCAAAGAATAACTGAGCCAGTGCTTGCAGATTGAGTTTATGGCACTGGGAAGCAGTGAGCCATGAAAAAAACAAAAGTACAGAGAGAACATTATCAAAACCAAATCACTGCTCTTCCCCACCACCCCATATTTGGCCCTCCCATCCATTCTCTATTCTCTCAGCCAAAGGCCACTCTGCCCGACGGGCCATCCAGGGGAGACCCGCATGGTCAGCATCCACTCTTCTCTTGCCCTCACTCCCCAGCATTCAATCCATCAGCAAATCCTAGGATTTAACTATACATCAACTGGACATTTCCTAGGATTTAACTATAGTGGACCCTCAAACAACACAGCTTTGAACTGCATGGGTCCACTTACATAGCATATATTTCAATAAAAGTGACATCAAGTGTGCCTGCCTTTCCTCCCCTTCCACCTCCACCACTTCTTCTGCCTCTGCCGCCCCTAAGACAGCGAGACCAACCCCTCCTCATCCTCCTCCTCATCAGCCTACTCAGCATGAAGGCGACAAGGATGATGACCTTTATGATGATCCACTTCCACTTAACAAACAGTAATTATATTTTTTTTTTTTTTTTTTTTGAGATGGAGTCTCGCTCTGTCACCCAGGCTGGAGTGCAGTGGCGCGATCTCGGCTCACTGCAAGCTCCGCCTCCCGGGTTCACGCCATTCTCCTGCCTCAGCCTCCCCAGTAGCTGGGACTACAGGCACCTGCCACCACGCCCGGCTAATTTTTTGTATTTTTAGTAGAGACGGGGTTTCACCATGTTAGCCAGGATGGTCTCAATCTCCTGACCTCGTGATCTGCCCACCTCAGCCTCCCAAAGTGCTGGGATTACAGGCGTGAGCCACCACCCCCAGCCATGGTAATTATATTTTCTTTATTATTTTCTTAATAACCTTTTTTCTCTAGCTTACTGTATTGTCAGGATATAGTACATAATACATATAACCTACAAAATATGTGCTAATTGATTGTGTATATTATCAGTAAGGCTTCCGGTCAGCAGTAGGCTATTGGTAGTTAAGTTCTGGAAAGCCAAAAGTTATACATGGATTTTTGTCCAGGAGGAAGATGTCAGTAATCCTAATCCCCAGGTTGCTCCAGGTCAACTCTATGTTCCAGCTTGACTTTTCCCATTCCAGCTGCTGTGTGCACATCCCCTGAGCTGTCCTTCTGACCTGTGCAACTGGCAAGCCCATCAACCTCATTAGTTAGGTTCTAAGTCCTTGTCCATCTACTATGTGCTGACGAATGTTCTAAGCGCTAAACTATAGAAATAAAATGGTACAGCTTTACAAAATACAACCAAAAGTAAGAAAAAACATTCCAAAAGAGCCAGATTTCTGAGCTGCACTGGGGAATTCTGGAAGGTGACCCCACCACTGACTCTAAAGCTGGACACGTTGTCCTCATGCCAGCTGCCCTGATTGGTCCCAAGAGCCTCCAAGACTGTGACTTGATGAGTCATGCTTTCTCAGGGTGCCTTTAAAGCTGTAAATCTGGGAGAGAAGGAAACCCCAGCTGCGTTCAGCCACGATTCCCATCCTTCCCATTCAGGGACAGACTGCAGCAAAACCTCTAAGCACAGCAAGCACAAGCAGCTCTGCCAGGTGGTGCTGAAAAAGGAGCCCCAAATAAACCCTTCTCCTAGGAAGCCAGATGCAAAGTGTAGCCATCCTGATAGAAATGCGACCACAAGAGATATTTCCAAGGGATTTCCAATAGGAAACAGAAATAACCTTCTCCTTCTGTTAGTCCCTTCATTGATTCAAAACTCATGAAGTGCTATGTTAGAGGCCAGGGGATCAGTAAACACAGACGTAGCTTTCAAGTGGCCCAAAGTCTAATACATACGTGATCTTTCTGTATCTTCACAGGATACAGAACTTTACTGGAAAAATACAAGAGTTGGGGGCGGGGGACCGATGATCTGTAAAGAATAGACAGAGCCAAGTCTTGGTGCCATGGATTTTCCCCAAAGCACTACAGAAAAGGCAGAGAAATCCAGGGCCCAGGCACCTAAGGGTGAGCTTCTAAACCCCATACTTTCCCAGTTTCTCTTCAACATCAGATTCAGACCCTAGTAACTTATTGCACCAGTATATGTGTCAGACACTGTATAGAGCACCAAAAGGAAAAGACACATGGAAAAAACCCAATCCCTGCTCTCCAATGACTCATGACCTGATCATAGACTGTAATAAAAATGCAAACAACTGGGGCTGGACGCAGTGGCTCGCACCTGTAATCCCAGCACTTTGGGAGGCTGAGGCGGGCAGATCACGAGGTCAGGAGATCGAGATCATCCTGGCTAACACAGTGAAACCCCATCTCTACTAAAAATACAAAACATTAGCCAGGTGTGGTGGCGGGTGACCACACCTGTTGTCCCAGCTACTCGGGAGGCTGAGGCAGGAGAATGGCATGAACCCGGGAGGCGGAGCTTGCAGTGAGCCAAGGTCACACCACTGCACTCCAGCCTGGGCAACAGAGCAAGACTCCATTTCAAAAAAAAAAATGCAAACAACTATAGTGCAAGGCAGGATAGAAGCATGAGGAAAGACTACAAGGGATGAGGATAAGAGGATATGATCCCCAGACTTCTTGATTTCACAGATATGAAAGAACTTGGAAGGCATGCTCATGGATTAGAACAGATGTCAGTAAACTATAACCTGTGGCTGAATCAGACCCACTGCCTCTTTTTGTAAATAAAGTTGTATTGAAACACAGCCACATTCATTTGCTTGCATATTGCCTGTGGCTACTTTCACACTGCAATGACAGAGTTGAGTACTGTGACAGATACCATCTGGCCTGCAAAGCCGGAAATATTTACTATCAGGATCTTTAGAGAAAAAGTTTGCTGACCTCTGCACTAGATTTGATACTGAAAAGATGTCTATTCTCAAATTGGCCATGAATCAATAAAATATCAAATTACATTTAGATATCATTTCAAACATTGATAAACTGATTATAAAATGTATTATGGAAATAAAAAACACCAAGAACAATCAAGGCAATCTAAGTTTGAGAGATCTTTTTCAATATCAGTCATCCTTGGACAACAAGGACCTCATAGAGGTCCTGAAACAATGCATATAGATGACTTAGCATGGGTCTGGGACACAATGAGCACACAGAAAAGTCAGCTTATTGCCTTTCCAGATGCTATGTGCACATTCCTCTGAGCTGTACATCTGACAAGTGACAGCGCAGGAGCATCGCCATCTTGGACAAACACCACCATTTTAAGTTCCCCTTGATTGAAAACCACCTAAATCCAGCCCAAAAACATCAGCCTAATGGCCAATGTCAGCGTGACCATAAACCACAAGTGATATCTTTGACCAGAAACATTCCAACCCTGAGATAAACTCCCCTCTGACCAGAAACATGACAGCCCCATGATAACCTCCCCTCCAACCAGAGACATCCCAACCCCTCAATAAAACTCTCCCCTACACAGAAACATTCTGAGCCTGCAATAAGCTCTCCCTCCCTAAACCCTTAAATATCCTTTGTAAGAGAGAAGGCTCCTGACCAAAACCAGCCAGAAGCCCCTCTCAGGTTTATTCTCCAAAGTAAACCTGTCTTTGACTGTTGAGCCACTTTTCATGTTTCTTTCTTCTTTCTTTAACTCTTACAACATGTACACCTGGTGAGCCTGCCAACTTCACCAGTTAGATTCGAAGCAAAGCTGGAGGACTTACACTCTTGAATAGTAAACCTGATACCCCAAAGTAATTAAAACAGTATGGTGTGAGTACAGGACAGGTAAACACATCAAAGAACAGAATAGAGTCCAAAACAGACCACATATAGGATGGACACTTGATTCATGGCAAAAAGAGCACTTCAGAACATGGGACAGAAAAATAACCTTTTTTTTTTTTTTTTTTTTGAGACAGGGTCTCGCTGTGTCACTGGAGTGCAGTGGCACAATCTCAGCTCACTGCAACCTCCGCCTCCCTGGTTCAAGTGATTCTTCTGTCTCAGCCTCCCAAGTAGCTGGGACTACAGTCGCATGCCACCAGCCCCAACTAATTTTTGTATTTTTAGTAGAGATGGGGTTTCGCCATATTGGCCAGGCTGGTCTCAAACTCCTGACCTTGTGATCCACCCACCTCAGCAAAATAACCTTTTTAATAAATGGCTCTGGGTCAATAGGATATTCATACAGAAAAGGAAGAATCATGACCCCTAACTCACACCATACACAAAAATTAATTTCAGGTAGATTTTAGATCCAAATATAAAAGGTTAACAATAAAGCTTCTAAAAGATAACATAGGCTGGGTGTGGTGGCCTATGAGAAATATTAATATTGTGGACTACATCAAAATTGGAAGTTTCTGCTCATCAACAATGTCAGAGGGTGAAAAGGCAAGCCACATCCACCATCCATATGCCCCAAAGACTGGCATGCACACTATATATAAACTTTTAAAATTTAATAAGGAAAACACAGATAACCCAATACAGAAATGGACAAAAGCCTTGAACAAACACTTGACAACAGATGTCCAAATGGCCAATTTAAATATCTTTTTGAAGGCTGAACACAGGCACATCCATGATCCAGTTCTACTCCTAGGAATATGTGTACATGTACACCAAAAACACTTGGAAAAGAATGCATTGTCATGTACTTTTCATAATGGTCCCAACTAGAAATAACCCAAAAGACCATTAAGTGTAGACATATTAAACGTGTGTGATATGCTCATACTGCAGAATACTATATAGTAATGAAAAAGAGCCAACTACTGCTGCACACAACATGGAGAAATCCCAAAATGGGTTGAGCAAAAGGAGCCAGACAGAAAGGAAAGCATATTCTATGATTCCATTCATCTAAGGTCAAAAACAGGCAAAACTACACTATATTGGAAGAAGTCAGGACAGAGGTCGTGCTTGGGAGAAGGTGGAGGAGATGATTAAAAGGAGGCATGAGGCATTTCCAAGAGTAGATAAGTGCAGTGCACTTTGTGTGCTGAGAAGTGGTTATACAGATGTATTCACTTGTGATAACTCACTGAGCCATAGTACACTTCTGATTAGTAAATGCTGTACTTCAATTTTCAAAGTTTTATGGTCCCCTGTGTGGACAAAGATAAGTTTGTTAATTGTCTACTTTGCTGAGTAAGAACATTAAGAAGGCCCACTATCTAATCTCAATTTTATTCCAAAAAGGGGGAAAAAAAAACATTTTAACACCATAAGAGGCCAAAGCTACAGTGAGCTACAATCATGCCACTGTGCTCCAGCCTGGGCCACAGACTGAGACCCTGTTTCAAAAAAAATAAAAAATAAAAAATGCTAATACTCTTCTGAGCCTTTAGCAAGTTGTAATCTTTTTACTGGTGGAGTACTCCTGCTTTGATGTTGATGGCTGCTGACTGATCAGGGTGGTGGTTGCTGAAGGTTGGAATGGCTGTGGCCATTTCTTAAAACAAGACAACAGTAAAGTTTGCCACATCAATGGACTCTTCCTTTCAGGAAAGATGCAATGCTGTTTGACTGCATTTTATACACAGTAGAACTTCTTTCAAAATTGAAGTCAGTCCTCTCAAATCCTGCCACTTCTTTATCAACTAAGTTTATGTAATATTACAAATCTTTTGTTGTCATTTCAACAATGTTCACAGTATCTTCATCAGGAGTAGATTCCATCTCAATAAACCACTTAAGAAGCAACTTCTCCTCCATTTAAGTTTTATCATGAGACTGCAATAACTCAACATAATCTGACTCCACTTTTAATCCTAGTTCTTTTGCTATTTTCAACACAACTGCAGTTACTTTCTCCCCTTAAATCTTGAACCCTCAAAGTCATCCATAAGGGTTAGAATCAACTTCTTCCAAACTCCCGTTAATGCTGATATTTTGATTTTTCTCATAAATCATGAATGTTCTTAATAGCATCTAGAATGATGAATCCCTTCTAGAAGGTTTCAATTGACTTTGCCCAGATCCATCAGAGGAATCACTATCTGTGACAGCTATAGCCTTACAGAGCGTACATCTTAAATAGCAAGACTTGAAAGTCTAAATCACTCCCTGTTCCATGGGCTACAGAATGAATGTTGTGTTAGCAGGCATGAAAACAACATTAATCTCCCTGTACATCTTCATCAGAGCTCTTGGATGACCAGGTGCATTGTCTATGAGCAGTAATATTTTGAAAGGAATCTTATCTGAGCAGTAGGTCCCAATAGTGGGCTTAAAATATTCAGTAAACCATGCTGTAAACATGTGCTGTCATCAGGCTTTGCTGTTCCATTTATAGAGCACAGGTGGAATAGATTTAGCATAATTTCTTTCCTTTTTTTTTTTTTTTTTTTTTTGATGACACAGGTCTTTCTCTGTCACCAGGCTGGAGTGCTGTCGTGTAAACACAGCTCACTGTAGCCTCAACCTTCTGGGCCCCAGTGATCCTCCTGCCTCAGCCTCCCACGTAGCTGGGACCACAGCTGCATCACTACACCCAGCTAATTTTTAAAAAATTTTTTATATAAATGATGTCTCACCATGTTATCCAGGCTGGTCTTGAACTCCTGGGCTCAAGTGATCCTCCCAACTCCGCCTCCCAAAATGCTGGGATTACAGGTGTGAGACACCACACCCAGCCGTATTTAGTATAATTCTTAAGGGCCCTAAGATTTTCAAAATGGTAAATGAGCATTGGCTTCAATTTAAAATCACCAGCTGCATTGGCCACTCACCAGAGTCAGCCTGTCCTTTGAAACTTGGAAGCCAAGCATCAACTTTTCCTCTCTAGCTATGTAAGTCCTAAATGGCATCTTCTTCCAATAGAAAGCTGTTTCATCTCCATTGAAAATCTATTGTGTAGGGTAGCCACCTTCATCAACGACCTTAGCTTGATATTCTGGATAACTTGCTGCAGCTTCTCCATCAACACTTGCTGCTTCACCTTGAACTTTTATGTTATAGAAATGGCTTCTTTCCTCTAACGTATGGTAGGAGCTACTTTACATTAAACAAATGAAATTTGTATTACACACATGGGCGTGCATGCATGCACGTGTGCACACACACACACACAAACACATACTTCAAGGGGAATGGAAGCCTGGCTATCTTGGCATACAGAGAATTCTTCTAATCGAATCAAATAGAAATCAAGACTAGTTCCTCCTTTGTTCAAAATCCTTCCATGGTTACCCAGGGAGCATGCCAGCCTCCTCCACATGTGTACAAAGTCTTGTGAGTTGCAGCCCTGCCTCTTCCTCTCTCCTCTCCCCCATTCTCCCCGAGCCCACTCACCTCAACCATGAGGCCCCATTCTGCTCCCCCAGCAAGGCCACATTGCCTCCAGCCACAGGAGGCTTCCTGTGCCTAGAAGGCCTTTCAGTGGCTCCCCAGGTGGATCTTCCTCGCCTGCAGATCTCAGTTCAGCCATCAGTTCAGGAAGGAAGGGTCTCTTGAACTCCCCCTGCAGTTCAGCTATCCTGATTACAGCTCTGCCACCCCTTCACAACATGCTCTGTGTTGTAATTTTACATACATTTGTATGATTTGGTGAATGTCTAATTCTCTCTGCTATTTTCTGAGCAGCAAGAGCACAGGGACCCCGTCCTGGCCACTTCTAAATGTGTAGCACCTGGCACGTAGGGATGCTGAATGGGTAGGGAAAATGAACATTAATAGAGCAGTCTTTGAGCACCTACCATCCATACTAAGCAGTATCAGAAATACCAGGCAGGCTAAGACACAGCCCCTCTCTCCTGATGCTTAGAGTCCCAGCAGGGGTCTCGGACACAGACTCATGAGACAATCAGAAAATAAGAAACAGAACATAATCAGAGGTGACTCCTGCTGCATGCCATCCCTTCCTCTTTCAGGCGAATGTCATTCTTTCTTTTCTCTGGGGAGATATCCCTCACCCTTCATATGCGGCTGGTGTGGGATTTTCCATCCAGGGTCCCAACTCTCCCATCAGGGTAGGTGAGCCCATGACTGCACCTCACCCAAGAGGACCCTCACTCCTGGAAAACCACATCTGGCCTGCAGGATGCAAGCACCAAAGGCATCTGGGGCTGATCATCCTGCTGGTGAAAGCTCAAAGACCTTACTGGTTAGGGCTTGGTCTGAACCCCCACTCCCCGGCCCCCAACCCCTGCCACAGCTTCCACCAATGCTTCCCTAACACCAGTCTTTTTCAAAGCCTGGATCTTCACCTCTCCTATTTTCTGAAATCTCCCTAATGCCATCTGAATTGTTTTCCATCTAGAATTAGTTTATGTGGCTCACAACCAAAGAATCCTAATCAAAGCAAGGAGTGAGCACTGAAATGTATCACAGACTATGCAGAAGGTGTTCAGAGATAAGGAAGGTGGAACGAGGTGGAGCTGAGTCCAGGCTCAAGCCCCTCTCTCTCTCTCTAGTGCTAAAAAGCGAATAGCAAGGTCTTTGGCCTCATGACCTGGGTCCTCTCTCATGCTTCCTCCTTCATCTGGAATGGTCACCAGATAGGAGATGTTCCAACCTAGGGTGGGAGCAGAGGGCAACTGGGCGCTGAGGTGGAAGGAGAAACCTTGGTGCACACAGCCCCAGGGCTGGTGGTGGACAGAGAAGGAGGAGGAAATTGGCATGGAGAGGGCAGGACTCCTCTTCATCTGCCAGGGCCATATTATGACGTTCATGGGCCCCAAAGTGCCCAAGCATTTTTGCTATTGCGGGTCCTCCATAAAATATATTATAAATTATACTTACAACTATGTTGGTATAAAGACAAATATATTAATGTTATAGACTAAAACATTTTTGTCAGCTTCAAAGTGCATTTTTTTCTTCTTTGAAAAGAAATTAAAACAATTTTATGAGTTCCTAAAAGTCCCGTGGTCCCCAGGCAGTGTGTCATCCACCCAAAGGGTTGCTAAGATTTTTTTGGTTTCGCCATAAGAAAACCCTCCCTGCTGGGGAAAGGCAGATCGTATACATGTGTGCCTGTGTTTGTGTCTGTGTGCATGTGTATACACATCTGCACATATATACAACTGCACGTATACACATGCATGTGTGTACATTTACACACACATGTGATTTCTGTATGTTTTCTATTACTGTGTAACAAATCACCACTAACTTAGCAGCTCAAAGGAAACACTATCTATTGTCTCCATTCCGAGGGTCATGGATCCAGGCACAGTATAATTGGGTCCCCTGCTCAGGGTCTCAGGCTGCAATAGAGGTGTCAGCTGGGATGTATTCTCATCTGGAGGTTCTAAGAAAGAATTTGCTTCCAAGCTCACTCAGACTGTGGGCAAGACTTATTTCCTTGCAGCTGTCTCACTGAGGTTCCCATTGCAGCCACCTGCCATTCAAGTTCACTCTGGGCTCCTGGAGCTTCCCTCAGGCCCAAGTGATCCTCCCAATTTGGCCTTCCAAAGTGCTGGGATTACAGGTGTGAGCCACTCCACCCAGCCATATTTAGCATAATTCTTAAGGGCTCTAAGGTTTTGCCACCGGGCCCTCTCACAGTGTGGCTTCTTGCTTTTTCAAAGCCAGCAGGAAAATCTCTCCATGGTCAGCTAAGAAGGAGTAATGGAATACCCTGTACTCACAGGAGGGACATCACCGCTATATAAGGGCCGTATAACATAACCTAATCGAGGCGGTGACATCCCATTACAGGCACAGACCCCACCCACCAGGATGCTGCCTGTGCAGGAGCTTTAGCAAATATCAGTAGCTCTATTAGCTCGCGTCTGAGCCAGGTACTGTTCTGTGCAATTCATACAAGTTTTAACACTGTGAGGTCAACAATAATATTATCCCCATGTTACAGTTGAGGAAATTGATGCTCAGGGGGCTAAATGAACTGCCAGGCTCACATAGCATCCCTAGTTCAGAGTGATGTGCCTGAGGCACGGCAGGAGGGCAATAGTGAGATTTCTAGGCATGAGTAGCTTTCCTTGTCGTTTTTAGCAAAACCAGGTGCCACCAGATTGGTAATCAAATTTAGTACCCTGACTATTCCTACTGGGATTTGGTTCTCCATCCCTATGAGCTTGAAATTCCTTCAGCGCGTCTTTAGTTGTTGCAAATCCTAGCACATTGGTTCTCGAGCCTCAGCCAGGCCAGAATGCGCTGAAACTCGGATTACCGGGCCTCACCCCCAGAGTCTCTGATTGAGCAGGTCTTGGGTGAGGCCTGAGAATCTGCCTTTCTAACAAGTTCCCAGGTGATGCTGGTCCAAGGATCCCAGTTCAAGAACCACTGCACTAGTTTAATGATTCTCAAACCACCTGAAGCAGGAACTCTGGTGATCCTTGTTGAATAAACAGGCCTGCAGTGAGACCCAGTAATCAGAATTTCTGGGGCGGGGCTGAGAGCCTGTGTTTTAAACAAGCTTCCAAGTAATTATGAAACACTGAAGTTAGAAAACCACTTCAAAAAGGATCACCCCCTCCAAGGTTTCTTGTTTGGCCTAAATGAATTGGAAAAGTTTAAGAAATCCTAGCTGAAAGCAGGGCCATGCAATAACATGGCTTTATCTCCCCTGAGGCCAGAAGAGAACCAGATTTGCAAATCTGTAAGAATTGCCTTGCTGGAGAAGAAGGAGCCCTTGGGAAGAATGGAGCTGCACAATCAGTCCCTGACCTTACAGGGCCCCAAACTCTCCCACCATCCAGCCAAGCCCTTTCATGTTGGCAGAGGCAGCTCTGGGGAGCAGCCGCTGACCATCTCTAGCTCCACCACAGGCCTAGAAGCCTGAGATTCCTACCCCAAAATACCAAATCCACAGTGCAAAGTATCTGGAAAGATCCACTGCAAGACCCACCACCTCCCACAAGTCTCCTCTGCTTGACCAGATAGAGGCCACACAGAACGTTCTGCTAGTTTATACCAAAACAATTCCTCTAGTTTCTCTCTAACTTGCTGAAATCCTCTACTTCTTCCTGATGTCTGTCTATCTGAGCTGGCAAGGGCTAGGCTTCTGTCTCTCCTGTATGCCCTAGAACACCTTGTCTTGGGGGAAACCAGTAGATGCTTAGTAAGTGTCTCTTGCAGTTCAATATTAACATTAGGAGAGGGTCCAGTGACCCCAACCCCAGCCCCATGATCCAGCAAGATGATAAAGGAGAGTTCCAATTTCATCTAAGCCAATCTTCTTAGGGGCCATGCAGGATGCAGCTCCTGGTCCCCGCCCAGGTTTTCCTTTGGTTTATTTATGCTACACAGCCAGCAGGTAAATCTTGCATGAACTATAGAGTTTGCATTAGGGCCAGGCACAGTGGCTCATGCCTGTAATCCCAGCACTTTGGGAGGCCAAGGTAGGTAGATCACCTGAGGTCAGGAGTTCGAGACCAGCCTAGCCAACATAGTGAAACCTCAGCTCTGCAAAAAATTAGCCAGGTGTGGTGCTGCACCCCTGTAATCCCAGCTACTGGGGAGGCTGAGGTGGGAGAATCGCTTGAACCTGGGAGGCAGAGGCTGCAGTGAGCCAAGATTGTGCCACTGCATTCCAGCTTGGGCAACAGAGTGAGACCCTGTCTCAAAAAAAAGAATTGCATTAGGTAGGATTTCATTTTTACAGATATAGAAACTCAGTCAACACTTTATCAATTTTATCATCTGATCTACTTTTTAAATGGGTGTCAACATGAGCTGTTGCCCTGGTCTCAGCCTCTTCCTTTAGACCTTGAAGGAAGAGAAGCCCAGCCCTGGACCTGGGAGTTGAGTGGACTGGAGTATCTTCAATGGCACTTATTGATCCCATCAAGCAGCACACGGTTTCATGTGGCCTTTTATCTGAAGTGTGTGCCCACAAGTAGATTGGACAAATCACCAACTCAGCAGAGGCCAGATAAAGCAGTTTCAGTAAGGAACTGCCGCGGACTCATTAGGCACAGGAGGAAAGACGGGGGTTCTCTTCTGACCTGAACACTCTACGGTGCTCACCAATAATAAGATTTGACCTGTGTGCTGGGTAAAGGGGGTGCCCAGGGCAGCCCAGTGCTCGGCTGGGAAGCTGCCTTTGATCGTGAGCACTGGTCTTTGTGTTACTCCAAGCACATGGTCCTCTAGCATTTTCCATGCATTTTAATATAACCTTCATAGTGCCTACATTAGAGGCTTGCCATCTCCACTTCACATAAAAAGCCGTGGTTCAGAGAGATTTAAAACAATAGTAATGGGGAAAAAGAAACTTGTCCAAAATAACACATCAATAAATAGCCAAGCACAGCCAGAATGCAAATCTGACACCAAACCCACATCCTTCACTTCTTAGAACCACCTAGAAGGGACTTCTGGGGGCCCAAACCCAACCCCAACTTCCAGCAGATAACTGTCCTTATCAATCACAACTTCCCTTTCTGCCAAGCTGCATCATGCCTTATAACATTTTTTATTTAAGGACTAAGGATTTAATACATTAAATGATATTATACAGCAAACTCAAAATGCTTCTGTCTGGCCTCCCAGGTGATGTATGTTGTGAGGCAGGTTTCAAAATGAAAATTTTCAAAGTGGGACAATTTATATAGACCTCAAAGGACGTGATGTCTTCCTTCAGCATCAGAAAACAGGAGAATCTCATTTCTTCTGACTCAACCATGATGGATTATAATAGTTTCTCCTGATATCGTTTGGATACTTGTCCTCACCCAAATCTCATGCTGAATTGTGATTCCCCAGTGCTGAAGGTGGGGCCTGGTAAGAGGTGTTTGGGTCATGGGGACAAATTCCTCATGGCTTGGTGCTGACTTCAGGATCCCGAAAGTGAGTGGGTTCTCCAAGATCTGGTTGTTTATAAGTGTGTGGCACCAGCCAGGCACAGTGACTCATGACTGTAATCCCAGCACTTTGGGAGGCCGAGGCAGGTGAATTACCTGAGGTCAGGAAATCGAGACCAGCCTGGCCAACATGGTGAAACACCGTCTCTACCATAAATACAAAAATGAGACAGGCGTGGTGGTGAGCACCTGTAACTCCAGTTGCTTGGGAGGCTGAGGCAGAAGAATTGCTTGAACCCGGGAGGTGGAGGTTGCAGTGAGCTGAGATGGCACCATTGCACTCCAGCCTGGGTGACAGAGCGAGACTCCATCTCAAAAACAAAATGAAACAAAACAAAAGTGTGTGCCATTTCCTCCATCTCTCTCTTGTTCCTGTCTTCCCCATGTCATGCACCTCCTTCCCCTTTGTCTTCCATCATGATTGGAAGCTTTCTGGGACTTCCCAGAAACAGAAGACGCCATGCTTCCTGTACAGCCTACAGAATTGTGAGCCAATAAAACCCCTTTTCTTTATAAATTACCCAGTCTCAGGTATTTCTTTATAGCAGTGCAAGAACAGCCGAACACACCTACATATCTCTTCTTATTATGGGAAAGCACCTGGAAATTGGGTGGGAGTTAGGCCCTATATTAGTCTGTTCTCACATTACTATAAAAAAGAAAAAACCTGGGAATGGGTAATTTATAAAGAAAAGGAGTTTAATTGGCTACGGTTCTGTAGGCTGTACAGGAAGCATGATGCTAGCATCCGCTCTGCTTCTGGGGAAGCCTCAGGAAACTTGCAATTGGGGCAGAAGGCAAATGGGGAGCCAGGAACTTTATATGGTGAAGCAGGAGCAAGGTGGGGGAGGTGTCACACACACTTTTTTTTTTTTAGACAGAGTCTCACTCTGTTGCCAGGCTGGAGTGCGGTGGTATGATCTCAGCTCACTGCAACCTCCGACTCCCTGGTTCAGACGATTCTCCTGCCTCAACCTCCTGGGTAGCTGGGATTACAGGCATGCACCACCACACCCAGCTAATTTTTTGTATTTTTAGTAGAGATGAGGTTTCACCATGTTGGCCAGGATGGTCTCGATCTCCTGACCTCGTGATCCACTCACCTCAGCCTCCCAAAGTGCTGGGATTACAGGCGTCAGCCACCACACCCAGCCTGTGTCACATACTTTTAAACAATCAGATCTCATGAGAACTCACTATCGCCGCAGCAGCATCAAGGAGGATAGTGTTAAACCATAAGAACTTGCCTTTATGATCCAATCACCTCCCCCCAGGCCACACTTCCAACATTGCGGGTTACCATTCAACATGAGATTTGGATGGGGACACAGATCTAAACCATACCAGACCCCACTGAAAGTATCCAGTCCAAATGCCAGCTATTGGGAGTGGCATCTGGGCCCTTCCTAATCAGCCTTCTCCACTCAGGAGTGAGATTGACCACCATCATCTGGGTTTAAACGAGGCCTCCATGAGCCTCAACATTTGAAGCGGATTCCCTGAAGCCAGCCAAGAAGAGGGGCTAGAGCTGCCTCTGGTCTCCCTTCTACATTTCCACCGCTACAGATTACCCACCTTATTCTCAGGGTTCAACTCAGACCAAATCTTTCCATAAGGCTAGCAGAAGGAGGACTCTGCCCTCATAAATGCTTAATTCGTCTTGCTACATTTTTAAACCAGGCCTTCATCATAAGAAGCAGCCAAGAAAGAAAGGTCTTATTTTATTTTATCCTAAATAAGACCAAGCTTATTAATAAATAAGCCCAAATCAATATTCAGTATTGATTTGCAATTCTCTGAAGAAAATGTGGGTGTAGGAACAGGTGGGTGGCAAAGCAGGGTGCAAGAAGACCATTTTGTGGGGGAAACCCTGGCTGAGATAGAACATATCCAGGCAGATTCCCCCTTATTCACAACCTCCCCCACCTTCCAATGCTAGACGGGAGCTCTCCTCCTCACTACCTAAGAGAGAGAAATCAATACCTCCCTCCTCACCCTCTTGCCCCTGAAAAAACACAGCCTTTCGTAGGTTTACAGACTTTTTCTTTTATTGTCAGGCATCCCAGGAAGGAGAAAGACTCACACTGTCTTATCTCCTAATTGAAATCACCCCCGATGTTATCTGAACTCTGAGCTTGCAGATACATTGTTGCTATTGTTGGTACTTAAGAACCAGTGAAATTAACTGGTGTGTCCACCAATCCCATAATTCAAGGCTGGACACTAAGATTATCAATAACCTTGTACTTCCATAAGAAATGTTTATACCTAAATGCCCCCTGCCAATGCCCATCTTCTCCTCTTGTAGGGATAAGAAAGCACCTACCGACTTTCCCTGACTTGGTGGACTTCACCCACCTGCGTGTACCAAGAAGCGAGGAGAAGAGGCAAACCTGCGAGCTCTGCTGCTTTGCGAAAACAAAAGGCAGCCCAAGGAGTAGCCTCGTACTTACTCTCTTTGGTCTCATAAAACATGTGTTTATTTTATGTTCTCCAGCTCACGAAAGTCCTTAACAGCTCTGCCATGATGCTACTTGGGGTGAACACAGGTCTTGTCACCGTGGATTTCTGCACACACAACAATTTTTGCAGCTCAGCATCCTAGCTCGGGCCTGTTCCACCACTTGAGAAGTTTATGACCCTTGAAAGGGAAGTACAGGCCCCACCATGCTTTAGTTTACCAAGGGACAAGATAATGGCAAAGGGTTCTTCTGCAATGCCCAGTTCGTTTATCAGTGATCAATGCCTTCCCAAGAAAAGCTATAAAGTCTCTGCTGGCTGCCATCTGGCTTCGACACGGCTCCAAGTTTCCGTTTCCAACTGCCAGTGTCCACAAAGGAACTTTTGTTTAAACTGGGGACAACCAGGGTGGTACCACCTGACAAACTGGATTTTTAATGAACACTTAGGACCCAGGGGAATTAGCTATTTAGGCTGGAGCTTTCTTGACCAAAGAGCCGTCAAGGCCAAAGAGCCAAGCTTCAGCCTATAGCAATAGCTTTGTGCAAGAAGGCGTGGACTGCTTTGAAACCCCCTAGCTTTCTCATGACCTCTCTCATTACCCTCAAAGGCAAGTGGCTGGTCCTTCATGCTAGAGCAGGCAAGAGAGTCTTTCTAAACCACAAGACAATGTGTTGATGCTGCCTGTTTCTCATGGGCAGTCCAGCTTTCTGAATAACCCCAGCTACAGGCTTTCTGATGTAACTAAAAATAAACCACGTCTTCAGTATGAAACAAAGTCCAGGAATTCTGTTTCAAGTAGAAAAATGGACTGCCACAATGTGGCTGGCACTTTCTTTAAATTATTAAGTTCCTGCAGGCCAGCTGACAGCAAATGTTCTCTTTGCCTTGTCATCTATTCCATCTCCTGCTACCACTGCTAATCATATTATAAATTTGTGCACCAGTATTGCTGTCTTCAGACCCCAATAATTCTCAGAGAATCAGCTCTTGTTTAGGACAAGCACATTCTCTTTTTCTCTACGAACTACACAGTCTTATAACCTCACCCAACAGGGGCACAAGAAGTATCATCCAAGCCAAAAAAAATGTTGCGGTGGGAGAAGTTACTCCCAAACCCATCCAAAAATGTCTCATGGGGAGACTGAGCTTTCATGAGAAGCCAGTCTGAAGGTTGCCAGACTAATTCAGCCTTATGTTTCCCAGAAAATATTTTGAAACTGGGTACACATAGCATACATTTGGGTTGTTTGTGGAAGGGCTATTGGACCAGGAGATAACATCAGTGGCTCCAGGGACTGGGTTACCTTTAGAATTTCCTCCTGGATAAGAGAGCTTGGACCTGAGAGTAACAGAGACCAGATAATGCCAGCCTAGTTCATTCCAAGACCCCCCATTCCCACCCACCCAACACACACACACACAGCCTCATACACACCCCTCAAAGGCCTTGCCTTAAATCCTGTCACTCATTCTGCCAGGCCTGGGCCCATACCCCGGGGCTGGGGTCTTCTCTACCACTTCCTGCTATTAAACTGAATTTAGGTCCTAGCTCCCACCCTGCCAAGCATCCTGGCACAGTCCCCAGGGGCCACTCCACCTCACTATAGGGAGACATTCGCCAACTGATCCCTAATACTGGCTTGAGAGGCACAAAATGTGTTTCCAGCCTTCAGTGGGACTCTAGTCCTGGAGGGGGTGCCCTGTGGTGCTGGAAGATTCTATTGCATGGTGGAGATACCTTCTCAGGGGAAATCCAGCTGCAAAAACACTTTTCATCAAGGTTTTAGCCATTCACATTAACTGAAGACAGAGACACCACATCAAAAGAGGCAGGAACAAAAATCACCCACATAGATATTTCTTTTCTCTGAGCTAATAGAACAAGAAGCCCACCATAACCACTCCACGCATTACCTGGAGACACTGGGTATTTCACTTTGCAATGGCCTTTGCACAGGCGGGAAGCCTTACTTCCCGAAGAATCCCAACAAGCATGACACAGTCTCTTGGTCTGTTTGCCTGACTGTCGCTAGGAATGAAGATGTGCCCCAGAATGGAATTTTCAGGAATGCATTCGTCTCTCTCCCATGGTGGCATCTGCAGCATAGCATGCTGTGTAATAATGGTCATTTCTGGTCCTGGCCCTGCTCTGGTTTTGGCCACACCCAGTTGGCACAGAGTGAGTCCCTGAGACAGTCCCAGGTGAATGTCTTGTCCAGTGTCTGAGGCAAAGGGGATAATAAGAAACAGACTTAAGGTCAGTTCTGGCTGTCAGAATGGAAGACATTAAAGGTCAAAGGAGAGCAGTAAACCAAGGTCGATCACACATATATGGAAGCCAAGAGACAAAGTTAGGCCAGAAGAACGGGAAGAGGCAGACTGGAAACCTGGGCCGGTCCAGCCCAGGCAGCAGCATCTTCTCAGCAGTAGTACAGCCTTTCTGCCCCACAGGGTTTTAGAAGCATCATTTCCTCACACCTATAAGCACCTACGCCTCAACATCTCCAACTCCTGCCTCTCCGAAAACGAAGCCCGCCCCCAGGAGGCTCTGTATTTCTCTCTCCAGCCTGGAGGTTGTTTGCTCTATTTCTTTTTCAGGGAGTTAGTATGGTAGACTCAGGGGAAAGTCTATAAAACATTTGAAAATACAATAGGCATCCTTAGAAATACAAAACTGAACTCTTAAAGTAACAGAAATGTACTGTAGTGGGCTGAAAATGCCCCCTGCAAAAGACATTTACATCCTAATCCCTGGAACTTGTAAATGTTATGTTATTTGGGACAAGGGTCTCTTTTTTCAAATGATGTGATTGAAGCTAAGAATCTAGTAATGGGGAGATTATCCTGGATTATCCGAGTGGGCTCTAATTGCCATCACAAGCGTCCTTAGAAGAGAGAGTCAGAGGGAGATCACATACACAGATGAGAAGGAGGAGCTGGGTAACCATGGAGAGAGATTGGCGCTCCCAGAAGGAACTCAGGTCTTTTGAGACCTTGATTTCAGTCCAGAGATACTGATTTTGGATTTCTGGCCTGCGGAACAATGAGATAATATGTTTCTGTCGTTTTAAGTCACCGAGGTTGTGGTAATTTGTTATAATGGCTATAGGAAATTAATACATCCACAAAACAAACTAACAAAAAAAAATTACAAAACTGAAAACCAGAGTGATAGCACACACTAAGATTTTGGCTGTTCGGAGGCAATTGCTTATCTTGTAAAATGAATGCTAGAGTTTTATTAGCCACATGGGATAGATGGCAAGGTTTTAGGTTATGCTGGGATAGAGGAATTAGAACTACAATACTTTCCACACACATATTCACACACCAGCTATCTTAGAGGGCTCGACATCAGGGAAGATGAGACTTGGATGTGGGTCCTGAACACAGGCACGGGGAGGTAAGAAAGCTTGTCTGCCTCAGTCTGAGTCCTGGATTGAGAGGGGTTGAGAGTGATCTCCCTTAATACCTCATTACTTCAAGCTTACCCTCATATGAGTTGGGGTTCAAATTTATACTACCAGGGAATGTATGGAAATATCCAGCCTGGAAATTAACATTACCTACGGTAATAACATCTCACAGATAAAATTCCTAGAATAAGCTCAAAATCCAATCTTGCAAAGTGCATGAGGTAATAAGCTATCTTAGACATGAGTCAACAGAAAAGCAGAAGAAATGTACTCAGGAGTGCCAGAATTGGATTATAAAATTCCTTTATCAGATAAGTATTAATTTTAAATGATTAAATAAATAAAACATATGATCAAGAGCAAGAGAGACAAAGATTATCTTAAAAAATAATACCTGGGAGATTTGAAAACTATTCAATGAGAACTTCTAGAGGTTAAAAAAAGACATTCAATGAAAAATGAATTGCCTGAGTTCAGCTGAAGATTAGACACAGCTAGAAAGAAAATTAATGAACCAGAAGATAGTTTTTAAAGTCATTATCCAGAATGCAACAGAGAGACAAAGATGGAAAATATGAAAAAGAGTTCAAATTGAGAAGTCTAACACAAGTCACAAAGGAATTTCTAAAGGAGGGATAGAAAGAATGGGAATCAGTGTTCAAAGAAATAAGTAACTGAACATGAGTTACATGATTTGCATCTGAGATGCAAATCCTCAGATCTGAGAAGCACAAACCCCAGATAGGATAAATAAAATTAGACCTACCCCTAGCTACACTGTAGTGAAACTACAGAGCTTCCAGGACAAAGACTTTCAAAGCAAATCCATAGAAAAGAGAGATCACCTACAGAGAAATGACCCCAAAATCAAAGACCAACAGCAACAGCAGGAACCAGAAACAGAGGAACATCCTTTCCAAAATGTTGAGAGAAAATAACTCAACTTAGAAATCTATATCCAGCTGACATTATCCAGTAACAGTAGCCAAAATAAAACTAAACATTCTAGAGACCCAGCTGTGGAGGCTTTGCTGTAGCTTGTCCTGGCCTCCAGTGCAGATTGGTCTTGATCATGGATGATCATCTCAGCTGTGACTGGCCTGATCCCTACAACCCAACTTCTCCAACCTGGGAGTTCTCCCAGCAATACTTTCTGCTTAACAGGCCACAGGGTGTTGCCTATTAATGGAAGGGAGGAGGCATGAGGGGTTCCCTTCCTGAGATACTATTCCTTTTCACCTGTCTTAGAAGTGGCTATTTCCTCTGTGCTGAGGAAGGTGCATGCTGGCCTCCAGCATCCCAGGGCACCTCCTCGCCCGGCCTTCTGCCCCTCCATCCTCTGCTCCCTTGCCCTAGTCCTTCTTTGGATCCCTCTACCCAGCCTTTCAGACAACTGCTCCATGTTAAGCACTGATGACATTGTAGACCCTGCCTCAGTCTCCAAATAGACCTTTCCACATTTCCTGACACATTTCTGAGTCTACCATGTCTCTGTGCGGAGTGGTTCATGCCTCTCTAGAGCTCGCATCCCTTCCTGGAGACCTGTTGCTTCTGGTGCTCCTGACTGGGGCTGCAGTCACCCAGGGACTCAGAGGGACCCACCACATACATTCCTTTTCAGATTCACTTCTCACCATGGAATCAAGGTCAAAACTTCTGTCTTTTCAAGTAGCTAAGAGCACCACCCTCTTAGAGCTGCTCAAAATCTCTTTAAGTCTCTCCCCAGCAGTGGCCGTCTTCCTCCTGCCCATCACTCCTCTAATTCCCTAGCCTGGCAGAGATGAAAACATCCTCCTCCCTTTTTCCCTTTACTCCTGTCCCCAGACCAGTTCTTTCTTTAAGTGACCTAACTCGTCTTCACTATATGTAACTGGTAATGGCTTTGGGGAGATCAAAGAGAAGACTTCAAGTTTCAGGAAGTCCAGCCAAGTGGAATCTAGCCTGGCCACTCAGCCGCCATCATGACATTGTCTTTGTCCTTCGATGGGAGTCCCCCACTGGCTCTCCTTCCCTTTGGGGTCCGAGGCTGAGTCTCCCTCCTAGCCACACTGGCACTAGACCCTGTAGATGACAACAAAAGGTAAATGCAGGCACTAAAGAGGATGCTTGATATAAAGGGCCGACAAAAACGCAGTTACTTTTCAGATGAAAGTCCAGACTCCATGTCTGTTTCATCTAGCTCATTCCTTACATACTTAGAAAACAGATGTGATCTGAATTGGTCAAGGAACTAATGTCCAAAAGAAAAATGTGGTCCAAGACCATAAAACCACAAGTGGGTTCTTCATCAAGGTCTGAACATCATCGCCCAGAGAGATGGGTGGCTGGGAATGCCAGTACATCATTAGTATATAATTTTATATTTTCAAAGCATTTTACAGCAAGACTTTTATAATCTTCCCTACTCCAAACATCACATTGTCAGTGTTAAGACTTCAAATAATCCCTGATGCTTTGGGGTTTCCCACTGACCCATGTGGAAACCCACCTCATTTGCTTCTTGCCTTGTGGTTCCCATCACGGGCTGAGCCTTACTCACCCATGGCCATATCATGGGGACCATCATGGAGGTTTTGTTAAACCTACAGCCATTACATTTTATTCAGGAAGAATGGGAGGGAAAGCTTGTCTGTTTAAGAGCTTTTTCCTCAATTTATTTACTTATGTATTTTGATTGATACATAATAGTTCATATTTTGAGGGT
The DNA here is from genome assembly GCF_000001405.40 of Homo sapiens. Classification (NCBI taxonomy): domain Eukaryota; kingdom Metazoa; phylum Chordata; class Mammalia; order Primates; family Hominidae; genus Homo; species Homo sapiens. Next base: position 13,902,797 of record NC_000001.11, on the reverse strand, counting down.
GCATGTGATATTTCATTACATTCATATAATGTGTAATGATCAAATCAGGGTAATAGGGAGAAATATTCATCATCTCAAACATTTTTCTTTATGCCAGGAACATTCCCATTCTTCTCCTCTAGGTATTTTGAAATACGCAATTAATTACAGTCACCCTCCAGAGCTATCAAACACTAGATCGTATTCCTTCTACCTACCTGTATTTTTGCACCCATTCATCAGCCTCTTTTTATTCCCCCTCTTCCCTGTCTCCCTTCCTGCCTCTGGTAGCCGCCAGGGTTTGGGAACACAAGTGATAAAAATCAACTCTTAAAGTTGTTTGGAAGCTGGTTTAGATATCCACATCAGGCCTAATGAAAACAGCCTGCATGAAGTTAAGCCGGCTGACTACACATGTCCAAGAATGAGACCAACTCTAAATGCTAAGTATATACCCCCTACACCCTGGGGAAGACAAAGCACCTTCACGGTCCCACTCCTTATGGACTTTTGGTATCATGGAAGCCAGTTTCAAAGGAGGAAACCCTCCGGTCATTTAATCCCAGCACTTTCAGAAGAAAGAACCAAGGGTAAAGAAGGATCGCCAAGTTATTCTCCCACAAATGGGCCATTTTTCTTCTTTCTCAAAAACAGCCCCCATTATCTCACCAAATCCAGAGACATCCCTCTTGCCTTGTGGTGCCACCATCAAGGGCAGAGAGCCAGCTCTGTGGCTGACCACCCCGGGGCTGCCTGGGGCCGTGTGTATCAGTAATTCGGCTAAGGCCTTCCCTTTCTGCACTGGATAATCTCGGGTCCAAAACTGAAATGCCTCAGAGCCTTGAGGCTATGTGTTTCTTATCCACATCCCCTGCCAGGCCTTCAGGAACCCATGACCAAGGAAAGGGAGCAAACATCAGTAGCACAAGTAAAGCACCTTTATCACAATCCTAGTGCATACTTCATCGTACAACAAGCTAGGCAAGGATGCAAGAAGCTGACAGCTGGAGAGACACATGTGTTCACACGTGGCAGAACTCAGATGCCTGTCAAACAGTGGATATCTCACACACAAGGTTGAAACAAGAGCAAAAGGTTAAGAGTATCGCTGATGCCGGTAGCAGCTTTTAAGCTGGCATGGGAAGCCTGCTAGCCAGAACTGAACGCTTAAGCCAGAGCTTGTAACCTGGTGGCCCACTGGCAGGACGCAGCTGGAGAGTTTGGCCTCTGGAATTTCAAACCTTTCATTGGTAATACACATCCACAAATTGGAGGGCTTAATAGGAACATTGGGACTCCAGGTTTCTCTTGGAAAACATGATCTGGCAACACTGGAAATCCTAATAGAATCTCTGAGAAGTGGCACCCAGCTCACCTGACCTGTCCGGCCCCTTGTTTCAGACCAAATATCCGCTTCTTCCCGTGACTGTCTTTTTAACCTTAAACTGCTTCCTCCGGGATCAGATGATCCACATTTTGTTTAAGTAATATTGGAATTTTATTTACTCAGCTGCCTCTTATTAAGGGTGACCGTATGATTTAACATGCAAACAAAGACATGCTTGAGAATGAACGTTGATACTGTTAATTATACCAGCAAGAGACACACAAACCCCAGGCAAACTCGGTCCAATGAGGGCCCTTCTTTAAACATCCTTTTGTGATTGGAGGGGACGGGGGGTGGCTGTTTTTATAACCGGTCGGTTCTTGGCCTTGGGAATCAAGAAAAGAAAAAATGTTGAGGTTTTCTTTTTTTGTTTTTTGTTTTTTTTTTTTCAATGATTAGCCAAGGAAAACAAGTAGCAACTTTTTTACTTGTCAGGAAGACATGACCAGAAGGAATGTTTTAATCCTAGTGTTATTAAACTTCCTCTCATTAAACAAAATACAGCAATTGCACTAATAACAAATAGTAATAGTTACAGCAAATGTTGATCTACTATAGCATTCTGTGTCAGGCACTGTGAAAAACATTTTACACATAATGACTCATTGTCAGACTCATCACAACCCTATGAAGTAGTAAACTATTATTCTCCTTGTGCAAATGAGAAAAATGTGGCACAGAGAGGTTAAGGTACTTGCCCAAGGTCACACAGCTAGTGAACGGCAGAAGTGGAATTTGAACCCAAGCCATGGAGCTCTTAAGTCCATACTAAAAATCACATGCCCCTGCCTCTGACAAATAGGTCTCTGGAGAAATAAGACTACTTCTGATGTAGTGATGTGGGAGGCCCGTGCTGCTCACAAGCTGAGACCACTGTGTACGCTGCTTACTCCAAGGCTATGAGGACCCCACTTCACCCTGTTGCTTTTTCCTCAAGAAAATAAGCAACTTGTAGGAACTTCTTGAGGTCAAGCAGTGGTCCAAGGGGCATCATCGACAGTAAGTGCTTGCACCACCAGCTGCATGAGTCCCAAGGAGATCACCAGGGGCTGGTAGGGGATACTTTACCTTGGGGCTGAGGGTGAGGGATTGGGCAGGGAGGGGCTGCTGGAGGAAAGGAATGAAATCCTGACTCCCACCTCTTTGTCCATTGTGCCTCACATGTGTCTCTTTCCCTTTAAGGCCTGGAGTTCAGAGTACTCAGTCTGATCAGCCCAAGGGACTATTGGAATAAGTTGTTTTCCCCACTGACCTGGAATCCAGGTCGAGGCAAACTTGAGGACTATCAAGAAGAATTAGTCTTGAGAAAGAGAATGAACATAACCGCAATTTTGCTTTGCCAGATTCCACTAACACCATTTCATCATGCTAGCAGCTACTCATAAGGATGACAGCCGCCCCATAAAATGACTAATGATATGGTCTAAAACAGATGCGTCAATATCTTACTGATGAAAGCTGCTACATTGTCAGCACCATATAAGGCACAGAGGGTCCAAAGACAACCAAGATAGGCCGGGCACACTTTGGGAGGCCGAGGCAGGCAGATCACCTGAGGTCAGGAGTTCGAGACCAGACTGACCAACATGGTGAAACCCCATCTCTACTAAAAATACAAAAATTAGCTGGGCATGGTGGCACAAACCTGTAATCCCAGCTACTCAGGAGGCTGAGGCACAAGAATCACTTGAACCCAGGAGGCGGAGGTTGCAGTGAGCTGAGATCGCACCACTGCACTCCAGCCTGGGCGACAGTGCGAGACTCCACCTCAAAAAAAAAAAAAAAAAGGACAACCAAGATAACAGTTGTTGACCTCAGGAAGCTTAGAGTCTAACACAGAAGACATCAATGAACAGAAATCACAACCCAACATAACATGTTATGAGGAGTGACTGTCACCCCAGTGTTAACAGATTCCACATTCATTCAACAAACAGTCATTTGCTGGCACAGATGTTCAGCAACATTTCTGGAGATTAATTTCTGGAGGACAGTCTGGAAGGAAGAACAGGAATAAATAGGGACTTCAGATCCAGATGGCTTGAATTTGAATCCTGGCCCAACTACTAACTAGTTAAGAGAAATATTTCTCTTTACGGGCCTCGAGTTTTCTCATCTATAAAATGGGGATGATTTCACTTGCCTTCTGAGGATGCAACAAGGTGAAACAAGGTAATATGTAAAGAATGTAGCACAATAACCATCCCAGAATAAGTACCCAATAAGTGCCACCTATGGTTGTGCCCAATTGCCAGCAGTTCGCCATGGCGAATCTTTTTCTGGAATGTCAGAACACACTGTTTCCACTGGAGAAACAGCCAGGCAAGAAACAGGTCCTACACACCACCCCTCAGGGATATACAAGGAAACCTTAAAGCTGTGCTCCCATTCCCATGGACGGAATGACAGGAAGTGTGTGCTTGCTTCTTTGCTCATCTTCGTCTGTTTAACTTTTGCAAAAGTCCCCAATGTGCACAGCTCACCACAGATGCCATAAATGTTAGTTCCCTTGCCCTCTTAGTTATAAATTTGGCAATTGGCTTCCAAATGTAGCTAGGCTCCATATTCAGAAGGACCCCTATATTGTTTAAAAGGCAGGGAAAGGGGTTCAGCTGGCAGCCTTCAGAAGGAGCATGATAATAGGTACCAGTCTGACAGGTGAGAGAGACAGACAGACAGGCATGGCTTGCACATGTCTGAGTTTCTGCATGGTGTGGTGCAGGGGACCAATCCCTCACTAATCATGCAAACAAGGAGCCTTGCAGGTGGCATCAGAGCTGCAGCCCAGGAACAGTGCCAAGCAGCAGCAGTCCAGGTGCTGAAGTCCTGTCACCTTCCTGTCCTCATCTCCCTTCCACCCTCCACGAGCTGGGCCTGGATTCATGCAGCGTCAGCAGGACATATTAGATAAAATGACTTTAGTTGTTTGGGTCAAGCAAGGTAACTGCAGAAATGCTTTCTGCCCACATGAAACGGGTTGGAAATCAACTTCCGTAACACACGCGCAACTTAGCAAGTCAGAACTTGGCACAATAGATGAAGTCCCCACCAGCTATGGTCTGCAAGCTGGGGGTCACCCAACCAATAGACTGCCAGGCCAGGGGATGGGGCAACAGCCCTCTGCAGAGACGCAGCCAAATGCCAGGTCAGGGGGTAGAGGGTGTCCAGTTAAACATTTTGGGAACCCAGGAGAATATAGACAAGGGAACTTGTCCAGCTGCACTGAGACCACAAGAATACCAGCTCGAGTCTGTACTGCCTATCCCCTCGGAGGTCCCCCCAACATCCTCAGATGTTGGACACAGCTGAACCCCTGTATGTTTCTGAATATTACGATATCAGCAGATACCCTGCCTGGGAGTGTGGCCTTAAGCTCCCACCTGAAGGAGGTCAGGCAGCACGAATGGACAGCGGCAGCCTCCATTGGTCATGCCTGCCTGGCCAGACCAACTTCTCACCTACCATTTTGGGCTATAGCAGGGGCAAAGTCAAGTAAAAGAAATTTGGGTGGGGGGTTAGAAATAGAAGAGGATGAACTTCCTCACAGGACTATTAAGTGAGATGAAGGACCTGGAGAGGGAGGAAGGTGGGCAACAGCATCAAAGCCACTGCAAGATCCAAAATGCTGCTCTCTCCTCCAAATCCTTGAGCGAGACAAGACACATTTTTTAAAACCCTTTGCAGAAGCTGTGGAATTGCCTTTTTTGAGCACAGCCTTTGGGGTTGGGCTGCCTGAAGTTTAAATCTCAACTCTGCCAACATGGAAATCTCACTGGTTAACTAGGGAATGCTCCATCCACCCTGCAGGGTGGCATGAAAATGAGGCAGATGTGAGTTTGTCTAGCACAGGTGCTATAGATTTGGGCACATGCTGAGAACTCTGTTCTTGCCAGGACTTTCAGATCTATTCTAAAAGCTTCCTGAAGCAACCCCTACATACATGTATGAGCCTGAGAGTGTGGCCTCGTGTGTGGATGGTGGAAGAGAACATGAGAAAACCACAGCACCATGTAGCATCAAGGGTACCAGCAAATAAGCATCTTTCAGAGCCACACTCTCAGGCTTGATCCCTTTCACATTGTGCCACATAAATTCTGTCTAACCCCATTCTGTGCTTCCTATGCTGGTCTAGGGGAGGGGTCAGCAAAGTTTTTGTTTTTTCTGCAAGGAGCCAGATAATAAGTATTATTGGCTTTATGGTTCGCATGGTTTCACTCATGACTACTTGACTCTGCCACTGTAGCACAAAAGCAGCCGCAGACAAAATGTACATAAATGGGCATGGCTGTGTGCCAATAAAACTTTATTTACAAAAGCAAGTAGTGGGCCAGATTTGGCCCCAGGGATGTAGCTTGCCAACCTTTGGTTTGAAGCTCACACAGCCAGCAACAGCCAAACTGGGACTAAATGAGAAAGAACCACATGCTCTTCCCATGGCCCCACCAGACCTTCATGCTCCCACTACTGCTAATTGGGTCAAAGCTTTTATTGGTCTCATCTGTGCCCAATTTTGCCCTGCCTCCAAGAAACCTATCTCTGCTGCCCCACTAAATCCTAGGCGCCCTTTAGTGCTCAGCCCCCTCCCATTCCCACCTCTTTAAGCATCCTTACCGCTCCATTTCTGGAAATCAACTTTTTCTCCTAAGACATGAGATACTTACAGATATAAAAGATTAGCCCCAGTTGTCACCAGGGACTATGCAATTTAGAGGTTAAAGGCAAAGGCCTGAGCATCAGACCAAGGCTTTCCTTCCCAAATGGTGTGAAGGTGGGCATGCGGGCAACCCCTGTGTATTTCCTTTGCCTATGGAAATTGGGTAGGATTTTTAAAAATTACAGGAGCCTGGCATGGTTGCTCACTCCTATAATCCCAGTATCTGGGGAGGCTGAGACAGAAGGATCGCTTGAGCCCAGGAGTTCAAGACCAGCCTGGGCAACATAACGAGACTTCATCTCTACAAAAAAAATTAAAAAATTAACCTGGAATGGTGGTACATGCCTGTGGTCCCAGCTACTTGAGAGACTGAGATGGGAGGATCGCTTGAGCCTAGGAGGTCAAGGCTGCAGTGAGCTATGATCATGCCACTGCACTACAGCCTGGCCCACCATTTGCTTTTGCAAATAAAGTTCTATTGGCACACAGCCATGCCCATTCGTATACACTTTGTCTGTGGCTGCTTTCATGCTACAACGGTAGAGCCAAGTAGTCATGAGCGAAAACTTGTAGACTATAAAGCCAACAATATTTATTATCTGGCTCTTTGCAAAAGAAACAAAACCTTTGTCAACCCCTGCCCTAGACCAGCATAGGTAGCAGGAGGCAGAGGTGGCAGGACCACTTGAGCCTAGGAGGTTGAGGTTGCAGTGAGCTATGATCATGCCACTGCACTGTAGCCTGGGTGACAAAGCAAGACCCTGTCTCAAAAAATAAAAAAAAAAATTATGAAAATTACAGGAGATAGTTTATGTAAAACATATAAGAAGGGTTGTTCAGGAAATGGTATCATTGAAAAGTCACATTTTGTGTAATTCTCTTTTCCTCAATATGCTTTATGTTTACACCAGCGAGACCAACATCTCCAGGAGTATGAGCCGTAACTTACTCTCCAGATCCTGTGGTTCCTGGCACCGTGCACAGTACATAGTAGGTACTCGGTGAGTACGTGGGATCTGTAGCTACCTCTCACTTGGGAATATATGTGATTCACCCAGCTGTAAACCCCTAGAGTCTGCGAATCATTTTCACATACACTTAAGATCTCGTTTGTGATACCTGCTGGACTGTAAATGGCTGGCTGGAGACGTATCAGTGTTGGTCTCCATCCCTTTCGCGTCCTAATTGAGTGAGCTCTTTTGACTTAAGGTTAATGATTCCTCTTTGCGTTTCTTCAGGGAGAGTGTTCTCCCTGGAGACTGCTGGTCATTATTATTCCATGTTGCATTGCTCTCTTGACATAAAGGATGTTTTTTTAAAAAAGAGGCAGAGGATTTCATGGCCTGATTTAGGCCTGGGTGCTTCTAAAAGAAAGTGAATGAAGCCGCAGGGGAGGTACTTTAGAAATCCGACGTGCCTTCCCACAGGATCCTCAGAGAAGTAGAAAGGCAAGGCAAGGGAACCTCAGTCCAGGAAAGCTTCTGAGCCCTCCTACCTAATCCATTCCAGATAAAATATTCCACAGATGTATGGAGTGGGAGATTTTCAACCTTCTGGACAAACCAAAATCAAGTTAGGAGTGCAGTGGGTGGCAAAGGGTGTGTGTTCAATGCTTCCATTGTCTACTACCAAAGGCAGCTATGCCCCTCCCTGCAAACAGAGATGCCTTGACTGACCCATAGAAGGATGTTTTCACATATTAACTTAATTAATCTTTGCAATGACCTTATGGAGTGCCTAGTAGCACCGTTTTACAAAAGAGGAAACTGAGGCATACAGAGGCTAAGTAACTTGCCTGAGATCACACAGTTTTTAATAAGTGAAACTGGGACCCCAACCCAGCAGTCAGCTCCAGAGCCCTCACTCACCCACTCCACGAGCTGCCTCTCTGTGCAGACACATCCAGTTTTAGAAACCAGCTCCAGTGTGTCTTCTCCACCAAGCTGTGCTCCTCTGAGCTCACCGAATCTCAGGCCTGGATGGACCCAGCAGCCCTGAATCCAGTTCTCTTGTTTTGCAGCAGGGGACGGATACCCCAGGAAGGGGGGTGCAGTCTGCAATTTCCAAGGTCATGCAACTACCCAATGAAAGCATCAACACTGACTCAGGCCCCCAGACTCCTAATACAGTGCTCGTCTCACCATCTTCCTGAGACTCACGGTCAAAATCCACAATTAACCCTATAACACCCAGGAAAACATTGGAGGAATGTGTGGTTGTTTTCCCAGTGAGAATTAACGCCAAAAAAGTCGAGAAACAGGCATCCTATTTCGTGTGTGACTCCAACCCAATCATAAGCATGTCTTAAGCACCACTTGTGAGTTTGAGCATGGTGACTATTTGCACCAAGCCATCCATCCTCACCTTTTTTTTTTTATGTGACCACATGTGCATCCTAGCAAGATGGCTAGCATGGGTTATAAGGCCCGCAGCCCATGCCAATCTTTCCCTTCTGTATAAAACGTGAGCCATTTGGAAGACAAATTCATGAGCACAGACTAATGAGGAATCCCCACAACCAAGTCAAAGCCTGGGAGAGGCTGCTCAGAGCAGACACTTATAAGCATGGAAGTTACTCCAGCAGGGGCTGGGGGGGCATAGATTAAACATAACTCTTAGGAGCAGAGAGAGGCAAGCTGACAAAGGCAACCAGGCTACGACTGGCACCTGGCCTCAAAAGATGGCCACAGCATGGCATCATCAGATCCATCCTGACGCACCCTCCTTCACCCCCCAGCTAGCCACAGAGAAAATCGATGACGAAGGACAAACAAGGCCCCTCACTCATTGCAAAAGCAGCGCGTTGTCTCATGGCAAGTCCTAAAAACTTTATCTTTTACAGTGATAAATGCCAGGCAAACATTTCACTAGCTAGTTAAGTCTTACATCCCACATTATATCAAGAAAGAGATGAGGTAGACTGACAGACACACAGACACACACAGACCGCTGTTTTTGGGGACCCGGGATAACGCTCCACTTCCCATTCTCTGGGCACATGACACACGACGCAATTCCTACCTGCTTGCATAAGTTGGCACTGCTGACCAAAGACGTGGGAGAAGGTGACGGGGCCTGTGGCAGAATTGGATGTCGCCAGCGTGGATTCCATGGCTCTTTTGGGGTCTTTGGTGTTGGTCATGTGGCAGCGTCCAGACCCTTGGAGTGTCAGAGCAAAGGATGCCGTCGCTGGCCCAGGAACTGCAGATCTGAGGCTACTTGTCACTTCCAAGAAAATGTCCCCGCCCCCAAAGTTTATAGTGTTTCTTCCTTTCGCCACCCTTTCCTTGCAGTTTTTCTCAAACACCAGTCAAGTAAAAAATGAAACCCTATAAGCCTTGGCAAATCTTGCACAGCAGCAGTTCCATGCAAAAGAAAAATCTAAGTTTCCCCCTAACCAGGAGTCGTGGCTTCTTGACCCGGAAGGGTGGCTGGAACTTGCCCCCCGGCCCGGGGCTGCTTCTCCTGGGGTCACCTGGAAGGGGCAGGGTCCCCGGGAGCAGCTCAGCCCCGGCTGTGTTCCAGCACCAGCTGCCGGCAGAGCGCTGCCCAGGCCCCGCGGCGTCTCAGTCCAGGGAGGCAGGCAGGGCGCGAGGCTGCCCCAGGGTCCCCGGGGAGCTGGCCTTGCTGGCGCCGCCCCGCTGCCTGCAGCGCCGACCCTGGGCTCCCGCGTCCCCGCGCGAGCGCCGCGGCCCCAGGTCCTGCACGCGCCAGGCGTCCGGCTGCTGCCAAAGGGAGAGCGCGGGAGGCGGGCGGCGCGGGCCGCACGGGCGCGGTGCAGCTCCGGACCCGCAGGCGTCTCCGGCTCATCCTCCACTCGGGACGCCTAGGCCCTGCCGCTCCCCACTCCTCGCGTGGCAGCAGGGAGGGACTGAGACCTGCTGCAGCGGCCCCCAGCCCGCGCCGCCACCCCGGTGCGGCGATGCAAAGGGGGCAGTTCCTGGGAGATATTCTGGATGCGGAGGGAAGTGCTAACTCAGCCCAGCAGGCTCCAGGGCTGCTGTAACCTCTTCCTGCCCACAGCCAAGGAAGTGCCAGGCACGGGAGACCCGACTGCCTGCGATAAAATCCAGAGACCAAGAAGAGAAAAGGAGAAAATGCCACACATCCCCTAGGGCGCTCCGGTGATACAGAGATCTGAGTACTTCATCTTAGCCGACCCAACCCTACTGTGTATGAAGGATCTGTCCCCTGCTCCAAACCAAAAGGGGCCGCTTCTCTGGAAAAGGAGGAGAGGGGTACTTTTTGCATGATTCCAACAGCTATTTCTGCCAGTGCTGGGTTTATTTTGCTATTCCACCTGCTAATCATGAAGATGCTAACTCCAGAGAGGCTGCATCATCTCGGGCCAGCATTTAGGGTACTTTGAGGATTCCGCTGAGACATTGGTACTGGCAATCACCTCTCTAGGCAGCAACACACGTGCAGGGAGAGAGAGGCTGTGCCACAATGAGCTCAGCTGCAGCCGTCAAAGCACCCGTGTCTGTTTCCCTCCGGAGAACTTTGATTTAGAAAAGCCATTTGCCTCTTCTGTATTTAAGCAACAGAAGATAAACTCACAACTGATCTAGGGGCCAGAAAGACTCTCAAACAGGCCTTTTTCCATTACAGCCCTTGGCCAGCAAACACATGCAGCTTAGTGATGTTTTGAGGGTTCCTTGGGATGGGTAAGACAAGGCAGAGGAGCCTTGAAGTAGTTCCAAGAGTTCAAAGGAAGTCTGACTTTGTGTTAATGCTGCTTCCAGGTAGTTTAAGTGATTGAGCATCCCTTTTCTTGTCATGCATGAGGCTCTTCTCCGTGTCATGAAACTGTAGGACACCAGGGACCATTTCTCTCTGGCAAATTGGGTCTAAGGTGGTCAAGAGCTAGGGTTAGAAGACCAGATCTCTTGATATCTGCAGAAACCCCACGCAGGAAGGGAAATAGATTGGTTTTTCAGGTCTGAGTGGAAATGGAAGTTATAATGCCTCCCAGCAATGGCCCATTAGCTGCTGTTAAAAAAAAAAAAAAAATCCAAGGTGAACATTTATATAGTAGTTTAACCTGCAGATGTCTTCTGTTTGGCAATCTATGTTTTCCTCCATTCTCTGTATACCCAGTCCATTGCTTCTCACTGCTAAATAGTGTTTCATATATTAAATGTACGATTTTACTCTATCTGCTCCCTTAGCACCTGGCAACTGACTTGCTTCCCAAGCTCTCCTCCTATAAACAGCACAGCACTGGGAGCAGTGGTTCACACCTGTAATCTCAGCACTTTGGGAGGCTGAGGCGGGTGGATCACCTGAGGTTAGGAGTTCGAAACCAGCCTGGCCAATATGGTGAAATGCCATCTCTGCTAAAAATACAAAAAAAAAAAAAAAATTAGCCGAGTGTGGTGTTGGGTGCCTGTAATCCCAGCTGCTCGGGAGGCTGAGGCAGGAGAATCGCTTGAACCTGGGAGGCGGAGGCTGCAGTGAGCTGAGATCTCGCCACTGCACTCCAGCCTGGGTGACAGAGCAAGACTCCATCTCAAAAAAAACCAAAACAAAACAAAAGAAAAAAAGCAGCACAGTGATGATGCCATCAAGCATTAAGGTCATCAAGCAATATATTGTTCAAATCAGGACACTCTGAAAGTAAGTGGAGGTGCCACTGATAACTACACCGGGATACACAGCATAAACCAGGAGGGATGGAGAGCAGCACAAGAATTTCCCTGGCTACACAACCAGGAGTAGAATTGTTCAAGGATAAATGCAAATTTGATTTCACTAAATGCTTCCAAGTACTACTCCAGAATGGCTGTGCTGGTTTACACGCCCACTAGTACTACACATGGTGCTTGTACTCCCACTCTCCCACACTTTTGCCAGTAACTGTTGTTGGCAGAAATTAGAAAGCTAGGAAATTTAACAGGTACAGTTCATTATAATTCATTGTTTTGATTTGCCTTTCCTTAATTACTAAGTCAAGTACTTCTTGAAAAGCTTACCAGCTATGGAGGCTTCCTCCTCAGGAAATTTCCTGTTCATAGTCTTTGCCCATTTTTTCAGTCATTTTACTATTTTCCAGCATTCTTGTTGATTCATCAGAGTTCATTGGTTTTGCTAGCTATTAACCTCTAATCCACCTAGATTTTACAAGTTATCTTCTCCCAGTTGGTCATCCAGCTGTTAACTACCCATGGTGTCTTTCCTTGACTTGAAATACTTAATTTTAGGGTAATCTGGTCAGTTGCTCTTTTGACTTATAGTCTGATTTGGGGGTCTTGCTTAAAACATCCTTCCCTCTTGATTGCAAAGTTAGCCTTTTTATAGTTTTACCTTTCATACTCGGGTCTATCTGGAGCTTATTTTTATATCTCGTATTCGGTAGGGTTCACCTTTTTCCCCTCAAGATTGTAAAACAGTTTTCCCAAAACCATCTTTTCCTTATGCAATGGGCTGAATGTTTATGTTCCTCCAAAACTGATATGTAGAAATCCTAACTCTCGATATGATACAATTAGGAGACAAAGCCTTTGGGGGGGTGATACGATAATGAGGGTGGAGCCATTGTGAATGGGATTGCTGCCCTTATAAAAGGGATCCCAGGGAACTTTCTAGCTCTCTTTCCACCAAGTGAGGACATAGAGAGAAGCTGGCAGCCTGCAATCTGCAAGTGGACCCTCACCAGAACCAGGCCACGCTGGCACCCTGATCTCAGACTTCCAGCCTCTAGAACTGTGAGAAATACATTTCTGTTGGTTATCAGCCACCCAGTCTATGGCATTCCACTGTAGCAGCTCGAACTGACCAAGGCCCCCTACCTATCTTTTTCCACTGTGGCATCACTATTATTACCTATCACGCTTCCATATACATGAGTATATTCTTGAGCTCTCTATCCTATCTACTGATTCCTCAAACTATGCTATCAATATTCAAATTTTAAAGTTAGTGGCTAACATTTTAAGACGTTTGGATTTTGAATTTTTCAAGACGAGTCAGATTTGATAGTGTTGAGTCTGCATGTCTCATGCCACAATAAATTGGAGCAGCAATTACCCCCTTTATATGGAATGCTTGCCATCCTGTTACACCCAGCATGGACTGCATTCATTTACAATACAAGCCTATTCCTCACAGAGACGTGTTCAGGTACTGCAATGTCTCTGGAGAGAGAGGTCAAAAGAAAGTCACACAGGAGAAGTCATTAACTGATGTATAGGACTCTTGTTACATCTGCATTAATAAGGATCATTTATTTAATATCTATTTGATCCCTAACCCTAGGCTAACCACAGGTAGATGGGACAGTGGTGTGCATGGAAAGTGGTAGAGGGAAGGAATGAAGAGACAGTGGGAAAAGCAACACAAAATGTATCTATGTATATATGATAAACACAAAGAATGATTAAGTACACAAGTGGAAAGACACGAAAGCACATTGGGAATTACGGCCATGAAAGGTCTTGTCATTCTAATACAGGTGACAGCTGGAGCCTTCAGGGAGAACTTTATAGGAGGCAGTGTTAGACCTGGATCTAAGAAGAGAAGTAGGATTTGTTTCAGTAGAAGGAAGAGGATTGGGTTGGGGAGGGAATTTGGGCAAGTCATTCGGACAAGGCTAGCATAAATATCCTGTTATACTGAAAACATTTTAAAGTCTAGTTCGGGCTTTTTAGATAAGAAATAATATAAATTTGCTCTGGTTCAAATCAATAATTATCTCCTTATTTTTAAGATTTCTTGTAGGGGATGAGTCAGAGTGGTGGGAAAAACTATAGGGAAAAGACACAAACCTTCTGAAAAGTCGGAAGGTTCTGCAGAGCCCCGGGGGAGAATAGCTGAAGGCAGCTGTCCTATAACCCTGAGGCAGAGGGCAAGGGAGTGTGGGGGAATTTATCTTAAACAGGCTTGTTTACTTACATTGACCAGGAATTGACCTTTGATCACCCGCCCAAGACGTTCCCTGAAAGGGGAACAATAAATGTTAATTACCTACAGGTTGTGTTGGCTCCAGGTTTTCGGCATTGTGCCTGCACTGAGTAAAAGCAAGCAGCTCCAGCTTCTCGGGGCTGCTCTCTGGCCACTAAACCAGGCAGCCACCTAGCCACTGCATACCTCTGTATGAGTACTCATTTCATCCATCAGCCAGGGTCCGCAGGACAGACCCAACAATCTCCTTAGTACGTCTTCAGTTCTATAGGATTTCAATTGACTCACCCCAAAGGCCTCTCCCTTGACTGTCCTCACACTCATACTCTCACAGGAGTTAAGAGCCGCGTGCACACATCAACTCAGGCTCAGTACATCAGCTGTTATCACCTACAGTTCCCAAAAGGTGCAGAGTACCCCAGCCAGCTGTTATAGACAGAGATAAAATGAAGAGCAATTTAGGAAAACATGACACCAAGCTTAGAGCAACTTGTTTTATGATACTTTATTTCGCATACTAAATTATCAGTAAGTGGAGGCTGCTATGTGACATGAGCTGGAGGGCATCAGGAGCGCCACAAACATTCTTATTTAATGACAGATACTAATGTGCCCTCTTCCCAGATGAGGAAACCTGGGCTTAGAGAAATTCGTGTCCTTTGCCCAAGATTACCCGGCAGAAAGTTATACAGCCATTCGTAGTAATCTATAGGATGAATGGGCCTACAGGTTGGTCCTCTGCTTTGAAACTAGCTATTATCTATGTCCTTGGGAAGTTGTGCTATTAACTCATATCCCACAAATGTTTCCAGATTGATCCAAGGCTCCTAGCAAGTCACAATGAATGTCTTTATTTTTTTTTAATGCTTAAGCAGCTTTATTGGGATACAATTCACATGTCATACGGTTCACCCACTTGAAGTGTACAAGTCAGTGATCTTTAGTATATGCAAATACATGCACGACCATCACCACAGTCAATGTTAGAACGCTTTCACCACCTCAGAAAGATACCCGTACACTTTAGCTCTCACCTCTACTCCACGACACCCTCTCAACTCTAATCAACCACTAATCTACTTTCTGTATCCATTCATCTCCATATTCTGGATTTTCCTATGAATAGAATCATATGATATGTGAACCTTTTTGTCTGGCTTCTTTTAGTTAGCACGATCTCTTCAAGGTTTATTCAACTTGTAATATATACCAATATTTCATTTCTTTTAATGACTGAATAATATTTCATTGTATGACTATACCACATTTTGTTTATCCATTCATCTGTTGATAGACATTGGGCTGTTGCCACATTTTGGCTATTATGAATAATGCCATTATAACCATTTGTGTATAATTTTTGGTGTGGGCATTTATTTTTATTTATCTCGGGTATAGATCAAGGACTAGAATTGCTGGGTCATATGGTAACTATGTTTAATGCTCTGAGGAACTGCCAGAGTGTTTTCCTGTGGCTTTATTATTTTACATTCCCACCAGCTGTGTATGAGGGCTCTAACGTCCTGATGCAGAGCTAAGTCCTATTATTCCAGTAACCTTAAAAATGGCAGATGCTGAAATAGTAATTGGCTCAAAAGGAGCTTCATTAGATTTCTAAACAGACTTATTTATAAAGTTAGCCCTTTCTTTGACTAGAGAAATCACTGATTAATAGATCCAGGTCAGAAAGAGCTAACATTGTCTTTTATTCTGTCACAACAGAACCTATAGGAGTGAACATAATGTTTCTCTGGAGGAATATCATTATCATCACTCATCATCATTATCCCTAGGTCTTAAATTATTTTTATAATTTCATAAATACTGTCTAGCACTGAATTTAAAATAACAAGGTATCTACTTTTCTTCCTTCCTTCCTGAATAATTCAACTCAATGCAAAACACTGGGCAAGAGAGGTAGAAATCCTTGCCAAAGGAGTAGGTGGTGGAGCCCAATACTAAGTCAGAACCCAAGCAAGATAAAGGGGCATTTGTTAGACAAATGTGATAATCACTGCACTGCAGAAACTTACAACATCTGTGAAGTAAGGAGGGATGACAGAAATCCCTTAGGGTCAGAGCCCAAGTAAGATGAGTAAAGGCATTCACACAAGAAGCAGCAACAGCAATAGGAGATTGGTTACACAGGATGAGATTGGGCAAATAAGTAAACATACTGAGGATAATGGGAGCCAGGTCTCACTGTTAGAGACAAGGGAAAGCTAGAATGAAATCTGTGATGCTGAATAGAAATTATAAACATTGGTATAAGCTCTTGGTTTTTAATCTATATATAGTCACATAAATAAATCTAGATTTAGATGTATGTGTGTATCCATCAGAATATACATACTATATTCCCTAATTCTGTCCACTGAGAGGGCCTGGGAACAGAGATACCCCAATAGCAATGAGCTATCCTAAAAACAAGATCTATGCTCTAAATATCATTCCTCTGCTACAAGGAACCAGAGCTGATTGGTCCAGGGCTGGTGCATGAAAAACACAAAGATATCTTGACATGTTGTTTAGCCAGAAAGCAAGGAACT
Source organism: Homo sapiens (assembly GCF_000001405.40). Lineage (NCBI taxonomy): Eukaryota > Metazoa > Chordata > Mammalia > Primates > Hominidae > Homo > Homo sapiens. The sequence goes on along the minus strand of NC_000001.11, from coordinate 13,886,326 downwards.
TCTCCAAGATGGATGGAGACATTCCAAAAACACACAGTAGCCAGCTTGAAGAAACCCTCACTGGCCAAATCAAGAATAATTTTTATATAAAAGTGATGATAATGAATTAGAACTCATTGAATAGAAATCTATATGTCCATATGGATAGATGGATGGATGGATGGATGGATGGATGGATGGATACATAAATATATCCACAAATAAATGCATAGAGAGATAGAAGAAAAAGTTCTTCTTTATAGTCAAATGCCAACCAATAGATGCACAAAATGATGGACTTGGAAAATTGCCATTTGACAGCCTCTCATAGTTATAATTCAGGCAGGAAATGTCAACGAATGCTAAATCTAGTGGGTGAAAGCTTGATGAGAAACAGTAAACTTACAGCTTCAAACTCTGTCCCCATAAAATCTTTATTAATCACAAAAAGTAAAAGGAGTGACTTTACAGTGGGCAAACCTGGAAGACACTATCTTAATCAAAGTTAGTTAACAAAGTTAACATCATTAGTCATAGGATAAATCAAAACCATGTACCACCTAAAATGATGCAATAAGAAAACTCAGCATCACTTCTGCAGTATTCCTGACAACAATCTATTACTCGCAACGAATCAGGAAAACGTTTTATAAACCCACACTGAAGAACAGCCTACAAAATAACTGTCCTATAATTTTTTAAAGTGGCGAGTTCATAAAAGTTAAGGGAAATCTGAGGAACTGTTCCAAATAGAAAGCAAGTAAAGAGGCAACCGGACTAAACGCAGCCTGTGATCCTGAATTGTTCCAATAAAACTTGAATGGAGCTTGCAAATTAGAGTAGTGATGGATCAATGTTAATTCCTTGAATTTCATAGTTGTGCTGTGGTTAGTAGGAGAATGTCCTTGATGTGTAGGAAACACACACTAAAACATTTGGGAATGATGGAGCATCATGTCTACAGCAGACTCTCAAATGACTTGTGGGAGAAATGTTTACTATACTATTCTTTCAGTTTTCCTACAGTTTAAGAAAAACAATTAGTTGGACAAAGACAACATGGTCAAAAGGCAAGAGAAACAGACAACAAAAAGAAAACCACCAGGCCAGGCACAGTGGCTCACGCTTGTAATCCCAACACCTTGGGAGGCTGAGGTGGGCGGATTGCTGGAGCTCAGGAGTTCAACACCAGCCTGGGCAATAAGGTGAGATACTGTCTCTACAAAAAATACAAAAATTAGCTGGACATGGTGGTGCACACCTGTAGTCCCAGCTACTGGGGAGGCTGAGGTGGGAGGATAGCTTGAGCCTGAGAGGCAGAGATTGTAGGGAGCCAAGATCACACCACTGCACTCCAAGCCTGGGCAACAGAGCAAGACCCTATCAAGAAAAGAAAAAGAAGAAGAAGGAAGGGAGGGAGGGAGGCAGGGAGGGAGGGAGGGAGGAAGGAAAGAAGGAAGGAAGAAAGGATGGAATGAAGGAAGGAAGGAAGGAGAAGGAAGAAAGGGAGGGAAGGCAGGAAGGAAGGACCACTAGCAATCCAGATATCAGACACAGTCCACAATAAGTTTGCTTAACATGGTTAGGGAAATGGAGCAAGGTACAGGATTTGGGGGAAAAAACTATAAAAATTTACCAAATCGATATTAGACACAGGTGGAAAGAATTAGTGAAATGGTAGATCAGTCAGAAGAAAGTCAGAGTGAAGCACAGACAACAGGATAGGAAAGATAGAGGAAAGGACGAGACATAGGGATTCAGTTAAAAGGTCTGACATGGGTTTAACTGTCATCCCAGAAAGGGAGGACAAATAAGAAAGAGAGGATGAAGAAAAGAAGTAGGAGAAAAGGAGTAGAAGCAATATCAGGAGAAACTGTTAATACCTCGGATGGTGAATTGTATGTGTCAACATGACAGGGTTAAGACTATACAATTCAGCAGGTCCCTTTCTGGCAGGGTTGGCAGGGACGTCAGGAGTGAACACGCATTGTGAACCTGGCACATGGGTGACAGGATATGATGCTTCTGCAAACTCAGCTGACCCTTAAAACATGCTCCATCCAGAGCATCTGCAAGGATGAAGGGGCAATGGGACAGACTCTAGGCAGTATCCGTGCCCTTCAAAAAAGAAAGGACCCAAAACTCAACCCCTTTCAGGAGTCAGATCAAATCTCCTCTTGCAAGAAGCTTTTGAAGGGGTTAAAGGATACTCAGATAGCTGGTTACTTCTGGGTGTGTTGGTGAGGGTGGTTCTGGAAGAGGTCAGTGTCTGCATCAGCAACTGAGTAAAGAAGGTCCACCCTCACCTATGTTGGGTGAACATCATCCAATATGTTGAGGCCTGAATAGAACAAAAAAAAGAGAGAGGAAAGTAAACTCCCTCTCTCTGTGTCTTCTTGAGGAGCTGGGGCATTCATCTTTGCCTTCTCTTGGAGACTGGGGCTCCTGGTTCTTGGGCCTTCAGACTCCAGGACTTACACTAGCAGCCCCCACCGCAGTTCTCAGGCCTTCAACCTTGGACTGGGATATAACATTAGCTCCCCTTGTCCTCAGGCCTTTGGACTCAGACGGAATGACACCGCCAGCTTTCCTGGGTCTTCAGCTTGCAGACAGCAGATCATGGGGCTACTCGGCTTCTGTAATCATGCAAACCAAGACCCATAATCAATCTCCTCTTCTATGTCTATATATATCCGATTGGCGCTGTTTTTCTGAAGAACCTTGATCAATACAGCTTTGCAACTGTGTAAATTAACACTTAAAAAGCTCAATGAACCCTAAATAGGATAAATAAAAAGAAAATCATACCTAGGCTTATCATAGTAATAAGCTGAAAACCAATAACAGAGAAAGTCTTAAAAGCAGCTGTAGAAGTCAGGATGAGGAGAAAACAAAGAACTTTCAGTACAACAACAGAGACCCACATCTGACTTCAACGCCAACTAGGGAAACCAGAAGTCAGTGAATGAGACCTTCAAAGTGCTCAAAGAGAATAATTGCCATGTGGAACTCTATATGCATTGAAAATATCCTTCAATAATGTAGGTGAAATAAAGAAATTTTCAGACCAAAGAAATCTAGGAAAATTTAATACCAGCAGACACATCAAGAAGACACTAAAGGGAGTTTCTTCAAGGAGGAGAAAAATGAAGCCAAGTGGAAGCTCAGAGCCATGGAAACGAACAAAGAGCTGTGAAAAGGTTAATTGTGGCTAAGTCTAAATTAAATATAACTTAATGTTGACTATGAATTCATAATTACTAATGGTTAACATTAATTTATCTTATATTAACAGGTCAGTGATACACTGTAGGATTTAAAGTATATATAGAAATAAAATACAGAGCAAAAATAGCTTAGAAGTTGAAAGAAGAACAATGGAATTAAAATGTTCTAAGGTCCTTGCATTGTCCAGGGAAAAATAGAAGGATTAATTTATATTAGACATTAATAAGTCGAGGATACATACTACAATCTCTTGTATAACCACTGAAAGTTTATAAAAGCGTACAAAATCACCATACTAATAGGAAGGGAAAATGAGTATAAAAATAATCAATCCAAAAGATATCAGGAAAGGAGAGAAAAAAGAATTGTAAAGAAAGCTAGTATACTATGTTGCTATCAGACAAAGTAGACTTAAAAATTAAAAAAAAAAAAACCCAGTTCTAGCAATCAAAAACATCCTTCATAATAACAAAATGATCAATTTAACAAGCCTCCAAACATGAGCAAAAAATTGACAAACTGCAAAAAACTAAACCCAGAAGTGAAAAACTAAACAAAAAGCAAGCAATACAGAAAAATTGAACACAATTAACATATTGACTAACAGACATATATAATGGATCAGTTGTGCCTGACAAGTACAGCGTATACATTCTCTTCAGAAAAAAAAAAAAAACACAGAGAACATTACAAAAATTGTCCCTTTGCCAAACCTTAATTCACATCTCAAAAAGTGTCATAAGAATAAAGAGAATTTTTTTAATCTGATAAATAATTTGTATTAAAAAGCCTACAGAAAACATCCTTCACAACATTCATGAAATATTGAAAGCTTCCTCTTAAGATGAGGAATGAGACAAGAATGGCCACTATCATCATTTCTATACAACATTATACTGGAAGTAAAAGAGACAAGATTTGAGGTTTGAAATAGAAAAATAGAATTGTCACTATTTGCAGTTGGCATGATTGTGGTAGAAAATCCCAAAAGAAAAGTATACAGATAAATTATTAGAATAAACTTAGCAATGTTGCTACATAAGCATAAGGTACACGTTAAAATGTAAATTATATTACTGGATGTGGAACAAAATAAACTTTAAGAAACTATAACATTAACATCAAAATATATCAAATAACAAGGAATAAATCTAACAAAAAGCCCTTAAGACCACTCTACAGAAATCTATGAGACGGGCAGAAAGGAAAGGAACCTAAACAAATGAAGACATGCACCACTGAGTCATAGTTTGATGACTCAATGTTGTAAAAACTTCAATTCTCCCAAATTAATCTACACATTTAATCAGATCAAAATTTAAGCAGATTTTCTGTAAACATTGACAAGATGATTCTAGAATTTAACTGGAAAGGCAAAGGGCCAAAAGCTCTTGGTGAAGGCCACCAGAAATGAAGACTTGTTCCACCAGATGCTCCAGACAGATAATTAAGCTTCAGTAGTTAGGAGAGCATGGTATTGGGCTAAGAATACACAGAGAGATCAATAATGAGAATAAAGTGTCCAGAAGCTGACTCACTATTGCATTAGGACAACACCATCACTGCAGGGCAGCGGAGATGCTTAATGGCGGTCAATCAAGTGGAAATTCATATGGAGAAAAAAAGTGAAAGTTGACCTCCACTTTACACCATAGATGGAAGTGAGTTACATGCAGATTGTAGATTTCAATGTGAAATCAAAACAAAACTTTTTTTTTTTTCCCCAGACGGAGTCTTGCTCTGTCACCCAGGCTTGGAGTGCAGTGGTGCGATCTCGGCTCACTGCAAACTCCGCCTCCTGGGTTCAAGTGATTCTCCTGCCTCAGCCTCCCGAGTAGCTGGGATTACAGTCGCCCGCCACCACGCCCAACTAATTTTGTATTTTTAGTAGAGACGGGGTTTCACTGTGTTGGCCAGGCTGGTCTTGAACTCCTGACCTCAAGTGATCCACCCACCTCAGCCTCCCAAAGTGCCGGGATTACGGGTGTGAGCCACCACACCCAGGCAAAACAAAACTTCTTGACAGTGATAGAGAATACCTCTATGGCTCTGGTAACGGTGGGCGGGCAATACTTCTTAAACGAGACACAAAAAGCACCAACCATTAGGGAAAAGATTGATAAATTAGATATCAAAGTTAAGAACTTCTCCCATTTCTGTGACTAGTCTTTCTACTCTCTTATTATTGTCTCTTGATGAAAGAAAGAAATGTGTAACACCTATAACCAAGAAAAGATTCATATTCTCATTATAGAAAGAACTCCCCCAAATCAATAAGGCAAAAAACTCAGTTAAAACATAGACAGGAATGGATGCAGTGGCTCACGCCTGTAATCCTAGCACTTTGGGAGGCCGAGGCAGGAGGATTGCTTGAGTCCAGGAGTTCGAGGCCAGCCTACACAACACGGTGAAACCCTGTCTCTATAAAAAATACAAAAATTTGCCAGGCATATTGGTGCGCGCCTGTGGTCCCAGCTACTCAGGAGGCTGAAGTGGGAGGATGGCTTGAGCCCAGGAGGCTAAAGTTGCAGTGAGCCGAGATTGCACCACTGCACTCCATCCTAAGCAACAGAGCCAGACCCTGTCTTAAAAAACAAACAAACAAACAAACAAACAAAAAAACAAAAGTAGACAGGAAACTTGGACAAGCATTTCACAAACGAGGGTATTTAAATGGCCAATATGAAAAGATGTTCACCCCCCATTATTCATCGGGAAAAGCAAATTAAAACCGCAATGAAATTCAAACACATACCCAACACAATAGCCAATATTGGATGGACAATTCCAAGTGTTGAAAAAGCTGTGGAGCAATAGGAACTCTCAGACCCTATTGGTGTAAGCATCAAGTCCTGCAAACACTTTGGAAAACTGTCTGCTATTATATTTTAAAGTTGAGCATCTATCTGCTCTATGACCTAGCAGTTCTACTCCCAGGTACGGACCTGGAAGAATGCATTCACAGGTGCACCAACATATTACCAGAATGCTCACAGATGCATTCATTATTCATAGTGGCCCCCAGATGCAAATAATCCAAGTTTTCATCAACAGCAGAACAAAATGAAAGGGTATATTCATACAATGGAACCCACCCAGGAATAAGAGTGAGCAAAATACATGCAACATGGATGATTCTCAAGGTTGGAGGAAAAAGCCAAACATAAAATACATGTATAACTACATTTAGTTTAGGTTTTTTTTTGTTTTTTTTTTTTTTGAGACGGAGTCTCGCTCTGTCGCCCAGGCTGGAGCACGGTGGCACGATCTCGGCTCACTACAAGCTCTGCCTCCCAGGTTCACGCCATTCTCCTGCCTCAGCCTCCCGAGTAGCTGGGACTACAGGCGCCTGCCACCTCACCCAGCTAATTTTTTATATTTTTCAGTAGAGACAGGGTTTCACCATGTTAGCCAGGATGGTCTCAATCTCCTGACCTCGTGATCCGCCCGCCTCAGCCTCCAAAAATGCTGGGATTACAGGCGTGAGCCACCGCGCCCGGCCTATATTTAGTTTTATCTTTTTGGACTTCATAGACTCTTTAGCCTGAGGGCTCGGGGTGGTAGTCCCCTTTAAGGATGGTGGCTGGTAATCGGGAGGACCCCCCAGTGAGTCTCCTGGGGCTTGCAATGTTCTCTGGACACAGCAGCTCCATCTTACCATCTGTGTTCTTGCTGTTGTTACGCTTCAATAAAATTTACTTTTAAAAGTCTGGGTGGATTCAAATCAAACTTAATAACTCTCACCCTAAAGCAGTAGGACAACTGAGAGCATTGCCATTATTCCTTTGAATTGTCCAAAACAAACTTGTACAGTTGTAATTTTTTAAACAATTAAACACTGAATTGGAGCAATATATTCGCTTTCACCGGAAGGTTTTCTATTCCCCAACCACTGTCCCTGGAAAAGCCTTCACATTTAAGGAGTGACCTATTAAATAAAAGTGAGTGCTACTTTATCTTACTGATGTCTTTGTTTCCCCTTGTTCTACTTAAGCATTTTCCTGAGTACAGTGAAAAGTCTGATATCAGATCCTAGGAAGTCTCTTTTGCCTGGATTTTAGAGCAATACCTAGCACGGACATGGCCTCAAACATTAATGGGTGAAGGGGCACAGTCTGAGATTTGGTGAATTCTTTTTTTGCTAGGGATGGATTTCTCTAAGGAGCTGGTGGGGAGCTGCTCCATCAAGCATGGGCTTAGCGTTCTCAGTTTTGTGTCACTAAGGTGATTGTGTCATTTATTGCCCAAACTGGGACACTAGAAGGTGAAAGAGGGTGCTATTAATAAACATGAGGTATAAGCCAGGAGTGTTTTAGGCAAACTGGCACATAAGGCTACACGCTAGCTTGGTACTAAGAACTCGCTTGCTACAGAAACCTCAAAATGTAAACCCAGAATCCCCCAGGATTAGAGCTGTGCTGTCAACCATGTTATTAAAACAGGGTAATTGTGCTTTCTTACTTTCTACAAAACAGCTAATGCCATTAGCTCTGAAATAGAAACCTGTGCTAAATGCATCTTTTATGAGATGCAGGGCCTTTTGTACTTTCCCCGGCTGATTTGCTAGGTGCCAAACACCATTTCTGGGCGGAAGAGTACCTGGGGCATCCTTTGCCAACGTGACCGAGGCACGCCGAGACCCAACCTTTGTTCCGATTGCCTCTCTTAGGCTCTTCCAAGTCAATGTGTGGGGGGAATTCTGGGTTGTTAAAGGCCAGAAGACCCCAGGGCTCACAATAGGAGCTCAATAAATATTTGTTAAAGGAATCACACACACAGTGTTCTTCCCAGGCCCTCTCTTTGCTGCATTCCCTCCAAACATCCAGCTTTTGCTTCTACGTCTCTCTCTGCCTGGGATGCCCCTACTTTTTTTTCACCAGGTTAATTCCTTCCAGCCTTCAGTTCTCAGTCCTGACGTCATGTCCATGTAGAAGGCATCTGTGATTGCCCGAGTAGGTCGAGGTCTGTGTCACACACGACACGGACCTCCTGGGGGAACTCAGGTTTTGATCGGAGATTCAGTGACCTTTGTTTTCTAGAGTAAGGCAATCAAGGCATTCCCCCAGGTGCAAAAGGGAAGGAGAAACCAAAAAATCTCAATAGTCAAGACAAGTAGTATCTTAATTCCAAATATTTCAAATTGAATGCAAAAATCAAAATTTTAAATAAAAGCAGGATCATGAGGCAGGGCTTCAAGTACAGATGGCTAAGCCACATCCCCAGGGTTTCTGATTCTGAGGTCTGGGGCGGGCGGAGCTGGAGGACCTGCATGCCTAACAGGCTCCCGGGAGACACTGGTGCTGCTGGTGCTACTGGTACAGGGCCACACTTTGAGATGCACTGCCTTAGAGTTTATTCACTGCACCTCCCACCCTCTGACCCTGCATCAAGGTATAGGAAAGTAATTACTTCAACACCAGGAGCAGAAATGGGCAGGAAAGCATCCACTTCCAAGCAGCCATTGCACTACGAGATAAATCAATACATGTGACAGTCTAATTCCCTGTAGTAGGTTAAATAACGCCCCCTTCAAAGATGTTCATGTCCTAATACCCAGACCCTGGGAATATGTTACCTTAGGTGGCAAAAGGGACTTTGCAGATGGGACTGTGTGAAGGAGCTCGAGGTGGGGAGATGATCCTGTGTACCCAGGCAGGCCTGGTTCTTCACCAGAGTCTTTGTAAGAGGAAAGGTGATGTGACGACGGAAGCAGAAATCAGAGTAATATGCTTGGAAGACAGAAGACAGGACCACCAGCCAGGCAGTGCAGGTGGCCACCAGAAGAGGCAAGGGCATCAGCGCCGTTTCATTTCTGTGGTTTCTTCAAACACCCTGAGCTCTTTCCTCCCTCAGGGCCTTTGCATGTGCTGATCTCTAGCTGGAATGTCTGTGCAGGGCTTTGGTTCATGGACCTGCCCATGAACATCTCCAACAGCAAGAAAATGAGATAGTACAATTCCTAGTAGGGGGCTGGGCATGGAGGCTCATGCCTGTAATCCCAGAACTCTGGGAGGCCGAGGTGGGCAGATCACTTGAGCCTAGGAGTTCAAGATCAGCCTGGGCAACTGGACCAAACCCTGTCTCTACAAAAACAACATAAAACTGGCTGGGCGTGGTGGCTCACACCTGTAATCCCAGCACTTTGGGAGGCTGAGGCGGGTGGATCACCTGAGGTCAGGAGTTCAAGTCCAGCCTGGCCAATATGATGAAACCCCATCTCTACTAGAAATACAAAAAATTAGCTGGGCATGGTGACAGGCGCCTACAATTCCAGCTACTCAGGAGGCTGTGGCAGGAGAATCGCTTGAACCAGGAGGTGGAGGTTGCAGTGAGCCAAGATCGTGCCGTTGCACTTCAGCCTGGGCAACAAGAGTAAAACTCCATCTCAAAAACAAACAAACAAAAAAACATAAAACTTAGCCAGGTGTGCTGGCATGTGCCTGTAAGTCCCAGCTATTTGGGAGGCTGAAGTGGGAGGATTGCATGAGCCTAGGAGGCCAAGGCTGCGGTGAGCCAAGATCACGCCACTGCACGCCAGCCTGGGCGACAGAGTAAGACCCTGTCTCAAAAACAAAAACAAAAACAGTTCCTAGTAGGGCCTGAGGATGAGAAGGGAAACCCATGATGCCAGAGGCTAGAGCAAGACAGCCCTACTGAGATCTCTTTCAGCAATTCGGGCGTCAGGCAGATGACAGGTAACAAAAACCCAACTCAAAAGGCTTGAGCAATAACTCGTCTAAAAACATTAGCCAGGCATGGTGGAGCACACCTGTAGTCCCAGCTACTCAGAAGGCTGAAGCAAGAGGATCGCTTGAGCCCAGGAGTTGGAGGCTGCAGCGAGCTATGATCACACCACTGCACTCCAGCCTGAGCGACAGAGAGAGACCTTGTCTCTAAAAAAAAAAATCAAAATAAAAAATAAGGGGATTTGTCACCCCAAAACCAGTCTCCAGGTAGGTGTTATGGACTGCACTGTATCCCCAAAAGTTTCTATGTAGAAGTCCTACCCCCAAGAACCTCATAATGCAGCCTTGGAGATGAGGTCTCTACAGAGGTCATCAAGTTAAAATGAGGGCATTAGAGTGGCCCTGAGCCAATATGACTGATGTCCTTATTTAAAAAGGGAGATTTGGATACAGGCACACACAGAGGGAAAAAGCCGTGTAGAGATGAAGACCGAGATAGGGGGATGCTTTTGTTTTTGTTTTTTGTTTTTTTGTTTTTTTGTTTTTGAGGTAGAGTCTCACTCTGTCGCGCAGGCTGGAGTGCAGTGGCGCTATCTCATCTCACTGCAAGCTCCGCCTCCCGGGTTCACACCATTCTCCTGCCTCAGCCTCCTGAGTAGCTGGGACTACAGGTGCCCGCCACCACGCCTGGCTAATTTTTTGTATTTTTAGTAGAGACGGGTTTTCACCATGTTAGCCAGGATGGTCTCCATCTCCTGACCTCGTAATCCGCCCGCCTTGGCCTCCCAAAGTGCTGGGATTACAGGCGTGAGCCACCACGCCCGGCTGGGGGGATGCTTTTACAGGTAAAGTGAGGCTAATGATTGCCAGAAAAACCCCCAGAAGTTAGAGAGGCATGGAACAGATTCTTCCTCACAGCCTTCAGAAAGAACCCACCCTGCTGGCACCTTGATCTCAGACATCCAGCCTCCAGAATTGAGATTCAGTAAATGTCTGTAGTTTAAGCCATCTCTTTTGTGGTACTTCGTTACCATCACAGCAGCCCTAGCAGAGACCAAGACAGTCCCATGATGGTTAATGCCATGGCTCCACGGCATCATCTGGGACTCAGGTACCCTCCACCCTTTGTGTGCTGCCCCCGCCACCCCCCGTGAGTTAGCATTGCCTCATCATCTCCAAATAGCTGCCACACAGAGGCATGAGAGGGCCCAGGAAAAGAAGGGCTATTTCTCCCTCATGCATCTCATTAAGGGAAAAGAAACCCATTTTAGGAGTTCTCTGGGAAACTGTCCCTCCCATCTCACTGGCCAGATGGCATTCCCTGGCTAGGCCCAGGTCAGCAGCTGTGGGAATGGTTTTCCCCACTCTCGATATCCCCATGTGGCTGGTGGAAGGTCATCCTTCCCTACAGAAGGCGGGGAAGGGTGGACCCCAGTTTGACTTACCTGTCGAGCAGAGTAGGCACCAGGGCCTAGAGCCAATGACACCTTTAGGAGCCCACAGAAATGGTTTACTTCTCACAATAAGTGAGGTGTCTACTTCAAACATCACTTATATAATTTTTAAATGTTTTTTGTAGAGGAATGGAGCCCCCAAGGGCAAAAGTACCCAGGACCCATAAAAGTCATCATGGGGACCCTTTAGCTAACAAAGGAGAGGGGGTAAATGGCTTTTGGGTGGGCAACCAGTGGAGTTTGCTACAACTCAACACAGGGATGGGAAAACACAGCCACCAGTGATAGCAGTTCATCATGGCATCAGTGAGACTAGCTCAGCATGGCAGGGGTTTCTCAAGTAGGAATGGGGTGAGGGATGATTGTATAGCTGGGAAAAGTCCTCTCCAATCACCCAGCAATTGACTCTTCGTATGGAAATGTCAACAACTTCCCTTACTTTTTTGGAGTGCAAGTTTTCTCATTGTTATGGACTGAATTGTTTTTTTCATGGTGAAGCCCTAACCCCCAATGTGACTGTGTTTGGAGAAGGGATCTACAAGAGGGTAACGAGGGTTACGTGAGATCATAAGGGTGGGGCCCTAACCCAGTAGGACTGGTGTCCTCCTGAGACGTGGGAGAGGCATGGGGTTGAGCAAGCACAGAGAGAGGCTGAGGGAGGGCACAGAGGCAACCACCTGCCCACCAGGAAAAGAGGCCTCGCCAGAAGGCAACCCTGCCTGCACCTCAGTCTTGGACTTCAGCCTCTAGAACTGTGAGAAAATAAATTTCTGTCGTTTAAGCCCCCACCCTGTCTGTGGCATTCTGTTACGGCAGCCTGGGCAGACTAACACATGTATCTAGTTCAATCCCCTCATTTTACAGGGGGCAGCTGTATCACAGAGAGCCAGTGAGTTGTCCAAGTTAAAGTAGAGCTTGGCCGGAATCTGATCAAACCTGGCCAGCTCCAGTCAAGCCGTCTGGGGGAAGTGGGGGGGGTCTGCCTCCCTCCCACGTGGCACTGAAGAGCACATCCACTGTTGGTCAAGGCGCCATTCAACTCTTCAACTGCAGGCACTAACTCGGCTTCTTTCCATTCCAGGGTTGGCGCTACTGTGGGTTTTGTTTTTTCACCTCTGGGCTCACTCCATCGGAAGGATCTTGGACTATAATTGCTTGACCAAGCGCTCTCTGAATGGAAAGGAGGCCCAGACTCCTCCCCACAGCTCCCACCGTCATTAGCATGGAAGGAACAACTTCCTAATGACCGAGGGGAAGGGAGGAAGCAAACTCATCGGCTTAATCAGAGAAATATAGTTTTCAGGAGAGGCGCCAAGTCATCAAAGCACAGCCAGCACAGAGACAGTGGCTCCACTTTCATTAGCCCCATGAACACAGAACAGAAGCAACTGAGCCCAGCCCGCAAAGAACAATGAATCCTTCCAAGGAGCCCCCCGGGTGATTGTGGATTTTTCACATGAATAAAGAGGAACTGATTAATCAAAGACGGTGAATAAAAGCCACTGGCTATCTCCCGAGACACAAACGAGATCTAAACTGGGGATAGAGCTTTCTCTCCCTTTCCCAGTTTGAGCCCCCTCTTCCGTCAGGATGAAATGTGACAAGAGCAGATGTTTAAGGAGGCAGCTGCTCGGCCATCTCTTCATTTCTTTTTCTAAATAATCGATACACGTGGATTGTGGCTGTTATAAATGCCAAGCCACAATTTGTGACTGAGGCCAGTGCGAATCAGTTCAGGCAGCTCACAACTGGAGGCCTCCCCCACTGGAGCCAGAGAGGAGCAATAAAAATGCTCAAGGCTGCAGCAGCATTTTTTTTTTTTTTCCTATTAAGTCTCAGTGCTGGAGGTTCAAGATTTCATTGAAGCCTGAAGACTCGCTGGGAGGGAGGGGGTCACAGCCTGAGGTTTTCCATGAGGCTCAGTTGACCTTGGGAAGCTCAAGGACTCTAGGGGGATGGAGAGAGCATGGACTCTGATCTTTAAAAGTACAAGTCTTTGGGCAAAGTGACCCATCACTCCTACAGACCACAGGGAAGAGCTTTTATTCTGCAGACAACGGTAATGCCCTTGGCCTCCAGGCCTTTGCACCTGTAATTCTCTTGGCCTGTGATGTTTCATTTCCTTCTTGCCCCTTGCCTTGGTTAACTTGACTTTTCATTCTGGTTTCAGCTTGGTTGTTTCCTCCTCCAGGAAGTCTTCCCTGACCTACCAGGCTGGGTTGGGCATCTTCCTCTATGCTTCCATAATGCGGAACCTGGTTTTCCTTGCCCAACAGCACTTACTCCTTTTTCCAACAACAGAACCTCATGTCCTTTGGGAAGTCCCCTGCACCCCTGCAACAGCCTTGGCACACTGTCAATCATGAATCTTGTTCTCTTCTAGGCAAAGAAGTGGACACAGAACTGAGGTCAAGCCAGATTCTCATGCTGAGGCAACCTGATGTTGATGAAGTTGAGAAAAATGGTGAGAACAAATTTGTCCCAATGGCATAGACTCCAGAAGAGACTGACTGTATTTCCTCTCTTTAGGTCCCCAGAGCTATGTATCCCTGTCCTTTGTGAGCCTGGCTGCTCAGCTTCTCCTGTGAATTATTCCATAGCCTCCCTATGCACGGTCTTTGGCTGAGATTAGCCAGAATCTTCTTCTGTTGCTTACAACCAAAGAATCCTAAGATCCTCTGACATCTCACCCATCACTCCATGTAGTGACGGCCTAAGAACAGTGGCTGTCACTCACCTTCATGCCCTCAGCACCTAGTGCAGGGCTTGGTACATGGCAGCTCTTCACTGGTTTATTGAGTAGAAACTCCTCGTGCTAATCACTAAGTAATGCTTCTTTGATCTGCTGTGGCAAGAGCTGTCAAATTGACAAGCATCCTGTACTGACAAAGCTGCTCAGGGGTGCCAGCACTTGGAGAAGAACATGACATAATAGAAACACATCAGGTTTCAAGGCAAGAGCTTGCAGGAAAAGCACTAATTCATCAGAGCACAGCCACCACAGAGACATTCGCTCAAGACCTATTGAAAAACAAGTCCCTGGTTACTGCAAAGAATGTTCCAGAACAATGCATATAAGCATATATATAATTCAATTAATCCGACTTCGTATCCAGCTGCCCTTTGGATCTGCCCCCTGAAAAGTGTCCCATCTCCTCCCACTTCCCAGAAGAGCTTAGAAAGTCATTCTTATCTGAGAGATCAAACATCATTCTTCATCTTAGATCGGGAGTCAACAAAATTTTTGTGCAAAGGGCCAGATAGCAAATATTTTGCAAGCCATCCAGTCTCTGTTGCAAGTACTCCACTTTGCTGTCATAGCACAAAAGCAGCCATGGATGGCGTGTAAACAAATCAGCATGGGTGTGTACCAATAAAACTTTATTTATGGACACTGAAAGTTCAATGTCATGTAATTTTCATGTGTTACAAAGTAGTCTTCTTTTGATTTTTTTCTCAGCCATTTAAAAATGTAAAAACCCAGGAGCTGAATGATAAGAACTTAGGAACACAAAGAAGGGAAGAACAGACACTGAGGTCTACTTGATGGGGGAGGGTGGGAGGAGGGAAAGGAACAGAAAAGATAACTATTAGGTACTGGGCTTAATACCTGGGTGATGAAATAATATGTACAATATGTAATATGTACAACCCGTGTTTGCCTATGTAACAAACCTTCACATGTACCCCAAACCTAAAATAAAAGTTAAAAATAAATAAATTAATAAAAATGTAAAGACCATTCGAGAGCCATGGGCCATATTTGGCCAATGTGTGCTGGTTCTAGTCTAGTTGGTGGCTTACTTGCTCACCCATGAAACACAGTGACCACAATGCTCACTCGCCTTCCCAGCCAACTCCCCCCCAGGAAGGAAACTGTACGTGGTCAGGAGCACGCAGAGGAAGCACAGACAGGAATCCTGCTCTAACAGGAGGTATAGGGAGCAAGGTTAACAGCTGTAGAATCAGACCCAGGACAGAATTCTGTTATTTCCTGCTCTCTATTTGTGTAGCTCCCAGCAATTTGGTGAACTTTTCTAAATCTTGGTTTTTATCTTATGAAAAAGGGGTGCATCCTGTCTCATGGGGTTGTAAGGATTCCATCAAATACCCTGTGCACAGTAAGAAACTTAAACAAATTTACAAGAAAAAAACAACTATAAAAAAGTGGGCAAAGGACATGAACAGATATTTTTCAGAACAACACATACATGTGTCCAAACAAGCATATGAAAAAAAACTCAACATCACTGATCATCAGAGAAATGCAAATCACAACCACACTATGATACCATCTAACACCAGTCAAAATGGTGATTATTAAAAAGTCAAAAAATAACAGACGCTGGCAAGGTTGTGGAGAAAAAGGAACACTTATATACTGTTGGTGGGAGTGTAAATTAGTTCAGCCATTGTGGAAGACAGTGTGGTGATTCGTCAAAGACCTAAAGACAGAAATACCATTTGACCCAGCAATCCCATTACTGAGTATATACCCAAAGGAATATAAATAGTTCTGTTATAAAGACACATGCACATGTATGTTCATTGCAGCACTATTCACAATAGCAAAGACGTGGAATCAACCTAAATGCCCATCAGTGATAGACTGGATAAAGAAACTGTGGTACATATACACCATGAAATACTATACAGCCACAAAAAAGAACAAGATCATGTCCTTTGCAGGACACAGGAGGCCATTATTCTTAGTAAACTAACACAGGAACAAAAAACCAAATACCGCATGTTCTCGCTTACAAGTGGGAGCTAAACGATGAGAACCCATGGAAACATAGAGGGGAACGACACACACTGAGGCCTTTTTGAAGGGTAGAGGGTAGGAGGCGGAGAGAATCAGGAAAAGTAACTAATGGATACTAGGCTTAATACCTGGGTGAAGAAATAATCTGTACAACAAATCCCCATGATACAAGTTTACCTATGTAACAAACCTGTACTTGTACTCCTAAACTTAAAAGTTAAAAAGAAAGAAAGAAAGAAAGAAAGAAAGAAAGAAAGAAAGAAAGAAAGAAAGAAAGAAAGAAAGAAAGAAAGAAAGATGCTATTCAAAGCACTTATTCAGAGCCTGGCACATAGCAATAGCTTAATGGTGCTGGCTGGTCACACAGAGAAGGAACAGGACAGTTTCATTTTTTTAATGTCAATTTAGATATAACTGTGAAGAATATACGTATGTTCTATAAATGTACATTTACGGAATGTACATACAGAACAATATACGTACAAAACAAGTTTGCCATTCCCTGATATAGATGAAGAATTACGTTTGATTTCCCAGATAAGAATGACTTCTCAGCTCTTCCAGGAGGTGGGAGGAGACAGGACAAGTTTCCCGTGGCAGATCACCAGGGCAGCTAGAATGCATGGGGTGGCCCCCTGCTGACTTTTTACTTAGCAGAAACTCAGCTGGGTTTTTCTCTTCATGCTCCTTTTCCATTCATTCTGCTTAACTACTAACTTAGCTCTGCATTCAGACTAAGGGGCTCCTACGTTGCAAACAATCCCCTTTAAGTTACTCCTTATCAAGAGTCTTGGTTTGCCACCATTCCACAGCCCTCTCTGCCACACTGAGCAGATGGCCCTTGGCTTTGACAGATAAAAAAGTCTAAAAGCTTTGGGATGATACAGCTGGTTGGGCCAGATTATCCTTGAAATGACCACTAGCAATTTTTAAAGGATATTTCACTTTCAAGAACTGCAACAATTATTTAAGGTGAGAAAAACTCCACTTACAGATAAGTGGTGGAAAGTTCTAGAATTATCCACAAAAAGCGAGTAGGAGGAAAGAGTGTAGCAGATGAGATCCCAGATCCCTCCTTCCAGAAAGGGCTGGCTGCTGGGCTGCTATTGGTGCTAAAGTTCCTGCAGGATGGCCTCAGCTGCAGAGAGGCCAAAGGGCACATCCCTCCTACTCCCACCCTCCTCCCGCTGTCCCCACGAACCCTCCACTCCTCATATCTAAAGATGGCCTGGCCATTCTGGCTCTACGTGGGGCACTCCAACAAGTCATTTCAGCTTCCAGGAAACCTGTGGGGTCAGCCAGGCTGTGGGTCCTTCATGGTAATGAACTTCTCCCTCTGTCCAGTCCTGACTCTACCTCCTCCCTAAGGTGGGCCCCAAGAGCACTTCCCTAAAACCTCCCTTAGTATTAATTCTGGCCTGAAGTCTACATCCCGGAGAACCCAGATGGTGACAGTGGGGCAGCTAAGAGCGTCATCTCCAGAGTCAAACTCCCTGGCCAGGAGGGGCTGGGCCACACAGTGTGAAACTCTGACCTTTTGCAGGCCTCAATCCCTCACCTAGAAAATTATCAGCACCTTTTAATGGTAGGGCATAAATCAAATCCAGGTGCTAGGTCTCTAGGATAGTGCCCACCCTGAGAAGAGTAACTCAGTCATGCCAGGATTCCAGAAGGAGGTTCCTGGGGCCACAGCCCGCTCCTCCTGGATTTGTCCCTGAGAGCTGAGAAGTCTCATAGGCACACTAGGAGCCAAGGAGGAAGGAACCTAAAACAGCACAGAAAAGTAGGCCACAGGGGCCTGTAGCTGCAAGACGCATGTCCAATGCACGTGTTTTTGTACAGCGTGAGGCCTCCTCCAACCAGCCACAGGACACTGTGTAAAAAAGGAAGAGTCCCAGTACAACACAGAAAGGAGATTGAGTGCCACACATCTATCTTCCCTAGTGCTGCACAAGGTCAAGCATGGAAAGGGCACTTGAATATCTAATGAGCGAAGAAATAACTGGGGAGACGGGGAAGTGATGGCTAAGATTAATTCCTGCAAATATCTGTGCCAGATGTTCTTCCAGGTACAAGGGATACAGCTGTGAACAAGATGACCCATGCCTTCATGGAGCTAATAGTGTAACAGGGTGGACATAGATTAAACAGGCAATCACAGAAGCATAATTGCAAGGGACAAGTGCATCGTCCCCACAAAGGGCATAATGAGATTGATAGGGGTACCCCTGTAGACTCAGCGGTCAGAGAAGTGTTTAAATCAAGAGAGTGGCATTGAAGCGAATACCTGCATGATTGGTTAATTAGCTGGTTAAAGGGGTAGGCTTTGGGGGTTGCAGGAGGACAGGCAGGACACGTGCTAAGGAAAGGACATGCAAATATGTTCTGGGAACCGAAAGGTGTCACTGTGGCTGGAGCATAGCCAGAGGTAGAGTGGCCGGAAGTGATGCTGGGACAGGAGGCAGCAGCTGGACCACATAGAGCCTCACAAGCCATAAGTCTTTCGGGTTTTCTGTAATGCACAATGGGCAGGCTTTGGAAGGGTCAATCCAAGTAGCATCCTGATTTAAGTTTCAAACAGATATCCCCAGCTGCAGAAGAGAGGATGGGCGATAGTAAGGCAACAGGAGGAGCAAAGAAAGTCATTCTGATGATCGTAGCCCCAGCCAGGGTGGTCAGGAAGAAATGGAAAGACAGACAAATGTGATCCATGTGGGATCTGTTTCAGAGATAGAATAAAGAGGGGGAAGAAAGAATATTATGAGTGACTTCCAGGCTTTTAAAGCTGGCAAATGAGAGGATGCATGAACTATTTAGTGAAGGGGGAACATATGAAGGAGGAACTTATAGACTGGGTTGAACGGTAACCCACCAAAAAATCCATGTCTGCCCGGAAACTGTGAATGTGACCTTATTTGGAAATGAGGTCTTTGCAGATGTAGTCAGGTTAAGATGAGGTCATACTGGATTACGGTGGGCCACATCCCCCCTACATCAAATTAGGATATGACGCTAACTCAGTAGCTAGTGCCTTTGTAAGAGGAAGGCAATCTGGACACAGGGACACACAGGAGAAAGGCCACGTGCAGATGGAGGCAGAGATTGGAGTTGCATAAGGGAAGGAGCACCAAGGATTGCTGGCCATCACCAGCAGCTGGAAGGGTCAAAGAATGACCCCCCTTTAGAGCTTTCGGAGGGAGCATGGCCCTGCTGATACCTTGACTTAGGACTTTTGACCTCCAGAAATGTGAGAGAATAAGTTTCTGCTGTTTTAAGCCCCCCAGTTTATGAAAATTTGTCGTGGCAGCCCTAGGAAACTAACATAGCCCTTGAATTCCAGAATATGGAGCCAGCTGTTCTCTAGAGCACAAGTCTCAGTGGGGCCTCCTCTACCCCATCTCCAGGCAGACCTGGCTCTCACTGACCTCTTCAATGAGGGTAGCTACAAGAGTAGCTACTACCCAGGGAGAGAGCAGTTGCAGGATTTTTGTGTATAAGTAACTTAGGGCACTACAGCTTCAAAAAGCCTCCTGCCCACACAAGCGCACATGGGTGTAAGGAAGTGGCATTACAAATGGCACAGGGTGGTAAAGGAAGTGATGGTAAGAAGCTGGGAGTAGGATACCTAAGCACTCTGCAGGGCCATGGAGGACTCTTGGAAGAGACAATAGCAGGCAAACTTTTACAGAGTGGAAAAGAAGAGGAGCTGGCTAGGAGGAACGGAGTGATCCTAAGGAGCATAAACAAAGCTTCAAAGACGAAAAAAGAGCATGGTGGGCTAGGAGGGGCATGTGGCATGGAGCAGGTGGAACAGAGCAATGGGCCAAGGTGAGAGGGCCACCCAGGCCATGGTCACATGCTCAGACTCTGTGCAGCTGTGATGGAAGCCACCCAAGAATTAGCCATGAACAGGATATGGGCACGCTTGCATTTTTATGGCTACACACAAGATAGATTCGACTTATTTTTACTTAATGCTCGCTATGTTGACCCCCTAATTGCCTGATGTGTTCTGTAGGATCCCAGGAGGGTCCAACGTTAATTTTTCCTGATTTTTGTTTCAGTTTGAGTGCAATAGTCCCCAATATCACTACATAGCAGTTCCCCCCAAATAATACAAAATATCTTGAGTCCTGATCACTTAACAGGGTGACAAGTACCAGCTGGAGGGAACTGAGGCTCATTAAAGTGAAGGATTTTGGCTAAACTTTCAGTGCACTCATATCTTCACCCATTACCAGAACTACAATCATTCTTAGGGCAGCAAATGAAATAAGCTTTTTCTTCTACTCATCATGGGATTAGATATGGTCCTCGGTCCAGGACTGAAAGCCAATAACTCACTTAGAAGCACCACCAAATGACTGTATTTGGGTATCAGGCAATGACATCCCAAGAAGCTCAATAATACCCAAATTCACTGAGGACCCAAGATGAGCCCATCGTTCAGGCAATCCCCAGCTCAAAAATAGGTTAGTACTAAAGGGTTACTTTTTACTTTTTATTTCTATTTATTTATTTTTTTTGAGACAGAGTCTCGCTCTGTTGCCAGGCTGGAGTGCAGTGGTGCAATCTTGGCTCACTGAAACCTCCACCTCCCAGGTTCAGGTGATTCTCCTGCCTCAGCCTCCTGAGTAGCTGGGACTATAGGCATGCACCACCACGCCCAGCTAATTTTTGTATTTTTAATAGAGACGGGGTTTCACCATGTTGGCCAGGTTGCTCTCTAACTCTTGACCTTGTGATCCGCCGGCCTTGGCCTCCCAAAGTGCTGGGATTACAGGCATGAGCCACCGCACCCAGCCCAAGGGTTAGTTTTTAAAAGCTTTCTTGAGCTATCATTCACATATGTGCAAGTTACCCATTTAAACATACAATTCAATAGTTTTTAGTAAATTCAGAGTTATGTGGCTAACACCACTTCTTCATTTTTAAGAAGCTCAGAATTCACAACACAATTCAATGGGTATTTTTGGATATTGTAGACCCCTATTGGTTCCTAAAAACCAGGGACCCTCTCCTCCAAAAAGTTAGCATGCGTGCCTACACACAAGCACATTTTACACACAGCTTCCCAGGGAGTTCTGGTTCCCCAGAACTAGTTAAATCTCCTTAACCAAATTCTAGTAGCGGGCAAAGTGGTTTCTCGTTCATGTTTACATGAAACTGCCTGAAACTGCCTCCCTACCCCCACAGTAATGAGCTCCTCAGAGAAAAGTACTCAAGCTTGAATGTGCCCAGTGGGAATGGATTGGCCACACTGACTCACTTTACAGGCCCATCTCCAAGTGCTGGTGACTTTGCTCACTGCTGACACTTCAATGCGAACTGCCAGCTCCAGGGCCAAGAAAGTAGAAAATGCTCTTCGTGGCCAGTCCTCGATAAACTGCTATAAGCAAAAGACATACAAATTGTTTTCTCCCCTAAACATTATAATCAAGCTGATGGGTCAAGAACAAATACGCAGTCTAGAATTCAAGATTTCCAAAGTTCTAAGATGCACCAATAAACAGAGTTCAGTGGGAAGAATGATACCTACCTGATTGTAGAGGGATCTTTATATATAAGACACAGGCTTCTGGCTAGTGAACAAAGAGAAGTTATTGGAAGGAAACTGGGAATTTGCAGAACCCACATGAAGTTAGGGAAACCTGGAGTGGAAATCAGCAGTTTGGTGGGCCTGCCCACTTCTGGCTGCGTGGAATCCAAAATCAGTGGCCGGGTACGTGACCCAGTCTTGGCACACCCTCCATCCCACTTGACACTTTGAATCTGCAGAGAGTGGTAGAGACAAAAGGACAATTAAGAATAATCCCACCCCATCTCTACTAAAAATACAAAAAATTAGCCCGTCATGGTGGTGGGTGCTTGTAGTCCCAGCTACTTGGGAGGCTGAGGCAAGAGAATGGCATGAACCCAGGAGGCAGAGCTTGCAGTGAGCTGAGATCACATCACTGCACTCCAGCCTGGGCAACAGAGCAAGACTCCGTCTCAAAAAAAAAAAAAAAAGAGAATAATCCCAAAGTAGCTATGGGGGTGGTTTAATGACATAGCAGCATGTGTCAGCAGCTGCAAATTTGTTCTGGTGGACTGTTTCTATTAAAATCTGATTTTCATGCTTCCTACTTCTTAACACTCTAGAGCATGTTTGGTTCATGCCCAGGTTCTAAGTCTGGTCCTTCAGCCTCCCACCAATTTCTAGTTTCCATATCCTTCCAATACATTCCTTGCTCTTACTTGAGAAAGCCACAGTCAGTACTGTAGCTTGCAGCCAGAACCCTAATTGGTACAAGAACATCTAAGATATCTCTAGGGACTTGGAAGCAGAGACTGCAGAAGCCAACTATACTTATAAAGCATAAGTATCTGATCAGTGAACAGCAGCTGAGATGCATGACTGCCAACCATTTTTTCTGGTGTTGCATCACTCTCAGAATTCAAAGTCTCAGACAAGGGCATCTGACTGACAGAGTTTGGGTCTCCTGCCTACTCCCAGGCTGTATTAGGATGGCATGAGGAAGGAAATGCCCTCTCAGCAACTAAACAGGATGGGAAGAACTGACCTGACTTGTCCTAGCTAAAGCACCCACACAGGGGAAGAAGTAATCCCTGAAAATATCAAGAAATTGTTAGGAAGAGAATATGAGTGCTGTGCTAGCACCATTGCCAGAGTCTATTACACATAATGAAAGTTCATCCTTTGAAAGACTATGAAGCAATTATTCTCCCTATAGTATCCAAGCAAAGACAGGTGCTATATCCTCCAGGTAACTCTGGGCTGAAAACGTATTTCAATAGCTGCAACACATAAAGACTGACCTCACATGCAGAGAGGACTCCAGACATTGATTATATCCTATGCCAGAAACAGGTTCCCAGGGGGCTAGGCTGGAAAATGGAAAAGCTACAAGAAGTAGAATTCCCTAATCCAAACTTGTCTAATTTTTTATTTCTCCCAGATCAGAGTCATTTCTTATCCTTCTTTTACCCTTTTCTAATGTGAAGTGACACCTTCTTCATATAGATTATAAATGACTTGCTATCACATAACAGGTACTGCACAAAGCCATCATTCCCAAATGCCTTGCCCTTCTATTGTGCCTTCTTTCTCAAGAGGTCTTCACCTACAGGCTCAGGTCTGGATCATTGTAAGGATAAAGTGCTTCCCTCTTTTAAAAGTAGTTTTTCAGGCTGGGCATGGTGGCTCATGCCTGTAATCCCAGTACTTTGAGAGGCTGAGGTGGGAGGATTGCTTGAGCATAGGAGTTTGAGACCAGCCTGGGCAACACAGTGAGACCTCATCTCTGCAAAAAAAAATTTAAAAATTAGCCGGGCACGTTGGCACACACCTGTAGCTACTTGGGAGGCTGAGGTGGGAGGATCGCTTGAGCCTGGGAGGTGGAGGCTGCAGTGAACCATGATTGCTCCATTGCACTCCAGCCTAGATGACAGAGCAAGACCCTGTCTCAAAATAAATAAATAGTTTAAATGTGATAGATTAAACATGAATTTATAATAATCTCTTCCCATAACTCCAATAGAATATCTTTTTTTTCTTTGAGACAGAGTCTCACTTTGTCACCCAGGCTGGAGTGCAATGGTGTGATCTCGCTTCATTGCAACCTCCGCCTCCTGGGTTCAAGCGATTCTCCTGTCTCATCCTCCCAAGTAGCTGGGATTACAGGCACCCACCATCATGCCTAGCTAATTTTTGTATTTTTGTAGAGACAGGGTTTTACCATGTTTGCCAGGCTGGTCTTGAACTCCTGACCTCAGGTGATCCATCTGCCTCGGCCTCCCAAAGTGCTGGGATTACAGGCGTGAGCCACCACGCCTGGGCAGAATGATAATTTTTTAAATAAAAAAGTAGAAAGCCACTAAGGCAACAAGAAGGAGGGAGATGGGAGAAGATAAATTGTCAACAAACATTGACAGCTGGAAGGGAGATGTCTAAAGGATGATCATCGTAAGGCAGAGAAAGCTGAAAGTGGAGTGGCGTGGCAAGGAGGAGTGGAAGGCAGTCAACAGAAAGCTGCAACACACATCATAGAAATCCAGAAAGGCTCAGAACTAGAGGCAGAGGGCATTTCTGAAGGTAGGTATTGGAAGAGGGCTGAAAAATAGGAAAATGAATTGAAAATTTGTAAGGAACACTTAGATTGCCCATCCCCCTTCCTGCAATGTGATTTTTTAAAATGGTAAGGACACTGCAGAGAGTAGCTGAGCCAGAAAGTCCCAGGACTCATGAATGCCAAGCACAGCTAAAGGCAAGAGCAAGGCTGTAATAAAAACAGGGAAATTAAGAAAAAGCCTATATATTGTATTTCTCCACGCAGCAATCAGAATGCTAAAGCCAGTTTTTTATCACCCCGATACATCTCCTTTCAGGATACTCCTGAGATACTGACACTTAGGAGTCCCTGCTGAATGTCTAGGTCTTTATCCAAACACCCTGTGAGAGACTCACCAGCAGACAAGCATCACCCATGCATACAAGGCTTCCTGCCAGCATTTGTGTCTCTCGAAGTATGACAAAACAGCCCACTCTGACATGACTGACCCCTGAGGGAAGCATGTAGCTCCTAGTTATTGTAGCTAAGAGCATGGGCTCTAGAGCCAAAGGCCTGGGTTCAAATCCCTGCTCTGCCATTTGCAACCTGTGGGACTTGAACAAATGACTTTGGATCACTTCATGAGACCTTCCTCATAAGAGGTAGATTATCAAATAAGTAAATACTTGTAAAACCACCTAGAATAGTTACTGGAATACAAAAGAACTATATAATTTAAATAAAAGCTAAAAAAAGAAGCTCTCTAGAAATAGTCAATGTATTATATATCAGATGACTGCAAAAAAGAAGATGAGTTAGAGATGATTTTGTACCCATGAAATTGTGAGATGTTAATACAGAGGAATAACAAAATAGACATCTTAAAAAATAAAAATGAGGCTAGGCATGGTGGCTCATGCCTGTAATCTCAGCACTTTGGGAGGCCGAGGTGAGTGAATCACTTGAGGTCAGGAGTTCGAGGCCAGCCCAGCCAACATGGTGAAACCCCATCTCTACTAAAAAAACAAAAATTAGCCAGGCATGGTGGCAGGCACCTGTAATTCCAGCTTACTGGGGAGGCTGAGGCAGGAAAATCGCTTGAACCCGGAAGGTAGAGGTTGCAGTGAGCCAAGATTGTGCCACCGAGCTCCAGCCTGGGCGACAAGAGTGAAACTCTGTCTCAAAAAAAAAAAAAAAAGATTTAATTTTTAAGAGATGACTTGAAGTCTAACACTGAGAAAGTCTCACCAAAAAAAAAAAAAAAAAAAAAAAAATAGAACAAATGAATCAAGAGCAAAACAGATAGATCACTCCAGGAGCTAAATATCTAAATAATAAATGTTCCAGAAAGAGAAAAGAAACACTTCTTTCTTAATATTCAAAAATTATAACAACATTTCAGAGTCCGAGCAGTGTACCCAGCAAGTACTACAAATGTAAAGGGACTCATACCTAGCCACATTGTGAAGTTTCTGTCTGAACATCAGAGATCAGGAGAAGATCCTAAAAGCTTCTAAAGAAAAACAGGTATGGCATCCAGCATACTGGATTTCTTGACAGCAAGAACATTGGAGGCTGAAAAAGGATGAAACAAAGCCCTTAGAAATGTAATTTTCAACCTAGAATTCTGCTGGGTTAAGTTATAAAAGAAGCTTGAAAGTACAAAAAAAAAAACATTTTTAGATTAGTAGAGACTCAAATTTCATTCCCATGCACGCTTTTCAGGAAGCTACTAAAAGGTAGAATCCAATAAAGAAAGGGAATAAACCAAGAAATGTGGGCCCATGGAACTCCTGCTTCTGAGATCCTAACACAAGAGGATATGACATGAATCCTTGAAATGATAGTAAAAGGAAGACCAAGGAGAGTGGCAGCTGTTGAGTCACCTAGGGAGCGCCCAGTCTAGTTGATAACAAAAGGATTAGGACTTTAGGGGAATATCTCAGAGTGAGAGAGAGAGAGAGCAAGAACAAGAAAGCAAGAGAACCAGTTTGACCATACGGAGGTGTTTTACAGCTCTGGCAAAGACTCTGGGGATGGGCACAGAAAATAAGGCAAATAAATAACTAAGCAAATAAAACAAAATGCAGGGGTGGAGAAATTTAAAAAAAAGCAATCACAATTTATTACTGGCTCAGCACAGAACATGTTTGCATCATCACGACAGAGACTGACTACTGACTATTAATTCAATGCAAAATTGTAATTTATGGGTTATAGTGGGAGAGGTTGGTATGGAAGCCTAATCCTCATTTTCTCTTATAGATGTGTATAGTCAGCCCTCTGTATCCATGATGGATTGGTTCCAGGATTCTCTGTGGATACCAAATTCTGGGGATGCTCCAGTCCCTTATATAAAATGGTGTAGTATAGTCAACCTTCATATCTGCAGGTTTTTATCTACAGTTGGTTAAATCTACAGATATAAAACCCATGGATATGCAGGGCCAACTATAATAGATAATATTCATTGATTTTTTTCAATTTTAGGTGACATTAGCATACCATATATAAATGGGTAATACCAGAAGCAACTAAAAATATTAAAAGTAGTTTCTTCTGGAAATGAAAATTTGGGGTAAAAAGGTTGGCAAGAGTTCTGCTATTTTGTTATCAGACATGATAATTTAACTTTTAAACTATGAATGCATATTACTTTATTTTTAAAAAATTAAGTTTCACAATGGCAGGTTAGGTAGTAAGAAACAAAGTTTTTTTTAAGTTTCAAAAAACATAGGTAGAAATTTCCACCAAGAGGAAATAGTAGAGTTACTAAGCATTGAGCATTTACTATGTTCTAGAAAATAGGCTAGAAGCTTTACATGCATTCTCCATTATTCCTTAAAATAATCCCACAAAATAATATGCAATCATCATCTCCAGTTCAAATACGGAAAGAGACAATATATAACTCATTCAGGGAAACAGAACTAGGTAGCAGAGGAATCAAGATTCAAACATAGATCTGACTTCAAACATTGTGTTTGTCCCTACCACTTTCAGTTCTGATTCAATACATTTTCTAAACATTAATTTGATGTCTAATTGATTAGACCAGGCTGCATATGGGGTTCTCGTACTGTGAGGTACATTACTACCATTCAAATATTTTCCATTTTTGCTTCCAAGATTCATGATAGGAGTGCATTTCTTGGGCCCCTTATGATTGGATAAGGCCAGGCAACTAGTCCTGGCCAATGAGTTAGGAATGGAAGTAACATGCATCACTCTATGACAGAGCATTTAGTTGCAGATGTAAAAACCCTCCAAAGTCCCCTTTTTCTCTGCATTGGTGATTAGCAAAATTCAAGATTGTAGCTACATGCCCCATTGAAAACACTGGTTATATTCTGTTTAACATAGTATTAGAAGTCCTAGCCAGAGTAACCAGGCAATCAGAGAAAGAAATAAAGAACGTGCAAATAGGAAGAGACGAAGTCAAACTATCTCTGTTTGCAGACGACATGATTCTGTATCTAGAAAACCTCATAGTCTTAGCCCAAAAGCCCCTTCAGCTGATAAACAACTTCAGCAAAATTGCAGGATACAAAATCAATGTACAAAAATCATTACCATTCCTATACACCAACAACAGTCAAACCAAGAGCCAAATCAGAAAGGCAATCTCATTTATAATTGCCACACACACAAAATACCTAGAAATATAGCTAACCAGGGAAGTAAAAGATCTCTACCATGAGAATTACAAAACACTGCTCAAAAAAATCAGAGATGACACAAATAAAAAAAAAATTCCAGGCTCATGGATAGGAAAAATCAGTATCATTAAAATGGCTATACTGCCCAAAGCAATTTACAGGTTCAATGCTAGTCCTGTCAAACTACCAATAACATTCTTCACAGAACTAGAAAAAATATTTTTAAATGTATATGGAACCAAAAAAAGAGCATGAATAGCCAAGGCAATCCTAAGCAAAAAGAACAAAGCTGTAGGCATCATGTTACCTGACTTCAAACTATACTACAAGGATACAGTAACCAAAACAGCATGGTAATGGTACAAAAACAGGCAAATAGACCAATGGAAAAGAATGGAGAGCCCAGAAATAAGGTTGCACATCTATGACCATCTGATCTTTGACAAAGCTGACAAAAACAAACAATGGGAAAAAGACTCTCTATTCAATAAATGGTGCCGGGATAACTGGTTAACCATATGCAGAAGATTGAAGCTAGACCCTTTCCTTACACCATATACAAAAGTCAACTCACAATGGATTAAATACTTAAATGTAAAACCCAAAACTATAAAAACCTTGGAAGGCAACCTAGACAATACCATCCTGGACATAGGATTTGGCAAAGATTTCATGACAAGAACACCAAAAGCAATTGTAACAAAGGCAAAAATTGACAAGTAGAATCTAAATAAACTCAATAGCTTCTGCACAGCAAAAGAAACTATCAACAGAGTAAACAGAAAACCTACAGAATGGGAGAAAATATTTGCAAACTATGTATCTGACAAAGGTCTAATATCCAACATCTATAAGGAACTTAAACAAATTTACAAGAAAAAAAGTCTCAGTCTCATCCGAGACAAGTCCCCATTAAAATGTGGCAAAGGCATGAACAGACATTTCTCAAAAGAAGACATACATGCAGTCAACAAGCATATGAAAAAAATCTCAATATCACTGATCATTAGAGAAATGCAAATCAAAACCACAATGAAATATAATCTCACACCAATCAGAATGGCTGTTATTGAAATGTCAAAAAATAACAGATGTTGATGAAGTTGTGGAGAAAAGGGAACACTTATACACTGTTGGTGGGAATGTAAATTAGTTCAACCATTGGGGAAAGCGGTATGGCAAGTCCTCAAAGAGCTAAAAGCAGAACTACCATTTAACCCAGCAATTCCATTACTGGATATTTACCGAGAGGAGCATAAAGCATTCTAGCATAAAGACACATGCAAACGAATGTTCATTGCAGCACTATTTACAGTAGCAAAGACATGGAATAACCTAAATGCCCATCAATGACAGACTGGATAAAGAAAATGTGGTATACATACACCATGGAATATCATGCAGCCATAAAAAAGAATGAGATTGTGTCTTTTGTGGGAACATTGATGAAGCAGGAGGCTATCATATTTAGCAAAGTAACTGTATTAGTCCATACACTGCTATAATGATACTGTCTGAGACTGAGTAAAGAGGCTTAATAGGCTCACAGTTCTGCATAGCTGGGAAGACCTTAGGAAACTTACAATTATGGCAGAAGGCAAAAGGGAAGCAAGCACCTTCTTGCATGGTGGCAGAAGAGAGAGAGAGAGGGAAAACTGCCACTTTTAAACAATCAGATCTCGTAAGAACACCTCACTATCACAAGAACAGCATGGGGAAAACCACCCCCATGATCAAATCACCTCCCAGCACGTCCCTCCCTCAACATGTGGACATTACAATTTGAGATGAGATTTGGGTGGAAACACAAAGCCAAACCATATCATTCCACCACAGCCCCTCCCAAATCTTATGTCCTTTTCACATTTCAAAACCAATCTTGCCTTCCTAACAGTTCCCCAAAGTCTTAACTCATTCCAGCATTAACTCAAAAGTCCAAGTCCAAAGTCTTATCTGAGACAAGGAATGTCCCTTCTGCCTATAAGCCTATTAAATCACAAACAAGTTAGTTACTTCCAAGATACAATGGGAGTACAAGCGTCGGGCAAATGTTCCCATTGCAAGTGGGAGAAATTGGCCAAAACAAAGGGTCCCAGGCACCATGCAAGTCCAAAACCCAGCAGGACATTCACTAAATCTTAGATCTCCAAAATAATCTCCTTTGACTCCATGTCTCACATCCAGGGCACACCGATGCAAGGGGTGGGCTCCTAATGCCTAGGACAGCTCTGCCCCTGTGGCTCTGCATGGCATAGCTCCTGAGGCTGTTTTCATGGGCTGGCGTTAAGTGCCTGCAGCTTTTTCAGGTGCACAGTGCAAGATATCAGTGGATCTACCATTCTGCAGACTGAAGAACTGTGGCCCTCTTCTCACAGCTCCACTAGGCAGTCCCCCAGTGGAGACCCTGTGTGGGAGCTCCAACTCCACATTTCCCCTCTGCATTATCCTAGTAGAGGTTCTCCATGAGGACTCTACCCCTGCAGCAGACTTCTGCCTTGACATCCAGGCATTTCCATAAATCCTCTGAAATCTAGGCAGAGGTTCTCAAACCTCACCTCTTGTCTTCTGCACACTCACAGGCCTAACACCACATGGAAGCCACCTAGCCTGGGGCTTGCACCATCTGAAGCAATGGCCTGAGCTGTACGTTGGCCCCTTTTAGCCTTGGCTGGAGCCAGAGTGGCTGGGACACAGGGCACCAAGTTCCCAGGCTGCACAGAGAAGCAGGGCCCTGGGACCAGCCCACAAAACCATTTTCTCCTCCTAGGCCTTTGGGCCTGTGATGGGAGGGGCTGCCATGAAGATCTTGGAAATGCCCTGGAGACATTTTCCCCACTGTCTTGGGGATTAACATTCTGTTCCTCTTACTTATGCAAATTTCTGCAGGTGGCTTGAATTTCTCCCCAGAAAATGGGTTTTTCTTTTCTATTTCATGGACAGGCTGCAAATTTTCCAAACTTTTATGCTCTGCTTCTCTTTTAAATAAAAGTTCCAGTTTCAGATAATCTCTTTGTGAGCACATATGACTGAATGTTTTCAGAATCAGCCAGGTTACCTCTTGAATGCTTTTCTGCTTAGAAATTTCTTCCACCAGATACCCTAAATCATCTCTCTTATGTTCAAAGTTCCACAGATCTCTAGGGCAGGGGCAAAATGCCACCAACTAAAGCATAGCAAGAGTGACATTTGCTCCAGTTCCTAAGAAGTTCCTCATCTCCATCTGAGACCACCTAAGCCTGGCACTGTCCATATTACTATCAGCATTTTGATCAAAACCATTCAACAAGATTCTAGGAACTTTCAAACTTTCACACATTTTTCTGTCTTCTTCTGAGCCCTCCAAATTGTTCCAACCTCTGCCCATTACTCAGTTCCACAGTCAATTCCATATTTTCAGGTTATCTTTAGAGCATACCCCTCTCCTGGTACCAATTTTCTGTATTAGTCTGTTTTCATACTGCTATAAAGATACTGCTTGAGACTGTGTAATTTATAAAGAAAAGTGGCTTAATTGACTCACAGTTCCACATGGCTATGGAGGCCACAGGAAACTTACAATCATGATGGAAGACTAAGGAGAAGCAAGTACCTTCATACATGGCAGTGGGAGAAAAAGAGCAGGCAGGGGAAATTGCCACTTTTAAAATATGAGATCTCACGAGAACTCCCTCACTATCACAAGAACAGCATGGGAGAAAACTCCCCCATGATCCAGTCACCTCCCACCAAGTCCCTCAATACATGGGGTTACAATTAAAGATGAGATTTCAGTGGAGAAACAAAGCCAAACCATCTCACTCATGCAGGAGCAGAAAACCAAATACTGCATGTTCTCACTTATAAGTGGGAGCTAAATGATAAGAACCTGTAAACACAAAGAAGAAAACAACAGACACTGGGATTTACTTGAAGGGGAAGGGTGGGAGGAAGAAGAGGAACAAAAAAGACAACTATTGGGTACTGGGCTTAATACCCGGGTAATGAAATAATATGTATAACAAACCTGTGACATGTTTACCTATGTAAAAAACCTTCACGTGTACCCCAAAACCTAAAATAAAATTTTTTTAAAAAATGAACAACAACAAAAAAGAGAAAACGTTGGTTGTATTCCAGGCCCAGTGGCAAGGAGCATTCCCTAGCACCCAACTGTCACTGTGAAGCAACATTCCTCATTAGAAGAAACCAGGGTTTCTTGGAGAAATAGCTGATTCCAGGTGTGTCTGGGGCAGGAAATGTACAAAAAGTGCCTGGGCACATAAGATAGTAAGGAAACTATACCCTATGGCGGAAAAGCAACTTCTATGACAGAGAGTTTTTCATTCAGAAACCATGGATGCCAGAAAGGAGTGACAAAGTTTTCAGCCACTGAAAGAAAAGAACTGTCAACTTAGAATCCTACAGCCAGTGAAAATTTCCTTAAGGAATAAAGGGCAAACCAAGACATTCTCAGATGAAGGAAAAGTAGGAGAATTTGTCACCCTAGAAAGAGTAATCTACCCTTTCTCTGCTAAAAGTTCTCTAAACAGAAAGGCAATGAAAAAAAGATTACACTTGGAATATCATTGTGGTAAAAAGAATAATGGCCTCCCAAAGATGTCTGCATCCTAATCCTAGGAACCTGTGAACATGTTACTTTACATAATGAAAAGAACTTTTCAGATGTAATTGAATTAAGGATATTGAGATGAGATTATCCTGGATTGCCCAGATGGGCTTAATATAATTATAGAGGTCCCTTTAGGAGGGAGGCAGGAGAGAGAGAATAGAAAAAACTGTGAGAATGGAAGCAGAAAGAAAGAGGAGGATTTAAAGATGCTACACTGATGGCTTTCACGTGGAAGAAGGGATCATAAGCCGTGGAATACAGGTGGCCTCTAAAAGCTAGAAAAGGCAAGAGAACAGATTCGCTCCATTACAACAATCAGCAAAGGAGCAGGTACTCTGCTAAATTCTTCAAAAGAAATGTAGCCCTGTCAACCCATTTTAGACTTCTGACCTCCAGAACTATAAGATAATAAAAAATTGCTTTGTCTTAAGCCATCAAGTTTGGGGTAATCTGTTACAGCAGCAACTAATACAACCAGAAATAAAGAAAAAAAGGGGTAAACAAAATTATAAGTAAATATAATAGGCTTTCCTTCTTTTGAGTTTTCTAAACTATATTTGATTGATAAAGCAAACATTACACTGTCGGATCTGGTTCTGAATGTGTATAAAGGAAATATTTAATGTAATTATGCTATAAATAGGGGAAGGTAAAAGAGCATAAGGTAGGTAAAATTTTGACACTTCACTTGAAGTGGTAAAATGATGATACCAGTAGACTCTGATAGTCGTGTATGTATAATATAATGCCTAGAGCAACCACTCAAAAACCTGTGAAAAGATACAAAGAGATATACTCAAAAACACTACTAATAGATTAAAATTGAATTTTTAATGGTCAATTAACTGACAGGTAAATACAACAAATGAAAGATGGAAAGAAAAAACAAAATTTATAGATTTAACCTCCAACATATCAACAATTGCATTAAATGTAAATAATCTAATTATATGAATTAAAAGACATAAATTGGCAAAGTATTTTTTACATGGCCCATAGAAATCCTAAGCATGTATATACCAAACAACAGAACTCCAAATATGTGAAATACTACTGATACAACTGGACAGAATAATAGACAAATCCATAAAAATAGTTGGAAACTTTAACACCCTTCTTTCAACAATTGATAAAATAACCAGAAAGAAATCAGCTAAGATATGAAAAATCAAAACATTACTGTATTAATCCATTCTCATATTGCTATAAAGAACTGCCTGAGACTGGGTAATTTATAAAGAAAAGAGGTTTAATTGACTCACAGTTCCACATTGCTGGGGAGGCTTCAGGAAACTTACAATCATGGTGGAAGGCAAAGGAGAAGCAGGAACCTTCTTCACAGGGTGGCAGAACAGGGTGAGTGCAAGCACGGGAAATGCCAGACACTTATAAAACCATCGGATCTCATGAGACTCACTCATTATCATGAGAACAGCATGAGGGAAACTGCCCCCATGATTCAATTACCTCCACCTGGTCCTGCCCTTAACAAGTAGAAATTAGGGGAATGTATTAGTCCCCTTTCAGGCTGCTGATAAAGACATATCCGAGACTGGGCAATTTACAAAAGACAGAGGTTTAATTGGACTCACAGTTCCACATGGCTGGGGAGGCCTCACAATCACAGCAAAAGGCAAGGAGGAGCAAATCACATTTTATGTGAATGGTGGCAGGCAAAGAGAGAGCTTGTGCAGAGAAACTTCCATTTTTAAAACCACCAGATCTCATGAGAGTCATTCACTATCATGAGAACAGTGCAGGAAATACCTACCCTCATAATTCAATCACCTCCCACCAGGTTCCTCCCACATTGTGGAAGTTACAATGAAGAAGAGATTTGGGTGGGGACAGAGCCAAACCATATCATTCCACCCCGGCCCCAACCAAATCTCATATCTTCACATTTCGAAACTAATCATGCCTTCCCAACAGTCCCCCAAAGTCTCAACTCATTTCAGCATTAACTCAAAAGTCCACAGTCCAAAGTCTCATCCAAGACAAGGCAACTCCCTTCTACCTATGAGCCTGTAAAATCAAAAGCAAATTAGCTACTTCTTAGATACAATGGGGATACAGACATTGAATGAATGCTCCTCTTACAAATGGGAGAAACTGGCCAAAACAAAGAGGCTACAGGCCCCATGCAAGTCCCAAATCCAAAGGGACAGTCAAGTCTTTTTTTTTTAACAGATGTTTCATTTTATTTTATGTTGGAGTAATTTAAAGTTAATTTAGTAATAATAAACCCTTTTACTTTTATGAAAAACATTGTAAGTATTCATATGTTTAAACATAGCAATATTATTGAATGTGCTTCATTATATTTGAAATGTTGGTTTAGTACTTTGTGACACAGTGATTCATAGTCTTAATTTTAAGGGCATGATATACAAGTACTTGGATTTAATGGCTATGACAGCAAAAAAAGATCCCTCCTAAAATTCACAGATCCAGATGGAAAAAAAGTACATCTTTGGCTGTGCTTAATACATTTTATACTTATTGTTTTAGTTTAGTCCAAAAGTCATACAAACATATTTGTAGCAGTCAGCTATTTATATGTCTCTTTTGATGACCATCACTTGATTTTGATAATTTATTAAATATTCTTTACCATTTTGATAACACATTCAAAACCTGCTTTAAAATAAGTTCTCAGTTAATGTTGTCGATAGGTTCGCGGAAACTGAGGCTTTTAAGTGAAACAACACGCTATCTGCCATAAGAACTTAACTCTTGTTTATATCAACTAACCTATGGTAAATTGATTTCTTTATAGGGTATACAATTTCACTTAAAGCTGCAGCCTCCAAGAACCTAGGGACAGTCAAATCTTAAAGCTCCAAAATGATCTCCTTTGACTCCACGTCTCACATCCAGGTCTTACTGATATAAGAGGTGGGTTCCCATGGTCTTGGGAAGCTCCGCCCCTATGGTTTTGCAGGCAGGCAGCCTCCCTCCTGACTGCCTTCATGGACTGGCATTGAATGTCTGTGGTTTTTTCCAGAAGCATGGTGCAAGCTGTCAGTGGATCTACCATTCTGGGGTCTGGCGGATGGTGGCCCTCTTCTCACAGCTCCATTAGGTGGTGCCCCAGTACAGACTCTGTGTGGGGGCTCCCATCCCACATTTCCCTTCTGCACTGCTCTAGCAGAGGTTCTCCATGAGAACCCCACCCCTATAGCAAACTTCTGCCTGAGCATCCAGGTATTTCCATACATCTTCTGAAATCTATGCAGAGGTTTCCAAACCTCAATTCTTGACTTCTGTGCACTCACAGGCTCAACACCACATGGAAGCTACCAAGGCTTGAGGGTTGCACCCTCTGAAGCCACAGTCCAAGCTCCACATTGGCCCCTTTCAGCCATGGCTGCAGTGGCAGGGACACAGGGCACCAAATCTCTAGGCTGCACACAGCATGGGGATCCTGGGCCTGGCCCACAAAACCAACTTTTCCTCCTAGGCCTCCAGGCCTGTAATGGGCAGGGCTGCTACAAAGGTCTCTGACATGCTCTGCAGACATTTTCCCCATTGTCTTGGGGATTAACGTTTGGCTCCTCGTTACTTATGCAAATTTCTGCAGCTAGCTTGAATTTCTCCTCAGAGAATAGAATTTTTCTTTCCATTGCATTGTCAGGCCATGCATTTTCCAAATTTTTATGCTCTGTTTCCCTTTTGAAACTGAATGCCTTTAACAGCACCCAAGTCACATCTTGAATGCTTTGCTGCTTAGAAATTTCTTCTGCTAGATACCCTAAATCATCTCCCTCAAGTACATAGTTTCACAAATCTCTAGGGAAGGGGCAAAATGCCACCAGTCTCTTCACTAAAATATAACAAGAGTCATCTTAGCTCCAGTTCCCAACAAGTTCCTCATTTCCATCTGATACCACCTCAGCCTGGGCTTTATTGTCCATATCACTATCAGCATTTTGGGCAAAGCCATTCAACAGGTCTCTATGAAGTTCCAAACTTTCCACATTTTCCTGTCTTATTCTGAGCCCTCCAAACTCTTTCAACCTCTGCCTGTTACCCAGCTTCAAAGTCACTTCCACATTTTCAGGCATCTTTTCACCAACACCTTATTCTACTGGCCAATTTACTGTACTAGTCCGTTTTCACACTGCTGATAATGACATATCCAAGATTGGGCAATTTATAAAAGAAAGAGGTTTATTGGACTTACAGTTCCACATGGCTGGGGAGGCCTAACGATCATGGTGGAAGGTGAAAGGCATGTCTCACATGGTGGCAGACAAGAGAGAGCTTATGCAGAGAAACTCCTGTTTTTAAAACCATCAGATCTCGTGAGACTCATTTGCTATCATAAGAACAGCACAGGAAAGACCTGCCCCCATAATTCAATCACCTCCCACCAGGTTCCTCCCATGACATTTGAGAATTGTGGGAGTTACAATTCAAGATGAGATTTGGGTAGGGACACAGCCAGACCATATCAGGAGATTACAATTCAAGGTGATATTTGGGTGGGGACACAGAGCCAAACCATGTCATTCCCCTCCTGGCCCTTCCCAAATCTCATGTCTTTTCACATTTCAAAACCAACTATGCCTTCCCAACAGTTACCCAAAGTCTTAACTCATTTCAGCATTAACTCAAATGTCCACAGTCCAAAGTCTCATCTGAGACAAGGCATGTCCCTTCGGCCTATGGGCTTGTAAAATTAACCAAGCTAATTACTTCCTAGATACAATGGAGGTATAGGCATCGGATAAATGCTCCTGTTCCAAATGGGAGAAATTGGCCAAAACAAAGGAGCTACAGGCCCCATGCAAGTCCAAAATTCAATAGGGCAGTCATTAAAGCCTGAAGTTCCAAAATGATCTCCTTTGACTCCATGTCTCATATCCATGTCAAGCTGATGCAAGGGGTGGGCTCCCATGGTCTTGGGCCAGCTCTGCCCCTGTGGCTTTACAGGATACAGCCCCCATCCCAGGTACTTTCATGAGCTTGTGTTGAGTGTCTGTGGCTTTTTCAGGAGTACAGTGCAAACTGTCGGTGGATCTGCCATTCTGGGGTCTGGAGGATGGTGGCCCTCTTCCCACAGCTCCACTAGGCAGACCCCTCATGGGGACTCTGTGTGGGGGCCCTGACCCCATATTTCCCTTCTGCACTGCCCTAACAGAGGTTCTCCCTGAGAGCTCTGCCCCTGGAGCAAACTTTTGCCTGGACATCCAGGCATTTCCATATACCCTCTGAAATATAGGCAGAGGTTCCCAAACCTGAATTCTTGACTTCTGTGCACCTGGAGGACCAACAACACATATAGGCTGCCAAGACTTAGGGCTTGCACCCTCTGAGGCAATGGCCTGAGCTGTACGTCAGCCCTTTTTAGCCACAGCTGGAATGCAGGGCATCAAGTCCCCAAACTGCACAAACCATCAAGGCCCTGGGCCTGGCCCACGAACTGATTTTTCCCTTCTAGACCTCTGGGTCTGTGATGGAAGGGGCTCCCTGAAGACCTCTGACATGCCCTGGAGACATTTTCCCCATTGTCTTGATGATTAACATTTGGCTTCTCATTACTTATGCAAATTTCTGCAGCTGGCTGGAATTTCTCCCCAGAACACAGGTTTTTATTTTCTACATCACGGCCAGGCTGCAAATTTTCCAAACTTTTATGCTTTGCTCCCTCTTGAACGCTTTGCTTCTTAGAAATTTCTTCCACCAGATACCCTAAATCATCTCTGTCAGGTTCAAAGTTCCACAGAACTGTAGGGCAGGGGCTAAATGTCACCAGTCTCTTTGTTAAAGCATAGAAAGAGTCACCTTTATCCCAGTTCCCAACAAGTTTCTCCTCTCCATCTGAGACCACCTCTGCCTGGACTTCATTGTCCATATCACTATCAGCATTTTGGTCAAAGCCATTCAACAATTCTCTAGGATGTTCCAAACTTTCCTGCATATTTCTTTCTTTTATTGAGCCCTCCAAACTGTTCCAACCTCTGCCTATTACCCAGTTACAAGGTCACTTCCACATTTTCAGATATCTTTGTAGCAGTACCCCACTGTCTGAAGTACCAATTTACTGTATTAGTCTGTTTTCACACTTCTATAAAGAACTGCCCATGACTGGATAATTTATAAAGGAAAGAGGTTTAATTGACTCACAGTTCCACATTGCTGGGGAGGCCTGAGGAAACTTACAATCATGGTGGAAGGCAAAGGAGAAACAGGCACCTTCTTCACAGATGGCTGGACACAGTGAATGCAAGCAGGGAAAATGCCAGATGCTTATAAAACCATCAGATCTCATGAGACTCACTCATTATCACGAGAACAGCATGGGCAAAACCACCCCCGTGATTTAATTACCTTTATCTGGTCATGCCCTTGACAAGTGGGGATTATGGGCATTACAATTGAAGGTGAGATTTGGGTGGGGACACAGAGCCAAATCATATTAACTACAAACAAATAAGTTCTAACTGACATTTTTAGAACACTCACCCCAACAACAGAATACACATTCTTTGTAAGTGCCCACCAAACATACACCAAGATATGCTATGTCCTATGCCATAAAACAAACCTCAACAGTTTTTAAAAAATAAAATCATACAGAATATGTATGTGGTCAGAGGACCAAAAGCAGAAGATGAGAGGAAAACTTCCAAATACTTAGAAACTAAGCAATATACATCTAAATAATCCATAAATCAAAAAAGGAAGTCTCAAGAAAAATTAAAAATACATTAAACTGAATGAAAGTGAAAATCCAACATAAAATGTCTGGGACACAGCTAAAACTGAAAAGGAAACTTACAGCACTAAATGCATACATCTGAAGAAAGAAAAACTCTTGAGTAAATAATCTAAACTTTTACCTCAAGAACCTAGAAAAGGAAGAAGAATCCCAGAGCAAAAGAAGGAGTGAAATAATAAAGATAAGATTTTAAAAATCAGTGAAATTTAAAACAGAAAATAATATACACAGAAATAAACTCTTTTTAATGAAAAAAGAGTTGGTTCTTTGACAAGATCAGAAAATAGATAAACGCAACTAGACTAGCAGAACTAGAAACATCAGGAATAATACAGGGGATTGAAAGGAGAATAACAGAATACTGTGAATACACGCATACATTTGATGACTTTGAGGAAGTGATCTATTTCATCTAAAAACATATATTACCACAACTCATCCAATATGAAATAGATTATTTCAATAGCCCTATAACTATTAAATAAATGAAATTCATAATGTTAAAAAAAACTCCCAAAAAGGATATCTCCAGGCCCAAATAAATTTACTTGAGGATTCTACCAAACA
This sequence comes from Homo sapiens, assembly GCF_000001405.40. Taxonomy (NCBI): domain Eukaryota; kingdom Metazoa; phylum Chordata; class Mammalia; order Primates; family Hominidae; genus Homo; species Homo sapiens. The sequence goes on along the minus strand of NC_000001.11, from coordinate 13,846,601 downwards.
TTTAAAGAAGAATTAACACTAATTCCACACAATCTCTTCCAAAAAACAGAAAAGAAGAGCATACTCCCAATTGAATGTATAAAGCTAGTTCTACCTTGATACCAAAGCCAAACAGATAGTACAAAAAAAGACAACTATAGGTCAATATTCCTTCTGAATATAGACAAAAAAATTTAACAAACAAAGTGTTAGCAAATATATTAAAAGAATTATACAACATAACCAAGTGGGGTTTATCCCAAGAATGCAAGGCAGATTTCTGATTCAAAAATTATTAAAAGTGATATGCCATATTAACAGGCTAAAAAGTAAGTCACATGATGATATCAATTGATGTAGGAAAAGACATTTGACAAAAGTCAACATCTACTTATGACAAAAAACTCTCAGAAAGTCGGAAGAACAGGAACTTCCTCAACTTGATAAAGAACATCTACAAAAGACCTACAGCTAACATTATACTTAATAGCAAAAGACCGAATGCTTTTCCCCTAAGGTTGGAAACAAGGCAAGAATAAATGCTCTCACAGCTCTTATTCAACATAGTTCTGGAAGTTCTAGACAGTGCAATAAAGCCAAAAAAAAAAAGAAAAAGAAAAGAAAAGCATATATGTAAGAAGAAAAAGAAAAAGAAAGAAAGAAGGAAGGAAGGTAGGAAGGAAGGAAGGAAGGGAGTTTCTATTTTCAGATAACACGATTTCCTATAATATATAGAAAAATCCCAAAAAATCTACCAAAAACTCTTAGAACTACAAAGTGAGTTTATCAAAGTCACAACATGCAAGATCTGGCCAGGCGTGGTGGCTCATGCCTGTAATCCCAACACTTTGGGAGGCCAAGGCGGGCAAATCACAAGGTCAGGAGTTCGAGACCAGCCTGGCCAACATGGTGAAACTCCGTCTCTACTAAAAAAATACAAAAAATTAGCTGGGCGTGGTGGCGGATGACTGTAATCCCAGCTACTAGGGAGGCTGAGGCAGGAGAATCGCTTGAACCTGGGAGGCAGAGGTTGCAGTGAGCTGAGATTGTGCCACTGCACTCTAGCCCAGTCAACAGTGTGAGACTCTGTCTCAAAAAAAAAAAAGATACAAGATCTACACCCAAAAAATCAATTGCATTTTCTATACTCACTAGGAATGCATGGACATCCACATTTAAAATATAATACCATTTACAATCATTCAGAAAACGTAATACTCAGATGTAAGTCTAACTAAGTCTATATTGGACTTTTATTCTGAAAACTACATAAAATTCATGAAAGAAATAAAAGAATAACTAGATAAATGAAGAGATACCATGTTCACAGATTGGAAAACTCGACATAGTAAAAATGACAATTCTTCCTAAACTGATAGGAACTTCCTAAACTGTGTATAGGTTTTACACAATTCGTATCCAAATCCCAGCAAGATTTTTTATAGATATAAACGAGACTATTCCAAAGTTTTATAGTAATACAAAGGAACTGTAGTAGTTAAAATAATCCTCGGAAAAAAAGAATAAAGCCTGAGGAATTAAGACTTAATGTAGGGCAGTGCCAAGATGGTGGGCTAGAAGCAGCTCTTGTGTATTGCTGTCATGGAGTGTAAAGAAAAGAACTAATGAACACTGACCCTACAGGCAGATCATCTGAGAAACCACGGTGGGTTCCATCCAGGCAGCAAGGGAACACAGAGAGCAGAGAAGAGCAAAGCTGGGCACCAGCCTCTCTGGGCTCAGCACAGAGCCAGGAGAACCTATCCATATAGGAAAGGGTGAGTGAGTGAGACACCCCCCTCGAGAGTCCATGTAGGGGATCAATCAGTGTGGTTGGAAAAAATTATAGATATAGTTATAGGGAATAGACACAAAGTTTCTTGGAAGGCCAGGGGGTTTGCATGGCTTCAGTAACAGATTTGGCTGAAGGCAGCCTAATCCTCTTTGCCTTTGTTGATAGCAAAAAAAGCAAATATCAAGGGAATGTGGGGCATTTATCTAAATAGCTTATTTATGTGGTCCTAAGACCAACCTTTGATCAACCATGGGTGCATAATTGCTCTCTACTCGGGGGGTCGGCAATATTAATTACCCTCTAATGGTGTTTACTTGAGACTTTTGTCATTTAATCTGTGCTAAATAAATGTGAACTTCACCGGCTTATTGAGGCAATGCTCCACACTCAGAGCAGAGCCTCTTAGCCAGACTGACAGAGAAAATATCTGTGTCAGTGTACGTCTTTCATCCATCACTAGGTCAGGGTCTGTGGGTTGGACCCCCACAGGTCCAAATGAAAGAAAAAATGTTAAAGGCACCTAGAGAGAAGGGGCAGGTCACTTACAAAGGGATCCCCATCAAGCTAACAATGGACCTTTCAGCAGAAATCCTATAAGCCAACAGAATATACATTCTTTTCATTGCCACATGGCACATACTCCAAAATCAACCACACAATTGGACATAAAACAGTACTTAGCAAATTCAAAAAAATGAAGTCAGACCAACCACACTATCAGACCACAGCACAATAAAAGTAGAAATCAATGCCAAGAAAATCACTCAAAACGATATAGTTAAGTGAAAATTAAACAACTTGCTCCTGAGTGATTTTGGGGTAAACAATGAAATCAAGGAAGAAATCAAGAAATTCTTTGAAACTAATGAGAAAAAGATACAACATACTAATATCTCTGGGACACAACTAAGGCAGTATTAAGTGGGAGTTTATAGATCTAAATCCCTATTTCAAAAAGTTAGAAAGATCTCAAATTAACAACCTAACATCACAACTAGAAGAACTAGAGAAGCAAGAGCAAACTAACTCTAAAGCTAGCAGAAGACAAGAAATAACCAAAATCAGAGCTGAGCCAAAGGAAATTGAGACATAAAAAACCATACAAAAGATCAATGAATACAGAAGGTGGTTCTTTGAAAAAGATTAATTAGATAGACTGCTAGCTAGACTAATAAAGAAAAAAAAGAGAGAATATCCAAATAAACACAATTAGAAGTGACAAAGAGGGCATTACCACTGATCCCACAGGAAAAAATATCAGAGACTACTATGAACACCTCTATGCACACAAACTAAAAAATCTAGAAGAAATGGATAATTTCCTAGACACATACAACCTCCCAAGACTGAACCAGGAGGAAACTGAATCCCTGAACAAACCAATAATGAGTTCCAAAATTGAATCAGTAATAAAAAGCTTACCAACCAAAACAAAGTCTGGGACCAGACGAATTTACAGCTGAATTCTACCAGATGTACAAAGAAAAGCTGATACCATTCCTACTGAAACTATTCTAAAAAACTGAGAAGGAGTGATATGGTTTATCTCTGTGACCTCAACCAAATCTCATCTCAAACTGTAATCCCCATAATCCCCACATGATGCTAACCTTATAGAATGAGGTGGGAGGAGTCCCTTCTTGTATTAGTCCATTGTCACACTGCTATAGACATACATGAGGCTAGGTAATTTATAAAGGAAGGGGTTTAATTTACTCACAGTTCTGCATGGCTTGGGAGGCCTCAGGAAACTTGCAATCATGGCAGGAGGGGAAGCAGTCACCTTCTTCACAAGGCTGCAGGAGAGAGAGAAAGTGTGTGAAGGAGGAATTGTCACATACTTCTACAACCCTCAGATCTCGTGAGAACTCACTCACTATCATGAGAACAGTATGCAGAAACTGCCCGCATGATCCAATCATCTCCCATCAGGAGTGAGTTCCTTTATAAATTACCTAGCATCATCCCAATACCAATCCCTGGCAGAGACACAACAAAAAAAGAAACCTTTAGGCCAATGTCCTTGATAAACATAGATGCAAAAGTCCTCAACAAAACACTGCAAGCTGAATCCAGCAGCACATGAAAAAGCTTATCCACCACAGTCAAGTAGGCTTTATCTTTGAGATACAAGGTTGGCTCAACATGTGCAAATCAGTAAATGTAATTCATTTACATTTAGAGAAGTAAAAACAAAAACCACACAATTATCTCAACAGATGCAGAAAAGGCTTTTGATAAAACTCAACATCGCTTCGTGTTAAAAACCCTCAATAAACTAGGCACTGAAGGAACATACTTTAAAATATTAAGAACCACCTATGACAAACCGACAGCCAGCATCACACTAAATGGGCAAAAGCCAGAAGTACAAGCACCCCTTGAAAACCAGCACAAGACAAGGATGCCCTCTCTCACTACTCCAATTCAAAATAGTATTAGAAGTCCTAGCCAGAGAAATTAAGAGAAAGAAATAAAAGGTATCCAAATAGGAATAGAGGAAGTTAAACTATCTCTGTTTGTAAATGAATGATTCCATATCTAGGGAACCCCATAGTCTCTACCCAAAAGCTCCTTGAGCTGAAAACAACTTCAGCAAGTTTCAGGATACAAAATCAATGTATAAAAATCAGTAGCCTTCCTATACACCAACAACATCCATGCTGAGAGCCAAATCAAGAACGTAATCCCATTCATAATTGTCACAAAAAGAATAAAATACATAGGAATATAGCTAACCAGGGAGATGAAAAATCTCCACAACAATTACAAAACACTTGTCAAATAAATCAGAGATGACACAAACAAATGAAAAAGCATTCCGTGCTCATAGATAGGAAGAATCAATATAATAAAAATGGCCATACTCCCCAAAGCAATTTACAGGTTCGATGCTATTCCTATCAAACTACCAATGACATTCTTCACAGAATTAGAAAAAAAAAATTTAAAAATTCATATGGAATCAAAAAAGAGCCTGAATAACCAACGCAATTCTAAGCAAAAAGAACAAAGCTGGAGGCATCATGTTACCTGACTTCAAATTATACTACAGGGCTACAGTAACCAAAACAGCATGGTACTGGTACAAAAACAGACACATAGACCATTGGAAGAGAATATAAAGCCCAGAAATAATGTTGTACACCTACAACCATCTGTTGTTCAACAAAGCTGACAGAAACAGGACTCCTCCATCAATAAATGGTGCAGTGATAACTGGCTAGCCATATGCAGAATATTGAAGCTGGACACCTACCTAACACCACATACAAAAATCCACTCAAGATGGGTTAAAAACTTAAATATAAAACTTAAAACTATAAGAACCTTGGCAGATAATCTAGGAAATACCATTCTGGACACAGGACTTGGCAAAGATTTCACAACAAAAATGCCAAAAGCAATTGCAAGAAAAACAAAAGTTGACAAATGGAATCTAATTAAGCTGAAAACCTTCTACACAGCAAAAGAAACTGTCAACAGAATAAACAGACATCCTAAAGAATGGGAGAAAATATTTGCAAACTATGCATCTGACAAAGATCTAATATCCAGAATCTATAAGGAACTTAAACAAATTTACAACAGCCCCATTAAAAAGTGGGAAAAGGACATGAACAGACATTTTTCAAAAGAAGATATACATGTAGCCAATAAGCATATTAAAAAAATGCTTGACATCACTAATCATTAGAGAAATGCAAATCAAAACCACAATGAGATACCATCTCACACAAGCCAGAATGGCTATTATTAAAACATCAATAAATAACAGATGCTGGCGAAATTGTGAAGAAAAGGGAACACTTTTTTTTCTTTTTTTTAATATATATTTATTATTATTATTATTATTATTATTATTATTATTATTATACTTTAAGTTTTAGGGTACATGTGCACAATGTGCAGGTTAGTTACATATGTATACATGTGCCATGCTGGTGTGCTGCACCCATTAACTCGTCATTTAGCATTAGGTATATCTCCTAATGCTATCCCTGCCCCCTCCCCCAACCCCACAACAGGCCCTGGTGTGTGATGTTCCCCTTCCTGTGTCCATGTGTTCTCATTGTTCAGTTCCCACCTATGAGTGAGAATATGCGGCATTTGGTTTTTTGTTCTTGCGATATTTTACTGAGAATGATGATTTCCAATTTCATCCATGTCCCTACAAAGGACATGAACTCATCATTTTTTATGGCTGCATAGTATTCCATGGTGTATATGTGCCACATTTTCTTAATCCAGTCTATCATTGTTGGACATTTGGGTTGGTTCCAAGTCAAAAAAAAAGGAACAAGTATTCTGCGACTTCCCACTGAGCCTGGGGGTCCTAGTTATACATAAGCCCTTGTGAATATGGGCCACCCCATGAGTGAGGGAGTGAGGGAATGCTACCTGCTGTCACCTCCCCTTATGTAGGCAAGGGTGATTGCCTATGGAGGAGTCTCTCAATCTCCTTGAAGAAAGAAGCTCTTTCTTTCATAATACTTAGTAGAAAGGTCAGATGGCATATAGATTCCCTGTGCCATGTATTTGCTGAGTCTATTGGACAAAGTACTAAACCATATTGAAACTGTTTCCTCATCTCTAAAATGGGAATAGACTTACATATGTCATATGGTCTTTGTAAAGATTCATGAGAATAAGGTTCATTAGGAACACTGCAAGGCCTTCAATATATTTTAACCAATAAAAATGATAGTTATTATAAATGTTTCTTGGACTAAGTTGTTAAAAGTATCATTTAAAGTGTTAACTAGCTTCAAAAGTTCTATTTTTACCTGGATTGATAGAGTCACAAGATAATGTGTGTGTAAATAAATGTGACAATTTTCTCATCAAAAAAAAAAAGAAAAGGGAACACTTATACATGGCTGATAAGAGTGTAAATTAGTTCAGCTATTGTGAAAAAGCAGTGTGGCAATTCCTCAAAAAACTTAAAACAGAATTACCATTTAAACCAGCAATCCCATCATTGGGTATATACCCAAAGAAATATAAATCATTCTACCATAAAGATTCATGCTCCTGTGTGTTCATTGCAGTACTATTCACAATATCAAAGACATGAAATTAACCTAGATGCCCATTAACAGTAGACTGGATAAAGAAAATGTGGTACATATACACCACGGAATTCTATGCAGCCATAGAAAAGAACAACATCATGTTCTTTGCAGCAACATAGACAGAGCTGGAGGCCATTGTCCTTAGTGAACTAACACAGGAACAGAAAATCAATACTGCATTTTCTCACTTATAAGTGGGAGCTAAACAATGAGACCACATGGATACTAGGAGGGGAACAACAGATGCTGGGGCCTAGTTGAGGGTAGAAGGTGGTAGGAGGGAGAGGATCAGAAAAAATACCCGTCCAGTGCTATGCTTATTACCCAGATGATGAAACTATCTGTTTCACCAGACCCTTGTGATAAACAGTTTACCTGCATAACAAACTTGCACATGTATCCCTGAACCTAAAATAAAAGTTTTTTTGTTTGTTTGTTTATTTGTTTTTTGAGACAGGGTCTCGCTCTGTCGCCCAGGCTGGAGTGCAGTGGCGGGATCTCGGCTCACTGCAAGCTCCGCCTCCCGGGTTCACGCCATTCTCCTGCCTCAGCCTCCCGAGTAGCTGGGACTACAGGCGCCCGCCACCGCACCCGGCTAATTTTTTGTATTTTTAGTAGAGACGGGGTTTCACCGTGTTAGCCAGGATGATCTCCATCTCCTGACCTCGTGATCCACCCACCTCGGCCTCCCAAAGTACTAGGATTACAGGCGTGAGCCACCGTGCCCGGCCCCAAAAGAAAAGTTTCTTTAAGAAAGACTTATTGTAAGGCTGGCCACAGTGGCTCACACCTGTAATCCTAGCACTTTGGGAGGCCAAGGTGGGTGGATCACCTGAGGTCAGGAGTTCAAGACCAGCCTCACCAACGTGATGAAACCCCATCTCTACTAAAAATACAAAACATTAGCCAGATATGGTGGCAGGCACCTGTAATCCCAGTTATTCAGGAGGCTGAGGCAGGAGAATCGCTTGAACCCGGGAGGCAGAGGTTGCAGTGAGCTAAGATCATGCCACTTTACTCCAGCCTAGACAATAGAGTGAGATTTCAGAAAGAAAACAAGGAAGGAAAGAAGGAAGGAAGGAAGGAAGGGAGGAAGGAAGGAAGGAAGGAAGGAAGGAAGGAAGGAAGGAAAGGGAAGGAAGGAAGGGAAGGAAGGAAGGAAGGAAAAAGGAAAGGAAAGGAAAGGACAAGACTTATTTTATAGCCACGGTAATTAAGACTGCATGATATGGGCATACAGTCAATTTCCAAGTGCCATAAGAAGGCAAAAGAAAAGACAATCTATGAAACAGGATAGGGAATACAGAAATAGACCCACCCACACATATATGCCCAACTGATTTTTGACAAGATGCAAAAGCATTTCAATGGAGGAAACATGGCCTTTTTGACAAATGATGCTGGAGTAAGTGGATATTTATAGGTTAAAAAAAAAAAACAACCTTGACCTAAGTCTTACACATTACACAAAATTAATTCAACATGGATCATAGGCTTAAATGTAAAACTATAAATCATGTAAAAAAAATAGGAAAACCCTAGGGCTGGGGGAATTGATAGACAACACCAAACGCATGATCCATAAAAGCATAAATTGATGAATCAGATTTCATCAAAATTCAAAATGTTTGCTTTATGAAAAACCCTGCTAAAAAGATAAAAAGACAGGCTGTAGACTAGAAACATATATATATACAAACCACATAGCCAACAAACAACTGATATGCAGACTATATAAAGAATTCTCAAAACCCAACAGTGAGAAAACAATTCAATCAAAACGTGGGCAAAAACATGAGCAGATATTTTACTGAGAAGGAGATACAGATGACAAATAATCACATGAAAAGATGTGTACCCTTAGCCATGAAGGAACTGCAAATTAAAACCACAGTGGCAAAAAAAAAAAAATTAGTGCCAACACCAAGTACTGTCAAGAGTGCAGAGAAACTGAATCACTTGCACATTGCTGATGGGAGCATTAAATGGTACAACCACTCTGGAACAGTTTGGCAATTTCTATAAAGGAAGGAAGGGAGGAAGGGAGGAAGGGAGGGAGGGAGAGAAAGGAGAGAAAGGAGGGAGGGAGGGGGCGTTATCCAGTCCACCATTGATGGGCATCTAGGTTAATTTCATGTCTTTACTATTGTGAATAGTGCTGCGATACTGATCATAGCCAAAAACTGGAAATAAATGCCTTTCAACAGGTAAATGGCTAAACAAACTGTGCAACATCTGTAACATGAAACACTACTCAGCAATAAAAAGGAACAAACTATTGATACACACCACAACCTGGAAGAATCCCCAGAGAATGATGCTGAGTTAAAAAGCCACCCCCAGCTGGGCGCAGTGGCTTATACCTATAATCTCAACACTTTGGGAGGCTGAGGTGGGAGGATCACTTGAACCCAGGAGTTCAAGACCAGCCTGAGCAACATAGGGAGACACCACCTCTACAAAAAAAAAAAAAAAAATTTTTTTTTAAGTAACCAAGTGTGGTGGCAGGCACCTGTAACCCCAGCTACTCAGGAGGCTGAGGTAAGGGGATCAGTTGAGCCCAGGAGGGTGAGGCTGCAGTGAGCCATGATCCTGCCACTGCACTCCAGCCTGGGTGACAGACTAAGACCCTGTCTCAAAAAAAAAAAAAAAAAAAAACCCAAACCCCAAAAGGATACATACTGTATGATTCCACTTATATGACATTCTTGAAATGACAAAATTATAGAAATGAGGAATTGATTAGTGGTTGTCAGGGGTTCAGGGGAAGGTGGGGTGGGAGGGAAGTTAGTGTGGCCATAAAGGGCAATATGAGGGATTCTTGTGGTGATGGGAATGTCATGTATCTTGACTTATCACTGTCAATATCCTGGTTGTAATGTTGGATTATGGCTACCACTGGGGGAAGCTGGACAAAGGTACACAGAATCTCTGTATTATTTCTTAAATTAGATGTGAACAATCCAATTAGCATATGGGCAAAGAAATGTAAGACACTTCCTACAACTACATGCAAATCTACAATTATCCTAAAATAAAAAAAATTTAATTAAACAAATACAACGAAGTGATCCCCATGAAAGTTAGGACAGCAATTACTTCTGGAGGGAAAGTGGGAGCTGTGATTGGGAATGAGTAGCTGGTAACATTCCCTTCCTGATCTGGAGGTAGTTATAAGAGAGTTTCTATAATTTACCAAACTAGACATTTGTTTTGTGTGGTTTTCTGTACCTGTGTTTGTTTTTACAATACGTTAAAAAAAAAAAAAAACAGCTACTTTGTCTGTCTAGATCCTGGAGTTAGCAAGTAGGAGAAAGTATTCCTAGTCAGTCCACAATTGACATGTATTATGAGCAAGAACTAAGCGTTTATCATCAGCAACTAAGATTCTGTTGTTTGTTACAGCAGCGTAATCAGCACATCCTGACTGATACTTATGCAGTAGGACAGTTTATAGATAAGTCGCCTGAATTCCAGGGCCCATTGGTTCACTTAGAACCAGTGAACCTAGCAAGGAATGGCAGTGTGCCCTTGGCAGTGGGGGTAGAGAGGACCGTTTGATGATGTTAAGTAAGCAATGACTAAGACAAATTCCCTGCATAGGTTTCAGACTAAATCGTGCCCCACTCCTCCAAATTTATCTGTTGAAATCCCAACTCCCAAATACACCTCAGAATATGATCATATTTGGAGATAGGGCCTCTAAAGAAGTAATTAAGGTTAAATGAGATTATATAGATGGGTCTTAATCCAATAGGACAGGTTCCCCACACAAGAAGAGGGAGAGACACCAGGATGTGTCTTCACACAGAAGAAAAACCATGTCAGGACACAGTGAGAAGGCAACCATCTGCAAGCCAAAGAGAGAGGATTCAGGAGAGACCATGCCTTCTGACACTTTCATTTTAGGCTTCCAGAACTCCAAGGTATTTCACTATGGTGATCAGAGCAGACTAGTACACCCCAGTACACAAGTTGTCCACTAAAACATCAGATGATCTTCTTGTACCGATAGAACAGATCGTTTCATTCAGCTGCGCCGACCATCCATTGCAGGTCGCTGCCTACCTATGCCCAGCACATTACAGAGTGCAGCAGGGGACAAACAGGAAGCCTGGAACCAGCACTGAGCATAAGCACTCTTTCAGTAGGGGCAGGACTGGGGATTATGGTGTGGCGGCAGCTCCATCAGCAGAGAACACACCTCTGCCATCACTGTCAAATATCCCTGAACCTCTACCCTCACCTGCAAGGGATACAGCTGCTTCCAACAGGGGTGACGAGCAGGTGCAAGCACAAATCAGTCACTTTGGTCCACATGGGCAGAGTCAGAGGGTGGCTGGCTGCGTGTGTCTCTTGTCCAGCAGCCTATGTGGTGCTACCACCTTCCAAACAGATGAGATTCCAGGAGAGCGCTCTTCTAGAGTGGGGGTCACCCAGCTTGCTCTGGCAAGTTTCAAGGGTTCTTAAATCTACAGGGGACTCTTCAGGTCTACCAAGGTCTGGGGAGGATGGTCCAGGACACAGTCTCCTGCTGTGAACATGGGAAGAACAGTTTTCCCAGTCCACAAGTGTCCTCCTGGATTCAGAAGAGACTCTCTCACGTCCCCGTCCTAACCCCCAAAGCAATCATCCAGCTCTTGTCATTTGTCTGTACGGAGAATGCAAGCACACCTTTACACAAGAGGTCCTTTCACTTTTCATAGGGTTGAATGCATCCCAGATATAAAACATTTGCAACAAACTGCAAAAGAAAAATAAATCTTGGGGCCCCCAAATCATCAATGTAAAGGGAAAAGTCAAGCTGGGAATTGCTTAGGGCAAACCTGCCTCTCATTCTATTCAAAGTCATCTCTCTGCTAGCTGAGATAAATGCGTATCTGATTGCCTCTTTTGGAACCGCTATTCAGAAACTTAAAAGAATACAACCATTTGTCTCTTATCTACCTATGACCTGGAAGCCCGCTCCCCACTTCAAGTTGTCCTGCTTTTGCTTCGAGTTGTCTCACCTTTCTGGACAAAACCAATTTCATCTTACATATATTGATTGATGTCTCATGTCTCCCTAAAATGTACAAAACCAAGCTGTGCCCGGACTACCTTGGGCATGTGTCGTCAGGACCTCCTGAGATTGTGTCATGGGTACACGTCCTTAACTTTGGCGAAATAAACTTCCTAAATTGACTGAGACCTGTTACAGACTTTTGAGGTTCACAAAACGTTATGCTAAATGAGCCCAATTTAGGAAAAATTGGCAAAACATGAAAGGCTGAAAAGAAATGCAAAGCTGCTGTTTGAGCCCTCCTCACTGCTGCAGACAGACCCAAGGACCCTGCATTCAGCCCCCACTTCCACCCAGCATCCTGCAGCCAGCAAGGGACTGGCTCTGAACCTTTGTCCTCCCACGTCACAGGTGGGCCGTACAATAGTGCTGACCTCAGTGTGACACGGAAAGGATGGAAAAGCTCAATGGGGCCATCATAAAGACTCTATTCCTGAAATGTTCTTAAATTGAGAAGCAATCAAAAGCTGGGTGAGGTGGCTCACGCCTATAATCCTAGCACTTTGGGAGGCCGAGGCGGGCGGATCACCTGAGGTCAGGAGTTTGACACCAGCCTGGCCAACATGGTGAAACCCCATCTCTACAAAAAAAGATACAAAAATTAGCCGGGCATGGTGGTGGGTACCTGTCATCCCAGCTACTGGGGAGGTTGAGACAAGAGAATCGCTTGAGCCTGGGAGGTGGAGGTTGCAGTGAGCAGAGATCGTGCCATTGCACTCCAGCCTGGGCAACAGAGCAAGAATCTGTCTCAAAAAAAAAAAAAAAAAAAGTAAAAAGTAATCAAGCCTTCACTTAGGCTAATCTGTTCCCTTGTATCTTCTATGCCACAGGTCATAGCTCTGTCCCGAGGCCACACATTGGGTCCTGTATTGAGGGAAAACATGGTAAGCATTTGGGGACAATGACACCCTCATATTGCCCTTCCCACCCCCTCTCTTCCTGTTCACACAACCTCACATTCTCCAGGTTAAAAAGATCTTCCTGCTTTTAAGGAAAAGGGCTGCGCACTGGGGCTGCTCCTGCATGGACCGACAGCATCCACTGGGGACCCAGGGAGGGAAGGTGATCATAAGAGACAGAGACATACCAGAGAACAGGCCTCATGTCAAGAAGAGGGGATGGAGGCCCCGAGGAGCTGTACCCAGCTCAGGCCCCATCTAGTTGACAGGAAAGGTCAAACTAGAGTCCCCTCCCAACCACTGACTGGCTCAGCAGGTGCAGCGTGGAGCACATACCTGTTCCCAACTTGCACACGCACGGAAAAGATCCCACCAGAAGCAGTGAGTAGGTGTATGATTTTGGAAAGGGCAGTGTAGGGGAAGCTACAATAAGCAAACAAAGCTGACCCTGGCCATCCAAGGTACAGCTTTTCAGCAGCACTGATGGCACCTTCTGCCACTCCCTCCCTTCTTCACATTCCTCCTGCCTGAGGATCCTGCTCCCTGCAGGTGCCTTCACAGGGATGCTGTGCCACAAGATTTAGGTTTGACCTTCAGGAGCAGCAGGGTCTCTGCAGAACAGATGTACATGGAGCTGGTGCCAGATAAGCCCACCTAGAATGCCTGGCTCGGGAGGCCCATGTTAAGAAATGATTGGCCCTTTCCCAGCACAATGAATGGGGAATGGTGGGCACAGCCCCCAGTTGAGTCACCCAGCATCATCTCTACCTCTGTTCTGCTTGGACAACAGCCTCTCCCTCAAGTCCATGGCTTCAGGATGACACAGTGGGCAGCACCTTGTCATAGAAATCAGGCTTTTTGGTTTCATATTAGGTGTGCACCGTTAAAGATCTAAATACAACACAAACAAACAACCCAGAAGGGAAAAGATTGCCCATGCTTGCTCTCTGCATACAAATCCTTCCCATGCCTCTCTTCCACGTGGCTGTACCCAGAAGACAAAGGGCACGTTGGTAAAAATGTAATTTCCGCAAGACAGTGGAACCCAGCCAAGCAGGCCTCAGGGTAGCTGGTTTGCACCTGGATCCCTACCTGTGCCAGGAGGGCCTTGCTCTTGGACACTCTCCAAGTTTCTCCTACCCTCCTCTCCCAGCAGGAGCCTTGCAGTGTCCCCTAATTTAGAGGAGATGAAACTGGAGTGTTATCAAGCAAACCACAGAGCCTTAGGTGGCCAGGGAAGAGCCTTGGATCACAGACAGCTGCAGCCATTGGCGGATGCTCCACTGGGATTTGAGCATGGGGCATCTTCCACCTTCAAGAACCAGACCAGTGGCTCGCTCCACCATTTGTGACCTCAGGGGAGGTCAACCCCTTTAAGCCTGTTTCCTCCTCCACAAATATAGGAGCACCAATGGAGCCCACCTCCAAGAGGGTTCCCTAAGGCAAACACTTCCAGTGCAAGGCACATGGTGTGTATCCAATAAGACTGATCTATCACTGCCTCTCGACACGGTCATGCCACTCCCTCAGCAAATAATCATAGTGTGAGCAAATATGTACCAAACTGTCAGTGTCTGTGTGAAAACAGAAGTAACCTAAATTCTGCCTATATTATGTACCCCTACAAACATCATCATTAAAGGTAATGTAGAAGTAATAATCATCTTGAAGTTTAAAAGTCCAGCGTGATTAACATCATACCTAACGCTTACAGTTCACATCCAAAGCCAGGCACTAAGTGTTTTGATGTAACGAACAATTTTCTTGATAACCCTGTGAGGAAGGAACTATGATCATGCCCACTTTATAGATGAGAAAACTGAGGCACGAGGAGGTTCAACAACTTCTTGAGGTCACACAGCAGGTTGATGTCACAGCCAGTTGCTAATATTTATATCATAAAAACCTAAGGGATCAGGCACTAAAGGACCCATCAGACTGGGCGTGGTGGCTCACACCTGTAATCCCAGCACTTTGGGAGGCCAAGGTGGGTGGATCACCTGAGGTCAGGAGTTCGAGACCAGCCTGGCCAACATGGTGACACCTCGTCTCTACTAAAAATACAAAATTAGCTGGTCGTGGTAGCACATGCCTGTAATCCCAGCTACTTGGGAGGCTGAGGCAGGAGAATTGCTTGAACCTGGGAGGAGGAGGCTGCAGTGAGCCGAGATTGCACCATTGCACTCCAGCCTGGGCAACAAGAGGGAAACTCCATCTCAAAAAAAAAAAAAAAAAAGGCCATCAGTGGCAGGATTTCTTTGGATTTTCTCTATTTTTATGGGGTTAATAACCATGTACATCTTCTAACTAGAAAATAGAAAGTTTTGTGTTTAAGCAATCACACGCAAGAATTTCCCCATGCCTCAGTGCTGAGGTAGGACACACATGCTATGAGCTCCTTAGGGCACACCCCAGGCCTAAGAGGTCACAGAGGGAGAGATGGCTCATAGTGGAGGCCTCCTTGTCTTGGGCTTCAAGGTGGGCATTGGTGTGTGCCAGGCCCCTGCCTTCCCTCCACTCTCAGCCTCAGCCTTCTGCTGGTAGAACCTAATAGCACTTGGGTAAGACAGACATATATGGACCACACTAGTGCCCAAATTTCCACAACATCTGGTTTGGAAGTGCTCACCCAGCATGGCCCTGGGAAGGGGCAGGGGACCTACAGCTGCAGATGCCCAAGAATGATGTTAGTTTGAAAATCCTACCAGTTGATGCCAAAATCAGTCACTTGTTTGCCTTTCTGTCATGCAATCTTTCACATCTGATGGCAAGAAAGGGAGTTTGCTTATTTAAACATTTTTTTTATTTTATGAATCAATTAAAGATCAGAGCCACAATCCCAAGATGTAGGCAGGAGTCGAGAGCCACTTGAACACTCTTTAGAGTCCTCAGGACCCCACTTGACATTTGGCGACCTCCGCATCCAAGGCATGAGCTGCTGTTAAGAGCAGAGGAAGCCGCTTCCTGACTGCCGGGCAGAGGGCCAGGGCTGGCTGAGAGCTTTCAGAGTGACCAGCTGGAACCCCTCAAGATGACCAAGAAGAGAAGGGCATCTTAGAGAGGCCTGGCCCTCTGAATAGGGTTGCCAGATTTAGCAAATAACAGAACGGAATTCTCAGTTCCATTTGAATTTCAAATAAACAACTTTTTTTTTTTAAGCATACATATGTCCCATACAATATTGGGGACATATTTGTACTTTAAAATCTGTTTGTTATCTGAAATTCAAATGGAAATGGGCATCCCTTACCCTACCTGTGATGTTTAAAACAAAATTTTCCTCATTTTTCCCCCTGGTCCTGAAGGTGGACAAGAGAGACCCACACAGAGAAGCAGGCCATGGTTGAGAATTGAGCAAAGTGCTCTGCCCAGCCTGGAAGCTGCAAATCAGCTATTTTCACGTAACTGCACTGGATCCCTGAGTCAGCAAGGTCTCCTCCGAGGTCGATTTCTCTGACGGAAGACTCCCAATGTGCCCCATAATGAATCCCGAGGACCTACTAACAGGTAGGTCCCCACTGACAGGTGCTGGGTGCTGTCATTGGCACCGGATACAGCATTGAACAAGACAGATGTGGTCCCTCTGCTCTCATAGGAATGACATTCAGGAGAAGCCGGGAGACTAGAAATTCTCAGGTAATGATAAGTGGGAAGAATAAACCAACAGGCCCAAATGAGAGATGATGAGCTACTTTGGACTAAGTGTTCAGGGAAGGATGCTGAGAAGAGATCCACGTGACTAAGCAGAGAAAGTCATTGCAGGCAGAGGAATTAGTTTGTGTAAAGGCCCTGTGGCAGAAGAGAGCTTATGTAGCCCAGGATCAGAAAGACGACTACTGTGGCTGCAATGAAGAGGGCAATGGGCGTGTGGGGAAGGGTGCAGGGTGAGGCTGGGGGGCATCTAAACCAGAAAGGGGAGTTGAATTCTATTCTAAGTGCATGGGAAGACTTTGGAGCATTTTTAGAATGACTTGATTGGATTCAGAGATGTGCACACAGTCCAAAGACACACACAGCATCCTAAGCTGCCAGGACCAGAACTAGGGGCAGACAAGTAAGGTGGTCACGGTGTGAAACGCAAGGAGATCCTCAATCTCAGATCTGTCTACATGCTGACTCTTACTGGCCCTCAGTCCCCTCTCCCAAACCCTGCATAGAAGCCACCTGATGACTGAGTCACATGACCAGCCTCACCCTCTCAGCAAACTCGCCCTCCCTGTCTGACCTGCTCTGGACTAGCAGGAAGGATAGGAGGGCATGGGACAGCTTTACTCTGCACTCAGCCCATCGGGGACCAGCTGAAGGTTTCGTTTGCTATGGGTTGGCCCCCTGCCCCCTCCCCACCAGCCTATTGTAATGAGGGGGAAACTCCAGGCCAGGCTCTCGTCTTGGGCACGGGCTTCCTAGAGCTGGGGGTCGGCAGTTCTGTCTTCTCAGCTGAGCCATGGCCAGCAAAACTGTCAGGACGGTTTGAGTTTCTGGTCCTCCAGCCCAGCAGACTCTCACCCTCAGCTGGGCACCCCACCTCACATCACTGCATCTCTCCCCTTACCTCACGCCAGAGTGGGACCTCAAGCCTGCCTCTTTGGAGTAGGGAGCTCAGGGACTCCTTTCCAACCCCTCAGCTGAGCAGCTCTGTGGCTCCAAGGGCTCCTTGTAACTTCAGCCTTAACCAGGAGCACTCGGCTCACCTACTTGACCTACCCCGGCCTGGGCAAAAGCCGGATGTCCTGGAGCCTGGACTTGAGGGAGGACCCCATCTGCTGGTGGGAGGTGGCATCACAGCCCCAGGTGAGCTGCCGGGTCCCTCCTCTGCCCCGCTCCTACCTGCGGTACCCAAGAAGACTCTGTCCCAGCCACGGCTGATGTGTTTGGTGAGCTGTACGTGTGGCCTCCTCACGTTCCCTTGGTGGACACACGTACAGTCCTGGTCACTCAGCAGGTTGCTAAATCCCAGACCTTACTGAAGTGCTGGATCCTCCATTGCAGTCCCCACTGGGTTCCCTCTAACCTGCCCCAAGGAAGTCGAGACTGTCCACATTCTGCGTGCTGCTGCCACAGAGGTCTATGGGGGCTCCCTGTTTCCTGATCCCTGTCTCAGTACCGCTGTCCTGTTTCTCCACTGAAGACAGGTGATCAGGTTCAGCAGGCTCTGTGAGGCACCTGGAAGGTGGGCGTTGCCGGAGTCAGTCTCCCCTTTCCTGCACTGCCACTGCCCAGTGCAACGTTCTGAAGAGTCACCAGAGACGCTGCTGAATGCAAACTCCAGAGCCTCTGGCAACCTCGATTTGTTGTTCTGGTGGAGGCTGGAATGCTATTTTCAATCATTGCCATGGCCATAATCCTCAAACAGCGGGCATTCAACTTGGTGGGACATGCCGAGCTTGTTGACAATACAACAACCTGAACCCCATTCTGATTCAACACCTGCTGCAGTGGAAACCAAGAATCTCTCTTTTAACAATAGGACCAGGTGATCCTTACCCTAAAGAGACCCAGTAGTAGGTAATTTGTATCCTCACTGAAACATAGGAAGGTGGAAGTGACTACCATCCCCTTGTACCAACAAGGAACCAAGCTGAGGCCAGTGACCAGCCCAAGGTCACAGCCAGTATGGAGCAGAGCTGAGATTAACCTGGGGCTGGTGCTCCAACACCTTTTAAACTTGTGTGTCTTGTATGGGTACAAATCTGGGCAAAGCAAAAGCCTAGGAGCTGACTGCTGTACCCTGGGAGTCAGGGATTGACCTCTGTTATAACGTTTCCACTTGCAAGGTGGCCTGAGATCATCAGGAATTGCTAAAACAGTGGTAAAGGGTGCAGCGAGGGGCAAGGATGGGTGAGTAGGACATCTTGGCCTTGGGCCCCTGAAAGTCTTGCGTCCAATACCTGGCCCACATCTACCAGCTATGTGACCCTGGCCAAATCATCGAATGTCTCTGAGCCTCACATTTTTCATCTATGAAACAGCTATTGAGATACTCATACTGCTGGGTTGTGAGATGAGAGGGGATGTGGAGAAAATACCTGGCACATCACAATGCTCAGTAAAGGGTGCCTGTATGGTCTTGGAGGCAAGGGCTGGCTTGGGTCCAGGTTGATGCTGAGTAGGTGTGACCTGGAAGAGTCACCCAGTTCACTGAGCTACATCAGTGCAGAACAGACATTAGACCTGCCCTGCCCACCTTAAAGCCCGTTGGAAGAATGGGATGGAATTATGTGTGGGAATATCTGATGAAGCTGAAAAGTAGTCCACTGATGGATGTCATTTTCATTTTGATTCCAGGCTACTTGCAATACTAAGAAGACCTCTCTTCCCTTCATGAATCTTTCTAAAGCCTAATGCGGAGGTTAGGTGGGGAGACCTCATTGGGATCTGCAAGAGTCCCCTGTGTCCCCTCCTCCTCCAGGAAGCTTTCCCGGATGCCCCAGGCTGGATTTGAGGTCCCATTGCTATGCTCTCAATGCACCCAGGATTGGCCTCCACACTCTTCATTCCCTGAAATTGTTCACTTTCTCCTCCATCTACTCTCCCCACCTCCCCCAGCCATCACCACCCCCTGTGAGTCCCCCATTAGCAAGGCCTGTGTGAAATTCATCTCTGTCTGCCCAGACTAGGGGACCAGCCAGTGTTGATGAGTTGAATGCATGGATTTCACCTCACTGGGAGTCTACTTTGTTTACTTTCTAGATAACTGTCCTCCAAAGAGCGGATGGTTAATTGTATGTGTCAACTTGAGTTGACCCCAGGATACCCAGATTAAACGTTATTTCTGGGTGTATCTGTGAGGGTGTTTCCAGATGAGATTCACATTTGAGTCTGCGGACTCAGTAGATGGCCCTCCTCACTATGGGTGGCATCGTCCAATCCATTAAGGACCTGGATAGAGCAAAAGGTGGAAGGAGTAATTTGCCCCTTTTCCCGTCCCCGACTGTTGAGCTGGGACGTCTCATGTCTTCTCCTGCTCTCAGACTGGGATTTATGTCAACACCCCTGGCTCTCAGACCTTTGGACTTGGACTCAATCAAACCACTGGCTTTCCTGGGTCTCCAGCTTACAGACAGCAGATCTTGGGATTTCTCAGCCTTCACAATCATGTGAGCCAATTCATCATAATAAATCATATATCTACATATATATATGTAGATATATATATCCTTCTGGTTCTGTTTCTCTGGAGAACTCTAACACATCATCGCTTCTCCCTTTTAGAGGAAGTGTTTAAATGAAAAGCTAGAACTTTGGGTTCTTCCTCCTACTTTTCTGCAATATTTGGATGTGGACAAAGACCATTTTGGGGTCTCCTTCCACCCAAACCCAAGAATACACGTCTTTCACTTCCCATCAGAATCCCCCTGTGCCCATCCCCATCCTCTTGGGACTCTGACACCTAACTCTGCCAGGATTTGTGATCAGAGGGATGGTTGTTCCTTCAAAGAATTCATTTACATTCACACCCAGTAGAGTGGCTAAAATTTTAAAAAGACGGTGCCAAGTGCCGACAAGGATGTGGGGAAACTGGAATCCTTATGTGTGGCTGGTGGGGATGTGAAATCATGCAGCTACTTTGGAAAATAGTTTGGCAGTTCCTCAAAATGTGAACTCTTGAGTTGTCATATGACCCAGTTCCCTCCTAGCTATATATCCAAGAAGATCTATGTCCACAGAAAAACTGTCACATGAATGTTCACTGCAGCAACATTCTTAATAGCCAAAAAGCAGAACCAACCCCAAAGTAAATCACCTGAAGAATGAGTGAGTGAAATATGGTCTATTCCTACAATGGAACATTTGGCCATAAGAAGGAATGAAGTACTAACACGTGCTGCAACCTTGGCGAACCTTGAAAACATTATGCTAAGTAAAAGAAGTCAGTCACAGAAGACCACATATTATCTGGTTAGACTTCTATGAAATGTCCAGAATAGATAAATCCATAGGAACAGAAAGTAGATCTGTGGTTGCCTAAGGGTAGGGGCTTTGGGAGAAATGGGGAGTAACTGCTAATGGGCATGCAGTTTCTTTTTAGGGGTGATTAAAATGTTCTAAAATTGATTGTGGAGGCCGGGCGCGGTGGCTCACGCCTGTAATCTCAGCACTTTGGGAGGCCGAGGCGAGAGGATCACGAGGTAAGAGATCGAGACCATCCTGGCTAACACGGTGAAACCCCATCTCTACTAAAAATACAGAAAATTAGCCTGGCGTGGTGGCGGGTGCCTGTAGTCCCAGCTACTCAGGAGGCTGAGGCAGGAGAATGGCGTGAATCCAGGAGGCGGAGCTTGCAGTGAGCCGAGATCATGCCACTGCACTCCAGCCTGGGCGACAGAGCGAGACTCCTTCTCAAAAAAAAAAAAAAAAATTGGTTGTGGAGGTGGCTGTATGACACTGAATATACTAAAAGCCACTGATGTGTGTGCTTAAGTGGGTAAGTGGTATGATCTGTGGATTAGCTCTTAATAAATCTGTTTAAAGACAAGAATATATTTGCAATCAAAAGAGGTCTTTCTGGTCTTAGTGATGTGGTTCAACTCACTGGCTGGCAGGTGGCAGAGTAGCCTTACTTACCAGATGGGACGTTTCCAGAGTGAGCTTCCTTGAGCCCTTGGTTCCTCCCGTTGCTGGGAGGGAGCATTCAGGGACCCCCACCGCCCTCCCACCAAAACCACCAACACAGAAGACAGAGCACAGAAACCAGAATGATCACTCCCAGGCTTGTTCCTCACAATCGCTCTTCACACTTTTATTGTTAATTCTCTTCACATGGCAGATACAGAGCTGTCGTCTTGAAGACCACCACTGACCAGGAAATGCCACTTTTACAAAATCATCCCCCCTTTTCATGATTGGAACAGTTTTCCTGACCGTCTGGGAGCGTTGAAGGGTGACCAGCACATTTGCACATGCAAAAAAGGAGTGACCCCAAGGCCTCAACCACACTTCCCAGAGCTCACCATGGGCTGCAGGTGACTTGCCAGGTTTGGGGTTCGTGAGCTTTCCTTGCTGCTGCGGTGGGGAGGCCCTCAAGAACTGAGAGGCCGGGGTATGCTTCATGAGTGTTAACATTTACGGGACAAAAGCGCATCATTAGGATAAGGAACAGCCACAGCACTTCATGCTTGTGAGGGTTAGCTGTAGGAGCGGGTGAAAGGATTCCAGTTTATGAAAATTTAAAGCAAACAACGGTTTTTAGCTGGGTGGGAAACAGGAAAACTGTGATGTCGGCCAATGACCACCATTTTTCTGCCCATGTGAGGGTCCGCATGAGACCCTTCTCCTAGATCCTTATCAGATCCCATACTGCAGCCGATTGACTGACTCATTAAATAACACAAGTTATAAAACTTTAAAAATGGAGCATTTACAGTCAGGGACATAAATACGTGCTTTTAAAAGTGTCTACATACATATTTACAGAGTTGCAAGATCAACCGTAGTAGCCCTGAAAAAAAAAATCCCTTTATCGTGTGACAAACCGTGCTCATCAGAGCTCCCTCCTTCCGCTCTGGGTTTGATAGCTCACTCTTGAAATTGGAGCTGAGAAAACAGCGCCCAAGTGGTCTCAGACATCCTTGCCTGGGGTCTGCCCCAAAGGCACAAAACCCAAGAACCTCACTGAACTGGGTCCAAACGCCAAGCTCAGCTCACCCGTTTCTCCGAGACATGGACTGACCGTCCTCCAGAGAGCAGGAGTCAGCCCCGTCCGCCCCTGGCAGGATGGCCTCCGAAATCTCTTCTTCTTCCCCCTGTGCTTTTTAATCTTCCCATTTTTTTTTCATTTCCCAATTTGTTTTTTTCCTATTGCAGCTAATTTGAGAAGCTCAGACACTAAAGATGTTCATGGTCCCACCAAGTGTGGCAATGAAGGGCGCAGGAGATCCCTCCCCTCCATACACCGTCCCCATTCCCTGCCCTTCCCAAGGGAGGAGATAGATCTGTAAGTGGGGACAAAGTCTTTCTCCCAGGTGCACCTGATCTGAGGTTCTCTGCAAAGACTCAAGAGCAATGGACTGATGAGAATTTCAAGTCTGGAAATGCCTCAAGAGCCAGAAACTCAGACACCTTAGGCAAGGAAGGGGGTTTTCCATGTGCTGGGGCCGAGGGGCATGTTCAGGCTCGGCTCCAACGTGTCAATATGCTGTTGATTCCCAGAGATGTTGCCGGGAGAGGGAAGGTGGGGAGAGAGGGGTGGTACTGAAGGGGAACTCGGCCTCCTCCTGAAGGCCTTCCTAAGGCTGACCCCTGGGTCAAACCAAAGTCCCCATAATGGCAAAAGACAACTCAAGAAGCAAAAAGCAGGGTCAAGGAGCTCTTGAAAAATTGCATAGTAGGAGAGGCCCCACCCCAACAGGAAGGCTGGGCTGCAGAACACGGTCCCAAGAGCTGCATCCAAGTATCATCCCAAAGGACAGCGTGGAGTCGGCCCCCTTCCTGCCGCCCCGGGGATCGGGACCCTCGTTTGAAGACCACTCACGCGCCCGCACGAGAACACGTGAACACACACGCACGCACACATGCACGCGCGCACATGCACTCCCTTTCTCTCGCAGCCTCACACAACTGGGATAGGTCGGTACTCCCTGCAGGGCAGACTGCCAGTCCCTTTGGCTTCACTGATTCCAGGTCACTTCAGGTGCTGAGGAGAAAAAGAAAATAAAAATAATAACAGTAAGCACACATTCAGTGCCGACCATGGTGGTCCATGCGTTATTGCACTTAATTTTGTAACTAAACTGTTTATTGAAACATACCATACATAGAGCAAAAAGCACAGCTTGATGAATGTTCACAGTGAATACACCTGCAGAGCTGGCACCCAGATGAAGAATCAGAATGTGACAGCCGCCCATCAGCCCCTGACCCGTGACCCCTTTAAGGATACATGAACCCTCCCGCCCTCGGGAAGAACCACTGTCCTCACCTCTAACAGCATAGACTGATTTCACCCATTTTTTAAGTTAAATAAATAGGGTCAATCAGTAATCTCCTCCTGCGTCTGGCTTTTTCCACCGAGTGTTTGTGAGAGCCACCCATTCTGTATGTGTGGTTGATGTTTTCAACCTTGTTGTTATGTAGTGTGCTATTATAGAAAGACACCACCTCGGCCAGGCGCGGTGGCTCACGACTGTAATCCCAGCACTTTGGGAGGCCGAGGCGAGCAGATCACCAGGTCAGGAGATTGAGACCATCCTGGCTACGGTGAAACCCTGTCTCTACTAAAAATACAAAAAATTAGCCAGGCATGGTGGCAGGTGCCTGTAGTCCCAGCTACTCAGGAGGCTAAGGCAGGAGAATGGCGTGAACCTGGGAGGCGGAGCTTGCAGTGATCCCAGATCGCGCCACTGCACTCCAGCCTGGGAGACAGAGCGAGACTCTGTCTCAAAAAAAAAAAAAGAAAGAAAAAGAAATACACCACCTCTATCCATCTATTCCTCTGCTGATCCACAACTGGGAACTTCCAGTTTGGTGCCATGTGAGTCATGCTGCTAGAACATTCTCATATGTGTCTAGAGGACACGTATGGTGCAAATACGTATGCATTTGTGCTGAGCGGAAATGCTGGGTCGTAGGATGTCCATAGATAACACATCAGCATTCTCATAGGTATTTCCTGGTGCACGTGGGTACATATCTGCTGAGTGTGTCCCCTGCAGTGGGACTGCTGGGTCCTGAGGTACCCACATGTTCAGCATCAGTCAACACTGCCAAACAGTTTTCCAAAGTGATTGTACTCCTGCTTAATTTCCTTTGGATGTTCACAACAACCCTCATGGCAGGCAACACAGATCCCCATTCTATATGAAAGAAATGGAGGCTCAGAGAGGAGAAATAACTTTTACAAGCCTGCAGATGATGAGCAGCAGAGGTGAGACTTGAACCCAGGTCAGGCTCACTCACTCCAGCATCTGTGTGCTCTTCCAGTCGGGAGGGGATGGCTGTTCCCGCATGCTTCCTCCGCAGAAACCACATTCACAGTGCTTAGTCCAGAGCTGAGCACATGGGTGAATCCTTAATAATGTTCACTGCAGGCTGGGCGCGGTGGCTCACGCCTGTAATCACAGCACTTTGGGAGGCTGAGGTGGGCAGATCACTTGAGGTCAGGAGTTCGAGACCAGCCTGGCCAACATGATGAAACCCAGTCTCTACTAAAAATACAAAAATACAAAAATACATTAGTGATGGTGGGTGCCTGTAATCCCAGCTACTCAGGAGGCTAAGGAGGAGAATCCCTTGAACCTGGGAGACAGAGGTTGCAGCGACCTGAGATTGCGCCACTGCACTCCAGCCTGGGCGACAGAGTGAAACCCTGTCTCAAAATAAATAAATAAATAAATAAATAAATAAATAAATAAATAAATAAATGTTCACTGCATTGGGTTGAATTGGGCTGGGCCAAGTTCAGGGATACAGTTCTCTTGCCCAGTGGACCTGGTCACCATTACTATTACTAAAAATAACTACTGCTATTATTATTACTACCACTAATAATGTAATATTTCAATAATAATAATAATAATACCAGTTGTTTATGGAAGGCTTATTGCATACCAGGCACTTTGCTAAGGGTTTTTCATTCACTAACCTATGCAATCTTCTCAACAAACCCATGAGAGAGGTATTATTATTATTAACCCATTTCGCAGATGCGTGAATTGAAACACAGAGGCGTGAAGTAGCCACTGAAGGGATAGCTCCAGACACTGTGCACCTAACCACTACGCATGTTCATTTCAATTCCCTGAAATGTCTGATGGGGCTGGAAAGGGCTGTTTGCGGGGGAGTGGGATGTCTTCAAGAGAGGAGGCATCCCTTCCCAGAGGACGCCTGCTTATGCAGCAGACTGGCCTGTGTGCCCGTGCCCATGAGCCAGGGCAGGGGGAAGAAAAGGAAGCAGAGGCGGGGCCGGCTATGGAGTGGCTGTATTCCCTTGGCCTGGCGTGGCCAGCAAGTGTGGGTCTCCCCTGGGTCACGTGGGATCCATTAAAGGAGCCATCTTGCCAGTCCCCCACCGAGAGGGCAGCCCTCTGGGGAGGCCACAGCAGCAGGAGCTGGGGGCTGGACCTGAGGTGGAGGGGAGCTCTCATACAAGGGAGATGGGCCGGGATGGGCGACCTCTACACCCCCCACTCCCAGGACCCCAGGAGGGAGCGCATGTCAGAAATCCTGCCCACAGAGGGCCCTGAGGCCGCTGGTCTTAGCCAAAGGAGCAGCAACAGCTGAGAGAAGGATCACAATGGTGGCCAAACAGGTGAGAGGCTGTCCCTTCCCTGGGCCTCCCGCTGAACCCCTGGGGTAGGAAAGACACGGGGTGAAGACAGGATGTGCAAAGGAAGCCTCCCTATAGACTAGGCAGCACAGCACTTTTCTGCACTTAAAAGTGAACAGAAACCTCTGGGCTTTGTGTGAGTCACAGTAAAGAGGGTGCCACAGAGGCTGGTGAAAGGCAGGGCTTGCCAGAAACCAAGCACCTCTGTGTTCATTCTCGCTGCATTCAAACTGTCCGGGAGACGGGTGACGAAGCCTTGAATCCGGAATGGGCAAGAGCAGGCTAAGCAGCCAAAGCCATGGGTCCTTCGAGAAGGCCATCCTTTTTTCTGAACAAAACCCACATGCACACACAGTTTTGCAAGGAGGCACGGCCCAATTAGAAGTCGAAGATCCGTCCCGGGAATCAGAAGACCAGAGTGTTGATGCCAGTTCTGCCACACGCCCCTCCGTGTCAGTTTCCGTCTCTGTAAAATGAGGGCTTTGACCTGCACACACCTTCCTGAACTAAAATACTTTGCTGTGGCATTTTCATAAATCTGGAGCTATGTTAAACAGTGCTATGGACTGAACTGTGTCTCCCTAAAACCCTTATGCTGAAGCCCTAACCCCTCCCTGTGATGGTATTTGGAGGTGGGGCCTTTGGGAGGTGATTAGGCTTAGATGAGATCACGAAGCAGGGCTCACGATGAGATGAGTGGACTTCTAAGAAGAGACACCAGAGAGCTTGCTCTCCCCCAGGCCCCCGCCACGTGAGGACACAGCAATGAGGTGGCCGTCTGCAAGCCAGGAAGTGGGCCCTCACCAGAACCTGGCTATGGTGGCACCCTGATCTGGTACTTGCAGCCTCAAGAACCATCAGGAAATAAATTTCTGTTCAATATTTAAGCCACACAGTCAGTGGTATTTTGTGATAGCAGCCTGAGCTAACTAAGGCAAACAGTATAAAGAGATTTTTTTAAAAAATTATTTTAAAAATAATATAAGTAGCACATGCTTGGTGTAAGTACCAATTTAAAAAATGGAAAAAAAGCTACAGAAGATTTTAAGGAGCAAGTTACACGAAAC
Organism: Homo sapiens; assembly: GCF_000001405.40. NCBI lineage: Eukaryota > Metazoa > Chordata > Mammalia > Primates > Hominidae > Homo > Homo sapiens. The sequence continues at coordinate 13,819,460 of NC_000001.11, read as the reverse complement.
TGCTGAGTTTGGAGCCTTCGTTGTTGGTGAGCAAACAGAGATCACAAGATGCAGAGGCAAATGACGTTAGGCCTCTCTTCATTTGATCGCTTCGCTTGGGAAACTGTATGTTTTTAAAGAAGGAAAAAGAAGGCCATCACCTAGGACAGTGCTTGGTGCTGGGGCAGAGCCTAAATTCATAAGGCTTGGCAAATGCTACATACATTTCATCTTCGTCATGGCCAAGCCTGCAGTGGCCAACAGAAATGGCCCAGTCTGTTTAGGAAGCCAGCCCAGCTGCACCTGGCTCTCCCTCCGGCTGCAGAGAACACCTGCTCTGGGGTGGAAGCAAGTCCCGGGTGCCCATCAACACAGAAGGTTCACGTAGCAGCCTTGGCCGCAAGGAGGATGCTGGACACAAATGGTTCCCAGAGTCGGAATTGTTCATCCTGGCATGGCCTCTCACTTTCCAGAAGACCCTAGCCACGTCCTATGTCTCTTCTCTTGGGGCCTCAATTTTTCCATCTGTAAAATGGGAGGTACCTCTCCCAGGGCCTCCCAGCTCTGTACTATCTTACAGTCCATTTCAACATTGTTCCATGAGACTCCAGCTCAGGGTCAAGTCTCCAGGTTCCCCTCTCAGGGAGCAGCCGGCCCCAGAGAGACAGGTTCAATTCCAGCAGCAGACCACAGACTCTCTGGGCAAGAGTGGATTTTATTTTTGCTCCCCTCCCCAAACCCCAGAGGAATAAAGCCAAGCCAGAAACTCCAACTGCTTAAGAAAGAGAGAAGTAAACAGCCGGGAGCGGTGGCTCACGCCTGTAATCCCAGCACTTTGGGAGGCAGAGGCAGGCAGATCATGAGGTCAGGAGATCAAGACCATCCTGGCCAACATGGTGAAACCCCGTCTCTACTAAAATACAAAAAAAAAAAAAATTAGCCAGGAGTAGTGGCGGGTGCCTGTAGTCCCAGCTACTCAGGAGGCTGAGGCAGGGGAATCGCTTGAACCTGGGAGGTGGAGGATGCAGTGAGTCAAGATCGCGCCACTGCACTCCAGCCTGGCGACAGAGCGAGACTCTGTCTCAAAAAAAAAAAAAAAAAAGGAAAGAGAGAAGTGAGGTCTTGGGGTTGGAGGGCAGGCAGAAGGAAGAAAGGGTCTTCTCTTCCTGGCATAATACAAAAGACCTCAGAGTTTCAGAATTCAGCCCATTCTTGCCTTGAACTACACTCTCATTCCAAACGACTCTGGTTGGTGTTTTAACCACTGCCTCGTGTTAAGCACACATTCCCAAACCTACGCGTGTCCCAGAACCAGGGGGCCATCTGCTAATGCAGGTTCCCTGGTCACACCCACCAGGATGGGCCTGTGCCATCAATACCCACCCACCAATACAAGCAGGGCTGTGGGGGGTGGTGGCCAGTCCCCTCCCTCCCATTAACCCCGTATTCAACATCTGTCCTGTGCCAACCACTTCCATGCTGGGCATCTCATAGGGGTGATGTGACTTCCCACAGAGATGTAAACTCAGGATTTGCTCACTGCAAGCTCCACCTCCTGCATTCACGCCATTCTCCTGTCTCAGCCTCCTGAGTAGTTGCGACTACAGGCGCCCACCACCATGCCCGGCTAATTTTTTTGTATTTTTAGTAGAGACAGGGCTTCAGTGTGTTAGCCAGGATGGTCTCGATCTCCTGATCTCGTGATCCACCTGCCTCGGCCTCCCAAAGTGCTGGGATTACAGGTGTGAGCGACCGCGCCCGGCTGAACTCGGGATTTTTTAATGGGGTTTGGCCCTATTCGTACTATAGTCCAGTAAATGGGATTTGAGCCTTTTTGGCCATTTTGTACATTTGGAACTGGACTCTGAGGTCTGTATTTATAAAAGCATCCTAGATCTTCTGATGTATGAGGTCCTCTGATCACTTTGAGATGCTGGCCTTGGGGACACAATGAATGCAGTTGTGTGGTGTCACCAACAGGGAGGGCCAAGCCTGCTCGTGGGTCACCAGCAGAATCCAGGTACTCCAAAAATGAAAAGTCTGGTTTCCATGTTTTTATCCAACAGAAATCTTAGAGTAATTCCAGGTTTTTACCATCAGAAAACCTAGGAAGAGGCTGTTTTAGTCCAAAATAAATCTGAGTTTTATATTTTATGGATTAGGACAGATTACATATCCCTTGTCTGAAATGCTTGAGACCCGAAATTTTTTGATTTTGGATTTTTTTTGGATTTTGGAATATTTGCACTACATACTTGCTGGGTCAGCATCCCTAATCCAAAAATCTGAAACCTGAAACGCTCCAATGAGCATTTCCTTCGAGTGTATTTCCTTTGAATGTCCTCACTCAGGTTCAGATTTTGGGGCATTTCAGATTTTGGATTTTTGGATTAGGGTTACTCCACCTGTATTATTTTGACTTTCAAAAACATTGTGAGAATAGGAACTCGGTCATCTTTTCTGGGCTTAATGCCTCTGAGGCAATTAAGAACTGAGTATAATTACTATTTTTATCATTATTACTCCAATAATGACTTACCTAGTGCTTACTATGTGACAGACACTCTTCTAGGTGCTTCGCACATTTGACACTCGTAATTGTCACAATCACCCTATAAAGTAGGTCCTATTGTAGTGCCCACTGTACACATGTGGAAACTGAGGCTCAGAAAGACTAAGTAACTTGCTTGAAGTTCGTAGCCAGCAAGTGGCAGAGCTGGGATGTGAAACAAGTGGTCCGGAGTCTGCACTCAGCTAAGTGCCCTCCTGGAGGGAGGCCCTGCACCGTGCCTGGTACACACAAGCAATCACACCCACTGCTTTCTCTCCTTCCCTCCCCACCCAAGACCCAAGCCCACACCCCCTTGACCCACCCAAACAGTGCCAGAAGCTGTTCCATCCTGCCTCGTACCTGTCAGGGAGCAGCCAGAGTGTCTACTCTTTGAAGAATGGTCCCTGGAACTGGGCTGCAGCTGGAGCTTTGACCTTCCTATACTGCCTGGTGATGTACGGGGCCGCTGGTGGAGAGCATCGGGACGCCAAGCGGAGGCTGTAGCTGTGCAGGAAGAGGAACAACACACATTGTCACAGGAGCCCAGCCCGGTGCCCTAGACATTGCTGGGGGGGCTTCCTTAGTGCTGGTCACCACTTCCCAGGCCAGGATAGGATTGCACTTCCTGGACACCTTGAGGCCAGGTGCCTGGCATCAGCTAATAGGACATGAGCTTTAACCACCAATGTGCACTTCTCCATGTCCCATCCACCAATTCTCTCCCCTCGGAGGCGATCGCAGAAGCACGGGCAAGAGGAGTGTCCATTGGGCTGGTTCTGAGACACCATGATGGGCAGTGCCGTCTGGTGACCCCCAGTGGACATGCAGGTGAGCCAGAATGACTCCGATTGCATCAGAACAGCGGCTGTGCCCTTCTCTGATTCCATTTCCCCACCTGCCTCCCTGCTCTCCCCTCCTGCCAGGCCCCAACACCCATAAGGAAAAAAGCATCTGGGGAGGTTACTATTATCAAAGTACAAACACACCTGCACATGGGCTGGGTTGTGGGGAATGGAGGCAGCTCCATTGCCCTTAACCCCACACTCCACATCTATCCTGTGCCAAGCACTTCCATGCTGAGTATCTCACAGGGGTGACGTGGCTTCCCAAAGAGGTGAATCTAGGAATTTCGGGGGCATGGTTTTGTACTATTTGTACAGAAAAGCACCCCCAACCACCGCCCCCAGTAAATGGGATTTGATTTTTTCAGAAGGGCTTTTAAAAAATTTATTTAAAAGATAGATAACTCACACCATTAGTCCTCTCCTTTCGTCACTCAGCTAACTCGTACTTCTCTTTCATAGCCCAGCTGGGATGCTACCTCCTCCAGGAAGCTTTCCTTCTTTAACTCCTGGGTGGGGTGTTCCTCCAACAGGCCCCTTAGGTGTCCCCATCCCACCTGAATTAAAAGCCCAGAATAAGGTGTCTGCCTTTCTCATGAGCTCTGAGATCCCAAGGTCAGGATCTTTGTCCTGTTCATTGTTGCATCCCCAGCTTGGCACAATAAAAATAAACATCCGGCCAGGTGCGGTGGCTCATGCCTGTAATCCCAGCACTTTGGGAGGCTGAGGCGGGTGGATCACCTGAGGTCAGGAGTTCAAGACCAGCCTGGCGAACATGGTGAAACCCTGTCTCTACTAAAAATACAAAAAAAAAATTGTCCAGGCGTGGTGGTGGATGCCTGTAATCACAGCTACTCAGGAGGCTGAGGCAGGAGAATCGCTTGAACCCGGGAGGCAGAGGTTGCAGTGAGCCGAGATTGTTCCATTGTACACCAGCCTGGGCAACAGAGCAAGACTCCATCTCAAATAAATAAATAAACAAACAAACAAACATCCACTGAGTAAGAGTGATACATACAGGCTCACTGCATGTCCAGAACTGTGCTAGGTATTTTCCATACACAAACAATCTAACTCTTCACAAAACCTACCCAGGTGGATACTGTTATTATCCCTAATTTACAGATGAGGAAACTGAGGCACAAAGAGCCTGTCACCTGTCTACCTCTCTAGATGGAAGAATGGAAAGTGAGGGAGGCCTCTGGACAAGGCGGCCCAGGTCAGAGGAGGTGGGAGGCCAGGCAGGTAGGAAAGCAGGAGGGACAAACACGCCCGGAACCCTACCTGCTCCAGGTGTTTGCAGAGCCAGCTCTGCCTGCGGGAACAGGAGGCGGGAATGGAGTCCAGCTCAAAGCTGGCACATGGTAGAGCTCACATGAGTGGTTCTCAATCAGGGTACACACTTGGTAATGTGTGGAGACATCGTTGGCTTTCATACCTGAGGGAAGGGTGCTGCTACCGGCATCTGGAAGGTAAGGCCAGGGGTGCTGCCAAACCTCCTACAGTGCCCAGGACAGGCCCCCGCAACAAAGGTTTAACCAGCCCCAAATGCTGACAGTGTCAATGTTGGCAAGGGAGCCCTCAATCAATATTAAAATAAGCAAATGCATCAACAGACAAGCAAATGTAGAAGGTGCTGGAGAAAAGCCTTAGACAAGACTAAGAGACCTGCTGTTGTCACGAGTGAGCCTCCCCCAAGGGCCTGGCTCTCTGTCAAGGTCAGGGCTGCCCCTGTTTGAATTCCTCCCCTGCGCTGTGCAGCCAAGGCCCACGGTCAGCTCAGTCTACTCGCCTGTGCAAGAGTTAAGGAGGAAACGGAGGACCCATGCTTCATACAACTGTGCTCCTGACGGGCCACCAAGGCAGCTAGTGGCCACCCCCGCCAACCCCATTCTAGCTGGCTGGTGCCCCAGGAGACCCAACCTGGGAGGAGACAGCCAGCTGGGAGGCTGCTGGAGACATGGACTCCTGTGTCCTGTTGGGCAATAAGAAACAGAGCTGGCAAAGAGCAGGTCCCCTCCCTACGATGTCCCCCTTCCCAGGGAAATGTCTACAGTGGTGTAGCAAGACCAGCAGAAGCTTTGGAGACAGACAAGCCCTGCATCATCAGTATCCAGCTTCTCCCTTTCTCTGCTGTTAAGTATCCAAAAGCCAGATCAATCACACAAAAATAACACCCCGACCTCCCAGGCCTCTCTAGCCAGCCAGTGTGTCTCCGCTCCCTTTAGCATCTCTTCCGCCTGGGCTCCTGCGGATGCAGCAACCATAGCGTCTCCACCAGGGGGCGCGCCTCCTCCCCGGCTCAGGGCGTCCATCTGGGTGGAACGAGTAGGTCGGGGGCAAAACCCCTGAAGGCAGAGGCCCCTCTGCTACCCCTCATCCACTGCCTGGCCTAATGGAGGACCACGGCAGCCAACATGAACATGGCCTCCATGACTCCCAAGGACTTTCTCAGTTTTCTCTCTGAACCCTCCCAGCAGCCCAGGAGGTAGGAAGAACAAGTGCTTTTATACCCCTTTCACGGATGAGAAAACTGAGGCTCAGACGGATATGGAGACTTTCCCAGGCGAGCAGAGCCCTGGGCTTTCAGCTCCTTAGGCCACCATTTTGAAGAAACACCAGGTCACTAATTGGGTGTTTCCTGTTAGGACGGGGACAGGATGTCGTGGGGGACTGTCCTTCCTGATCAAGAAGTGCTTCACTGTCAAAGAACTCATGAGAGCACAGTGCCCCCAACCCCGAGATGTTAAATACCGAGGACCAAGGCTCCGGAATTGGGTGCTTCTCCAGGGCACAGTAGCAGTTAGCGCAGAGCCTCATGATTCTTGGTTCCCACCCACTAGCTGTGTGACCTCAGTGAGTCATGGACCTGTCTGAGTTCCAGGTTGATCTTCTGCAAATCGGGAAGACCAGTTTGGGGTTACAGTAATGATTAACTTTGGAGAAAGGTCTCCGTGCAGGGCATCCTGGCACTCCAGTAGGTATCAGCACAGTGTCGTGACTGCAGCAGTTGCGGTTGGTGGACTCATATGGAGAAGTCATCACCCCAGGAGGATGCAGTATGGCCGCTGGAGACCTGGGGGTGGCCTCTAATAATCCTCATTCTCATTGACTGTATGGCCCAGGGTAAGCCACTCCCTGTCGCTCGGCCTCGGAGCCTCGGTTTCCCCCTCTGTAAAATGGAGACAGTCCCTGCCAGCCTGCCAACAGAGAGCAGGGCTGGAAGCATTTTGGTGACCAGGATTGAGAGCACTTTGCTTTCTGGGAAGAATCCAGCACATGTGAGATGCTCCTAGTGGGTGTGACCCCAGGAAGCATCGGAGCAGGAGGTGAGCCAGGGTCCTGACTGGTCCTTAAAGACTGAATGTCAGGTAAGACTTCTGTGTCAACACTTCGGTCAGACTTTTGGCTCAAACTCCTGGGCAGGGCTCCAGACCCGCACACCCACTGCCTGCCGGGCCCCTCCACTTGGATGTCTAATGAGCATCTCACTTTAACACGGCAAAGTGGGACATGCTAGGGTCCCACCTTGCTCCCGCCCCTACCAGGCTCCAGCCACACTGGACTCTTGTCACTCTTCTCAGGAAATGGCACTGCCAAACGTGTTGTTGTTACAACTAAAGCCCAATAGCCCTTTTCTTCCTCTTCTATTCATTTTGCTGCTTCGGATTGGCCATAGACCTAGAAACCACACACATTTGAAGCAGGCACACCATCGAGCAGTGTGCTGTGATCATGGGGCCTGTGAGACCCCCCGCTGTGCTTACCCTAAAGCTGATCCATCTCCGGGTCCCTTAATTCTGCCTCCAGGTCCACACACCTCTCTCCACTCCCATTGCCACCACCCAGCACAACCTGTGGCATCAACACCTTCCACGGGGACTGTGGCAATTGCCACTGCACTGTCCCCACTTCGACGCTGCACCCTCCCCCCCACCACCAATCCATTCTCCACTAAGCAACAAGAGAGGCCTTTATAAGGACCACCGGACATGACCACGACACTGGACCACATCACTGCCCAGTGCAAAAGTGGCCCAAGCCTTCCCACACAGAGTGCTGTGCACCTGCTTGCGACCCTCCCAGTCCCCTCACGCACTCTGTGTTCACCCTGTGCACTTGTCTCTCAGCCAGGCCAAGCTCTTCTTACCTGGTTGCTCCCTGCCTGGCTTTCCCCTGCCCTGCCCTCCTCTGCCCACAGCTCCCTCCCACCTTGTGGGTCTCAGCTTAAGTGTCTCCTGAAAGAGGCCTTCTCTGACCTCCCCACCTTAGTGGCAACCCCAGCCCTGTTCCCATAGCCTTTGGAGTTCCCTTCTGTCTTCCTTCTGTCTTTCTGTGACTTTCTGGGCCTTTTGCTCACAGCTTTTCCCACAGCAATCACCTTGCCTGTCGAGTTGCTTACTCCTTCAACACTAGAAGAGGATGTCTTTGAGGGCAGGGACTGAGTCTTGCTGACAGTGGAATCCCCTGTGTCCCCAGGCACAGGACCTGGTACAGGAAATATTGGGTGGGTGGGTGGAGGCAGCCATGAGGGATGCCCCTGGTTTGCAGGTGGAGGAAACATGGTCTCAGGACCACACACCCTCCCCAGGCCCGGCCCCTGTCCAGGGATGGCAGAGCCCAGAGTCTCTGGCACAAGGACAGCCTGTGCGCTCCCAGCACTGCCTCCAGTTACAAGGGGATGCCCCATCAGCCAGCAGGGGGCGAGCACAGTGTCACAGGATGCTTCCTGTGGGTTATGGTGATGGCATGGTCACTGTGCAAGTAAGCGTTAACGAGCCATTGCCTCACTTATCCAGAGGCCCCTTAACCTTCACAATCCAGAGAACAGCCTAGAACGTTGTAGAAAGTCTGAGCCATCCACAACCAGTGCCCACTGATCTGTAAACTCTTTTTTTTTCTTTTGAGACAGAGTCTCACTCTGTCGCTCAGGCTGGAGTGCAGTCGTGCTTTCTTGGCTCACTGCAATCTCCACCTCCCAGGTTCAAGCGATTCTCCCGCCTCAGCCTCCTGAGTACCTGGGACTACAGGCACCTGCCACCATGCCCGGCTAATTTTTGTATTTTTAGTAGAGACGGGGTTTCACCATGTTGGCCAGGCTGGTCTCAACTCCTCACCTCAGGTGATCCACCCACCTCGGCCTCCCAAAGTGCTGGGATTATAAGCATGAGCCACCACGCCTGGCCCAGATCTGTAAACTCTGACAGAAGCTCACTGCATGCAGGCACTAAAATTCATGCCTGGGCCTGCAGCCTGTCCCTAAGGAGCACAAAGTCACACAGAACTCAAGCTTTCAGCCAGGTGCGGTGGCTCACGCCTGTAATCCCAGTGCTTTGGGAGGCCGAGGCGGGCGGATCACGAGGTCAAGAGATCGAGACCATCCTTGCTAACACAGTGAAACCCCGTCTCTACTAAAAATACAAAAAATTAGCCGGGTGTGGTGGCGGGCGCCTGTAGTCCCAGCTACTTGGGAGGCTGAGGCAGGAGAATGGTGTGAACCCCAGAGGCAGAGCTTTCAGTGAGCCGAGATCGTGCCACTGCACTCCAGCCTGGGTGACAGAGTGAGACTCCATCTCAAAACAAAAAAAAAAGAAAAGAAAAAAGAACTCAAGCTTTCACGTTCAGTGCACGCTGTTCTTACTGTACACACAATTCAAACGAATACGGCCGATGGCTTACAAGTCCACAGCCAATCAGAAGCAGCAAAATGAATAGAAGAGGAAGAAAAGAGCTGTTAGATTGAGGCAAATACAGAGTCTGTAGCAGACAGCAGACACTTCCCTGGAAGCGGGAAAGGAGGGCAAGTTCAAGGGTAGGGAAATACTATGTGCCAGGCCATGTATGTGCCATGATGTCCCGGGTTCCATGCATGCTTAATTTCGTCCTTGGGGAACCTGAGAGGTCGACAAACTTGAGAGAGGTTAACTGTTATAGATGGAACCTTTGTGTCCCCTGCACCCCATTCATATGCTGAAGCCCTAACCCCCAATGTGATTGTATTTAGAGGTGGGACCTTCAGGAAGTGACTGGGTTTAATGAGGTCATGAGGATGGGACATTCATGACGGGATTAGTGCTTGTGCCTTGTAAGAAGATGCGTGTGCTCGAAAAAGGTCATGTGAGGACACAGACAGAAGGTGGCAGTCTGTGAACCAGGAAGAGAGCCTCGACCAGAACCAAACCATGCTGGTACCCTAATCTTGAACTTCCAGTCTCCAGAACTGTGAAAAAAAAATTTCTGTCATTTAAGCCGCCTAGTCCATGGTATTCTGTTATGGCAGCCCAAATTTTGTTAAGACAACTTGCCCAGAGTCATGCTTGGTGAGATTAGGATCTGAACACGGGGTCTGGACCACAGCCTGTCATCTCTGCAGGTGACTCCCTCCCTAGGCGATGCATCCGTGGCTTTGGCGTCCACGGCCAGCCTCACACAGATGACTCACCGGCACCCACGCCCAGCCCACATCTGGCCTTTGAACTCCATTCACGCACTGACGTGACATCTCTTGGACATCTAGAAGGCCCCTTAAATCAGTTCCTGAACTTAAATTATGACCCCACCTCACGCCTGCCACTCCACCCTGCTCCTGTTCTTGGTGAACAGCACTGCATTTGTGCCCTGAAAGCCAGAGACCTGAGACTCAACACGGTCCCTCCGTCACTCTCTCCTGCTACACGTCACCTGCCACTGGCTCCATCGAGTCCGCCTTCCTTCCTCTTCTACCACTGTCGGGGACCACCTCTCGCCTGGAGTCCTGCAAGGCGCCTTCCTCACTGGACTTCTCACTTCCACACTGGCTCCCCTCCCATCTGTTCCACAGAAGTGTGACGGTCTTCCCAAAAGGCAAAACGGACCACGACACGCCCCTGCTGCAACCTGTCAAAACCCCATGGCTCCCAGGACGCAGTCCAAGTTCCTTGATACATCAAGTCCAGCCTGCACTGCCCTCCCAGCCCATCTCTCCCCTTCTGTTCTTGTTTACTCCAGCTAATCTGGGTAGACCCCATTTCCCAGTGGCCTGTAGCCTCGGCTCCTCACTAGATTCACCCAGAGAGGCCTGGGCTGCATGCCAGGACATGACATCAGGATCTCTGGGGCAGGATTGGGCAATGGTATTTTTAAGCTCTTCAGTGATTCCAACATGCAGCTGGGTTGAGAACCACTGCTCTGGAGATGCTTCTGTGGTCGCCCTCTTGAGGCAACATGGCCCTGGTCAGGTTCCCACACCGGCCCCCACACGGGCAGTTTCTCATGCATCTGCGACTGTCTGATAAAGGCAGGTCTCCCCAGGGGGCCGTAAGGTCTCTGATGGCAGAGCGTGGTTGAGTTTTGTTCATCATTGTATTCTTAGTACCTAACTGTGCGTGAGTGAATAATAGACCCTCAACATGTAAGGAAGGAAGAAATGAGCAATTCAAGACTCTGTGATATTCCCACTGCACAGCTGTTCTCAGACACCAAGAAATCTGTTCAGTGCAGGGGAGGGAAAATGGACTTACTATGCTCCCCAAGATGCTCCTCCATAAAATCCCGGCAAAATGAATGAGATACGTAGTCCTCAATCCTAGACATCAAGAAAGGGTTGAACAAGTTCAGCATCAACTGTTTTTTTTTTTTTTTTTTTTGAGACAGAGTCTCACTCTGTCGCCCAGGCTGGAGTGCAGTGGTGCGATCTCCACTCACTGCAAGCTCCACCTCCCGTGTTCACGCCATTCTCCTGCCTCAGCCCGCCACCACGCCCGGCTAATTTTTTGTATTTTTAGTAGAGATGGGGTTTCACCATGTTAGCCAGGATGGTCTCGATCTCCTGACCTCGTGATCCGCCCGCCTCGGCCTCCCAAAGTGTGGGGATTACAGGCGTGAGCCACCGCGCCCGGCCCAGCATCAACTGTTTTTAGAAAGCAGGGGAGTGTAGCATTACCTTGGTAAGATTTTCATACACAGTGGTTGAACATTTTAAACATAGTAGCAGGGTTGGGAGGAACCTGCTGTGTGCCCCACACAGGCTTTGCCCAGAAGTGTCTGGCCTCTGGCAAAGTGTGCTCTACTGCCTACTCTAGGAGGGAAATTTCTGGACATTTTACTTAGAACAAAAACTAATGGACTTTGAAAGCACAGGGGGATGTCATACACCATCCAATCTGTATGGACGGGGAAGGATTGGGCAGAGGGCAGACCTCAAACACCTGGTCCACTCCCGGCTCATAGGAAGGCTCAGAAATGGTGCCTCAGAGCATCGTCTCCTGGGGATCCTAATTTCTTACTTGTCAGAATTCCTTGCTAGTCTGAAGACAATGCAAGGGCATTATCTATACAATAGAACGTCTAATAGAACATGTCTAGAAATAGAACATCTGCTCTGTTCCTGGCCTCAAGGATGCATTCATTCTTTCATTCAGTCATTCAGATTTCCAGTGGCCCATTCTTGCCTCAGGGACTCGGCACAGGCTGTTCCTGGAACACTCTTCCCCCAGGTGGTCTTGTGGCTCACTCCCAGGCCCCCTTTCAAGTTTCTGTTCAAATGTCTCATTCCCAGTGAGCCTCGCTTAACCACTTTATTTGAAATCACAAATCCCCCTGATACTCCCCATCTCGACTCCCTTTTACTTTCTGAGTTGTGCTTATCCCCATCAACAGAGCTGCGTTTACTGGTTATTGTTTACTGTCTGTCTAGCAGGCTCCATGAGGGGGCGCATTGGAGGCTGGTTTGTCACGGAGGCACCTCCAGCACCCCAGCCGCTGGCTGGCATACAGTAGCAGTCATCTACTATTTGTCAGGTGAACGGTGTGTCTATTCTGTGCCAGGTGCTTTGCCAACAGGAGTTTTAGTGAATAAAACAAGTCAAGTTCTCTACATATAGCATAGTTTTACATGTCACTTAGTGTAGCCTAGAGAGGAAAGATACTCATTTCAGAAGGAGTTTGATGCCCGTACGAGGCCAAGACTCAGGCCTCCTGGCTCCCAAATGACCACATTCTTATTCAGCCCCCAGTGGTTTTGGATAAGGGAGAAATCCAGACACACTGAAATATACAAGAGAAAATGAAACTGAAGAAACAGGAGTGAAGGTCAGAGTGGAGGAGAAGACAGGGAAAGGTGACATGGGAAACGGCAGTGTGTGGGCTACGACCTGGGGTGGGGGGATCAATCGGTCCGGATACTACGCCTTGTGCGTTCCAGGAAGTGGGGACAGGAAGTGCAAAGGCCCTGAGGTGAGACCCACCAGGAATGTCTGAGGTGATGTGGGCAGAGGGGAGGGTCTCATAGGCCTTCAAGTGAGGTGTCAGTCAGTTGTCCTTCTGGGCAGAGGAATATCATGACCCAAAGTGGCTGCTGTGCTGGGCACAGACCGTGGGTTGACAGGGAAGGAACTGGGGACACCAGCAAGGAGGTGACTGCCACCATCCAGGGAGATGATGGTGGCCTGGACCTCAGGTCAGCTGAGGAGGCTGAGCTGAGAGAAGCTGTGGATTCCGGGTGAGTTTGGGGATCTGCTGATGAGCTGGATGTGGGGATGGAGGAAGAGGTTGGAGTCTAGCTGGTAGCTGGACTCCAAGCAGGACCGTTTCCATTCATCCCACATAGGGAGGACAGCAGGAGAGGGAGGCTTCATGGAGAGACAGTTTCATTTTGGAAAGATTAAATTTGAATCTAGACACCCAAGGGAGATGTCAGGTGGGCGGCTGAATGGAGATTCTGATGAGGGTGGAAACCCGGGATTGGTCAGCATCCAGGTGGTATTTAACGCATGTGACTGGATGAGATCACCAAGGGGGAGCGGAGACGGAGCGAGGGGACAGAGCCCAGGGATGGAGGCGGGATGCGGGGGACAGAGCCCAGGGATGGAGGCGGGATGCGGGGGAGCAGCTGGTAATGTGCAGAGACTGGGAGAGGGCGGTGTCCAGGTGGAGAGTATTTCAAGGAAGAGAAGGATTAACAGCGTCCACTGCCGCAGATGGGCCAAGGGAGATGGGACTGGAAACCAACCACTGCATTGAGCATCCTGGGGGCTGCTGATAACCTTGGTTTGATGGCTCCTCAAGAAGAGCCAAAACCCTGAAAGTGAGTTCAAGAGAGAAGGGGAGAAGAGACACTGGAGGCAGGAACCCAGAGGACGCTTCAAGAAGGGTGGAGGGAAAGGAGTTTGGGAGGGAAGGAGCTGCCGGCTTTCAGAGGACATGGGCTCTCCAGGGCTCCAGGGTCCCCACGTGGCCACGGTGCTCTTCCAAGCTCCCTGCCAGACCGCCATGGGCATCCTGGGCTGGGATCTCTGCCTGCCCTGGTCCCTCCTTGCACCTTTTTCTCACAGTCTTCAGGAGGGATCTCCTGGGACAGCCATACAGAAAGCTGGTTAGGCCACATCGCTGGCCGCAGAAGTCTTACACAACTCTCTAAATTCTCAGAGTGCAATTCATTTGAAGTCAGTGTCTGATATTCTGCACTTTTGCTGAAGGTAGGGGAAAGGCAGAGGGTGGGGAGATGGTGCAAAGGTAAGACAAGCCTGTGATGATGCTGATATTCCCTGGGGGCTGGGTGAGGGCCCACAGGTGGGAGCTGTGGGAGCCATCGGCCCTCAGCCACCTCCAGGAACAGTCGACATCCACTGCAGGACCCACCTTCCCCAAGTGGGAAGGCCCACGTGCTTCAGGAAGCCCCTGCCCATTCAAATGAAGCCCCCAGCCTGGGGGAAGGGCTGAGAAGACAGAGAAGAAAGAAGCAGGGCAGGAACCCAAAGGAGGATGGGGTGGGGATTCCAGAGCCCAGAGCTGGAATCCTAGCTCCATTACGGACTTGCTGTGTAGCCGCTGGAAAATGCCTCTACCTCGCTGAGCCATAGAAGTCTTGCCTGTAAAATGAGGATGTCAGGCAAGGGGGAAAAAAACATCATCGCATCATCCACTGAGCACTTTCTATACACCAGGAGCTACTTTGGGTAGTTTTTGGGAGCTCCTCAAATTCCCAGCAGTCCTGTAAGGCTGGGCCTGTGATGGTCCTGGTTTTACAGAGGAGGGTTCTGAGGCTCAGAGAAATAAAGAAGCTGGACACTCAAGTTCCCTCGGCCAAGTAGAGAAGCAGCCAAGATTTGAATCCAGGACCATTTGACACCAAAGCCCATGCCCCACTCCCTGACACAGTCCCCATAGTAGTGAGGATTGAAGAGTTGTTTCCAATATCCCAAAGCCAGGTGGGGGTGAGCCTTTGCCCATAGAGCAGCTGCATTGACCACTCAAGACTCTGGCAGTCTGTTTTGGGCTGGACCCACCTTTGCTCAGAGGGCACTGGAACAGAGAATCTCAAACTCGGGTGTTCACTGCAATCCCCTGGGGATACTAAACCGATCCTGATGCCTGCTTTCTATCCCAACAAGTTCTGATTTCGTTGGTTTCAGGTACAGCCCAGGCATTGGGAATTTTAAAAGGTGTCTTTGCAGGCCACTGGTCTAGATCCTTGTACTCAAAATGTGGTCCCCAGACCAGCGGCATCATTTCCCCCCCCGGAGCTTGTTGGTAATGCAGACTCTCAGCTCCCACCCACTCCAAGTCAGAATTTGCAGTTTAAGAAGATCCCTGGGAGAGGCATCTGCATGCAGACGCCGCAAGAGCATGGGGCTGGGGGACACCTTTAGCGGCGTCTCAAGTGTGGGCAGCATGCTAGGCTGCAGTGGCCAGCAGGGGCCCGTTCTGAAGCCTGGAGAGGAGCTGCTGCTTGATGAAGTTCTGTAGACAGTCTCCAAATGAGGGGGCCGAAGGGGAGAGAATGAACGTAGGCCTTGGGGGGCAGGGGTAAAGGTTTGACACCACCAGCCCAAGGAGTCGCTGCGGTGCCTTCAGGTGAGACAGAGCCCTTGAGTACAGCCGGTGGGGACAGTGGGGACAACACAGTTGACCATGAGGAATTAGTACACACTGGCCCATGCGCTGTCTTCATGTCATCCTCCCTTTAGTCCCAGCAGATGGGCTGTTATACCCTTTTTATGGCAGAGGGGACAGCAACACAGAGAGGTTAAGTAACTCGTGTACTTAAGAGGTGTGAATAGAAGGACAAAGGGAGGGAAGATTCACACCCAGATCTGATTTCAGGGCTGAAGTCGGCCTCAGCAGACACATTTTTCTTCCATCTCATCAGCCCTGAGGGAGGCCATGGGCCCACTGCTGAGCCCCCAATGTGGCCTCCACGCTCCCAAAAGATCAATCACGCCCCTGCTTTGTGGAGCTTCTAAGCCAGGTTCTGAGGTCCTCAGAGGCCATGAATTCCCCAAACCTGTTTGGGTTGAACTCTAAATACCCAGCATGTGAGAAGCTCGTAACACATGACCCAGTTGATAGGGAGGCTGGCCCGGCCTGGCCTGCAGTGACCTCGGCCCGGAGAACCTGCCCGCGGGGAAAGCCCCCGGCTGTGGCTGCCTCTTTTGCTGCCAAGACCCGAGAAGTGCAGGGGACCCCAGAGGCCACAGGGATCAGCCCTTCCCTTACAGACGAGGAAACCGAGGAGAGCGAGCAAGGCACTCGCTCACAGTCATACTCCAGGTTGTTCTTGGGAGCAGTGAGGAGACAGGACTAGGCTCACTGCTTATTTGGGGACATTGATGATGGGAAGAAGGGTAGTTGAAGCCCCCGAGGACTCGCTGAGGGCACTCAGATCTCTGTAACTGGCTCTACCCACCTGGCTCCCCCACTGGACTGGGAGCACCAGGAGAGCACGGTTGGAGTCTATTCACTTCTCACCCATCGAACCTGCCACGGGGCCTAGCAAAGGCTGGTGCTCAGAGAACGTTTCCTGAACAAATGGATGGCAAAGCCAGGCTCCTGGTGCGGTTCAACCCTGAAATGTGCCTGTCCATGCTGCTCAAGAACCAAATCCTCCCAGCGTGGCTTCCTATACGGTTTCTCTCATTGCCAAGGTCCCGCCCAAACCAGGGGACAAGGTCCCCATTTTTACGACAGTTCTGTGAACCTAACCCTACAGCCCTCAGGCCTCCCCAGCCCACCTTCCCCACTCCATTCAGCACAGGGGTTCAAGTCTGGAGAATGTCACCTCGGCTGGAAACACCGTCACTGCCCGTGACACGACCAGCCCGGGTGAGAGAAGCCCAGCAGGGTGGAGGAGCGGTTCCTCCAGCTTCACAGCTTCCTCCCTCCTCTGCCTTCACACCTCCCATCACACGCTCCCCTGCAGCCACCTGGTTCTAGGCTGCCCCAAATCCTGTCCCTTCTTTCCTCTCCTGTGGAGCTGAAACATATTGCTTTCTTCAAAAGGCAACTTCTAAGAGTAGGAGGGAAGCCAAAAAGAAAACACGAACACAAAGTGTGTGAAGACTGATGAACATATAAAAAGCAGATTCCCAACTTGGGAAGCAAGAGATGATGGTCCCTTATGAGATCCAGCAGAAGAGCCCTTTTTAGATGGTAAGATTCTGTAAGGACACTAAAGCTTCATTATTGCCACTGTTCCATCTTTTAAAGATGATCTAGGTCAAAGAAGTCAAAGGGATTACATAAACCCCAAGGACCAAGAAAAGAAGAGCTCACCCCGTGTGTGGTTTGGAGTTGCTGGGACTGAGAGTCTCAGAAGCCTCATGTGGCATCTGCCCTGGACCCAGAATTTCTAGAACATGATGCCTGATGCCCACACTGGACGACCCGGAACCGGTCCAGGGATGCTAACAATGAGAGGCAGCTGCTCCCTGTGGCGCCCTCTGCTCCTGCCTCGATGCTCAAGAAGCCTGTGGGAGCTTGGGGTTCTTTGCTACCCAAGAGGTCAAAACCAGCTTGTCTTGGGAGGCCTGGGTGTGCCTGGCTGACAGGGCGTCCCAGATGCAGGGCTGGCACTGTCATGGGAAAGGCACGCTCACTTGGTGCCTGAACGGGTGTTGTTCAACACGGGGATGACGCTGCCCAAAGGCCAAGGGCACCATGGCCTGTGGAGCTGGAGGTCTCATCCTCAGAATGTGCCCAGGGTCCGGGGTTGAATAGTAAAGTCTGCTCTTGTGCCTTCTACCTTTCTGCTCGTGATCCCCAAAGTCCTCAAACAGGCTGTAAGGTGGCCAGGACGGGACAGCTCAATCTACCTTACACACGAGGAGCCTACGGAGGCCTGCAGGTGTCAGATGACTCTGATCCTGGCTGTCTGGCCCCACCCTGGGCTGCTCAGACCTTCCCAGGATCCTGCACTCCATTTAGTTTGAGAACTGCTCAAACAGACACCCAGCCCAGCCAGGCACTATTTGGGGAGACCACAGAATGACGGCCAGGTGGCGCATGTGGAATGAAAACTCTCCCAGTGTTTCTTCCATGTTACCAGCATTTCCCGAAACCAGGTTCAGTGGAACTGGTTCCCGCAGACGCTGTATTTGTCCTCATAATCATTTGCATAATTGCAGCTAACATTTCCTGCTTACTGTGTTCCAAGCACTGTGCTAAGTGTTTGTTATGGAATAATGAATTTAATCTTCCCAAGAACTTTAGGAGACGGGCACTAGTGCATTTTACAGATGAGGAACTAAGGCACAGAGAAGTTAGGCAACTTGCCCAAGAACACACAGCTGGCAGGCGGCAGAACTGGGATGGAAGCCCGAGCCATTTACCTCCAGTGCACAGGCTTGTGAAACCAAACGGGCGTGTCTCTGCACAATTTCTGAGCCTTTCATGTGCTGACAGGCAGTGTAAATTCCTAAGAAGAGGAGACAGGTTGTCATCTACCCCAAACATATTTCCCTTAGTTATCTGATAGCCACTGACCGCTCACTCTGCCAGTTACTGTGGGTTACAGTGCTGAGCCAAGCAAACATACGCTGTGAACGCACAAGGGGAATTCTGCAAGGGATGGCTTTGTCAAAGCCTATCCCTACTTAGTTCCAGGAGAGTGGCCTCCTGCACAGAAGGGCCCTGGCCTGAACCCTCCCCTTGCCCCCTCCATAGGATGTCACTTCAGTCCTCGCTCACGTCGATGCCCCTGCCTGCAGTGCCCTCCCCACCACGGCCTCCTCTCCAGCCCCAGGGGGCACTACTGGAACACTAGGTACGTGGAGGCTTTTGACCCATCTGGTTTGACCTGGTGCTCCTGGAGAGGCAGAGAGCATGAGGTTTAGAGTCTGACAGTCCTAACTCCACCACCAGCAGCCTGAGCGGGTCACCTGCCCCCTCAGTACAGTTTCCTTTATGAAACGGGCCTAACGCCAACTTCGTATAGCTGGGGAAGCATTCCCAACTCTGCCTGCATGGTGCCTGGAACAGAGCAGGAGCTCAATGGAGTTCAATCCAGAGAGGCTCTTATGAGAGGAGACCCCCCCCAACCCTCCTTCAGTGAGAGCCGGCCCAGCAGCTGGTCACTCAAAGCAGGGAGTCAGTATGGGTACATTTAAGCATTTCTTAATTAGAAATAGAGGGATGTGTGTGTGTTCATCAACCTTTTTGATGGAGAAAAACACACAAACATGCTGCCTGACCGCATTTTAAATTCATGACCCCAAAACTCCGGTGGGCTCCCAGCGCATATGCCTCCTGGCAGCCCTTCTCTGTTCCCTGGTGCCGTTCCCTTGATTACCCACATGGCTGCTGCTCACCGTCTCCCCTCTTCCTCCACATCTCCCCATCCTCACCCACCTCCAATGATTTCGCTCCCTATGGCACACAATGATGGTGGAACAAGACTTCCACAGTTTGCGCCCTGCCTCCCTTCCCAGCTGTCTTCTTCTTTGTAAGGCGGGATGCCCCCTCCTGAGCCCCACTCCTCCCATGGGTGCCAGGCCCCATCTTCTTTCATGTAATCAAGGCACTCCCCATTTCCACTCCAGAAGTCTCTATTCCCGCATCTGTGTTTTATTTCTCTCCCTAGCATTTATCATCTGACATGCCATCTATTTACTTACTTTCCTGTCTCCACCAACTAGAACATAAATTCCGTGGAGTAGGACATTGTGACAGTTTTGTTCCCTGCTATATCCCCTGGCACCTAAAACAGTGCCAGGCATGTAACAGCAGGCGTAGGCCCCGCATTTATGAATGAATGAATGAATGAATGAATGGCCAAGATCTGCACTGCCTTTCTGGACTAAATCACACCCACATTACATCATCTGTTAACTTCCAGTTTTTGTTAAAAGTGCAGAGAGAAACTAAGACACTTATAAGGGGAATCTGAGTACAAAATCCTCCTATGCCTTTACCATCTCTGCCCTGGTCCCGGCACATTTTTAATTTTCTCACCCACACCTTGTTGGACTGCAATTTTTAAGCGAATTACTATGTGCCTTTCTAAGTATTCAACTTGTTTTTCATAAATAGCTCTATGCTAGTCATTGGCTTGTATAATATTTAATTAGATTGTGCAAGTGTGATAATAAATACAAGCGGCATAAACAGGTTTGGGAACAAATGCAACTGACCTTTGGCATGCATTTAACTTGGCTGCTGGGAATGGAAGCACACGGACTCTCCCTATGAGCAGTGGTCAGGATTTCCAGAGGCAATGAAGAACATGCATTAATATTGGTGGGTCGCTCAAACTAAAGTCAGCTGGGTTTCAACTGTATGTTTTATCCACAGTTGGCGTTCCAGCAAAAAAGTTCAGAAGGATTTCTGGTCCTATTCCACTTTCCAAGGCCTTGTGCTTTGCAAAATGTTCTCACTTTTTTTTTTTTTTTGAGATGGAGTTTCGCTCTTGTTGCCCAGGCTGGAGTGCAATGGCGCGATCTCAGCTCATGGCAGCCTCCGCCTCCCGGGTTCAAGCGATTCTCCTGTCTCAGTCTCCTGAGTAGCTGGGATTACAGACGCCCGTCACTATGCCCAGCTAATTTTTGGTATTTTTAGTAGAGAAGGAGTTTCACCATGTTGGCCAGGCTGGTCTCGAACTCCTGACCTCAGGTGATCCACCTGCCTTGGCCTCCCAAAGTGCTAGGATTACAGGCGTGAGCCACCGCGCCCGGCCTCACAATTCTTAATTCTCTGTTCTTCCTTAGGCAATGGTGAACATGCCGGACTTAGTGACGAAGTAAGTGGCGGAGACCTCTGTGTTTGCCTGGAGTGCTTGTGTTTGTTACCCTTTGATCCAGCTGACTAAGTCACATTACCCAGCAGCTCTGACTCACCACGGTGAAGGAGAAATCTCCAAGGCAAGCGATACTGTGTTGCAGATCCGGTTTTTGGAACAGCTTTGTTAACACAGCCCATTCAAATGCACATGGCACCATGAAACCCATCAGTGTTTAAACCCTAAGAAGATGATTCATTATTTTGAGCAAAAGTCAGAAAATGTGCAAGGAAAGTCATCCATTGCTATGTATTTTGGGAGGCTCTACTAGGGAAGGATCGATCCCCCCATTCCCACCCCTTAAGAGATGTCAGGTGTCAGGAGATGAAATTCAAGCTTGGTACTACAGAAAGGGTGACCCTATTTTCAGGTCCAAAAATAGGGGAAAAAGAACCTAGAAATCTGAAGGAATAGTTGAATAGTTCTACCCCCATGATGTTCAGTTATAGTCAAAGACAGCCTGTAAGGACTCGAATCTTTGGTGTGTGTACCAGTGTAGACTGGGAGGGGAGACTATAATTCCACCAGTACCTTTGAATTAATACACTGTGCTGTAGTGGGTTGCTAGCAGTTTTATACTGGTCTCTATGGGTTACTGATTGGCTTTCATTATGCATTCTTAACCTTAAGGACTATCCCCAGAGGCAGTAACACTAATTTTAATTAGCTATCACCAGCCTTTTCTTTCGGCTTGATTTTAATGGATCATTTACCTATGAACGGACATTCTTTGTTCAATCACCAGCAGTTAATTGCCCCAACATTCACATTTTAAACCAAGAGGGTCATGAGTTAGGGTCACATAAGTAGGTCACTGAGGCGGAGCGGTAGCTTTGGCTCTATTATCCTTGAGGATTTCTTTTTCTTTTTCTTCCACAAATACTGAGTTCCTACCACATGCTCAGGCCTACGGTGGGTGCAGGTGAACACACACATGCAGGGCGCTGTGTTGGCGAACCCCCAATTCCCTCTTACCTACGACACTCAGAAATGTCCCCAGCTCCTGAGCTGCCCCTGACTCATCTATCACCGGGTTGTTATAAGAATTAAGGAAAAACATAATTGAAAGTGTTCTGAGAGTTGAAATGTTGCTGTAAGTATATCAAAGAGATGGTAAACAAGCAAAGGAAAAGAATTTAAAATCAAAATCAGAAGAAATTAAGTGATGAGATGAGTGATACCATGTCATTAAAAAAAGTAATAATACTTTAAAAGCCCTCTGAAGTCTGGGTAAGACTCATGTGACAAGCTGATAAAAATGAAGATTTCAAAGTCCCACCCCAGAGATTATGGTTTAGTAGGTCTGAAACTTTTAATCACCCAGGTGATTTTTTAATGTAGGTGGTCCACTGAGCAAACATCCTGGGGAGATGATCCAAACTAGGGCCCCATCACACACCCAGGAACACAGACAGGAAATGGCATTTAAAGCTGTAATTAACAACGCAAACCAAACCGCAAAATGCTCTTACCTCGCCATGTGCCACACACAACTCGGAACAACACTTTAATAAAACACCTGCTGTTAGCTGGCACTCACGAGCTGTGTCTGTAATTTTTAAAAATGCTTTCAAAGGATATAAACCTATCATTAATTACAATGTTGAAATAATCTGGCACGGCATATATTTCAACTACAATATCTGACACCAGTTCATTGAGGCCTATCAAACAGTTGGCTCCTACGTGAAGGTAAAGTTAACACAGATTTGTTTTCACTAAACTCACTCGTAAAATTAAATCACAGGAGCCTAACATAAGAATGAAGACAGTAAGAGTATAAAACTCACACCTGTAAACATAAACATTGGCCATTAGAGAAATTCCAAAACAATTCCAGAGTAACATCCTGAATCCATAAGAGAAATCCATTTCATGGGCAGGTCATCAATCTCTGCTAAAGGTAGTGAACTACCAGTACTTCCATGGGTTTGTAAGGACCAGCTCTCTAAAACTATCAAGATTAAACCACTTGGCACCAAATAGATTATTTATTCTAAACATAAATTAAAGGACATAGGATGGTAAAGAGAAGGAAACTCTTGTTTCAGAACTAAGGAACTTCACCTGGCAACAAATATTTGCTGAGAAAGGAATTGATTGCACTTTTACCCAAACTTTTGTTTCGTTCCCTCCACAAATCATTTCTTTAACTCGTGTTTTGGGAGCTTAAAAGAAAAAAAGCAGTCCATTATACGGTGTGTTATACTTAATACTCTCCTATCTAGGTCACTTGTCCCAGCAACATCACTTACCAGCACAGAACCAAGAGCCAAAGTCTATTGTGTTTTGGTTTTTGGCTTTCTTGGAGACAGGGTCTCACTCTGCTGGCCAGGCAGGAACACAGTGGTGCAATCATAGCTCACTGCGGCCTTGGCTTCCTGGGCTTAAACAATCCTCCCACCTCAGCCTCCTGAGTAGCTGGGACTACAGGTGTGTGCCACTGTACCTGGCTTTTTTATTTCTTGTAGAGATGGGGTCTCACTATGTTGCCCAGGCTGGTCTTGAACTCCTGAGTTCAAATGATCCTCCCGCCTCAGCCTCCCAAAGTGCTGGGATTACAGGTGTGAGCCACCGCATCTGGTCAAGACCTACTGTTAATGAGTGAGCAAACCATGTCCACAAATCCATGTTCTGGAATTAATGCACTTTGCTTACAAGGGAGGTCCTTGGGAGATCTCTCAGGGCCAACCATCTCTTTGTTTACATATGATATTAACAGGACCACAATCTAGCTTCCCAGCCCACAATTAACAGAAGCATATCTGAAGGATGCCAGGAAGTACAGACAATATCCATGAGTGACAGATGGAAAAGGAGATCTTGAGGAGTACGCTCTTCTCAAAAGTCACATCTCAAGCTTCTGGATCCTCTAGTGTGGGGTCAGGATCTCCTATATGCCAGAATCATCTTTTCTACAACAAAGTATTAATTGATGGTTACCTTGAACCCTCAAAGAAGGGTGAAATTGAGTCCAGTGTAGTTTTAAAAAGCAGAAAAGTAGCAGACACAATGACATCACAGGCAGCAAATACCTGGCACTCCAGAACCACTCGCCTTCCTGCATACAAGGCAGACATGGGTCACTTAGCCAGCCCTCTTTCCCTGAGTGTGAACCCAGCTTCAGAATCCAGTTCTATGCAGCACCCTGGGCAACTGCTCCCCCTACACAAATGGAAACCTGCTGGTCAACCCTGGCTTGGAAAGACTTCTGTGAAAATAGAAGGGGGAGAAGTTGACCCTAGAGAGTAGGTTCATCCATCCTCTGGGCTGTTCAGTATCTAGATCTGCTCCTTCTCTAACAAAGCTGGAGGGATGAGGCTCCAACCTTGGTAAAAACGAGGCCTGGCCGAAACCTCAGACATGCTGGTTTCCCAAGAAGATACAAAATGGGTTCATCCCAGGAAGAACAAAGACATCCATTCACCCGCAACACAGTTTTCAGCTCCTTCAAATCTGCTGGTGCTTCTTGTCCAGCAGACAAGGTGCTTACAAGTCACATTCTTTGCTGCTTAAAGGCCATGCCACTAGAAGGCGGCACAGGGGCGTGACCAGGGGCTCCCTTCTACCTCCTCACGCCTAGATCCACAGACGAGAGGTAGCACAAACTCATGATTAAGAGATGAGACAGACTGCCTGGACTTGACTCCTGGCTCCACCTCCTACCATCTGTGACTTCAGGCAAATTGCTTGACTTCCCTGTGCCTCGGTTTCCCCATTTGTAAAATGGGAGAACATGAAATTATTCATAGGGCTCTTTTGAAGATTAAATGAGGTAATACATGGAAAGCCCTTTATTTACATCGTGGCCAGCAAGCATTATCGGTGATCATCCTTACATTATTATTGTTTCAGCAAAGCGAGGTTATTTGGTTTTCATGGTTTGACAGAGCTAATGAAATGCTTTCTTCTTAACTTACCTTTTAAAAATTGACATTGAAATTCAAAACCAAAAGAAATAGAAAGTTACAGGGAGGGGGTGATAGAATAAGAATGAATCATCTTTTTTCTCACTTTGAATTGGAAAATGATTTCTTGTCTTACAGCTCACTTCTCTTTAGTTCTGATGGGTGGGAGCATCTGCTATAAGAAGGAAGCAGCTCTGGTCCACAGAGGAACAGCTCTGGCCTGGCAAAGACACAGCAAAGGTCCTTGGTGCCACTGGTAGCCAAACCAGGAGTTACAGGCCACTTGAGAGCTTTCTCTCTGGGCAGAGGCAGGAGATAATGAGGGAATGTTCTGGCTACTACAACTCACGCTGTCATGAAATCTTATACATGGCATGCCAGGCTCAACTTTTCATCAGATTCAAACTGAGATTAGAGAGGACATCAGTCAGTCATAATAGTGATGCTGACAGCAGCTGACGTTGACAGCACTCACTGGGGTGAACAGCATCTGTGGTCCTTCCAGGCTGCTCTAAAGTTGTCTTCGTGGCAATTCTTTGTGGTCAGATTGATTACTGCCCTTCCACAGAAAGGAAAACGGGCTCGGAGAGGTTGAGTAACTTGCATAGATTACGCTTACAGAACTACACATGATAAAGCCAGAATTCAAATATTTTATTCAACAAATATTTATTGAGCAGCTACTACATGCCAGGCTCCATTCTATTAATAGATGCTGGGAACGCAGCAGTGAAGAAATCAAAGTTCCTGCCTGGGTAGAACTCTCATCTAAGAAGGGGGAGACATAGAGTAAACAAACATAATGAGTCCATAACAGAATGTACAGAAGGCTTAAGGGTCTTGAACAGTAAAGCACAGCAAGTAGAGGGATGAGGGACCAGGCAGTGTGACAGATCGATGGTCAGGAAAGGCTTCTTGGAGGAGGTGCCAGCTGATCAGCCTTCCAGGTCCAGAGCCAATGCCCGTACCTACATTCCGCTGCCTGTCATGAAAACAGTAGAACCTCAACCCCGGCTAGTGCTGGCCTGCACCTCACCATCTCTTCTGTGGAATGCAAGTGGCCTTCAGGAAATTCTGAACTTGGAATTTCCATTTCTATGTAATCATGGCAGACCAGGCTGAACTGAAGCTCTGTCTCAACTTGCATTGCTCCCATGAGGGGCCCTGGTCTCAGACTGAGAAAGGCTCCAGGGATCCCAGGAGAATCAATGTCTGGAGCTCCCCAGGTACCAAGCTTGTCCGACCTGCAGCCCACAAGCTGCATGCAGCCCAACACAAATTCATAGACTTTCTTAAAACACTAACTTTTTTTTTTGCGATATCTTTCTTTTGTTTTAGCTCATCAGCTTTCATGTTACTATATTTTATGTGTGACCTAAGACAGTTCTTCCAACGTGGGCCAGGGAAGCCAAAAGATTGGACATCCCTGCTCTATGCTCTCCATGAGCCGGGACTCAATTGCTCCGCACTTACCTAGATAGAAAAGAATACATCATTCTAGAAGCCTTTAGGAGTGTTTTAAAAATTCTGACAAAGCTCTAGCCTCACCAAAGGATAGAACCACCCACTCATGAAATTAATAGAAACTTATGTTTCTCAGTTCCCACAAAGGGCTTTTTTCTCTTTCAGGGCTTTTGAAAAGTGAGTCGTTTCTGCAACAGCCTCGTCCCCAAGTTCTTTAGTGATCACCATCATCCAAGTTCCCCACATGCTGCCCCTTTCCACCCGGGGCCGGCTACTAAGACCTGGCAATTTCCTTAGCGGTGCCTCCCTAGGTCTGTTTTTGTGAGGACTTGAGCACCTGACGCGGATTAAGCGTCCACTGTCATCACCAGCGCCACCACAGCCATCAGCCATTGGATCCTCACTGGGAACACATGCTGCCTTCTGTAACGCGCACGGCATGTGGCAGGTGGGGGGCACAGAGCTCCCCTACAGGCCAGGAAGCTGGTCACTCTGTGGGCAGCATGCCCTGCCACTCAGTAACTAACAGCACCCAGGTAAGGAACACCTAGATGGGAAGGCATTCAATGCCCATGTTCTTCCCATGATCCTACACACACTCTCTGCAGTAAAACTGCTCTCTGGCCATCAGCATCTCATTTGGGGGACACAACAGTTATGTACATGCAAGTCTCTCTAAAACCCAAGGGCACAGTGATTAGGTGGTTTCAAATTGTAGTTGAGCTTGGCTCTGGAACCAGATGGCTGGGTTTGGGGTCTCCACTTGTAGCCATGGGACATAATTCAAGTGATGTTGCCTCTCTCCGACTCGGTTAATCTATCTGTAAATGAGAATACCATCTCCGTCAGATGTGGGAGAGCTCAAAATGTAAAGCACTCAGAAAGGTGCCCCACGCGCTGGAAAGGCCAGTGACACTCCAGGCGCATCCTCAACTCCCTCCATGGTGGTTAGCTACACCCCGAGGGTCCTCTAAGAGTCCCAGGACAAAGTCCTTCAGATCTACAGCCTGACACTTTGATGATTCAGATTGGCTGTTGAAAGATGTTTTCTGAATGGCTGGCTGACTGAATCACAACAGGAGAATGTGCCTGAATTCACAAGTCCAATAATAGCCTGGAAATAGAAGCCATCTGAAAATGTTCTAAACTCTAGCTGGGTTGGCAAGGATTGGATGCGATTATAAAAAGCAAGTGAGAAGAGAATGTTACCGCAAGGAAAATTGAATCCATGAGTTTTAAATAACTTCATTCCAATAAAAAAAATTAAAGTATATTTTGGGCCAATGATTAAATGCTACGACAAATTCAACTGCTGTACACTGAAATTGTTTTTAAGTTAAAAAATTAAAATACCCATAACTGTCTCCTAAGGCCTAAATGCCCTTTTGTTAACTTACCTGTGCCACAAATTCCAGGTTTTTTAAAGTGAGTCCTATTTTAAATGTACATTTAGATTTAATGCTAAGACTCAGTAGATGTAGGATTCCAGATTGTATCATAGGCTCCTGTTTAAACATGAATAAGGAAATATTCTTAGCTTAAATATGTTCTGAATCAGAACACAAACCTGGGCTTTAAAATTCACCTGTAGCTTTCTGTGGTTGCTGAAATGACACTCCAGTTCTTTCTCCCCTCACTGAGTAACTCAGGTGGCACCTATGAAAGGGTGTTCAGAAACATGGCTTGTTCTGTTGACTTCCTGCCATGGTTTATTAGCTGGACATGGGAAGGCACATTTAGGCACCAGTCTTCCGTAAAATGTTTATGGTCTCCAGAATGTCCACCTGAATTTCTATTTTAAAAAAGAGTTGAAAAGAAATCCAGCTGACATAAGGAAGGCAGAAATGCAGGCATGTGCAAATCCTATTACCCGCAACAGGTCGACAAGTTTATTTTAATAAAAGTATTTCTGGGTACCTTTTAATGACTCACAATTAAATGCAATTTTTGCAACTGCAAGTAATTTAATGTAGAGTGATGATGGTTTCCTCAATTCTTAATCTAGAAAACTAAATGAAACCTACACACCCCCTCCAGGTTCTAATCCTATACTTTAAAAATAAGGTATCGGCAGAACGTAAATACCTGTTTGTTTTGCATGTAACAAACACACTATTTGCTGAAGTCGGGAGGCAGCCTAGACCAACTTTCTTTTTGGGTTAATGCCCAGCAGCTCAAGGTTCTCCGCCGGTATCTGAGGAGATGCTTGAGGATCCCAGGGCCTTTAGAATCATCTCCAAAATCAAAGGGTATTACTATAATGAGCTTGGCTTCTGTTAAACAGTCACGTTGCCGTTGATGAACCACATGGCTCTATAAAAGCCAGCTTGATTGACCTGAACTAATTGGTCTGTGATGGGGGTAGAAGTTTATTCCACAGTGAGAGGGAAACTAAAAGCAAATGGGTCCAGGAGCAACTCCTGACTAATAAAGGCTCGCTGCACCAGGAAGATTTCCTTACCCACAAATGACTGTTCCACTTGTTCACTAATGCTTGGAAAAGCTTTTATGGAGAAGGTACTGCGTCCTGTTTTCTATATTTAGAAGAAATAAAATCCCTTAAAAAAAAAAAACCCTACCTATAAAAACGATGGACTGCACAGTGTAGCTTGGAGTTCAAATCCCAACTTGCCACCTTAGAGTTGTGTGCCCTTGGAACAAAATCACTTTCCCCAAATCTGTTTCTCCATCGGTAAATGACACCAACCTCAGGCTGTCATTGCCAAGACTTGTAGATGCTCAGCAGAGTACCCAGCAAACAGCAGGCATTGGAAAGCCAGACTGAATCCACCCTAAAGCTTCTCAGATCATTTCCACCACCACTCAGAGGAAGCGGCACAAGGGCAGAAGGGGGGGAGGGAGGAAGTGACATGACCCTGTGTAGGTGGCAGCAAGGATCGGGCCTAGGGGCCTGGGACTGCAGCACAGAGATCCATGGCACCAAGGAGCAGTTTCGCACTTTTTTCCCTACATGCCACCCACTCAAACCTCAAACCGTATTCAACTTCTATTTTGACATTAGATGTTCTGTCTAAAATCTTAACGGTCACGTCATCATTCCCACCAATCTGGACCTTTATTTTTCTTATCCCATAATACTGTGTATTCAAGGTTCTGCTTGTGAGGCAAACCCTTCAGGAAAGGTCAAGCCACCAGAAGGGCAAGGCCCAAGGGGGCTTGGGCCTTGGAATCAACATAAGCCAGAGAGAAACTACACATTAGGCCCGTGGTTCCTTCACCCTCAAGGCCCACCACCTCCTCTTTCCACCAAGTGGACACGGCTCAGGATTGGCTTCAGAATAACCCTGATGCCCCAACGCCAGATGCACGGCCCCGCCAGCCTTAGAAAGAACGGGAAAACAATAGTGCCCACTTTGCAGGATAATTATAAGGATGCCATGCAGCACTGCGAGGCCTAAAGCACACACAATCCTCTAGCAATTGAGAGCTACACTCATCTGTTATTCTTCCCATATTAAATTCAGAAATTCTCCTGTGCCCTGAATTTACCTGGGGTCTTTAAAGTACATATTACCCAGGCAGGTCCCAGCCCTAAATGGACTCATTGTAGGGCCTTGGAACTAGTGGTTTTGACAAGCTCCCCAGGTGAAGTGTGGAACCCACGGTGTTGAAGGGCAGGGCTTGTGGCTCCCCGTTTTGTTAAGTCTAGCAGAATGGCCCATCCACACCTGCAAGGCCCTCGAACATACGCTCAACAGCAGTGCTTCACCAGAACCTTCACTGAGGCTGCCTGAAGCGGCAGCTGCAGGAGTGGTGCCATCAGGCAGGAAAGAGGCCATGAGAGCTGGGCCTGTAAAGGCTGACGGGGAACGATAAACCATTTTCTGTAACTATCAGCCTGGTCTTTGAAACACTTTAAATGTGGCCTTTATATCCTAGTCAACCCTTTTCTCATCCGCCTGTGCTCTAATCCACTTTCAAGGTAAATTGCCCTTTATGATTTTTTTTATGGATTCAAGTCAATATATTCAAAGCGAGGTTCAATATCAAATCAAAACCCACATGAATAAAATATCAAATGCATTAAGTGAGCTATAATTTTAGTAGAGTCATTTTAAGCTAAGTATTAAAAGCCGGCAGTCATCTAGATTACTGGCATTCAGATATTAAGCTAGAAGCATCTCCTTGTCCACCTAGCCTCTGGGGAACTGTGACAGCGAGGAGGTTTGGAATATGAAGTATAAAGTGGGGAAAAAAGCCACTATGAAAATACAAGCCCCACGGAAGTCAGGATTTTTGTCCATTTTGTTCAGAGATGTATCCTAAGCACCTACAACACAGCCAGGCATACATTAAGTACTCAATACATTAAGCTGGTTTTGTAAAATTATCTTGCTAGAAAGTACTTGTAACAACGAGGACAAGACAGCCAGCCTAGCAAGGCATTTACCAGAAACACTGTGAAATGTTTCAATGGTAACAGGGATGGAAGGCTCTAATTAGCTTTTGATTTTTTAAAAACGTTTAACTCTATCAAAGAAGAGCCAAAGCAACCCAAACAGGGCAGCTTCTCCCTTGGTGAGATGGATGTGATGTGGTTCCTTGGTGACTCCTCCAGTAAACATCTGAGTCCCTGTCATGTTCCAGGCAGAGCCAGGGACACTGTGGAGACCGAGCCATCATCCCACTCTTTCAGTCCAGTGCTTGTGTCTGACAGCATCTTGATCCAGGAGAAAAGATCTCCTCCTAGAGGGCGCACTCAGAAACCAGCCAGTCTACTCCCCACTTTTTGCAGACTGGGAACTATGATCCAGAATGTAAAGGAACTTGCCCAAGGCTAAAACACAGAAGACGCAGCCATGGAGGGCGCTTGTTGGAGGCCCGTTTACTGAAGGCACAGGGAAGGGATGAACGGCCAGCAGATGGGTTAGGATGGAAATCCAGTTCTCATCCAAGACCGTGCTCTTTCTCACAACACTCAACTCCTCACAGGGCACTGCTGTGTGTTGAAGCCTCATTTGTTTAAAACTACTAATATCGAAGACCAGTTCCAGATTCCCACCAACCTCTCTCCTCCGTGTTTTTCTAAGGGAGGAATATCGTATGCCAGAACATCTGGCCAAGGGAAGCTGGCTATCCCTTCACCACCTTTCCCTGAGGAGTGACAGACAGATGTGGTTAGCAAAGTGCTATGATGATGAACTATAGGAAACCGCTTATAGTCAGCCATTTTTAATCTTAAAAAACCCCAGCAATTTCACATAAACTGAGTATGTCACAACTTTTTGGTTTCATTCTTTGGAAGCCCATAGAAATAAACATCAATCCACAAACTACAGTAAACTTTTAGGAAGCACAGAGACCCCACAGATGAAATTATTTTGTATTTTACTCTTACCCGAGTGAGTTCACAAGGTACTTCTCGGCACCGTTGTCTGACTACACGTCCACCCTCTACATAGAAATCCAACTGGAATGAGCACATATTCAGTTACTGTCAAATAGAAACAAGTGAACAGACGCCAGGTGGGCTGAGTAGACGCCGCACTTTTAAATTAGAGTGCGGGCTCTGAACAATCCTCCACACACACCTTGTTTTACCCCCTAACTGCTCCCAATTATGTACAAAATGCAGTCCTTTCACAGATGTTTAGAAAGTTTTTTATTGGTTACAATAATATAAAATGCATTGTTTAAATTCTCCTCTAGTTATTAAGTGTTTGCAGCAATAGCACAACAAATCTTTTTTTAATACATCTGACAAGCCCCAATGATTTCAATGCTGGGAGGGGAAAAACAACAAACACCACTCTTGTCTATCTATAATTAACCTCTCTCTCTCTCAGTGCTACATTGGTTAAAATCAATGGACAACCCCTTTTTGTATGTCAAATTGTAAATTTTAATGTTTTCATTAGAATAGTCTTTTATAGCACTCTCCAAAAAGAAGCAATAAAATAACTAACAGCAAAGTTCAATACAGGAGCACTCTCCGGGTTAACAACGCCAACAAAAAAAGTGAAATGTAAATCACATATAATACAATTGAAGCGTCCAAAACAATTTAAATAATTTTAAATATTTTATTTTTAAATTGCTACAAATGCTTTATACAATATTTCAACATAAAGTCCCCATAACAGAAATGTAACAAAATGGGAATGATAGTGGAAGGATTAAAGTGGCACAAATTCACCAAACAAATATTAAACTACAAATTTTTCAGAGGTAGATTACTTTTGAAGTTGAGAACAAAAAACAGTATGAATAAAACCTAGCCGCTTTCCACCAACTCAGTCATTAATTTAGGGGGAGGCATAAAATGTAAGGATAAATGATATTAATATACTTAGGAAGAGGCCAATTTGTTGTTTTTAATCTCTATTAGAGATGCAAGTGTAAAACCTGGTATGCAAATTCATTTATACTTACGTGTAGACATACATCTGTACAGGCCTGGGATGCGCCTGTGCACTGATATATTGCTACATAGTCTCTGATAATATAATAGTTATAAATTAGTGCCAGATAAGAATCTGAGAGGATAACGTCCATTTGGATATACAAACGCAACACCAGAATAGGCATAAAAAAGAGTCCATATCCAATCTGGTTTCCTCTCCATTACGCTGGCAATCTACTTGTGATTTAAAAAAACGAAAACAACAAAAAAAAGAAATACCAGGGGTAAGAGATCAGCTAAATGCCTCTCTCTGTCTATAATTAATTTAAAAGAAAGGCATCAAGAGCTGATATGTGACCAAAACGTTTTAAATGAGTGCATCCAAATCTGTCATCCCTGAAACCTACAACAAACTACTGCTAAAACAGGCAACTTGCTTTGCAAGGTTAAGTTCAAATCAATCCTTTCTCTGCTACGTGCCAAAAACAAGGGCCATGCTCAGATCTGAGGTACCAGTCCCATGACGAGGAGCCAGTTCATCTGGCCTGTCTTACAGTGCCCTTCTCTTTGGATCTCAATCACCCGGGCGCCCAGCATGCGCGTTGGGCCCCCACCGAAGCAGCAGATGCCTGACTCTAAGCCTGCCGGCAATCAGCTGAATGTTAGGATTTTTGAGTCAGCTTCAACTGGTCTTGCAAGCTTGGTAGATTTCGTATCCTTTGCCGTAGTGCTTATCCTAAGTTGAGCATGCAATACTTTTTAGTCAATTAAGGTTTGTTTTGTTTTGGGGGCTTTTCTACAGGAAGTTCCTAGAAAATAAGAAAACTGAAGATAAATGACAACAGAACATAACCTTACATGATTGACCATGTTAAAGAAAAAGGTGAATAGACCGTAAGACAAATGTTATTAAGACGACAACACATACATGACTGAAGGCATTTAGGAACGAGCGTCCTACCCAGAAGACACACCCTGCAAGGAACTACACGCATTTATTTCCAAGGGATGTAGCAGAGATGGAGGCATGAGAAATTAGCACTTTTTTTTTTAAATCAATTCCTGGTAAATGGAAAAACTTGGTCTAGAATTTCATTTTGCTTCTCTACCTTTTTCTTGACTGCGATGGGAACTCGGTTTGAAAAGAAAAATGTGGCTCTAAAAGAAGCATTAAAGAACCCAAAAACACCAGGCACGGTGGCTCACACCTGTAATCCCAGCACTGCAGGAGGCCGAGACGGGCGGATCATAAGGTCAGGAGATCGAGACCATCCTGGCTAACACGGTGAAACCCCATCTCTACTAAAAATACAAAAAATTAGCCGGGCATGGTGGCGGGCACCTGTAGTCCCAGCTACTCGGGAGGCTGAGACAGGAGAATGGCGTGAACCCGGGAGGCAGAGCTTGCAGTGAGCCAAGATCGTGCCACTGCACTCCAGCCTGGGCAACGGAGCGAGACTCTGTCTCATTAAAAAAAAAAAAAAAAAAAGAACCCAAAAACACCGTGGGGTTTACAAAGGTGAAAGATGAGTAGGAGGTGAGTAGAGAATACACCTCTTTCCTTCCCTTTCTGCTTTACTGGAGCCCATGGAAATGAACCCTTAGCAACAGATTTAAACTCAGCACTCCAGAAAGCCATGGCGAGGGGTGGGGGGTGGGTCACTGTAGTAAGAGCTGCAGCAGGAGAACCTGAATGACTGTGGCATGCCTGCTTTCCTGTGTTTTCTCCTAAGAAAAATATTTGGAGCACATGGCTTTTTGACACCTTGTCTGGCACCATGGCTTGTGTTCCAGGAAATGACCCTCAGTGTTAAGTAGAAAACTCATGGAAAAATCATATGGCTGATTGCAAGCATGTACTTGAAAAACTGTGGAATCCGAAAGTGGCATTCACATGTAAAATATCTGAGTATGGAAAACTAGCTCTTAATCACAGCTTGTTGTAAAGAAATAACACAGGACAAGGATGTGCTGCCTGTTCTGTAAGAAATCCCTGTGTACCCAACAGGGTAAGTAAAGCAAGCTGCAAACAGAGTGAAAGTGAGTATTCCTCGACATGTAATAGATGTGATGATTCCTTGTGTCAGGAATCATCCCTACACGAAATTTACAAGTAGAACTATACTTAAACAGAAAGACGACTGTAGTTCAAACAACTCCTTATTAGTGTAATGCAACAAATATGCACTGAGGCTGAGGCCTCCTCTCTACGAGCCCTGGGCAACACGTTAATGACAATCATCATATTACCCAGGTCTAAGTTTAGGAATCCCAGTTTTGTGCTAAACTCACTACAAAGTACTAAGACCAAAACAAACACTTTAAAGAAATGCCCACTTTTGTGTCCAGATAGTCAAAATCTATCTTGATGAACATCTGTTTTCTAATTCCCAAGAACACATCACAGGTTTATGGTGACTTGGTAAGTGGACCCCTGGATCACATTCCTGACCTACAGATGTGTCCGCAGCACAGTTCCAGCACCTCACACAGAGGAGGAAGAGCTGCCACCAATGCCTGTCATTACCATCTACGGTTAGGACAATACCAGTGTTTTCTTATCTGATTCTTCTGTGCTTCCTTTTAGGCAAAATTTCACTCCAGCAAGGTAACCCTCTGTTAACTATCAAACAAAGCAAAATAATGAAAATGAACTGGGGCAAAGAAGAGACATGATTTTTAAGGCCCTTTAGTCCTTTGTAGCCTTAAAGGTTACTCAAAAGACACTGGGTAGAGGCTATTTGAATAGGCCTCATAAATTTATGGTCACTCTGACAGCTTTTCTTTGCAGAACTTAATTTTTCCAAATCAACTTTAACCTTGAACTGTGTAAGTAGGGCCAAGTACAAAACAAGCATTTCTTTTAGATAATACTGAAGACAAAAGGGATAGACAGTACATTCTAAAGCATCAACCGCCTGGGAGGTGTTTTATAGTACAATCTGTGAAAATGAAGGCACACTCTGCTTGTTGAAGACACAAGCAACTTGAAAAGGACTCAATTTGATCATGTCCTGTTGGTGTGGCACCACCAGAACACAGACTGAGCACAAACAGGTGCACAATTCAATTACTAAAGGCAAGCAGCTTTGACAGCTGATAACACAGGTGCTTATTTTCAGCAGAGCTAACCTCCAAGATGCTACCTATGTATGTGCCGCGGCCAGAGACCGAGCGTTGGTCAGACCTATGGCAACTAAATATTTAACACATTTATGAAGTAACTTTTTAAAAATCTGATCCATTAATCCTACAGTAAATCATTCAAATCAGCCTTAGCTAATGATTCTTCTCTATCTTTAGCTGTGATTTAAGGCACACCAGCATTAAAAATTCTACCTCATCAATCATGCAGGGCTAATGGCACCTCTGTGTCCTCGTGACCTCTACAAAATGGCAGTCGCGTCCACACTTAGGATCCCTAATTCTGCTTGCTTAAAACACCAAAGAATTTTCAGACACCAAAAGCTATAGCATGAAAGCCTAGAGTCAGGTGGCATCCTGTGAAAAGACAAGACTTAAAAGTATTTTGCAGAAATGCTATCTGATGAGTAATTTTCACATGAGACTGAACTATTCAGAAACAGCAGGAATTCCAATACACATCCACTTCGGACAAAGGACTCAGGAAGTTTGAGAATCCAATGTAACAAATTTAACCGCTGCCCTCTCTTCATCTGTCACTGAGAACAGTTCTTAATATAGGAAGCACAGGGAATAAAGCAGTAAAGTCACTTCAAATCTAAGACAAATCCTTCTATCATTACTGGGGAAACAAAGGCACTGACAAATGAGGCTGACATGCCCTGGGTATCACACAGGCCTGAAAGAGCTGCAAGGGTCCTGCCTGGAGTTCCAAGCATGTCTCTCCTGCTCTGCTTCCCATCCAGATCCTGACTTGTTTACCGTCCTACGGCTGAGTTCAGGAGGTGGGGGACAGTGCATAAGACCTTTTTAAAGGACTATGTTTTGTTTTGACCGATGCAATCAATTATTAAAATTTAAGCATTGGCAATTCTGAAAGAAAGTGTCAGGTACTAGATCTATGCTGAAGTCACAGAAATATTAAACAAGATTGTAACATGGTTTACTAATGAACTTAGTGACCCGTCTTAACCTAAGAAATGTTCTATGATCGGAAAATAAGACACATGACACTGAGCTATTACCCAAGACATAAAGGAAGTTTGAGAGGATTGCATCTTTTCTTAGAGTACTTTTGAGAGCTTTTCTATAGTTTTAAATTCAATTTACATCTGGCCACATTAAAGAAGTGGCACTGCTTTGTGAGTCCTAAGTCTGAAATTAGAACTATTTATTCATCTCTAAAAGCAGCCAAAGCAATGACCCTTCATGCCTTTAACTTATACAACAGCTATTTCCTTTAAGTGGGGAAAAAAAAAAAAAAAAGCAACAAGAAACCAAAAAACACCCGTAGGCAAGGATACTGTCGCCTTCCCGGTCTTTCCCTCCCACCAGCTCCTGAGCTTACCTGAAGTCCTTCAGCTCCTGCTTGGCGCTGCCGTCCTCTCTCTTGTTCTCACTCAAGTCAGCAGCAGCTGCCAGCTGAAGGCTCCGGGTGACTGGCCCCCCACTCCGCTCTCTAGATTTTATATTGAACCGGTCTGTTCTTTTCTTACTCGCCAAGGTGGATTTGCTTTGTAAAACAGCTTTGCTTTTCTGTACCCTCACGTGCAGGCTCCGTGATGTTTTGCTGGAAAGCTGAGCAGAATGATTCTTGGCCACAGCTTTAGGTTTTTTCCCCTCAACATGAGTTATTTTGGCCATTCTTATCGGGCTGGAGTTCCTTAAAGAGGAGGAGCTTGGTTTTTTGGATTTCACCGAAGCTGCAAACTTGACGTTCTGCTTGGACCTGAAGGATGAGGAGGGAAGTGGGACTTGGGTGGGGCCTGAGCTGCGGGCTCTGGTCTTGCCCAACGGAGTCTGCATGCTTTGCATTTTAATCTCCGCATCCGCTGTCCGTCTGCGGTGGTTGCTGTTACTGTTTTTGTCACTACTTGCAGGTGATGAGTGTCCACCTTTCTTAGATGAATGAGAAACTTTTTTTTTGGGAGGAGAAAGGGGTTTTTTGGGACAGCTGAAGGCGGCGTGTTTATTCAGGCTTCCAATGTAAGTGAACTCTCGATTACAGTAAGGGCAGATGTGAGAGGATGACTCACAAGCATTTTTCAAGTCGGCCTTCTGCTTTGCAGATTTGTTTTTCTGAAGAATTGCTTTCTGTACTAGCTGATTTTTTTTCTTCAATGCATTTAATTTGAGCTTATTCGACGACATTTTGCTGAGCTCAACACTAAAGTTAAGCCTTTTGGGCTGTCCCATTCGTCGGAAGGCATTTTTCCCAGAGTTATCTAAAACCACCACGCCATTTTTGGGTTGCACAGTTTGTTTTAATGGTACTGGGTTTTTCTTAGGCGTGTACCTCTTCTTGTCACTTGCAGAAGCACAAGCCAGGATATGTTTGTGCAACTCCGGCATATTGTCGACACCTTTTCCACACTTTGTGCAGCGAATGGCGGTAGTGAAAGTCTGTGGAATATTGTGTGTAGTGAAATTTGTGGCTGTCACACCAATCCCCATGGGGTTACGGTGATGGTACTGAAATGGAGGTGGTTTAAAGCTTGGGTAATGCTGATTGAGGCCCAATCGAACATCTGGATCTTTTGTCTTTATTCCAGAAGCCATTATTTTTATAGTCGTGTAAAGCTCTTCAGAGGAATCATTTAACTCCTCTTCTTCTTTAGAAGTTTCTAAAGGATCTTCTGGCAAGCTCTGCATATGCTCTACATGGGCCTTGCTGGGATCTGTAAAGTTCTGGGGCCTCAGAGTCCCGCTTTCAAACTCGTGATGTGTGCACACCTTATCTGGGTGGAGATCTCGCTGGTGCTGCTGCAAATTGCACAAAAAAGCAAATTCTTTTTTACAAACAGAACACACAAAGATATTCCCAACTCCATGAAGCAAAAAGCGATGTTCTGACAAGTCCGTTTTATCCTTAAAAAGCTGCACACAAAATTCACATTTGAAGGGCCATTCTTCAGCATGAATAGATAAATGTTTGGTTAGATCTTTAATGGAAAGAAAAGGTGATTCACAGACGTTGCAAACAAAGTTTTTGTTGAATGTTTCCTGAACAACAACATCCTGTTCAGCAGCAGACTGGGGCTCTTCCCTGGGTTTCAGACCTTCATTCTCTAATTCCTCCTGTTTGAAAGATATCATGGGGAGAGAAGCCTCCAGATTATCACCAGAGGAAACAACAGATGATATTGCGGAGAGAGGAGGTGGAGAAGGAGAAGAGGAGGAAGATGAAGAAGAAAACGAAGAGGAGGAGGAAGATGAAGAGGAGGAAGAAGAAAGTGTTGGAGGCCCGGGTGAGGCGGCAGACATCAGGGGCTCCACGGGAGGAATGGGAGAGGGAGAGGGGGACACTGTTGGGGACAGAATTGGAAGTGGGGACTGTGCGGTGGCATTTGAGAGTGGAGAGGGGCATGGGTGTGGAGATGCACTGGAAGAGGGGGCTGGAAGAGGTACGGTAGGAAGGAGGGGAGGGGGCGGAGTGGCAACAGTTAATACCGGGGGACAGGGTGGAGGGGAAGAGGGATCTGTGGGGATCAAGAGAGGAGGCAGCTGACCGGATGAAAGGGAGGGTGTCTGCAGGGCAGGTGATGAAGGACAAACATCAGGTGTGGACTCAACAGTAGGGGCAGGGAAACCAGAGCCCGGACCGAGGTCAGGATCTGGCTGAGCTTCTAGGGATTTACAAGGACTTGGGCTCCTGGTCCCATCTGCAGGGTTTTCTACAGGTAAATCGATGCCATTATATTCATTGAGAAGAACCTTCTGCAGCATGCAGGTGGTTGGTTTCCTTTTCTTTACAGCACTACACGTAGGCTGCACTGAATGACTTTCTTTGAATTCCTTGCCTTCAGAGTCACTACAATGCTTTTTATGCACACTGAGATCTAAGACAGATTCCCACTGGACTGGAGTCTTGCCTGTACCCTCAGCCTTCTGTTTGACACCGCTGGATAAATCCAGTGGCTGCTGGTTGCACACACTGCTAAAAGCAGAACTAGCTGTCCACTCTTTAGACATTTTATATTCATCAAAGCATGGAGGGCTCACAGTTTCTCTCTCATCTCTCCCAGACAAACTCCATGCTGGTGAGTCGCTGTGACTTTCTAATTTGGATTTTTTGGAAGTCAGCCCGGCATCGGTCCATGCTGCTTTCCCATCACTTGGCTTTCCAAAGTCTCGAAGGGCAGGACTGTGCTGTGGAGAACTGGGAGGAGAGCTGGTCCGCCTCTTAAACCTACTTGAGGTCACAGGCAACATTGATGCAGGAGCAGACACACAAACAGGACCTAATTTAGCTATTTCAGTTGCTGAAATCCCTGCAGGAGTTAGTTTATCTTGGGTTTGAAGAAGTTGTTTGAGCTTTGATGACAAATAAACACTTTTCTCTTTGTGGAAAGACACTGCCTCTGTTGTTGATATGCTAAGAGGAAGACTTAAAGAGCAAGAGGGGACCATGGGGTCAGAGTCTGTTTCGGCCTTAATTTTGGGCAGTGCAGGTGGGCTCGCAGTTCTCCGCTTCTTGGCCTCACTATTTGTGCTGCCCAAAGGCTCTTTAGGAAGATCTTCTGTTACAGGGACCTGTGTGGTCTTTATATTTTGAGTAATTTCCACTGTAACTGGAGTGAGCAGACAATTTATACCATACAAATCTGCCGAAGCAGACTCCATCTCAATCACATCACAGTTACTAGTGTTGTTATTAGTTTGAATTTTACCATCAATATAGTAATTTAAGTTTTCAGAGATATTGCTAGAAATGTCCATGATGTACACATCATCTGCTTCCCCTTCCTCCTCCGGCTCTGTGCTTGGTACATACACGTTCTGGGTGGCCTGGGCCTGTTCTGCTGGAGGCTGGGGCTCTTCAAGGCCTCCTTTTCGCCGTACACCTTTGGGAATCAGATGACGTTCGTGAACTCTACGCTGATGCCGTCTCATATTAGTATGAGTTCCAAAAACCTTTTTACAATATTTGCACGGATGAAGTTCTTTAACTTCCCCATTCTCTTCTACGACAGAAGAATTTATTGTGTCTTGGGAAGCCTTCTCTGAATTCATGATCAGACAGTCTGGCCCAAGACTGGGAGGACTCGAATCATCTTTTGAAGCAACGTTTTCTCCAGATGCTTTGCCATCAGCCAGATCCTCTGACGGCTGTAGTGTTTGGCTGGGTTTCCGCTTTAACCCTGCTTCATGGCGCCGCTCATGTCGCCGCCGGTTAATCTGTGTGCCAAAGGCTTTCCCACAGTACTTGCATTTGAAAGCATGATTGACGGTGGATATATGGATATGCATGTGACGCTCAAGCCCCTGTTTGGTTGTAAACTTCCTTTCACAATGTTGACACGGAAACATAAACGTTTCAAATACATCACCATTGGCCTCTTCTTTAGTTCTGGGGATTTGCATGGCAGGTGTTACCTCTGAGCAGTCTTCAAGAGTTTCTTCTGAAGTTGTTTTTGGTTCCTCTAATAAATCTTCTGGCTTCTCATCACACCGTATTTCTGGCTCTTTCACAGAATTTTCATTTGGCATGCTGGCTTCTTCTTCCCCCTCGTCTTCCAACTCATCATCATCATCATCTTCTTCTTCTTCTTCATCCTCCTCCTCTTCCTCCTCCTCCTCTTCCCCCAAATCATTCACCTCACAAGCTGCCGCTTCTAATCGCTCGTCTGGTTCTGGCTGTGGCTCCCAGGCAGGGGCAGGGGTTGCTAGTTCTGGAGGCACCTCCTGACTGGCCACCTCCTGGAGGGTGGCCGGCTGCTCAAGTGCTGAGGCTGAAGGCTTCTCTTCGTCTTCTTTAGGACCTAGAAAGCACATGGAAGCAGAAGCATGGAAGTGAAGCATGGGAAACCAGCTACTTGGTGAACAATCTGAATGATTCAAGTTATTTCTCTTACCACCTAAAACATAAGGGAGATGATGATGAACAATAAATTACTTCTACTTTATATACTTAATTGACAAAGTTGTATTGGATATGAATCCACTTCATTCAACAAGTATTTAGGGTACCAGCCACGTACCAGGCAATATTCCCGGCAGTGAGGACACACACGAGCGCAACAGACAAGGATGTCCGTGTGGAGCTGGGGATTTGTGTTTAGTTGCAC
Source organism: Homo sapiens (assembly GCF_000001405.40). Lineage (NCBI taxonomy): Eukaryota > Metazoa > Chordata > Mammalia > Primates > Hominidae > Homo > Homo sapiens. The sequence continues at coordinate 13,778,111 of NC_000001.11, read as the reverse complement.
ACAGATACAACTCTGTTGACAGAAACTGTAGTGTTTAAAATCGTGTTGGAGTAGTCACTACTACATTTTAGGAGTAGTTGTAAATTCTAATTTCTCATGATTCCAAACTGGAAACAGTTCTTTACCAGACATATCACCAGGTTAGATCCTTGGAAGTCTGTCTGGAGTAAATGATCCTCTCTCCCTCTTAAATAAAATGTTATTCTCAGAAGCTAGAACATTTTCCAGAATCATGTAATCACAAGTTTTTCAAGCTAGACAATCTTTGGAGATCATCTCTTCTAAGCCTAGCCAAGTTATTAAGAACTCAGGAGCATCTCACTGAAGGGAACAGAAATCTGCAGTCACTTCGGAGTCCCTAGGCCTAGCCCACCTGAGGTGGGTGGTAGAAGGCAGTCAGGGAAGGACTTGCTTAGAAGGTGACAGTGGAGGAGAGACCTAAGGAAAATGAGGCATGCAAATATTGGGGGGGGGGGTGGGAGGAGGAGCCCTACTGGATAGAGGAACCCTCAAAATGCATAAGCGCTGAGTCAAGAACATACTAGATGCATTCAAAGAACAGCAAAGACATCAGTGAGGTGAGGTGGGGAAGCTGGGCAAAGTGAGGGCAGGAGGTAAGACTAGAGATGCAAACAGGGGCCTACTTACACAAGCCCCTGCAGGCTGCTGGCTTTTACTCTTGAGTGAAAACAGGGAGCTACCAGAAAGATCTAACGGAAATATATAATCTGACTTGTATTCAAGAGAATCACTCTGGTTACTACAAGGAAGATAGTGAACCCTAGGTGACAAGGGTGGAGGCAGATGGAAAGATGGGGCCCAATGCATCCTCCAGGAGAGGCAGGATGGTGGCACAGGGGTGGCAGCAGGGCGGGACTACAAGTGCTCTGGATATATTTTGTCAATGAAGTTGACAACATGCCTGCTGACTGGCTGTGGTGAGAGAGAAGAGGAGATTCCACGCAACTGCAATAATCCTGGCTAATAAAACGTTGGAAGACCACAAGAGAAGCAACTGTGGTCTGTGTGCATGTGCGTGTTGTGGGGGAAATCAAGAGCTTACTTCAGACGTGCTAAAGTTTAAGGTACCTGATTATAGACATCCAAGTAAATATATTAAGTAGACAGCTTTATATGAATCTGGAATTCAACAAAGAGGCTGGCCTAGAAATTTCAAAGTCCTAGAGAAGGCCAGAGAAGGTATTTAGAGCACTGGACTGGATGAGGTCACCTGGCAAGTGAACGCAGGCAGAAGAGGGATGAGAGGATTGTGTCCCAGATGACTCCACGACTGAGGCTGGGGGAAAGGCCAGTGAGGTATCCAGAGAACCAAGAGAGTGGTGGTCCTTTGGCAAAGTAAAGAAACTGCTTCAAGGAGGGCATGATCAGCTGTGTCCAGAACTCCTGATGGGTTGGATAAAATGAGGACTGAGAATGGAACATTCCATCTGCCAAGGCAGAGGTCTTGTGATTGTGACAGCAAGTGGAGTAGTGGGGACAAATGTCTAACAGAGTTCCTAAGAGAATGGAAGGAGATGGAGAGACAGGGAGACTATTAGCAACTCTTTCAAGTTTACCTGTAAAGAAAAAGAAATGGAGAAGAGACTGGAAGAAAACACAGGGACAAGAGGGGATTCTTAAAGACGGAAGCTGTAATCGCGGTTTCGTGCTAGTAGGAATGGTCCCCAATGCTGCTGTCGCGACAGTCCCACTTGCTGCACTGCAGAAGCGGACCCCTCTACTGCAGGCACTAGGAGAGTTAAGAAAGGTTCCACGGAGGAGGCAGAGCTATTCTGACTTCTTCTCCAGGCTACATTACCTGGCTGTTCCCCCAATCACTTGCAAATACTGACTTAGCACCCACTATCTGCCAGTACTAGGTAAACAAGACTGTCACGATCCTTACCCATAGAGAGCTTCACTTTAATACAAGCCACACACAAGCAGGAAGGCAACGAAACTGTAGAACATTGATGGCTGTGTTTATGGAAGTGAGTGTGGTACGGAAGCATCTCATATGGGTTTGATTAATCAGGAAAGGCTTCTTAGAGAAAGGACTAAGCAGACAGAACCTGAAGAATACAAGAATTAAGGACAGAAGAGGAAAAGCAAGCAGAAAAGAGTCAAAACATAGAGAACACTGTAAATTAATGTGGACTTATCTGGGGACAGTGGGGAGCCACTGAAGGTATCTGAAAGCAGGAGACTGCCATCTGGGAGATTCGGCTGCAGGGTGGGTGAAGGGATGGGGGAAGGTCATCACTGGAGGCCGAGGAGCAAGACTGGCAGAGCAGAATGAGAATGGAGATGCTGGCTGCTGTGCTAAGAAGGAAAGGGGAAGAGGCAGTGGAGGCAGAAAAGAGCAGCCAGACCCTCACGATCTGAGAGGCCTGCTACTGGACATGGGGACTGCGTGGATACAGTGGGGAAGAGGTCAATGCCAAGTATTACTCATACAAGCTCACTTATTCAGTCCTAGCCTCCTTGCTGTTTCCCAGGAATATCGGGAATTACTGTTTCCCATCTGCTACTCCATTTACTAGCAATGAGGTTTCTGTTTCCAAACAGAAACAGCCTTCTCTCCCCCTAGACTAATTTCATAAATTCCATGAGCTTTCCACAAAGTGGGAAACCAGTCATTCGACAGTAGTAACATATTTCAAATTAGGAGCTACCTCTCTTTTCAAAGATATTTTCAATAGAGACCCCGAATACTGCCAAAAGAGTTGAAATGAGACAACAGAAAACGCCAACTCTAAGGCTCAGAAATTTCCTAACAGACTTTATTTTCAGTCAAAATCTGTGGCTTCTTTTGATGGGGAAAAAATGTCTTTCCCCATGACTGGTAAACAATCCCAGATATAAAACTGTCCAAAGTAACATAAACCGAAGTCTGCACAGCTCCATTAACAAGCACGGCCCATGCCAGAGTGGATCCACGCACTTTATGTGGTCTCTGGAGTTTTGAACATAAAGGGAGGTTTGGGAGCACAAAGAAGAGTCTGAACTGTTTGCTCATGGTATAGACCATTTGCTGAGGACAACGCAGAACATTCAGCGGAAGCCTACGACACCACTTTGACCAGCTGTGCCAAATACTGGGGGGTGAAGAGCAAGTGTCATTTTTCTTTTTTTTTTTTTTTTGAGACGGAGTCTCGCTCTGTCGCCCAGGCTGGAGTGCAGTGGCACGATCTCGGCTCACTGCAAGCTCCGCCTCCTGGGTTCACACCATTTTCCTGCCTCAGCCTCCCGGACTACAGGCGCCCACCACCACGCCTGGCTAATTTTTTTGTATTTTTAGTAGAGACGGGGTTTCACCATGTTAGCCAGGATAGTCTCGATCTCCTGACCTTGTGATCCACCCGCCTCGGCCTCCCAAAGTGCTGGGATTACAGGCGTGAGCCACCGCGCCAGGCCAGCAAGTGTCATTTTTCATGGGACCTGATGTTGTGTCAGGAGAAAAATAATTGTCTCGAATTACTGAAGGGGAGTAGGTGACTGCTGAATCTGTTTTCTAATTCTACCGCCAAAGGTAGTGAGGTTCCTTAGTAATTTTTGTTGTTCAAAAAAAACTCTCGGCACACCTGCAATGAGGAGGCAGAACTTAGTCTTAAGACTCTGGGAAATGAACTTGACTATTCTTGTTTCACAGAAAATTATATCTTTTATGAATGTTATCATCACAAACAGTGCTTAAAAATGGTTATGAAAGGCATCCAAAATATTCTGGTTATTTTCCTCTACAAATATTTCTTAAAAGAGTCACAAACCTGTCTTCTGAAATTTGCCTACTTGGCTCACTATAAACAACTCAAGTAAGCTGCAATCTGCAAAAATTTGCCCATGGCAAATTAAGACACACCTCCTTCCCTTCTGTATCAATAGTCTCAATATGGTGGCCCAACTGCAATGAGCAGAGGGCAAGCTGTCTTTCTGATTAACTTTCAATCCATGCCTCTTGGTTGGATTCTTACGTCGTGGCAGGCCTAGAATATTATCACCAGAGGGACTATAAAGGAGAAAATTTTAAGGGGACAAACACGAAGAGACAAAATAAGAATTTAAATTCCAACAAAAAACAGAAACACACTTCATTCTGTATACTTTTTGTTCTGTTATACAAAAATCAAAGTCTCTGACATTGTAAGTAAATGCTTAATTTGAAGTATAAAACGTACATGTATTAAAGTGTACAAATAGTTGAGTATATAGCAAGATAAAATTTTCACTAAATATATATACCCATGTGACCATTCCACAGATGAATAATAGAAAACAGCGAGCACCCCAGGTGCCTCCTCATGTCCTTGCTATCACTATTTTTTGATGGTTTTGAACTTCATGCTATTTTTAAATGCAATCATATGTTTCATTTTATTATCATTATTTTTATTTTTTTAGAGACAGTCTCGCCCTGTCACCCAGGCTGGAGTACAGTGGGGGGATCACAGCTCAATGTAGCCTCTAACTCCTGGGCACCAGTGATCCTCCCACCTCAGCCTGTCAAGTAGCTAGAACTACAGGCACATGCCATCATCTTAGTGAATTTTCTTATTTTCTTTTGTAGAAACAGGGTCTCACTATGTTGCCCGGGCTGGCCTCAAACTCCTGGCCTCCAGAGATCCTTCTGGCTCAGCCTCCCAAAGTGCTGGGATTACAGGTGTGAGCCACCACACCTGGTCTCATTTTATTTTAACAAAGGAACAAGTTCATTTTTAAGAAGAAAAGTCTTTCACAATTGTTTGAAGGGAAGGTAGCATATAGAAGGCTCAGCTTACCACATTAAATTTAGGCAGCTTTTTTGCTGTTTAACCTCGTAAAGATCCTAAATGATTCTCAGAAGGACAATATAAAGAGATACAAAGTTAAATTCACTGGGTACATACACACCCAATTCAGACCAAGCCAATATCACAAGCTTACCTTCTGCAGAATCTCTCATATTTGCAGAGGTGAAATCTGGCTCACTTGTCTTCAGTTGTATGTCTTGGATTTTGTTTCCTTTGTTTTTATTTTCCTGGGATTTTTTCTTCCCTGAAACACAATTTTTTTTAATTTATTCATTCATTTTTTTTTTATTTATTCATTCATTCATTCCCTCATGTGTTATTCTGAATTACTGAAGATAATTATTAATCCAATCAAGAACACTGTATATTCCTGGGCAATTACCACTTTGGATTCCTAAAGAAAGGAATGAATGATGACTGTAAATACTCTGTTATATAGGTAAATTATGACAGAGGGGAAAAGAAAGAAACACATCAATCTTGCATTTTTGAGAATCTTGGGCATTAGTTCCCTTCATAGCTATAATGACTATCAAATTATGAGGTAACGTTACTATTGATGTCAAAGGAAAATTAGTAATAGCATTGAATTTCAATGCCACACAGCTAATAGGGATTGGCTATTTGTAAGAAGCATATTAGAGAAAAACAGTATGTTATAACTTGGGGCCCTTTTAGCTAAGACATGATTATCCATAATTGTTGGAAGCAAAACAAGAGAAGCAGAGATTCTGCGGAATTTCAAAAGATACACATTCACAATGGCTCAAATACCAAATGCAGAGTAATTATGAATAATTCACTGTCCACCAGCATGGCACTCTGAGAGCCCTAAGGGATCTGACTGTAGGTCCAGTCCAGGTCAATATTTCATTAACAATTCAGAGGATGGAATTCAGAAACACTGACTGCATTCCAAGTGATACCATACGTTTACAAGGTAAGATTAAATTGCAACATCGTTCTCATAAGTTGGAACAACGGAACTAAAGTCATGAAGATAAGAAACAATTATCTATAGGAGTAATAATACTGAAGAAGTCAGAAGCCCAGTTTCTTTAGGATTTAACCAGAATTTGCAACCTTTCTTTTACATTTTTTAATTACCAGATTTCTATTTTTCTGGAAGCTGGTGTTTCAGTCTTCAGATCCAGACAGATCCCCATTCTTCCGTAACAATCCTCCTTTTTCTCCGCTGCTCTCCCCCAGACAAACCTCCACCAGCTTCCAGAACTACAAGCCTCTGACACCTTTTATCTCTGCATTAGTAAAATCAAACTAAAAACGACTTAAAGCTGCTATATACACGTAAAGTTACATACTCCATAACAGAGAATCACTACCGGGAAGCATAATTAGCTAAAAATGTAAACAGACAAAAATGAGGTCAGAGACATAAAATAGCATCATTGAAAACATCTAGATTAAAAGTAGAAACATCAAATACAATACAAAGCAAAAACAAATCCTAAAAAACACCACCAGATTTTGACAAAAATTTGAGACATAACCTTAACAGTCATTTTGCTTGTTAGTCTTAAAACGTAAATTCTAAAATACCATTTTAAACACCTTTTTTTTTCTTTGTTTTTGAGATGGAGTCTCACTCTGTCGCCCAGGCTGGAGTGCAGTGGCACAATCTTGGCTCACTGCAAGCTCCGCCTCCCGGGTTCATGCCATTCTCCTGCCTCAGCCTCCCGAGTAGCTGGGACTACAGGCGCCCGCCAACACGCCCGGCTAATTTTTCGTATTTTAGTAGAGACGGGGTTTCACCATCTTAGCCAGGATGGTCTCGATCTCCTGACCTCATGATCCGCCTGCCTCGGCCTCCCAGAGTGCTGGGATTACAGGCATGAGCCACCGTGCCCGGCCTACATACCTAATTCTTCAGCCCATAGGAAATCCGATGTTTTTGCCACTACGTTTATCAGGGTTTGAGCAAATAAATTCCTGATAGCCTGTCTATCCATTCATTTCCAAAGGCACTTAAAATGGAACTCAAAAAACGAGCACACACTTCACCGGGACCACACTCTGGTGATAACAAGAGTGAAGGATCTGCATGGAGATGACCAACACACGTCTCCAGGTGAAGAATTATAAGCCAATCCCCTCCATAAGGGGCACAAACATCTAAGCACCTTTCCACAGGCATAACGTCCTCTTGTGACTCTTTCTCCCTTTGTCAACTTAACAGCATTTTGTCTAAATCAGATAATGACAAAGGTTCTTCAGGGATCCAGTTTTGTTTAAGGGAATTTGGATTCTACCTCCTTTCCATCAGTTTTCTTATGCTTATGACATAAGCTAGTTCTGCCTGTGTGTGATGCTCAGCCCGTATTAGATTACTGAGAGCAAACAAAATGCTTATCGCCCACCCACATCCATAATGCAAATATAATGACTACTGACATAACATAACTTCTCTGTGCTGCAACTGATGTGTGAGGAAATTCACGGCTTCTTTTATTACCATGTGAAGAGAGAGTTCCTGGTGTAGCCCACAGATTCAAAAATCATATTCAGAAACTTTTTCTCTGAACCCAAACAATGACATTTTTATAAGACATACCCCTCAGGTAACCCCAAACAGGCCAAGGAATGTGGCCTTTTTTTACTGATCATTTACTTAGTACTTACTTAGTATGAGCTTTTAAAATAAATTAAAATGGAGAGGTGTAATCTAAACCTTCACTCCTTGCATAAACCTCACACACATTTAAAGAAGGGCCACAGTGTAAAATTTAATAGAAAAACCGATGTCAATTTCTTGTAATACAGTCACTTGCAAAAAAAAATGCAAAGATTTTTCTACAACCTCCCAAGTGTTGTACAAACCCAGTCTGTAGGTCATATAAAAAGCCAAGTACACTGTTCTACATGTAAATAGAGTATTAAATAAGTAAAATGTCTAGATTTATATCTTAACAAAAGGAAGTACAATCTTAATACCATTAAGATGCACTCAAAATGAAATCACATAACTGTCTAAAACATAAGTGCTATTTTAAGTTTTATTCCCTACCTAAAAGAATGTTAGAGCACCTAGCTGATACTAAATGTCAAATGTCCTTTATTGGACAAACAAAACCTAATCAGCGAGAACTCCCTTTTCTCTCTCCAGGTGTCCTCTTTAAAAGCCATGACCCTGGAAACCCAATCCACTGTGAGGAGAAGCCATTTGCAGTAGGTACATCTCCAGTATCTTATCAGAGGACTAAGGAGGGGATCCCGCCACAGACCACTACAGGGTACCAAGGCGCCTCAACCGCAGCATGAACGACATCTGGGCCAGATCATCCTTGGCTGTGGGGTGGGCTGTCTGATGCACTGGAAGATGTTTAACTGCACCTGTAGCCACTATTTACTAGATGCTAGTGGCACCCCCCCTTCTAATTGTGACAATCCAAAGTCTCTAGACATGGCCAGATGTCCCCTGGGGAGAAGATTTCCCCAGGTTAAGAACCACTGGACTAGATCAATGCATTTCTGGATCACACTCGACGGTCTATACATGTATTAAAAACTACAAAAAGTACTTGAATAACACTAATAAGCCAATTCTAAAAATGGAGAGATGAAGAACTAAATTTACCACCAAACTAAATTTGGTGAATACCAACACACTTAGTTTATCAAGGAAATGAGTCTATCACAAGTCTATATCATTCATCCATGGAATTGAGATTATCTGACACCTGGAACAATGTTCTCAATCTTCATGAGAACCATCAGTTAAGTTACGTCTCATCGTGAGGGCCTTGGACTAGAGATGAAGGGGCTATTGAAATCACCTGTCCTGCCTTCAATTTTGTGGGAGAAAGTGAAGGCCAGCGCCAGAGGGGAAGTAATTAGCCTATGGCAGAACAGAAAGCAGAACCAGGGGTCCTGCCCACACATACACAGGCTTGGTGTCCCTCACAACCGCCAAATATTGCAGCAACAGGCGGTGGAACCTGCTACATTTCCTTAAACCAGTACTGATTTCTTCTGACACCTGATTTCTGTCCTATATGTCATCAAATTAAAAGAAAAAACCAAACCCATAAGGACATTTACAGAGGGGAGATGGCATTTGTGAGCTTCTCTCTGTGAGGCAGAGGAGCAGGAGCCGCTGGGAGGCCTGGCAAGCACACAAGTGCACTTACCATCGGGTCCTGGGGGTCCTACAGGGCGCTACTGCCAGCTGGCTGCTCCGCTTGGTCTAGACAAGAAAGAGGAATGAAACACAAGGGAAGTGAAATGGAAATGATGACAAGGAACAGCAGAGGGACAGGACAACACTATGTGCATGAGGAAAAGAAATGAATACATCAAGATGAGAAATTGAATACAACAGAAGGAAAACAGCAGTTATCTACTGCATCAAGGTGCTCACATGCCAAAAATAATGTTTAACTGTGTACTTAGTTGCTGAGAATAAGACCAATGTAGTATATTCATTCTTGGGCCTGTACTGTGCGCCCTTATTGTAAAACTGATGCCCCTGCCACTTAATGGATCAATTTTGCTAGAAGCCCCCAAAGTCCCAACGCATAAATCACTTTACAAGGTAGACACCCAAAGGGCAGAGATGTGAAATAACTTGCCCAATGACACACGACTACAGTAGCTGTAAAGCCAGAATGAAAACTCAAGGGCCAGGAGCAGTGGGTCACACCTGTAATCCCAGCACTTTGGGAGGCCGAGGCAGGTGGATCACCTGAGGTTAGGAGTTCGAGACCAGCCTGGCCAACATGGTGGGTGAAACCCCATCTCTACTAAAAATACAAAAATTAGCCAGCCATGGTGGAGGGCACCTGTAATCCCAGCTACTTGGGAGGCTGAGGCAGGAGAATCACTTGAACCCGGGAGGTGGAGACTGCAGTGAGCCGAGATCGTGCCACTGCATTCCAGCCTGAATGACAAGGGCAAAACTCCATCTTAAAAAAAAAAAGAAGGCCGGGCGCGGTGGCTCACGCCTGTAATCCCAGCACTTTGGGAGGCTAAGGTGGGCAGATCACGAGGTCAGGAGATCGAGACCATCCTGGCTAGTGCGGTGAAACCCCGTCTCTGCTAAAAACATAAAAGCATTAGCCGGGCGTGGTGGTGGGCGCCTGTAGTATAGTCCCAGCTACTTGGGAGGCTGAGGCAGGAGAATGGCGTGAACCCGGGAGGTGGAGCTTGCAGTGAGCCGAGATCACGCCACCGGACTCCAGCCTGGGCAACAGAGCGAGACTCCGTCTCAAAAAAAAAAAAAAAAAAAAACTCAAGGACAAAATGTTAAAAATGTTCTTTCTCTTAATAGTTACTTCTTAATATCAATAATGACTTAATATGCATACTTTTTCTTTTGAGACAGGGTCTTACTCTGTCTCTCACTCTGTCATTCAGGCTAGAGTGCGATGGCATGATCTCGATTCACTGCAGCCTCGACCTCCTGGGCTCAGGTGATCCCTCCTGCCTCAGCCTCCTATGTAGCTGAAACTACAGGCATGTGATACCATGCCTGACTAAATTTTGTTTCTTTTTTGTAGAGACAAGATCTTGCTGTTGTCCAGGCTGGTCTCGAACTCCTGGGCTCAGCAATCCTCTTGCCTTGGCCTCTCAAAAGTGCTGGGATTACAGATGTAGTCACGGCATCCAGCAGCATACCTTACTTTACAAAGCACTCTACAGATCCATTATTTCACTGGTTTCAAGTGCAAGTGAAAAAAGTTGCATAAAGACTTGCATCGGCCAGGCACAGTGGCTCATGCCTGTAATTCTAGCACTTTGGGAGGCCAAGGTAGGCAGATTGCTTAAGCTTAGGGGCTCAAGACCAGCCTTGGCAACATAGTGAGACCCCCGTATCTACCAAAAAAAAAAAAAAAAATAGAAAAAATTAGCTGTGCGTGGTGGTGTATGCCTGTGGTGCCAGCTACTTGGGAGGCTGAGGTGGGAGGATCACTCGACCTCAGAAGGTCATGGCTGCAGTGAGCCATGATCGTGCCACTGCACTCCAGCCTGGGCGACAGACTGTCTCAAAAACAAAACAAAGACTTAAACTGCATTTATAGTTTAAAAAAAAAAAAGCAACAATCAAATTGGAATGCTTTTTTTTATTTCTATTTTATCCTGTGCCAGAAACAAGTCAACAGCACAGAACCCTGATCTGAACAAGTATGATTCACCACTGAGTAATATCAATAAAACTGGATTTTGTAGTGAAATAGTTACCATACAAAGACATTCAACAGCCATAATGACTATTTTCTAAGACTATGTATAGCATTATACCACTGATGCCTGGGATATGAGTTACAAAATTAAAATTGCCTAAAGCGTCACATGAAAAATTTAACCTAGGTCTGGACTATGTTCTACTAGCCTAATAAATTGGACAGACACAGTAGGAAATTCTAGAGAATAATGTTTCACCTTAAAATGTTCAGGCAGTAGAGAGAATGCAAAATTCTGGGAGCCTTGCTCAAGTTACATTAAAAATTCATCACAACAGTGAAGGCTCATGCATTTGGTGATTTAAATGAATTAAATTTAAAACTATATGTAACTCTAGATGTGCTGCCTCCTCACTGGGGAGCTATCCAACTCTGAAGGATAAAATCAGAATTAAATATCTGTGCACAGAAGTTAGGTCCATCCGATCTTCACTTGGGGAGCTTCACAGTTGGTTCCAAAGCAGACAAGACTCCAACTGGGAGATTTCCACAGCTGTACCATGAATGGTCATCGAGGACACGGGCTTCCCAACAGGGCTGATACCAACTCACCAAGGTGGGTTGTGCCTGCTGCCTCCAGTTCCTCTGCCCTCCATCAGTCCTTCATCCTTGCAACTGAATTTCCACCCTCTCTACTCTACAGGCATCCAATTCCCATGGCTATCACTAATACCATAATTACAAAACCCAACAGTTCTTCAGGCTTTATTTGCCCCAAGTTTCTCCTTCACATTTGACAACTTGGTATTTCTTTCATTCTTAGAATTCCTCGTCCCAGCCTTAAGACACTACTATCTAGAATCTCACCCTTTTGCAGAGTCTTCCTCTTCTTCCTGCCCCTACATAAGAGGGCCCTTCCTAGGAAACTGAAGACTGGAACCATGCTTTCACACTAGGTTGAAGAAAGGCTTTGACAAAAGCATATGACTAAGCTGAGGGCACAGACCCTAGGGAACAGGGTAGATGTTGAACTCACTATGCTCAAGGCTGAGAGAAGAACCAGAACACTCTGGAGCAAAAAGAGCCTTGAAGGTCATCTCCGTCACCTGCACTTCAGGTAAGAATGAGCAATGCATTATAATATACAGCCTTTCAAATTTTTCAAAGTCAAAGGTGTCTTTCGTGACAGCAGGCCAGCTGTGGCACTAGTATCACTCAGGATACATCTGGTTTGGAGTAAAGTTAGAGTTCTCAAAGCAAGATGAAAAGGCTTAACTGGGAGGAGAAAAGTATAAAGTACATGTTAAATGACTCCTATAAAATTTTTAAAAATTACAATCTGTAATAGATTGTGTTGGTAAGGAAGAGGAATCGATGGATAATGGCAAAGTTGTTATCTTAAGAATGGCCAAGTGCAGGCCAGGTGCGGTGGCTCACGCCTGTAATCCCAACACTTTGGGAGGCCGAGGCAGGCAGAACACGAGGTCAGGAGCTCGAGACCAGACTGACCAACACGGTGAAATCCCATCTCTACTAAAAATACAAAAATTAGCCAGGCGCGGTACCACCGCGCCTGTAATTCCAGCTACTCAGGAGGCTGAGACAGGATAATCGCTTGAACCCAGGAGGCGGAGGCTGCAGTGAGCCTAGATCCCGCCACTGCACTCCAGCCTGGGTGACAGAGCGAGACTCCATCTCAAAAAAAAAAACAAAAGAATAGCCAAGTGATGCTATGTGTGAGATGGTGAAGGTCGACTGGAATTAGACCTCAGCTCTGCTGCATATGTGCCTAGTAGTTTAACGTTCTACAGTTGGGTTGATGATAGAGAGGAAGAGAGAAGCTGGAAATGGATACCTAAAATTAAGTTTTCCATAAGGAATTAACAGTTCATTTCAATATTCTTAATGTATGCTTTAATGTAAGAGAATGACTTGGTACTCTGGAAGTCATCAAATGTCATTAACAAAAGAACTGGGAGACTTGGGCAGAAGGACTGATGGGGGCACCAGTGTGCCTCAACCAGAAATGCTTTCAGAAAGGTTTGCAGCGGGGTGGGTGTGGTTATCAGAGGATCACAAGTGGCTGTTACAACTGGTCAAGGCGCGATCAGTGGCAAAGCAAGCCCCATAGATCTGAAGTAGTAAGACACTGCAACAGTTAGTTTTTATAAAAGTTAACATGCCATGCATTTTCTATAGTTTCCTTTTTCACTTAAAATAACTTTGAAACTTATCTGACAGTAAAAAATTCTGTTAAGCTCGTTTGGCATAATTTCAAATCTTTTTCTGCAGTTAAAGTCACCAAGAACTATCTGTAATCCTGGAGGCAAATTATAAAAATAAAACCTCTCTGGTTTTAGGTAGCTCATGGTATTAAAACACAACTCTAGGTTTTGCTTCCAACAGAAACAATGGAAAAGTTTTAGATTTTGCAGTTCTGCAGATTGCAGTATAAATTCCTGAAATGCTTGCTTCCCACCAGGGGGGCTGTTGCACAGCCTCTGCAGCTGTGGAGGCTGCAGGCTACCCTAACTCTTCCAAATGTCAGGCTGATAGGAGAATAGCAAAGATCCATCGGAAGGGAGTCCGAGCTTTTATGCTGTCAGAAAAAGGCTTTCAGTGGTTTTGACTGGATAATTCCACATCTTAAGAAAGGGCTTCCCAAACAAACTTCACCAAATTCAAGATAAGAAAGCATTAAGTTTCCTTACCTTCTTTGGAGCCTCAAAAAGTGTTGTGGCATGAACAAAATGATTTGGGAGAATAATTAAATATAAACAAGATGCTGACCTGTTCTACTTCATAATCAATTTCTAGGTTTCTTTCTCACGTTTTTTTAGTAGCCTGAAAAATGTACCTAAAATCTGAAAACCTTACATATAAATAGTGACGAGGCAACTACAAAATAAAGAACCTAATTCAACTTATGGACTCAGCCCCCCGTGGCTGAAAAAACCAAAGTGGGAGGTGTTGTAGAGGAGGTGCATTTCCAGTACCTGGCAACCCTGAAAACAGAAGAGACAGCCACGCCCTCGAGAATTGCTTACTCTCAGCTAAGAAGAAAATCATGTTTCCCCCTTTAAAGCCCATGACAAATTTTACAATACTGCATCCTGATGAATTAACTACAACATCGTTTTAAAATATTTTCAAGGAGTAAAAATTTGACATAAATATGAAACAAGATACAATGAAAACACTCAAAATTCATTCTTCACATTTGGTTACAGAAATGCCCATATGAACAATGGTCAAGCCACATGACTAATTAATCAAATCAGGCTACGATATATCCACAGAGATAAATTTAAGGAAAATCAAGAGGATATACATTCAGATTTTGGCAGGTGGCTCCCAGTGAGAGAGTATTGATAAGGGTATGATATTTCTATCTGATTGTATTTTCTCAGATGAGCACTTGGTTACATTACACACAAAAAAATGAATACATGATTTTTCATAAAGAAGACGCCAACAAAAGTAAAAACAATGAGATAATTGAAAATGTTTTTATTGGTTGAGACAAAATATAACACTTTAAAATTTTGTAAAATACGCAGTTTTACAAGTGCTATTTGGAAAAAGCCTCTACTTTGTACTTGGCCTAGATGGCAAAAAGTACTGCTCAAGTGTTTCTCTCTTGTCTACTGCCTACCCATAAAACTCAGGAAAACCGTTCAGGAAAAAAACCACAATCCCCAGTAACATCAAACCCACAATGGACACACAGTTATAAAGACTTTAAAGGGATTAAAAATACAAGAGATACCATTAAATAGCCAAAAATGCTTAGCATTCAAATTACCCTGTTAACCTTTTGGTAGACATCTTTCAATTCCATGCTACACATCATCACTTCAAACAAAAAAATCATCTGTTTCCTCTTTCCAAACAGCCACATACCCCATATTCTTTTTCCTGTTCACCGCACTTGGTTCTTATACCCATCATTATTTAAATCAAATATCTAATTTAAACAATCATGTTGAATGCCTGCCAGTATTAACCTAAGGGTCGATGTCTTGGCAGTTGGCTGTGATCATCATTCTTTACCTCAGCCTTTATTTTGCTTCTCTTAAAAATGCAAAGACTAAGCAACGGCATTTGAATATGCCACATTTTAGCAGAGGTTTATAAAAACAAGAGCATTTACAGAGATACTAAGCTACCTAATCACTCGGCCCACCATGAAATGAGGCACTTTTATTCCAGCACAGGTTTTCAGACTCAGCTCCACTGCTGCTGATCAAACAGATCCCACTGCTGTGGAGGATCTCAACTGTGCCCCAGCCACCTCCTGCCTGCAGCTGTGCCTCTATGAGCACTCACGGACCGACACATCATCCACATAATCGCAGGGGAGGATGTAAAGTTCCATCCACCAAGGGAGCCAGGTAAAGCCGGGAAGCCTGAGGAGCGCGCGCTGTGGACCTGGCCTTGCTAACAGGCTCTGGCACTGAGAATGGAGCCTTTCAGAAGCACACAATCTTCCTTGGTGCTGGTCTCCAAGGATTATCCCACATTGTCCTTGAGCTGAGGCTTTTCTATTTTTTGCCAATATAGGGGTAAAGTAATGACCACAGGGAACAAACTGAGCCTGGGAGGAAGGCTCACAGAGGACTAGGGCTTGAAACAGGAGTCCTTCCTAGGCCAGCGTCCAATGGCTGGTGGAAAGGGTCTCTCAACCTATGCACTCATTTCACCTGCTCCCAGCAGGTTCCTGTGTCTCCAAGGTTACTCGTGCTCCCTGCAAAGAGCTGACGCTAACTGAGGCGAGACAGTGGGCTAGGCTCTTGTCCCCTTCCCCAGTGTGGTGGTGGCACTCACAATAGTAGGTCCTCAAGGTAAGTTTGGTCCACAAAAACAGATACCCATAAAAGTGAAATAGCATGAAACACTGCTGCGCAGCCCTTGGGCCATGATTTGATTAACAAGAAATAATCCCATTCGAGGCAGATGGGAACCAGCTCTGATATATACTGGTAATACTGATCGGATACTGTTGTCAAAGAGAAGTAAATGAGGTAATGCACAAAACGAATGCCACACAGTGCCTGGCACAGACTCAATAAATGGAATCGATTGTAAGGAGTATCCACAGATGCTACTAAACAAATTACAGAAAGTGCACGCCTACAAATCTAAATTGTCGGCATATGTTCCTTCATATGAAGACAATGGCGTTCTGCTTCCACTAACAATTCCTAATTCATCCATTTGTTTTGTTCATTTGTTCTCCGCTGATTCACAGGATCCCACCCAGATATTATTATAAAAATGTACAAGTCCAATGAAGACAGAAGTTAGAGAGAATTCTGTCACTCACTCACTCATGTCCACATCAGTATATACTAATGCTCTAACAGTGTAAGCTGTGAGTGTATTTCATTTTTAAAGTCTGTAACCTACTGATTTTATTGCTCCTAACTGTCTCTGCTTGAGTTTGAAAACTGAACATACTGGTTCACTGTGGTGGTTCTTAATCTTTCGGAGAGGAGACTTCTGAGTATCAAGTAACACCTAAGGCCCTTCTCCCCAGTCACAAACGGACGTAAACACAACATTTGGTAGACAACACTGGGGGTCAGGGACTCCTGTGTTATTACAAAGTTAAGCTGTGAGTTTGTACAAGCATTGTGTATCAACAGAAGGAATGTACCTGTGCGACTGCTGAAAAAGAACTCCAACTCCTCAGAAAGCCCAGTCAAGATGCTGCACAGATCATCGGGACATTTCTTCCCGGAAAACTGGTATCGTCAAATTAATTAGCACCTTCTAAGAAAACTGTCCTTTCGTCCATTTGTTTTTTTCCTGATTTCACACCCAGAAAGACTGTAAAAAAAAATTTGTCATATACAGCCCTGAAACTGCTCCCACACAATTACTTTCAGGGCTGTCTGATAATTTAATACCTAAGAAAATGTTAAGAAAAATTCATTCACATAAAATCCTCTTATAACTGTCATGAGTGCTTTGGACCACATAAAGGTAAGACGAGCAAACAGTGAGACGTGTTTGCTTCTGCCCAGGCAAATGGAACAAATCAAATTCCAAGAGTTACCTAATGCACCAACCTATGTCACCACAGGTGTCCTCGTTTGGTTAACAGTGAAACAAGACAGCTTTTAAGAGAGAAGCAGGTTTCTTGCACATGAAGAATTCCTTAGTGCCACGATGTAGCTATTTAGGTGCAGATCCAAACAGGCCCTTTACTCTTAACTAATTTGAAACCCACTTAATTCACTCCACGATGCAAAAGGAAAATATATGGATTTTAAGAGAACTTGTTACACAAGATGGTGAAACTGCTCATTTTTTTTTTTTTTTAGAAGTGTGCCAACCGGCCAGAGAACGGCAGTTACCACAGAATGTATTTTGCTGGTGCCCACCATTACAATGGGATGAACCAAAGGTTGGTGTGCCAGGAATGTTCCTATAATGTTCTCACTTAATGCTCACAGCAACCTTGTAGGGTAGGTAGCTCATATTCCCATTTTATAGACAGAAAAATTAAGGACCAAAACATGGAGAGTAACCCATCCGAAGTCACAATGCAATTAACTGGTGCAGCTGGTATGTGAATCTGGTCTCTTAATTCCAAAGCTATGTTCTGGTGTATCACAATAAATTCTGCATGCTGCACATCTCCTAACACTCAAGGTATAGCTGGGTCAGCAACTTTCCCCCTCTCCCCTCCAGCCAACATACACGCACACTCCAGGCTCATTTTAAACAAGCTATCCATTTTCAAAGTACTGATCAATCTGCATCTAATGCAAAAGCAACACTGAAGCCCAAGCAGTATATTCCCACCCACTAAAAAAAATTTTTAGGCAGGTTTTTTTTTTAATGTGCTTAGCATAGAAACTGAAGGTAGGGGGAAGCACAAGAATCATTTGCTATGAAAACAAAGTTCACCAATTCCATGTACTTTCTGACAATCACCCATGAGATTTATAGGATCCTGTCTTTAAAACTTAAAAGGGTCAGACAGAAATTGAGTAAGTATCACTTTTTCTTGATTTAATATTTTCTGCACTCTACTACAACCCCAAATTTTATCTTGGCATACAAACAGTAATTTACATTATCTTCTATCCTGAATTCCTGGATTTATAATAACTAAAAATAGGTATTAAGCTTACCACTCAAATTTGATCTTATCAAACAAGCCCATGACCCACCTAACAAGGGAAGGACACTGTGGATCACACCTTTAGCAATTAACAAAATTCCTAAAATCAAGTAGATTTGGAATCTTAAACCCCTGGTCCAAAAATCCAAGATTGAGACCACTGACAACATATGATATTTATTATTATTATTGATACTTTTTCCTTATTTTCTTGGATATCAAAGGGAAATTATAATTTCAACATTAGTGCTAATCCTACAAAAATTACAGTCCATCGTGTGTAAACAGTCAAGGAGATTGTTCCACATATAAAAGATCAAAACTACAACTATTATCATCATGGTGCTGCCCACAGCGTAAACCTGCTACAGAAGATTAGAAGACTTGGGACCCAGCTATGACCAACATTAACATCGTCATGGCAAAAGCACCAAGACAAGAGGTGGACAGTAGGAACTCTCATTTCTCACAGGCCCTTAGACATTCTGCTTATGGCCAGTAATCTCTTTATTCCAGAGAAGCAGGCTCTGATAATCCCAAACATGAAAGACAAAAATGTAGCCAACAGAACCAGAAAGGCATATCCTACATCTCAAACTGGCAACAGAATGAAAACTGAACCTGAGAGGCCAAATGGTAAAAAGAATAACAAAAGGCTCAGAAACTGCATTGTTGCCCATTCTAAACGGCATTGCAACTTCAAACATTGCACATAATTCCGTCTTGGGGTTCTAAACATGGGTGAACAAACCAGTTTGCCTTCATTTTTCTGGCATGTGGTGTTTCAGGAAATCTACAAAAGACTGCCCCAAGAGGTAGGTTTATAAATACAAGAAAAAAGATTGTTTATCGCTGTAGTTTTCATTTAAAAAAAAAAAAAAAAAGGGTAGGGGAATTTTAGCCTAAGCAATGCTGAATTAGTTTTCTTTTTAACCGGCCAATCCTTTGCTACTCTCCATAACTGGTAACAGACAGCTAATTCACTAAGAGTGAAATTAGTTTTTCATCATTCAGACACTGATTAAACTAACAAGAACATATAAAATTGAAAGTCATGAAAAGTATCAAATTAGCAGTATTTTAGATGTTATATTCTTATCTTATAAACTGTTATTTTTATATACCACACACACAGTATCATTATCTTATTCATTAGAATAAATCTCTTGCCTCTGAAACTATTCAAATAGTCTATTAAAAATAAAAAATGGTATGTACTTTTAATATATAAGCATCTAAAATAACTACACGTTGACTAGATTATTAAAACTTTCATCAAAATATTTTTAAATTTCAGGATCATGGCCACAGAAGCAGGAATAGCAAGCAGCTACAATAAATGCTCCAGAACACTGAGAATTTTCTAGTCTCTTACCCAGAATCCCTTAGGATATTTTCTTAATATACGCACCAAGTTTTAACCTTTTAAACAAAGTTACCTTCTCCTATTTTTCAGAGAACAGGTTAGAACAGAAAGAAAAATGCTAAAGACCTTTGAAAATTGAAAGCATAGATTACAAACTGTAGTTCTGCCTTGCCTACAGTATGTTTGGGTGGTTGGGGCGGGTGTTAACTACTTACTTTTTTTTTTTTTTTTTTTGAGACAAAGTCTCACTCTGCTGCCCAGGCTGGAGTGCAGTGGTGCGATCTCGGCTCACTGCAACCTCCGCCTCCCAAGTTCAAGCGATTCTTGTGCCTCAGCCTCCCGAGTAGCTAGTATTACAGGCTCCAGCCACCACCACGCCCAGCTAATTTTTGTATTTTTAGTAGAGACGGGGTTTTACCATGTTGTCCAGGCTGTTCTCAAACTCCTGACCTCAGGCGATCCACCCACCTCTGCCTCTCAAAGTGCTGGGATTACAGGTGTGAGCCACCGCGCCTGGCTACGACTTACTAAGTCTTAACAATCAAATAAAGTACTCTCAGTAAAAGTTCCAAGTAGAAAAAGCCACATTACATTTGGCTACAAACTCAAGCAGTTTTAAAAATTTTATATAGACATACATATTCTAAGAATCTATTGTGGGATAAAGACAATGAGGAAATCAACGCGTGCCCCTCCTTAGGAAAATTCAAGAGCACACATGGATAGGTTAGGGTGACTCTTTTCACCTTCTGGTCTTCTTTAATGCTTCTCCTCTGGTATGAGTCAAGCAGCTAGAATAGGAAAGCTTTATCAGCAAACAAAACCTCTTAGGAAGGTACTGCTTCAAATAGTTCATGTGCATTCCTCTTAAATGAAAGTTAAAAAAAAAAAAAAAAAAAAAAGCTATCCACCTCTGCAAATAAACATTTTGGCAAAACAAATAAAAAACAAAATGTCACCACCTAAAGCTGAAAAGACTAACAAGCATGATGTAACTCAATTATATCCACAAACAAATCAGAATTGCACTTACAGTTTCTGTAATTAATCTTTAGACTACACATTAATTAAAAAGCATGTTCATTGTCTATATAACATTCAGCTTAAGAAAACTTTAAAATGTGTATTTTTATTGGTGGAACAACCAGACTGTTAACCCAGTCTCAACACAAGACCAGTGCTGCAGAGCTGACAGCTAAAGCTTCTCATCAATAAGACAAAATGAAAGAGCTCTATAATCCTAAACTCGATCCTCTGCACTGCAGAGGGAGTTAGGCAAAAGCAATGTCTTACTGTGCTCTTTTGGTTTCAAAACTAATGCCAAAATAATATAAAACCTAAGAGAAAGAAAATATTCATTAGAAACTTAAACCAACAAATATGTCATTTAAAAAACACTTGAAAGACAATAGCTAGAAAGCAGTAAAAATGCAATCTGTGTTTTTAAAAACTATTTGGGGTGTTTGAAGGAATACAATATACCTATGCAATCCATAAATCTCCAAAGCAAAAACAGCTGAAGGTGTCACCATGACTGGTCTCTCCTACACCAAACACTTCACTTAATCATAGTCTTGGTATTTAGAATTAAAGTGGGCACTTCTTACAGTGAGCAGTGAAAATTCACCTTGGCTAGTTAGTAAAGCAAATAAAACACTGCAATTTATACAGTATAACTGTCCTACTTAGAAACATCATGCATAAAAACTGGATTTAGACAGACAGAGCCTTTTATTTAGGACCTGTGTGAACTCGGCCAAAGCACATAACCCCTCGGAGCATCAGTTTCCTCTTCTACAAATGAGGATATGGATCTCAACTTCGCAGGATTATTGGGAGGATTAGCTATGGTATACACAGAGCAACCAACATAATGCTAGAAACGAGTGTAACTGCTGTCATTGTCACCATCAACAGAAGTGAGCAATTCATGGCATAATGACATGATGTGCAAATAAGTGTCAAGTCATGACATATGTCCACATCAAAATACATTGTAATAAATGAATTCATCCAAGAACTCTTGTAATGTATGAAAACTGGTTTAATCTGGGTGGCAAAAAGAAAAACAGCTACTTGCAGTATTTCTCTTTTTCACTTAGAGAATAGCATTTTCAAGTAACTTTTGTTTCTCCATGTCATTCAGCTCCTCTAAACTATTTCAACCAAATTAGGAATATTAATAAAACACTCTGAGCCAGATGGATGGTCAAAATAAAACTTCAGGCCTGTACTTGGCAGCATGTGAAATATAAACAAGCCATCTGAATGCCAACAAAGTACCATGCCAGTCTACCTGAAACTTCAGCTTCAGTTCACCATACAACATTTAACTAAAAGAAAAGTCTATTTTTAACCTCCACAATGGTGTTCTTGGGATATTTATCCAAGCCCTCAATTCTTTTTTTTTTTTTTTTTGAGAAGGAGTCTCGCTCTGTTGCCCAGGCTGGAGTGCTGTGGCGCAATCTCGGCTCACTACAAGCTCTGCCTCCCGGGTTCACGCCATTCTCCTGCCTCAGCCTCCGGAGTAGCTGGGACTACAGGCGCCCGCCACCACGCCCAGCTAATTTTTTTGTATTTTTTTTTTTTTTTTAGAAGAGACAGGGTTTCACCATGTTAGCCAGGATGGTCTCGATCTCCTGACCTTGTGATCCACCCGCCTCAGCCTCCCAAAGCGCTGGGATTACAGGTGTGAGCCATTGCGCCCAGCCTCCAATTCCTCAATTCTTTAGAGGCAACTTTAAATACAAAGCTACACCCTGTACAAGCCTGTAATACCAGCTATTAGGGAGGCTAAGGCAGGGAGACAGCTTGAGCTCAGGAGTTCGAGTCCAACCTGGGCAACACAGAAAGACCCTGTCTCTACAAAATAAATAAACTTTAAAAGTTATTTTATTGAAAAATAAAATAACTACACCCTCCTCTCTATAATGCTCCCACGAACATTAGGTTTGAATGTCGTAACAGCTATCTGTAAACTGGAACATGAAATTGTCTAGGGAAAAAAAAACACTGAACGAGTTTAAAAAAAAACAATAAAAATTCATCATTTAGAAAAATAACCTAGTGTTCATATTTAAGGAAAACACAGGAAATTAGGTTTTTTACTTTCAAATTATAAGTGGATTTGTAAAAATCAACTAAAGTATTTTGAACTAACTATAAGGATCTTGTTACCTCTTTTATATAGTTTAGAAAATTTAATCATAATCGAACTTTATTTCTGTATTAGGCAAGTCTTACCTTCCAATTTACATATGGACAAGAGAACCAAAATAACCACCTAAAAATAGGGCACAGCATGGTTCCCAATACACTCAATTATGATATTTAAAACTTTTTAATCATGGCATATGTTAGGATTTTTGCAAATCCACCCACTAAAATACAGCTAAAAAATTTGCAAAATGCTTTGAAAAATTTACGTTAATCCACATAATTTCCCTGTAAACAAGGATAGACATAAGAATCAAAGGCACAAAACGAAAATACTGACCAACATTTTCATCTAAATTTGGAGCAATTCAGTAGCAGCAGCAGAACTGCAAATTTTTTATAATTCCCGAACTCCTACTGTTGAAAAACTACTAATTAAAACCGTACTGAGCTTTTAAAAACAGACCGCCACCATAACAGCAGCAGAGTTCATCCTGGCAGGCAACCACCAGAGACGGGACATTCAATGCTCAGCAAAGGCACCCTCAGCTAGGAGGCAGCCAGAAAGCTACAGCAGAGACAGGCCCCTCCAAGACTGACCAACCCAGAAACAGCTCATTTGTGTCTCATGCCACAAGCTTGCCAGCAAAAAGCCAGACACAGGAATACTGCCATGTCCAAGCACTCCACATCCTGCTCCAGCACCTGCAAACAGGAACCACAGGCCAGTGCCCTATAAGTCAGTGGGCACAGGACCTGCCCACCAGGCACCCAGTAGGCATAGGGCCCATCTACCATCATCCTCAGACACCACAGCCAGGCCTCTGTCATTCAGCTTAGAGCCTGAAACAGAGCTGCTGGCTGCTACGAAAGGTTAGGAGATCAAACTCCACGGAAGCCCGTCCACTCTCTGCTTTTATTAAATGTATTCTCTAAGTTCAACTTTAAATGGAACCAATGCTGTCACTTCTGTTGTTGTCAACTGCATGTAGGAGTGGACAAAAAGCTCCACATTATGTAGAAGAAAAGGCATGGGAAAACTGGTTCAAATTCTGACTGTGACACTCATTGGTAGGGTGATCTTGGACAAGTTATCCAATTTTGGAAAGTGTCCTTTTCCTTCTCTCCCACATCAACCAGAACACCCACTAAGTCTGACCTGTGCGTGGCTGTCATGAAACGGACTGGAGACTCCGCACTGGAGGAGGATGCTGCCTGCTGTAGTCATCTCTCTCATCTCCCCCACCAACCAACCCAGCCACTTGGTGCAGCGCCTGGCAGAAAAAGGGCCAATATATGTCCATTTGCAGAACTGAGTTTCATAATCCAAAAATACTCATGTAGGTTTCTACATGAGTAGAACTGCTAATAGAACTAGGTCCCTCTTCCTGGAGACCTCAGCCCCTAGAACTTCCTGTGTCACTTATGTCACAACCTCAGAATGGTCACCCCTGATCTCCCACCTACAGTCAGGCCATACCTCCTCCACCCACCCTGCAAAACACTACTGACATGACAAGGTTTACCTACTTCATCTGTTGGCCTGTACTCCCCACTCTCCAGAATGTGATTCCATGTGAACAGGGACCCTTGTCATTTTAGTTCTTTGCTGAAACTCCAGCACCCAGAATAGTGCCTGACACAGATGCAAGGAATACTTGTTAAGTAACAGAAGGGAAGACCATCCACACAGTCACAACTTCTCAGTCCCCAAGGTTCCTCTTGATGTCCTCCTCCTTCCTCTCTCTCTTCTGAAACATCCCCATCCTGCCACTCTTTCTACATAAAGGCTCCCTAGCCAGCCCAGCCCAGCTCAGCATCCCTTTTTCCTTCTCTTAGGGAGGGTCAATAGTCCTTACTGCCTATACCATCCGTGTTGCACTTTTTTTAGACTACCTTAGACTGAGTTATCTTTGCATGTGGCTGTCTTACCTCCCTATATTTTAAGTTTCTAAAGGCTTGTTATTTCGCACCTTTAGAGAAGAATTTCAAATATGTACAATTTCAAAAAACTTGAGTGTCGTCACAGTACCAAGGTTTTTAATTTAAACAATTCTGATCGTAGAGACAGATAAAATATTACTTTGCTAAGCTGATTATAATTTAACTGTTCTGTGGTGACTAAGAGTCGCTGAGATAAATACTTATAAGCTATAGCTGATATTCTCAGGCACTACTGACGGTTTTTAGGAAGGACTATCTGAACCTACTAACTGACCTTAAGGAACTTGTTCTTTATAATTCATTACCGATTTTGTAATAAACTTTCTGTCTTCTTCACTATCCAGCTTTCAGGTATAAAAACTTCTTGCCGCTATAAACTCTTCTCTCTTAATTTGCTGTGAACAGCGAGGTCAATAGGTTAGAACCTAAAATAAGGGTGAATCAGCACAGAATGAGGCTGTGACGTAGGAGGGAAGAGGGAAAGAAGAGACCCAGTGCTTATTTTGGGCTTACACAGGTGCTCCATAAATCCCCATTGATTAAATGAGTCACCAACTCAGTAGTTCCTCCGCAAGTAGCAGGGAAGTAAACGCCAGCCATGTTCTAAGGAGTGGTACTTACAGTTCCCAAGAGCCCACAGCTTCACAGAGCATGTTTCTATTATCTCACTTGCTCTTGACAACTTTGTGAGGTTAGGTGGCACAAGCATCATCGATATGATGATATTCATTTTTAAGGCTAGGGAAACTTCATCTCAGAAAGGTGACATGAGCTGTCCAAGATCGCACACCTGGTAAACGCCCAGGCATCCCGTCTTTTTCATTCCTTCCACTAAGCCCATTTGTAGAAAGCCACTGTTGTTTCTCCAGGTAAAAGAACTTCAGGTTAAGGCTCTTATGTAACTGAGAGAGCAGGGAAAACACTCTGCTATTATAATCTACACTCTGGAAGAGCATTTGCCAACAGTCATTGCTTACTGCTAACAAGCAAATTCAATTTCTCATTTCTCACCAAAACAAACAGGGGACAGAAATCAAGAAGATGAGAAATACTTCTAAATTTGACCGTTTCTATGCTATTTTATAATTATAATTTTTCTGTGGTTCACATTAAAATAGCCTGAAACACCTGACACTAAAAACCCTCCTTGCTCTCTACCTGAAAGATTAATCTATTCCATCTAAGGAACTTATTTTCCATTTTACAGAGGCTGCTCAGATATGTAAAAAGTGAAGCTCAATTACAAATCTGGGAATCCAAATTAAAGTCCAGTTTAAAATGCTGATGTATATCCATCTTTGGCCCATGGCAAAAATGCACGCTCCAAGGTCGCAGACAATATGAACTGTGTTCTCATAGCACTGCATTCTTTTCCTTCCTAACACATTTGTGTGAGTCATTGCCAATCAATGAATATTTATTGAGGGCCTACTACATGCCAACTGTCTAGGCACTGATCAGCTATTTACTGATTTAACGTTTGTCGGCGCCATAAGAAGAGTCGCCGCTGCTTTTTTGCTCATCACTGTGTGCTACAACCCAGCAGAGTGCCTAGTACACAGCAGGGGCTCAATAAACATTAGATGAATGAATGAATATGGGGAGGGGAGGGGAGGGGAGGAGAGAAGAAAGGTGATGAGGGGAGAGAGAAGGGGCCACTACTTTGTATATAAAGAAATCAGGGCTTTGCTCTACCCAAACACGCCTTATGATCCACCAGCGATCTGATGAATTCTGAAAGGCACCACATGCAATGCACAGCTGTAAGTATAGCAGCTGTCACGCAAAGGAGCTGAGGTCCAGAACTATGAAGAATTCAGCCCTTTGTTTTTCTCTCTGTCTCATAACGAAAATGAAGTCAAGCCCACTGTCAATCTACCTGTCGGCTCTATGTATTCAACATGCGGCTTTCAGCAATACTAAGTTAACACTGCCTCTGAATGACATTTATGTTGATTCACTCTCTGACATCACTGCCTGAAAAGATATTATTTAAATGTTTGAGGTCACACATAAGACCTAAACAGAACTGAGTTAATTAAAAAAAAAAAAAAAGACTCCATTTCAGGTCTTTGCAAGCTATAAATTGGTTTTAACTGAGTATTTAATTTAAAAGTAAAAAAGGTTTGACTCATTACTTAAACTCTCCAAAGTTTAAGTCTTAAAGAGCAAATAGGTCTCTTTAACCAGTAAGCTGTTAAAAACAGACTGTAAGTTCCAACAGAGAGCTCTGCATAAACATAAGTCTTTTAATTAATTAAAACCTAGGATTCTGGGTTATAGGCTGCCCAGAGTAGTACAAAATAATAGGATAATAAGAAATATGAACTATTTAATACGAAACACCAACAGTCTACGCAGGTATAAAAATGCAGCTATTAAGTTCATATATCACTAATAAAACAAAAAGTATATGTTCAAGTTTTTCCCCAAATCCAACCAAGAGAAAAATAAACAGATAAACAAAAAAGCAAAAGAGTAATGACATATGTTCTAAACATGCACACTAAAGTATGCCAAACAGAGAAAAGCGTTAAAGTAAGGTTGCTATTAAACTACAAATCTATTTAAGTACAGGAGTTAGTTATGATTAGTGGCACAGTAAAGAGGGTACTGTCCTCCCCATCTCCAGCCCCCTACAAATAACTTACCCGGAAGGCTGGTAACATTAGTTATAAACAAAATGAATACTAAATAAAGAAACAAGTTGAATTACATAAAAAGTTTTCACTACAAACAGTTAAGCACTAAGCCTAATAGCAATAAAATCCCAGAACTCAGTTAAAAGTTAAAAAAAAAAAAAACTGGGAATTTTCTAGACTCTGATCGTCTGATTCAGGATCAAAAGCATTTAATGCTCTGAAGCAGTGACTACATCACATTCAATAAATAGACAATGCATATTCAGTAATAGGCCTACTAACTGTTTCACGGGGGAATTAATTCTATTTCCATTTTGTGGTGACATACAAAGAATACATACTTGAAAAATCAGAACAGACTTCTTGCCTACATTCCTTAATGCCGATTTTAACATTTTCCCAAATCGAGTTTACGATATGATTTTATTTACAGTATGACTTCCACAACTCACTTTGCAATGTTCTGGATAAAGGATGGACTCGTTCGTTCAGATGACTAAAAAGAAATCTACTTAAGACCTAAGGAGAGCAAAAAAAAAACAAAAAAACAAAAAAACAAAAAACACAAACCTGTATTTGTATCAATAAGAAACTAACCATACTGTGCCTTGGCATATTTTCAAACTGGGATCTATGAACTATTCCCCAATTCACATTAAAATTCTTCATTAAAAAAAAAAGCCCCAACGTGTCAGTATGCCCACTGGAAATATGATACAGCCAACCAAACTATTTTCCTACCCAGAAATTATCCCCTCCCTTTTTAAGTGTGACTACACTTTACCTTTTGTTCGAAATCATCAGAAGTCGTAAAACTATGAGAATTGAGTCAAAACGACAAAACAACACGCTCTCTAACTTCCACATCCCCCTGGGCATCCTTTCGGAAGCCCACCGCACCCGCAGTCTCCCTGCCCTCCCCGCCGCCTCCTGTCTCTGTCTCTCACTGTCTCTGCCTCCCCCACTCCCACACCCCGACTCCGCGACCGACGCGGCCCGCGTCCTGCGCGGCGGGCCCGAGTCTGCGGAGCCGGGGCTGTCAAGCTAGCCGCGAGAAAGCTCGGGCGCCCGCCGTGCGCGCGGCTGCGGAGCGCGGCTTGGGGTGCCAGCGGGGGAACGTCCGGCCCCGGAACGCCGTCCGCGCACTTTCTGCCGCCCAGGAGCTAAGTCACAAGTTAAGAAACAGCCCGAGCGCGCGGCGGCCGTGATTCAGCAGCGGGGCCGGGTCGGCAGGGCGGGAGGGCAGCGATCGCAGGGCCCGAGCGGGACCGCAGGGCGGGAGCGGGGCCGGGGCAGGGCCGAGTCCGGAAAAGGTCACCGAGATGCCGCGGGCGCCGCCGCCCGAGCCCGCGACCCGCCTCGCGGTCGGGCCAGCAGCAGCGAGGGCGGCAGGGCGGCGTCCTGGGCGGGCGTGGCGCCGGGGCCGGGCGGGCGGGCCGGGGGGCTCCTACCTTTCCGGCTCTTGGGGGAGCTCCGCTTGCTCCGGGCGCTGGCTCGCTCTTCCTCAATCGCAGCTGCTATCTCAGGGTTGTCTTCCCCATTGTACCAGACCAGGAGCTCCTCGCCCGGCGCGATTGGCTGCGGGGAGAGAAGAGACAAGCGCCGGGCCAATCAGAGCGGCGGTTGTTGGCGGGGGCGGGGCGCGCACCGGGACGCGGGCGGGAGCGGCGCCGATGGCAAACAGCTGTCGGCGGCGCCGCGCGCACCCGGCCGGCAGGAAGGGCTCCCGGCCCCGTGCGGGCCGCGCCGGCGCCCGGAACCCTCTGCTGGAGGGAGGACCGCACCCGCGGCGTGGGGCGAGGGGCGCGGAAGGCCCGGTGACGGGTAGCGGAGCCCGGGTGCTGTCCCAGTTTCCTGTTTAAAGCCTCACGACGGCCCACGCACGAGAAAAAATAAAACATGGGCCCATTTTGCTCACGAAATCTAAGTCGAGGAGAAATGTAAAGCATAACTGAAAAGCGTGCGGTGTGGAAAGCGGAGTGCTGAAAGACAACGACTAGCGCGCGTTCCAGACCAAGAGCAACTTCAACAGGACAACGAGGAGGAACCACGCGCAAGCACTTACAAATGCGCCGCGGTTTCTATCCCAGAGCCGCCAACGGGAGGCCGCCCGGGGCCACCAACCTGCTCTGGTCCAGGGAGGTCCGTGCCTCGCCCTTCGGACCGGACATCAAACTTCCACATTTTAACTTTTAAATACAGCAGGAAGTATCTCCCATGTATTATGCTCCTAAACCATCACATTCTTAAGCCACGTATGACTGGAAGTAGTGAGGGCCACCATCAAATTGATTCCACCCAGAACAAGATCCCGAAGAAAAGATCCACTGAGTGCAAAGTTCACACCCCTAGAATTTGGGGAAACAGCCTATTGGTTTCTCTCACAACAAATGATCTGTTAAAAAAGTTACAAGGGTATCAATACAAGTAAAATTCTATCTAAAACCCACTGAATAAAATGAGAATCCGTGAGTCCAGCCTCATGTGAATGAATGAAGAAAGGAAGGAATGAACAAGTAAATAAAAAGGAAAGCTCTTCCTTAAAGGAGATCCCAACTAATCAGTAAAAAAGAAATGTTGGAATTAGAAAAGCGCCATTTGGCAATCATCACAGTAATGATTAATTCAGGCAAGAATCATAAATGGATGCTAAAAGTAGGTAAAAGTTTGAGGAGTAACAAAACACATAGCCTCAGAATATCTCCCCATAAAATATTTATTAATTACAAAAGAAAAAAAACAACACTTTTGTAATAAGACATACCAACATCATATGTCTCCTGATACGATGCACAGAAAACAGAGCATCACTTCTGGTAGATTTCTGCCCAAAATGCATACGTCGAATCTAATCATGATGAAACCATAAGAGAAGCTCAAACTCTGGGACATTCTACAAAATAACCAACCAGTTCTCAAAACTGAAAGGTTATAAAAGACAAAGACTAAGGTACCAGCCAAACACATAAGACATAACAACTGAATGTGGAAACGTTTTCTTTTCCTACAAAGACATGATTGGAACAATTGACAGAACCTGAGTAAGGTGTACATATTAGCTAGTAAAATAATGTGTTGCTGTTAGCTTCCTGATTTGGATCATTGCACAATGGTTATCCAAGAGAGTGATCCTTTTTGTTTTTTGTTTCTTTTTTTTTTTTTTTTTTTTGCGGGGAGGGAGATTCCACCTACGGTTTAGAAACAAAATAGTTCCTCACTTCAACATACCTTCTAGTCTAGATAAAGCCCCCAAAAGTGAATATTACTTCGTTTAATTCTCTGCAGAACTCTCACTGTCTACACAGTCCAAATTTAAAAATATTCTAAATTCTTTAAATTAAAACAAGGCAGCTGTTTCCTTGGCTCTCACCCACCCCTAAGAAGGCTAAAATCTGCCTTTTTCTTATTTTTGAACCAATACATGATTTCCCTTCTTGAACCAGTTAAATCTAACCAAAAAACTTACTTTAATATATATTAATAAATTAAAACAGCCATCAAGAACGCCTTTTGGCATTCTGATGAACTAATCTGTTGAAAGAACAGGCTTATGTTAAAGTAAACTGTTTCTAGATTGTGTAAATTCCAAATGTATACTTTCTCTATTTTTTTGTTATAAGTCACATATTGAAGTGGTATCAACTAATATTTGAAATGACTAGAGTTCTCAGAAATATGAAAAGTCTTCAAACCAATGCAAAAAAGAGCATGGGAAGGAGTGAAGACAAATGTATTCCCCATATATTCCCCCACTGAAATGGTATAACCAGAGAACTGGCTAGAAGATACCACCGGACATTTTCAAGATACCTCTAAGAATAAGAGCTTAAGTTTCCCTGTTCACTCCACTGCAGTTGTCAGTGAAGTGCTAACTGAACTAGCAACTTGGTGAAGTTAAATATCCACACAAACTCTACTTGGGAGGGCACTCATGTCCTAAGATATTCTTGTTGCTGCAAAACACACAAAGTAAAAACACACCAGAATCTGTATCACAAATCAAATATAAAATTTCTAGCACTGGTGAAGTGTTAGATCAAGAGGAACACATTCGTTAGCTGCTAAACAGCCTTCAAAATTATTAGCGGGCATAGTGGCTCATGGCTGCAATCCCAGAACTTTGGGAGGCCAAGGCAGGCGAATCGCTTGAGCGCAGGAGTTTGAGACCAGCCTGGGCAACATGGCGAAACTCTGTCTCTACTGAAAATACAAAAATTAGCAAGGCATGGTGGTGTGTGCCTGTAGTCACAGCTATTCAGGAGGCTCAAGTAGGAGAATCACTGGAGCTTGGGAGGTGGAGGCTGCAGTGAGCCAAGATTGTGTCACTGCACTCCAGCCCACAAGACAGAGTGAGACCCTATCTTAAAAAATAAATAAATAAATAAATAAATAAATAAATAAATAAATAAAAACAAGTAGTAGAAAACAAAACAAAAATTATTAGCAACTTGAAATGGTTATATTACGGAGCGATATATGCTTCGCAACTTTATATTAAAACAGCTACACCAATAGACCCTATGAAGAGGAAAAATAATAGTATTTTTTTTAAACCAAGGCTTGTTTTCTTCCATATTATAATATATTGGTTTTTTTCTTCTGTACTGGTTAGCATTTTTAAGTCAAGTTCAGAAGAAAAGAAAAACTACTCCCTTCAACAAAGGAAATATAAATCCACATTAAAAAAATAAAGTCAAAAGACCAAACAACCTCTTTTTAAATATATTTTAATATTAAAAAAATTAACAACAACAAAGATTTTAAACTCTTCCCACTTTCTCTTTGGGTTCAAACAGGTATAAAACCAAGAATCTGCTCCATATTCTCTCCTTTAAACATCAGCATATATAAAATAAAACTTGAAATTTTACCAAACAAATCAGGAAGAAGCAAGAGTTCTAATATTCCTTATACTGGGTAAGGAATATTAGAAAAATGTGTCAGAAATATTAGAAAATTAGAGAAGTATTCCAGAATCACTCAAACACACACAGTACATCCACTCATACCCACCTACGATCCAGTCCCCAGCACGGTCTTTTAAAAAATCATAGGTCAGATCTCGGCCTCAACTCGCCAGTGGGTGAACAGCACTTAAGCCTAAAACTCATCCATCCCTGCAGACCTCAACAGCCTCATCTCCTAAGATTCCTCTCCTCCTCCCTACAGCCACATGGGCTTTTGTTCTATTCCTTTAAAATAAAAAACAAACAAAAGGCTGGGCACGGTGGCTCACGCCTGTAAATCCCAGCATTTTGGGAGGCCGAGGTGGGCAGATCACGAGGTCAGGAGTTCGAGACCACCTGACCAATATGGTGAAACCCCGTCTCTACTAAAAATACAAAATTTAGCTGGGCATGGTGGCATGCGCCCATAGTCCCAGCTACTCAAGAGGCTGGGGCAGAAGAATCGCTTGAACCTGGGAGGCGGAGGTTGCAATGAGCCAAGATCACGCCATTGCACTCCAGCCTGGGCGACAGAGCACAACTCTGTCTCAAAAAAAAAAAAAAAAACCATTAGCTTATTCCTACTCCAAGGTCTTTGCTCCTACCACTCCTCTTCCTGGACTGTTCTTCCAGCAGACCTTTTGCATGGCCAGCTCCTTCCTATCCAAGGAGTGGGGTTCGAACGTCTGTCCTCAGGAAGGCCTTCCCTGACTCACTGGAGACAAAGCAGCCCTCTCCTACCTAGCTAGTCTCTATCACATTTCCCTGTCTTAACACACTGATCGCTACCAGAAATTACTTTCTTATTTACTTATTATCTGCCTCTTCCCCTATAACACGAAACATCCTCCAGACCAGAGACCTTGTCTGTCCTGTTCACTACTATAGGAGAGTACTTGGTATACAGTAGACTCTCAATAGATATTCACCAAACTAATGAACAGAGAAATGAATAGATAGCAGATTTAACAGCTAACTTTCAGGAATTTTAAATCATTTCTAATCATATTACAAACAAAACCAGTGTTGAGATTTCCCAATTATCTGGGTATAATAATAAGTTGAGAAGATACAGAGCCCACAGAGCAGCACATGTAATTTCTTCACAAAGCCTAACCCACGGGACACTTAATCTAGAAGAATAGAGTTAGATAATCACTAGTAAAAAATCTGAAAGGCTTTGTACATACTTGAGCAGATATCAAAGATAAAGACTGGGGGAGGTCTGCAAAAATCAGAACTATGTTATTTCGGACAAAGGTAAAAATAATAGTACTAGTATAGCTAGTTAACACTTGAGGACTTACACTGAACTAAGAACTGTTCACAGAACCTTATATATATATATATATTGGCTTGTTTAACCTTCACAACAAACTATGAAGCAGTTTTATTATTACCTCCACTTTATGGATGAGAAAACTAAGACACAGAGAGATCCTTTGCGTGGTCACATATCTAGAAGCCAAAATTTGCTCACAAGTCAGTCTGCTCCAGAGTCCCCACTCCTGACCATGACACCATACCACCTTGTGAAAAATAACAACAATCATGTATAAGCACTTACTAGGTGCTGGAGCTCTATCCGTATTCACCCATGCAATCATCACAACAATCCTATGAGGTCAATACCATAATTACCTGTATCTTACAATGTGGGAATTGAGGCACACAGAAGGACTTAGCTAAGGTTACAAAGCTAATAAGGTCACACCTACTTGCCTTGGGTCACAGCAAGTCAAGATCTAACCCAGGCAGTCTGGCTTCAGAGTTCACTCTCCTAACCACTATTCTATCTTGATTCTCAGTGTTTCTGTGAATTTGCATCAGAGATGAACACATTTTAACTTGAAGTACAATGAAGGAATTGCAGTGTCCTAATATCTACATGAGCTTGCATGCCTCCAAAACTTCCTTCCTATTACCTTGATTGTCTCATATTCATCCCCTAGCTAGTATTTCATCTCCACCAGGATTCAACCTCACTGATTCAACCATATGTATTTCTCCTTTAAATACTTCTGAGAAACAATGCATTCTTGAATCCAACTTCACACTCCTATATAAGAAAATTGTAGAGTAATACCTACTAGAAAAGCATGCTACTACGATCCAGCAGAATAAAAATGGAAAACAAGGTTTTTAAAGTCCTAAATAAGAAAGTGTAACAAAAAATCTGCAGGGACTGGATACAAGGACCTGGGTATAAATGTGATAAAAGGCAGTCTAGTTGGCTAACAATGTCAGGAAAGATGCAGCAAAATTAAACAGCTACAGGTTAACTAAACTTCAGAAGGCCTACTGCCACTACACTAACAAAACACAGCACACTGCAAAGCTGGCCACAATTTGAAATGTGTGCTCATCAAAAGTGTTCAACTCCATGGAGATCATTTTTTCCATAGACTATTCTCCAACCTATGACATTTTTAATGGAAGTAAGTGAATAAAGAGAAACTTGCCTTATAGCAATTTTGCTATCTATTGCAAAAAGCAACAACCATCCATCTTAACAGGCTGGAAATTCTGCCTTAGAATATCTCCATGTATAATGTGAGGATCTGTCTTTTTTTTTTTTTTTTTTTTTTTTTTTGAGACAGAGTCTTGCTCTGTTACCCAGGCTGGAGTGCAGTGGTGTGATCTTGGCTCACTGCAAACCCTCCCTCCCAGGTTCACGCCCTTCTCCTGCCTCAGCCTCCCGAGTAGCTGGGACTACAGGTGCCCGCCACCATGCCTGGCTTATTTTTTGTATTTTTTAGTAGAGACGGGGTTTCACCATGTTAGCCAGGATGGTCTCAATCTCCTGACCTCATGATCCGCCCGCCTTGGCCTCCCAAAGCGCTGGGATTACAGGCGTGAGCCACTGCGCCCGTCCGGATCTGTCTTCTTAAAGAATGTGACCCATGAAAATGAGGGAGATATGGCCTTTGCTCAACAAAGAAATGCAGCAACACTCCACGCTTCCTCACACTCATGTCCCTGAATGTGCTCCATAACCTCATTACCAATCCTAAAACATGACTTTCTTCTTCTTTTCAACAATTAATATCTCCAAAGAAAAATTTGGCAGAAAGGAAGAAACATGTTCTGTTCAATTTGTATTCTGAGTAAAATTTAGGGAAAAGAAAAGCTAATCCAAGGCTGCATTAATATCAGAGACTAACAGTGTGTATTCAGTTAACACAGACCCACCATACCTACTGATAGTTTCTTACAGTAGGATAAATCTGCCAGACAGTTCCTAATGCCTCTGTGTCATAGGAGAAGGGAAGCAGCTGCCACATGCTTAACTCATCAGTATCTTTCAAGATGCAGTGTGTAATTACTTAACACGATCTTCATGCTTTAGCTCCATGACACACACAGGTAACCATATATTAAAACACAGAACCTTAAGAGTGTGGATAAAGCACTTCCCAATATAATCCCTCCCAGGTCTGCAAAGTCATTGTCAGTCACAACTAAGGACAGCATTAGAAAAATATAAGCAGGCCCAGGCATTGTGGCTTGTGCCGGTAATCCCAGCACTTTGGGAGGCTGAGGCAGGTAGATCGCTTGAGCCCAGCAGTTTGAGACCAGCCTGGGTAACATAGCAAAGCTCTGTCTCTACAAAAAATTCAAAACTCAGCCGGGTGTGGTGGCATGTGCCCATAGTCCTGGCTACTCGGGAGGTTGAGGTCCGAGGATCGCCCAAGGCTGGGGAGGCTTAGGCTGCAGTGAGCCGTGATGGAGCCCCTGCACTCCAGCCTGAGAGACAGAATGAGACCGTCTCAAAAAAAGAAAAAGGAAAACACAAGCAGCGTAACTAACAGTAAATTAATTCTAATGCTGTTACCTTTAAAGTTTTATAGTAAATGGCTCTGTTGATTTCCAGTGGGAATAAATTTTGCTCTTCTCCTGAGCAAGCCCAATTCACATATCGCAGCCAGTTTCCCTTCTCTGGATCAGTGGCATCAATGCACATCCATCCCAAATTTGGGTAATACACCTTGAAAATGGAGAAAAGTAAAAAACTTTTGTTAAAATAGGAGTATCTTTAAAATGCCTCCATTTTTAACTTTTAAGGATAATTCTTTTTCATTATATGCAAGTACTCTATATAAAGCATTTCATAAAAACAAAACAAGCGACAGAGAAAAGAAAAATACAAGGTGAAAACTGAAATTCGAAACTGTAATTCTCATTATTTTTCTATTTAGGTTTGTTTGCCCCGCGCCCCCCACCCCTACACACACACACACACACACACACACACACACACACACACACACAAACTTAAAGAGCTATAGTCAGCATGCTTGGGATCTCCAAATGCTTTACAAATACGTACACAGAGACAAATGACAACTATGCTCTGTAAAGTGTGACTTAGAAAGGAAAACAGCTTGCAGTGGTATTCAGCAGCACCCAAATCCCAAGCTTTCTGGGTTGCTCTGCTAATCGAGTATGGCACCTGGCCCTGCAGGGCTATACAATTCAGCAGGTCCCTTTCTGGCAGAGGTGGCAGGGACTTCAGGAGTGAACACGCATTGTGAACCAGGCACATGGGTGACAGGATATGATGCTTCTGCAAACTCAACTGACCCTTAAAACATACTCCATCCAGAGCATCTGCAAGGATGAAGGGGTGATGGAATAGACTCTGGGAAATATCAGTGGCCTTCAAAAAGAAAAGGACCAAAACCTCAACCCCTTCCAGGAGTCAAATCAAATCTCCTCTTGCAAGAAGCCTTCCCTTCTCACCCACACCAATTCCTCCCACAGATGCTTCCAGCACTTATTTATCATCCTTCATTTTAAAAGAACATCTATTTGGCAACTATTTTTAACTTTAATTTTGTATATACATGCATACATATACACATTTTCCCAAAACCAGTCTACAAAACACTCGAGTAGGCACTGAAACAGAACTGCAGAATCAACTGGCTGACAGACGTGCTGGGCAAAAGAAATGAGTCTTTTACTTTATTTTTA
Source organism: Homo sapiens (assembly GCF_000001405.40). Taxonomy (NCBI): domain Eukaryota; kingdom Metazoa; phylum Chordata; class Mammalia; order Primates; family Hominidae; genus Homo; species Homo sapiens. The sequence goes on along the minus strand of NC_000001.11, from coordinate 13,741,015 downwards.
GGAAGAAAGGATATAATCTAGATGTTTCCATTTCTTTCTCATTATTCCCACCACTCATGCCTTCTTCCCTCCCGTACCCACATTAATCACCTTTCTTTACTGCAACTTTCCTTCTGGAACAAAGCTCCCACTCCCCCCGCTGATGGTGAGGATGCTGCTCTTCTGGGCATGCCTGGGTGTCTAGGCCTGTGATTGCCAAGGGGCAGCATCCACCTTACCGGGCCCTAACACTGCCTTCTTCCTCTTGAAAGTCAAACATCAGGCATAATGCTACATGCCTGACATATTATCTCATTTAACCCTATGTAGCAGGCTTATTAGCTCTCCTTTCAACATGTGAAAATTGAGGCTCAAAAGTTAAATAACTTTCCCAAAGTCACCTGTTTAATTGTCATAAAGAAAGGCTTCGACTCAGATCTCCTTGTCTTCTGTGTATCACTGCCTTCCTTGACCATCCTAGTTAACTGAACTACCAACATCTAATGAGCACCTACTGCGTAACAGGTACCATGCTAGAAGGTGCACTGTAGTTACTTTAATCATCATAGGCACCAAGGAGAGTATCTGTACACAGTAACTTACATTATTACCCCATCTGCAACATAAACTGCCCCTGGGCTCAGGGATAATAAGTTTCATTTTAATTTACTGCAGTGATGGCAAAGTCCCACTCACTCCCCACCCAAATACTGGCACAGCTACTGAGACTGATGAGACTACGGAGACAAACACAGAGATAGTTGCCAAGAAAACCACACAGTTCACAAGGTAGCTGGAGTCTATCTACCTGCCTCAGGATAAAAATATAGGTTGTGCCACAACTTCCTGGCTCTCAGGTCAATACAGCCATTTGCAAAAAGCAAAGTGTTACAGTTGAGTACAATTTTTATTCATACATAACTCATTTTGTTTCAAAGGAGACTAAGGCATCTTCTAAGTCATACTGACTGATGTACAAAAAGAGAATACTTGCTTTTGTAGAAAAAGATGACACTTCAATTTTTAAAAATAGGCCAAGAAGTAATTCACAAACGAATACACGTAGCCAAAACCTCATAATACTAAACTTAGTTAATAAAAAATAACTTGAAAGCAAAACAATTTTAACCTTTTAAATGGGCACACAAAAAAAATTTCTTAAAGATAGGAAAGGGTGTGAAAAAACAGATATTCCCCCAAACACCTCTGAACAGAAAACAAATTGATTTTGTGAAGAATTTAGCAGTACCTGACCAAAAATATATATATATATTTAAAATATACACAGACTAACCAGCACATACACTTGTAGGAATTCATTCTAATGAGATCATTGGACAATTGTACCCAGATGTATATACAAAAATGTTCACAGAAGTGTGGTTTACTGTAAATTGCTTCCAATTCATGGCTAAATGGAAAACAATATGGAATTAACTCAGTAAATTATGGTCCATCCATATAGCTGAAACCTTAGACACTAAAAAGTACTGTGGTGCAAATGATTAATTAGATTATATGGCACGATTTATTTCCTGTTAGATATACCTATATACTTGAAAATTTTTTCCAATAAACATGCATTATTTCTGTAATTAGAAGACAGCAAAGATAACCAGATGTTGTGGAAATACATTGATCAGCATAAAGGCATTCACAATACGTTGATGATTGAATAAAGCATTTATAGGCCAGGCACGGTGGTTCACGCCTGTAATCCCAGCACTCTGGGAGGCCGAGACGGGAGGAATCATGAGGTCAGGAGATTGAGACCATCCTGGCTAACACGGTGAAACCCCATCTCTACTAAAAATACAAAAAAATTAGCCGGGCGTGGTGGCGGGTGCCAGAAGTCCCAGCTACTGGGGAGGCTGAGGCAGGAGAATGGCGTGAACACGGGAGGCAGAGCTTGCAGTGAGCCAAGATCGCGTCACTGCACTCCAGCCTGGGCGACAGAGCAAGACTCTGTCTCAGAAAAAAAAAAGGAATAAAGAAAAAAAAGATAATCTCAATTTGGTAAAAAAGTGTTTCAATGAAAGCCTTTTTTTTTTTAAATAAAGGATTTTATTGACATTGCTACCGAGAAAATACTATACCTTCTTGGTATGTTCAAATTCCAGTTGTGTTTCAGTTACAGAATTAGATACCTGAAGGGTTTGTTGAAGATTATAAAACTGACATCCTACAGAATTAAATTTCTGGTGACTACAGACAAAAACGGGTCTTCAGTATCAACTACTTCACTCCTCAGATTACTTTAGGAGATCAGAGACTTCTTTTAAGAACTATTCTAATACATCACTGTATTCTAAAATGTTCTGAAAATTCTAGAATAAGGAAATAAAAGAGAATCTAACAGGTGATAGCACATTTTATTTCAATAAGCCCACTTGTCAGAGGACATTTCCCAAAACATAGGTTACTTTTATAGAGATACTAAAATACAAGTTTAAAAAATAAATAGCTTGGCCTCTCGAGCCCTTGAAGCCGCACTAACAGACCCTCTCTTAAAATTAGACTAACTAGATTTTATACTACAACTACACAAATGTTTCTGGAAAATCTCCCAGCAACAAATGCACAACAAATGTTGACTGGTTCACAGTAGACCCCCAGTGAACGGCCACTGGACAAATAATTTATTTTCACTCTTAAATCAGAAATTCTATCTATGAACCACAGATGTTTAAGAATCCCATATAACCGTATAAGTAACATGCAAAATTTTGTGCACATATGTGCATTTGTGTACTTTCGGGGGAGATTCTCAAAAGGGTCCACAACACAAAAAAAGTGTAAGAGTCTCTGGGCTTTGCTAACAGGAAGAAGACTGAATAAGCAACCAAGAAATGGGCTCCTGGCCTGATTCCAGGACTAATATTCTAACAATATTATTTTTAAAAAGGCCCTTATTTAAAAAAGGCTTTCACTGAAACACTTTTTTACCAAAGTGAGATCATCTTTTTTTTTCTTTATTCCTACTTTTAAATGAGGGTAAGTTCCTAACAGATTTGTTAGGAACTTCATGAAGCCACATAGAACTCAGATTTCTTGCCTGTGGAAAGATCTAGGTCACTTCTAGTATATCTTTATTCCACAAATAAAAATTTCCATGAGGTATTACCAGTAGTTTATAACACCACAAACATTTTATGCCAAGCATGGTGTTCAAGAACTTAAGACAGTGCCTGGTATGTGCTAAAAGCTTAATAGGGGTTAAATGAATGAATAAATAAACTCCCAAAGAGAGTTTTTTTTTTTACACCAGACCAAGCTGCCAATCTGAGTACAAGTAAACCTGTTCAAAAAGATCACTTAATTCTCTGTACTTCAATGTCCTTGTCTGTCCTACAGTTCCTGAGAGAAGAGGAATGTAATTGGCTCATCTGTTTCTATGACAACCAATTCTACAGCCATCCCACACCTTTAATTACTTCATTCAAAACCTATGCACTGCTATTAACCACTCAGCTTCTCAGCAAACCTGAAACCAGACATCACCACATTCACTCCTACTGCTACTCTTCCCTACACATCAAGACCAGGGCTCAGCAAACTTTCTGTAAAGGGCCACACACAAATATTTGCAGTTTTGCAGGCCATATGGTCTCCATCACCACTGCTCAACTCTGTGATTATGGGGCAAAAGAAGCCATAGATAATATTTAAATGAATGACCAGAGCTGTGTTCCAGTAAAACTTTACTCATGAACTGAAATTCGAATTTCATATAATTTGCATATGTCACAAAACATTTTTATTTTTCCAACCCTTTAAAAATGTAAAAACCATTCTTAGCTCCAGCGCTGTAATAAACAGGTGGCAGGTTGGATTTCCCTGGTGATCTAAACCTTTCCCTACTGCTAGAAAGCAGCACTGAGAGCTGAAAAGTACTTTCTGAGAAAAGGTTCTGCAGAATCAGCTGGTTGACTTCTCTTCTTGCCTGCAATTTTAACTTACAAATAATTTGAAATCAGAAGAACTGAGATAGCGAAGACTATAAAACTCACCTGTTAATATTTAATCATAGCAGCGCTGACTGATAAAAAAGTTTATATATCTTTTAAAAATTACATTAAAGTCTTCTCATTATACAGAGACAATTTCTCTATCAATTTTAACTGACATGCAATTCTACTTCTTCCCTCTATTCTCCTGACCTCAAAATTTGTTGCCTGAATGAATAAAATGTAAATATTAATAGAAGCAGTGACCACTGGTTTTCCTCTACAAAAATAGATATTTTTAACAATTTAATATTAAAAAGATTAACAATACTGGATTTTAAAAGGCTGGCAAGAAACATATACTCTTGGTGGTTGTATAAATAATTAATAGTACAGTCCTTCTGGAGAGAAAATGTTTGGCAAAATTTATAAAAAGTTAAAATGTATATAACTTTTTGACAACATTTATACTTCTAGAAATTCATCTTAAGGAAATAATCAGACAAGTCAACACATATTTATATACAATGAGTTTTATACTTTGAAAAATTATTTATAATCATAAAAACATTAAAACAATTTAAATGTCCAACATAAGGCTTAGTTAAATAAATCATGAATGGTATACAATGAAATTGTGGGTAGGCATAGGAATAATGATGTAAATAAGCCAGGTGCAGTGGCTCGCACCTGTAACCCCAGCACTTTGGAAGGCTGAGACGGGCAGATCGCTTGAGCCCATGAGCCCCTGAGTTCAAGACCAGCCTGGGCAACATGGTGAAACCCCATCTCTACCAAAAATACAAAAATTAGCTGGACATAGTGGCATAGTGGCACAGGCCTGTCCCAGCTACTCGGGAGGCTGAGGCAGGAAGATCACTTGGGCCCAGGAGGCAGAGGATGAGCTGTGAACATGCCACTGCATTTCAGCCTGGGTGACAGAGCAAGACCTTGTCTCAAAAAAAAAAAAAAAAAGAAAAGAAACAAACAATAACGTAAATAAGTAGTAGACATAGATATGTCCACAAGATACTGAAAGAAAAAAAAAGCATTAAAAACTGCATGTGCTGTTTGATCTCAATTGAATCAATTTCTACATATAGGTTGTAAATGTACCAGTGTATGTGTGAGGCTGAAAATAGAGAAGCAGCTAAGCAGGGAGTTAAAAGAATGTTCAGGAAGATGTTCACAGTGGTTGCGCCTGGATGATAGGAGTTTCAATGATTTTTATGTTCTTGTATATATTTTTCTGTGTTGTTTCTATTATGTTGCAGTGAGCATGTATTAATTTTAAATTTTAAAAGCTTTATTAGAACATATAACAGAAACAGTGACCGCTAATGTAAACTATGGACTTTGGGTAATAATGATATGTCAGTGCAGGTTCATGGGCTGACCAATGCCCCGCTCTGCTGTAGGATGTTGATAATGGGGAAGGCAGTGCATGTGTGGGGACAGCGAGTATTTGGGAACTATCTGTACTGTCTGCTCAATTTTGCCATGAACCTAAAACTGCTCCAAAAACAACTAAGTGTATTTGAAAGAAAAAGAAGAAAAGAAAAAAAAAGCTTACTAAAATAATTCTTACCCAAGCAATTCTAAAGTTCTGTTAATTAGAAGCAATTTGAATCCCATAAAAGTACATCTAAAAGGCTTTTATCAGAGGTGGTTTTAAAATATGGCAGATTACTCAGTGCGGATGGGGAGAGTCAAGAGAACGAAAACACCAAGTCCCGAGCGCCAGCTAGCTAGCGGCTCCCTGCCAGAAACTCATCGAAGAACGCTCTCTTCTTGTGAGAACCTATTTTGTGCATTCACCCTGAGGATACTCTACTGTTTCTCTCCTGTTATTTCTGATTTAACAGAATGTTTTCAGTGAAAGCTTAGAGGACTTAAGACTGGGTTAGATAATCAAGGGCTCAAGGAGAGCAATTTAACACTTTGTCTTAGATTAGCTTTAAAATGGAATTCTGGCTGGGGTCTAAGACCCTGCTGCTAAAAGATAAGCTGGTCTTAGGGGCTTTGATGGAAGAACAAATGCCAAGATGAGATTCTGATGATAAGCCATTTCTGTTACATTAATACAAGGCATTCTGATGCAGGTCTGAGGGTAAGAGCAGAGTTGGAATAAGTTAGTAGGAAACTACTAAGTCTTACCTCAATGTCATTTTCTTCTAAGAAATATTTACATTATAATTGATACTTCCTTTGCCATATACATACTTACACATGTATGTCATATCTATTCACTTTTATTTTAACAGAGCAAAAGGCTTACAGGTTTCTATATCAGATGTATATTTTGTAGTCAGAACTACTTGAATGAGATTTTTTTTAATTGCAGGAAGACAAAAGGCACCCTTGATAAGAACTAGGATTCTTATCAAAGATTTGCAAACTCTAGTAGTACAGTATATAAGAAGTATCTTACATTAACAATGGGATGTTAACAGGTTTATAGAAGAAATTCTAATAAGTCATGGTTCCAAATTTTCAACAACTATCAAGTCATACTATGTATGAATCTCAATGCAAATGAAGCTTAATGTACAAAAAGCACTATTAATAAATTATACAATATGCCCAACAACATCAAGTTGTTACATGGGATAAAATAGGTACTACTAACTTAAGTTTAATATTGATGGCATTTGTTCAAGATTAGTGTTATAAACACAGCACTAGAGAAAGCAGTTTCTGGTTCCTTGACATTATTCTCACTAAACGTAGTGTTAAACCTGGTGAGCCAATTTGTTAGTTTCCCTTGGGAAACATCTAAAATTAAAAATGCAGTTTATTTGGGAGCATAATTTTGTGGTCAAGACATTTTTAATCATGCAGGCATTATCTTTAGTAATTCACATTTTTTGGCCGGGCAGTTTTTCTACAAATACAGAACTCTTACACCTCAAAAGTGGTGAAATAACAGAATGCAATGACTCTTGTGGTAAATCCTCATTTCCTAAGACACCCCCCGTTAATAGTCAGAAGATACATTATAACAAATTCATAAGAAACAAATAACTCAAAATTATTGGGAGAAACTGTCAGATTTTTCAAGTTGGGAAACAGCTTAGAGCATAAAGAAAAATAGCAGCATACTTCAACCATACAAATGCCACAGAACTTCTTGATGAAAAGTGTCCACACACTTCCTAGCCATACTTTATTTTTAGGCTTTTCTATGTTAATGTGTGAAAAAACAGATGTGATTCAGTTTCAGACAATCTGACAGGAATGCTTTTTCTCATCATCCAAAAACTTAACTTGTTTTGAAAAGGAGTCACACCATGGAGCTCCTTTAAGAACTCAGGGGGGCTTCCAGGGGGCACTGACTTGAACTAAATTCATCACAAATGCTGAATTCCTACGCAATACCCCAGGGAACAACAAAAGCAACAACGACAAATTTTATCTTCACAACTATCCTAGGAGATATCTTCTATCTCTATTTTTTTAATTGAGGGTTTTCTAGCCCAGAGGCTATGTCCCCTGCTGCAAGTCACGAAGCTAGAGGTAGGATTTGAACTCAGGCAATGCAATGAAAACCTTAACTGCCTCCCAGTGAGGCAGGAGAGATGCATTCTAGTTCTGCATCTACAGGCCTCCCGGGTGGAGCCCCCCAGGGAAGGAGAGCTCAGCTCTGTCTCCTGACTGCTTCTCCTCTCAAAGGAGTGTGCAGATGCCCTGCTGTCTTCCAGAATTGCTGGGAAAACATGAAATTAATAGATGAAAAACTCCTGAAAAATTACAAGCTCTATATATGTGCCATATGCTAAATATATCCAACTGAATATCCTAGCAACATAGAAATTACTTTCTAAAATATAGAGAAGAACCTAACAGTGCTTTCTTTGCAGCCACCATAGAGTGTCTTTTATGGGGTTTATGTGGCGGCCTGTGAAGTGACAAACCATCAAACAGGAAGTCACGGTCTTAGTTGCAAAGCAAAACACCCTGGACACGGCAATGTAAAACATGGATTTGACATTTATTGTTGAGGACAGCCAAGCAGTTTCAAAATACAAAAGCATATATAAATAGCAGTCTGTATCCAGGGAAACACATTTTCTCTTTAATAAAAATATTCTTGACTTTAAAGAACACATTAAAATGATTGTTTTAAATTCAAAATGTCAAATTCTGAGAGAACAGAATAATTATTTCATAAAACTCTGAAAAACAAAGAATCAGAATTACTTCTTACCTCCCACATGTATACATTATTCTTAACCTGAGATCTTTTTTTCTTATCACCAACAAATGGCCCAAATTTTTTGCCTTTTAAAATTGGTTTAGTGGCCCAGACACCTAGAAAATAAAATCAGTATTTTTATAATGTATCATGGTTATTTTAAAGATTGAAACCATTAAAATCGCTTAAGTTTCACAAAACAGTTAAAAGGCTAGACTGCCTAAATCAAGCTAATGTTAAAATAGCCTGAGATCAAGTTAAATTAAGTCAAGTCCTCAATGGGGATTTTTATTTTTCTTCTTTATACTCTTCTGTTCTATAAAGAACCTATATTGTTTTACGATTAGAAAAAAATGTTTTATATACTTTTAAAATGTTTTACATGTAACACTACCCGTACAGTAGGATCACAAATACTTGAATAACACAGTCACAACAACTGAAGAGAAAAAATATTGGAATGGAGTGAAACTACAACTGATTTTTGAACTCCTCTGTCTGCTTGTTTATAAAGTTCAAATTGTCTCTAATGAACATGACTTGTTCTTATAAAGGGTTAGAAATATAGTTTTATGAATAAATAGTTTTGAAGTTCATTTGCTTTAAAGTAGAAAACCCTTTCCTGCCTAACTAAGCTTCCTGAAAACTTAGCTACTGGAACGGCTCACTTTTCAGAGTTTCTAACAGCCAAAATAGCTGTTCATCCACAGTATTCTTAGGGTTGTTTCTATTTACTATGCACTGACCATAACGGAAAGCGATATAATGAGCAAGCAGACAGTAAAATGGCAGGAGTCTGGCCCAGCAGTCAACAGCATCACTTTAGATCGGTTCCCTCACCTTTTGGCTTCAGTTTCCTCATATACAGAATGGGGGGTAAAGGCTGGGCCAGTCCTATCCTGCTAGGATGTACAAATTCCACTTCTCTGTAAGTCCGCTATGTAAGTCAACAATCAGTTGAGCTATAAAATCAACCACTTTCATTTGAACAATATGTTCAAACTGCTCAATGAATAAGTTTCCAATGAGAATTTTTAAAAGCATGTATTAAAATTTTTTCATACATATGTACATATAAATTGGGATATCGGAAGTACATCTAAAAAAAAGAAACAGGGATATAAATATGATATATTCCAAGACTGTATTTTGACTAAAGTTTTACAATTTACTTCCTTAGCTTCTGTCTAAAGATTAGGCCACATAAAAACCAAACACACACGCGCCTGGTTTGTGTTCAAGGAGAAATCCCAGCCAGAAGAATTTAGATACACTCACAGCATGTCATTCATTCAAGTATCTACTGAGGGTCCACAAAGTATCTGGTACTGGAGGCACAAAGATACATAAGAAATAAAGGCACTCACAAGCAATAACAGAGCCAAGTGTAAAAATATTACAAAACAATGAAGTGAATATAATGGTACAATCATGCTCCTCATGGTGAAATCAGAGAGAAGGGAACAACACGTTCTGTGGGGTGAGGCTCAGCAGGGAGACTCAGAGGAGGAGGACACTCAGGCAAGAGGGATGGGACCTACGTGTGTGTGTGTGTGTTTGTGTGTGTGTCTGTTTGTGTGTTCCTGGTTTTATTTTTACAACCCATGTCCAACCTGGATTCTTGACTAGAAAATGCATCAACACCATATAATCTTCTAAGTCAAGGGTAAATTGCTGCTTTTATGGTGCGCTCCCTACCTGACATGCCCCTGCAGGAAGCCTCACTGCCACCTGCTCTTTACTGCCTGACTTGCTCCGTGACAGGAGGAGCACTCACCAATCCGGGTCTTGTCAACAGCAGAAGGGAAAAGCCTCACTTCCTCCGGAAGTCCTCGCAGCACATGTTCGGGTACCTCAGCCAGGGTCTCGGTGGCCGCCACAGGCTCAGTAGTGTTCTGCAAGTCAAGAAATGGAAGGATCACAGCAAAAGAAAGAAAACTCAAATCATGGGTTTTTTTTTTTTTCTGGTTCAATAAGCAAGTATGCAAAAATGTAACCGAAACCTGAAGCTGGCAAGACAGACCAAAACGATGATGTCAAGCATTTGAGGAGCTGCTTTGATGCTTGTTTGTAACTGTCCAAAGGAAACCACTGCAACCTTCAAGCATGTCTGTGTTACTCTATTTTGTTCCAGCCACCTGTGGCCATTTCCAAAATATGATAATCTCTGCCACCATACTGCTTTAAACACAAATAGAATCTGGCAGCAAAATATAGCATAAGCTTACTTCTAAATCAAAGGCTACCATCAGTACCTTAGCACATTTAAAAAATAAAAACCAACACTGCCCACTTCAATGAATGCTTTCAGCACACACCACAAAGGCTACTGGGGCCCTCCAACCCTGCCCCATCCATGTTGCCCTCCAGCAACAACCCCTAACTGGATGGGGCTTGAATATTCCACCCCAAAACACGACAACTTATTGTGGTCCCTTACTGCAAGTGCCACCTTTCCAGGAAACAGTAATTTACCACTGTTTACCAAGTCACTAAACAGCAAAGTCACCAGGATATCACAGAGTTGCTAAGAAACAGAGAATTTTTTTAAATTATTTATCAAAGTTTAGGCTGGAATTCATCATAATCTTAAGAAAAGATTACTATTAGATATGTATGTAAGGAAGGGAGAGATTTGAGCCAACTGGGAGAATATGACTGTTATTTTCTCATTAACTTTCAAATCAAAGGAACACCAAGGGTCTAGTAACCAGTACACCATATATCCTACGGAGCTGATGTGCACATCACGGCACTGCTAAGAATGATAGGCTTTGTAGTCTGAGTGTGTTTCATTTCACTGCACAGGGAAACACTTCTCCAGGACTTTTAAATGAACCAACACAGGCAAAAGTAAACCCCAAACAAAAAAGATTAATTTTTCCCACAACCAGGAAGCTCTTGTCGTCTTCAAGAATATATGTACCAAGAAAAGAATATCATCCAAACTGGCATACTCTCAGCATTTCAATTTTTGGCTTATTAATTATCAACAGTCTACTTCAAGAGAAATAAATCTCACAGTCATTATAAACATGGTCATCTACTCTCTGGCCTGCTTCAAGCTCGAGAGCCCAAGAGAGGGCATCTAGAGACAGGTTTGTCTCTCGTGCAGAGCCGAGCCAACTGAGCCTCCATTTCAGACACACAAATGCTTTGTTCCTGCTTGATTTACACCTTTGTCCCAACAATATCCCTGAAACATTTTCCAAAACATAAGATAGCCAATTAGCCCCAGAAAATGGTCTTATGGTATTTTTAATTAGCTAAAGTGTGAATAAATTAACCATAGACATTTTTCACTTCTAAATATAGTGTCCCCATTTTTAAATTCTTAATCTATAAGCTGGATTTTTGGAAATGTGAACAATTTATTTCCAAAGAGGGAAAAGGTATTACACTGGTAGTTGGCATTGGCATCCTAAGCTACATAATGATTATTTCATAACACTGATAAAGTAAGTGACATTAACAAATATTAGCCAGAGTGATGTCCTATCAGCACTGGCCATTTAGTAAAGTAAAAGGGGATTTTCTTCTTCCGTCTCAGCTGGGACCCTAGGCAAACACTCAGCACCATTTATCCTCCCCAGGAGCACAGCCGCTTTGAAAAGTCACCATGTCTGCTAACCTAAACGGATACTTCCAGGCACTTTCACAGTAATTCTAATGACAACTTCGTATTTACTGAGAACTTCCTCGCTCAAGGCACTGTGCTGTCTTACATGCTGGGTAGAATGTACTCCAAATAGTCCAAGAGACAGGTATTATCAGTGTCTCCCCCTCTCCACACAGAGCAGGGAATTAGAGCTTAGAGACATTGCTTAAAGGGCTCAAAGCCTGGATCTGAATATCTGTCTGATTCGAGTGCCTATAGTCAGTCCTAATCATCAAGGAGTTTTCACTTAAGATTCTGCTGGAATATCATCTAAGAACCTCTGACCTAAAACTTCCAGATTTCCATGGAAATGTCAGCAGGAGATGGTGCTTAAGGCAGGAATGGTCACTCCCACAAGAAATGTGTAACTTGAGTACAAGTTAGAGATCACATGTATTAAAATTTCTGAAGCGCCCGAGAACATGAAGGACCTCAGCAGAGAAGCCATGGGAAAAAGAAATACCAAAAAATCCTATGTATTTGTTTATCTGTTTTAAGTCAACCCATTATTTTTTGTCTTTTTTTTCTTTTAAATTACTCCTTTATTCCACATCTTGTCCCACTAGACCCATTGGTTTTTCCTTTTGGACTCATACACCCAGCAGAGGAAAGCTTTTTCTGTTATTGTCGTATCCTTCACATTACAAAAAGACCAAACTACAACAGAGCACCTCAGTTCACAGCAGCACAACCCAGACGCTGGGCAGCCCCAGGGCCCTCCCTCCCTTCTTCCCCACAGCCCCGCTGGACTCTCCATGGCCGTGGCTATGGCTGCAAACTGCCTAGAACATTTCTAGAAAATCAATGATTTGAGAAGTAGAAGGTAGATTCATGGGCTGGACTTCTGAAATAGAACCACCCTCTTTTCTTCCTTGGTTCTCCTTCACAGCTCTTACCACAATTTTAAATGCTTATTTGTATAGCTGTGTGTTTACTGTGTGCCTCCTCTGTGAGACTGCAGTGAAGACAGATGGTGTCTATCTTATTCAGTGTTGTGTTCCCCCAGCTTAGCAGTAGATTTCAAATGTTTGTTGTCACTTAAATACTTGAATGAGTACATGGCTCTTTGTAAGCTAACTTAAAGCTTTTTTTAAAAAGGAGGGATAGAAATAAATGAAAGAGCTGGGTCATCTATCAGGAAGTATCTCCTCCACATGTGCCTGAATTTCTTGAAATTGAGGTAGGTATTCTTCTGGATCAATATAAGAATCCTTTTTTAGAAAATGTGGTATGCCATTAATTCCAAGCAACCAATGTACAAGTGAACCTTAGGAACAAAGGAATGTTTTCAAAAAATTCTCTCCCCCACATACTCATAAACTGGGATCTCTTCTTGGTACATATCCTGACAGGATAAGATGTAATATCATATCTAAACAGGTTCATCTTGATTCTTATACTAAAGAATCACAATTTGATCCTGGCACTATTTCCCAGATTGATCTTGTCTAAAATAAGTTGCACCATCTACTCTATTTATTTATTTCTATATTTCCAAATCCCTGCTACAGGCCAGGCAATGTTCTAGGCAGCACGCTTGCCTCAACACGGCATCACTCTGGTAAGAAATAGAGACAAAATTAAACACATACATACAATGGCTGATGCCCTGTAGAAAACTCAAGCACAAAAAAGGGGACACATGCCTTCCGATCAGTGGCGAATGAAAAAAAAGAGGGGAACGCGAGGCGTGGTGGCTCACGCCTGTAATCCCAGCACTTTGGAAGGTCAAGGCGGGCAGATTACCTGAGGTCAGGAGTTCGAGACCAGCCTGGCCAAGATGGTGAAACCCCGTCTCTACTTAAAATACAAAAATTAGCTGGGCGTGGTGGCTCATGCCTGTAATCCCAGCTACTCAGGAGGCTGAAGCAAGAGAATTGCTTGAGCCCGGAAGGTGGAGGTTGCAATGAGCCGAGATCGTGCCACTGCACTCCAGCCTGGCTGACAGACCGTCTCAAAAAAAAAAGGAACACAGTCATGGAGTAGGGATGGAGATGCCTGTTCAGACAGAATGCTGAGGCCTCTCTAGAAGTAGAAAGGGAATCTGTGACAATATTGGGGAAACATGTCAGGAAAAGAAAACAGCCAGGACCAAATCTCAAATTAAGAGGAAACGCAGTATCCAGGCAAAAAGACCCATGTGTCCAGAGCAGAGAAGGTAGGAGAAGCAGCTAGAACTGAGGCAGGAGGGGCAGGCAGGGGTAAGGTCTCTGAGAAACACTCATCGCCATTCGCTTGTCTACCCAGAATAAGCAGAATAGAAGTCATCAAGCAGAGAGCAGAGAGCAGATCGCAAGCTCCGCAAGGCACCCCAGCTGCTGGCGTCTCCCAGTACGCCCTGTCCTTGCTGCCCCTGAATAGAAGTATGTTCCTGTCTCATGGGTTTTTAACACTGATCACTGTGATATGAAAGAAGCTAAAGAACTTCTCTGCTTCCCTATTAGCTGACCTCAATGAGGACTCATTATTTGACTGCTTAATGAAGTACAGTCTTTAAACATGTATCAATGAACAGATCTGGAACAGTATGTATTAAATTTAACATGTTAAATTTAAGTCAATTTAATGTCATTTAGTTATTAACTATTAATTGATCTCATTAATTCGATGTTTCCAACTTCCTACCTCAAACTCAAAGAAAGTCACTACCCGCTTCTCTTCCCCCAATTAATCGCCAAAGCGTCTCTCCTTCATTCAGCCCATCCGTCAGTCATTAACACATACTCCCTGAGTGTCTGCTCAGAGCTAGCACCATGCTAGGACCCCCTCCTCATGAAGCCCACTGGCTAGAGGAAGAACTTCTCTGTTCCTGCTCCCTGAGACAAGAAACCTTGGACAGATTTTGATTCACGAGTTTTGACCTTGCTGGGGAGCCTCTGAAGGGCCCTTCTACTGCTTTCCTGATACATTTTCTCTGACCCAGGATGACCTTTCCATGCTGGACGGGGTGAGGAGCTTAGGGAATATAACATTTATTCCATCCTCTGAGCCAAGATCTGTGCTAAGCACTTTACATGCATTACCTCATTTAATCATCACAACAGTAACAATCACAACTAACACAGATGGAGCGTTCAAGATGTGTCAGATACAACTGTGAGCACTTATCACCTCATTTAATCTGCACACTACCAATTGCTATAGGCACTTCTATGATCTCCACGTTACAGATGAAACTAAACTTTGCCCATAGTCCCAGCCAGCAGGTGGCAGAGCTAGGTAATTTCAATCCAGACAATCTCGCTTCAGGGTCTGGATTCTCAAATACTATGCCACAGAGCAGCCCTGCTGAGTAACTTTCCCAAGCTACATAGTTTTGAAGTAGTGGAGCCAAGATAAAATCCAGACAGATTCCAGAGTCTACATTCTAACCACCAACCCAGTGGGGTCTCATACCTCACAGTCCGTGGACACCTGAGAATTCCCTTTCTGGGGCCCACAAGGTCAGAGCTATTGCTATAACAACACTAAGATGTTGTCTGCCTTTTTCACTCTCAGATGTGTAGAGTGGAGTTTTCTGGAGGCTATCATGTGTGAAAATGTCATCATTCTGGTGGCTTATGAAATGTGTGATTGTTTAATCTTATGTTTTAAATTTTTCTGATTTATGAATAAGGCCTGTAGTCTAACTAGCATTATTATACCAAATCAATTTCCTAGCTTTCATATTGTACTAAAGCTTTGTAAGATGTTACTGCTAGAAAAGGCTGGGTAAAGAGTACACAGGACTTGGGCCGGGCGCAGTGGCTCATGCCTGTAATCCCAGCACTTTGGGAGGCCGAGGCAGGCAGATCACTTGAGGTCAGGAGTTCAAGACCAACCTGGCCAACATGGTAAAAACCTATCTCTACTAAAAAAACAAAAACTAGCTGGGCGTGGTGGCGCACACCTGTAATCCCAGCTACTCAGGAGGCTAAGGCAGGTGAATCACTTGAACCCGGGAGGCGGAAGTTGCAGTGAGCCGAGGTTATGCCACTGCACTCCAGCCCGGGGGATAGAGCAAGACTCCTTCTCAAAAATAAATAGAGTACATAGGACTCTCTACACTATTCTTATAACTTCATGTGGATCTATAACTATTTCAAAATACTTTGTTATAATTTCCAATATGGTAAACATCCATAGATACAACAAACATCATCAAAAAGCTCAAGCTGCTACTGCACTAAGACCGCCTCCAGTCTTCCATCGTACCTCCCCTCTCAGGGCTAAGAAGACAGGACCGACTCCTAGAGACCAAACCTACAAGAGTGGAGGGAGGCAGGGGGGCTTAATCCAAACATTCATGTCCTACGTTCTCCCCTTCCTGGGCACCTCCCCCACTTCCTGAGTACAACTGTTAACATTAAAAACTACAAGCGTTACAACTATAAGCTTTCTCCCCTCTTCCTCCTCCTTCCTTTTTCTCCCTTTATGCCCTGCAATATCTTTTTCTTCCATACTTTGTTTTATACATTTTCCCTTAAAAATAAGCCATGAACTTTGGGAGGTTGAGATGGGTGGATCACGAGGTCAGGAGATCGAGACCATCCTGGCCAACATGGTGAAACCCCGTCTCTACTAAAAATACAAAAATTAGCTGAGTATGGTGGTGCCTGCCTGTAGTCTCAGCTACTCGGGAGGCTGAGGCAGGAGAATCGCTTGAACCTGAGAGGCGGAGGTTGCAGTGAGCCGAGATCGTGCCACTGCACTCCAGCCTGGGGACAGAGTGAGCCTGTCTCAAAAAAAAAAAAAAAAAAGCCATGAAAAGGAATTTCTATAACTTTCTACATCAATGTACATGTGAAAAGAGTGTGAGCAGTGTCAAGTATGCAAAGTTAGGGACAAAACATGGCTGTGACATTTGCTTTCCCCAAACAGGCACAAGAGTCTTTATCATTTGAAGGGTTTCACTGCTAATCTCTAAAGGAGAAAAAGCAAAATATACCAGAATAAACTGAGATAAGTTGCAATGGCTTCAGAGTATTAATAAACACAACAACTTACTGTCAATGCCCGTTTAGGCTCCTGCAGGGAATGGAGAAAAAAGCAGAAGAAAAGTTCCCAATACTTTAAACCCCAGGGTGGTGAAGCTGAGACCCCAGCAAGGTGAGGTTACCAAAAGGGGCCAATTTGCATTTGTATTCCAGGCCTGGGCTCTACCCAGAGAACACTTTAGCCTCCTAGAAGCTAGTCCCCACTATCCTAACCTAGTAGGATTTCCCCTATGGCTCTGTTACAACACTCTCCACAACTTGCAACAGTGTGCCCTGTGTATTGTGAAAGCCCTTCCTGGTTGGCTTGGTTAATCACCTCTCCAGAGAGGCAAGTTTAGGGCTGTAGACAGGCAGGCTGTGCTTACTCGCCTCGATACAGCCTGGCACAGAGTGCCCAGCTCAGAGCAGTGGTCACTGCGAACGGGCAAACAAATGCCTGGCAATCAACTGCCCAGAGGTCTGGGCACAGAGAGATGGCTGTAAGAGCAGTACAGCCCCAGCTGGCCATGGAGTCCATGGAAGTGGATGAGAATCCTCGATGGAAAGCAGAGGAGAGAACAGCCGAAAACAAAGCCCTCAGAATGCCCTTATCAAAGAATGAAACGGAAGAAGAAGCACAGCAAATGAGTCCCAGTCCTAGAAGTCATCGCAGAGCCAAAGAGGCACCAAGCACATGGCATCACCAAAGCTGGGGAAGACTCCAGGAAGTGAGGGTGGTCAACAGAGCCAAACCCTGCTGCTGATCCTTCAAAATCTGTCACGTCCAATTCCTTTCTCCAGTTCCCATTGCCACTGACATCTTCCAACCTGAAGTTATTCAGGAATCTCCAATCATCCTGCACATATTAGCAGCAAGTGTCCATGTGCTGGAGCAGCGCTACCTGGGGAACGCAGCAACCAAGAGAAGGGGCAGGTCCTGCCCACCTGCACCCCAAGCTAATGTGGCAGACTAGGGGTGTTCAACGTCTCAGTGACCTAAAGAGTGATGTAGGAGAGATAAGGAGGGGACAGTGCAGTGCTTTAGTTAGGATGGCAGGGGGAGGCCTCTCAGAGAAGATGTCACACAGGGACTTGGACTTGAGAGATGAAAATGAGTCATGTATTAAGAACTGAGCAGTCCAGGCAAACATGCCAAGGAGAGAAGGGGCCTGGGCTGTTCAGGAATAAAAAGAGGCCACCGCGGCTGCACCAGAATAGAGACGGGAAGAAAGCAGAGGCAGCCACCACTGGAACATGCAAAACCAAGGCAGGGCAAAGAGCTGGACTCAATTCAGAGAGCGGTGGGATGACACAAGAGGGTTTGGGCAGGAGAGTGACGAGATGGGGTGAGGCTTTCTGGCATCTAGGCTACTCTACATTCAACTTCTCTGAACCTTTTGTCTTCTTGAATAAGCAGTCTACAAAGTATCTGATTCAAAACGCTTTTTAAACTTTCTAAATAAAATCTAGTCATTGGTCTGCTGGCTTTAGAGACTGTCAACGTTCAAGAGAAGCAAAGAAAATAAGTCACCTGAGGGCTCATCCCCTCCTCTTGTCCAGAAGATTCTAATACAGAATGGGAATGGGTGAGGGTGGGGACAGGGGATTGGTAAGCAGGAGAAGGAGCTTTCTACTGCCTCCCACTGAGGCTGTTACTGGTGAGACTGAGTTTTAACTTCTCAAACTATCTTCATCCAAAGCAACAAACTGTGGGCTACAGCCTTTCATCTCAGATGGGGTTTGTTCGGTCTACCCATGGATTTAAAAAAAAAAATTCTATTGGAAGAAATCACAGAAAAATCCCCATTTTACTCTTACAGGTCATCCCTGGCCCCTACAGGCATCTGGGTTCCTGGCACACCCTCTGGCCCCTCCTACCCTCACCACATTAGGTCCCCTTGCTACTCTGGGCCTTTCTCAATTTAGACTTTCACCTGGCCCTCAATTCTTCTGACGATCAATATCCTCCACATCCTTCCAGGTCAAGTTCAAATCCCAGCTCCTCCACGAAAACATTCCCAACAACTCGCAACGACCGCTGGCTTTTCTGATTTCCCAGATGGTGAGCTGCATGTTCTGTAAGGCCTATGGAGAATGGTCCCATAGGGAGGAAAACGTTGGCGAGGAAATCAATCAGGAGCTTTCTGTAATAGCCCAGAGAAGGGATGTTTGGGTCTGAATTCAAGCAGTAATAGTAATTAAACTATTTTACAGGACAGAATCAGGACATGGTTACCGGCTGAAAAATAACAGTAATAAATAATAATTTACGGTGTTTCCTATGTCAGGCACTAGCCTAAGGGCTTTACATCTATAAACTCATTTACTATTGACTGCAACCACACGGGGTAGGCACCATTACTGTCCCCATTTAACAGATAAGAAAGTGAACACAAATAAGCCGAGGACTTGCCCAAGGTCACACAGCTGGAATGACATTGCCAGAACTGACCAAGGAGAGTGAGTTAGAGGGCATCAAAGGAGAGGCAGAGAAAAACAGTCCCACAGCTTTTTTCTCTGCCGAAGTGTTACTATCCTAACATAAGAGGAAAGGCTTCTTGCCACAAGCTCATTCCACTGACTTAAGGAAATGCTATTCAGGTTGTTAATTTTTTTTTGAATTTCACAAATAATATTTTCATTCAGAAAGACAAGGTCCCAGATTTTCTAAAATTTGCTAATTTATCTAGTAGAATACATGATTCAAAATGAGATTTCAAGGGCTACCACTATTCATTCAACATGCTAATTTCCTAAACTACACATTTATTAGTTGAGGTTTAAGTCAAAACAGATAGCAACCACCTTACTTAGAAGTCTTTTTTTAAAGTGAAAAAATCAGATTCATATTTATAATTATCTATAAAAAATATACTTCTATATTAATAATATGATAAAACAGTGAAAGTGGTTTCAACTTTTTATATCATATATATTTTTAGAATTAGAAAAAAGGGGGAGAGATAACTAAGATGAAAGATAGAAAGCCATCCCAGGGTTTCGCTAACTCTTTGGAATTAAGATTATGAATAGACATATCTACATGGTCAGATGGTCTCCCATAAAACAGCTCCCGTAAAGAAATGAACTACTGATACATGCAACAATATGGCTGAATCTCAGAAACAGTATAAAGACCAAAATGAGACAAACAGCAAAGGGCAAGGACTATATGTATTCCACTCCTATGAAACCCCAGAATAGGAAAAACCAATGTGTAGGAACAGAAAGCCGATCAGTAGTGACCTTGGGCAGGGAAAGACTAACTTCAGAGCAGTAGAAAAGAACTTTTTGGGGTGACAGACATGTCCTATGACTCGACAGCAGTGATAGTTACACGGGTGTGAAACTTGTACTATACAGTTAAAACAGTTACCTTTTACTGTATGCAGCTTATACCTCAAAGTTGATTTTTAAAGTCAAATAACTAAACAGGTCAATAAATCCTAAATTCTCATCTTTAAATCATGTTAAAATGAAACTTTAATGCACCAAGAAAATATTTCCGATTGTATTCACTTTCTTATCTGTTAAATAGGGATAGTAATGGTGCCCACCCCATGTGGTTGCAATCAATAGTAAATGACTTACTGAACGGAAAGCACTTAGGCTAGTGCCTGACATATATGAAACACGGTAAGTTACTATTTTTTATTATTATTATTTTCAACCAGTAACCAAGTCCTGATTCTGCCCTGTAGAATAGTTTCATTATTTGTATTTATTAAGAATTTTTTAACTCAACTCTAACAGCCCTCTCCTCAAAACCCTCCAAAGGTTCCCCACCTCACTGGCAAAGTCTACTCTGTCCTTCTGGCGACCCCAGAGCTGAGCCCACACTTCTTTGACCATTTACTCCACCCTCCTCAGGTCTGCTCCAGGTACATGAACCACAGAACCAACCTCCTCCACTCTCCCTACCCAGCCCTTCTCTCCATACTCTTTAGACAAACATTGACTGTAATCAGCAAGGTAACTCTGCTCTACAGCATAACATTGGCATTGGCTGCTGTTACATAAAGCTGCATGTACCATCTTACATGGTCAACACATACTAATGTTTTTATTTTTAAAAGTATATAAGAATAAGCAAATTTTATTAGCGTCTCATTTAAATTTATATAAGTAACTCCTTTTACATGCTTTGCCCAGAGAATTATCAGCAAGTATTATATCAGTTTAATCTATTTAATTAAAGCACCTAGTTTCAAATATTGACTTGATCAAAACTAACTGGAAAGTGGCAGCAATACATGACGGAATAGATTAGACCAATTTTCCTTAATATTAAGAACAATTCATAGTATATTCATACTAAAATATATATTATTGCTACAATAGACTAATAATAATCACCAAAGTAACTGTTACAAGCAAAAAACAGCTTAGAATCATACCATATTAAAATCGCTAAAATTCTACGAACCCATCTTTGTATAGATTTGCAAACAAGAATCTAAGCTACTATGCTGGAACAAACGATGGGAAAAAAAAAATCAAACAAGCTTCAGTTTACTGAAATGGCATTAAATTATTTGGTTAAGAAATGAGCAGGACTGCTATAACAATAAACAGATGAAAACACAAACCAAGAAATGCTTATACACCATTTTTTAAAAAGAACAGGAGTCAAATTAGTTCTGAAATACAAAAAAGTACCCTCTTTCAAAAAGCTGTCAGGTCCATTAAGTCGTCCAACTGAAGAAACTGTCCTAAAGCATGGTGTTAATCTCAGTAGTGAACACACGTTATCACCACACTCTTGCTCCCTTACAATCCAGTCTCCATAGCACAGTGGGGAGGACATCCTAAAAATGAAAATCAGCTTGTGTCACTGTCCCGTAGCCCTAAAGGCCCTATAAAACTTGCCTCTCACACCAATGTCCTCTTATCCCAGAGCCCCTGATAGGGCCAAGCTCCAGACCATAGCTTGCTCTCCGTTTCATGAACTACCAAGCTCATTTCCACTTCAGGGTCTTTGTACTACTGTGTGTTCACTCTGCCTGGAATTTTCTTTTTCCAGATCTTCATGTGTCTATCTGGTTCCTGGTTATTACCTAAGTTTCAGTTCTACTAGCAATCACCTCCACAGAGTAGCCTTCTCTGACCATGTAATCCAAAGACCTTCTTTCACCTCTACCCATCATCCTTTATAACAAGATCTTGTTTAATTGTCTTCACAGCACTTTTCACTATCTGAAATTACCTTGCTTGTCTTCCTGCTTTTTAACTGTCTCCCTCTTGGAGTATGTTACTGGCAGAGCCCTTGCCCACCTAGTTCACTGCAGAACCCATAACATGCTGGGATACAGTCTGTCCACGATGAATGAGGGAAGGAATGAATGAATTTTAGGGACAACTGAGATAATGGAACCATTCCTGAGATAAAGCCATTCCTAGATAAGTCTAGGAAAATAAGAAGGAAAACAGTGGAACATCTCAAAAGTTAAGTATCAGGATGGGTGTGGAACGTTAATGAAGCAAGTAGGATACCTACGATCTGAGAATGGAGAGAAGGGAGCATGGAGAGCCAGGGGAGGAGGCACAATGACTACTGCTCTCGCTGCCACCCAGGCATGGGCTCAAGCGGAAGGATCGAAGACTCACATGCAGAGCAAGCTGGGCTCTAATTGAGAGGTTAAGAGATATTAAGAAAGGGGTGAGTTTTGAGTGAAGAACAGAAGGGAAGAGAAAGAAAGCAAAGAATATGTAGGTCGGGGAGCTTTGTGAGAGCTGGGCTCAGAGGGAGCTATCACACTAGGACCGACTTGGAACACACTGATACAACTGAGCGCAACAGTCCAGAATGCCGCCTCAATAGTCAGTGCTGAAAGTACTGGCAGGCTGTGGACTCTACTGCTTCTTCTAAAGGAATCAATAACAAACAATATGATATGCCCATGACGAGGATCCTGCAGTCCCTGAAACTCAACTGTCAGGCATATATCAACAAATTATTCTATGCTATTGTCTTTGAGACCATACCCATCATAAGAAACAGAACTGACAATTAAAACCCATCAAAGCAATGCTGATCCATTCCTGGGGAGAATAACCTAACCCTAAAATAACCATCGGGATTTTATTTATAAGTCAATCTTCTTCAAGTTCAAACTTTTTTATATCTGAATTTTGTTGTGTGGTTATTTTTCAGTTTTTCAAGCATTTACTGCTCATTTTCACTGTCTGAAAATGACAGCAATAAATACGAGAAGGGAAAACTGTAAATTATCCTGAAATAAGTCTTAACCCTGAAGAATGACTGGGGTGATTGTTGAAAAACACTGATAGATTTTATGCCATAACAATTGGGTCTAAACAGCATATAACTAATATTCTTCTAGTAATGAAAATATAACAAAAGATGCTAAAAATTTTACTCATAAAAAGTGGGCAATTTTTATAATCCAAATAAAAGCTTCATTACTACCAGACCATTTAAATTACACCCAAATCAGAAATGTGTTAACCATTAGAAACATAAGAGGACACTTTTCCACTGATACTTGGCATTTGGGATCAAAGGCGGTCTTCTGCAGATCTGATATTAAAACTTGTCAAAAGCAAAACGAAATTATAAAAGAGCCAAAAAAAAAAAAAGTAGTAGTTATTGCTACCACTTTTTGACTGGCAAGCAGACTTTTTTAAACACAAGTTTGATATAATGGAAATATAAAGCAAAAGTTTGAAGTGTCAAGTCTAATTCACTAGAAATATTACAAGTCTAATACTGTACAAGAATTAAGGCATAATTAATCCTAAGGTTAAAGATGTAGACATATCAAATAAATGATTTCTGAACAGCGATGCAACAAGAACAATATTAACATTTAGATTCCACTTTGGAAGAACTCACAACCATTCTAACGCAGGATCAAGACTCCTCCAACAAAACAGTTCCTAGACTGCAGAGAACCGAGCTCCTTTGGGTGACCAGGTTCGTAATAAGAATCAATCTTAAAATAGGAAAATAAATGAAATCTATGAAATATATATGAGTATAACTTTGATGGACGATGACTGTGAAAATCCACTCTGTTCTCTTTTCCCTCCCCCATCTCACCATTTCAAAAATAATTTGCCTTCAAAAGCATGTCAATAAATCTGCAAGTTTTAAAATAATAGAAAGCATGTGCCCCATGTGTTCGCCAGATTCGTTTTTTATGACATATGTCCTCTGCATTAAAATAAACATTTCTGATAAAGAAAGTAATGAAATCAAAAGAATCCAAAAATTTCACATCTCTCAATGCAGCACAGGACTGAATGTATTAAACTTGGCCCAGCTAATTAAATTGAACTTGTGATCTCTAGGTAGAGTCACCTGTACATGAAAAAAAAGGTGTCTAAAGTTTCAGTTGATGAGGGATACAAAATGTTTTCAAGTCTGAGAGTTTTAAGCTAAGGACTAAAAAAAAAATTACATACTTCATATTTTGGGTTTTGTCCTTCATATTTTAAAAGTAAGTGCTTATGAACATTTTAAAAAGAAAACATTTCTGACACCCACGTATTTCTGTAACTACAAGAGAGATGATATTGAAACCAGAAAATAAGAATCCTACTCTAGAATATATTATTAGATCCACATAACTGGCTCTACTTATCAGAACACCCTTGAAGCTATGAAAATATCCATAGCAGAATAATTTAATCACCAGGTAATCCCACATCTCCTGTAAAGAGAAACACATCTTACATTTCAATATTTGCCCTCTTGTTTTTATTCTGAGAACAGGTTTTTCAAGGACAAATGCTTAAAGTTTCTTCTTTGATCATTTGCAGTCTCTATAAATAACTTTTAATCCTCTCTTTTTTTTATTTTTTTATTATTATACTTTAAGTTTTAGGGTACATGTGCACATTGTGCAGGTTAGTTACATACGTATACATGTGCCATGCTGGTGTGCTGCACCCACTAACTCGTCATCTAGCATTAGGTATATCTCCCAATGCTATCCCTCCCCCCTCCCTCCACCCCACAACAGTCCCCAGAGTGTGATGTTCCCCTTCCTGTGTCCATGTGATCTCATTGTTCAATTCCCACCTATGAATAAGAATATGCGGTGTTTGGTTTTTTGTTCTTGCGATAGTTTACTGAGAATGATGATTTCCAATTTCATCCATGTCCCTACAAAGGACATGAACTCATCATTTTTTATGGCTGCATAGTATTCCATGGTGTATATGTGCCACATTTTCTTAATCCAGTTCTATCATTGTTGGACATTTGGGTTGGTTCCAAGTCTTTGCTATTGTGAATAATGCCGCAATAAACATACGTGTGCATGTGTCTTTTAACCAACAAATAATCACAAAATAAAAAACGCTAAAAATGAAAGCTTAATAAGCTTCAAAACAAACACACACAAAAAACTCACACTAGAGTGTGGCAAGGGAGAGGTCAAAAAGAAAGTCTTAATGAAAATCCCTAAGAATGAGTCCTCTCCTCAGGGAACCACAGAAACGCCAACCCACGCCCAAACAATGCACATTCCACTGCACGAACAAATGCACGGTATGAACACAATGAACTAATTAATGGTATTAAGAAACAAAAATGAGAATCCAGGAGAAATGAATGTGTGTGCTACTATCTTGTAAAAATCAAGAGCTGGTCTAACATCTAGGTCATGTATTTGTATAAATTCTGATTTTTAAACTCACCTGATTCATTTTCAATTCCTGTTGTGTTCTGTAAAGATACACACAACAAAGAAACTTCTTTGATTACATGAACCCTAAAAAGAAAAACAGACAATTGTAATATGTACCTGCCTACAAATTTACAGGGATTTAAAACCACATACAGAACTGTAGAGTTTGCTGAAAGGGCTATTTATAAAGCAACTCTATGCCAAATCAACTTCAATCTATGCTGAGAGCTTCCTTGTCAGATTTATTATCTCCAGTAAAATAGATTTCTTACTACTCTTTGCTAGGGCTTCACTGTACTCTACAACTGAAAGCGGACTCATTAGGAGGACATCAAATCTTTGCTTTGGAACTGCATCATTCCTAAGAAGAAATAAATTAGCTTTCTTAATAGAAATACAAAGCATTATTGAGTACCTTATTATGCAATATAAGTGTCTTTTTCTTTTACCAATACTGTGTTGTACGTAAACACCATTAGACCCCATTACATTATTCTGTTTTTCAAGTTCCTGAATTAGAAAGTTGAATTTACTAACATTGGCCACCAGGAGTTCTCTCTGAGGAAAAGAACAAAAAACTGGCAGTAAAATGCAAATGTTTTAATAAAAGATGTTGGGAAACAGCTACATTGTCCCTTTAAAAACCCATGTTCCATGTATTCATAGTATAGTAAAATAAAAAGACAAAATTATTTCTTGTAAATGCGTATGACATACTTGTTTCTAAATAATAATCTCTGAAAATGGTCCTTTCTGCAACGTATGCCTTGAGTCATTTGATGTAATTCATAATAAATTAAATCATGACACTTTAAGTAGAACTTCCACTGTAAGGTTCTAAACATTTCCCACGTTTACATACACATACCATTAGGCATAATTCTCCTATTTCTTTATGCACTTGCTTATAACTTATCTTTCCTTCCTTGACCCACAAGCCTCTGCTTACATTGTAACATTATGTTCTAATTGTTAATAACCCAAAGAATACATAATTTAGTGACATTCTTCCTACTGCCTACCCACTGTTTTGACATTTTACCCTTGTTTTTTAATAAGGTAGTTGGATTTTTCTTTCCTTTTCTTGATCTATTTAACCACTCACCTGATCACCCTTAACCACCAAAGGCACTATATTTAAGTTAGGGCCTGGCCGTCTGAACTACTTTTATTCATAATTGGCATAAGGATGTATTCCATGAGATTGCATCTTGTTAGACAGCTCACTGCTAGCCAAACCAATATAAACTCTTGGTAAGCAAGTACTCAGGAAAAAAAAAAAAAAAGCCAGAGAATTGCAAGTTAAACCATGAAGTCCATTCCTTTACATTTTAATACTGAGCATCTTTCTCATCTATATTTACATGTCCTGCCTTAGTAAACATCACATATTGAACATAATCAACCCTCTTCTCTAAGACATAAGATTGTTATCAAGTTAAAAATGTATATTTTGGGCCGGGCACAGTGGCTCATGCCTGTAATCCCAGCACTTTGGGAGGCCAAGGCAGGTGGATCACGAGGTCAGGAGATCGAGACCATCCTGGCTAACACGGTGAAACCCCGTCTCTACTAAAAAATACAAAAAATTAGCTGGGTGTGGTGGCAGGCGCCTGTAGTCCCAGCTACTCGGGAGGCTGAGGCAGGAGAATGGCGTGAACCCGGGAGGCGGAGCTTGCAGTGAGCCGAGATCGTGCCACTGCACTCCAGCCTGGGCGACAGAGCGAGACTCCGTCTCAAAAAAAAAAAAATGTATATTTTGGTATTAAACAGTGATGAGGTTAGTGATCCCTCAGATGTGCACACCTGACCCTCGACCAGAAACGCCTACTGACTACTATCCAGTTCCACGTGGTGGCCCTGCGTGACACCTTATTCCCCCAGGTGAATAAGATGTTAGGGGTTTCACGTGTCCTCTGACAAAGCTTTTATAGGTAGATTTATTAACACTGGCTCAGGGGAGTTCTCTTTGAGGAACAGAACAAAAAACATCTGCGGTAAAATGCAAATGTTGTAATAAAAGATGTTTGGAAAGAGCTATAATGCTTTACCATTTCCCTTTGTTTGCCTTTTCCCTCTCACAAGAATCATCGGTATCATCATCACTATCATTTATGAAGCTTCTTCCAAGGACTTGCAGGCACTGTGCTGCCTTCAATGAACCAGCTCAGGTCCCCTTCACCAAAATAAGCACAGCACTGGTATCCTCAATTAACAAGAGCTTAAGATAATTCGGTCAAGGTCTCATAATTTTGGTTTCTGCTAATGCATCTTAACTACATTTCACCAATTTTTTACTCCTGCCTCCCCATGAGCACCCACTATGTGTCAAGCACTGCCCTTGAGCAGTGGAAAGGAGGAAGATCACTGCCCTTTTGGGGAAGACAGTCACAGTAAATACATAAGTAAAATATGTGGCATGCCAGAAAATGAAAGCGCTTTAGAAAAAAATAAAGAGTTATGGAGAGGGAGATAGTTACTACAATCTCTATGCAAATTCAACAGTGTGGTCAGAGAAGGATTGAGAAGGAGCAGTCTACATAAAAGCCAGGAAAGGGACGAGCTTCAAACCAGGAAAGTATGGGGAGAAATGTTATATGGAGGTGGAGGTGGAAGCAAAAGCGAGAAGCCTCACAAGGCTGCAGCCTGGGGAAGCAGAGAGGGAGCCAGGATGTTGGTGTGGCTGGTGCAGAGTCGGTGAGGGGCGCATGAAGAGGCAATGTCGGAGGCTGATGCCCAGTCTAACCAAGAGACAATGGGGGCATGGCTCAGCCAGTAGAAGAGATGTGAAAAGTAACTGGATCCTGGACGGACAGACGGACGGATGGATGGATAGATTTTATTTCTTTTTTTTGTTTGTTTTTTGAGACGGAGTCTCGCTCTGTCGCCAGGCTAGAGTGCAGTGGTGTGATCTTGGCTCACTGCAGCCCCCACCTCCTTCCAGGGTTCAAGCAATTCTCCTGCCTCAGCCTCCTGAGTAGCTAGTACTACAGGCACGTGCCACCAAGGCCAGCCAATATTTTTGTATTTTTAGTAGAGACGGAGTTTCACCATGTTGGCCATGATGGTCTCGAGCACCCAAAATGTGCTGCAGTTTTAGATCTTAGGCATGAAAGAAAGAAAGTCAGTCAGGGATGGCACTGAGGTTTTGGTCCTGAGGGCATGGGAGGATGGAGCTGCTGTTTTCTGAGATGCTGCCTTCTTCTTACCATCTGCTTTTCATGTTTTCCCTCTTTATTTAACACTTCTTTTCTTTTCCTCACCTTTTGTCATTGCTAGCTTGTAGGCACAATTCAGACAACTGAGATATCCTAACATCTGATATTGAATAATTACAATAGTACTTAAAACATTGCATTATTTGATTATCTCAAGGAATCTCATGTTCTTCTTTTTTTCTGGAGATGGTGTAGTACTCTCTCACCCAGGCTGGACTGCAATGGCACAATCATAGCTCACTGCAGCCTCGAACTCCTGGGCTCAAGTGATCCTCCCACCTCAGCCTCCTAAATAACTAAGACTACAGGCTCGCGCCACCATGCCTGGCTAATTTTTTTTTTTTTTTTTTTTTGGGTAGAGATGGAGTCTCACCTTGTTACCCAGGCTATCATCTTTTTCTTAATAAAAAAAGGTTAGAATAAAATTCAGACTGCTACATAATTAATAATCTTCTCTTTCTACACTACCTGTTTCCTCTCTGTCCAAATGAGAATGCACTTATTTCTTTCCAGAGAAAAGAAAGATCATAACATCTTTTTCTTAAAGATTCACTATATATCTGTGTGGGGAGAGCCTCCTCCCTATTACTTCCAAATCCTAATTGCTAAAAACCAGACTCTCATTTTTTCCTCTCTCCCTCTTGGACTCACAAAATTGTCAAGCTATATACATAAAATATTGTACAACAACAAAAGCACTGTAAATCTGACAGTGAATTCTCAAATGTTATTTTAAAAACTTAATTCTTTATTCAACTATATCAAAAACAAGGGGTGTAAAAGGAAAAGAAGTAAGACCTGGGCGGAGTCTCTCAACAGAGGAACCCTGCATTTTGGACTGGCCAACTCCTTGAGCAAGACTGTCCCTTTCCTTATGGGCACTTAACATTGCTTTGAGCAATCAACACTGGCAGTGCCTCCAATCATTTTGACAATCGAAAATACGTACACACATTCTCAAATGCCCTTCCAACTGAGAACCTCTGAATGTGGTAACCATGTGACGAGCTGCAATAGAATACTAAAGCAACTACAGCATCTAAAAATGTTTGGAATAACTTCCTTAAGATTCCTCCAGCACTGCTCAAAACCCCCGTGGAAGTGCCATGGCAATCCTACATAACCTTCATATTCAGTGTTGACTTCAACAGTCCTGTCTTTACACACCCATTTAACTAATACATGGTATCTCCAGGCCAAGGTTTTATCAAACGTGTGAAACGGAATGATCAATCCAGCAGTGCAGAGGCAGAGAAAAATCTTTCCAAGCGTATCACTGAAACCTTAGCAATTCTACCAAATGCTCTTTTTTTTTTTTTTTTGAGACAGAGCCTCACTCTGTCGCCCAGGCTGGAGTGCAGTGGCACGATCTCAGCTCACTGCAAGCTCCACCTCCCGGGTTCAGGCCATTCTCCTGCCTCAGCCTCCCGAGTAGCTGGGACTACAGGCGCCCGTCAACACGCCCGGCTATTTTTTGTATTTTTAGTAGAGACGGAGTTTCACTGTGTTAGCCAGGAAGCTCTCGATCTCCTGACCTCGTGATCTGTCCGCCTCAGCCTCCCAAAGTGTTGGGATTACAGGTGTGAGCCACCGCGCCCGGCCAAATGCTCTTTTTTGAAGTGCTAAACAATTAAGTGCCTCTGCTTTGCTAACAGCAGATACTGAAAATCTTTAAATCCCTAGGACTTCTCTGACCTTGGCTTATGCCTTAGTTTCTTTTCTGCATTTCCACGCCTAATCAAACCTTCTTGAATATTTGTACAGCACCCCTCGAATAAGTCTAACATATCCCTTCTATCCCACCTTAATATTTATCAGTCCCAGAAGAGCATGCACTCTTAGAAAATAAGAGCTTGATCTCTATTTTACATATCTAACATTTTTAATAACATGAGTATATGCACTTAACTTTTCAAGATATTGCTTTCAAGTTCTAGACAAATCAGTCTTAGAAACATTTATTAATAGCATAAAGATGATTTGATGATTAATGATCAGTATCAATATAACCACAATAAAATAATTTGAGTCATTACTAAGACACTAGTCCCATAAAGTGTCAACACAACCTCAACAACTGTTAAGCTGCTGTCTTCTGACACGGAAGTCCAGAGACCAGAAAATCTAGACACATGTGGGACAGCCCTTTCCCTGGGTCATACCAGCCCTGCAGCCCCAGCACCCTCTATTACCAATCCTCTGAAATAAAGCAGGTTTATCTAAACAAAGACACAAACTAGCATTAATGTAATGCATGTAACACTTAAACTGTCTTCATATCTGCCCTTTACGGACTTGTAAAAATCTACAAATCTATATGAAAGGCAAAGTAGGAGAACAGATTTTTTTAAAGATTAGTTTACATCTGTGGGGCAAGGGACAGAATTGGGAAAATACATATTTGATTTGTACATTCACCTCTAAATCACTGATATTATTTTTTACAATTTTCTTTAGGATCACTTTAGATCTCTGGCAGGGAGGGAGGAGTAACTGGAAAATAATTAACTTTGCAATAGACACATAGAGGTCACTTATACTATTTTATAATTATTTTAAGTTACAAAAAATTCTACATTGTGACATCAAGAATCAGAAAAAACTTTAACTTTCATGATTCAGGAAGTTTATGGATAAAGAGTAAAACAGAAATAAGTAAGAGAATACGTTTTTATCAAATTTAAAAGACCAGAATGAAAACATGGACTAGACACAAGAAAAACAGTTGCCATTTTGGGAAAGGAGTCTTAGAAAGTTCATGGCCAACACAAAAAAAATTCTAAAGCTAATCACCACAGAAAGTAGTTCTCAAGGCAAATAAATACTGTAGCAAATACAGAGATGATGCAGCTTTTAGCAGACTAGATTTGTAGTGTCGTCTAACACTGACCTTACTCTGACCAAAAGATTCTTGCAATCCTGAAACTTCTAGAAAAATAATAAAAATGTCTGAAATATGCCAACTTCTCAAAAACAGTTTTTATTGATTTTAAAATGCTATTAAGGTATTCATTGTCATAGAAAACTACCACGCACAATTCCTAAATTACAATCTGTGAACTTTTTTTCTTCAGAAAGACTCCACGATTAGAATCTGTTGAAATTTGTTGTAGAAAATTCTTTAAACCAAACATTTAAATCTAGGACTTCAATTTAATTTGTTCCTTGAATCTATTTTTATGTGGCCCTTAAAAACATATCCAAAAAACCCACTGCTAATATAGCAATAAAAATACTTTGGGTAAAAAAAAAAAAAACTGTAAACTTCAGATGTCAATATGAAAACATGTAGTATCCACTTGTTAGACTAAACAAAAGCACAGATATTGAATCTGCCCAGGAATTTGCTAAATGAAAATTCATCAGTTTTCCTTTTCTAAAATAATACAATTTCACAAGAGTAATCATCTAGCTTCGTACTAAAAAAATACAGCCCCAACCTTGGTATTAAAGTGCAGACTATATTACCAAATTAAATAAAGTGAAAAATCAAACCTGATACGTTAAGAATAAGGAGATTCTATGTGTGTGGAGAGAGACTGCGCAGACAGGAAAGGTGTGGCAAGCTGCTGAACCAGAGGCAATAAATTCCTTCTGCTTGAAACCACTCACGCCTCTCACCCACCGAAGGATTTCTCCCAATACCAAAAGACAATGTTTAACACAGAGTATATCATATACAGCAATTTCCCTACCTACAAATATATAAGAGATACAAGAATAGAATGTTCACAAATAAACCAGTAATTTCTCCCATTTCAATGATCAGTTTCCTCAGTGAGGCCTAGAACACGACAGACAGACAACTATCGCAGGCCCTGACTCCCCGAATGCATAGAGCAGAGAAACCTAAATAGCGAAGTGGAGTGTATCGAGTTTACTCCAGGTGGGACGATCTGATACTAATAACACAGTTTCCATGTAACAGATTAGAAAAACCAAGGGTCTGCTGTTCTCAGTGGCTTTGGAGCTGCAGAGCTCCAGTGAGAAAATGAGACTGATTCAAGCTTTTGTTTGATATATTTAAGTTTATAGAGCTCTGAGGTCAACAGCCCTCCGGCTCCAATGGGCCTAGAGCAATTAAATAACACCATATCAAAATGGCAAATAAGGGACCTGCTGATATGCTAGGAAAGGACTATAAATCCGCATTTAGATTGTGGCATTCCAGGGTTCTTTCCCTGTCAGAATAACTCTTCCTTTACTTGGGAAGAAAAAAAAAAAAGATTAAAGGGGAAATTTTCAAAATCTACTGCTCCAAGCATCCATTAATAATGTGCCAGCTCAGAAGTAAACGTATGGCAGTTGCTGATTATTTATTCTTTATTATTGATTGCTGTTATTGACAGCTATTAATATATGCTCTCCCTCATACTTTTGATTAAATTTATACACCTAAGTCATATTCCACTGAACATGTAATTTATTACATCACAAATCTCAAGCTTTGTTTAGGGTTCCTACAATAATTCCCTGCAACCCCCTTATTAAAACTACCCAGTTTCTCTAAAGAAATTAAAACATATTATCTTAGCTCTCACTATAGGATATTCCTCCCCTCCAACAGTACAAAAAAAAAAAAAAAGAATTATTGTCAATTTTCCTGCATGAAGTAACTCCATCCAATCAAAGGACTCTTGAATTAAAATGTTAATTTCCTTTCCTTATTTTTAAGACTAATTGCCAAGAAATACAAATGTAAAAATCTGGGGGCAGGTCAGAATACAAGAGTTTTCCAATCAGTGCTTGCTCTCTGATGAGAACTATGCTTCAGATTCAAGGCCATTATTACCTCCTGCAAAACAGTATTAAAGTAACAGAAGTTTCCATGAAAGATTCTTTTCTGACATTTTCCCTACATTAGATGTATAAAAACTTTAACTTATAAAAGGAAAATTAAATCAATTCTTGACTAAGGCTCAAATGCCAAGCTTCTAACTCAGACAAAATTTCTAAAGCAAGATGCCATATGATAGCTCATTTCACAATTCCCAAAACAAAATGAATCCTCAGTTGACCCCTGTGTACTATTTTTCCACTGGAGTTGCCAATGCAGATGTTACTTTTAAAATTAAGAGATGTCTAGGAATCCTGCAAAAGATTTGTGAATTTCCTGAAAAGCGGAAGAACACTACAGCAGCACGGGCAGGGTAGTGGTCCTGGCACCAAAGTCTTCATGTCTCACATGAAGACTCTCTGAGCAACAGAGGCATCTTACAAGGAGCTGCTCGAAGCTCTTTTCATTTTCCATACAACCTGCACATAAATGGTGGGGAGGCTTCCTGAATTCACAGGTGAACAACCTAAAGCAAAACTGGAAGTCATAATAGATAAAATGACAACTTAAACTCTTTTGCTACGGTGTCAGGCACACTTATATTACTACAAGATTCTATAGGTCTTCTCCGAAGATTTTATTAAGTTTTTTTTTTTTTAGTTTTGGTAGAAAGTGACTCTTCTATTTTAAATAATTTGAGATTTGGGATTTATTCTCTAAATATGTTACTACTTCTCACAAACATTTAAAAATAATGGCAATGCCTACTGTTTGCAAAGTGTGTACACTATTCTACAGTTTAAGAGGCCCTTAAAACTACATACATGCAAGCTTTTTTTGGAAAAAAAATGTATATTTCCTCAAAATAAATCATTAGTTCTTGTTTCAAGGTAAAGAGAAATGCCTAACCATTTATGATTTAAAAAAAAAAAGATGAAAGACTGTCTTTTGATGTTTGTCTGCTTTAGTCTGCAAAACAGTGCAACTCAAGTGAGCTTCAGTGCAGAGCAAGGACAGAACAGATGGGCAGTTCTTGGGGGCTCTTAGTTCCAGGTTAAATCTAAACTTGACCTTGTGGTAGAGTTCTCAGATACCGTGTGAGGAGTTGCTAATCCTATTCCACACCCTATTCCAAAAGGTCTGTGGAGAAAGATGGAAGAAGAATGACTGAGAAGCAGAGCCTATGATCACCTGTAAGAGGAGCCGGGTTTCATAGCAGCCCAGAAGGAAGGCAGCTTTAGCACCTGGGATGGACTAAGAAGGCAGTGTTGGCAAGAAAAATTGAATATTTTAGGAAGATTACGTTGACAGAAAAGAATAAGGAAGTAGGTGAGGAGAGGGCAGCCAGAAAGACTGGGGCTGGGCAAGTCAGTTCAGAATCCAAGAGAACAGGCAATTAGGGTTTGAATTGCAGTCAAGAGCTGAAACAAAAAATATGATTGACACTGCAGAGGGAAGGAATGGGCAGAATGTTAGCTAACTGAACAGGAGGTAAAAAAGAAATGGCAAAGATGAGTCCCAAAATTGGAATGTGAGTGACTGCAGGAATGGTGGTTTGAATATATTTTAAAGACAGAGCAGTCAGGAGTAGGGACAATATTTAAGTAAAAGGTGGTGAGCTCCATTTTTTTTTTTTTTTTTTTTTTTTGAGACGGAGTCTCGCTCTGTCTCCCAGGCTGGAGTGCAGTGGCGCGATCTCGACTCACTGCAACCTCCGCCTCCCAGGTTCAAGCGATTCTTCTGCCTCAGCCTCCCAAGTAGCTGGGATTACAGGTGCCCACCATCACACCCGGCTAATTTTTGCGTTTTTAGTAGAGATGGGGTTTCACCATGTTGGCCAGGCTGGTCTCGAACTCCTGACCTCGTGATCCACCAGCCTCGGCCTCCCAAAGTGCTGGGATTACAGGCATGAGCCACCACGCCTGGCCAGTGAGCTCCATTTTACTGACTCTAAGGAGATGCCCGACCTTCCCGGGAAAAGTACCTCAGTCTCAAGTGGAAGAACACGTCCAAGCACAAACGGGCCATCAACATGGAGATGGAGATTCAGATGTCCCAAGTGGGTGCCTCAGGAAAGGAAATTGCCAAGCGGAAAAATATCCACAGAGAAGGGTAGACGGTGCAGGATGTGGCTTTGTGAAAGGCACGGAAGGAGGTAGAAAACATAGTGGCCCCTTCCACCAAGTTCTGTAAGAGTGGAGGGAAGGTCAAAACGCCTAAGGACTCAATACATAACTGGGAAGGCTTTTCTCTCAACAATAACTGCCATGTTATTTCACAACACTCATTGTATTAGGAGAAATATCTAAGAAAAAATGTTACTAATGTTCTTGAAAAGCCTAAAGTATCCAAATTGCCTGCCTATTCTTTATTCATCTCAAACCATCCCGATCAAAAAGACTAATCATAGTCTTCACTTTACAAATAGTAAGAGACAACAGGGGACAAGTGACCTACCTACCCCCACCATAGCCGAAAATCACTCGTACTCCATTCTTGATCTGTGATACTGTCATTCTGTACATTGAGGTAGGGCTCCATTAAATTACTCGAGAGTGCATTCATATATTTACCTCCCCAAGCAGGTGAGCTGACCTGCCTTCTAACAAGTGGTAACAGAGCTTCACAATTAAGAATCTAAATTTATCCCAAGAGCCATACTTCTGAAAACTCCTACTTTCAGATGTACTGTAAAACTAAGTCTTTCAGAATTATAGCAAAGTCCCTAAAAAATAAGCCTCGCAGAGTGAGGAACATTTAGAATGTCACTTTTACACTGATACTCCAATTTATATTTAATTTACATTCTCTTAACAAGGTCTTGGGCAATGTACAGGATTCATACTGAAGTATATAAGGGTTTAGTGACTCTTACATGGCATAATTTAAATTATGTGAAAGTGCCACGGAATTATCCCACCAGAGTTTAACATAGGTCTTAATAGAACTACATATAAGCACATATAAAATGTGTGGGTTTTACCAATTTCCAGACAGACTGCCCCCTATAATCAAACTAACACTTGCACTTAGCTTTACATATTTCAGACAAGCTGTGCCAAGAAGTAATTCAGCTCTTTCAAAGCAAAACCCAGAGTATGATTTATTGCAAGAGCTACAAAATATTCTTTTCACCAAAATGGCTGGAAAATAATAAGTATTCAGTAAAATCTCCTTTATTGCATGTTCCAAAGGACTAATAAATGAAAACACAGTATAGGCATGACATGAACCAAGACTCTAAGAATAAATACTATACAGTACTAAGAAAAATACTGTAAGCATATTTCATTCCAAATGAGCCAGATTTACTACATACAATAACTCTAATTCATGCCTCAGGAAGGTGGGGGTGGGGAATGAAAGGCATTCTCTTTAAGAAAGAATATTTAAACGACACATGCATTCATTCCAGTGAAATTATACAGATGTTCTGTAATTCAGAAAACCACCCCTACCAAATGTAGCTCCAAAAGCACATCTCTTTTCACGTTTTATTTATCAATACATTCCGACTAAAGATTACGTATGCCACAATAAAAATTCAATCAATACTATCTACACTTAGAAAGATTACAAATAAGGATTTGGCAACTTATACTTTTCCCCCTAGAGGAAAGCTGCATTAATGCTGCATGTTTTCCACAAAGATCAATGAACTATCTTTAAATTATAATGTATTAAGTTAAAGTTAGGTAAGCACTTCAAAAGTAAGCCTTATTGCCTCAGGGCAAACTCACCATTTCTGTGCATAACCTCAAATTGGTTGTTTTCAAAAAAACAGGTTTCGGAAAAACTACAGCATAGCCTCTACCATCAATCTTCAAGGGGTTGCTGGACCAAGTTGCTTTTCTAGAAGACAGTTGTTTCTGCGCTGTTCAGCATAATGGTCTATATGCTTAAATTATTTACCACGCATCAACTCTATGCAAATTTATTCAAATTTC
The DNA here is from genome assembly GCF_000001405.40 of Homo sapiens. Lineage (NCBI taxonomy): Eukaryota > Metazoa > Chordata > Mammalia > Primates > Hominidae > Homo > Homo sapiens. The sequence goes on along the minus strand of NC_000001.11, from coordinate 13,703,682 downwards.
ATAATTTAATCTGCATACTAAGAATGCTGATTCCACGTCATGAAAACTCCTTTATGATCTCCAGGATACCTCACATTGTTTTACCTCATGCCACAAAACTGATGCCGAAGCAAAAGTGCTGAAACTGACCATTCAATAAAGTCACAAAACCAAAGGTGGAAAGGAACGTGGACAGACCTGAAGTCCACTTCTTGGCTTCAAGGTGTAAACCATCTAGTCTATCCTTACAGTTCTTAAAGAGATTCAATAATCTGTTTCAATAATTCAACCATACAGTTAGATGAGCCTTCCTTCACTGCAGCGGTTCAAGTGCTATTTGGAAATGTCTGGAGATTTTACTGGCTGTCACACTGGAAGGAGGTGCTACTGGCATCTCCCTGATAGAGGACAGGGATGCTGCTGAACATCCTACAGTGTACAGGATCGTCCTCCACAACAGAGAATTCTCTCACCCAAATGTCAGTAAGTGCAGAGGTTGAGAAACTCTGCTTTAATGGAAGCTAAGTATTGTTTTCAGTAATGGAGTCCACAGCTTTCAGACACTCCATAAAGGTGGTTTTTATAGCTCTAACTAGAAACTTGTAGCTTCAAAAAGAGAGAGATGGACCACCACCCCAGGCCTCTAACCAAATGTTGTAACCATAGGTGACAGCATAGCTGGTGCTCAGCGCACAAAGCGTGAAGCCCTAGACACAGGGCGGCAGTTATCTGTGGTAAGGACAGTCAGGTGATGTCCCTCATCATCTGGAAACTCCCTTAGCTACCCATCGTCATGCAAGTTTGACGATTTTCCCCCAACCATCAACCTCCTCCTCTTCCACTCCCCATTATGGAGTTTTCTAGTAGAAGTCCGCTGTTTTGGTTTTTTTTCTGCATGAGTATTAAAAATAACATGAAAAGCTACTCAGAAGACATGAAAATAGTAAATAACCTAAGGTGCTTTCCATCCTGGAAAGTCTATGATTTAACAGGACTTAAAAAGGGTTTGTAAATCAGGTTTGGAACTTGAAAAGAAACAGGCTGCTTAAAGAAACAGTCTCATGAATAAATAAACATCTAACGTAAAATAATCATCAAAAGAATAGGCGCAGATATATGTACATAACTGCACAGCCACAGCCAAGAACGGAAGAAAGGAAGCTGAAATTGAGTGTTACTTCTTATGACTGCACCCGCAAGAAAAATGCTTATTTAGATGCTAAAAAGCAGAATTTATATTTTTCACTGTAATCTCAAAAGATTACAGAACTTTAAAACCCACGATTTTAAAAAAACTTTCAAACAAATCTTAATGAAAAGAAAACTCAGGCTTGAGAAACCTTACAGATCAATATGGACTTGATTGATAACTTACGGCCCATCCACATATTAAATAGCCATTAAACATAATATTGACTAGTTAGTGGCATGGATACATGCTCACCGTATCATAAGGCAAGACAGGTTGCAAACAATATACACACTATATTATCAATCCTGTATAAAATGTAAATAAATATATATATATGTGAATGAACTGTAAAATAAGGAAAGAAATACGCATATCCACACCAAGAGAGACAGGAAGATCTGCCAAACGTTAACAATGGTTATCTGAAGAGGGGAAGGTTATGCCCAATTTCTGTTTCTTCTTTGTGCTTTTCTCTACTTTCCAATTTTCTACAGTGAGAATCTTTTGTTATGTTTTGTACTTACAAAATTAATACATTCTTACAGATTTAAACTGTACTGTTTCAGGCCCTGTCCACAAAATAAGGAAAAAACAAACCTGAACATACCAACCTTTCAATTAAAGAAACCACCTTCAGAATCAACAAAAGCAAACATTTACTGAGCAGTATTATCATGTTCTGGCACTTTTCTAAGCACTTAAAATGTATTAACTTATTTCAATCAAACCAAAACAGATGTGTTGAGTAAAAAGAGCCCTGGAATCACAGAAAATGTAAATGAGTTTTAGTTCCACTGTGAATTTTGATTTGTTTCCATAGCTCGAAATGAGGGGGTTTAATAAAAATGATCTTTAAAGGTCATCTCAAGGCTAAACTAAGATTCTACATGTAAAAATTTGGCCAATAAGTGTTAGTCCGGAAGCCTCAAGAGTGATGGGGCAGTTTGGACCATCTCAAAAACACAGAACCCTACTAAAAAAGAACGTATGACAGTGTGTCTCAGTTCCTCCTCCTTAATATATGTAAATTTCCTATCATGTTTTTTTTTAAAAGGCCTACATTTTTCTAATACTTGGACACAACTGATCAAACCGAGGCGAAGTGTGTACCATTGTAAAAGAAATCATTGAAGAGTTCCATTTGTTGTTAAAAGTTTCGGTCACTTTTAATAAACCTGGAGTAAACAAAAACTTAAACATTTTAGTCGAGTTCTGGGGTAAAAATGATTCTTCTAGTGTCTGGTTAAAGGGATCTAAGGACCTACTGGGATTCAGCAAAAGACGTTCCACGTCTCAAATACACCCAAAATCTCAATACAACACTAAAAGAAAAGTGAGGGGCCAGCACGAAATTTCTGTTAGGGGAAATTTCAGCTGCGTAGTTAAGGAAATCAGGACTTCCCGGTTAACTATGGGGTCTTTGCCGCAGCTCACAGCCCGACACAAAGCTACAAGCCCGGAGGGTCGGTGGCTCACGCGTGGATCGAAAGAACCACGAAGGTTTGGGGAATGACACTGACCTGTTAGGTTTACTTCATGTCTCACTTACCACCATCAAAAGAGGTTCATTGATAGCTTTATTAGCAAAATTAGTAACAGAGTTGCACGTCTGTAACACACACACACGCGCGCGTGCGCACACACACACATACACCCGTGGGTCTATGGGAACATTGAGGGAGACAATCTCCAGGTTAAAACCACACAAAAACTATTTGGGAAACACAAAGACGCAAGACACAAAACAAATTTGGAGTGCAAATGTGCAAGACACACTCAGTGGGAACACAAAAGAGAAAAGCACAGCGGCTTGACAATTGGGACGGCGCCCGGCCCCACGTGGGGCCCCAGGTGGCCCCACCGCCGCCCGCACCCGGCCAGTCTCTGCAGCCCGCACGCGTCCCCCGCGGGGCGCGCGGCTCTTCACGGCGACAAACCGAATCCCGAACTTCGCCGCAGGGACCCCACGGCCGACAAGGAGGAGCCCGGCGCCGCCACCCACCCGCGGGGCCACCGACCCGGAGGCCCGCGCCTCGTCCCGGGGCCCCCGGCACGCCCGGGACCTCTGAGGGGGCGCGTCCGCCGACCCGGCCATCCCTGCGGCGCCGGGTCCCCAGCGTGTCGCCGCCGCCGTCGCCGCCGCGCTCCTCGGGGGGAGGGACCAGCGTCCCGGCGCGAGCCCAGAGGCCGCCCACCCGCGCCACTCCTTACCCGCGCCCGCCGCGCCAGCGCCTCAGAGCACCGAGGGCCGCCGCCGCCGCCGCTGTTTCGCCGGCCCCGGCGCCCGCGGCCGCGCCGCCGCCATCTTGACTCCAGTCGGAAGTGACGTCGGGCGGCGAGGCAGTGGCCTGCGGGGCTGGGGGGCTCCGGGACCCCCGGTCTCCCCACGATCCCAGAGCCCGGCCCTTGACCCTGCGCCGTCGCCCAATGGCCACCACCCAGCCGCCCCTCGTAGGTCACCGCGGATCCCATGGCGGCGCCTCGGGAAGGAACCCCGGCGGCTGGCGTCGCGGCAAGTCCGACCGCACCCTAGGGCTAGGATCCTGCGTGGTTCAAAGATTCTCAAAGAATCAAAAAGACTGAAGGAGGTGTTGGGGGGGCATGTCTATCGTTGGAGGTCATTAAATATCTGACAAGTACATAAACGTAGACCTTATACTTCTACGTTTGGATCTATACCAAAAAGATCCAACTCCAGGCAGACAGACGCAGCTGCTGGGTTTATTTGCTGCCCTAGTACCCAGGAGCAGTGACCAACGCTGCCCTGTGCCCGCGATGTTCCAGTGCAGCGCCTCTGAGAGCGCGGTAGTAGTCCTGCCCTTAAGGAGCTTGCTGTTCCCAAGCGGGCAAACAAATGGACTGCAGAGACGACGACTCATAGATGTTCTGATGAAGATGAACTGGGTGGAACTGGAGATGGCTCTTCGACATCCAAGGGTGGAGGCCTAGCACGTGGTTGAAAATGAGTTGAGTCGGGGAGAAGCACAGGCTGGAGATGAGCTGGAAAGTTGGGAGTTGTCGTTATAGATGGTGCCTGGAGCCTTCAGCACTTCAAGATAAAGTAATCCTCTGAGAATGAAGTCAGGAAGAATCCGAATGTGATGGCTACGTTGGCCATCTGCAGAAAGCACCCAGTGGAAAAACAGGATACTAAGGGCAGGTGTGCTTCCAAAAATTATGAACGATCATTTATGTAACAGGTTTAATCTTAAGAAAACGTGTTGGCCGGGCGCAGTGGCTCACGCCTGTAATCCCAGCACTTTGGGAGGCCAAGGCAGGTGGATCACGAGGTCAGGAGATCGAGACCATCCTGGCTAACACGGTGAAACCCCGTCTCTACTAAAACTACAAAAATTTAGCCGGCCGACGTGGCGGGTGCCTGTAGTCCCAGCTACTCCGGAGGCTGAGGCAGGAGAATGGCGTGAACCCAGGAGACGGAGCTTGCAGTGAGCCAAGATCGCCCCACTGCTCGCCAGCCTGGGCGACAGAGACAGACTCCATCTCAAAAAAGAAAGAAAACGTGTTGTATCAACATATATCATGTTATCTTATTGTAAAAGAATGAGGCTAGGCCGGGCGCGGTGGCTCAGCCTGTAATCCCAGCACATTGGGAGGCCGAGGCGGGTGGATCACGAGGTCAGGAGATCGAGACCATCCTGGCTAACACAGTGAAACCCCGTCTCTACTAAAAATACAAAAAATTAGCCAGGCGTGGTGGCGGGCGCCTGTAGTCCCAGCTACTCCGGAGGCTGAGGCAGGAGAATGGCGTGAACCCGGGAGGCGGAGCTGGCAGTGAGCCAAGATGCCCCACTGCTCTCCAGCCTGGGTGACAGAGCGAGACTCAGTATCAAAAAAAAAAAAAAAAAAAAGAATGAGGCTATAGCTGATGATCGAGTCGGTTATAGTAAACAAATGAAGATCACCTCATTAGAGTAAATTTTATTAAGGCCTTGAGAAGTGACAGGGCTTAAGAAAATAAGGAAATAAATCAAACCTCAAGGGTTTGCTTATTTCTTCCGCTATTCAAGGAAAAGAGACCCTAGATCTGGGAGATACCACGTGCCTGTCATCAAAGTAGTATTCTCTGTTGTGGAGCAAAGTCATCAGACTTCTGCACCCCTTACCTAGATTAATACCTTCCAACTGGATCCATGCATCGAAATTATCTGGGGTATCTATGAAGAAAATAGGGAGACCCCACTGTTCCATCCACCATCAAAACACTGACATAGAAATCACCATTTTAAGAGAAAAGCTATGGGCCACCTGGCATTCAATAGAATGCAAAAGGAAAATAAAGGATGTTAAATCAGAAGTGGCACGGTGAACCAGAATGGATACTAGATGGTTGGTTAACAGAGTAGCCAGTAGTTGTCTTTCCGGTTATTAATTCATTAATCCAAAGTGACTGGCTATATTAGTTTCCTGTGGCTGCTGTAACAAATTATCCCAACCCTGACAACAGAAGTTTATTCTGTCACAACTCTAGAGGCTAGAAGTCCAAAATCAGTATCACTAGGCCAAAATTAAGGTGGCAGCAGGGCCGGGCTCCCTCTGGAGTCTCTAGCAGAGAATTGCTCCTTCCCTTTTCCAGCTTCTGGTGGCTGCCAGCATGCCTTGGCTTGTGACTGCATCACTCTATCTTCAAGGCCAGTATCTTCAAATCTCTATCTCCATCTTCATGTCATCTTCTCCTGTGTATGTGGTCAAATTCCCTCTGCCTCCCTCTCATAATGATACATGTGATTTAGGACCCACCCAGATAATCTGGCCATCTCAAGATCCTTCACTTAATCACGTCTGCAAGACTACATATGAAGTAGCATTTGCAGATTCTGGACGTTAGGGATGTGGATTTAGGTATGGGGCCATTATTTAGCCTACCACACTGGGTGTCTCCTCAGCGTTTCTGAGGTTCCCCCCACCCTTAATCAGCCATTGTGTGGTTTTTATCTGTGTATTTCTTGAACATATGTCTATTTTTCAACCTGTGCTATTTCTCAGGGTAAATAATTAAATATAATTTGTTTAATCCGAAAAAGATCAGAGCCAACAAGAATACAATAATTTAATGAGCACTTATTATCCATGTGATATGTTAAATATCATTCTTTTGCCTCTTTGAAAAGGTAAAATGTATTGTTTAGCCTACCACGCTGGGTGTCTCCTCTGAGGTACCCCCACCCTTAATCAGCCATTGTGTGGTTTTCATCTGTGTATTTCTTGAACATATGTCTATTTTTCAACCTGTGCTATTTCTCAGGGTAAATAATTATATATAATTCATGTAATCCAAAAAAGATGTGAGCCATCAAGAATACAATTTAATGAGCACTTATTATCCATGTGATATGTTAAATATCACTCTTTTGCCCCTTTGAAAAGGTGAAATGTATTGCAGGCTGTTTCTGTATGGGGATGGAAGTATAAAAATATACTCTTTGTCCAAGTCGACAACATGAATCAAACTCCACTCTACCCCAGTACACCTGGTACCAGTTCTGGCCGGTTTTGTACCTTGCTGCGGCAGTACCGTGATGGAAGACATGATCATCATTCACCACAACATCCCACTACCCAGAAGAGTGTCTGGCACACGATAAATGCTAAATAGATATTTTTAATTGGAAAAAAAGGCTTCTCCATGGCCCTCTCAATGTGGATGTATTACAGCAAGTATGTTGCAGACTGCACCTTGTGCCTATAAATGACAGTATATTGTTCATATTATTATAATAGGAACCACAGCACTCCTGCCCTGCATAGCAGCTGGAATGCCTGTAGCGCTTCCAAAAAGATTGCAGATCTTACAGCTGAGATCCAAGAGTTTACCGTACATTGCCAATGAGAATAAGTGGACTTCAAATTCCCCGAATGATAACAATACTTATTCTCTGTTGGGCTCTGTTCTAGGTATTTTACATGCACTCTCTCACTCATCCTCATAACCTGTGTGATAAGCACTATCCTCCTTTACGGCTGAGGATACTGAAGCTAGGAAGGGTTCAAGGACCTGCCTTGGCCAGGCGCAGTGGCTCATGCCTATAATCCCAGCACGTTGGGGGGCCAAGGTGGGTGGATCACTTGAGGTCAGGAGTTGGAGACTAGCCTGGCCAACATGGTGAAACCCCATCTCTACTAAAAATACAAAAAATTAGCCAGGAGTGGTGGCGCACACCTGTAATCCCAGCTACTCAGGGGCCTGAGATAGGAGAATTGCTGGAATTTGGGAGGTGGAGGTTGCAGTGAGCTGAGATTGTGCCATTGCACTCTAGCCTGGGCGACAGAGCAAGGCTTTGTCTCAAAAAAAAAAGGACTTGCCTCATTAGTAATACAACCAAGCTGATAGGGTAGTTTGGCAGGACACACAGCCATTTCCCTCTCAGCTTAGGAAGGCTGTCATAAGACTAGGACTAGCTCTGCAAGGCAAGAGAAGGACAATTTAAGATGGAAAAAAAAATAATGGAACCAGGTTTTGAACATAGACCATTTAGCTCTCTAGTAAGCAACCTCCCCACCCCCAGAGCATGCATGCACGCACACAGACATGCACACACACAAGCATGAGAGCTAGACCAGGAACTGGTACACACAACCATGCTACTCCATGTGCCTAACTAGTCATTCCTCCATCGACATACTCACGGTAGGGGCTGGGAAGGATTTTTTTTTACATTTTTTTTTATTCATTGCTAGAATTATTAGAAAACATTGGATGCATAAAGCCACCGTTCTAAATCCTGTCCCTGGACTGTCAGGCAAGAACAGCTATTAAAAGATCATAGGCATGGGCAAAGGAAGAGAATCCAGTGCAGCTGAATCAAATGAACTCACCTTTTGTTCAGATAACACATCGCTTACCTTTAACAAAAAAAAAAAGAGACCCTTTTCTTGCGACTGCAAATCATGTTCTATGAAATCCAGCGTCTCTTCTGTTACATCACCTTACTCTCTCCACCCGCCATCCCTGTGCCACGTCATTTACCTGAGCAAGGAATGGCATCCAAGCAAGCACGCCAGCCACTAAAAGATCTGAAACTTGCGCTCTTCACGCATGAAGTCCAGACATAGCAACTCTGGGGGCTAAAGATACATCTTACCGCGTCATAGGCACTTTTGGCTGCGTAGTTTCTGTGAGAAAAACCCCGCAGCCTCAAAATGTATAGGCAGATCTTGGCAGTGGTGAAATGTAGTTATGTGAGAAAGGGAAAAGGGGTGACCTTTACTGAGCCCCAAGTCTGAGCTGGCACTTTATACTACGTTGTCTTTTCATCATCTCGACAGCAGCAACAGCTGCTAATTTTGCAGATGAAGAAACTGAAGCTCAGATTGTTGAGAGACACAGCTGGCTGGAATAAGGGGGCAGGATTGAAGGACTTCTCTGATGTCAAAGTCCATGATGAGTCGCTGTTCATTCAGCTTCGGGTCATCAAGATGCTCTTAGGCACTAGGGGCAAAGACGCCACCCCTCTCCTCCAAGAACTTAGGATCCAGTGGAGGAGACAGGACTTACAAAGCAGGCTAGTCCTGGTGTGAAACCAGAACCGCATTCCTGTGCTCCCAGCGTGCTCCGTGATGGCTCGCTCCCCACACCTTTTTCCTTTTCATTATTACTCTTAAGAAAAAACAAAAAAGGCCGGGCGCGGTGGCTCACGCCTGTAATCCCAGCACTTTGGGAGGCCGAGGTAGGCAGATCATGAGGTCAGGAGATCGAGACCATCCTGGCTAACACAGTGAAACCCCGTCTCTACTAAAAATACAAAAAATTAGCTGGGTGTGGTGGCGGGCACCTGTAGTCCCCGCTACTCGGGAGGGTGAGGCAGGAGAATGGCGTGAACCCGGGAGGGGGAGCTTGCAGTGAGCCAAGATCACGCCAATGCACTCCAGCCTGGGCGACAGAGCGAGACTCCGTCTCAAAAAGAAAAAAAAGAAAACTGACTTGAAGATGTTAAAATTTCTTTTTTTTTCTTTTTTGAGACAGAGTCTCACTCTGTCATTCTGTCACCCAGGCTAGAGTGCAGGAGTGCAGTAGTGCAATCACAGCTCACTGCAGCCTTGACCTCCTAGGCTCAAGCAGTCCTCCTGCCTACAGAATAGCTGCGACCACAGGCACATGCCACCATGCCCGGGTAATTTTTGTATTTTTAGTAGAGATGAGTTTTTGCCATGTTGCCCAGGCTGGTCTCAAACTCCTGGGCTCAAGTGATCTGCCTGCCTCGGCCTCCCAAAGTTCTGGAATTACAGGCATGAGCCACCACACCCGGCCCAAGATGCTAAAATTTCTAACCAATTCAAATATGTGGCTCTAGAGATAACTTCACTCCATTCTACAAAAAAAAAAAAAAAAAAAAAAAAAAAAAAAAAAAACTCCAGAGCACTGTTGCTAGGTTTTTCCATTGTATTTCTTATATCACATTTTCTAGAACCAAACATATTAATAAATTAGGTGAAAAGTTCAGAATTTCCCAAACAGATGTCACTCCTTTCAAAACTTTTAGTGTAACAAGCTCAAAGACCCATGCAGTTTGTTCCAGAGAATACAAAGGGAAGTTTAAGCCTTCCTTGAAGGCAGAATGAATTCACTAATACGCCACCGAGAACATGAATAAAACATATACATTGACAGCAAAGACATGAAGTGAAAATATTTTTCAGCTGGAAATAGCAAGCAGCATGAGAAGGAATAGAAAATAAATCAGGTCCAGAAATGAGCAGATTGCACTGAGATAGTAAAACGCTAAGCCTGGATTTGTTTCCCCAGATTCGAAGCTGTAGTGTGTTGCCTTACAGGGGCGTCTGTAGATGAGATGACCCGTCCTACCTACCCAGTCAGTGCTCACTCATCACCAAGGTGAACCATCTCTTACCCTGGATCTGTGCTTCTCACCATCCCCATCTGCATTCTAGAAATGCCGTGCTCTCCATTTTTCTTCACCCCGCTTTCTGTCTAAGATTCACTCCTCACCCCTTCTCTCCTGCATCCAAATTTTGCCTTTCCTCAGAAGCCAGCTTTTTGATGAAATCTTCCCATAGTTGCATTAGTTTCCTAAGGCTACTGTAACCAAGAGCCACAAAACAAATTCAGTGGTTTAAAACAGGGGTCCTCAACCCCCAGGCCACAGACCGATACCCTGTTAGGAACTGGGCGACACAGCAGGATGTGGGCAGCAGGCGAGTCAGGGAAGCTTAATCTGTATTTATAAAGCCACTCGCCATCACTGGCATTACCGCCTGAGCTCCGCCTCCTGTCAGATCAGTGGCAGCATTAGGTTCTCATAGGAGCAAGAACCCTATTGTGAACTGTGCATGCAAGGGATCTAGGTTGTGAGCTCCTTATGAGAATCTAATGCCTGCTGATCTGTCACTGTCTCCCATCACCCCTAGATGGGACCATCTAGTTGCAGGAAAACAAGCTCAGGGCTCCCACTGATTGTTTTATGTTGGCGCAAAAGTAATTGTGGTTTTTGCTCTCTTTTTAATGGCAAAAACCACAATTACTTTTGCACCAGCCTAATACCTTATGGTGAGTTGTATAATTATTTCATTATATATTATAATGTAATAATAATAGAAATAAAGTACGCAATAAATGTAATGTGCTTGAATCATCCCAAAACCATCCCTCTATCCCTGCCACCTCACCCCTCCCCAGCAGTCGGTGGAAAAATTGTCTTCCATGAATCCGGTCCCTGGTGCCCAAAAGGTTGAGGACCTCTGGTTTAAAACAACAGAAATGTGTTCTCTTACAGCCTCAGAGGTGTCTCAGGGTTGGTTCCTTCTGCAGAGTCTAAGGGAGAATCTGTTTCATGCCTCTCTCTTCGATTCTGGTGGTTGCCTTGACATTCTGTGGCTTGTAGATAAATTATTCCAATCTGTCCCTGTCTTCATCTGGCCATCTTCTCTCTGTGTCTCTCTGTCTTCACACGGCTTTCTTTATAAGAATACCAGCCATTAGATTTAAGGCCCACCCTAGTCCAGTATGACCTCATCTTTTTTTTTTTTTTTTTTTTTCAATAGAGACAGGGTTTTGCCATGTTGCCCCAGGCTGGTCTCAAACTCCTGGGCTCAGGAGATCCGCCCGCCTCGGCCTCCCAAAGTGCTGGGATTATAGGCGTGAGCCACTGCGACCACAGCTCATTCTCATCTTAACTAATTACATCTCAAAGACAGTATTTCCAAATAAGTTCACATTCTGAGACTCCAGGAGGACATGGATTTTGGGAGGACAGTGTTCAACCCAGTACAGGAGTGGAGCCCACATTCATTCTTTCCTCATTTTATGAATCCAGTGATAACCTCCATCAGCAATTGTCCATACACTGTGTTGCCTCGGGGTCTAATTGCTGTATGTGTGTATCTTTTTTTATTTTTTATTTTTGGACAGGATCTCACTCTGTGGCCCAGGCTGGAGTGCAGTGGTGCGATCTTGGCTCAACCTTCCAGGCACAAGTCATTCTCCCACCTCAGCCTCCCAAGTAGCTAGGATTACAAACATGTGCCACCATGCCCACCTAATTTTTATATTTTTTGTAGAGACGAGGTTTCGCCATGTTGCCCAGGCTGGTCTCGAACTCCTGAGCTCAAGCGATCCACCCACATCGACCTCCCAAAGTGTGGGATTACAGGCGTGAGCCACCAAGCCCTGCCTGTGTGTGTGTATCTTAAGTCCCAACCATATTTTAAGCCCCTGAGAGTGTGAACAGAGTGGTACACATCTCCGCCATCCAAACAGTGGTAAGTACAAGTCTTTCCTCCGTCAATAATGTTGATTGATAACAACCATTTTGTAATTTAAATACGATCTCTGAAATAGAAACACATTAGCCATAGCTAAGTAAGAACTCAGGGCCTGCACTTTGAATTCATTTTTCTTCCAATTTAACTTGACTATATGTTTCCCTCCTCCACCCCTCCCTAAGACTTCAAACTGTATTGTCATTATAAGATGTTTTGGCTAACAGTAGAATAATAATACCTTTCCAAAGCTGCACAAACAGGGTCAAAAACACATGGCATTCCTCTGTCACATTTAAGTCATCATTTAAACAATTTGAGGGAACCATACAGGTGTCATAGCCAAGACAAACACCTGCCAACACCTGCCAGGGCTGAGACACCTGAGCTAGGTTCATAAGCCTGCTAACCAACCTATATGAGCCTCTACTTGAAATTCATTCATTGGCCAAATTATAGTTAACTTTAACTAATTGGAGAGCAGTGGCCCCCAAGGGAACATTCTGAAATATCTAGAGAGAACTTGGCACGGTGGCTCGCACGTGTAATCCCAGCACTTTGGGAGGCCAAGGTGGGTGGATCACAAGGTCAGGAGTTTGAGACCAGCCTGGCCAATATGGTGAAACCCTGTCTCTACTAAAAATACAAAAATTAGCTGGGCATGGTGGCAGGCGCCTGTAGTCCCAGCTACTCGGGAGGCTGAGGCTGGAGAATCGCTTGAACCCAGGAGGAAGATATCGCAGTTGAGCCGAGATCACACCATTGCACTCCAGCCTGAGTGACAGAGCAAGACTTCGTCTCAAAAAAAAAAAAAAAAAAAAAAATCTGGAGAGAGTCTGGGTTGTCCTAATTGGGTGGGGGCTGCTACTGGCCTCTGGCAGGTAGAGACCAGAAATGCCACTGAGTATTCTAGAATACACAGGACAGTCCCCTTCCACAACACAGAATTATTCAGCCCCAGATATCGAAAATGTCTTTTTTTTTTTTTTTTTTTTGAGACAGAATCTCGCTCTGTCACCCAGGCTGGAGTACAGTGGCGCAATCTCGGCTCACTGCAAGCTCTGCCTCCCAGGTTCACGCCATTCTCCTGCCTCAGCCTCCTAAGCAGCTGGGACTACAGGCGCCTGCCACCACGCCCAGCTAATTTTTTGTATTTTTAGTAGAGACAGGGTCTCACCGTGTTAGCCAGGATGGTCTCGATCTCCTGACCTCGTGATCCACCTGCCTTGGCCTCCCAAAGTGCTGGGATTACAGGCATGAGCCACCGTGCCAGGCCAAAAATGTCTTTTTTAAAACCCTGCTATAGATTATTCAGTATGTGACTTTCAAGTCTCACCTTTAGACATTTGTGTACTCAGTTGGAGTATGGACTGCAGACTCATCAAGGAAAGGAAGTATATCTCCCTTCTTCCCTTACCTTCCCTCCCCAGCGACTTCTTTAGACAGTTTTTCCCTAATTGCTCCTCCTGCTGCTGTGAAATTTGAGTATCATAGATGTACTGTATATCTGTTTATGTACTGTATAAATATCTGATATGATTTGGCTGTGTCCCACCCAAATCTCATCTTGAATTGTAGCTCCCACGATTCCCACGTTATGGGAGGGAACCTGTGGAAGGTAATTGAATCATGGGGGCGGGTCTTTCCCATGCTATTCTTGTGATAGTGAATAATTCTCATGAGATCTGATGGTTTTATAAAGGGGAGTTTCCCTGCACAAGTTCTCTTCTCTTGTCTGCTGCCATGTGAAACGTGCCCTTCACCTTCTGCCATGATTGTGAGGTCTCCCCAGCCACGTAGAACTGTGAGCCCATTAAACCTCTTTCTTTTGTAAATTGCCCAGTCTCAGGTATGTCTTTATCAGCAGCATGATAAATGGACTAATAGAATATCTGTGCTTTAGACACTTTGGTGAGGTATAATGGCTACAGTTACTGGAGAGCAAACATATTGTAGCAGGCAATAAGCTAATCTTTTATGTAAGATTATAAAGAGCTTTTTTAAAAAAATTGTGGCAAAAATACATGCCAAGTAAAGTTTACAATCTAAGCCATTTTTAAGTGTACAGTTTCGTGGCACTTAAGTACAGCCACATTGTTGGACAACCATCCCACCATCCATCTCTAGAATTCTTTTCATCTTACAAAACCGAACTTTTTTTTGAGACACAGTCTTGCTCTGTCACCCAAGTTGGAGTGCAGTGGATGATCTCGGCTCACTGGAGCCTCGACCTCCCAGGATCAAGTGATCCTCCCACTTTAGCCTCCCAAGTATCTGGGACTACAGGAGCGTCCCACCATGCCCAGCTAATTTTTGTTTATTTTTTATAGAGACAGGGTCTCACTGTGTTGCCCAGGCTGGTCTCAAACTCCTGGACTCAAGCAATCCTACTGTGTTGGCCTCCTAAAATGCTGGGATTACAGGCGTGAGCCCCTGTACCCGGCCCAAAACTGAAAATATATACCATTTAAACAATAGTTTCCCATTCCCCCTTCCTTCAATCCCTGCCAACCATCATTCTACTTTCTATTTCCATGAATTTGATGAGTTACCTCATGTAAGTGTAATTATATAGTAGTTGTCTTTTTGGGACTGGCTTATTTCACCTAGCATAGTGTCTTCAAGGTTCATCTATGATGTAGCATGTGTGAGAATTTTCTTCCTTTTAAAGACTAAATAGTATTACATTGCATGTATATATCATATTTTATTTATTCATTCATTGGCCCATGGACATTTGGGTTGCTTCCACCTTTTGACTATTGTAAATCATGCTGCTATGCACATGAGTGTACAACTATATCTTCAAGACCCTGCTTTCAATGTTTTGGGGTATATACCCAGGTGTGGAATTGATGAATCATTTGATAATTATATTTTTAATTTTTTGAGAAACTGCCATACTGTTTTCTGTAGTGACTGCAACTTATTTATTTATTTATTTATTTTAGAGATGGGGGTCTCACTCTGTTTCCTGGGCTGGACTCAAACTACTAGACTGAAGCGATCCCCACACTTCAGCCTTCCAGTAGCTGGGACTACAGGTATGTGCCACCATGCCTGGGTTTGCACCATTTTTACATTCTTACCAGAAGTGCACAAAGGTTCCAGTTTCTCCATATGCTCAATAATGCTTATTTTCTGTTTTTGATAGTGGCCATCCTAATAGGTGTGGGATGCGATTGCATTGTGGTTTTGATTTTCATTTCCCTAATGGTTTGTAATGTTGAGTATCTTTTTAGGTGCTTACTGGTCATTTGTATATATTCTTTGAAAAAGGTCTGTTCAAATCTGTTGCTCATTTTTTAATTGGGTTGTTTTTGTTATTGTTGGATGGTAGGATTCTTTATTAATCCTTTATCAGATATATGATTTGCAAATATTTTCCCCTATTCTGTGGGCTGCCTTTTTACTCTGGTGATTGTGTCATTTGATGCACAGAAGATTTTAATTTTGATCTGGACCAGTGTATCTATAATTTATTTTGTTGCCTGTGATTTTATTCTTATATCCAAGAGATTATTGCCAAATCTAATGTCACGAAGTTTTTAAGAGTTTTGTACTTTTAGCTCTTAATGCTTAGATCTTTGATCCATTTTGAGTTAACTTTGGTTTATCGTGTAAGGTAAGAGTCCAGCTTCATTCCTTTACATGTGGATATCCAGTTTTCCCAACTCCATCCGTTGAAAAAACAGTCTTTCCCCATTGAATGATCCTGATACCCTTGTATATCATTTGGCCATATATGGGTGGGTTTACTTCTGGACTTATAAACAGTTTTAAAATATAAGTTTAGCTCCCGTGCTTCTGGTTAAAATATCTGTTTCAGCCTTTGAGAACTTTTTGGTGTTTGGTTTTTATTATGAGAATTTATGGCCAGGAATTTTTTACTGTTTTATGGTTAAGATTTTGTGACCCTCAAGAACCAGTTTTTGCCCCTGTTGAAAGTGCATGAACTCTAATCAATAACATTCTGATTAAGGGAGGAAACAGTTGATTAGTGCAAAGGTTAAATACATTGGTCAAAATAGGGATGTTGTAGTTTATTTTTCTGTATTATACCATTTTCTCATTATTCTTAATAATGAATGTTCTTCATGCCACCTGGCTCCTCATTATAAAATCCGTGAAGACTGTGCTTAGTAGAGGCAAAGAGGCAGCATGCCCGACAACCAACTAAAACCCCCTTACAATGAGAAAACCAGAGCTTCATTTCCGCTTACTGCGGGTACCTGATCTAAAAATATCAACAAACTCATGCTTCATGCAGACTGGAGGGGGACCTTGTCTCCTAGATTGATTTCATGATGCAATGCATAATGATGGCACTATGGAAAGCTAAATATTAATAATACTCTTTTTATGCATGCTACTCTGAGAGCAAATGTCAAAAAAATTTACTAGCAAGACTGAAGCCTCATTAACATTCTCTTATGCCAGTCAGGATTATGTCTACTTTCAGAGAGAGAAACCAACGCCAGAGGAAGCCGCACTCCCTGGACAATGTTGTTAAACTTTCCTTCTTCTGACATGATTAAAATTAGCAATAGGCCTTCTTATGAATTGTTTCTTATATCCCACATGGCTTGACAAATCACAATACCTCAACTGCTTTTTCTAGTTGACCATGGTGAAATGTTATGGCTATAGTTAGATGACAGCAAACAAATATTTTAGCAGGGAATAAACCCATCTTTGATGTAACATTATAAATGACTCTTACCTATAAAATTGACTCCTGTGTTTCTTTTTAAAACATTTTTTTCAGCCACTAAAAACTTTTTTAGTGTTTTTTGTTTCTAAGAATTCGTGGTTTAAGAATCTGTATGATTTTAATTATGATACCTAACATCTCTGGGCCTGATTTTTATATATGTAACATTAAGAAGCTAGACTAAACCCCTATGATCCCTTCCAGTTCTAAAATCTATTATTCTGGTTGTATTTATATAAATTACCCCAGGACTGTTTTATAATTGAAAACTAAACCAGCAATATTTGACAATGAGAGATATTTTGAGTTAGAAATAGAGTAGTAGTTAGGCTGTCTCTTACATTGTGAGAAACACTCTAAAATACACATTTTATACACATTTTTCTAAAAACTTTTGGTATTTTTCAACAAAACTAGTGAAGTAAAAATCACATGCAATTCAGCTTTATCACAGGTGACATATGGGGAACAATGCAAAACAAAGAAAACCACAATTATATAACTTGAGACTTCATGTTGAATCCTCTTAAGATGTCTCTACGAAATTTTAACTACATTTGCAGTTAAATGAGAATGTTCTTTCAATGACAAAAAAAAACTCATTACTTTATATGTATAGGGATATGTAAAAATATACATATAAATACGTATGTAAAATACAAAATAAAAATGTAAATATATGAAAGTACAATATGAAATAGGCAAATATATTTATATAACGTAAAATGTATATGTTATATATATAGTCACTATTTTGAATCAGAGAACAAAAGTACTGTCACTTATAACATCCTTTTTAATTCAAAAAATTCATATTCTCTCCCGGAGTTGGAAGATTACTAAATAATAGAACAAAAGTTGACTTGAAAACAGAAAAAAAAAAATCTTCTCTAGGTCTGTAATGTATATTTAACAAGCAGTTACAATACAAAAAGCCTGAATATAATTATAAGAGTGGTATGTATGAGGCTAGTCAATATCGTAATGGTGATTCAATTTTGCTAGTTTCGCTGAAAATTTTCTGCTAAGATTTCTGAGCTAAATGTATAAGGAAAAGTCATTAACACATTCATTTGGGTTTTTTTTCCTATTCCATCTAATTCCTAAAATAACCTGGCTGGCTGACACACGTACATACAGCATGATAGGGTGAAAATAGGTAAAGAAAGCAAAACAGAAGAAAAAAAGAAGTGAATACAACAGATGTTTCTATACCATTATCTCAGCAGCATCCTTATAGTCTGAATATACTGTGTGTCCTACACCTGATTTTTGTAACCTCCCCAAGCGGGAGCATAACAACAGAGTTAAGATCAGAAAACGCAGTTCTGCCAAGGGCTACCACTAAAATCACATCAACATTGCTACTCAATGATATTGTGGGATGGAGAAGAGCCATTCCTGGTTCTTCCCCATCCCACAGTGTGGAGAAACTACCCCCATCTCTAAACTCTCTATTCTTCCTAGAGCTCATCAGTCCTCTTTGATCACATTTAGAACTTTCTGCCTTATAATTTCATTACCAATGCTCCCCGACTTATCGTGAGGTTACATCCTGCTAAACCCATTTTAAGTTGAAAATATCCTAAATAGAAAATGCACTTACTGCACCTAGCCTACTGAACATTAGAGCTTAGCCTAGCCTACCTTAAACATGTCCAAATAAATAAATAAAAATAAAAAAGATTGTATTAGTCAGGGCTTTCCAGAGAGACAGAATCAACGGGATAATATATATGTATATATGCTAATTGCATATAGGCTCATGTGATTGTGGAGGCTGCCAAGTCCAAAATCTGCAGTATGGGCTGGCAGGCTTGAAATCCAGGAAAGCCAACAGTCCAGTTCCAGTACAAAGGCTGGCAGGCTTGAGACCCAGGAGAGCTGAGGGTGCAGATGAAGTCTGAAAACAGTGTGCTGGAGAATTGTCTCTTGCTCGTGGAGGCCATTTTTTGTTTGTTTGTTTGTTCTATTCAGGCCTTCAACTGACTGGATGAGTCCCACACACATTATGGAAGACGATCTGCTTTACCCTAAATTTGTCAATTTAAATGTTGATTTCATGCAGAAACACCCTCCAAGTTGATACATAAAATAAACCCACACAGGCCAGGCACAGTGCCTCACGCCTATAATCCCAGCAATTTGAGAGGCTAAGGTGGGCGGATCACCTGAGGTCAGAAGTTTGAGACCAGCCTGGCCAACGTGGCAAACCCCGTCTCTATTAAAAATGCAAAAATTAGCTGGGCGTGGTGGTGCACGCCTGTCATCCCAGCTACTTGGGAGGCTGAGGCAGGAGAATTGCTTGAACCCAGGAGGCGAGGTTGCAGTGAGCCGAGATCACGCCACTGCCCTCCAGCCTGGGCAACAGAAAAAGACTCCGTCTCTAAATAAATAAATAAATAAATAAACCAAAACAATGATACAGTGATACACTAATACTATTTCTGTATTGGAGGCCAAGCTTGTAGCTAAAGTTGGTTTTATTGGTTTTTCACATCTACAATATTTCATCTGAAAGGGTAGCACTAAATGCTTGCTGCCAAATCTGCATTTGGTTACACTTTGTTCTTTTCCTGTGCGTGTAAAATTTCCAGTAAAGATTCTTACTATGAAAAAAAAATACATTACAGTAAAGACAAGTGTGATCATGTTTATAGATATTTTAGTATTTTCATGTCTTTAGCTGCAGATTACTGTGTGACATTCAGATGAGTCATTTTATTTTATTTATTTATTTTTTTTGAGATGGAGTTTTGCTGTTGTTGCCCGAGCTGGTGTGCAATGGCACGATCTCAGCTCGCTGAGATTACAGGCCCCCCCCACCATGCCAGGCTAATTTTTGTATTTTTAGTAGAGACGGGGTTTCACCATGTTGACCAGGCTGGTCTCAAACTCCTGACGGCAGGTGATTCACCCGCCTCAACCTCCCAAAGTGCTGGAATTACAGGTGTGAATCACTGTGCCCGGCCTCAGATGAGTCTTGACATGAGGTCTAGTGAAATTTTTGTTTCTGCTTCAGTACTATTATATAACATAAAGTATTTATTTTTAATATAAACACCTTTTAAAACATTATCAACCAATAGACAGACATGTATATGTAATTACAAATGTAAATGTAATTACATATACTAATGTAAATATATTTATATATACAAATATGCACATACATTTCTTATTGGTTGATAATGTTTTTAAAGGATATACATATTTGTGTTAGAAATATGTATATTTCTCACACAAAATATGCTTATGTTCTAGTGCACACACACGTACACACGCACGGCATTTATTGGAAAAAATTTATAATGATGTTACTAAGAGCAAAAAGAAGAATGCAAATGTAACATCATCAAGTGTCAAAATTATTATTTCTCTTAAATAACCTTTTTCTCTTGAGGGTTCTGGAAGAACAGAATCTGCTGCTTTCCTTCCACCTTGCATCCTTTACCTATTTTTACCCCACTGTTCAGGTTTAGATGGAATGAGCCAGAGCTGTGAAAAAAATTGTTATGGGTATCACTAAATTAACTAGGTGTCAAAGTGAGATTCAATTATTCCAGCTTCATTCATTCATTCAGTGTAGATTTATTGAGCACCGTGCAAGGTTTGGGAGATTTAGTGTGAGCAAGACAGACCTTGGCCCTGCCTTTATGGGACTGGGATTTACAATCTGCTGATTAAGGCGGTGTATTCCGCCTGGAAGTCAAGGCCTCGCACGCCATCACATTAACTTACCTTCCAGCTTCATCTGCCTTTATTCCCTTCACTCATTCCCGCCCCTGGCATATGGCTTCTCTTCCTAACTCCCCATTTCCAGGGAAGCCCTTCTGCCTGTCCACGAGTTCACATTCTCTTCACTCTTCAAGACCCTGCCCACCTGCCTCTTTGTGAGCCATTCCTGGTTCTTCCTCACCCAACAGTGTGGAGAAATGCCCCCCCTCCATTTCTAAACTGTCTATTCTTCCTAGAGCTCATCAGTCCTCTTTGATCCCATTTAGAACTTTCTGTCTTATAATTTCAGTATGAATGCTCCTTAACTTATCATGGGGTTACAACCTGATAAGCCCATTTTAAGCTGAAAATATGATAAATAGAAAATGCATTTAATGCACCTAACCTACAGAACATCAGAGCTTGGCCTGGCCTAGCTTAAACATGTTCAGAACACACTTTAGTCTGCAGCTGGGCAAAATCATCTGACACAAAGTTTATTTTATAATGAAGTGAATAAAGTGAAACATAGTGATAGCCTGGGAAAAGATCAAAATTCAAAATTTGAAATATGGTTTCTACTAAATGCTTATTGCTTTTGCACCATTGTAAAGTCAAAAATCATAAATCGAACCACTGTAAGTGGGGGACCAGCTGTATTTGCACGCATGACTTACCTCCACCACTAGATTGTTAATTCCCTTAAGACAGGATCCAAGGCTATTTATTCCTGTTACTGTACCTGTCACAGCACCCTGCGTGTGACAGATGCTTGTGGGACAAATACATTAATGAATGGGTATGGGCAAATCACTTAAACTCATTTAGTCTGATGTGAAAAGTGAGTTGGGGTGCAAACATCAACATTCCAGTTCTAGAAATGTTTGCAATGACAACTTTCCATCCTACTTCCCCTTAAATATTGAAGGATATGATTAATATCTCAATCTTATGTAGAAATCTGGATCCATAACCTTGATTTTAAAGGGTGTAGAGAAACCTTTTCTGGCCCTCAGTCCCTGCCTTCTTCAGACCCAACCAATCTTCAGTCAGACAATATCAATCTTGACACTCATCTTCCTCGGGAGCAGAAATCTATTCCTCCCATTTCCCTTCCCTCACATCTCAAATCACCCCTTCTCTGATGCTTTCCTAATCCTTTTGTGATCTTTCCACAGATCTATTTCACCTCCCTGTCCAGACTTGACACCTTACACATCCAGATGCATCAAATTCCAGTTCACACTTTTCCTCTAACCCATCACAGACTTGCATAACTTTGCTCAGAATATGACTGCTCCTCAGAATTCTTTTCCTCTATTTCTGCTTCCTAAATATGTTCTTAGCCTTCACAATTCAATTTACTGCCTTTTTCTTTGAGAAACCTTTCCTGACCTCCCAGGTGGAAGCCCTCCTTCTTGGGTCTCCTGCAATAGGCATCTGTTTAAAGCACTTTTTAATTAGTACCTGAGATAGTTTGGCTGTGTCCCCACCCAAATCTCATCCTGAACTGTAGTTCATGTGTCATAGGAGGGACCCGGTGGGCAGTCATTGGATCATGGGGGCAGTTTCCCCCATGCTGGTCTCATGATAGTGAATTAGTTCCCATGAAAGCTGATGGTTTTATAAGGGGCTTTTCCCCCTTTGCTTGGCACTCCTCTCTCCTGCCGCCTTGTGAAGCAGGATGTGTTTGCTTCCCCTTCCACCATGATTGTAAATTTCCTGAGGCCTCCCCAGACATGCAGAACTGTGAGTCAATTAAACCTCTTTCCTTTATAAATTACCCAGTCTTGGGTATTTCTTCATAGCAGTGTGAAAGTCAGCTTTACGCTCTGCACTTAGTAGTCTTGGGTTTAAATTCTGCCTCCACCACTTACTAGCTGTGTGACCTTGGACAAGTCACTAAACCTTACAAGCTCTCCATGAATAACAATGATAGTGCCAAAGGTTTAATAACAATAATACTTGCCTCAGTGGGAGGTTATGAAGTTAGAGACAATGCACATAAAAATAAGCCATTTATGATGGAATCTCTCACATAGTAGGACATGGTGGCATGTGTTCATCAAAGAGGGATATCTCCTCTACCTCTGCCACAGTGCCTTACCCATAGCGGGTACTCAACATGTTTGTGGATTGAATATGGGAGGGGTGGGATTATGAGTTCAGTGTGCTGTAAAAATTGTATCTCCTTGGCGGGGCACGGTGGCTCATGCCTGTAATCCCAGCACTTTGGGAGGCCGAGGTGGGCGGATCACGAGGTCAGGAGATTGAGACCATCCTAGCTAACACAGTGAAACCCCCGTCTCTACTAAAAATACAAAAAATTAGCCAGGCGTGGTGGCGGGCGCCTGTAGTCCCAGTTACTCGGGAGGTTGAGGCAGGAGAATGGCGTGAACCTGGGAGGCGGAACTTGCAGTGAGCCGAGATCACGCCACTGCAGTCCAGCCTGGGCGACAAAGTGAGACTCCGTCTCAAAAAAAAAAAAAAATTGTGTCTTCTTGAATATGAAAGTGAAGAGCACCCCTCACTTTGGCAGAGAGCCAGAAGCCAGAACAAGGCTGAAGCTAAGCTGAATCTTGCCAAGATAATAAAAATGCATGAAAGTATCTCATGATTATTACTTCTCTCAGCATTTCAGGGATAAAACTATGTTAAAGGTTAAAAAAAAATTTATGAGATGAAGTTTCACTCCATTGCCCAGGCTGGAGTACAGTGGCATAATCATGGCTCACTGAAGCCTTGATTTTCCAGGCTCAAGCAATCCTCCCACCTCAGCCTCCTGGGTAGCTGAGACTACAAGCACATGCCTGGCTGATTTTTTTCTATTTTTGGTAGAGATGGGATTTTGCCATGTTGCCCAGTCTGGTCTCAAACTCCTGAGCTCAAGCCGTCCTCCCACCTCGGCCTCCCAAAGCGCTGGGATTACAGACATAAGCCACCATGCTTGGCCTAAAATTCTTTACAAAGGAAAAAAATTCTTAAAAATCAAAATCAAAGACCGGGCGCGGTGGCTCACACCTGTAATCTCAGCACTTTGGGAGGCCAAGGCAGGCAGATCACGAGGTCAGGAGATCAAGACTATCCTGGCCAACATGGTGAAAACCCGTCTCTACTAAAATACAAAAAATTAGCCGGGCGTGGTGGCAGGCGCCTATAATCCCAGCTACTCAAGAGGCTGAGGCAGGGGAATCACTTGAACCCAGAAGGTGGAGATTGCAGTGAGCCGAGATTGCACCACTGCACTCCAGCCTGGCAACGAAGTGAGACTCCATCTCAAAAAAAAAAAAATCAAAATCAAATTGCCAATTTTTGTTCCCAATACCATGACTCTCTTTTCCATTTAGAGATCAGGCAGGAAAATTCCATGCAACACTGGCAATTTATGAATGATACTGAAAGTCAGACTAGAAAGTGGAGTTTTGTTTTTCCGAGGATCAAGTTATTTCCAAGAGCTCTGAGGTACTGATGCTGGAAGAGACTGAGATGAGAGGTTAAGCCATCTGTAATTCAAACAAACCCATGGAAAGTATGCAGGAAAATGAAACTGA
Organism: Homo sapiens; assembly: GCF_000001405.40. Classification (NCBI taxonomy): domain Eukaryota; kingdom Metazoa; phylum Chordata; class Mammalia; order Primates; family Hominidae; genus Homo; species Homo sapiens. The sequence goes on along the minus strand of NC_000001.11, from coordinate 13,679,795 downwards.
CGCCAACCTTGGCAGAGAAAATGATTTCCGAAGAAACTGTTTTTCCAATTAGAAGAAAATGAGTTTGGTGGCAATAAAGTTGGGAAGAAAGCAGTCAAGTAATATGGCTATGGGGTAGAGAGGAGCCACCCTGTGGGAAGGTATGGTGTCACATGACAGCAGAATGAACTAGAGATGGAGAAGTTGGTTATCAAAGCTAAATTCTGTGCCTAACCTCAGTAAGATCTAGAAAGCAAGCTGTACCTGCCATCAGCTTTTTACTATGGAACCAGGGTCTGTATGAACTTACAGATTAATGTTTTAACTTTAAATCACAGATCCAGTTAGAAACACCAAAAAAAGATACAATGTGAAGACACTTTAGCTCTGGCCCCTTGATTCTATTTTCTTGTCTGCATTAGAAGTTAAATTCCAAATAAACACTGCAGGAAACCTGAGAAAGAAGCTAGGATCTTCAGTTATATGAGATCTGCTTGCTGTCCATGGGAACCCCAAAACTCATCAATGAAGCTTTGTTACCACCAGAGTCAGATGACCTCCACCATCATGAGTTCCATGTTAGCTGCTAGGGATATAAAGATGAATAGAATGAATAACCCTGCTTCTTTAAGTAGAGAAACACCAACAGAAAGAAGTTTGAAATTAGATGGAGCAGACTCTGCTGTTTGTCTGCCCAGGTTGTCTTCACCTTTTTTGCTTACATAACAGAAGCCATATTTTGTTCAGTTGTCCTCCCCAAGAGGATATCGTCTTGGAGGTGGAGCTGGAATAGGCTAATCTAATCATGATAATCCCACTCCTTTTTCTATAATAGGTGGGAAAATCAGAATGCAGCCAATCAGTGTGTGCCTCATATGGCTTTGCTGTGTCCCCACCCAAATCTCATCTTGAATTGTAGCTCCCATAATTCCCACGTGTTGTGGGAGGGACCTGGTGGGATGTAATTGAATCATGGGGTGGGTCTTTCCTGTGCTGTTCTCATGATAGTGAATAAGGTTCAAGAGATCTGATGGTTTTATAAAGGGCAGTTCCCCTACACATGCTCTCTCTTGCCTGCCACCATGTAAGACGTGACTTTGCTCCTCCTTTGCCTTCCACCATGATTGTGAGGCCTCCCCAGTCATTTGGAACTATGAGTCCATTAAACCTTTTCCTTTATAAATTAGCCAGTCTCAGGTAAGTCTTTATTAGCAGCATGAGAACGGACTAATACAGTGCCATTCTCCTGGAAGCTGTTATTGTACTGGGATTGGACATATGATTATTTCTGGAGACAATTCAAGTGAAGGGAAGAGCTAAAATCCCACAATTGATAGTCTGTTTTTCTCTTTTCCTCTTTCCTGTTAGACATGAACAAAAAAGAATGTCACCCCAATTTTACCTGCAGTCACTTGTGACGTTACATGAAACAGCTTGAGCATAACACTTACACAGAAAAGAGAGAAGGGCCGAGAGAATCACAAAAGATCCCAGCCCAGAACATCCAATCCCAGGAACCTGCCCTACCTCAGATCAGTGCTGTCCAATCAAAATAGAATGTGAGCCATATACATAATCTTAAATTTTCTAGTGGCAATTACTGAAAGAGTAAAAAGAAACAGATGTCATTGTAATCCATGCTGTCTGCATGAAATATTCAAATATCAAATACTGATGTAACAACCTCAGAAAAGAAGAACAAAGGTAGAGGATTCTTACTTGGTTACTTGGTTTCAAAAGTTACTACAAAGCTACAGCAATCAAGAGTGCAGTACTGGAAACAACCTAAGTGTCGTTTAATGGATGACTGGATGATGATTTGTGGCATATATAGGCAACAGAATATTATTCAGCCATAAAAAGGAGATCCTGCCATTTTCAAGAACATGGATGAAACTGGAAGACATTATGTTAAGTGAAATAAGCCAGATACAGAAAGAAAAATATTGTATCATCTCTCACATATGTGGAATCTTTTTAAAAAAAGTCAAATACATAGAAACAGAGAGTAACACAGTGGTTACCAGAGGCAGGATTTGAGGGAAAGAATGAGGAGACACAAGTCAAAGGGCACACAGTTGCAGTTATGAATATAAGTCTAGGGATCTAATGCACACCATGAGTACTACAGTTAATAATTTTGTATTATATATACTGAGAATTTGCTAAGAGAGACAATTTTAGGTGCTCTTACCATAAAAAAGAAAGTTAACTATGTGAGATGATGGATATGTTAATTGGCTTGATTGTAGTAATCTTTTCTTGACTATAGTAATCATTTTACTCTGTATATGTATATCAAAACATCATACTGTACACCTTAAATATATACAATTTGAAAATAAAAGCTTGGCACAGTGGTGCACACTTGTAGTCTCAACCACTTAGGAGGCTGAGGTGGGAGAGTTGCTTGAATCCAGGAGTTTGATTCCAGCCTGGGCAATATAGTAAGATCCAATCTCAAAAAAAAAGTGTGATGGTGGCATAGGAACAGACATGCATCAGTGGAATAGAATCCAGAGACTGGAAATAAACCCATACAGTTATGGTCAATTGATTTTTGACATTGCCAAGAAAATTCAATGGGGAAAGAATAATCTTTTCAACAAATGGTGCTGGAACAACTGCATAGCCACATGCAAAAAGTGAGGTTGGACCCCCAACTGATATGGTTTGGATGCTTGTCCCCTCCAAATCTCATGTTGAAATGTAATCCCCAGTGTCGGAGGTAGAGCTGGTGGGAGGTGTTGGATCTTGGGGGTGGATCCCTCATGAATGGCTTGGTGCCATCCTCATGGTAATGAGTGAGTTCTTGCTCTGAGTTCACAGGAGATCTGGCTGTTTAAGAGTATGGTACTATCCTCCAACAAACTCCTTCTCTTACCCTGTGACACACCTGCTCCCTCTTCACCTTCCACCATGAGTGGAAGCTTTCTGAGCTCCTCACCAGAAGCAGATGCTGGTGCCATGTTTCCTATACAGCCTGCAGAACCATGAGCCAAATAAACCTCTTTTCTTGATAAATTACCCAGCCTCAGGTATTCCTTTATAGTAATGCAAAATGGAACAACACACCTACTTCTCACACTGTACATAAAATTTAACTCAATTGGGACCAGCCTGACAAACACAGAGAAACCTCGTCTCTACTAAAAATACAAAATTAGCCGGGCATGGCGGCGCATGCCTGTAATCCCAGCTGCTCGGGAGGCTGAGGCAGGAGAATTGCTTGAACCCAGGAGGCAGAGGCTGCAGTGAGCCAAGATCACGCCATTGTACTCCACACTCCAGCCTGGGCAACAAAAGCAAAACTTCATCTCAAAAAAAAAAAAAAAAAAAATTAACTCAAAATACTTAAATGTAAGAGATAAAACCATAGAACTTGTAGAAGAAAACAGAGGAGTAAATCTCTATAGCATTTGGTAGGCAATGGTGTCTTAGATGTGATAACAAAAGCAAAAACAACTAAAGAAAAAAACAAATAACTCGAACTTCATCAAAATTAAAAACTCTTGGCTGGGAGCAGTGGCTCATGCCTGTAATCCCAGCAGTTTTGAAGGCTGAGGCAGGTGGATTGCTTGAGCTCAGGAGTTCAAGCCTGGGCAACATGGCGAAACCCAATCTTCACAAAAAATACAAAAATTAGCCAGGCATGGTGGTGGGTGCCTGTAGTCCCAGCTACTCGGGAGGCTGAGATGGGAGGATCACTTGAGCCTGGGAGGCAGAAGTTGAAGTGGGCCAAGATTGCACCACTGCACTTCAGCCTGGGCAACAGAGCAAGACCCTAGTCCAAAAAAAAAATTAAAACTCCTGTGCATCAAAGGACATTATTAAGAAAGTACAAAGCAACCCAGACAATGGGAGAAAATATTTATAAATCATATATCTGATAAGGGTCCGATCTCCAGAATATATAAAGAACTGTTACAAATCAACAATAAAAAGAATAATAGCCCCATTTTTAAAGGGGCCAAGGATTTGTATAGACATTTCTCCAAAGAAGATATACAAATGACTAATAAACCCATGAAAAGATGTTCAATTTCATTTGTCTTTAGGGATATGCAAATCAAAACCACTATAAGATACTACTTCACACCACTGACATGGCTATCACCAAAAAGGCAGACAATAGCAAATGTTGACAACGATGTGGGAAATTGGAACCTTCATTCATTGCTGATGGGAATGTAAAATAATGCAGCTGCTTTGGAAAATAGTCTGGCAGGTCCTCAAAAAGTTAAACATAAGAGTTCCTGTGTGACCCAGCAATTCTACTTCTAGATAAATATCCAAGAAAATCGAAAACATATGTTCACACAAAAATTTGCACACAGAGATTCAATACAGCATCATTTCTAATAGCCCAAAAATGCAAATTATTTAGTTGTAAAACAGAATGAAGCACCAATAGTCAGTAAGAATGAACCTTGAAAACATTATACTAGTGAAAGAAGCCAGACACAAAAGCCACATATTGTATGATTGCACGTATACAAATTAGCCAAAATACCAAATCAAATCCACAGAGACAGAAAATAGATGTGTGGTTGCCAGGGCTGAGGACAGAAAGAAATGACTGCAAATGGGGTGATGCACGTTTTCTGCAATTCTTTTGGGGTGATGAAAATTTTCTGCAATTTGGTGATTGCTGTCCAACTTCCTGCATATGCTAAGAATCACTGGATTGTGTAGTTTAATGGAGTGATTTTATGGTATGCCAACTCTACCTTCATTTTTAAAATTGCAAAGATAATCAAATCTCTATCACTGAATTACATCCTTTGAGCATGTGGTGCAATAAACTAAGCTGTAAGTACACTTTGAATACATAGGCTGAGAAGGAAAGTACCACAGATGACTGAAGGGAAAACTAAGTGAACACCTTTTTTTTTTTTTTGGATGCAGGGGTAATTTTTCTGATTTGTGTCAAAATGGCAAACCAGTGCAGGTTGCAGTTTCCTTGCCCCCAAAATCAACCTTGGAGAAATGATTTTTATTTTATATTTTATTTTATTTTATTTTATTTTATTTTATTTTGTGAGATGGAGTTTCACTCTTGTTGCCCAGGCTGGAGTGCAATGGCATGATCTGAGCTCACCACAACCTCCTCCTCCCAAGTTCAAGCGATTCTCCTGCCTCAGCCTCCTGTGAGAAACGATTTCTTAAAAAACAGAGAGTATGGTTTCCACAAACAAACGAAAACAGGAACTGAAGTTAGACATCCTAACTGAAGCTGCCCAGGAGGGGCTGTGGGATGTTGGTGATTCCAGCCGGGGCAGAAGCAGCTGGCGGTGGCATGAAGAGCTCAGACTGGGGGAAAGATCTTAAGTCCTGCTCTTGCTTCTTCCCCCAAGTGACCCTGGCACCATTATTAGCTCCCTCTTGACTGCAGAAATCCCAGGTCACTGGTGTCTGAGGGCAGCACAAACCTCCACTGGGCTGAGGACTTGATGAAATAGATGTGGGCCAACTGGCTGCTTTCTGGTCATCTCAACAATACCCTCTGCCTCCAGATTCCCAGGGTTCGTGGATCTCAGTCCAGACAAACTGCCTCCTCTTCATCCTGCTTCTCACTGAGAGTGTACAATTGTAAGCATACATGCTGCTAACTCTACGGCTCCAACATTTATCAAGCAATGAGTAATGAGTTTTAAAACATAGATGAATCAAGAGGTATCATTAGAGATGTCAACAAACCTTCATAGAAACTCATAGGACAAGGAGATCAAAAATACAGATAAAAGCTGGGCATGGTGGTGCCCACCTCTAGTCCCAGCTACTCTAGAGACTGAGGCAGGAGGATCATTTGAGTCCAGGAGCTTGAGTCCAGCCTGGGCAACACAGCAAGACCCATAGTCTCTTAAAAAGAAAAACAAAAACTTCTCTTTGGGAAAAAAACACAGATAGCAAAGATCTAAAAAATATAATTAATAAATTCAAGCTATATAAATATACATATATAAACATATGTACACATGCATATGTTTATATAGAATACATATTACTTATATTAATATATGTTTGTATAATATGTATGTATACAGTTGTGAGAGGGAGAAGAAACTCTGTATATTAAAGAATAGAATATACCTTTTTTTTTTTTTTTCTGAGACAGAGTCTCACACTGTTGCCCAGGCTGAAGTGCAGTGGTGTGATCTCAGCTCACTGCAACCTCCGCCTCCTAGGCTCAAGCCATCCTCCCACCTCAGCCTTCTGAGTAGCTGGGACCACAGGCACATGCCACCAAGCCTGGCTAATTTTTTTATGAATACTTTTTTTTTTTTTGAGACGGAGTCTCGCTCTGTCGCCCAGGCCGGACTGCGGACTGCAGTGGCGCAATCTCGGCTCACTGCAAGCTCCGCTTCCCGGGTTCACGCCATTCTCCTGCCTCAGCCTCCCGAGTAGCTGGGACTACAGGCGCCCGCCACCGCGCCCGGCTAATTTTTTATATTTTTAGTAGAGACGGGGTTTCACCTTGTTAGCCAGGATGGTCTCGATCTCCTGACTTCATGATCTACCCGCCTCGGCCTCCCAAAGTGCTGGGATTACAGGCGTGAGCCACCGCGCCCGGCCTTATGAATACTTTTTGTAGAGATGGGATTTTGCTGTTACCCAGGCTGGTCTTGAACTCCCGAGCTCAAGCCATCCTCCTGCCTTGGCCTCCTGAAGTGCTGGGATTACAGGCATGAACCACTGTGCCTGGCCAGAATATATCATCTTTTTCTGCACATTTTTGAGTACATATGGAAAAAATATTAATAAAAATAGACCATAAATTAGGCCATAAAAGAAACCTCAATAAATTCCAAGGGAACAGGATCATACATAACATATTGACCAGGTTTTTCAGCTATAATGCAATAAAATTAGGATTTAATAACAAAAGATGACCACAGCAATACCATATGTCTGGAAAACTAAATAACTTTAAGAAACAACTTGGCTGGGCGCGATGGCTCATTCCTGTAATCTCAGCACTTTGGGAGGCCGAGGGGGGGTGGATCACCTGAGGTCGGGAGTTCGAGACCAGCCTGACCAACATGGAGAAACTCCGTCTCTACTAAAAATACAAAAGGAGCCGGGCATGGTGGCACATGCCTGTAATCCCAGCTACTTGGGAGGCTGAGGCAGGAGAATCGCTTGAACCCAGGAGGCGGAGGTTGCAGTGAGCCAAGATCGTGCCATTGCACTCCAGCCTGGGTGACAGAGCGAGACTCCATCTCAAAAAAGAAAAAAAAAAAAAAGAAGAAAGAAACAACTCATAGATTGTAGAGGAAACAAAAGGGAAACTAAAACATTCTCAACACTGAATGATAATAAAAATATTTCTTCCTTGCTCTGATAATACAATCAGAACGACTTCTATCAAGACTGGTGCTGTGTGTGTTGAGTTTCACAGCCAACCTGAGCCTCCTACTCAAGGGATGACACTGCATGATTTTAGCACTGAAGCTATAAGAGGTTCAGATTTTTAAGATCAAATTGTGATGCACCTGGTCTAATCATAAAGAGTTTGATTTCTTCTTCCTTACAAATCAGTAATTTTCAGGCTGGGTGCAGTGGCTCACGCCTGTAATCCCAGCACTTTGGGAGGCTAAGGCAGGCGGATCACCTGAGGTCAGGAGTTTGAGACCAGCCTGGCCAACATGATGAAACCCTGTCTCTACTAAAAATACAAAAATTAGCCGGGTGTGGTGGTGGGCACCTGTAGTCCCAGCTACCTGGGAGGCTGAGGCAGGAGAATCGCTTGAACCCAGGAGGCGGAGGTTGCAGTGAGCTGAGGTCACACCACTGCACTCTAGCCTGGGCGACAAAGCGAGACACTGTCTCACAAAAAAAAAAAAAAAAAAAAAAAGGCCGGGCGTGGTGGCTCATGCCTGTAATCCCAGCACTTTGGGAGGCTGAGGCGGGCGGATCACAAGGTCAGAAGATCGAGACCATCCTGGCTAACACAGTGAAACCCCCTCTCCACTAAAAAGTACAAAAAAAAAAAATCAGGAATTTTCTATACTCCATGAAGAAGTAACTCAATGAAGTATTATTGGAAATAATCTTAGTAACACATTCAAATGCAACACAACAAAAAGGAATGCTTACCTGACAATAGCAGCCAAAGTGGAGAGAGGAATTCATAGTTGACTACCTCCCAAATGGACACAGAATCTTCCAGCTTCAAATGGACTTGCTGGTTGGGTGAGCCTGGGAAGCAGCCTGGGAAGGAGACTTCCCTGAGAGATCGGTCTGTGATTTCTAGTCCTTGTTCTAGCTGCATCTTCAGAGCTGCCTGGGAGAGCCACCAAATGCTTGCTGCCATTCTCAATGTCACAAATTATGAATTAGGAACTTTTAAGTTAGTATATGAAGTGGACAAGTGTTGTTTTTACCTATGAGGCATTATGTCCCACTTTTTTTTTTTTTTTTCAGATGGAGTCTTGCTCGTTGCCCAGGCTGGAGCGCAGTAGCACGATCTCGGCTCACTGCAACCTCCACCTCCCGAGTTCAAGCCATTCTCCTGCCTCAACCTCCCGAGTAGCTGGGATTACAGGCGCACATCACCACACCTGGCTAATTTTTGTATTTTTAGTAGAGACAGGGTTTCACCATGTTGGCCAGGCTGGTCTCAAACTCCTGACCTCAGGTGATCCGCCCGCCTCGGCCTCCCAAAGTGAGAGGATTACAGGCGTGAGCCACCACACCCAGACAGGCCCCACTTTTTTTGACAGCAGCATCCTACATTTTTCTTGGGAAATTACCCCTCCCTGCTTCCAGGCTGTGTGGTCCATGTAGACGCCCTCCCGTGCTTGAGGGATGGCTACCTGTCCAATGAGCTCAGCATTTCTAGGGCATGGCGATGGCTTTACATCTGGGAAGACGGATCAGTGATTCATCTGCCCTGTGGGAGATTTTTGCAGGGTTGTTTTTTGTTGTTGTTGTTCTTGTTTTGAGACGGAGTTTCGCTCTTGTTGCACAGGCTGGAGGGCAATGGTGCGACCTCGGCTCACTGCAACCTCCACCTCCCAGGTTCAAGCGATTCTCCTGCCTCAGCCTCCCAAGTAGCTGGGATTACAAGGCATGTGCCACCACGCCCGGCTAATTATTTTTTGTATTTTTAGTAGAGACAGGGTTTCTCCATATTGATCGGGCTGGTCTTGAACTCCCTACCTCAGGTGATCTGCCCACCTTGGCCTCCCAAAGTACTGGGATTACAGGCATGAGCCACCACACCCGGCCACAGGGTTTTCTGTGAAAGGAACACTCTCTGTCGTTTTCAAAGCATAGGCAGTAAGGCACGTGAGTCTGGAGCAGCTTGGGGTCATCTTTGCCATCACTGGAACAGAGGCCTAGAATAAAGGCAACACAGAAAACAAAAACAAAAACAGGCAGTCAAGAGATGAAGAGGGACCGTTTCTTGATGACATCGTGCCTGAAGTTAGATGTATCCCTGAACTTTTTTATTACACAAGTCAATGAATTCCTTTTTTAAAAATTAAGCTAATTTGAGGTTTATCACTTGCAACAGAAAGCAGACTGACCAATATATCAACTAGTAAGAAATACAAGACAAAACCAACTGGATTTGGAACCAGATTTTGGTTCAACCTGTCCATCATCAACGAAAGATGTAGGCCTTCTTGATTATTAAAAAGTCAAGAAACAACAGATGCTGCCGAGGCTGTGGAGAAATAGGAATGCTTTTACACTGTTGGTGGGAGTGTAAATTAGTTCAACCATTGTGGAAGACAGTGTGGCGATTCCTCAAGGATCTACAAACAGAAATACCATTTGACCCAGCAATCCCATTACTGGGTATATACCCAAAGGATTATAAATCATTCTACTATAAAGACACATGCCCACATATCTTTATTGCAGCACTATTCACAATAGCAAAGACTTGGAACCAACCCAAATGCCCATCAATGATAGACAGGATAAAGAAAATGTGGCACATATACACCATGGAATACTACACAGTCATAAAAAAGAATGAGTTCATGTCCTCTGCAGGGACATGGATGAAGCTGGAAGCCATCATTCTCAGCAAACTTACACAGGAACAGAAAACCAAACACCACATGTTCTCACTCATAAGTGGGAGTTGAACAATGAGAACACATGGACACAGAGAGGGGAACATCACACACCAGGACCTGTCGGGTGGTGGGGGGCAAGGGGAGGGAGATCATTAGGACAAATACCTAATGCATGTGGGGCTTAAAACCTAGATGATGGGTTGATGGGTGCAGCAAACCACCATGGCACATGTATACCTATGTAACAAACCTGCATGTTCTGCACATGTATCCCAGAACTTAAAGTAAAATTTAAAAATAAATTAAAAAAATAAACTTTATGTGTTAACTAGAAAGCAAAAAACAAAAAGATGGACGCCTTCTTAAAAGAGAAGAGAGTATTATCCTGCTCACTAATATAAACAATTATTATTCTTAATTTTAAAATGCCTCTTTGTGCTTAAATATCAAAGTGCTTTTATATATCAAATAGTAAATCAAATATGAAATCAAACATATATTTATATATCAAATATTAAATATCAAAGCACTATTAAATATCAATAGTGCTTAAGTATCAAAGAACTATAATGAAGTTTAAAATATGTTGACCTAAATGCAGATAGCTGCCTGTACAGCAGAGCTCCACTAAATACCCTACAGATGCAGCTAGTCTGAGAAACACTGATTGAGGTTTTCGTATTGCCACCCTTCTGTCCATGGTGGCTCCACAACATTCCCTCCCGCTCTATATGGAAGTGTGTGTTTTGGACATCGGTATATTCAACTCCTTTTTTCACAAGTCTGGTGAAAAAAACTTTAACCAGATAGAAAAACAATGAGATCGTCACTTATATAATCATATTGGCTCTTTCACTGATTTATGGGCAAGTTTTTGGGGTGCTCTTTAGAGTTGCCTTCTTGAAATTAGCCACAATGCACACTCTCTGCCTTCCCAGAAGGGCATTATAAAGGAAACAGGCCAGGAACAGTGGCAAGTGCCTGTAATCCCAGCTATGTGGGAGGTTGAGGCAGGAGGATCACTTGAGCTTGGAAGTTTGAGACGAGCCTGGGCCACAAAGTGAGACCCCATCTCAAAACAGAAAGAAAAGAATACAGGGTCTACCGAGGAAAGGAACTGGAGCATATGTATAAAAACCTGAGCATGAGGCCGGGCACGGTGGCTCACGCCTGTAATCCCAGCACTTTGGGAGGCCGAGGCAGGCGGATCACGAGGTCAGGAGATCGAGACCATCCTGGCTAACACGGTGAAACCGTGTCTCTACTAAATATACAAAAAATTAGCCGGTGGTGGCACGCGCCTGTAGTCCCAGCTACTTGGGAGGCTGAGGCAGGATGATGGCGTGAACCCTGGAGGCAGAGCTTGCAGTGAGCCGAGATCGCGCCACTGCACTCCAGCCTGGGTGACAGAGCAAGACTCTGTCTCAAAAACACAAAACAAAACAAAAAAAACCTGAGCATGAGTCGGGCGCAGTGGCTCACTCCTATAATCCCAGCACTTTGGGAGGCTGAAGCGGGTGGATCACCAGGTCAGGAGTTAGAGACCAGCCTAACCAACATGGTGAAACCCTGTCTCTACTAAAAATACAAAAATTAGCCAGGTGTGGTGGTGTGTGCCTGTAGTCCCAGCTACTTGGGAGGCTGAGGCAGGAGAATCACTTGAACCCGGGAGGTGGAAATTGCAGTGAGCTGAGATCATGCCACTGCATTCCAGCCTGGGTGATGGAGCGAGACTCTGTCTCAAAAAAACAAAATAAAACAAAACAGAAAAAACCTGAGCATGTTTGTATGCATGAATGCTTTCTGACAGGGCAAACCCAGATTACATATCAATATTTACATTAAAAAAGCAGAAGTATCCTCCAACCCAATGAGAATTTTAAACCTCTTCTTGCTGTCACTCTCATTTGCACTTGAAAAGAGCTGTCAGTCAAAGAACTTTTTTTTTTTCTTACTGGAGAGATGGTTCTCTTGGAAGACTACGTTTTTCTTTTTTAGGCTACAACATACTTCACGACTTAAAAGTGCTCATTTTCTTGAAATCACGTGGGCTTTATTTTTCAAGTCTTGAATTAGACAGATGTTACTCTGGATAAAAATATATCCATGGGGAAAGAATTATTTGCAACTCAGAAATGATAACCTAGTTCGTTTGGTGGCAAGCTAGGGCTGATAAAGTAATCTAATGTATAGGGGGTTTTTTGTTGGGTTTTTTTGGTTTTTTTTGAGACGGAGTCTCACTCTGTTGCTCAGGCTGGAGTGCAGTGGCACGATCTCGGTTCACTGCAACCTCTGCCTCCTGGGTTCAAGCGATTCTCCTGCCTCAGGCTCCCAAGTAGGTGGGACTACAGGCATGTGCCACCACGTTCAGCTAATTCTTGTAATTTTAGTAGAGACGGGGTTTCACCATGTTGGCCAGGCTGGTCACCAACTGCTGACCTCAAGCGATCCACCCGCCTTGGCCTCCCAAAGTGCTGGGATTACAGGTGTGAGCCACCACGCTCGGCTGGCCTAATGTATAGTTTTAAAAACCATAGTTGTTTTGGTTAAAGTAATGCAGAAAGGAGTCCTTTTCCTGACAGCTCAGCTGGTCTTCCAAGTGTGATTGTCAAAATGGTAGGGACTGACTAAAAAACAAACAAACAAACAAAAAGAAAAAAAAAAAACCAAAACTATTCTATGCCATAGTGAAACCTAATGCTGAATTTTTCTCCAAAAAAGAAGAAAGTGAGAACAAGCAAACCCCAGGGCTGCTGGGCCTGTCTGCAAAGGGTGAAAGCAGCAGAGGAGTCTAAATCGAACTGAATTGCAAGATTTCAGTTCTAAGCATGGCACATGTATACATATGTAACTAACCTGCACATTGTGCACATGTACCCTAAAACTTAAAGTATAATAATAATAAATTAAAAAATAAAAAAGTAAAAAAAAAAAAAAAAAGATTTCGGTTCTAAGAGAAGTTCCCCACGCAACTACCCCAACCCTTTCTAGAATGTTGTGTGTTCTCTGCACTGACTCCAGGGTTAACACATATCATGGCTCATTTGTAGACTTGCCATGTTCTTCCTTTTTCTTTGCTTTAACAACAACTGGCAGATACCCTTTCTTTTTATGGGTACTCTTGGCACTCTGGTTCTTAATTTGGTTTGGGGTGACTCTGTCGGTTTCCTTTGGCAGATGGCAGTCACAGGTGGCCTGGAGCCTGGGGCACACGCAGTCCCACCTGGTTCCCTTAAGGACTCCCTGGTTAGTGCTGAGGCCTAATAGCCTTGAACTCTCTGCCTGCATCCCATCTGCTGCGTGCTCTGAGCTCCCTGAGATGGGGCAGCCATGGTAGCTGCTGCTGTCAGCTGTCTTAGAGTTGGGAATTTACAAGGGCTGGTTGTCCCTGCCTCCCCATTACTCTCTTGCTCCTGTTGGTGTCCACATGGTGAAGCGATGCCCTTGCACGCCCACCCCCATTCCTGCTCTTCATTATGGCTGTTGACCAAATTCCCCTTCAGGCACTGGGTCCACATCCAGCCTCCCTTGTCCACACCCACAGCCCTAAGCCCAGGGAACAGCTTGTAACGCTCTCATTTCACTGTTCTTTGAAATAACAAGGTAACTTGGTACAGTGGAAAGACTGCGGTCTTTGAAGTTTGATGGTTTTGTGACCTTAGGCCATTCACCAGCGGTTCCCACTTTGCAAGGTTCCGGTGAGGACCTGGAATAAAGGCTATTCCTGGAACACGAATGGAGAACCCATTTCATAAGCAGTGCTTTCTGTTTGTTAACAGAGGCAGAAATGACATTGACGTAGCCCTCTTCTTTTACTTCTGCTGTGAGGCAGTGACTGTCAGAGCCGTCTTAACTTGATTGCTCCTAGTCCGGAAGGTTCTGTTCCTTTGGGCACAGCAGGGCTGTTTATGTGGAAGAAGGAGCCCTCTGGTGGGCATCAGGAAGAGTTGCAGTTAATTTGCAATTTGCTTGTCTCATTCAAGTGGTTTGCTCTGTTTTTTTAAGACGCACAATCACTGGTTGACCTGGATGCTGCGAGGTTACAAGAGATGAAATATGGAGGAGGCCTTCAGGGAGTTAAGCTATCCAACCCTTTCGTTTTGCTGGGGACCAAAAGATTGCCCGGGACCTCCTTCAGTGCTAAAATCCACCAAGTCTTGGACCAATCTAGACAAATTGGTCCCTTTAGGACTATCCCATTCACTTTGATGCTGGGCAGAAACCAGGCCTCTAAGGGTTGAAGCTCGGGGCTGACGGTTTAAATGGGAGCAAGGGGCTGGGCATGATGGCTCACGCCTGTAATCCCAGCACTTTGGGAGGCCGAGGCGGGTGGATCACCTGAGATCAGGAGTTCGAGACCAGCCTGGCGTAACCCCAACCCTACTAAAAATACAGAAATTATCAGGGTGTGGTGGCAGCTGCCTGTAATCCCAGCTCTCAGGAGGCTGAGGCAGGAGAATCACTTGAACCCGGGAGGTGGAGGTTGCAGTGAGCCGAGATCACACCACTGCCCTTCAGCCTGGGTGACAGAGCATGACTCCGTCTCAAAGTAAATAAATAAAATAAATAAATGGGAGCAAGGATTGAGCAAAGGCTGGAAAGAGAATCAATTTCCTGCAAGGATGGGATGTAAGGGGACCATCAGATTAGAGACATGTATGGGAGGGGAAATGGGGAGCACTGGGTTCTTCAACTGTGTCTAAACTCTGTGATCAAGCTTCCTCTCCATTCCTCTAGGAAGTGGCCTTCATCAAAAGAAAGCCCTATGCTTTCAAATTTATGAACTATTGGCTAATCCGTTTTTCTCTTTTGGCAAGATAATTTCAAGGAGGTTTCTCTCTCCACCAAGGATTTGACGGGTGCGCTGTTACATCCCTTGGGGATGAAAAGGGAAACCCAAGTTGTCCTTTTCTTCCCCTAGTGCTTTGCTGATTTAAAATTAATATTTCCTAACTAATCACTAGAAGAGACTAATGATGGCTTAGTCATCAGGTATGGAACAGGAAGTAAAGAAAAGCACCATGCCCTACAGAAATTGGAGGGAAGACTAAGAACAGGAGACTGCAGTCACCTGGGCTGGAAATTGGCCAGGACCACACAGCTAACTCTTACCACTTAGGTGCAGATGTTTTCATGAGCGGAACACAGCAGCCTTCCAACTTGCTTAGTATCACTTTCCAAATTACTCAAGTGCCACCTTTGTTGCTCCTTGGAAGTTGCCCTTGCAAAGACTTGCCCAGTTCAGTCCCTGCCCAGTGATTCAAAGCTGATCATTTTCCATGGTAAAAAGGTCCTACTATTTACTCCAAGACTTTTGACTCTCCTTTCTATGGTAATGCTGTGCAGAGGAAATTTCTCAGGTTATTATTATAGAACGGTGGTTTTTCAACTGGGGGTGATTTTACTCCCCCTAGCTGCTTCCAGGGATATGTGGCAATGTCTGGAGACATTTTGGTTTTCACAACTTGGTGAGTGCTACTGGCATCACTACCCATAATGGGTAGAGGCCAGGGAGGCTGCTCACCATCTTACATTGACAGGACAGCCCCACAACAAGGAAGTATCCAGCCCCAAATGTCAATCGTGCTGAGGTTGAGAAATCCCGCAGGAAGCCGTGGATCTTTTGATAGGGTTGTGCAATCATCACTACAGTCTAATTTACAATATTTTTATCCCCCTTAGAGAAACTTTTTACTCATTAGTAGTCAGTCCCTATTTCCATATTCTCATCTCCCCCCAGCGCCACCTCTTGGCCCTAAAAAACCACTAATCCACTTTCCATACATTAAAGGATGATACAGTTTCTTACTTCACAGAGTAGTATCATCCCTATTTACAGATAGGGCAACTGAGACCCAGAGAGGTGAATGTCTTACCGCTATTAAAGAGAGGACTCTATTACTCAATCCAAGGCAAGAACAGAGGTCACAACAAACTTTTTCCGTAAAGAGTCAGATAGCGAATATTTTAAGCTTTATGGGCCATATAGTCTCCATTGCAACTACTCATTTCTGCTATTGTAGAGTGAGTGCCGGCATAGACAATATGTAAACAAATTGGTGTGTCTGTGTTCAGATAAAACTTTATGGCCTGTAATCCCAGCACTTTGGGAGGCTGAGGCGGGCAGATCACAAGGTTAGGAGTTCGAGACCAGCCTGACCAAAGAGACCAGCCTGGCCAACATGGTGAAACCCTGTCCCTACTATAAATGCAAAAATTAGCCAGGCATGGTGGTGGGTGCCTGTAACCCCAGCTACTCAGGAGGCTGAGGCAGAATTGCTTGAACCCAGGAGGTGGAAGTTGCAGTGAGGTGAGATTGCACCATTGCACTCCAGCCTGGGCAACAGAGCGAGAATCCAACTCAAACAAAACAAAACAAAAAAACCCACTTTATTTACAAAAACAGTTGAAGGGCCAGATTTGGCCTGCAGGCTCTAGCTTGTCAATCCTGGAATTAAACCATTACAAAAGGCCTCACATTTACTTGGACAACCCCCACCCCTAATTCCTTCTTCTGCTTCCCTAGATCCATCCTCCCAGATGATCGTTACCCTAAAGTTTGTCTTTATCACTCTCTGACTTAAAAAAAAAAATCTGCTTACCTAAGCTGTGTGTTGTCAAAACAATGTGTTATCTTCTTTTACTGGGTTTGAGCTTTCAAAATGTCATCATATGGTGTGTGGTCTTTGGCTTTTAAAAATTCAGTCTTACGTTTCTAACATTTATGGCCATCGTGGATTCATTTTCATCACTGTGTGTAAAATACTTCATGGGGTGAGCATACTACAAGTCTTGTAAACACGCTCTCCTTGATGGACATGTAGGACAGTTTATTTGCCATTATAAACAATTATAAAACAATTCCTCTAGAAGCAGAATTGCTAGGTTAGAGGATTAAAAAGCTATTTATTTATTTATTTTGAGACGGGGTTGCCTAGGCTGGTCTCGAACTCCTGGGCTCAAGCAATCCTCCCACTGAGGCCTCCCAAAATGCTGGGATTACAGGCATGAGACACTGTGCCTGGTTTTTTTTTTTTTTCTTGTAAAAATGCCTGAGACATGTAAATTACACAGAGTCTGGAGTCAGCGTGACTTCCTGGCTAATTTCCACCATTTCTAGCTTTGTCATCTTGGGCAAATTGCTGTGCCTGTTGCTGAATCCTCTTTTCTTTGGGGGGGTGGGGTGCCTATGTGAAATGAAGATAATAATGGTATCCACCTCCTCATGTTGTTGTGAGGATTAAATGAAATAATCCCCGTAAATCTGTTATTAGCACACTGGTAGCACAGTTTAGGAGTTTAAGGAGTTTTTTCCTCACTTTGTATTTGTCACATGACTTCTCCCCACTAGGCTGCGAAGTTAGTAAGGGCAGTGTTAAAAGAAAAACTTCAGCTGAATTAATTTTAAATGAGTTTAATTGAACAATGCATGATTCCCCAATCAGGCAGCCCCCAGAATCACAGCAGATTTAGAGAAACTCCAGGGATGCCCCCTGGTCAGAACAAATTTATAGACAAAGAAAGGGAAGTGCCATACAGAAATCGGCAGTGAGGTACAGAAACAGCTGGATTGGTTACAGGCTGGTGTTTGTCTTATTTGAACACAGTTTGAACACTTAGCAGTCTCTGAGTGGTTGAAGTATGGCTGCTGGGATTGGCCAAGACTCAACTATTGTAATTGTTACAGGTGTATACTCCTAAATTAGGTTTTCAACCTTGTCTGCCTATTAAGCTAGGTTACAGTTCGTCCACAGGGGCTCGAATATAGAAGTACGGAGTCCTTCCCAGGCCGTATTGAGTTTGCATTAACAGCAAACTGGGTACTTTATCTCAGAAACATCAGTATCCACCATATGTCAGTTTTCAAATAAAGGTGTGTGAATGAATGAAATGATGAATGAAGGAATGTGTGAATGTGATCAGAACTGTGGCCCTGCCAGCTGCAGACACAGGTGTCAATGACCTGGGTGTCACAGTTTTGAGCATGGGGGTGAGGAAGGTGGGGAGGCAGCAACCAGCGTAGGACTCCCTCCGACTGGGTGGAGTGACTGCTTTGGGTCTGACCGCATTAGTCATAAGTAATTCCCTGGACTTCTGCCTTGGAGGAAGCCGTGCAGGTTTGCTGAGGGAGGCCCTGAAAGTCTGACTCTTGGAGATGAAGAGTCTGTGAGCTGCTTCTTTCCACTTGTGAGTAGCAGATGAGCTGCAGAAGAACTAACCTGTATTAGTCCGTTCTCACACTTCTATGAAGAAATACCCGAGACTGGTAATTTATAAAGGAAAGAGGTTTATACTTATAATCATGGCAGAAGGCAAAGGAGAAGCAGGCACCTTTTTCACAGGGTGACAGGATGGAGTGAGTACCAGATGATTATATAACCATCAGATCTCATGAAAAATCATTATCACGAGAACAGCATGGGGGAACCACCCCCATGATCCAATTACCTCCACCTGGTCCCCTTGACAAATGGTGATTATGGGGATTATGTGGATTACAATTCAAGATGATATTTTGGGTGGGGATACAACCAAACTATATCACTCACTATCACAAAGGAACTCAGCAAGACATGGGACTTTAACATTTGCAGGTCACATAAGCCACTATCATTAAAGTACATTGTCACTAAAGGCCAATTACCATTGAGTCAATTACTTTTCAGAGGCCAGAGCACACCAATAGGAAGTTCATTGTGTGTTGGGATTTTATAAATATATCCCTATAGACACACATGTATAATTTCTCTTTTTTTGAGACGGAGTCTCGCTCTGTCGCCCAGGCTGGAGTGCAGGGGCGCGATCTTGGTTCACTGCAAGTTCCGCCTTGCGGGTTCACACCATTCTCCTGCCTCAGCCTCCCCAGTAGCTGGGACTACAGGCGCCCACCACCACGCCCAGCTAATTTTTTTTTAATTTTTTAGTAGAGACGGGGTTTCACTGTGTTAGCCAGAATGGTTTCGATCTCCTCACCTCGTGATCCACCCGCCTCAGCCTCCCAAAGTGCTGGGATTACGGGCGTGAGCCACCATGCCCGGCTGACACACATATATAATTTCTTAATACAAACACATTACTCTGTGGGTTTGTATGTCTCTTTTTAAAATATATGCCAGATCTTAGAAATACTATAAAACAAAATGCTCTACCAGTAAAGTTTTAATTTTTTGATAATGACCTTTTAAAATGCAAGTTTTAACTTTAACAAGATAATTCTGTTTCCTGGGATTTTAGTTTTAAAAGTGCAGCCAGCATAGGCGGAAACTGTACACCACAGTCTTCCAGACGGGTGACTGATGGCTTTGTGTAACTGATGCATGCTTTAATATTTGCCTATAGCCCAGCAGCAAGGAAGTCGGGGTGGGGGGACTTTTTTTACCCTGCCACTTACAGCATTATGATTCTTTCTGGGCACTGGCATTTTGTGAAACCCTCAAGGGAAGGTGATGCAGGGGAGAAAATGTGAATTAAATTACATAGACGAGTCTTTTTATGTATTCTACCCCTTTCCTAGATCTAGTACAACTCTTAACTGTGCCAGGCCCCAGTTCACCAGCTTTTGTATCCAGTTGTCATCTCATTCAAGTATGGCTTTACTTGGTGACACTGGCCATAGCTAAGTTACTTGGCATGTTTGACTTTTGACAATAACAAAAATGGTTTTGGATTTTATTTCCAAAAAATGGATACCATGTCAAAACTTCACATTTTATAGACTAGTATCTGGCTATTAGTATTTTACAGGGACCATAGTTCTTGGTGACTATGTGTGTGTGTGTGTGTGTGTGTGTGTGTATATATATATATATATATATATATATATAACTTTTTTTGTAAACTAAATGCCATTTCAATGTTGCAGTTATTTTTAGAGTTATTGTAATCAATGTGAATATCATGTTTTTTCAAATCTGTAATGAGCCTATAGTATTTGCTTTCTGAAACTTAAGTGTATTGTATATATTCTGTATAGTTATATTGTATTAGCTTGTTTGATATAAGGAAAATATGTATTGAGTATCTTTTTGCTAGCCTGAATTGTTTAGTTTTTTTAAAAAAGGTTTAAACTTTTTTATTTTTTAATCTTTAAACTGCCCTTTATTACATGGTCACAAATAAAGTTGCAGCTAGGAAAGGGATGGGCAGAAAAAAAACTAGTTTTGAGTGTCTTTAGATAGAAACACGAGACTAAGATTTGGTTTTGTTGGGGTGATCAGATCCAACACCAGGTCGTGGGGGCAATGAAATCCGAGGGGGTCAAAGGAATGAGAAAAAGACAGTTTGAGAGAGAAAGTGGGACCAGGGGGCCATCGCGAGTGTGGATGCTGTGCCAAGGCCCGGAGCTCTGGGAGCCCACACCATTTATTGATGATCAAACAAAGAAACAGGTGGTGAGGATGTGGGGGTTGAAAGGAAACAGTGTATCAAGTGAATGAGAAACATATGGCTGCTTGAGATAATGGGAGTGCTAGAAGCAAGGAGCCAGCAAGTCTAGCAGACATGCAAGCCCTGCATCAGCTTCTCTCCCAACACTCAGCTTTTCTCATTAAAATATCTTTTTTTTTTTTCATATTTTAAAAGCATCTTTTTTTTTTTTTTTTTTTTTTTTTTTTTCACAGTTTCAACTATTTATTCAACACCTTAGTGAACACCTGCTCAGTGCGGGCATTATTATGTGTTAACGAGAGGTTTTTTTTTTTATTTTTATTTTTTATTTATTTTATTGATCATTCTTGGGTGTTTCTTGCAGAGGGGGATTTGGCAGGGTCACAGGACAATAGTGGAGGGAAGGTCAGCAGATAAACAAGTGAACAAAGGTCTCTGGTTTTCCTAGGCAGAGGACCCTGCGGCCTTCCGCAGTGTTTGTGTCCCTGGGTACTTGAGATTAGGGAGTGGTGATGACTCTTAAGGAGCATGCTGCCTTCAAGCATCTGTTTAACAAAGCACATCTTGCACTGCCCTCAATCCATTCAACCCTGAGTGGATACAGCACATGTTTCAGAGAGCACAGGGTTGGGGGTAAGGTCACCGATCAACAGGATCCCAAGGCAGAATAATTTTTCTTAGTACAGAACAAAATGAAAAGTCTCCCATGTCTACTTCCTTCTACACAGACACGGCAACCATCCGATTTCTCAATCTTTTCCCCACCTTTCCCCCCTTTCTATTCTACAAAACCGCCATTGTCATCATGGCCCGTTCTCAATGAGCTGTTGGGTACACCTCCCAGACGGGGCGGCTGGCCGGGCAGAGGGGCTCCTCACTTCCCAGTAGGGGCGGCCGGGCAGAGGCGCCCCTCACCTCCCGGACGGGGCGGCTGGCCGGGCGGGGGGCTGACCCCCCCACCTCCCTCCCGGATGGGGCGGCTGGCCGGGCAGAGGGGCTCCTCACTTCCCAGTAGGGGCAGCCGGGCAGAGGCACCCCTCACCTGCCGGACGGGGCGGCTGGCTGGGAGGGGGGTTGATCCCCCCACCTCCCTCCCGGACGGGGCGTCTGGCCGGGCAGAGGGGCTCCTCACTTCCCAGTAGGGGCGGCTGGGCAGAGGCGCCCCTCACCTGCCGGACGGGGTGGCTGGCCGGGCGGGGTGCTGACCCCCCCACCTCCCTCCCGGACGAGGTGGCTGCCGGGAGGAGACGCTCCTCACTTCTCAGACGGGGTGGCTGCCAGGCGGAGGGGCTCCTCACTTCTCAGACGGGGCAGTTGCCAGGCAGAGGGTCTCCTCACTTCTCAGACGGGGCGGCCGGGCAGAGACGCTCCTCACATCTCAGACGATGGGCGGCCGGGCAGAGACGCTCCTCACTTCCCAGATGTGATGGCGGCCGGGAAGAGGCGCTCCTCACTTCCTAGATGGGATGGCGGCCGGGCAGAGACGCTCCTCACTTTCCAGACTGGGCAGCCAGGCAGAGGGGCTCCTCACGTCCCAGACGATGGGCAGCCAGGCAGAGACGCTCCTCACTTCCCAGACGGGGTGGCGGCCGGGCAGAGGCTGCAATCTCGGCACTTTGGGAGGCCAAGGCAGGCTGCTGGGAGGTGGAGGTTGTAGCGAGCCGAGATCACGCCACTGCCGCTCCAGCCTGGGCACCATTGAGCACTGAGTGAAGGAGACTCCGTCTGCAATCCCGGCACCTCGGGAGGCCGAGGCTGGCGGATCACTCGCGGTTAGGAGCTGGAGACCAGCCCGGCCAACACAGCGAATCCCCGTCTCCACCAAAAAAATACGAAAACCAGTCAGGCGTGGCGGCGCGCGCCTGCAATCGCAGGCACTCGGCAAGCTGAGGCAGGAGAATCAGGCAGGGAGGTTGCAGTGAGCCGAGATGGCAGCAGTACCGTCCAACGGCTCGGCATCAGAGGGAGACCGTGGAAAGAGAGGGAGAGGGAGACCGTGGGGAGAGGGAGAGGGAGAGGGAGATTAAAATATCTTAAGCTTTTTGTTTTCTCATTAAAATATCTTAAGCTTTATGGAGTAAAACTTGCTGCTGTTGTTAAAAAATAAAAGAACCTTTTTTGGATAGCAAATGCATTTTCCAATCCTTTTCTTTATAGCCACAAAAAATAGCTATTGATATTGCATCCAGTTTAATCCTACCTCATAATCATCATGAACTAATGCTGGGTGTACTTGTATCAACTCATTAGATATCCTGGGTGTGTAAACAGTAATAATGGCAAAGCAGGTTAGCTGCCAACATAGCCACCAATGTCAAGTGCACCATAGAAGTCCTTAATTTTCTGTCTGTATAGACCCAGCAAGATGTTGTCAGAGCTGGCTCATAGACTGTGATTGGTGAGTCTGTTTGAAATTCCAGCTTTTCCATCATAGTATTAGATGTGATAAATGGGCTGGGGTCTGATGGTTAATAGCAGCCATCAAGGACAGCTAGAGTATCCTTCAGGCTAAATTAGGGTGAAATACCGAGAAACTGCAATGTGCTAACAAGATGTGTGAAAGCTACACAGATTTAAGGGCAGTTTTTTGTTTGTTTGTTTGTTTCCAAACACAAGGACCTTTTATTTCCTTCGTTACCCACCCCATCCTCAACTATCCTCCCAGGATTCTGACAACCGTGTCACTCTAGTTGCTCATTGGTTTTTCAGGTGAACAGCATCCTTCACCATTTTAAATGAAGATGTCTGTATTATTTAGTCAAGAGGGTAAAAATTATGTACTGTGGAAGGCACCTAAAAAGAGGTTAAGGCATTGAGATACAAGATTTCCCTATGACAAATGTTCTCTTTATTTTTCGTGGCAAATAATGTCTTCATTGATTCTTGCTACTAGCTGGTGCTAGGCTACCATTTAGTAAGCATGCAGTGACATTGAACTGGCCACGATTTGTCAACCTGTGTGGGTCGTTCCTCTTTGTTTGGCATAATGCCCTTAAATCATGTCCACAGTCTGGCTTATCAATAGAGAGGAAGCAGTTCTCACATTCCTGCCCAGGTGTTTGCAGCCTGTAGCTTCACTTACAAACACCGAAGAGAGGTCCTTTTGAATGCGATGCTCTTTAAACTCTCTTTCAACACTAGAATTTTCTGTTTTTCGTATTGTTTCCACCTCGAACACATAAACTTATTTTTTATTAGTCTTGAATTTTATAATATAAATGGTACCTATTTTTGGCTAGAGAGCTTAAAGACAAAGGTATCTGAATAAAAATACCCTCCCCAACAAAACAAAATAAATAAATAAATAACAAAAATACTAATCCCCAAATTTGTGCTGTTAAAAGTCCTCCCTAAAAAAAGTAACAGAACTGGCCTGGCACGGTGGCTCACACCTATAATCCCAGCACTTTGGGAGGCCAAGGTGAGCGGATCACGAGGTCAGGAGATCGAGACCATCCTGGCCAACATGGTGAAACCCCGTCTCTACTAAAAATACAAAACTTAGCTGGGCGTGGCGGCACATGCCTGTAATCCCAGCTACTCGGGAGGCTGAGGCAGGAGAATCGCTTGAACCCAAGAGGCAGAGTTTGCAGTGAGCCAAGATCGCACCATTGCACTCCAGCCTGGCAACAGAGAGAGACTCCGTAAAAAAAAAAAAAGCCAACAGAACTAGCTACCCAGAGCTCTCTTTTACTACTTACTATTTACCACTATTTATTATTTTGCATTGTGATATTTACATGATACATTTTCTGATAAATGTATTATTATACCCTCAACTAGACACACAAGCTCTTCTCTTCCTCTGTTGCCTATTTATATTTTCCTGAAAAATAAAACTGTGTTTTATTTTTCTTATACTGTATTTTCTTGGCCTCCTTTACAATGATGAGTAGTGATGGTGATAGATAGCAGGAATCTTTGTCCTGCTCCTGATAGCAAAGAAAGAGCTTTTGCCACTAATGTATTTGGTGTAGGTTTTTATTTTGCTAAGCTTTCTCATAAATGTGGGTGAAATTTTATCAAATACTTCTTTTGCATCTATTGAAGCAAGCATATGCTATCTTTCCTTTAATTTCTGAATATTGTGAATAACATTAACGAAGTTTTTAAATGAGAAAACAACCTGGCATTCCTGGTATAAACCCAACACATAGCTTATCCATTTTATCTAATGCTGGATCTGATTGGTTAACTTTTCTATCAGGATTTTTGACGCCATGTTCACAAGTGAGATTGTCTGCTTATTTTTTCTTTCTCGGCTATCTTGTTTTGGTGTAGAATTGAGGTTATGCTAACCTCACAAAAAGAGTTGGGAAATCTCTTTTCTGTGAAAGAGTATATGTGAAACTAGAATAATGTCTCGTACGAACGTTTGGTGAAAACCACTGGTAAAATCATCTAAGTCTGGATTTCTTTCTTTCTCTCTCTCTTTTTCTCTCTTTCTTTCCTTCTCTTTCTTTCTTTTTTCTTTTGAGGCAGGATTTCGCTTGGTTACCCATGTGAGATTGCAGTGGTGCTCGCTGCTCATTGCAGCCTCAACTTCCCATGCTCAAGCGATCCTCCTGCTTCATTTTAAAAATATTGGGCCAGGCCCGGTGGCTCACGCCTGTAGTCCCAGCACTTTGGGAGGCCGAGGCGGGCTGATCACGAGGTCAGGAGATGAAAACCATCCTGGCTAACACGGTGAAACCCCATCTCTACTAAAAATACAAAAAAAATTACCTGGGCATGGTGGCGGATGCCCGTAATCCCAGCTACTCGGGAGGCTGAGGCAGGAGAATTGCTTGAACCCAGGAGGCAGAAGTTGCAGTGAGCTGAGATCACGCCACTGCACTCCAGCCTGGGCTACAGAGCAAGACTACGTCTCAAAAAGAAAAAAAAAAAAAAAAAAATTGGCCGGGCCTGGTGGCTCATGCCTGTAATCCCAGCACTTTGGGAGGCTGAGGCGGGTGGATCACCTGAGGTCGGGAGTTAGAGAACAGCCTGACCAACATGGAGAAACCCTGTCTCTACTAAAAATACAAAATTAGCAAGGTGCAGTGGTGCCTGCCTGTAATCCCAGCTACTCAGGAGGCTGATGCAGAAGAATCACTTGAACCCAGGAGGTGGAGGTTGCGGTGAGCTGAGATCACGCCATTGCACTCCAGCCTAGGCAACAAGAGCAAAATTCCGTCTCAAAAAAAAAAAAAAATTATAGAGATGAGGTCTCACTATATTGCCCAGGCTGGTCTTGAACTACTGGGCTCAAGTGATCCTCCTGCCTCGGCCTCCCAAAGTGCTGGGATCGTAGGTGTGAGCCACCATATGGAGGCTGGCTGGAATTTTAATGGAAATCTTTTGAAATTACCAATTCAGTTTCTTCAGTAGGGTTAGACTTACCCTATTGAGGAAACTTTAGAACTTTTTAGGTGTTTTATTTCTTCTGAAATCAGTTTTGCTAAGTCATTTTTCATGAGAATTTGTCCATTAGGTTTAAATTTTCAAATTTATTGTCATATAGTTTTTGATAATGTTTTATTTTCTTTTGAATGACTGTGGCACCTATAATGATACCCCTTTTTTCATTCCTGGCATTAATGACTTGTGAATTCTGTCTCTGATTTGAATCACAGCAGTTTGTCAATGTTATAATGTCAAAGAAGTAACTTTTTGGCTTTATTGATTCTCTCTAATGTATAGTTATTACCTCTTATTTCTGTTCTTTATTATTATTTTCTTCTTCATGATTTTTTTTGTGTGGTTATCTTTCTACCCCACCACTAATGCCTACTTATGATTTCATTGACATTTAAATAGTGATCAGTTTCCTGGTAATAGATAATAGTTGCTTAACTGTAATTCCAGTTAGAATATAGCTGGTTTGGTTGACTAGAGTATACCACTAATTAGGCTAAAGTCAAACTTTTGATTCTTTCTTGGTCTGGTGCAGTTCCTTTGAGCCCATGGCTACAG
The DNA here is from genome assembly GCF_000001405.40 of Homo sapiens. NCBI lineage: Eukaryota > Metazoa > Chordata > Mammalia > Primates > Hominidae > Homo > Homo sapiens. The sequence continues at coordinate 13,653,438 of NC_000001.11, read as the reverse complement.
TCAGCCACTTTACAGAGGTCAATGAAAATACTGCTATAGCTTTGGAGCATTGTAAGTATTTCACCATTACTGAAGAGAAAAAAATACAGAAGTTTACATTCTACTACCTTTTGGCCACTTCTGTTATCTTCAACAAGTGAAAGATAGAAGATTTTATGATCAAAAATCACAGAAGAAATGGTTTATCTGTTGGTAAAAATATCCTGATAATTCCATTTCTGTTTGAGCTGCGTGTATATTATTACCCTTCAAAATACTTAAGACATTTTCACAAATTGAGTTTTGTTTTATTATACTATTGTCATTATACATTCTGCTTTAAAAATTATTAAAGTAGGTCAGAGATATCATTATTTGCAATGTGCATAATTAGTTGACCTAAAGTGTCAGCTATGGCATTTCTAAGAGTTACTTAGAGTGGTTCTCTCTGGTGGCGATCAGAGACAGAGGGTGTTCTGATGGGCAGTGTTTTGTGATGCATGTGAGTTATTGTTTTTGTCAACAGCATGTGTTAGATTCTCCTATCCCTCACAATATCTGGTGTATAATATGCATCAGAAATGGAGAGAGCAGTTGGGCGTGGTGGCTCACGCCTGTAATCCCAGCACTTTGGGAGGCTGAGGAAGGCGGATCACAAGGTCAGGAGTTCAAGACCAGCCTGGCCAATATGGTGAAACTCTGTTTCTACTAAAAACACAAAAATTAGCTGGGCGGGGTGATGGGCGCCTGTTATCCCAGCTACTCGGGAGGTTGAGGCAGGAGAATTGCTTGAACCCAGGAGGCAAAGGTTGCGGTGAGCTGAGATTGCGCCATTGCACTCCAGCCTGGGTGACAGAGTGAGACTCCTACTCAAAAAATAAAATAAAATAAAAAAAGAAATGGAGAGGAAGCACACAGTCTTGTCAGCTTGACTCACTCTTTAAATGTCAATCATATAAGTAGGCATTAGTGGTGGGGTAGAAAGATAACCACACAAAAAAATCATGAATATACTCTTCCTGGTTTCCTGTATAACATTACATACCACACTGATATGGAGAGAGGAATGTGAGTGGTGTAGTTAGGGAACTCCAAAACAACAGGGCTGAAAGAAAGTAGCAACAATTTCCTATGATGTTGACTTGTGACCTTTAGAAAATTCTTCAGTGTTAGCCTGTCAATCATAATGTGCTGAAAGTTTGAAAAAGATAATATTTCACTCTCACTAAAGATATTAATGATCTGAATATCAATCCTTTTAATTAACTGAACCAAAAGCACAATCAATCATAGATTTTTAGAAAAAAGGAAAAAAATTATCAATCACACAGCAAGTCAAGATGATTTTCGGACCAAAGACCTAAATGTTATCAATTAAATTCCATAATAGCAGGAAAAAAGGTCATTTGTAGTCTAGGAGTGGAAAAAAATCTTACAATGACTTGAAATCCAGAAGGAATTTTTTAAAAGATTGTAAATTGAACTACCCAACAATAACAACAGCAAAGTCTTCTGAATAGTCAAAATACTATAGGCAAAGCCAAAAGACAAATCATAAACCGGGAAAATATTTGCCACTTATGTTAAAGAATTTATAGAGAGGGTTCCTAAAAGTTGAGAAAAGACTGATTTTTTTTAAAGGGATGGAAGTTGTAATTCACAGAAAATGGAAAGCAAATTATCTTTAAAGATATGAAAAGGTACTCAGCCTCACTCATAGGAGAAATGAGAAAATTACATTAAGACACTCTTTCAGACTCTAACAGACTGACAAAAATTCAAAACTTTGACATCAGATGCCTGGAGTGAGGCTGTGGAGGAAATAGGAACCCTCATACATTGTTAGTGGTAATACAAAATAATATAAACTCTCTAGAGGAGAATTTGGCAATATCTGGCAAAATTCCATATGCATTTATCCTTTGATGTGGCAATCCTATTTCTAGGACTTTAATCCGGTGATACATTTGCAAACAAACAAACCACAAGAAAGTGACATATTTGTATTATACATTCCAGCATTATTTGTAATGACGAAAGATTAGAAACCACCCAAACATCCATCAGTAAGAAATGGTTGACTAAAGTATAAAACAATTTACATAATGGAGCACAATGAAGCTATAAAAAATAAAGAAGAAATCCGTATAGACATTGATGTGGAGTGATATCCAGAATATGTCAGTAAGGCCAGGAGCGGTGACTCAAGCCTGTAATCCCAGCACTTTGGGAGGCCGAGGCCAGTGGATCACCTGAGGTCAGGAGTTGAAGACCAGCCTGGCCAACATGATGAAACCCGTCTCTACGAAAAACACAAAAATTAGCTAGGCATGGTGGCACACACCTGTAGTCCCAGCTATTCAGGAGGCTGAGGCAGGAGAATCGCTTGAAACCAGGGGGCAGAGGTTGCAGTAAGCAGAGACTGCGCCATTGCACTCTAGCCTGGGTAACAGAGCGAGACTCTGCCTCAAAAACAAAAAATAAATAAATAAAAGAATAAAAAGAGTATATCAGTAAAAGGAAATAAAATATCACCTGCAAAACAGTGCACCACCTTGTCAGTAAAAAAGAGGGGAAATACACACATATGTACACACACACACAATTTGCTCATAGTTTCAAATGAACACACAAGAAGGATAAACCAGTGGGAGAAATATTGGGAGAAGGCAGGAAAGAGTGAGAGGCAGAAACAGTAATGGAAATGAGACCTCTCTGAATGTATCTTGCTCTAAAGCTTTGACTTTGAAATCATTTAAATATTTCATATATTCAAAAATTAAATCAAATCAAAAGATAGGAAATAAAGCATTTCCTAAAATTTGAAAATGAACCAAAATAGGTACTAAATTATGTATCAGATTGACGGTGTACCACAAAGATAAAAGAGCTAGTTCAAGTTACTTTTGGATGCTCCATTTGGACTGTACATCATTAGTAGAATGTATTCTAAGGTCAAAAAAAAAGAACTGCAAAAATATGTAAACTTCATTCAGTAGTCTTTCTGTTAGTAGCAATGTTGGTACTATAATTTTGGAATTATTATATATGTTTTGAAGATTAATTCATTATTACAGCAATAAAAACTATTGCTAGAAATCAAGATTTTTGTGTGTGTAACAGAAAAGACACATACATATAAAATTAAAGAAGTTCAGTCAAACCGGGCATGGTGGCTCACGCCTGTAATCCCAGCACTTTGGGAGGCCAAGGCAGGCAAATCACCTGAGGTCAGGGGTTCAAGACCAGCCTGGCCAACATGATGAAACCCCATCTCTACTAAAATTACAAAAATTAGTTGGGCGTGGTGGCAGGCACCGGTAATCCCAGGAACTCGGAGGCTGAGGCAGGAGAATGGCTTGAACCGGGGAGGCAGAGGTTGCAGGGAGCCGAGGCCATGTCATTGCACTCCAGCCTGGGCGACAAGAGTGAAACTCCATCTCAAAAAAAAAAAAAAAAAAAAGTTCAGTCAAAACTTAATGATGTCAGATTTGAAATGGAGAAATTATTATTAACTTTTGAGGCTTTAAAAATGTTCATTTCCTAGGTTAGTCAACAGAAGCAATAACAACAGTGATGAATACACCATTCCCCACTAAAACAAGCCGGGGCTCCTTAGAGAAATGGCTAAGCACAAACTGGAGGCAGGCAAAGTATGAGTTGGTCCTGGGGCTTCTTGTACTAGAAAGCAAGGATGATATCAAAGATTAATGGGAGTCACATCAAAAAGCCAATTTGTGAGGCTCCCCTGGCCTAAGATAAAATAATTAGAGCATCAAAAAGAAGAATGACCATAATTGACTAAAACATAGCAAGTATATAAAAAATCAATATATTTATAATGCTAACTGAGGTGAGATTGAGAAAGAAATTGAAACAGAGACAGAAACAATAGCAGCTAAAAAAAAAAAAAAATCACAGGGCTCTATTGAAGGAAGCTAGGGAACCAACTCCTTACTCTGAGAACTGGTAATTTAAGAAAAAGAATTTAACATTTATCCTGCCTGTTACATCTGAACTGTATTTCCAGGTTACTAAAAAGGTCTACTTGATCAGGGAAAGTTCTTCTTTACCGGAGAATTCCAGCTAATATACTTAGAAGGAATAATAGAACAAAAATGGTTAAAAATCATCTTTTTGGCCGGGCGCGGTGGCTCACGCCTGTAATCCCAGCACTTTGGGAGGCCGAGGCAGGCGGATGACGAGGTCAGGAGATCGAGACCATCCTGGCTAACACGGTGAAACCCCGTCTCTACTAAAAATACAGAAAAATTAGCTGGGCATGGTGGCGGCCGTCTGTAGTCCCAGCTACTGGGGAGGCCGAGGCGGGAGGATGGCGTGAAACCGGGAGGCGGAGCTTGCAGTGAGCCGAGATCGTGCCATCGCACTCCAGCCTGGGCGACAGAGCGAGACTCCGTCTCAAAAAAAAAAAAAAATCATCTTTTTCAAGCCCTTATTGAATAATAGGTCCAGAGATGAGATTAATGCAAAACCTAATGGAAAATGGTGGACAGGGAAATTTACAGTGGAAGGATCAGACTGTCACCACCTGAACCAAATGACTCATCTCACCTCACTAAATGTATGCACCAGATTATGCACTGTTGGATGCATAAATAGGATTTTTTTCATGACATGCGCTTGTCGAAGAGGTTGAACCAAATTGAATTCAGCCTTTAGACCTCACTTTCAGATTATGGGAGAAACAAGGGCCAAACTAGCAAGTTAAAGTAATCAAACAAATGCAGAATGTGGGACATTCTACAGCAAAACGGATCCAATTTTCAAAACAAGTCAAGGACATAAGGAAAACAGGGGGCAGAAGAAGTGGGGGATGCTCTTGGTTATAAAAAGACTTAAGAGCCATAATAATCAAATGCAATGAGTGGAGGAATTTGAGTATAAACTGACTAATCATTCTTATTTAGGATTTTTTTAATGTAAGTTAGACATGATAATGATATGAGAAATGGCCTTATTTTTTAGAAATATTTTGAGGTGAATGGAATACTATGCAGCCATAAAAAAGAATGAGATCATGTCTTTTGTGGGAACATGGCTGGAGCTGGAGGCTATTATCCCTAGCAAACTAATGCAGGAACAGAAAACCAAATACCACATGTTCTCACAAGTGAGAGCTTAATGATGAGAACTCATGAACACAAAGAAGAGAACAACAGACACTGTGGTCTACTTGAAGGAAGAAAATAACTATTGGGTACTAGATTTAATACCTGAGTGATGAAATAATCTGTACGACGAACCCTCATGACACGAGTTTACCTATACAACAAACCTTCACATGTACCCCCAAACCTGAAATAAAAAATTTTAAAAGCAATTTAAAAAAACAAAGGCATAAATATTTTGAGGTGAAGTGACATGGTGTCAAAGATACGCCTTAAATGACGAACTAAGAAAACAAAGAGAGAAAGGCACGGAAAGAGAAAGAGATAAAGAATGGTTAGATCCAGCAAGTGTGATGAAAATCAAAACAATGAAATTGTTCAATTTGAGGAATGGGTCTATAGGGGTTAATTATCCTATTTACTATATTTTTGTGATGAAAATGTTTATAATAAAATTTTTTTTTTTTTTTTGAGACAGAGTCTCGCTCTGTCACCAGGCTGGAATGCAGTGGTGCGATCTTGGCTCATGGCAACCTCTGCCTCCCAGGTTCAAGCGATTCCCCTGCCTCAGCCTCCTGAGTAGCTGGGACTACAGGCACACACTTGGCTAATTTTTTTTTTTTTTTTTGTATTTTAGTAGAGACAGGGTTTCACCATGTTGGCCAGGATGGTCTCGATCTCCTGACCTTGTGATCCTCCTGCCTCGGCCTCCCAAAGTGCTGGGATTACAGGCATGAGCCACCACGCCTGGCCAATAAAATGTTTTTAAAAGTCAATCATTGGCTGGTCATGGTGGCTCATGCCTGTAATCCCAGCACTTTGGGAGGTCAAGGTGGGCAGACCACTTGAGATCAGGAGTTCAAGACCAGCTTGACCAACATGTCCACTAAAAAACCCCATCTCTACTAAAAATACAAAAATTAGCCGGGCATGGTGGTGGGTGCCTGTAGTCCCAGCTACTCAGGAGGGTGAGGCAGGAGAATAGCTTGAACCCAGAAAGGCGGAGGTTGCAGTGAGCTGAGATGACATCACTGCATTCCAGCCTGGGTGACAGAATGAGACTGCATCTCAAAAAAAAAAAAAGAAGAAGAAAAAGTCAATCGTTACGGCACTTTGCCAAAAATATTGCAGATGATCAATATATCACCTCCGGATGGACCATCTGGTCACATCTGTGCTGATAATGGCTTTTCCATACAGGCCAAAAAAAGAGGCACACAGTAAGAGTCAGTGAGAGGGGCTCTTGTGGAACTGCTCTGTCTTCATTATGTACTAAAGAAACATTTTATTTCCAAACCCTCCTTTACTTCAATGGAACAGGATGATGCAATTCATTTAGCAAATGTGTCCCATAGTCCCCAGACTTGCCTTGGCTGCCTAAAATATATAAAGCAAAACCAAGCAATTTGGTTTGCTCATTCCCAGAAAGAAATATTTCTTTAGTGCAAGCACGTAAAAAGACATGTTTTTATGATCTGGACTCAAAAAAAAAAAAAAAGCGAACGTAAGAAAACCAGTGAACACATTGGGTTGGGAATAAGAAGAGCTGAGCTGTGCCAATCACAGACTGTGTGGCCTGCAGCAAGTTGCGTCATGGTGTGTGAGATGGCATTGAGGGGATTCCCAACTTCGTTGCTTCTTTGAACACACCACTCTCTCATGCAGCAGGGAGTTTCTCCTTCCAAGAGATTCATGAACAGAACATGAGCTACAAGGTCATTCGTAGGTTCCCGTTGACTCTGAGACCTTCTGATTATCTGACTCAGTTGCCAGTTTAATGCATGCATTGCCCATTGACATGTCAAATGTATGTGTCAGGCTAAAGTACATCACAGAGGCATGTTCACAAATAAAAAGCTCTGTAGGCCGACAGGTGTCCTGTCTGTGACTGGATCAGCCATCGTACCTCTTCTTTTTTTTTTTTTTTTTTGAGACAGAGTCTCGCTCTGTCCCCAGGCTGGAGTGCAGTGGTGCGATCTCGGCTCACTGCAACCTCCGCCTCCTGGGTTCAAGCGATTCTTCTGCCTCAGCCCCCCAGTAGCTGGGACTACAGGTGCACGCCACCACGCCCAGCTAATTGTTGTATTTTTAGTAGAGACGGGGTTTCACCACGTTGGCCAGGATGGTCTCGATGTCTTGACCTCATGATCCACCCGCCTCGGCCTCCCAAAGTGCTGGGATTACAGGTGTGAGCCACCGCGCCCGGCCCATCGTACCTCGTCTATCTGGAGTACTTACTTTCCATGAAAGACAGTAGCTTGTTTCTGGATTGACTGATCAATGTTTGGTTTTCTACAGCAATGATTCTAGAGCACACTAGGAAGCCTGGTCCAAGAATTTCTAAGGGTTCTGGGGCCAAGAAATGTTTGCATGTAAAGTAAATGTTTGCATGTAACATGAGATCATGTTACAGAAGCAAAGCACCTTCTTCTTACGCATGATACTTAATCCTTGCAACAGCTCTCTAGGGAAGACACAGATTAAGAAATGGAGTCCCAGGAAGAGAACCTAGGACTTCCTTTCCCTTTTCCAACCTATCTGTGTGAGGCAAGATTTTCTTCATATACTTTAACCAAAAGCTGACTAATTGAATGCAGAAGCAGATATGAGAATCCTGCTATCCCCTACTATGCCAGACATGGAGGAGGTTTGCAAAAGTGTAAGACAATGCCACTCTTCTCACAAATTGTTTTTGTTTTGGAAGATGTAGTTATTTTTCATAAAATGCATTATGTTAATATGCAATGGGTTTACTATTGTCATTTTAAAATGAATAGATAAATACATATTTTTAATGTTCTCAGTTTTAACTTCTAGTATGTTAACGATTGGCAAATATGCCACATAAACAAAAGCTCTCTCTGTGGGCCTTAATAATATTTGTGTATAAAGAGGTCCAGGCCGGGCGTGGTGGCTCACGCCTGTAATCCCAGCACTTTGGGAGGCCGAGGTGGGTGGATCACGAGGTCAGGAGATTGAGACCATCCTGGCTAACGAGGTGAAATCCCGTCTCTACTAAACACACAAAAAATTAGCCAGGCGTGGTGGCATGTGCCTGTAGTCCCAGCCACTTGGGAGGCTGAGGCAGGAGAATGGCATGAACCCTGGAGGCGGAGGTTGCAGTGAGCCGAGATCACGCCACTGCACTCCATCCTGGGTGACAGAGGGAGACTCCGTCTCAAAAAAAAAAAAAAAGTCCTGAGGTCATGTCAAGCAAAACATCTTCGTAGGCATGACACTTAATCTTCACAACAGCTCTTTAGGGAAGATGCAGATGAAGAAATGGACTCTCAGAGAAATAAAGCTCCATTTTCAGGGACACACAAAGAGTAAGTGGCAGAACCAGAGTTCAATCCAGACCAGCCTGATTGCATGGCCTCACCTATTAACCACCAGGCAATGCTTGCCACCAAAGTGGCCAAAGCTCTTCTTCCCAAGGATGTGTTTTTGACTAGTGACTCGATCCGATTACATTAAAACACACTAAAGAACCCTGGCTGAAACCCAACCAAACTTAACCTGTGATCAGAACTGAAATCCTTGCTTGTTCTCCACATACCAAGTTGATTCAACGGATTCCCCATCATTTCAGTTGTTTGCTAAAGCAGTAAGAAATTTGCATGATGTATCAGTTACCATGTCTTCAGTTGCAAGGACCAGCGGTGCTACAGTTTAGATATTTGCCCCCAAATCTCGTGTTGAAATTTGATTCCCAGTGTTGGAGGTGGGGCCTCATGGCAGGAGTTTGGATCACAGGGGTTGATCTCTCATGAACAGGTTAATGCCCACCCTTCAGGGGTGGGGGTGAGAGTGAGATCTCACTCTATTTGTTCCTGAGAGACCTGGTTGCTATTAGGTGAGTGCAAAAGCAATTGAAGTTTTCGCATTGTTGGAATTTGCCATTAGATATTGGAATACGTTCTTAAATAAATGTGGTTATGTTATGCATCATTTTAATGGGCATTTCTCACTTTATATATATATATTTTTTTGCTAATGACTTATTGCTTGCTGTTTATTTTATGTTTATTTTAGACTGTGGAAATATTAGACAAAAAGCAAATTTGAGCAGTTTTCTTATTCGAGTTCAAAATGGGCCGTAAAGCAGCAGCGACAACTCACAACATCAACAACGCATTTGGCCCAGGAACTGCTAACGAATGTACAGTGCAGTGGTGGTTCAAGATTTGCAAAGGAGACGAGGGCCTTGAAGATGAGAAGCATAGTGGCTGGCCATAGAAAGTTGACAATGACCAGTTGAGAGCCATCGTGGAAGCCGATCTTCTTACAACTATACGAGAAGTTGCCAGAGAACTCAACATCAACCATTCTATGATTGTTCGGCATTTGAGGCAAATTGGAAAAGTGAAAAAGCTTGATAAATGGGTGCCTCATGAGCTGACAAAAAATCAAGAAAATCATCGTTTTGAAGTGTCATCTTCTCTTATTCTACACAACAACAGCGAACCATTTCTCAACTGGATTGTTATGTGCAATGAAAAGTGGATTTTAAGGCCGGGCGCGGTGGCTCATGCCTGTAATCTCAGCATTTTGGGAGGCTGAGGTGGGCAGATCACGAGATCAGGAGATCGAGACCATCCTGGCTAACACGGTGAAACCCCATCTCTACTAAAAATACAAAAAAAAAAAAAAAAATTAGCCGGGTGTGGTGGTCCCAGCTACTCAGGAGGCTGAGGCAGGAGAATGGCGTGAACCCGGGAGGCGGAGGTTGCAGTAAGCCGAGGTCACGCCACTGCACTCCAGCCTGGGTGACAGAGCGAGACTCCGTCTCAAAAAAAAAGAAAAGAAAAGAAAAGTGGATTTTATACGACAACCAGTGATGACCAGCTCAGTGGTTGGACCGAGAAGAAGCTCCAAAGCACTTCCCAAAGCCAAACTTGCACCAAAAATGGTCGTGGTCACTGTGTGGTAGTCACTGTGTGGTGGTCTCTGCTGCCAGTTTGATCCACTACAGCTTTCTGAATCCCAGTGAAACTATTACACTTGAGAAGTATGCTTAGCAAATCGGTGAGATGCACCAAAAACTGCAATGCCTGCAGCTAGCATTGGTCAACAGAAAGGGCCCAACTCTTCTCCACGACAATGCCTGACTGCACGTTGCACAATCAATGCTTCAACAGTTGAATGAATTGGGCTACAAAGTTTTACCTCATCTTCCATATTCACGTGACCTCTTGCCAACCAACTACCACTTCTTCAAACATCTCGACAACGTTTTGCAGGGAAAATGCTTCCACAACCGGCAGGATGCAGAAAACACTTTCCAAGAGTTTGTTGAATCCTGATGCATGAATTTTTATGCTACAGGAATGTACAAACTTATTTCTCATTGGCAAAAATGTGTTGATTGTAATGGTTTCTATTTTGATTAATAAAGATGTATTTGAGCCTAGTTATAATGATTTAAAATTCATGGTTTGAAACCGCAATTACGTTTGCACCAACCTATAAAAAGAGCCTGGCACCTCCTTTCTCTCTCACTTCCTCTCTTGCCATGTGATCTCTGCACATGCCTGCCCTGCTTCTTTGCCCTCTGCTGTGAACGAAAACAGCCTGAGGCTTTCACCAGATGCCCAGTCCTCCAGCCAGCAGAACCATGAGCCAAATAAACCTTTTTTCTTTATAAATTACCCAGCCTCAGGTATTCCTTTATAGCAACACAAATGGACTAAGACAAACATAAGGGAATGAATTCTCATACATAGCAATAAGTCCACAGGTAAGGCAGGCTGCAGGCTTAGTCTGTTGTGGCTCTGGCCTTGTTTCTCTGTCTCTCTCATCTCTTCTGTTCTTGGCTGAGCCTCAGTCCCATGGGTGGATGCCAGATGGGAGCAGTAGTTCCAGGCAGCACACTCAGAAATAACCACTTCTAAAATGAAAAAAGCCATCTTTTTCTTGGGCCTCTTTTTAGGAATAAGAAAACCTTTCCCAGAGGCTCCCACCCACAACAGAATTCTCTTCTCTTCTCCATGGTCAGGATTAGTCCCCATGCCTCTTCTAAATCAATCACTGGCAAGGGAAATGAGATCCAGATTGAATTAGATTGACTGCTTGGGAATAATGGATGTTGGAGAGTTGACGACAGATTGTCACCTCTCTTCATGAATGACAAGTCTGTACAGCAATAGTGGCCAGAGACAGGTGCAGCATCTCACTGTGGATTAGACCATTCTCACTGAATAGCAAAATTCATTCCATGATTTCAGCTCTCAGTGGTTGGAGACTATCACCAGGTGAGCTGGGCACAGGTACGGCAGCCTCAGGGCCCTACAGAGCAGGCTCAATGTCCCTCTTCTTCCTTTGACAGCCAGGCTTGGTACCTTAATGACTGCTGGACATATCAAAGTCCTTTTAATACAACTCTGATAGATGTATTAATGGTGTTGCCCTGGCCTCCTAATCTATAGCTGTTGACTGTCCTCACAACAGCACAAAATGTAATTTTCCAGAGCAACAGTTCAGTTGAAGAAATGGTCATATTTTCATTTCCTGAATGCATGTTCAGAGGTAAGAAAACTGTGTGTGCTTTGAAGAAAAATTAGCAGTAATCATAGGTTATGCGAAAAGTCATCTGACAAATTTAGGAAGGTCAGTACATGCAAATATTTGTTTGTGTTTTCAGGGCTGAATGCAAGGCTGGAGACGCTTAGCCTTTATTCTAAAGGAGCCTCTTTAAAATATGGATAAATGGACTGAATTTCATCCAAAGCTCAAGCTGGAGCAATGCTGCCAGACCACAAATTGACTCTTTGCAGTGTTATTTCTGGGGCAGCTGTGGTGTGGATAACTCAGAGCATGCACTGATCTATAACTGAAGGCAAATGGGCGTCCTTTGGGCACCAGCTGCTACCATCATCAACCAACACTCTTCTCATTTTTAGGACTTGGCCAAAGGTCTGTGTGGATGTGTTACCTTGTTAGGAAAACACACAAAAACAAATTGGAGAGTCAATAAGAAGGAGTTTAAATTGATATTACAGAGGCCCAATGGCAGAATCGGGATCATCAGGCTTCCCATTGACACTAAGATCAAGACCCAAATCCTTCACATGCCTGTGAGGCTGGGCATGACCTGACTCCACTCACTGGCCCAGCCTCCTCTCCTGCTGCTCCCCTAGGTCTCTGCACTACAGCCACGTTGGCCTTCCTTGGCTCCTTCCTGCCTGAGATCCTGGCCACATGCTATTTCCTCTGCTGAGAATGCTCCTTCCTGCCTGAGAGCCTGGTCACATACTATTTCCTCTGCTGAGAATGCTCCTCCATCTGTCCTGTCTTGGCCTGACTCCTGCTAGCCCCTCAGACCCCATGTAAACATCACTTCCTCAGGGAGACCTCTATGAACCCCCAAACTAGCTTTCATGTCCTTGTGTACTATGCTTTGAGTGTATATGTCCCCCCAAAATTCATGTGGTGGAACTTAAACCCCTAGGTAATAATATTAAGAGGTAGGGACTTTTGTGATTAAAAGTCACAAGTGCTCCACTCTTATGAATGGGATTAATGCTCTTTTAATTTTTTTATTTTTATTTTTTATTTTTTTGAGATGGAGTCTCACTCTGCTGCCCAGGCTGGAGTGCAGTGGCGCAATCTCTGCTCACTGCAAGCTCCGCCTCCTGGGTTCACACCATTCTCCTGCCTCAGCCTCCCGAGTAGCTGGGACTACAGGTGCCTACCACCACGCCCGACTAATTTTTTGTATTTTTAGTAGAGATGGGGCTTCACCGTGTTAGCCAGGATGGTCTCGATCTCCTGACCTCGTGATCCGCCTGCCTTGGCCTCCCAAAGTGTTGGGATTACAGGCGTGAGCCACCGCGCCCAGCCAGATTAATGCTCTTATAAAAGAGGCTTCAGAGAGCTGCCTGGCCCTTCTATTTCCTCTGCCATGTGAGCACACAACATTTGTCCCTTTTACCCTCCTGCTTTTGGCCACGTGAGGACACAGCAGCAAGGCACCATCTTAGAAGAAGAGAGCAAGCTCGCACTAGACACTGAATCTGCCTGTTCCTGGATCTTGGACTTTCCAGCTTCCAGAGCAGTGAGAAAATAAATTTCTGTTCTTTATAAATTACTCAGTCTTGGGCATTTTGTTATAGCAACACGAACAGACTAAGACACTGGCATGTTTTACCTCCTTCTCCTTCAATGTACTTACCCCACTGCACCAACTAGTTTTTAGTGTGATTATTTGATTGCTGTTAGTCTTCCTATCCCATGACAGAAATATTCATATGAACATGAGCCAAAATGGTATTTCCTGCTTGATTTCCAATACTTATCACAGCACTTGGCACAGAGTTGGCTACCAATAAAAATTTCTTGAATGGATGAATGAAGTCATCTTCACAATTCTCCTGTCTTATTTCAGAAAAGCTGATTAGTCTCTTTTCAGAGATTGCTTATATTGGGAAATAGATCTTCACTGAGCTGTCCCAAGTATTTTGTGTGATAGCCAAAGTATGCATTCTCCTCCACCTTCCCTAATGAACATTTCATCCTGCTTTGTAGGACTCTCACTGACAAGGGGTTGAGTTTAGTGTGCTTTTCTAAACACTCACTATTCATCTTTACCTTCATGTACCAGAAAACCTTCCTTTTAGGATCTCCTATCCTCCAAGCTGCATTGGTAAACTAGTCTCCAAAATTCAAAACTGTTCCCCATACTAAGTTATCTGTTGCTGCATAACAAGTTACTATGAAATTATATTTCATATTTGTTATTTTTATAATTTGTCTCCACCACAACAAAGAGGATAAGGACTATCTTTGAAGTGTTCCCTGCTCTAGCCTCAACTGCTATTTGCTGAATAACACGTTACTCCAAAGTTTAGCATCTTAAAAGAACAATAAGTTCTTATTTTCTTATAGTTTCTGTGAATTAGGAATTCTGGAGCAACTTAGCTGGGTGTTTCTGGCTCAAGGTCCCTCATGAGGTTGCAGTCAAGATGTCAGCTTCGGCTGTGGTCAGCTGAAGGCTTGACTGGGGTCAGACAATCCACTTCAAGGTGGCATCACTCACATGACTGGCTAGTCAGTGCTGGTTGTTGTTAGGAGGCCTCAGTTCTTTGTCATGTGCGTGTCTCCATATGGCTGCTTGAGCATCCTCACAACATGGCAGCTGACTTCCCCTAGGCCAAATGATCTAAAAGTGAAAGCAAAAAGGAAACCATAATGTCTTTTATGAACTAGTTTTCAAAGTCACACTCCTTCATTTCTGCAATATTCTGTTGGTTACAGAGATTGGACCTATCTAATGTTGAAGAGGTCTCCATGAGGGTGTGACCATCACAAGGTGAGAATCACTGGGGTCATTCCCATAAACTTGCTTAACTTGAACTGGATCCAGCCTTTTTTTTTTTCTTTTTTTGCAAATCAAAAATTCACTTTCCTGCCTACAAATCCCCATTAGCCTTCCCATAACACATAGAAGAAAATCTAAAGTCCTTGCCAAACTTCTTGCCTCAATGCCTGATGTGATCCAGCCCTTCCTTACTAAACTATCCTCATCTCTTAACTCCCCTCTCTCGCACTCACTCCACTCCAGCCACATTGGTTTTATTCTCCTTCTCAAAGACACCAAACTCATTCCTCTCCCAGGGACTTTGCATTTGCTGCTTTCTCAATCTGGATCTTTCTTCTCCCAGGCACCTGCATTACTCTCTCCCACCTTTCGCTTTGTGGCTCAGCTTAGATGTTCACCTCTTCTACCTCCTTAGAGAGTCCTTCCATCCCCACTGTGTTTCAGCCTAGCACTCAATTCCACCCCTTCACTCTCTATTACTTTGCTCAGCTTGGTGTTTCTGAATAGCAATTGTCACAACCTAAAATTATATTGCATATTTGTTGTTTCTATAATTTGTCTCCACCACAAGAAAGAGGGTAGGTACCATCTCTGAAGTGTTCCCTGCTCTAGCCCCAGTGTTTAGAACAATACCTGGTAGATGCTTGATATGGTTTGTCTCTGTGTCCCCACCCAAATCTCTTGTTGAATTGTAATCTTCACTGTTGGAGGAGGGGCCTGGTGGGAGGTGATTCAATTACGGGGGCAGATTCCCCGCTTGCTGTTCTTGTGATAGAGTTCTCACGAGATTTGGTTGTTTGAAAGTGTGTAGTGCTTCCCCTTCTCTCTCTCTCCTGCCAGCCAGGTGAAGTGTACCTGCTTCCCCTTCTCTCTCTCTCCTGCCAGCCAGGTGAAGTGTACCTGCTTCCCCTTTGCCTTCCACAATGATTGTAAGTTTCCAGAGGCCTCCCCAGAAGCAGAAGCCTATACAGCCTGCAGAATCATGAGTCAATTAAACCTCTTTTCTTTACAAATTACCAAGTCTCAGGTATGTCTTTATAGCAGTGTGAGAATGGACTAATACAATCTGGATACTTAACTGCTATTTGCTGAATAAACGAATGATTAAATAAATAAATCTGCAAAAAAGGAGAGGTTGGACTAGATCAGTTTGTAGACTAGTGCTATCCTAAGAACTGTTTGTTACTCATTCAAGACCAAAAAGTACAGAAATCAGGGCCAAATGTGGTGGCTCACGCCTGTAATTCCAGCACTTTGAGAGGCCAAGGCAGGCGGATGACCTGAGGTCAGGAGTTTGAGACCAGCCTGGCCAACATGGTGAAACTCCATCTCTACTAAAAATACAAAAATTAGCCGGGCGTGGTGGTGGGCGGCTGTAATCCCAGCTACTTGGGAGGCTGAGGCAGGAGGATCTCTTGAACCTGGGAGATGGAGGTTGCAGTGAGCTGAGACCACGCCATTGCACTTCAGCCTGGGCAACAAGAGCAAAACTCCTTCTCAAAAAAAAAAAAAATACACAGAAGTCGAGAGTAAACATTGAGAAATTTTTATAGCACTTTGACATTACTGTGACATCCAAGCTTATGACCAGTGACTGATCTTACTGAAGCCAATAAAAAGTCTCCATTATAGACCAGTTTGGGTGTGTTGAACTTGTATGGTGAACCACGTGCAGCACATCCCACAAACTAATCATCCGTAATTTTTCAATGGCAGAAATGGAATCTAGATATAATTTTGGATCAAAGCTGACAAGCTAACTTTAAAATATCACCCATTGTAAAGATAGCTTGTCAGCTTTGATCCAAAAGTGTATCAAATCCAGATCCCATTTCTGCCACTGAAACAATTATTTAAATGCAATTACAGTTTTTCAGGATAAATGATGACTGATGAAGGATTAAAGATAAATTCTGAAATTACAGCATTACTTGCTTCATCTTAGATAAAATGAGTATCCCAAGTTTGTATCCCGTGTCCTCTGCAATACATACCCTGACTCTGAAGGTTTAGGTCAAGACTTTATCTTTCTTTTCACATAATGAGGTGGAATGACTCTTATGTAAGAGAGTCATGGGGCTGGGCGCAGTGGCTCACCCCTATAATCCCAGGACTTTGGGAGGTCGAGACAGGCAGATCACCTGAGGTCAGGAGTTCGAGATCAGCCTGGCAAACATGGCGAAACCTCATCTCTACCAAAAATATAGAAATTATCCAGGTGTGGTGGCACATGCCTGCAATCCCAGCTACTCTGGAGGCTGAGGCAGGAAAATCGCTTGAACCCGGGATGCAGAGGTTGCAGTGAGCTGAGGTCATGCCACTGCACTCTAGCCTGGGCGACAGAGTGAGACTCTGTCTAAAAAAAAAAAAAAGCCAGAGAGCCCAGAATCCAAAGCTCAAATTTCAGTGTTGTGCCAGAATAAATTATGTGTCATCAAAAGAGATTTTGAGGTCTTCTCTGGACTATAGTATTTGGATGTAAAATTGTATTTTCTCAAGCTGCTATCTAAAACGAGATTCCACTGGATGTATATAATGTTTTAAATAGAATTTTAAGTATTTTTGAAGCCACCAAAGAGTGCACTCTTTATACTGTAATTGTTCATTTGTATTGAATTTCTACCATAGAAATTCAAGAAGTCATCATTAATGTGAAATAAGCTATTTATGGTGGCTCCTGCCTGAAGTTCACAAAGCAGTGAACGGATTCTTCATTCACATTCTCCGCTGCTGCCTTTCTTTCCTTATGGGTGTGGAATGCTCTGCTTCTTGCTTCTCTATTCCTGACTATTCAGAGCCTCAAATAACCTGAGTGCTGTCTCCACTAGGGTCGTAGCCCAGCTCAGATCCCGGGGCCCAGCTCAGATCCCGGGGCCCAGCTCATGATCCCGGGGTCCAGCTCAGATCCTGGGGCCCAGCTCAGATCCTGGGGTTTTAATTTCCAAAAGTCTTCACAGTGAATTTTCTAGCAAACAAAACCTCACTAAAGCTTTGAAGAAGAAAGTGAATTAGCTTGGAGAGTTCTGTTGAAGGAAGCTGGGATTGAGGAAGAGAAGAGAGTCCTGTGTGGAAGATGGAAACCATTTGGAGGGCAAGTGGTGGGGGGTACAAACCCAAGTCTCTGAAGGAATTCGGTATACCTGATCAGGCACAGGGTTCAGATCACTCACACTACACATGAATTCTGGCTTCCCTCCAGTCACGACAAAGTGATCCTGGAAGTCTTAAAGGACACGGGGCTTTCTCTCCAGCAGATCTTTGCTTTCCATATCAAGGTGTCTGAAAGATGCATTCAATGTGATAAGATGTTTTCATTTCAACGACCTCAGGGGATTGGTGCTTTAAATATATTACCTCTTTACTGAATACAGAGAACCTTCCTGATTCAATTTAAAAAACACCAGCTCCTCTTCCCCCATGCTCATTCCCACTCCATGCCCAGGATGCTCCATTCCCATGAGGGACAGCCTCCAGGCAGAAGCGATGGGAACGACTCCCTTGGATATTGGAAACATATGCCAGCAAAGGTATGAAATAGAAATGCCCTCAAATGTGATTTGCACAGGGGTTTAACTCTCTCCTCAGCATCGAGAGCTTAACAAGCAAGGAGGTTGTACTTTCACCCAACTGTTTGTTATCGAGAGGGGTCTGTAAGATTGGTTCCATGCCTAAATCCACAAATGCAAAGAGACACATAGCTGGTGTAATGTGGGGTTAATTTACTGAGTGGGCTCTGCTGCAGCTGGAGGGCAGCCAAGGCTGTGATTTAGATCCTTGCTGCTACCAGCACCCACCCTGATGGTTTCCCATCCCCCAGCTGAGTGTCCCCTCTTCATCTTGTTGCCCACCGTGGAAGTCCTTCATGAACCACGGATTGATTCCCAAGGTGGGCTGGGATTAGCCGGAGCTGATTTCAGAGCTCGGATTACTGAGCATGGTCTGACCCCAAGTGGGCTGCCTGGCAGCAAAGTTTTTCCCCAATGAACAGTGATGCTCTGGTGCAAAGCACTGGGGAACAGGAAGAGCAGGCTCCATCAGAGGCTTGAATGTGATGCTAAGATGGTTGCATTTGGAGGGTCTTCTGCGGGCTGGATTGGAGCTGTTCAAAGATCTCCTCTCTCCCCCACCCAGTTTTGCATTAATGTAGCAAAGGTAGATGATCTTTGCACAGGGGGTTGAAGGGCATTTGCCTACTGTACTGGTTTCCTGAGGCACCATAACAAGGTACCACAAGTCCAGTGGCCTGACACAACAGAAATCTAATCTCTTGTCTGGGTGCGGTGGCTCACGCTTGTAATCCCACCACTTTGGGAGGCCCAGGCAGGCGGATCACAAGGTCAGGAGATCGAGACCATCCTGGATAACACAGTGAAACCCCGTCTCTATTAAAAATACAAAAAAATTAGCCGGGTGTGGTGGCGGGCACCTGTAGTCCCAGCTACTCGGGAGGCTGAGGCAGGAGAATGGCATGAACCTGGGAGGTGGAGCTTGCAGTGAGCCGAGATCATGCCACTGCACTCCAGCCTGGGTGACAGAGCAAGACTCTGCCAAAAAAAAAAAAAAAAAAAAAAAAGGAAATCTAATCTCTCATGGCTCTGGAGACCATAAGTCTGAAATCAAGGTGTGCACTGCCTCTGGAGACTCCAGCAAAGAATCGCTCCTGCCTCTCCCAGCTTCTGGTGGCCGCTGGTCATTCCTTGGCTTGTGGCTGCATCACTTTAGTCTCTGCCTCCATGGTCACACGGCCTCCTCCTCTTCTGCTTGTGTCTTGTCCTTAGAAGGACGCTTGTCTTTAGGTTTATGGCCCACCTGGGTAATCCAGGATGATCTCCCCACCTCAATATCCTTGACTTAATTACATTCACAAAGACCCTTTTTCCAAATAAAGTCACATTTAAGGGGTCTAGGGACTTGGACATGGACATAGCTTTTGGGGTGGCCACCATGGAACCCATTATAGCCAGACACATTCTCTTCTGTGCTCTTAGTCCAAGAATGTTAGAGAGCAGAATGTGGGGAAAACAAATCTAATTGCTATCTATCCTGCCAAATAGGGTTTTCCAGAAAGGGGCTCTGTCCTGGCTGTGTTTATGTTGGTGAGTGGTTGGCTGGCCCTAAGGATATTGACACGCAATTGCCATCACCCCTCAGCCTACTGCCCTTTCACGCCTCTGTGATTAGGTTCTGCTGTTTTCAGGAAGTCCCTCCACTGGACAAAGGCAATTTCACCCGTTCTGAAGGCTCAGCTCAAATATCCCTCCTTCATGTTATAGCATCCATGGCACTCCTACCTCTGCAGCAGTGGTCTCCAGTGTGGAGTGCACACACCATGGTTCTTTGGAATACAAGATGTGATAATTCTTTTTTTGTTGTTTTTTTTTTGAGACAGGGTCTTACTCTGTCACCCAGGCTGGAGTGCAGTGTCACAATCATAGCTCACTGCAGCCTCGGCCTCCCTGGCTCAAGCAATCCTCCCACCTCAGTCTCTCTAGTAGCTGGAACTAAAGGTGTGTGCCAACATGCCTGGCTAATAGTTTTTAATTTTTTGTAGAGATGGGGTTTCACTATATTGCCTAGGTTGGTCTCAAACTCCTGGCCTCAAGTGATCTTCCCGCCTTGGCCTCCCAAACTGTTGAGATTACAGGTGTGAGCCACCATGCCCAGCCAAGAATTCTTTATATTTAGTTTGTATCTTTAGGAAAGAAAGAAATTAAGCCTTTCTAATATTCAACAGGAAAATTAGCAGTGGTCCATGTATTTACTGTATTTACAATTTAGAGACATATATTGGTGTTGTGGGAAGTCAGGGACCCTGAATGGAGGGACCAGCTGAAGCCATGGCAGAAGAACATGGATTGTGAAGATTTCATGGACATTTATTAGTTCCCCAAATTAATACTTTTATAATTTCTTATGCCTGTCTTTACTGCAATCTCTGAACATAAATTGTGAAGATTTCATGGACGCTTATCACTTCCCCAATCAATACCCTTGTGATTTCCTATGCCTGTCTTTACTTTAATCTCTTAATCCTGTCATCTCGTAAGCTGAGGAGGATGTATGTCGCCTCAGGACCCTGTGATGATTGTGTTAACTGCACAAATTGTTTGTAGAGCATGTGTGTTTGAATAATATGAAATTTGGGCACCTTGAAAAAGAACAGGATAACAGCAATGTTCAGGGAACAAGAGAGATAACCTTAAACTCTGACCACCAGTGAGCTAGGTGGAACAGAGCCATATTTCTCTTCTTTCAAAAGCAAATGGGAGAAATATTGCTGAATTCTTTTTCTCATCAAGAAACATCCCTGAGAAAGAGAATGTGTCCCTGAGGGTAGGCCTCTAAAATGGCCACTTCGGGAGGCGGCCATCTTTTACGGTCAAGCTGTAGGGATGAAATAAGCCCCAGTCTCCCATAGCGCTCCCAGGCTTATTAGGACGAGGAAATTCCCGCCTAATAAATTTTTGGTCAGACCGGTTGTCTGCTCTCAAACCCTGTCTCCTGATAAGATGTTATCAATGACAATGTGTGCCCGAAACTTCATTAGCAATTTTAATTTCGCCCCGGTCCTGTGGTCCTGTGATCTCACCCTGCCTCCATTTGCTATTCCACAATAGCGAGGTAATAGAAAAGATATTCTATTACCTTGTGAAGCATGTGATCTCTGTGACCCACACCCTATTCGTACACTCCCTCCCGTTTTGAAAATCCCTAATAAAAACTTGCTGGTTTTGCAGCTTGTGGGGCATCACGGAACCTGCCGACATGTGATGTCTCCCCCGGATGCCCAGCTTTAAAATTTCTCTCTTTTATACTCTGTCCCTTTATTTCTCAGACCGGCCAACACTTAGGGAAAATAGAAAAGAACCTACGTGAAATATTGGGGGTGAATTTCACCCGATATCTGGCTGAATTTCCCTCGATATATTG
Organism: Homo sapiens; assembly: GCF_000001405.40. NCBI lineage: Eukaryota > Metazoa > Chordata > Mammalia > Primates > Hominidae > Homo > Homo sapiens. Next base: position 13,632,081 of record NC_000001.11, on the reverse strand, counting down.
GATTGGACAGTATGGAATCGTCATTGTTGGACTTTTTTTTTGACCCTACAAAAATGGCAATTTCATATGGTTCGACCTAACAGCATATTAGGAGTGAGTGCTCACAGATCTTTTACTCCTAGGGACATGTGCTCAAAAGTTTTTTTTATCAGAGGCTGGGCAACATGGAAAAACTCCATCTCTACAAAAAAATAGAAATATTAGCCGCGCATGGTGGTGCATGCCTGCAGTAGCTACTCAGGAGACTGAGGTTAGAGGGTCATCTAAGCCCGGGATGCAGTGGTTGCAGTGAGCTGAGATTATGCCACTGCACTCCAGCCTGGGCCAAAAAGTGAGACCCTGTCTCAATTTTTTTAAAAAGTTTTTGATTAGTATAATCAAATTTAAATTTTTTTTAGAGATAGGGTCTTGCTCTGTTGCCCAGGCTGGGGTGCGGTGGCACCATCATAGCTCACTGTAGCCTTGAACTCCTGGGCTCAAGCGATCTTCCCAGCTCTGCCTCCCGAGTAGCTGGGATTACAGGCTCGAGCCACCATGCTTGGCTAATCAAACTTGACACTCTTACCTAGTTTAGCCCAGGGCACATGCAGAAGCTCAATAAGTTTGTGTTTTGATTTTTGCAAGTCTCTTGGAGACTTGGAAAATATGGATTATCATGATTTGGGGCACTGAGCTGGGAATGGATGATCCTGGGAATAGAATCTGAGCCCAAACCTAGCAAAGTGAGCCCTCTTCCCCAGAATTTCTCTTGTCCCCTCCTTACCACCTGCCATGCCCTTTGTCAGGCCCTTCCCTGGAGGAACCATGCCATACCCACTAAATAAGAAAAATAGGAACATTTTGAAGGCACCCTAAAAGCTCCACCTGACTTTAAGAGACCAAGTGTGCATGGCATGCTACAGATATATGCTCTGGGTAGCTGCTGTGTGCTGGGGTGTGAGTGATGAGTAGGGACACTCCTCTGTGTGCCCTGCTGTGGTGCCCACCTGAGGCTTTATGGCTGCACAATACACATTCACTATAGCAATGACTTGACTTTCATAAACAGGAGAGGTGGCAGCGGTGGACTGGGCTGCAACAAAGAGTAAGACTGCATTAAACCACATCCCAGGTCTGACATAGACATCAAGTGTATACAGAGGGCAGGTGGCCACTTCCATGCCATAAAATCGGTAACTCTGGCAGCGCCTCTTTTTTTTTTTTTGAGACAGAGTCTTGCTCTGTCACCCAGGCTGGAGTGCAGTGGCGTGATCTCAGCTCACTGCAACCTCCACCTCCTGGGTTCAAGCAGTTCTCCTGCCTCAGCCTCCTAAGTAGCTGGGATTACAAGCATGCTCCACCACGCCTGGCTAATTTTTGTATTTTTAGTAGAGAAGGGGTTTCACCATGTTGGTCAGGCTGGTCTTGAACTCCTGACCTTGGCCGCCCAAAGTGTTGGGATTACAGCAGTGGGCCACCACGTCCCGCGGGGCCTCTTTTTTTTTTTTTTTTTTCTGAGACGGAGTCTCACTCTGTCGCCCAGGCTGGAGTGCAGTGGTGCGATCTTGGCTCACTGCAAGCTCTGCCTCCCAGGTTCACGCCATTCTCCTGCCTCACGCCAGTCCCTCCCAAGTGGCTGGGACTAAAGGTGTCCACCACCACACCCGGCTAATTTTTTGTATTTTTAGTAGAGACAGGGTTTCACCATGTTAGCCAGGATGGTCTTGATCTCCTGACCTCGTGATCCGCCTGCCTCGGCCTCCCAAAGTGCTGAGATTACAGGCGTGAGCCGCCGCGTCCGGCAGGGCCTCTTTTAAAAAGATATTTTACTACCGGTCCCAGTGCCTGAAATTCCACCATTGGTGATATTCCTTTGATACTTGGATTTTTAAAACAATTTATTTCTCTAGACTAGACACAGTATTTCATCTGAGTGAGCCTCTGCAGATATAATACCTTATACTGGGGACACAGTGGCATAGCTGAAGGCCCAGCCCCTCTACCTACTATTGGGTGGCCTTGGTAATTCAACCATTCCAGCTCTTGGTTTCCTCACCTGAAGAAGGACAAAAATGATACCCACATTTCAGGGTTGCTGTAAGAATCAGATGCAATGTGTGTAGAGAATGCGTGGTGCCTGGACGTGATGGTTGCCAAACAGTAGCTTGTATTGCTGCTGTGTGTTGCTTTATAATATACAAAACATTTACAAGCACTATCTGTTTGCTCCAGATGAAGTCTTCTGAGCTAGACCGGACTGTATTATTATTTCTGTTTTACAGATGAAGAAACAGACAGGTAATATTCTGCACGTGAACTGCAAATCAGGTCTTCTCACACTTGACTGCTGCTACTGCATGGTTTTCTCTTCTTAGGAGATCAGTTGGCAGCCTGCTGAGGGTAGACCCCATGGGAATAGGGCAGAGACTAGGAGCCAGGGGTGAGTGGGAAAAAACAGGAGGTGGGCAGGTGGCAAAGAAGCCCTCGATTTTGAAACTGTGCTGCTGTGTGGTTGGCTGCCTGACTGTAATCTGCAAACAGCATCAATAATGTAAGTTAGTCCCACTGGTGCTCCATAAATGAACAATACTCCCAGACCAAACAATTTCTTCTTTAGCAACAGACTCAAAGGAATATTTTTACTGGCATGCTTTACGGATTATTACAGTACTTTCTTTTTTGTTTTTTTGTTTTTTGAGATGCAGTCTCACCCTGTCACCCAGGCTAGAGTGCAGGGGCACGATCTCGGCTCACTGCAACCTCTGCCTCCTGGGTTCAAGTGCTTCTCCTGCCTCAGCCTCCCGAGTAGCTGGGATTACAGGTGCCCACCACCTTGCCCGGCTGATTTACCATGTTGGCCAGGCTGGTCTCGAACTCCTGACCTCAGGTGATCCGCTCACCTCGGCCTCCCAAAGTGTTGGGATTACAGGCGTGAGCCACCGTGCCCTGCCTAGAGTACTTTCATCTCAATGTTAGCATCTATGGCATAGTGTCTAACTTAGAGGAGACACTTAGTGAATATTTGTTCAATGCTCACTAAATAACTAGACATTGGGATTTCATTCATCAAAGTGTTTCTGACCACTAAAGGTGAATGTTGGGTAAGGAAGTTATTCAGGGTTAGTCATCATGGGGTGGAGGAATTAACGCAGCGAGGTCTGCCTGTGTGTTCCGCTCGTCATGCAAGGGTGGGCTCTGCCTATTGTTCTCGGCCACATTTCTTTCACCATGGATTCCTCCAGCATGAGTGACAAATTGGAATGACAGTATGGAAGGATCTGGTAACATCTGTCTGTCACAAAGGAAGCATGCTGGCTGCCAATCCATTGTTTGGAAGGATCAAGGGAATGGTGTGGGGTCAGAATGCAAAGGTCAGTGCTGCTTTCCATCTGGGATGGGCTGGATGGGTAGCGGGAAGCTGCCCTCACAGATGGTTGTTTGGAAGGCATATTCATTTCCTAGGGCAGCCGTGACAAATGACCACAAATTGGGTGGCTGAAAACAACAGCAATGTATTCTTGCATCGAGTTTGAAATCCAGGTGTCAGCAGAGCCATCTCTTTGTGAAGGTTCTAGGGGGGCCTTCTGGCCTCCTGCAGCTTCTAGGGGTGCCAGGTGTTCCTTGGCTTGTGGCAGCATCACTCCAGTCTCTGCCTCTTAGTGTGGCCTTCTCCCTGTGTTTCTCCTCTCCTGTTTGTGTCTCCTCTTCTTATGAGAATGCTTGTTATTGGACTTGAGCCCAGCCAGTTAAGCCAGGATGATCTCATCTCAAAATTCTTAACTTAATTGCATTTGCAAAGGCCCTTTTTTCAAATAAGGTCAACTTCCCAGGGACCAGGGGTAAGGACTTGGACCTGTCTTTCTGGGCGCCACGATTCAACCCATTACAAGTGGAGTTGGCTCCAGTTACTTTCTGAAAGTGACGATGATCAAATGATACATGTCAAGGGGATGGATATCCTAGTTACCTTGATTTGATCTTTACACATTATATGAATGTATTCAATGATGTATTCAAAGATCAATGTATTCAATGTACTGCAAAACTATGTACATCTACCATTCACCAATAAAAAGTAAATAAAATAAAATGAATAAAATGTTATGTGGAGAAATTCCCAATCAACATCAAGAATATTCCTTTCCTATTTGAAAAAAGAAAAGGCTGGGCATAGTGGCTCACGCCTGTAATCCAGCACTTTGGGAGGCCAAGGCAGGCAGATCCCTTGAGGTCAGGAGTTTGAGACCAGCCTGGTCAACATGGCAAAACCCCTTCTCTACTAAAAATACAAAAATTAGCCGGGCATGGTGGTGCATGCCTGTAATCCCAGCTACTAGGGAGGCTGAGGCATGAGAATCGCTTGAACCCACGAGGCAGAGGTTGCAGTGAGCTGAGATCTCACCACTGCACTCCAGCCTGGACAACAGAGAAAGACTCTGTCAAAAAAAAAAAAAGAAAGAGAGAGAGAGAGAGAGAAAGGAGAAAGAAGGAAAGAGAGAGAAAGAAAGAAAGAAAGAAAAATGTTGAATTAATTTTGTGTGCCTAGCAATTCTTTTTTATTTCAGAGAAGGTGCCTATTATGAAATTCTCCATTTTTGACATATTTCTTATAAATCTTTTTGGACTCTGGTGACCAGAAGGATTTCTCTTGGGGCCAATTTCACATCTTCAAGTTCTTTTTCTTTTACATATTAAGCAAATCTCTTCCAACATCTGATAAATCACCTTGTACTTAACAAAAAAAAATCACCTTATACTATAAAAACTGCTGACTTTGCACTAAGTCATGTTTTCATTAGAAATAATTAATTAGCTCCACAAATGTTTTCATGGAATGTAGATGAGACACTTCTATCATTTTGAAAAGAAATAATAAACATTTTATTCATATGCTTTCATATAGAAAAAAGTCAGATCAGGTGGTCATCTGAGGGAAAATAGATGGATAGAGACAAAGGATCATTGTGAAGTTATTGGCCACTTAAATCCAATTAATTAAACCACCTTTCTATGAGCATCACTTTTTTTTTTTTTTTTCGAGTCAGGGTTTTGCCTTGTTGCCCAGGCTGAAGTGCAGTGGCGCGATCTTGGCTCACTGCAACCTCCGCCTCCTGGATTCAACAGATTCTTATGCCTCAGCCTCCCAAGCAGCTGGAATTACAGCCATGAGCCACCGCACCTGGCTAACTCTTTGTAGAGACAGGGTTTCACTATGTTGCCCAGGCTGGTCTCAAACTTCTAGGCTCAAACAATTTGCCTGCCTCAGCCTGAGCATCACTCTTCTAAGAAAAATGCCAGGTAATTCCTAGTCATGTCTGAATATTTACTATTCATTTATTTATTTATTAGAGATGGGGCCTCACTCTGTCCCTCAGGCTGGAGTGCAGTGGTGCAATCACAGCTCACTGTAACCTCCATTTCTGAGCCTCAAGCGATCGATCTTCCTGCCTCAGCCTCCCAAAGTGCTGAGATTACAGGCACGAGTCATTGTACCTGAACTGGATATTTAAATATCCAAAAAATTAAATCATTTTTATTTTTATTTTTCCTAGGGGGCAAAATCCTGCTCTCTAGGGAAATAAAAGTTCTTTCATTATGACCCCCTTTGTCAAAACATTGTTTGTAATTCAAAAATCTAGAAACATTATAAATATCCACTGACAGGAAAAAACATAAGTAAATGGTGACTCAAAAACGACACCAGCTATGTAGATGCGTCAGAGTTCTTTGCATCCACAAGGATAAATCTAAAACAATATTGTGAATAGAGAAAGCAAGCTGCAAAGAATAATTTTGTGAATATAAAAGTTGAAAACATGCACATTCATGCTACATCTTGATTATCAACAGATACGTACAAAATAAGAATAGTAGAAAATGTGCATGTTCCATACGAAACGCACCCAGTTCAGGAGAATGGTCCCTCTGGGAAAGAGGGAAGAGAGGAACTGATGTCAGGAGGGTTCCTGAGGGATAACATGAATAAGTTTTTATTTCTAAAAAAAAAATTATATGGAAAATACAAGAAAATGTTAAGATTTGCTAGTGTCAGACGGTGGGGTATAGGAGGCTTTTTCATTACTCTCTGTAGTTTTCTATATGTTTAAAATATTTTATAATTTAAAAAATAACTTCCCTGGCCAGGCGCAGTGGCTCACGCCTGTAATCCCAGCACTTTGGGAGGCCGAGGCGGGCAGATCACGAGGTCAGGAGATCGAGACCATCCTGGCTAACACGGTGAAAACCTGTCTCTACTAAAAACACAAAAAAATTAGCCGAGCGTGGTGGCGGGCGCCTGTAGTCCCAGCTACTCGGGAGGCTGAGGCAGGAGAATGGCAAGAACCCGGGAGGCAGAACTTGCAGCGAGCTGAGATCATGCCACTGCACTCCAGCCTGGGCGACAGAGCGAGACTCCATCTCAATAAATAAAGAAAGAACTTCCCTATTCCCCACTGGCTGCAGAAATGATGTCTTTGAAATGCACAACTGTTGAGCTGATGGGGAGACAACTGATTTTAAAGATAACAAGTGGGGCCGGGCGCAATGGTTCGCGCTTGTAATCCCAGCACTTTGGGAGGCTGAGGCGGGTGGATCACCTGAGGTCAGGAGTTCAAGACCAGCCTGGCCAACATGGTGAAACCCCATCTCTACTAAAAACACAAAATTAGCCGGGCCTGGTGGCGTATACCTGTAATCCCAGCTACTCAGGAGACTGAGGCATGAGAATTGCTTGAACCCGGGAGGCGGAGGTTGCAATGAGCCGAGATTGCTCCACTGCACTCCAGCCTGGGCAAAAAGAGCGAAACTCTGTCTCAAAAAAAAAAAAGAAAAAAGAAAAAAGAAAAGAAAAGAAAAGGACAAGTGGACTAAACAAAAGAGGGATGGAGAACAAATAAAGACACCTGCATCCTGGTTGTACTTCGGGCATTGGGTAACTCTAGTTTTACGTAACTCTTTGAATCTCAATTTCTTCACTTGTAAATTGGAAATAATTTCTGCCCTGCCTGCTTCACAGGGATGATATAAGAGTAACTGACTATAATAATAGAAGTAAGAAGTGGTTGTTGGAATAATTGTGTTAATTACAGAATAGTCTCTGTGTTTTCATACAGGCATTAAGCATTCATTATTTACTTTAAAGCTGATAAAAACTTTGTGATATGAGTATTATTTTTCACACCTTTTCAGGCGTTCATCTTCCCATAGCTACCCCTGTCAACAAGGAACGGACAATGACTTGCGGGGGCAGAGTGGGTATCTGCAGTAAGCAGTGACCTGGGGCCTGGCACAGGAAGCTCTGGCCAACAGAGGCCATGGTGACCAGCCAGGCCAACCCGATTTCCTTAGACATCAGAAGTCCCGGAAATGTAGAGTGAATCAGTCTGCTGGTAGCCAAGGCTAAAGCTGAGAGAATACACAAAGAGAGGCCATGGAGGCAGGGTGGGGCCTTAAGAGTCCATGTGCGATTTAAGGGGTGAATCAGTGGACATTACCAATAAGCAGAAACCAGGAAGTAGAGAATAGATGCTCAGAGCAGAAAATAAATCATTGGTTGGTAGTGGTAGGAATCACAAAGGGAAGAAACGTGAAGGGCTAGATCACCCTAATATTGGCCACCAACACATGCCCATGTGGTTTTATCAGTCAGGGTGCCAGCAGGAAACACATGGCACCCTCAAAAGAGTGATGGCAGAGAGTTGGATGAAGGAACTGTTTGCCAGTGGCAACACAGGGTTAAGGAAACCAAAAAGGGACGGTGAAGCACCTGAAGGTTAGTGATCGTAAGAAGCCCTTAGCATCCATAGGTTTAAAGACACAAAAAGAGGAGTTTGTTCCTGGAACCTGGTGAGACTTATGGTAAAAGCAAAGGGCCACCCAACAGGAGCTGGGGTTTTTGGTAGAAAAACACAATGACTGGACCAGGCGTGGTGGCTCAGGCCTATAATCCCAGCACTTTGGGAGGCCGAGGCGGGTGGATCACTTGAGGCCAGGAGTTTGAGACCAGCCTGGCCAACATGGCGAAACCCCGTCTCTACTAAAATTACAAAAAATTAGCCAGGCATAGTGGTGTGCGCCTGTAATCCCAGCTACTCGGGAGGCTGAGGCAGGAGAATTGCTTGAACCCAGGAAGTGGAGGCTGCAGTGAGCCGAGATCGTGCCACTGTACTCCAGCCTGGGTGACAGAGTGAGACTCTGTCTCAAAAAAGAAAAACACAATGACTGGCAGCATGTGGCCTTGCAGAGAAGAAGCCGGAAGAATAAATACTTCAGCCTGTCTCTTCTGTTGCCCTTGGATCACCTCTCAGTGCCTTCCATTGGCCAAACCCAACCAGAACCTTGAGAGCAAGAGAGCTTGGTTGATGTAGTCTATTCAAGTCAACCTCTCAGGTCACAGAGTCAGGGGAAGAAAAGTGGAGAATAGACTCACCAGGGCACAGGAAAACTGTCCAGAACAGTGGTAGAGGTGTCAAGATAATCCAGAGTCCAGTGCTGTGTAGAAAACTCTCAGTTCCTGTAGGCTGAGCTATGTGGTTGCTTGGGGGTTCCCGTAGGATTTATTTCCCATGTTTTCACATGGGAATGTGTATATATGTAACACATAACATTGCATAAAGATGCTTTCTTTCTGAGTCTTGGTTCCTTTAAATCAAGAGTGCGATGACGTAAAAACGTTAAGCAATTTCCTCCACACTGGAAGTAGGACAGCCTGGAACCAAAGCTGCAATAGCCAGGGTCTAGAGCCATGCTCTTTTCACTTGACTACAGTGGAGGTACAAATGTGATATCAGCCCCATGATAAAGTATAGAAGCTGCCGGCGCCTACGGCCATACCATTCTGGATGCGTCTCAGAAGCTAAGCAGGGTCAGACCTGGCTGGTACTTGGATGGGAGTATATCAGCCACTGGGTGCTGTGGTGCATGCTTGTGGTCACAGCTGCTCAGGACCCCGAGGTGGGAGGATTGCTTGAGTCCAGGAGTTTGATCAAATCCAGCCTGGGCAACATAGCAAGACCCTATCTCTTAAGGGAAAAAAAAAGTGTAGAAGCCCTTGACCATCAAGTTATTTTGTAGGAAATCACTGGATCACTTTTAGAATGTGGTGACATGTGCAAACAAAAAAAGTACATTTTAGGAAGATCCCATTGGTAGAATGCAGATCAGATTGGAGGAGGGGATGTGGGCATGTAAGTTTGCAATTGTGATGAGATTTTGCTTGAGGATCTGAATTAGGAGGCTGATGGCGCACATGTAAAGGGGGAGGCACTGTTCACTTGTTATGTGCCAGTTACTGCTGCAGGGACCAAGGATGTAGCCGAGAACCAAACAGATGCCTGCTCTTCTGGAGCTTATGCCATTTGAAGCTCTAAGAATAGATGAGTTCTCCAAGGGAAAGACCATAGAGAAGCAAAAAGTAAGCCTGAAGCATGCCTGTGAGCAAAGAGGGGGAAGTGAAGAAAAGAGCCAGTGGAACAGCTTGCAGAGAACCAGGAAGGGCAACCAATAAGGGAGCATGTCATGCAGGCCAAGCGAGAGAAGACGGCTTCAAGAAGGGGACCAAAAACAGGGCTGATGGCTGCAGAGGATGAATGAAGACAAGACCAAGAAGAGGGCCTGGAATTGACATACAGGAGGTCATTCGGAAGCTTGATCAGAGCAACTCAGTGCAGCGGATGGATGCTAAACTGAGAGGTCAGTAGGAACCATTATAGTTGGGACTTACAATAGAAGTGCTGTCTAGGGAAGAGAGTTGGACGCCCAGCATGCAGGAGGATTTTGATGTGGTCATCATTCTGGCCTGAAGATTTATAGTTTTAAAATCCTAGTTGCATAACAGTAACCGGGGTTGAGCAGGTCCTAGGACCTAACTCATGCCAATCAACTCATAAGAAACTGATTATAACCCCAAATGTCAAGTTAGTAATTTTCAACTAATAATATTTTCCAGTGGTGGGAATATTTGTGTCCATTATCCAGGACACCCTCGTTCCAGTATTAAGCTACTTGGGGAGCTGGATTTTTTAATTTATTTATTATTATTATTATTATTATTTTTTTTTTTGAAATGGAATCTCGCTCTGTCGCCCAGGCTGGAGTGCAGTGGCGCGATCTTGGCTCACTGCAACCTCTGCCTCCTGGGTTCAAGTGCTTCTCCTGCCTCAGCCTCCCGAGTAGCTGGGACTACAGACGCCTGCCACCACGCCCGGCTAATTTTTTTTGTATTTTTAGAAGAGACAGGGTTTCACCGTGTTAGCCAGGATGGTCTCGATTTCCTGACCTCGTGATCTGCCCGCCTTGGCCTCCCAAAGTGCTGGGATTACAGGCGTGAGCCACCGTGCCCGGCCGGAAGCTGGATTTTTAATCAGAAGACTGTGAGATGGTACGGAAGAGAACAACAGGAATGGCTAATCCTGAAATGTATTTCATCCAATCCATGGTGGGAGACTCCTTTGGTGATCTCTCTGCATATCCCTGACTCTTAACCTTGAGGTACACCAAAGCTCAGTTCTTGGACTTGCCTTTCTCTATTTATACTCTGCCCATGGTGAGCTCATCAGCATCATGGTTGTTAGGTTCTAGCAAGTCCCAAATTATGTCTCCAGTCAACTCTCATTTAAACTCTAGACTCATGTGCCCAACTGCCTGCTTCATACCCCCAGCTGGATATCTGTACTCAGCTCAAATTCTGCATGTTCAACACAGAACTCCAACTCTGCCCTATCAAGCCTGCAGCATCCACAGCCTTGCCCTATTAACTGATAGCAACTCCATTATCCTAGTTGCCCAAGTCAAAATCCTTAGTGTCACCTTGACCCTCCCATTTTTCTCATATCCCACATCCAATCTATCAGATAATTCTGTTGACTTCATTCAAATTATCACTAGAACCAGACCACCTTAAACCACGTCCACTGCTATCATCCTGGTCTGAACTGCCATCATCTCTTGCTTGGATTCTCACACTGGCCAGTTCCCAACCAGAGGTGAGGATTTTTTTTTTTTAATGTAAGTCAGATCATGTCACTCCTCTGCTCAAAAGCTTCCCATGGCTCCCCATTTCCAAGGGCACTCCACCTCTCTGACGTCATCTCCTACCATGGTCCCCTGCGCTGACTGCTCCAGCCTTCTGAGCTTCCCTGCATTCCCTAAAACATGCCAAGGGTGCTCCTGCCTCAGACCTTTGCTATGCCCTTTGCCCAGAATACTTTTCCCTCAGGTACCCATCAGGATCACTCCTCGCCGTGCCACTTCAGGAACATGGCTTGACTCTCAGAGAGGCCTTCTCCCACCCCAGACTCCATGCTGCAGCTCCTCCAAACTTGAACTTCCTCTCCTTGCTGTGTTTTTCTCCATTGTCTCTCATTTTCACACTCTTATGATTTACTTATTTTTTTTTTGCAGTCTCCAGCATTAGAATGTAAGCTCTATGTGAGCAGGAATTTTTGTTGGTTTCATGCACTATGGATTCCCAGCACCTGGGACGGGCCTGAACATAAATATTTGAATGAATAAATAAATGAAGGAACAGATTACTCCTGTCCCATGAGAGTTCTTCAGCAGTTATACCCAAGGGAGTGTCTTTTGTTTCTGGATCTTGCTGGACAAGAATCCTACTCCCTTTCCAGTGAGCCCTGGGCCATCCACAGATCCAGCCTCACCTACAGATGCTCTGTGGAAGGGTGGGAACAGGAGCAACAGGAAGGGGTCCACCTCCTGCTTCGGTCAGGACACCTGCACACCTTCCTGAGGTTACATGCGGAGGACCGTAAGCTCATTTATTCAAACAAATATTTCAGACGACCTCTTTGACTACTTCAGCAGCATCCAGAGGGAAGCCGTCACTTCAGAAACATTTGCTGATCGCCCTGGTATGTGACCAGCACGTGATTGTTTTCTCAAAAATTTGCATCAGTGGAAAGGCAGAGGCAGCAGTAGAGAAGGAGGTAGGAAAGAAAAAATGGGAGGAGGAGCAAGGTCTCAGAACCACGCATAGGACTGTCTGTACTATGGCCCGGAGCCCTTGGATGTAGAAATAGAACACGCTGTGCTTTGAGTCAGCATCTGATAAAATAATCTCAGAGTAAGAAACAGTGCTGAGGAATAGTGTTTAGTGCTTTCAGGCTGGCTTTGCCTGTACCAGGTACGTACCTGCATGCTGGGCCCCTGAGCCAAAAAAACTCCCATTCACACCAGTGAGTGTGATTTTAGACTCATTCTGCATTGTTGACCAATAACCACACTTACATCATTTATATTTACTGAGTTGAAAAATCCAGGATCTATTATATGTTCTAACCCGATTTTAAGCTTCAGGAAGAGCAAAGAAAAAGGCAATGTTTCAGGGAACAAGTCCTCCAGCGCACACAAGGGGATGACTCTATTTTTAGTGCATGTGTTAACATGCAGCTATATTTTGGGGAGGATTCTTTTTCCACTTCCAATGGACTTTTAATTGGCAAAAGTTTTAATATCAAAACGTGCACCATTCCCCAATCGAAGCATGTCACAAACTGCCCCATGCCCTGAATACTAAATAAATCTGAATTAAAATAAAAATAGAGACAGCAAAGGGATTAACAGTTCCTTGCTCTTTCCTATTCATGAAAGCCAAGCCTTGAAGGTGGCCCATGAAGCAGAACTAAGCCCTGGTTTTTCAACTGGTTTTCCCAGGTTGAGGGGAAAAAGTAGGGGTTAAAAACAAGGCCTTTATATCATGCAAAGAGCTAACCTCAGCACCCCCTGCTCCCAGATGTCTCTGATAGAGCTGTTTCCCTAAACTTTCAGAACCCTGGCAGCTCCCCCAGTTTCCAGTCATCTCCTGGGGGTGGCATGTAATGGAATGTAAATTTACATGTAACATAGTTGAGGGTCCGTTCTCTTTCAATCTGTTGGACTAGGTAGACGTGGTTAGTTTCCTGCTAGAAAAGGGATGCTTTCTGACATCTCATGAAAGTTCTTAGAAGAAACTGCAGCCCAAAGAAGTTAAATGACTTCCCTGAAGGGTTACAGGTGTGGAGGAGCAGAACAGGACTAGAACCCTGGTCCATTTTTTAAGAGATGGGGCTCTCACTTTGTTGCCCAGGCTGGCCTTGAACTCCTGGCTTAAACGATCCTCCCACCTCAGCCTCCCAAACAGCTGGAACTACAGGCATACAATATGGTTCCTTGTTTGGAACTCAAATGGGCACCCAGGATTACTGACAACGGACAAATTCAACAGTCCTAATTTAACAATATTGAATATTTATTTCGAGGAAGTCATGGGGCTAACTGCTCTCCCGCTCCTAGCACCTGATCCTTACGCTGGCAGGGAAGGGACCCGCATCAGGAGGATAAATCCACATGGAGTGGTGCGGTGGGGTCGGGAGGAGGAGATCTGCAGCACCCACCCAGGAGCTGGCCAGGGCAATCTCCAGACAGAGTCGGGGTGAGCAAGGAACCGTGGGGCGTCCCCCAGCAACAGGGATTCACCTCTCCTGAGGTGAGGTTTCTAGGGAGGACTAGCAGGGGCAAGATGAAATTGCCCCCTCACCTGGTTTTACCCTCCAGTGCTGAGAAATTAATCAGGTGGCTGGGCACAGTGGCTCACACCTGTAATCCCAGCACTTTCGGAGGCCGAGGCAGGGAGAGATCACGAGGTCAGGAGATCAAGACCATCCTGGCCAATGTGGTGAAACCCCGTCTCTACTAAAAATACAAAAATTAGGTGGGTGTGGTGGTGCACGCCTATAGTCCCAGCTACTTGGGAGGCTGAGACAGAATTGCTTGGGCCCAGGAAGTGGAGGCTGCAGTGAGCCGAGATCGCGCCACTGCACTCCAGCCTGGGCGACAGAGCGAGACTCCATCTCAAAACAAAACAGAAAAAATCAGGGAAAACCTCATTAACCCTTTGGGACCAGAGAGGGAGAGAGCCCCCAGGTGCCACGTGTCTCCCATGCCCATGCTTCTACTTGACCTCTCTACTTTGGCAGACCTAGCTGAAAGGTGTAGGTGTGTTTTCCTCCTGTGGAATTCATTCCCCTGGCCATCTATAATCCACTCTCAAGCAAGGCAACAGGCAGGCATTTACCTAAGTTGTAATCTTATCTGGAGATGTTCCCAAGTGTGGCCCAGACTTGTGTTTTCCAACAAAAGTCTGACTCATTGTTGTACACAATCATTTGTTTTATTTGAAAACATGTCTACACTGCATTGAGCACCAACACAGGTGTGACCAAGAAACCCACAGTCCTGTCCCCGCAGGCACTGGGTCCAGTGTATGACTTGGGGTGGACTGTTATTTTTCACAGTGAGGGGGGAAGAAAGGATAGGAAAGAAAAGATGGCCATTATCCCAACTCCTGTTCAGGAATCTGAACAATGAGTTATTTAAACTCATCCAGCTCTTCTCATTCCCCTTCTCTCAATCAGCTGGTGTTCAAATATGGAATCTGAGGCCGAGCGCAGTGGCACACGCCTGTAATCCCAGCACTTTGGGAGGCCGAGGCGGGCAGATCACGAGGTCAAGAGATAGAGATCATCCTCGCCGATACGGTGAAACCCCATCTCTACTAAAAATACAAAAATTGGCCGGGTGTGGTGGTAGGAACCTGTAGTCCCAGCTACTCAGGAGGCTGAGGCAGGAGAATTGCTTTTTGACATCCTGACACATGTATAATTGCCGGGAGGCAGAGTTGCAGACTACGTTTCACACACACACACAAAAAAAATGGAATCTGAGCTGGTGGGGCCAGCTGGATTTGGGAACACACAGACACACTGTTTAAAATAACATCCAGACATCATTGCAAAAAATGGGAGGAATGGGCTGTGCTTCCGAATGATAGTTTACTTTTTCCTGTTTTATGAATGCTTACAAATTTAGAGGATACCAGAATTGCACAACCGCCATCATGACAGAGCATCTGCTCAGTGTAAAAACTTTGTTTAGGAAAAAAAAAAAAAAATCCAATGGATATATGGGAAGAGAAGTGCCAGGCTGGATGGTGCTGAGACAGAATGACCCCTTGGGCTCCTTTATTTTGTTCTTTTCAACAGGACCCCACAGATATTTGCGGTATGTCATGAGGACTGGGGATGTCTTCTATTTTTAAATCAGGTATTTAGTCAAGCTGCTTTTAATATTAAGACTGTACAAATTGATTTTTGTTCCCTGTATCTTTCCTCAGAGGCAGAAAGTGAATGTTATAAAACTGGCAGATTTTATTTCTCATACCAGAGGCTCACACAGGATTTCTTTCTGCATGGGGGACAACTGGCTCTTGGTTTCAAACACACTTGAGCCTCTAGCACCATTAAGCATCCAGCAGCTTCCTCGGCATCCAGGCTGAGATATCCATATTCCAGAACAAAGCAGCCAATGTGAAGGATGTGCATCACTGGGAAGAGAGAAGGCTGCCCCCTTAGCCCTGGCTCCTCATCATCTGAGGGAAGTGGAGGGGGCAGGTGGGAGCAAGCTTAGAGTCACCAAGTCATGGCTGGAGAAGGATTTGGGTAAAGCAACTCTAGAGGCTGCCTGGTGGCCTACTTGGGAGAAACAAAGTGCCTTTGAGACTATCGACTTCCTGCTTGTGATCTAAAATGGATGTCTTTGAAATGATTAATCTGGACCAGCTAAAGGCAGTTGTTCACCACGTGTTATCCAAGTTTAGATTTCCTAGTTGATTATTCACACCAGATCAGGCTTTAAAAGATAGACCAAACTAGACCAGAATGTGTAC
Organism: Homo sapiens; assembly: GCF_000001405.40. Classification (NCBI taxonomy): domain Eukaryota; kingdom Metazoa; phylum Chordata; class Mammalia; order Primates; family Hominidae; genus Homo; species Homo sapiens. Next base: position 13,616,384 of record NC_000001.11, on the reverse strand, counting down.
ATTTCAGCAGATCAGCAATTGCAAAATGCTGGTGCTATTTACTGACGTAGCACTGGATCCAAGGACTCCGTGGATATAAATATTTCCAGATTCCTCTGCATTTTAACAATAACAAGAATGGTCAGACGGAGACACATGGTTACAGCATATAATATCGATCCAATGGTCCAGTGTTAGTTACAAATCAGTTTATACAGTTTTGCTCCATTTTCTATGAATTTTGTCTTTCAAATAATCTTTTATAGAATGTATATTCAAAAACATGTTTGAACAGCAAATGTTTAGAGGAGCCAAGTCTGGTGAACGGTCTTTCCTTCGGTTATTTTGGCAAGCGGAGAGGTCACCGTGGATTCTGAGTGGGCCAGGCAAGTGTTCCACGGGTCATCTTCTCCCACGAGCTCAGGGACAGGGCACAGAGTCAGAAACGGTCTTTTTTTAAGCACGTTGGCAGCAGGGCGTAACCCTTCAGCTCTTTAGGGCCTGTGAAAATAGAGAAGGGTGACGGTCGTGTCTCTTACTGGCATTGTGAATAGTAACTCCGTGAGTCCTTTTTCCTATTGTCCTTTGCTCTAAATCTTCCAAGTTCTGACACCTGGTGATCATCTCTTGTTCCTGACATTCCTCCTCCATGCCTTCGTCCTCACACAGCAGGGTCAAACTGCCTGGCTTTTCCAAACACGCTAAGTCCACAGCTGTGTTGTCCCCTGTATCCCTCAACCCTCCAGGTGTTTATCACTTGTCCTCTCCCCTCCCTTCCATCATATATCATCCCTCCAACTCATATAAGAAAAAGGTTTTTGGCTGGGTGCGGTGGCTCATGCCTGTAATCACAGCATTTTGGGAGGCTGAGGTGGGTGGATCACGAGGTCAGGAGATTGAGACCATCCTGGCCAACATGGTGAAACCCTATCTCTACTAAAAAATACAAAAAATTAGCCAGGTGTGGTGGTGCATGCCTGTAGTCCCAGCTACTTGAGAGGCGGAGGCAGGGGAATCGCTTGAACCTGGGAGTCAGAGGTTGCAGTGAGCCGAGATCGCACTACTCCATCCAGCCTGGTGACAGAGCAAGACTGTCTCAAAAAAAAAGAAAAAGAAAAAGAAAGAGAAAGAAAAAGGTTTCCTCTGGCCATGAGTGTAGATATTCTGAATTCTTAAGGAAGCTTAATAAGGAGAAAAAACTCCTTCCCTTCAACAACAGTCAAAGCTAGGAGTCTATGACCACGTATGTGGGTGCACGCAGGGCAAGAGCGGAAGATCTCAATGAAAAAGACCCCATCCTCAGTGGAACTCCTAATCCGAATGGGCTGCCGACTCTGTGACAGGCGGTTTTCTAGAAGCCTTTTCTCTGATGGTTGGAGACGGGCTGATTAGGCATCAGATTAAAACTTGGTTTGGGTTTTCTTCCAAGTTCAGTTAGTTGGAAAATTAAAACAAGAGATCAAATGTGGTCAGATCTCAACAGAAGTCAACTTACAAGCCACCTCTGGCTCTGACTCTCTTATTTTGGAAATTTATAAGGTCTAAGTAGACATTTGTCCTTCTGGGGAAACTTCAGATGTAGTCCTTTTGAAGATGAAGAGGCTCTTTCTTATTTTTAAGAGACACAGTCTTGCTCTGTCACCCAGGCTGGAGTGCAGTGGCACAATCATAGCTCACTGCAGCCTCAAATTCCTGGGCACAAGTGAACCTCCTGCCTCAGCCTCTCAAAGCACTGGGATTCCAGGTGTGAGCCACTGCACTCAAGAGGCCCAAGTAAGGAACTTTGGAACATGACCATTGTACCAGAGATTATTTTTTTGAGACAGGGTCTTACTATGTTGCCCAGGCTGGTCTGCAGGTGCCCAGCAGCTGAGACTACAGGCACGAGCCACCACACCCAGCTTATATCAGAGATTTCTATTAGTTCAAAGATTTGAGTTCTAGACACGATGGCTTTCATTTGCCTATCACATGGGTGTAAGCTATTTACTTACGAGTACCTTCCCGACATTTTTCGCATAACCACAACGATGATTGCACCAATGAAGCCGATGGCTAGTAAGACCCCAACTATGATTCCAACCAGGGTCACTGTTGACAAACCATCTGAACAAGAGAGAGAAAAAAAGCATGAGCCCCAGAGGAAAAAATACATCGGTGATAAAATATGTAACATATAAACAAAGCCACTGCCCTACTGCACATAGCAAATATTGCTCTATGTTGTTTGAGCATGGAGCATTTCTTCCAAAAGGAGAAAATTTGGGCTAGTCTAATCCTATTTTACAAATGGGAAGATTTCTGGGTCTGAGGATCTATCAACGTAACATTCACATTGGCTTAAGTGTTAATTTTTGGGTAGTGTTTACGTATGACTATTAAGTTGGCCCCTATTTTCATCCTTAGTAATGATGAACTGTGATATGACACCATTCCCCATATCTGACATTAAGGGAATAGACTCATCTGAGGTTTGCTTAGTTTCAAATACAAGAAATTCCCTTTTCTCTCTTTAAAAAAAAAAAAAAAAAAAAAGCTTGAAATCTGTTCTCGGAATGTTTTCTATTCTGCTCTCATTGACTGCAATCCAGAAAAGAACGCAATTCGTCTCAACAATTAGCTTCAAAGAAATTTTTAAAAAACCCCAGTAAGAGTATTTTGATGCCAAAATCTAGCCTACCTTTCTCAACTGTTGTCTGTGTGTCTCCATCCACTTTCTCTGTGAATAGAAAGATATAATAATGTAGAATTATTAGGGTTTAATAACTATAATTTAACAACTGGCAAAAGATGAATTTACCCAAGTGGAAAGCAGCAAAACATAAACCAAGAGGATGGCTTCTTAAATAAATTGGATCCAGGGATTTTTAAACAAGCCCCGATGTGGCACTGTCTTTGTAACTATTATTATCTAATTTATGAACCCTTATTCACACCAATGGGTTCATAGCACTTTTCTACGTATTAATTTTATAGTTTAGAAAGCAGAGTAAAGGAAACTGAGCCACAAAGATCTTAAATAAATGATCAAGGAGTATCAGAGGTTAAGGTAGCAGAAGAATCCAGAGCTGTGGATTCTTAGTCCAATGTCAAGATCACAGAGAAGGGACAGACTGTGAAGAGGTATTACTCACTTTGAGATTAATACTTTAGTTTGGGAAGATGTGACCAAGATTGTGGTTAGTCTCAATATCTATTTCCTGCTACTTCTTTGGTAGCAAAATCCAAATTTTTACAAGGCAACAATAGGCCCAGCTAAGTTTCATGAGCAAATATACCCTTTGTGTTTGTGCCACTGTTATTTTAGGGTCTCTATCTGCAGTCAAACCCAGTCTAATAGTTACAAGGTGAGTATTTGTCATTGTGAGTTTCTTTTGAATAATTTTATGCAATAACCTATTTAAAAATAAAAATGTCTTTTCTTCTTGACCTCTTTATATAACGAGTCCTTAACTCCTCTGGGTGGTGGCTATTGACTAGTTTGCAGATAGAGAAAAAGTCAAGATGCCTTGATTTAGAAGTTAATCATCAATCAGGCCCTGCCCTAAAATCTTAGTTCACAGCTTGCAAAATACCCCAGATATCCAGTAGCTTCCCTAATCAGTGGTAAAACTAGCCAACTATCATGTAAAAGATGCCTACTTTTTCTAATGGTTGGGTTTGAAAACCATCCCTTTTGTGCCAAGGTTCTCCTCAGCACAAGGCGCCTCCACAAGATGGCCCCAGGGTAGAGGTCCCAGAAACCAGCACTCCCTGCACAAGCTGAGCCCATGGGTATAGAGCACGTAAGAGCTCATGCTGACTGTGCTACCCCACCATATAGGACACGGCTGGATTTGAGCTTTCCCAGAACAAAGACGGTATCAAATCAACTCCCCAAATGTCACTGATAGAAGTCAACTGCCCGAAGAGATAAGTCAATCATTTGCTTATCACGTCCTACCACGTGGCAGCTGATTCCAGGCTCTTAATATACCATTATCAAAGACACCATTGGTTAGAAAATATATTACTAAAGTTTGTGGAGGATTTGTTACTAAATTAGAGCTTATTAGTGCCATATTTCCCATCTCCCTCCCAATGGCACTGTGATCATAAGCATGCATCATACATGTGCACGTCATCGTATTTGGGTGTTTCACAGCAAAACCGAACATCTGCTGCCCTAATAAAATTACCCCTTCAAAACTGAGTGCTTATAATGACATTTTGGCTCACATGTGAAAATGTCTTGGAATAACGATGTATTAAGTAGGAATGTGCACTCAGTCACAATTTTTTTGTGACAGGAAGGGGCAATTTTGTGACAGGGTGGGGCAGGGGACAGGAAGAAACAGTAACATGAGTTACTTCCCAGGCAACTGAGAATTTTTTTAAAGGAACAGAAAATGAGTATGAAGTATGACAGAATATTCAACATGGATGGCAGAATTTTCTGCTGCTAATTAGCTGTCAACCCACGTTACAAATGAGCAATTCTCCAAAATTTTGAAATGTTTTCCAATGATCATTTATATTGATTATTCTTTCTTTGCTTAGCTCAACTTGGCTTTCTCTGGTGTTTAAATGTTAACCATTTCTTTAACAGCTTGGAGTGAGCTTCAGGTTTTATCTCAAAGCCCTTTATAAGGTTCCCCCCACTCCCCGCCAACACTGTGGTAAAACATACAGGATAAAATGTACTAAATTAACCATTTTTAAATGTACAGTTCAGTGGTATTAAGTACATTCACACTATTGTTCAATCATCACCACCATCCACCTCCTGAACCCCTTTCATCTTGCAAAACTGGAACTCTACCCACTAAACAGTAACTCCTCATTCTCCTCTTCCCCCAGCCCCTGGCAAACCACCACTCTACTTTATGTCTCTATGAATTTGACTATTCAAGGGGCCTCATATAAGTAGAGACATGCAGTATTTTTTTTTGTACTGGTTTATTTCACTTTGCATAATGTCCTTAAGTTTCCTCCATGTTGTATTATGTGTCTGCATTTTCATTTTCAAGGCTGAATAATATTCCGTCATATACACTACATTTTGCTTATCTATCCAACTATCCATGGCCACTTGAGTTGTTTCTGTATTTTAGCTATTGTGAATAATGCTGCTATAAACATGGGGGTACAAAAAAAAAGCTTGTTTTTGTTTGTTTGTTTGTTTTTTTGTTTTGTTTTTTTTTTTGAGACGGATTCTCGCACTGTCGCCCAGGTTGGAGTGCAGTGGCGTCATCTGGGCTCACTGTAAGCTCCACCTCCTGGGTTCAGGCCATTCTCCTGCCTCAGCCTCCCAAGTAGCTGGGACTACAGGCGCCCGCCACCACTCCCGGCTGATTTTTAGTATTTTCAGTAGAGACGGGGTTTCACCGTGTTAGCCAGGATGGTCTTGATCTCCTGACCTTGTGATCCGCCCGCCTCAGCCTCCCAAAGTGCTCGGATTATAGGCGTGAGCCACCGCGCCAGGCGGAGAACAGATTCTTGCACCATGCATGCAGACATGAACTCAAGGTAACGTGCTAAGTATTCATATAGAATCTATTAAGATTTACAGAGGATGGCTGAGTGTCGTGCCCTTGGGTGTCAACACAAAGTTCTTCACGTCACATTCTATCCACTTGGAGTCCGCCATGCAATCTCAGTAGCTACTTAACTCACCCTGTGCAGGTGTTATCACTAGTTATTCTAGGTAGAGAGGTACGTTCAGCAACCCACTAAACCAAATGTATCAATTGAAATAGAATTCTGAACCTACCATATAAAGCTTGGTTCAGAAGTCACTCTTGCATCCCAATATGCCCCCTATTGATTATTCTATTTGTTGATGGACTTTGGAATGCACCAATTATGCAAAAGTAGATCAGCCCCCATGGAGGTGGCTGGTTTTCTTACCCGTGGAGTGACTGGTGGCCACGTTTGAGGCTGTGGCGCTTGGACTTTGTTCTTGCGCGTGGACTGTGCTTTCTGAAGTTGGCAGATCCTCGATGCGAATGCCTGTTACACTGTTGACACTTGTTGCCACCTATTGTAGGTGTAAATGAGGAAAAACAGGAAATAAAGCCTACTGTCTTTAAAATATATCCCCTGCCTTATAAAAGGATTTAAGGTGGCATAAAAATATGGAACATATGATGGCATGAATTGCAAGTAGAAGAAAATGAACAGAACAATTAGATCTTGAAGAGACGGTTGTACACACATGTTCATAGCAGCATTATTCACAACAGCCAAAAGTGGTAGCAACCCAAGCGTCTGCAGACAGAAGAATGGATACACAGTATGGTCTATACATGCAACAGAACGTTATTCAGCTTTATTTTTTTATTTTTTGTTTTTATTTTTTTGAGATGGAGTTTCGCTCTTGTTGCCCAGGCTGGAGTGCAATGGTGCAGTCTCGTTTCACCGCAAGCTTTGCCTTCCAGGTTCATGCAATTCTCCTACCTCAGCCTCCCGAGTAGCTGGGATTACAGGCGCCCGCCACCACACCCAGCTAATTTTCTATATTTAGTAGAGATGGGGTTTCTCCATGTTGGTCAGGCTGGCCTCGAACTCCCGACCTCAGGTGATGCCTGCCTTGGCCTCCCAAAGTGCTAGGATTACAGGCGTGAGCCACCACACCCAGCCTGTTCAGCTTTAAAAAGGATGAACATTCTGACACATGCCATAGCATGGATGAACCTTGAGGACATTATGCTAAGTGAAATAAACCAGTCACAAAAGACAAGTACTATATGATTCCACTTACATGAGGTGCCTAGAGGAGTCAAATTCATAAGATAGAAAGTAGAACAGTGGCTGCCAGGGGCTGGGGGAAGGGAAGAATGAGTTATTGTTTCATGGGTATAGAGTTTCAGTTTTACAGGATGAAAAGTTCTGGAGATCGGTTTAATGATGTGAATATACTTAACACTACTGAATTGTACACTTAAAAATGGTTGAGATGATAAATTTCATGTTATTTTTTTAACCACAATAAAAAACATATGCTAATGAGCACCTCCTATGGGCCCAGCATGGTTCCAAGCCCTGGGACTATAATGTGAATAATATAAATTCTCTGCTCTCTTGAAGCTGGCATTCTGGGGTGGGGTAGCAGAATATGAACATTTAGTAGGTAAATAAGTACAAAGGGTGGTTTGATATGATTTTGAGTGCTTTGAAAGAAATACAAGCTAGCCTTGTCTAGACTAGACTAGACTAGCCTTAGGAAAATTTATTCTGTAAAGGGCCAGATGGGTAAATATTTCAGCTGTCCAGGCCACACAGTCTCTATTCTAACTAATCAACTCTACTCTTACAGTAGGAAAGCAGCCAGACAATTCTCAACTGAATGGGCATTGCTGTGTTCCAATAAAACTTCATTTACAAACACAGTGGGCGGGCCAAATCTGGTGGGTAGTTTGCTGACCTAAGGGCTAGAGGGTGACTTCTGATGGAGGTGAGGGTGAGACTACTTTAGGCTGTTTGAGATGGCATCAACCTTGAGATGCGTAAGAAAAAGGCAGCCGTTCTGTAATTTACCCCTCCCGCTGTAACGACTCTTCCCGCCAAAACTGTCTTTCAAGTTAGCCAATCGGGCTCAGTTTAAATTGTGCTGTCCAACTCCAGCCAATGGACACAGTAGTAGGGACAAACTGCATTAAGAATAAAAAAACCCTTTCCCGCCTTTGTTCGGTGTGCTCTTGTGACAACCAGTCCTGCGAGAAACAACCTTCTACAGAAATAAATTGGCCTTGGTGAAAAATCTTTTGTTTAAGTGTTCGTTTTCTCTGCGACTCTGAGCTTTACTTCCAACAGATGTGGGGGTGAGATTACTTTAGGCTGTTTGAGATGGCATCAAACTTGAGAATTATAAGGAAAAGTCAGCCATGGAAAGATCTGGGCAGTGTTCTAGGCAGAGAAAACCAAAGCCTAAGTTGGAACAAGCTTAGTGTGTTCAAAGGTCAGAAAGGCCAAGATGGCAGAAAAAGAGAAAGTTAAGGAGATGCTGGTGTACAGGTCAGATAGGCAGGCAGGAACCTCCGTTCTGTTACCAAAGAAATCATAGATTCCCTCAAAGGTCGAGGATGTGGCTCATTGACCTCCTCAATCCCTCCCAATGCCTGGCACCTTCTCTTGTCTATGGTAGGTATGTAACACATATGAGGAGTTAATTAAAATTCATCAGGTTAAGAATGTGTTGGTCGAGAGGCTAAATAGTCTATCATCTTGTGGTCTGTGGACTGATTCTAGTCCTGTTTATTACCAGTCTATAGTGAGAAAACAAATTGAGACTGACTGACTTATTTATTTATTTATTTTTTGAGGCGGAGTTTCACTCTCGTTGCCCAGGCTGGAGTGCAGTGGTGCGATCTCGGCTCACTGCAACCTCCACCTCCCGGGTTCAAGCTATTCTCCTGTCTCAGCCTCCCGAGCAGCTGGGATCACAGGTGCACACAGCCACGCCCAGCTAATTTTTGTATTTTTAATAGAGACAAGGTTTCATCATCTTGGTCAGGCTGATCTCGAACTCCTGACCTCAGGTGATCCACCTGCCTCAGCCTCCCAAAGTGCTGGGATTACAGGTGTGAGCCACCACGCCCGGCTGAGAAGATATATTTAGAACCCTTTATAGCAATGACATTGCCACAACACCCAAGAAAACTTTCATTGTATTGAAAGTTGGGCTGTAACAGATTGGAAATGTAAAATCCTGGCTCCTTTTACCAATTTGAGAAGCTCTGGCTTCTACTCTCCAACCACCTGTGATCAGCACACCAGCTAAGTGGACGAAATTGGGAAAGACAGTAACTCCTCACTTAACGTTGTTGATAGATTCTTGGAAACTGCGACTTTAAGGAAAATGACATGCAGCAGGTCCTCACATAATGTTGGTTCTTTCTAAGTCATTTTGCTTCAAGTCACAGTTTCCAAGAACCTATCAACAACATTAAGTGAGGACTTATTCTTCTTTGTTGAGCCACGTAACTATTCCTTGGTATGGTGGCTCATGCTGATTTTATAGATAGATATATTTTTATATAAAGTAAATTAATATACATCATAGCCTTGCATGTGATCACATGCCTACGGAAAAAATTCCTCTCTTCCCAGGACACTGACCAGAGTTGTCAAGCCAGACTTATAGCGGTCTTCGCTGGTTCCTGGAGTCACCACATCATCTTCGGCACCTGGCATGGCAACGCCGCCTTCCAAACCTGTAGTCTCAGTGTCATCTTCTGGCTGGCCTGTGCTGGCTGAAGAAGAAAGATTGAGTCAGAGCTTAAGGTGGAAATTGCATAAGCAGACCCAACTTGTCGGCTACATTCGGATTATTTTCTTTTCCATTTCTTTTGGAAATTTTTGTTTTATTTTTGGTCCTTTTTGTGGCTTACTGTGGTGCCAGAAACCAAACCATTCTCCTTGCAGCACTTCTGACACATCAACACCCTGGTTATCTCCGTTGCAAAGCAAAGGAAAATGAAAACATTAAAAGGTAGAGCAGCCAGCCCCTCCCTGGGGCCCCATCGAGGTGGCCTGGACAGGGGACGTACATCTTTCCTTTTCAATAAGGAACCAGATTCTTCCTGGTGTCATTTCATATGATGAATTAATATATTCATCTGGACCTAAAAACTCTAAATTAGAGTCAACAGGAAAGATTTCTAAACACACCCCTTTGCAGACCCGATGCAAAAGCGGGGTCTCCATCTTTTTATTTTTTTATTTTTTTCTCTACCTTTTCAAATTAATTTTTCTTAAGAGACAGGCTCTCCCTCTGTTGCTGAGGCTAGAGTACAGAGGCACAATCATAGCTCACTATAACCTCAAACTCCTGGGCTCAAGCGATCCTCCCGTCTCAGTCTCCAAAGTAGCGGGGACTACAAGTGCTCACCACCACACCCAACTTCCATCTTTTTAAAAGCAAACTCTCTCTCCATTTAATTTTAAGACTGCTGTTCACTTGGACAATTAGAACCACAGGCTCTGACCACAGACCTCGTAGATTACATGGAGTTTTACCTCTTACTTTACAGTTGAGATTACTGTCTACAGGGGAGGGTCAGTAATATGCTTAGGGATGCCAAGACACCAACAGAACACTTAGTACACCAAGAGCCAAACTAGCTGGGTGCAGTGGTTCACGCCTGTAATCCCAACACTTTGAGAGGCCAAGGTGGGTGGATCATTTGAGGTCAGGAATTTGAGGTCAGGAATTTGAGACCAGCCTGGCCAACACGGTGAAACTCTGTCTCTACTAAAAATACAAAAATTAGCCTGGTGTGGTGGTGGGCACCTATAATCCTAGCTACTCAGGAGGCTGAGGCAGGAAAATTGCTTGAATCCAGGAAGCAGGGGTTACAGTAAGCTGAGATCGCATCACTGCACTCCAGCCGAAACCCAATCTCCAAAAAAAAAAGAGCCAAACTAATGAACTGCCCTTGGCCCTGGCTTTTCCGCATTAACATTTGGACAAATGATGTGTCATGCCAATGAGAAAGGTTTCTGGGCCAGGTGTGGTGGCTCACGCCTGTAACCCCAGCACTTTAGGAGGCCAAGGCGGGCGGATCAGAAGGTCAAGAGATCGAGACCATCCTGGCCAACGTGGTGAAATCCCATCTCTACTAAAAATACAAAAATTAGCTGGGCATGGGGTTGCATGCCTGTAGTCCCAGCTACTTGGGAGGCTGAGGCAGGAGAATCGCTTGAACATGGGAGGTGGGGGTTGCAGTGAGCCAAGATCACACCACTGCACTCCAACCTGGTGACAGAGCAGGACTCCGTCTCAAAGAAAAAAAAAGGTTTCTGCTGGAGCAGGGAATTGGAGTGGACTACCAGGCTGAATTCTACAATGAGAGATAGAGCAGATAACAGCAGTATCCTCTTCTTCAACTTCTGTTGCAGTGACCCAAACTAGTCATGACCATGCTCAATTATCATCTCCAAAAATCACCAAACAACCCTCTTTGTGCATTAAAAATGTGACTCACTGGCCATGGGCTTCTTCCCTAAACTCCAGTGGTTCTGGAAATTCCATGACTAAATACAGTTGCAAAATAAACAAGCATACACATCCCAGGAGCGAGGGGGAGGGAGGTGCTTGGAAATTTCTTTGTGTAATGAAAGAGCAGATGTTTGTTTGTCTCTAGGCAGCACTTACATTAGCAATCCATTCCTTGCCTTAAGATACCTTATTCTCCCCACTGCTTAGACAGCACTTATATCAGCAATCCATTCCTTGCCTTAAGATACCTTATTCTCCCCACTGCTTAGACAGCCCAGCCAGAGGCACAGCTAATAAATATTTGATTATAGCTTCTTTGATGCCTAGAGGAAGCCTCTGAAGTTAGTTCACTTGTTCTATGAGCCTGCTCTTTTATTCTAGAGTCCTAATCCAGTAGAGATGGCTTTGGATGAGCTACCTACACATTTTTTTAATCTGGGGGTGTACAGCGAGGGGTTTACCAGTTAGCAATAACCGAATATTTCCATGCATGCAAATGGTTTGCCTCTCCATGTGGCCTTTTGCTGGAGTAGGGGTAGAGGTGAGGGTTGGTGATTGGCTCCTACAAAAATGTATGACTTGTGGTGTAGGCAAACGCTTACTGTGTATTTATTGAGCTCAATGGGAAATATCCCTTTGCCAGACAAGTAGTCCTTATTAAAAAACTTACTAAGCTTCCCATTTTATTTCTTCCTCACCTGGTTTGAACTTAGTTAACAAATCATCAATTTTAAAAACGTTTTCTGGAGCGGTTTAGTACAATCACTTACTTATTTGGTGTATCTAACTTAAAACAATCCTTGCTTTAAAAAAAAAAAATCAAGTGCTCAATGAAATTAGATTGAATTCTTTCATAGAAAGCTCAGTTCATTGAAAGCGTAACTTTATAAAAATTCCTTCTTGTTCTTTTCTACCCTTGGCCCACAGAGCCAAGTACTAAAATCGCTCTGAATGGACAAAAGGCGTTTTATGAATGATAGTCAGGATTAAGATGCATGTCTTTTGTCTCACCGCCCTAGCATTCTTTTTGCTCCATGGGAAAGCTGAACTTTAACAAGAGATCCCCAATTGTCCCTCTTAGTATCTTGGCTGAAGGATTCCCTGGGTGAAGAGTTCCTACTAGGCCAGCTGCCGAGTTTCCAGCCAGCATCTCATGTCTTTTCCCCTTCCTCCTGAAATTCAAATCATGGATGCCTTCACTTTCCAATCCTCTTTTCCCCAAGACATATGTATGCACAGGCATACATATGCACGCACACACGCATACACACACACATACAGGGATGCACATATGTGCAGACACACAATTGTTTCTACAAGTGTAGAGTGACGAATTTGCCATCATAAACCAATACCCACAACCTAGCTTGCAGGTTCAGTTCTGGAGTGGTGTACCAGCGTGCTCACATAAACACCCTTTCCTGCCACACCCAGCCTCAGCCAAACACGGCTCAGTGGAAGTTTCCAAATGCGGCAGCAAACGATCCACTTACTTTGAAATTTGTTGTTGTTGTGATTATTTTAAAAAAGCTAGGCAGGGCTGGGCGCGGTGGCTCACACCTATAATCCCAGCACTTTGGGAGGTGGAGGTGGGTGGATCACGAGGTCAGGAGTTCAAGACCAGCCTGGCCAAGATGGTGAAACCCCGTCTCTACTAAAAATACAAAAATTAGCCTGGCACAGTGGCAGGTGCCTGTAACCCCAACTACTCGGGAGGCTGAGGCAGGAGAATCACTTGAACTCGGGGGGCGGAGGTTGCAGGGAGCTGAGATCATGCCACTGCACTCCAGCCTGAGTGGCAAAGTGAGACTCTGTCTTAAAAAAAAAAAAAAAGCTAGGCTGAAGTTTCTATTTCCTAGGAGAAGATGATTTGATAAATCAACTGTCACTTGGGGTTCTTAATTTTTGAGAACAAATAAACGTAAGCAATGCTTATTTATATGAAATCACTAACTATGAATAACTTTTATCTTTGCATTCATGTCTAATAACTCGCTAGATTGCACACATTACAGGATGGCATTTCTTTTGTCTTTTCTTTGAGATGGAGTTTCACTCTTGTCACCCAGGCTGGAGTGCAATGGTACAATTTCGGCTCACTACAACCTCCGCCTCCTGGGTTCAAGCGATTCTCCTGTCTCAGCCTCCCAAGTAGCTGGGATTACAGGTGTGCACCACCACGCCCAGCTAATTTTTATATTTTTAGTAGAGATGGCATTTCACCATGTTGGCCAGGCTAGTCTCGAACTCCTGACCTCAGGTGATCCGCCTGCCTTGGCCTCCCAAAGTGGGCATTTCTTTTTTAAACAGAATTTCTTTCTTTCTATCTCTCTCTGTTTTTTTCTCTCTCTCTCCTTTGTATTTATAGAGATGACATCTCATTTTATTTTTATATATATATATATATTTGTAGAGACAAGGTCTCACTACATTGCCCAGGCTGCTCTTAAACTCCTGGGTTCAAGCAGTCCTCCCACCTCAGCCTTGCAAAGTGCTGGGATCACAGGCATGAGCCACTGTGCCCAGCCTGCCATTTCTTTAAAAATACTTTAGAGTTGGCCAGGCACGGTGGCTCACGCCTGTAATCCCAGCACTTTCGGAGGCTGAGACGGGTGGATCACCTGAGTCAGGAGTTCAAGATCAGCCTGGCCAACATGGTGAGACCCCGTCTCTACTGAAAATACAAAAAAAAAAATTAGCCAGGCATGGTGGTGCACACCTGTAATCCCAGCTACTGGGGAGGCTGAGGCGGGAGAATCACTTGAACCCAGGAGGCAGAGATTGCAGTGAGCCGAGACTGAACCATTGCACTCCAGCCTGGGAGACAAAAAAAAGAAGTACTTTTGAGTTTAGATGTAACATTCAATCAGGCTGTTATTGTAATAGTCCAAATTCTTAATAAAAATCTTTTAAATAAGTGATTTCAGTCTTCTGGTTTTATTTACACTTCTTTGATTTGTGGAGCGAGTTGTTTCATCCATTTGTCTTCTTTTGTGACCGTTTTTGTAATGGTCACATGGCATTCCCTCTTATAAGCACTGTTCATACCTTAAGAATGTATTCTTTGGCCTAAATGCTGCTGGCATTTTTTTTTTTTGAGACGGAGTCTTGCTCTGTCGCCCAGGCTGGAGTACAGTGGCACGATCTCGGCTCACGGCAAGCTCTGCCTCCTGGGCTCACGCCATTCTCCTGCCTCAGCCTCCCAAGTAGCTGGGACTACAGGTGCCCACCACCACACCCGGCTAATTTTTTTGTATTTTTTAGTAGAGACAGGGTTTCACCATGTTAGCCAGGATGGTCTCAATCTCCTGACCTTGTGATCCACCCGCCTCGGCCTCCCGAAGTGCTGAGCCACCCAAAGTGCTGAGCCACCCAAAGGCATGAGCCACCCAAAGGCATGAGCCACCCAAAGGCATGAGCCACCCAAAGGCATGAGCCACCCAAAGGCATGAGCCACCGCACCCGGCCTACATCTTTCTTTTGCAAATGACCAAGCTATCAGTAGTCAAACTTCTTAAACTTGTTTTCTCTTTGACATCACACTCACAAACTCTTCCTCAAGATCACATAAATATTCACCTATGTTTTCCTTATGGTATTGTACTTACGTTTAATATTTTTGTCTGTTTATTTTGAAGTATTATAATAAAAGAGAAATATAATTTCCCCCCAAAAGATTAGCCAATCACCCTGATAAATCCTCTTTTCCCCACTGCTTCAAAACCAGCTGTCATTGAGACAAATCTTTTCTTTCCAATACTATGTCATGGCTGGGTGCAGTGGCTCAGGCCTGTAATCCCAGCACTTTGGTAGGCCAAGGCAGGCAGATCACCTGAGGCCAGGAGTTTGAGACCATCCTGACCAACATGGCAAAATGCTGTCCCTACTAAAAATACAAAAATTAAGTAGGCAGGATAGCACATGCCTGCAGTCCCAGCTACTCAGGAGGCTGAGGCAGGAGAATCGTTTGAACCCAGGAGGCAGACGTTGCAGGGAGCCAAGATTGTGCCACTGCACTGCAGCCTGGGTGACAGAGCAAGACATGGTCCCAAAACAAACAAATACTATGTCACAGTTACAGGAGAAACTTAGCACAAGGCCCAGCTTAAGTGGCCTGGACACTGCCAACTATCCCCACTCCACATGGGCCCTCTGTCTGCAGAGTCTCCAGAAGCTGTTTCTAAATCCGTGCTCTCTTCACTGTAAGCTCCCTCTTCCTCCTCACATCAGCTGACAGCTGCTGAGTTAAATCAGTGACCAGGGAGTAGCTAGAATAAAACTCAGTGTTTAGGGCAAGGAGGAAAAGTAAGTATTCAAACAGGTGCATTTGGGGTCGTTCAAGATCTGGCACTGACGCAGCATTGTAAATTCCACTTAACGTGGAAGACACCTCATTGTCCTAACACCCTCTCACATTTGCTACTCACAATGTAGGGTTTACATGGCGTCTCCCAGCTGACTTTATTTCACAACAGCGCTGTGGTGGCTAGGCCCTTAGCCTGCCTTCACAAAGAATCTTGTTAGGCCAGTTTAGCAAGAGTCCCCCCAACCCCATCTCTTAGGAATTTTCCACCCACTGATCCCCTCATTCTGCTTGTGGGCTACAAATCCCCACTTTTCCTTTCACCCAGAGGTGAACCTGAGCTCTCCTCCCTACTGCAATGCCCCTTATTACAGGGGTCTTGACTAAAGTCTTCCGTACAATTTCAACAAGTGTCAGAATTAGTGTTTCTTTAACAAGGTCGGAAGTTAAGTGATGTGGCCCAACGCGGTGGCTCACGTCTATAATCCCAGCACTTTGGGAGGCCAAGGCAGGTGGATGACCTGAGGTCGGGAGTTCAAGACCAGCCTGGCCAACGTGGTGAAACACCTTCTCTACTAAAAGTACAAAAATTAGCTGGCCATGGTGGCGCAGGCCTGTAGTCCCAGCTACTTGGGAGGCTGAGGCAGGAGAATCGCTTGAACCGAGGCAGAGGCTGTAGTGAGCTGAGATTGTGCCATTGCACTCCAGCCTGGGTGACAAGAGTGAATCTCCATCTCAAAAAAAAAAAAAGAGTTAAGTGATGTGCCAAGTTCATGATTCATTAGCGGACACAAAGCCAAATATTCTAACCGCATCCCTGGACTCACCAACATACAACTAAAAAGCAGCTGTGCATTTTCGTGATGTGCTCTCCCGGCAGCTTTGGGCTAAAATGCCTGCTGCCTCCCTCCCTGGGTTCTGAGATCCTTCCCCTTCTGCCCAGGTGCCATCCTCATCTTCCCAGAAATCACGTTCCTGGTAGTCAGGAACAATTGCTTCCCCTGGTACCTCACTGCCTCTTATGAAATCCCATCTTGTTAGAATCTTCCAGTCTTATTTAATGACCACAGTCTTGACCTCCTCCAGTGTGTCCCCTTACTAGGAGAAATCTGGACGAATCTAAACTTTCAGCAATGGCAGGTTAGAAGGAAGGTATGACTCACTCTAAAGGAGGTGTTGCTTTGAGCAGCAGCAGCCCTCTCCCCGCTTAACTGTGCAAGTTAAGGCAGCAGCAAAAACCAAGACTGAAGCCTGCATGAGTTCACCTCTACAGCCCCAGCTCCCAGCATTTATATTCCTTCCACAAATATTTACCAAGCACCTGCCAAGAGCTGGGCCACATTCTCATCACTAGAGACAGAGAAGTGAATAGGTAAGGAAGATCTCCACTCTTAAGGACTAGAGTACTCTTGGAGTGGGGTGGGGTCACCATAAAAAAATAAGCAACACATCAGATAAGCTATTAATCCCAGCACTTTGGGAGGCCAAGGTAGACGGATCACTTGAGGTCGGGAGTTTGAACCCAGCCTAGCCAACATGGTGAAACCGTCTCTACTAAAAATACAAACATTAGCCAGGCGTGATGGTGGGCCTCTGTAATCCCAGCTACTCAGGAGGCTGAGGCACAAGAATCACTTGAACCCAGGAGGTGGAGGTTGCAGTGAGCTGAGATTGCGCCACTGCACTTCAGCCTGGGTGACAGAGCAAGGCTCTGTCTGAAAAAAAAAAAAAAAAAAAAAAAAAAAAAAGATAGCTTCTCGAACACATCAAGATAGCTTCCCTCATGCCTTCAGATCTCAGGGAACTTTCTGGCCGGGCATGGTGGCTTACGCCTGTAATCCCACCAGCACTTTGGGAGGCTGATGCAGGTGGATCACACGGTCAGGAGATCGAGACCATCCTGGCCAACATGGTGAAAACTCGTCTCTACTAAAATACAAAAAATTAGCCAGGCGTGGTGGTGCACACCTGTAGTCCCAGCTACTCAGGAGGCAGAGGCAGGGGAATCCCTTGAACCCTGGAGGCGGAGGTTGCAGTGAGCCAAGATTGCGCCACTACACTCCAGGCTAGTGACAGAGCGAGACTCCATCTCCAAAAAAAAAAAAAAAAAGGAGGGGGGGCACTTTCTTGGACTGTCCATTTAAGCGAGTACCCCTCCCCTCTTCCACGGCACATATACCTGAATGCTTACCCCCACCCTGCTACCTGCTCGCTACTTGTCTGTCCTACTGGAATATAAGCTTGATAAAGGCTGCCTCATCTCAATGTCCACAATGTCTGAAATCCCTGGCACATACCAGGCACTCGGTAAGTAGCTGTTGAGTGAATGGGTGAGTTCCAGATAGGGGAACAGCTGGTGCTAACTAACCCCAAAGCCCAGAACGAGCATGGGGCGCTGCACGGGAGGGAGGATGGTCAGTGTGGCCAGGTGGAGGGGCTGAGGAGGACAGAGATGGGGCTGAGAGGTGTGGAGCGGTGGTTCGGTAGAACTGTTTTAAGGATGGGGTTTCAGTTGCATTTGGCGTGTGAAGGGAAGCCAGGAGATGTTGAGGAGGGGATGACCTCAGTTGAGTCCCAGAGGCCACTCTAAGTCAAGTAAGTGAATAGTGTGTGTGTATCAGGGAAGGTGCCAGGATCAGGCTGAAGCAGGGAGAAGCTTAGATTCTTTCTGTTATCTAAGAAAGACAGTGGAGAGGGGTTGGTGCTTATACCAGGACCTTGGCAGTGAGGAGGGATAAGAACTGGACAGGTGATGGCTGGGGAGCATTTGAAGTCATTACCCACTGAGGATCAGAAATAAATGCGGGACAGGCATGGTGGCTCACACCTATAATCCCAGTGCTTAGGGAGGCCGAGGAGGGCAGATCACCTGAGGTGAGGGGTTAGCGACCAGTCTGGCCAACATGGCAAAATCCTTTCCCTACTAAAAACACAAAAAATTAGCCAGGCGTGGTGGCTTGTGCCTGTAATCCCAGCTACTTGGGAGGCTGAGACACGAGAATCGCTTGAACCTGGGAGGTAGAAGTTGCAGTGAGCCGAGATAGTGCCACGCACTCCAGCCTGAGTAACAGAGTGAGACGAAAGAAAAGAAAGGAAAGAGAAAGAAAAAAAAGAAAAGAAATGCTAACCCAGTAGAATCCTTTTTTTGAGACAGGGTCTCCCTCTGTCACCCAGGCTGGAGTGCAGTGGCACAATCTTGGCTCACTGCAGCCTCGATTTTCCAGGCTCAAGTGATCCTCCCACCTTAGCCTCTCGAGTAGCTGGGACTATAAGTGCGTACCACCATGCCTGGCTAATTGGGTTTATTTTTTTGTAGACCACAGGGTCTCACTATGTTGTCCAGGCTGGTCTCAAACTCCTGGGCTCAAGCGACTCTTCCACCTTGGCCTCCCAAAGTGAGAATTCATTTTACCACCTGTTACAGCTCTACTGACAAACAACATTTAGAGTAGAAACAGATCTACTGAACAAAGAAGGCTGCCCCTTTGCGATGCTGAGTCTAGATGGGGACTTCCTCTCGTTAAGTCCTCTACATAAAATTTAGCTAAAGAGCTCCTGTGCTGTTTCCATCTTGACGTGAGTGAGAAGTTTCTTCCACTCCTATTTCTGCAGACCTGCAGCTCCCTAATCTGAACGCTGGAGAAGCCGTTTCTACAGCATTTTATCTTGAACTGGTGATGCTGATTTTTAAAGTAAACAAGATACAAGCTGAGTTACCCTCGGGATTTTCAAAGGAAACCCAGGGTATTAGTCAACAGATTAAAAGGGTCTTTCACGTTGCTCAGTGTTTTGTAGCATCTTGCGCTGCCCTAGTGTCTAAATGTGCAAATAAATGTCTTTGTAGATGGATGACGAAATGGTGTTGGAATGACTTGTGGCTATTGAGAAGCAGAATATTTTTAAAATTCATATTCTGGGAAGCTCTGGTTTTCCCCTATAGAACAAACTCTAGGATAACTATTAATTAATTCTAGCACCTCCCCAATTACATTTGAGATAAAGTTATGCTTTTGAAGAGATGTTAAAATGTCTATTTGAAAACAAAAACACCGACTTCTGTTCCTTTGCCCAAACACAGGCTTTTGTATATTATTTTTCTATCACGTCTCAAAACTGAGCCCAGAAGCCTGAAAATAAACACACCCCGAACAGTAGAAAGGTGCCAACCTCCAACATTTTCCAGCACTCTGCCGGCCACCCACTGCAGTCACTGAGGTGCTCATATCTCTCTACAGTCCTTCAGCTCAGTTCAAAAATGTCCCAAACTTAGCTGTTTGCTGTTGCTTCCCTCAGTCAACCTGAAGTGGGTTCCGGCAATCAGGAGAAAGGCATTAGAATTTTCCCTCTATTAGCTGTACCTTTTGAGTTGTCCCTTGTGTCCTGTAGCCCGGCCCATCTCCTGACCTATTGTTGAAGGCTTCCTTTGGAATATCGATGTTTTGCTTACAGCCACACCACTCTGAACACGCCTGACCTCGTCTGAATATTGATGCAACCACTAACCTCTGAAGTCCCAAAGCTCCTTTACACGAAGAAAGCCACTCCCTAACCCAGAGCTGTGTGCCCTCAACTTCAAGCAGCCACTGGTCGTGATCGACATAATCACTGATGTGGCCAGTGAACTTTTTTCCCCCTTCACCCCTTCCATGGAGTCTGGTAAATTGCTTACTGGACCAAAAGTTTGGCCCTGGAAAATCTAGAGAACTGTGAATTAATCTAGGCTTTGGCCTGCCTGCCACTCTGTACCCACAGACATGTCCCCTCACTGAATTTTCCTCCAGGCGTACATAGCGCTAACTGAAGTCCACACTGCCCCATAGATTCCTAGAGTCTGGCACCATGGTAGGTATTTAGCAGATGCCTCTTGAGTGACAGCTAAGTACATTTATACATTCAGGTAGAACTTTTTTTTTTTTTTTTTTTGAGACGGAGTCTTGCTCTGTCACCCAGGCTAGAGTGCAGTGGTGCAATCTTGGCTCATTGCAACCTCCGCCTCCTGGGTTCAAGCGATTCTCCCATCTCAGCCTCTCAAGTAGCTGGGATTACAGGCACCTGCCACCATGTCCAGCTAATTTTTTGTATTTTTAGTAGAGACGGGATTTCATCATGTTGACCAGGCTGCTCTCAAACTCCTGACCTCAGGTGATCTGCCCGCCTCAGCCTCCCAAAGTCCTGGGATTACAGTTGTGAGCCACTGCACCCGGCCGGAACACTTCTTTAAAATTATCTTCTGTATTTATGATGTCCCTGCCGCTGTCCACCAGGCTTCACCCCCGAGTTGTTAAACGCCTTCCCCTGTAATGAAAGAGACGGCATAGCTGAAGATAGCACGGCACCTGCAAAGGGGAACTTGGCTGCCCTGCCGTTCAATTTCGTGTGAGCAGCGCCATGCCCATTCACTGTGGCAGGTCCTGTCAACCCCTGTGGGATGAGACCAATGACGAGATGAGACCTGACTGTGTGCTAACGGCACTGGGGGCGTGTGACTCTTCTGTAAAATGTAAGAGAAACATGTCAAAGCTGAGGAGATCAGACACGTGTCACTAGTTCCTCTGGAGAAATCAGGAGAAATCCAGCACGTGAAGATGTGAAACCGCTTTCCCTGACTACAAACTGGGAGGCAGTCTGCACAGTACCCCCTGCCCCAGAGTTTGCTTTGGGGTCTTGGGGGTGGGGGGGAGGTGTCCCCTCTGGGTCACCTCCCAAAGTTGAGGGCAGCACTTTGAGGGTTTCTGCAGCTGAACTGGGCAATGAAGAAGAGGGGCCAATGAGAGCGACTCCATTTTCCTTTCAATAGCAAGGAGTCACATTAAGTCACTAGACAAATTGAATATTGATGTTTTGCTCACAGCCACACCATCAGGAAGGGACAGGATATAAGATCCTTATGACATAATACAGGTATGACATTATCTCTCAATCAGATCTATCCTCTCTCCCCTTTTAAGAGGGAAAGAACTGAAATCTCATGTGTATCTTTCACAGATCTTTGCATTTAACCTCTAAGACAATCCACGAGGTGTTTTAATAACAAGTGCTATTTGCTGGATTTATGGGAGAATGTGCAAACTGTGGCGTCAGGTGCATGCTCTCGTTTTTTTTTTCTTTCTTTCTTTTTTTTTTTTTTGAGAAGGAGTCTCGCTCTGTCGCCCAGGCTGGAGTGCAGTGGCGCAATCTCAGCTCACTGCAAGCTCTGCCTCCCAGGTTCACGCCATTCTCCCGCCTCAGCCTCCCGAGTAGCTGGGACTACAGGTGCCCGCCACCACACCCGGCTAATTTTTTTTTTTTTTTGTATTTTTAGTAGAGACGGGATTTCACCGTGTTAGCCAGGGTGGTCTCGATCTCCTGACCTGGTGATCCGCCCACCTCGGCCTCCCAAAGTGCTGGGATTAGAGGCGTAAGCCACCGTACCCAGCAGCTCTCTTGTTCTTTACAGAAGTCTTGCAAACTAGTATCATCCTCATTTTTTAGCTGACAATGGTGAGGCTAAGAGGTTAAGTCAACTGCCCATGAAATGAGCAAGTGCCAGTGCATGGATTAGACATTGCCATCTATTCAGACTCTCAAACCCATGCTCCCAACCACTGTGTCTTCACAGGCACTGAATACTCTTGACCAGCTCCCTGTTATATTCCTCTCTACTTCTAAAGAAAGGTCTGGAGTAGACTGAGCTGCCCTAGATGGTGGCTTCTGTAGATTATTGAGGAGGGGCTGCCAAGGGCACCTGCAGGTTCACCTTTTAGCTCAATCAGTGCCCTTCCAAACCCCACCTCTCCTTCATTGCCCAGGTAAAATCCCCTTCCCTTCAGCGCTCTTCCAAGTTGCCAGGAGAAAGTAATCTCCTCTAAACTAGTATAGAATTTGATAACATTTTGGCATTTACTACCTCCTCCCCACCAGCATCTACAAGTTCCTTGAGGGTAAGGCCCCATTCTGCTGTAAGTTTATGGCCCAGCCACTAGCACAGTCTCTGCTGCCTGAATGAATGGATGAATGACATTCACAGTTTTCAGAGTTCATGGGAGTGAATCAACACACTCATCAAGCACAAACATGGCTCAGAACTGCTCAGTGTTCACATTAGAGGCTGCTGATTACAACCTCAACCAAGATTACTCAACATGGGGAGACGTTTTTCTCTTGACCAAAGCAGAACATTCTCAGTCCAAGAGGAAATGAGTTCACAGTTTTGTAGACTGAAATCACAGCTCTGTAATAAACTTTTCTGGAACTCAGCTAGGGCTGGTGTCACGAACATTCCCCTTCTAGGGAGGGCCACTTAGTACCAAATGACAAAAACCTGCTTTAGAAGTGCTGTCCTGGAGCAGAGCTTCTCAATGGGGTGTGTTTGGGAAGCACTTGCCGTCTGCTCGGAAACTGAATGGAAATCTGAGCTGATTCACTCATGGCTGTCAGCTGAGCATGCCCTGATTTTGCAAGAGGGAGAAAAGAAGCCCCTTTGCATCTGACCTCACCGTCCACCCCACGCAGCTCAGACAGCCCAGCTGTGAGCCCAGGAGGATGAGGCCTGCAGGAATGTGCAGAATGTGGCCGTTTCCACTAGCGTCCCTTGGCCTCAATCTCAAGCCTGGTTTCGGACCTCGAAGTGTGCTTTGGTAGATTTTTAGAAAATAGTTGTTTTTGGCTAAGAGGATCTCTTCTGTTCTTCCCTTGCCATTTTTCTCCCTTTGTTCTAATGTAGGGGAAATTCAAGCAGCAAACTTCATCTCCAGTGCTTAGCTCTGGCACTCTTTTAGATGACTGTCTTCCCAGGTACTCATCAGATCATCAAATTGGGTGTCTTACTATTTACCTCAAACTCATCATATCTAAAGCCGGGCGTATAAATACCTTTTCCTTACCAAGTTGGTTCCTAATCTCTCATCCCTCCTACCTGATTTTTATGCTTTTATTATCTGCTTTCTGTCATTCCTATGTGTCTATCGTGTTTCCTCCCTCTTCTTCCTGCCAAATGTTTACTATGTACCTACCTCGTGCTCTTTTAAGTGCTCTCTTCTCTAAGAGACAAGTTATGTACACAAATAATTAAAATACAGACAGGAGAATCACCAAAGCAATCTTGGTAAAAACAAAGTAGACTCATACTTCCATTTCAAAACTTACTACAAAGCTGCAGTAATCAAGACGGTGCTACTGGTAGGAGGATAGACATATAGATCAATTTAATCCAGAATTAAACCTATACATTTATGGGTAATTGATTTTTGACAGAGGTGCCAAGATTCTTCAGCGAAGAAAGAATCATCTTTTTGGCCAGGCGCGGTGGCTCACGCCTGTAATCCCAGCACTTTGGGAGGCAGAGGCGGACGAATCACCTGAGGTCGGGAGTTTGAGACCAGCCTGACCAACATGGAGAAACCACGACTCTACTAAAAAATACAAAAATTAGCCGGGTGTGGTGGTGCATGCCTGTAATCCCAGCTACTCGGAGGCTGAGGCAGGAGAATCACTTGAACCCGGGAAGCGGAGGTTGCGGTGAGCCAAGATCGTGCCATTGCACTCCAGCCTGGGTAACAAGAGCAAAACTCTGTCTCAAAAAAAAAAAAAAAAAAAAAAATCATCTTTTCAACAAATGGTACCTTGACCACTGGATACCCACATGCAAAAGAATGGAGTTGGGCCTCTACTTCATAGCCCACACAAAAATGAACTCTAAATGAATCAAAGACCCAAATATCAGAGCTAAAACTGTAAGAGTAAATCGCTGTAAGCTTGGACTAGGCAACAGCTTCCTAGATGACGCCAACAGTACAAGCAACAAAACACAGATACATTTAACTTTACCAAAATTTTAAACGCTATTCAATGGTTGCTATCAAGAAATTGAAAAGACAACCCAGTCCAAAGGATGGGAGAAAAGTCTGCAATTCATATATTTAAGGGTCTAATATCTAGAATATATAAAGGAGGCTTTCAATCAACAATATAAAGTTAGCAAAGGATTTAACTCAACTTTAGTGAGCAAAGGATTTAAACAAACATATCTCCAAAGATACACAATTGGCGAAGAAGTGCATAAAAAGATGCTCAGCATCACTAATCATTAGGAAAATGCAAATTGAAACTACCAGATGTCATTTCATACCCATTAGAATGGCTACAACGTAAACACACACACAGAGAAAGAGAACAAGTGTTGGTGGGGATGTGGAGAAACCAGAACAGCATGTATTGCTGGTGGAACTGTAAATGGTGCAGCCACTTTGGAAAACAGAATGGCAGTTCCTCAAAAAGTTAAACAAACTTGGTGTGGTGGCATACGCCTGTAGTCCCAGCTATTTGGGAGGCTGAAGCAGGAGGATGGCTTCGGCCCAGGAATCTGAGGCTGTCGTGAGCTATGACTGTGCTACTGCTATTCAGCCTGGGTGACAGAGGAAGACCTCATCTCTAAAAAATTTTTTTTAAAAGAACGAAATTCTGGTGCATGCTATAACATGGATGAACCTCGTAAGCATCATGCTAAGTAAATGAAGCCAGGCACAAAAGGCCACATATTGTGTGATTCCAGTGATAAGAAATATCCAGAATAAGCAAATCCATAGAGACAGAAAGTAGATCGATGGCGGTCAGGGTCTAGGGGGAGGAGGAAATGGGAATGACTGCTGACAGTTTGGGGCTCTTGGGGAAGGGGCGTGATGAAAATGTTCTAAAATTGATAGTGGTGATGGTCGCATAACTCTGTGATTTTACTGAAGACCACTGAATTGTTTGCTTTAAATGGGTTAATTTTATGGTATGTGAATTACATATCAATTTAAACGTGTGAATATAGTCATGAGTGCTGTAAGAGGTGACTAGTAACAAGTCAAGAAATGCTGAACTGTTAAGTCTTGCTGGCTTTTATTCCTAGAAATTTGGTCTCGCTGCACATGGTGGCTCACGCCTGTAATCCCAGAACTTTGGGAGGCTGAGGTGGGCGGATCACGAGGTCAGGAGTTCGAGACCATCCTGACCAACATGATGAAACCCCGTCTCTATTGAAAATACAAAGATTAGCCAGGCGTGGTGGCACGTGCCTGTAATCCCAGCTACTCAGGAGACGGAGGCAGGAGAATCGCTTGAACCCGGGAGGCAGAGGTTGCAGTGAGCCAAGATCGCGCCATTGCACTCCAGCCTGGGCAACAGAGCGAGACTCCATCTGAAAAAAAAAGAAAAGAAATTTGGTCTCATTCTCGCTTTCTGTTGTCACCACATTTTGTCTCTTTACCTCCTGACCACCCCCACCCGCCCCTCCACCGCACCTGCCCCTAGACTGGTCCCACAAACTAGATTCAATCTCCTATGGCTCCTTCTTCATTATCTTCTGACAACCAGCATTCATGGGCCACTCCCATTCTCTATTTCTGCCTACAGAAAAAGGTCCCGCCTCTTCCACTCAGCACGGACTCATCTGTCTCCCCAGTTTCCTGCCATTGCCCAACTCAACCCTTCTAACCCCCAGCCTCCACAACTCTTGCCAGCCCTCAATGCCCACGCCTATTCCCACAAAAAGCCCGGACTGATCTAATTTCCATGCATTTGTTCAAGCCATTTCTTCTGCCTAGACCAACTGTCCCTGCCACCTGCTCCAACCAACCCCACCATTTTTCACAGCCAAGATAAAGTCGCATCTTCCCCACAAGGCTTTTTCTAGCTCCTCCCAACCCCAAGATTCTCTCTTATCTCTAAATCCCTAGCAACAGACAATAATAGCATGTGCCGCGCAGGACACGACTTTATCTGTTGCTTGTATGTTCTTTCTACATGTGTAGAAAACACGCACCTGTCTTGCCTCTCTTTGCAAGCTACAATCACAGCATATGCTTCCTCTCTAACTTAATGTGTGTGCTCTGTAAATGCTTAAGGGGACAGGGACAGCATCCTTCGATTCAGTACTCCCAGCACTGGGGATACACATCATCAGCATTATGTATGCAACCAACAAAGTTAATACAAGCTGGAAAGAAATCATGTATGTAAAAATAACAAATGGTGGCAGGGAGCGGTGGCTTACGCCTGTAATTCCAGCACTTGGGAGGGCTGAGGCGGGTGGATCACTTGAGGTCAGGAGTTCAAGAACAGCCTGGCCAACATGGTGAAACCCCATCTCTACCAAACGTAGAAAAATTAGCCAGGCGTGGTGGCACATGCCTGTAATCCCAGCTACTAGGGAGGCTGAGGCAGGAGAATGGTTGGAACCTGGGGGTCGGAGGTTGCGGTGAGCTGGGATCGCACCACTGCACTCCAGCCTGGGCGACAGAGCAAGACTCCATCTCAATCGATCAATCAATCAATCAATCAATACAAGTGGTTTGCTGCCGTAAGGTAAGAAGTACTTGAAGGAATCAACCTCTCGCTTTTCTGGGTGTCCTCAGTGGCACGGATTCAAGCTATTCCAAGCATAGCTGATTGTGTAGCTAAGTGGTTAGGGGTGTGGGCTCTAGGGTTGAGCAGCCTGGGTTCAGTCTCACTGCTGCCATTTACAAGCTCCGTGTCTGTGTGTGGGCTACTGAACCTCACTGAGTCTCTTAATTCCTCTATAAAATACAAGAAGCTCCAGCCGAGTAGTCTGTTGTGAGGACTGAAAGAAACAGGGCTTAGAAAGGGGTTCACACACGCTAAGCACTCAGTAAACGCTAGCTGTTATTATATTGTTAGCGCTATTAACACCAGCCATTCAGAATCTAGATCCTGTAGCTTTACAGATTCACATTTAATCTTATGGGGAGATTTGGCTCAGAACAAACTGTTTCCCATTAGCCAAGCTCACAAGAGGCCAGAAAACCAAATAGTTTATTTAGAACAGGAAACTGTTTTCCAACGCTTTGTATGCATATTTGCTGTCCAAGGCATGCCCTTCTCAGGGGTGAGATACCCCACAAGATGCTATTTTTTGTATTTACAACAAAAGCAAAGGGTGGAGCTGTCGGGTGGAATAAATTTCCAGACTGTGACAAAACAAAGACATCTGATTCATCACAGAACCACCTTGATTGAGATCAGAATATCCCCAGTCACCACATATGACACCTTTCCTACTAACGGTAAGCAGGGATGGGGTTTGCCTTGTTCCCCACTGCCTGACTTACACAGTAGCTATTCAATAAATAGCTGTTCAATAAATATTTATTGAATAGTAGCTATTCAATGAATTGTTGGCCGGGTATGGTGGCTCACACCTGTAATCCCAGCCCTCTGGGAGGCCAAGGCAGGCTCAGGAGTTCGAGACCAGCCTGGGCAACATGGTGAAACTCCATCTCTACTAAAAATACAAAAACAGTTGGGTGTGGTGGTGCACACCTGTGGTCCCAGATACTCAGGAGGCTGAGGTGGGAGGATCGCTTGAGCCTGGGAGGTCAATGCTACAGTGAGACGAGATAGTGCTACTGGACTCCAGCCTGGGTGACAGAGTGAGACCCTGTCTCAAAAAAATACATATATTATATATATATTTTATATATATGTAAATATATAATATATAGTTATATATTTATATTATATATTATATATGTAAATATATAATATATAGTTATATATTTATATTATATATAATAAAAATATTTGTTAAATCAGTTAATTCTTTGGGCAGGGAAGGTTTAAACATCAACAAATTCTCATTCTTCTCCTCTTCTAGGCAAACTGATTCCCTTCTCTTTGGGGCAGGACAATATTCGCTGTATCACAGCTTTTTAAATGAGTTGTGTTCTGTTCTCCCGGATGGAGACACCCTGATGAATTGTGGGAAGTGCCCTGTTCTCATCAATAATATGTTAAAAATATTCTAGCATGCCCCTTTCCTGCTTCCCATTTACACTCTGTGTATCTGGCATTTGTACATGCTGCAAACATTAACAATGGTGATTGTTACCCCAGTGGCTCAGGGTTGGTCTCCCTCTATTGCCTACGGCACTTTGTGGCCTGGCCTCTCTGGATGGGGGTCAAGAGCCCATCACATCTTTCTCCAGGGGTGTGTGTGTGTGTGTATGTGTGTTTGGGGGGGCGGGTTCATGAAATTTAGCATTGCCTCACAATGTCAGCTTTCAGCTCCTCAAAAAACTACATGAACGAGTTGGCCATACCTGCGTACTTCCCCCTGGACTTAGCTTGATTCACTTCAAAGGACAAATCCATCTCTGAGCAATTCTCAAGGCAAAGACACTCAGCCAGACAAAAAGGAGGGTGAGCCCTCCTACCTCTTTCGGCTGACACTCAGGGGAGCTTGCCATCATCTGACTGGCTGCCAACAGGCCGGTGGACAGGGGCTGGGGTTAGACATGTGGGAAGGAAACAGTCACCTTGTTTTCCTGCCTTGGATGGAATTGGCAGAATTCCAGTTATTCCCTACCGGGGCTCTAGCTCACAGCCCCAGATAAAATGCCTAATCACGGAGCTGTATCTCTTGCCCAGCAAATGAGAATCCTAAGACTCATCACAGTAACTGTCCACTTGGAAGTGTCCAGCACCCTCCATCAGTTGATTCTCTTCAATAAAACGTGCACACTGGGTACTTCCCTGAGAAGTTTTGGGGCACCAAGAGTGGCAAGGCTTCCTGGAAAAGCCCTACAGCATCTGATTCAGATTCGTCAAATAAATTTCACCAGGGTAATCCTGAGTAGTTGAGTTCTCTCTCCCTCCTCCTCCTCCTCCCCCGTCGTATTTCCACAAGTTATAACCTGGCCTGCCTCCTTTCCAAAGCCAGAAATATGACAAATATTCAGATAAGCCGATGGAATTTGAAAGTGCATGTTCATTGCTTTGCTGGTGAGGACTGCAGGGCACACTTTAGCATGTGAGGTGTGCCTCTCTCAAAAGTGCATACAGTTCAAATTCTGCATCTAGTAACACACCAAGAACTCAGGAAATGCTTAATAACTATTTGCAGAATGAATTAATAAATCCTATTTTAATGTATTATGACAATTTCATTCTTAAAAGAACATTATGGGGAGCATTTAATGTAAAGGAATTCTCGTATCTTTAGAAAATTTTGTTTCTACGTTTAAGAGGCTTAAAGTGAGGTTAACCTTTAATTTCAAGTTCAACCTCTTTACTTTGTTTTTATATATATTTTTGAGACGGAGTCTCGCTCTGTTGCCAGGCTGGAGTGCTGTGGTGTGATCTTGGTTCACTGCAACTGCCGCCTCACGAGTTCAAGCGATTCTTCCGCCTCAGCCTCCAAGTAACTAGGACTACAGGCGCGCACCACCATGCCCAACTAATTTTTGTATTTTTAGTAGAGACGGGGTTTCACCATATTGGCCAGGCTGGTCTCGAACTCCTGACTTCATGATCCGCCCGCCTCGGCCCCTCACAGGCGTGAGCCACCATGCCCAGCCTCTTTTTTTTTTTTTTTTTTTTAATGGCAGAGTAGTGTAGTAAAAAGATCTTCAGGTTTGAAGTTAGACATATTTTTCAAACCCAGTTCTGGTATATTCCGAGATAAGAGTATGTAATTTACAGGTATTATGATGATTGAAAGAAGTAGCTAGCAATATTCCTAGCACATGGCAGGCGATGGGAATGAGAGGATGGTTGTGTCCTTTGGCCTGACCCTCCACTGTCTTGCCAAGGCTTGAGGTCCTTATAATTCTACAGTGTAGAGTCACTCGCGTGCTGCTCATTTTACAGAAGCCAAAGAAAGGAAGGAGTTTAGTCCCTTTGGCCACGTCCAGACTTAGCCTTCTCATGCCCGGACACATTTTTTAAATTGTGCTTTTCTATATTCAATGCTATTTTGGATCTTATACACCAGTGCAATGCAGAGGCCTCCCTCACAAAGCCTCTAACAGACCTGATCTTTATTAAGTGCCTTCAGTGCAACAAAAACTCTTAACAACTCATGAGGATTTCAGGGCCTCCAAACTGGCAAGCGTTTCGGGGAAATCACAGGGAAATTTGTTGGCCGCATGATTAATCCTGGGTGGATTGGTCCCGGAAAAGCACATGTGGGTTAGCAGCGAGCAGCAGCTTGCAGAATCTCACAAAATAAACTCTCTAATGAAGTGGCCCCCAAAACGTGCCTTCCTGATGAAAGTTCAGCATGAGGGTGGCGCCTGACAATGGAAAAAAATGCCAGATGTGTGGACAACAGACCTCCTTTGAATCCACTAACACCCAAAGGGATGACACATGGGACCAGATTATAAAACTGAACCAGATTATAACCCTGGAGGAGGGAAACCCAGTAGGGCGTAGGATCTTATGAAAAGGATCATAAAATTCATCACCATAATTACCCCCCAGCCCAGCTCCCCAACAAAAGCCCACAATAGCTTCGCTCAATGATGTTATTCATCCATATTCAAGTCGCCTCGCTCATTATTCTCAGACAAAAACCCTGCTGGGCCTCTGCTCCTCTGGCAGCCAGGCAACTCAGCACCCACCCTCACTCAGCCAGCCCCGCATACCACTTCTTTCTTTAGTAGTGGAGTTTCCAGCACCAACGATGGTTTTTCGGTTTTAACGCCATCTTTTAGGAGTACCTTTGACATTCAGGAGCCGGCTGAAGGGAATCACAGCTAAAGCTTCCCTGGGCAAAAACAAAGGATGTTACCCAGCAGCTTTTTCTTTAGCAGGGCTGAGATGCTGAAGTGAGGGCGCTCCCTTGCTTTGCCCTGGTGAGCACAAAACGGTGTCATTTGCACATTGTCTCGCCAAAAAGGAAATGTAACTGAAAATACAGAACTGTATATATTCCAGTGGAAAGAGAAGTTCCAAAGATAGGACTGCTACGAATAACCCACGGCCCCTATAAAAAGAGTTGCTCAGTCCCTTTGAAGCAGACAGCACAGCATAGAGCAGAACTCTGTCATTTCCCTGAGATTGGGTATTTTTGTCTGTGTGGACCATTGTAGGAGGCCAGGTTAGGCGCACCCCTCCTGCAAACCGCTCCCTCTCCAAGAAGTATTCCTCAGGGCCTAGGCCTACCTTGATCCTCAATTTTTGGAAAATGTTTACTTTTCACAGCATAACTCAGCAACCTCCAGCCCCAAAGATCACGAGTTAGGTTACAATTCCTTCAACCAACATTTAGTGAGCAACTACTATGTGCCAGGCATTGTTTTGGCCGTGGGGAATCATGGCTGGATGTAGCTGCGTCCTGCAGAACATATGTTCTATTGAGGAAATATAAAAATAAAAACCCAAGAAAAGAAAACAAAATGTTGACAGATGTCAATGGAGACCACCAACACAGCAACCCAGCGGGAAGAGGTAAGGCTCCAGGAGAGGACAAAGGGTAATGGAAGCTGTGGACGCCCCCACCCCAACATGGGATACAAAATATTTAAAGCCTAAGGAGTCACCAACAGACATTCAGCCACTGATGTTGTTGCCCAAGATGAACACGTGGCTCAAACCCACTTAAACCTCAATGTTCGTAACGCGTAACAATCCTCATGCACTCACACTCCTCGGAAGCCTCCACTTGGATCCTTTCCACACACACTATCCTCTCTAAAGAGGATAAAGGAGGCCTCTTCCAGTCCAGTGACGGGGTGCTGAGTGTGTCCAACAGGCAGGGCGCCAGACTAGGTAGTCCCAAGGGGGACCAGGGCCACCGCAGGGCGGGGAACCCTCCCCTTGGCCCAAGCCCTCCTGAACGTCCCTCCTGATTCTACGAGGCCAGCTTCTCCCGAGGCGTGCGTATTCCTCCAACACACCGCTCTATGGGAAGGAAACCCCAGCCACTGCTGCCAGCAAGCGGGGCTGCCTACTGTGAACCTTCCACCCGATCTCTCTGGTGCTGCCGACTCGGAGGGAGGCCCCCTGTGCTGCCCACCTCGCAGCCTGTGGATTCCGGGGCTCCTCCCGGCACACCCGCGCAGCTGCGTCTTTGGGACCTGGCACCGACTAAGCCGCTGCCTCTCCTCCTCCGGCGCTCAGCCGCCTGACACGCACACACCCTCAGCTCCCCCGCGCTCCCCTGGACAACCTCGAATACCAGGCCCGGGCATTCCAGCAAGTCTCTGCTCGCTCGTCCCCATCAGCGACGGCAGGAAGCCACTTGCGCTGGGTCTTACCTCCTTCTGCCAGGACCCAGAGCGACGCGCTTCCCAAAACGAAGAGCAGAGCTGACACCTTCCACATCGTTCCCGTTGAGTTGTTGCTCTCCTGGGGGCCGAGCAGCAAGATTCTGAGCTGGGGGAAAATTAAAAAGCACCGCGGCCACAGGCCCAGCCTGGAGGAGCGCGACGGTGGGGGGGCCGGAGGGGTGGGAGCAGGAGCCCCGGAGAGGGAGGGTGCCCGAGCTTCCCAGACCCTAGGCAGCCGGACAGCAAACTTTGCAGTTGAGAACTTTCCGAGCGGAGTCAGCATTTATCTCTCCCGAGGAGGCGGGGGAGCGGGGTCGGCCGCAAGGTGGTCTCCGTCCGGGCGCGCTAGGCCCGCCCTCGGGCTCTGTTTGGCCGGCGCCAAAACGATGATCTCAGGCCAGGTTTAAAGTTACAGGGCCGCAGCTGCGGGGGCCGCCAGGACTGCGGGCCCTGGCAAAATGGGCTTTTATTCTGCTCAACAACAGGAGGGAAAGGGACCACATGCAACAAACGGGGTTTTAAAAATTATATATAAATTTTAAAAAACCTATATTTATTATTATTATTTTTTTAAGAGTAAGGCACAAGTCTATGTTTTTCTTGTTATGGGCAGAAGTGAGAAGTAAACTGTTTCTTGAGTGGCCAGTAGTTTTAGAACCAAGCATGGGGTTTTTCCTGTAAATATTGAATTTGATGGCTTAAAAACAAAAAAAGTTGGCCGTCATCTGGGTGGGCCAGAGGCGGCCCGCGCTGGTCAATTGCGCCCTTGTCCCGGGGACCGGAGCGGGCGGGCTCCGGGGGGCTGCCCCAGAGCTGGCTGGTGGGGGAGTTTGGCAGACCGGGTGGCTTTGGCAGTTTTGAAAAAGAGGCTGAACTCCATCCGCCTCTGCCGACCCGGGGATCCAGCGCTGCGATGCTGTGGCCCACCGACGTGCGCAGTTGGATTAGGCCGGGCCAAGCGGTGACCCGTCTGGTCGCCAAACCTGTGTCCCCTTCCAGGCCTGGTTCACCCTCTTTATTCCTGAGTTTGCTCCCATAATCCTCACTTTACTGGTTTAAGCGATCTTGCCTTGATCTCAGGTACCAGATATCAGCAACCAGAGAACTTACGTCTTTTACTTTAATTCCTTCTGAATTGCTGGAATTTAAAAAAATAAGAACAGGAGTTTGGGAAGTGGTCTCTGCTCCACTCCCAGATGCCACAAATTCCATTCAACAAAAGAACCTGAAGACTAACGCTGTCTCAAAGCTCCACATTGCGTGAAAATTGTTTTCAGATGCTTATCTTTGACCCCTCCCCATTATAAATTTACTTTCTAAGAATCACAGGAGAGATTGTTTTAAATAAATGCCCAGTTTCCTGGGTTCCACCCCAAACTCATTAATCAGACCTTTTCGGAATTCCTATTTTAAACCAGTGTCGCTGGAGAACTTGTCCCCATGAACATTTGGCAAACCTTGCCCTTCATCATAGCTTCTCAGCCAGATCTACCTGGGGCACTGGTTATGCAGGTGCAATTCTGTTGTGGGATAGGGAGAGATTCTGCATTTCTAAAGATCTCCCAGGTAACGTCTTGTCCTGGGGCTACAAACAGGAGCTGAGCACCTGAACCTAGAAGATGAGGGGTAGCGGCAACACCCCTAGAGCCAAGGAGTTGGAAATGTAAAGAGAAAACTCGTGATACAGATACTCTTTCTTGAACTGACTTCCCCATCTTGGAGATGCATTTTATGACTCTAGTGTCAATAATGTCTGTTGACAGGAGGAATAGTGCATTGTCTGTTGAGCCTGTTAGATGGAGAATAGATGCACATCTATTCTGCTTATGTGTAACTCCAAGGTCACACACAGAAAGAAAGATGGCCCGCTTTATTCAAAAAGATTGAAACACAGTGAAGCCTAGGTGGGGGAGATTGGGTTACATGCAACTAATTTAGAGGGATGCTGAGGCTAGGTCATGATTCAAGGACACCTGCCTTCTATCCCACACCCCCGGATGTGTCTAGAATCTAGAAGGTTGGTCACATGACCTTTTGATCAGGATGGAGGAGTGGGAGGTAATAAGGAATTGCATTCAGCTGGGGGTCCTGGGGTGGGGAGAGGGGCCAGGATGAAGGAGTTAGTGGATCGGCTCTGGGTGCTGTTGGTCTGAAAACCTAGAGAGAAAAGCTGGGTCTTGGGAGGGGGAACCTGAAGACCAGAGGGAAGAAAGAACTCACCCTCCTGGACCAGATAGAGCCAGCAGCTCATGAGAGAAGGAATATGGGCCTTGGGCAGCGAGACTCGGTTAGCTAAAGGAGCTGAAGTGAAACACAGGGGATCTGGAAGCATGAGACCCTGCTCAGCTGAGGGGAAGAGGGAAAGAAGGAGGGTATGTGGCTCCATTCTTGGCAAACAGCTTAAGCTCAGAAAGCCATGGCCATGAATGATGATGCGTTACTGGTGAGATAACAGCAGCTGCTACATACTGGCCTTTATCTTCCTGCCAGGAACACGCACTATTTCCTTTCAGCCCCAAAACAACGGTTGGCTTCCAAACATTGATGATACCCATTTCCTACACAAGTGAGGTTGAGAGTGGATTCACCTGGAGGGCTTGCTTGCCTGGAAGGCAAGACTGCTGGGCTCCACTGCCAAAGTGCTGATTCAATAGGTAAGGGGTGGGGCCCAAGAATTTGCATTTCCAACAAGTTCCCAGGTGATGCTGAAGCTACTGGTCCTGGGTCCCCACTTTGAGGACTGTGGGTTTAGAGGCCACCATGCAAATTGTGTGGGATCCTACAAGGTAGGAGCGGTGGGGTCATGCATTTCCATTGCAGAGCAGGAGTTGAGCCTGTTACTAGCACTGTGCCTGTGCCTTGCAGGACTGTGTGGGAAACGTCTGTAAATTGCTTTTAGGAAGCAAGAGGACCCCCAAAAGGTGTGGACCAGCAGTGGAATGAGGAGCTGAGCCAGAGCTGCCAGTTTGGTACCTTCCACCCTGGGGGATGCTGGAGATGACACATCAGGGTCTCCTCAAGCTCTGTGTTTTTCTGAGGGCTCTGCAGAGTCCAGAGAGCACCTGGCTGAGCTGCTCCAGGCAGCCTGGGCTGACCTGGCTGGGAAGATGCTTCTCAACACACAATGGGACACCAGCCCCCCAACCCGCAGTGGTTCATACCTGTAATCCTAATGCTTTGAGAGGCAGAGGCGAGAGGATCACTTGAGGTGAGGAGTTTGAGACCAGCCTGGGCAACATAGCAAGACCCTGCTTCTATAAAAAATAAAAATAACATTAGCCAGGTGTGGTGACACGTACCTGTGATCCCAGCTACTCAGGATGCTGAGTTGGGAGAATCACTTGAGCCCAGGAGGTCAAGGCAGCAGTAAGCCATGATCATGCCACTGCATTCCTGCTGGGGTAACAGAGCTAGACCCTTACTCTATAATAATAATAATAATAACTTTAAAAATCAATATGCCATGTTCCAGAGCTGAGATACCCACAACTGAATCTCTGACAGCAAAGGCAGCTCTATGGCCCAGGAATAAGTAACACACTTACGGGTTTGAGTGGGACCAAAATTCTGATTTATAACCCAGACCGCTACAACTCTGACTGGACAGAGGACTGGCCTTACAAACATTCTCTCCTGATAAGCTACTGCACACCTCAAGCCAGTTTCAGCAGCTGAGAGAGGATGCATACGAACTGTCTTTGTGTCCTATAGTTCACATTTTGACGTAAAGAACCAAATGCCACCTCATTTTAACTAAAACCCCGCTCCGAAGTGAACATGAGATGTAAGTTACAAGCATGTTTACCCACCGTGCACGCACATGACTCCCCTCGTGTAAATGGACAGCCTTTCCTTCAAACCTGCTACATAGGAACACAGGCCCTGGAAGGCAGAAAACTCAACCTGCTGTCTTTGAAGACAGCACCTTTGGTCCAGCTGGAGACAGTCTCTTTCTCATTTGTAAACTGACATCGCCACTAATATTAGCCTTTCTAATATGAGCCATCCTGGTGGTTTTCTGGACGGCACGGGGAAAGACAGTTTCACACTGCCAACCTGGGACTAAAGAGATTTTTTTCACCCCAGGAAATGCTCCATAAGAAGATATGGGATGGATAAGAATCTGCTTTTTTTGTTTGTTTTTTTGTAAATTGGGGTTGGATTATTGGGAAGGTGCTACATTTTCCCAGAAGTTTCAGTAGAAAACTTAGGAGCCAGGGCCGTGTGTGGTGTCTCATGCCTGTAATCCCAGCACTTTGGGAGGCCAAGGCAGGCAGATCACCTGAGGTCGGGAGTTTGAGACCAGCCTGACCAACATGGAGAAACCCCATCTCTACTAAAAATACAAAATTAGCCGGGCGTGGTGGCACATGCCTGTAATCCCAGCTACTAGGGAGGCTGAGGCAGGAGAATCGCTTGAACCTGGGAGGCGGGGGTTGCGGTGAGCCGAGATGGCACCATTGCACTCCAGCCTGGGCAACAAGAGCGAAACTCTGTCTCAAAAAAAAAAAAGAAAAGAAAACTTAGGAGCCAGGGCAGTGGTTCATGCCTGTAATCCCAGCATTTTGGGAGGCCAAGGCAAGAGTATTGCTTGAGGCCAGGAGTTCAAGACCAACTTGGGCAACATAGCAAGACCCTGTCTCTACAAAATAAAAAATAAAAAATTATAAAATAGAAGAAAACTTAGGAACATTGAGGCATTGGAAATTGATCCCCTTGGACCCATCCTTGCTGGCATTCTTCTGGGGAAATCTGTGTGCATCTACCATTTGAAGGCCCCTGCCCTGTACCCCTGCGGAGCTGGATCTCCTCCCAGCAATAGGGCTGTCTCATGCCACCCCACTGTAGTTAAAGGATTGAGCCCAATGTGTTCCCAGCTATGCTTTATCTCTGCCCCCTTTGATGATATCCTAAGCTCCCAAAGCCAGGAGCTTAGCTTTGAGAGCTATCTCTCTCTCTGTCTCTCTCTGGCCTCTGCCTCTACCACTGCTCCATAAATACTTGTGAAAGTCAAGCTTGTAATTTTCCTTAGCCCACCGGAAGACCCTCACCATGAAAGAACCTCAGCCCAGCCTGAGGCTGGAGGTGGAGTCAATGACATGTAATGTACAATCAGCCAAAGACGAAACAAGTAAGTGACTTCTGTGTTTTTGGGGGCTGCTGGGAGAGCCCTGCCAGCACCTCCCCAAATCTCAGTACATTTCCCCTCCCCCTTGCAAACTCACTGATGGCTAAGGATGCCTTTTAGGCTGCCAGTACACCTCGGGAGGACACACACTTAGCACAGTCGGACACACACTTAGCACAGTCCGTCTCACAGACCTCGACGTGTATGGGGTTCTCTCCCTTTCCCAGGAGGATGTTTCGATGAGGTACCATGGGTACTTGATTCTTGGATACTGCCAAGGAGTAAGCACACAAAGTAGAAAGCCTGGGGCTGCTGAAGACACATTGTACCCATTTCATACTTTATATTTACTTATTTACTTATTTATTTATAGAGACGGAGTCTCGCTCTGTCGCCAGGCTAGAGTGCAGTGGTGCGATCTTGGCTCACTGCAACCTCCGCCTTCCAGGTTCAAGAGATTCTCCTGCCTCAGCCTCCCGAGTAGCTGGGACTACAGGCACCCGCCACCACATCCAGCTAATTTTTGTATTTTTAGTAGAGACAGGGTTTCACCATGTTGGCCAGGATGATCTCAATCTCTTGACTTCGTGATCCGCCCACCTTGGCCTCCCAAAGTGCTGGGATTACAGGCTTGAGCCACTGCATCCATCCCATC
The DNA here is from genome assembly GCF_000001405.40 of Homo sapiens. Taxonomy (NCBI): domain Eukaryota; kingdom Metazoa; phylum Chordata; class Mammalia; order Primates; family Hominidae; genus Homo; species Homo sapiens. The sequence continues at coordinate 13,578,305 of NC_000001.11, read as the reverse complement.
CATTGCATACTTCAGTTTGCTCAAACAGGATTTGCTGGCTGTGATGTCTCCTGAATCTGGCTTGAGCCAGTCACCCTCTCTCTGTCCTCTTATCTGACAGACGTCACATGTGGTCGACCCCTCAGTGGGCAGCTCTACCCACTCACTTGGTAGGGAAAGGTTGAGTCTTCACCAATTGCATCTTCTGTGGCTGAGGCAGGGCCCTGCGGCATCTCAGGACAAGGAATAAGGTGCGACGTTTAGTTTTCCACTGGTCTATTAAAAGCATGGGGCTTTTGCATGAAACAGAAAGGAAAACATTCAACTCTGCAGATCAGCAGGCTTCTGTGTTGTTTGTCATCCCAAGGAAGCCTTGGGCCCCACTGCTGGACGTGGCTGTGTGTACAGAGTGAGCACCACACACTCCAGGAGAACCAAGAGCACCGACCTGGTCAAGGGGGTGAACGTGACCTTTGCAGGGAAGGCGAGACGCCCCATTTTATTTACTCCACATCTGATGCTGGGCTCCATGCTACACCAAAGAAATGCAAAAAAAGAACTCAGACCATTGGTAATTTTTCTTCATAACAACACATTGCTTATTTACAAAGTACCCATCCCCCAAGCCAAAAGAAAAAATTGGCTGGACCTATGCATCAGATTTGAATCAGGTATCTCTGATGGTCATCAAGGTCTTTAATGGGTTGGGAGCATAGAGTCGGAGTGAGTTTTTTGTTGTTGTTTTTTTTTAAGATAAATACTCAGTTTTAATGGACAGGCAAGCATTGGGGAGGTTGATGTTTTTTATAATTCAGACCAATACACACAGAAAGCTCCTTTCATTGGTGTGTTCAGAGAGCCCTTGATTATGAAGACTCAGTACCCTGCTTGGAAAACAATCTGAATGAATGTGTTTCAGTGTGGGAGATGGGGAAGTCACGCAGGGACAGTCTGGGAAGGCAGGAGGGAGGCTGGTATTTACCTTCCTGCCCTCTGGAAGGGTGGTGGCCTTGCAGATCCCAGTCCCAGCCTTTCTTTCGCTCAGTTTCCCTGGGTGGAAACTGGGCTTGTGAAAATGATGGTGGTAAGGTCTCCGCGCGTCCCTGGTAACACCTAACCAGGAGCCTCTCTCTGCTGGAGGCTTCATGAGAGCAACTTCTCCCTTCATCCTGCCAGCTGAGGTGATGACAGCAAACCACCACCGCCACAAGCCTCATGCCATCCCAGCCTGGAATTCTCTCCCCGGCGCAGACGGTGCCCCTGCAGAGATGAGGCCATGAGGCCCTCGGGTGAGCCCCCACCCTGCCTCCCTCCAATGGGTGCAATCCCTTTGGAATAGTCTGGATCTTGTTGGTATTTTGGAACGTCTTGTTGAGGTCCCGAATCTGTTTTAATCACTGTTCGGGAATCTAATTCAAATATTCAGACTTCAGTGGCTGCCAAGAGGTGGGTTTGGCCATGACAGGAAAACAGGAAAAGGCTTAAAAGTTAATAAAGTTGGAAGAAAACAGTTTTTGTGTTAGCATCCGATTTCCAGAGCCCCTGCCTCGAAGCTGCCTTTAGCGAGGGGGGAATTGGGCGTTGGAGAGGGCGGAACTCTCCTTGCATGGGAGCAGCCTGTTTAGGGTTTCTGGAGATGGGCGAGAGGCATGAAGGGGTTTCTGGAAGATGTTACTGGAGATATTTAACTGTTTTCTTTAGCAGAGCCAAGGAGCCTGATCACATATTTATTACTGGCACCAACAGCAGGGAGCTACCACACCGATTACTTGTTCTTTTGTTTGACTACTATCTATTGAGTATCAGCTGTATGCCAGGCAGTGTCCTAGACTCCATGGACAAAGCAGGGAACAAGGCATCCAGGTCCTGGTTTCTGAGCCTCTTGCATTCTGTGTGGGAGAGAGATGATAGGAGCAGAAATAAAAAAGGTAAGGAGAGGTTATGCTGAATGTTCTGAGAAAAAATAAAAGTCAACAGAGTAGGGCAGCAGTCTTCCGAGCGGGAAGGCAGCGTGACCCTTCCAGGCGACACATACGCACACAGAAAAGTTCAAAGGGCATCAGTTTCCAAATTCTCCACTAACATATGTGTTCTTTTCAACACAGATCTACTTCCCCATCCCATTGTTTGTTCTTCCACTTTGCTATACAAAGACAAACTTCTGACCAGGTGCGGTGGTTCACGCCTGTAATCCCAGCACTTTGGGCGGCCGAGGTGGGCAGATCACGTGAGGTCAAGAGTTCGAGACCAGCCTGAACAACATGGTGAAACCCTGTCTCTACTAAAAATACAAAATTAGCCGGGTGTAGTGGTGCATGCCTGTAATTCCAGCTGCACGGGAAGCTGAGGCAGGAGAATCGCTTGAACCTGGGAGGTGGAGGTTGCAGTGAGCCGAGATAGTGCTTCCATACTCCAACCTGGGCGACAGAGAGAGACTCCATCTCAAAAAGAAAAAAAAAAAGACAAACTTCTCAGTCCTCCTTAATCCTAGAATAGTGCATTGCCTAAGGGATGCTAAAAACCTTCTAAGGGCATTTAAGGGACAATTTGAAATACCGGTGTATGCGCAGCCTCCCTTAAGCAGAGTACCCTATGGTGGGCAGCAGGAGAGCGTTCTGTCTTTTCCTCACGTGTGGATATTCTGTTAAGTGTGAAATCCAGCTTTAGAATTGGGATATTTTGACCCACATTGGGTTATTCTGAATTCAGACGGCGAGAGTGATGACAATTTTAATTTTATGACTTGACCTCTTCCAAAGGCTGGCTCTTGACTCAGATGTGTTGCTGCCAAGGGAGAGCCTGAAAGACCGAAGCGAAGGCAGAATGACAAGAAACCGTGGAGTCTGCAGCAACCACTTCAAACAGGAGACAGGCTCATGGCCGAGGCTCCCTTCCTTATCCATGTATCCATGTTAGAATTAGAATTCAGATGCTGTTAGAATTCTCAAGAAGGTGTATAATAAGTTATCTTGGGCTGGACACTGTGGTTCATGCCTGAAATCCCAACACTTTGGGAGGCTGAGGCAAGAGGATCACTTGAACCCAGGAGTTTGGGACCAGCCTGGGCAACATAGTGAGACCCTGTCTCCACAAAAAATGCAAAAGTAGTCAAGCATGGTGGTGCACACCTGTAGTCCCAGCTACTCGGGAGGCTGAGGTGGGAGAATTGCTTGAGCCTAAGAGATAGAGGTTGCAGTGAGCTGAGACGAAGCCACTGCACTCAACCTGGGCGACAGAGGAGACCTTGCCTCAAATAATAATAAAGTTATTTTGAATTGAAAATAAAGTTAGACTCTTGACAGAAAGAAATATGGTTTGATAAAGACTGGCTTTGACAATTATGTGTCATGGGAGAGATTTGCCATTAATTCAATGAGTAAAATTTGCAGCTCTATGGGTTTTTAAAAAATAAAAGTAAATTAGGGGCCGGGCGCGGTGGCTCACGCCTGTAATCCCAGCACTTTGGGAGGCCAAGGCAGGCAGATCACGAGGTCAGGAGATGGACACCATCCTGGCTAACACGATGAAACCCCGTCTCTACTAAAAATACAAAAAAAATTAGCCGGGCGTGGTGGCGGGCGCCTGTGGTTCCAGGTACTCCGGACGCTGAGTCAGGAGAATGGCGTGAACCCGGGAGGCGGAGCTTGCAGTGAGCAGAGCCGAGATCGCGCCACACTGCACTCCAGCCTGGGTGACAGAGCAAGACTCCGTTTCAAAAATAAATAAATAAATAAATAAATAAATAAATAAATAAATAAAAATAAATGTAAATTAGGTACCATGACTCACACCTGTAATCCTAGCTACTTGGAAGGCTGAGATGAAAGGGTTGGTGGACGCCAAGAGTTTGAGACCAGCCTGGGCAACATACTGAGACGTCGTATCTAAAACACATATAAAAAGGGCGGGGAGGGTGGGGGGCGGTGGTTCACACCTGTAATCCCAGCACTTTGGGAGGCCAGGGCGGGCAGATCACCTGAGGTCAGGAGTTCAAGACCAGCCTGACCAACATGGAGAAAACCTATCTCTACTAAAAATACAAAATTAGGCGTGGTGGCGCATGCCTGTAATCCCAGCTACTCAGGAGGCTGAGGCAGGAGAATCACTTGAACCCAGGAGGCAGAGGTTGCAGTGAGCCGAGATCGTGCCATTGCACTCCAGCCTGGGCAACAAGAACGAAACTCCATCTCAAAATAAAAAAAGAAAAAAGAAAAAAGAAAGAAAGAAAATAAATATAAAGCATGTGATAAGATAAAGTCAATTTATTTAAATGCATTGGCAAAGTTCTCTTGAGATTAGAAATGTCTTTATTTTCCCATTTTCTGAGTATATCCAGTTAACCTAAGGACCTCTTAGTGAAAGAATAATAGGTAAACGTGTAGTCATCTAATAAGTCCTGGTGATTTAGTGGTCCTCACTTATCCACGCTTGTGCTTTCCAAGGTTTCAGTTACTTGTAGTCAACTGTGGTTTGAAAATATCAAATGTAGGGCTGGGCGCAGTGGCTCAAGCCTGCAATCCCAGCACTTTGGGAGGCGGAGGTGGACACATAGCTTGAACTCAGGAGGTCCAGACCAGCCTGGGCAACATGGCAAAGCCCTGTCTCCACCAAAAATACAAAAAAAAAAAAAAAAATTAGCCAGGTGTGGTAGTGCATGCTTGTAGTCCCAGCTACTTGGGAGGCTGAGGTAGGAGAATACCTTGAGTCCAGAAGGTGGAGGCTGCACCACTACCACTACACTCCAGCCTGGGTGACAGAGTGAGACTGTCTTAATTAAAAAGAAATGCATATACATAAAATAGAAAATTTCAGAAATAAACAACTCATAAGTTTTAAGTCGTGCACCTTTCTGAGTAGCAGATGAAATCTTGAGCTGTTGTGCTCCCTTTCTCTCAGCACACCAAAGTCTTTGAGTCTCAGGACTCAAGGGTCACCCCTTTGTCCAGCGTATTCACGTTGTCAATGCTATCTGCCTTTTAGTCACTTTGTAGCCATCTTAGGTGATCAGATTGACAGTCGTGGTATCGCAGTGCTTGTGTTCCAGCCTTATTTTACTTAATAATTGCCCCCAAAGCGCAAAAGTAGTGATGCTGGTATGTTAATGGTTCTATTTTATTATTGTTGTTAATCTTGTTATATATGAAGTTTCGGTGCCTCAAAAGAAATAGCACTCAAATATAAAATTTTCTTTTTAATTCTCAGCAAGGCAAGTTACTTCTCTATAGAACGGTGTGCCTTTACAGATGGAACAATGGTGAGTGCACACTTGGACAAGGGAGGGGAAGGGGTTCTTATTCCTGACACACATGGCCCCTGCTGCTGTGTCCTTCCCCTATTGGCTAGGGTTAGACTGCACAGGCTAAACTAATTCCGATTGGCTAATTTAAAGAGAATGACGGGGTGAGTGCTTTGGAGGGAGTCAGGGCAGAGCAGGTAGCAGATAATTGGAATGAGTTAGGGTGGAGCAGGTGATCAGAATGAGTCAGGGTGGAGCAGGTAATTGAAAAAGGTTGCTTTATGAGGAAGTTTAAAAGTAGAAGGCAAAGAATTGAACATACTGACATATCGATTTTTTGAAAAGAAATTTAGAACTCATATCTAACAATCCCTCCCCTTGTATTTCCTTACAGCTTTCTTTTCAAACTTTTTTTTTAACATGTCTTGGCTTAGTTGTTTTGCTTGATTTTCTAAAAGAAGAAGCTTCTCTGGATAAGGTGGAAGATAGTTAAGGGAGGTTTTAGTAAGTGCCATTTTTATGAGCCTCTGCATTTAATTACGGATGCATGGTATGACACAGCACCCTTCAAGAATAAGTACACCTATTACGGACGCGAGGGAAGTAAGAATTGAGGCTATTATTCCTTTCCGTTTACCGAAGTACCTTTTTTTAGCCATCCTGTAAAGAGGTCATTTACCCCTGAATTGCTGGCTAACTCATTGGACAGAGCAGTCAGACCTTGCAATCCTTTTGTTATACTTTTATTAGGGGCGGTGTTGTTTTGGATGAAGGTGTAACATTGAGTTTTAATTATGATGCAAACTCCTCCGCTTTCTGCTAATATCATGTCTAGGGCTATCCTATTTTCCCAACCCATCTGGCTAGTGGCCCCTAATTGCTCAGCTATTCCTTTAACAGCATCTCTAGTGTAGTTAATAAATCGCTGTTGGTTGTAATAGATGTAGTTTATCCAATGTACATTTTTATTAATTGTCACCCACCAACATATTGACTTAAATCCTGCAGCTATTTGATTTTGGACTTTAAATCGATCTGGTATTCCCCATGGGACTTTAATTGTGTCTAAATGGACGTGAGAGTTGAAAGACCTACAAGGGGCTTCTCTCACTTTACGATGTCTTATTTTTCCTTCCTCTGGTTGATGAAATGCCAGGGTGAAAGGGATAGCCAACTGGACTAAAGCACGAGTGCCACTCCAGTTATTTGGCAGAGTGTCCAGTAAAGGTCCACCATAATATCACGACACGTCTGCCGGGATGAACAAGGGCTGACTGATTGATAAGCTCTTGAAAATTCTTAACCTCACTGCATTCTTTCAGGTCTCCAAGGAACGCTAAGTTTCCTCCCTGTCGTGAGAGACATGAAGCGAACTTAGTGTTGGGTGATGGAGGCTGGATGGCCCTTAGGGGCTGACCTGCAGGGTGCCAGATTTCGGGATATAGCAGAGAGAGAGCTTGGCATGACTTATTACTCCAGGCTGTAGAATCCTGGAAAAGAGCTACCATGCAGCGTATGCCTGGTCGACTGGAGGACTACCTTAGTTGAAAGGGGACAATCTGGGCCTCTGGCCTGCCGTGCGCACAAGCATAACAATTGCTTTTGTTTAACGCGTGGACGGAATATTTGATCCATTCCAACCAGGCATTTACATCTTGGTATCCTGTCTCAATTGCCAAAGTTTGTTTTAAGTCTTTAACTTTTACCATCGCTATCTTGGTCTTGTCTTTAGATGGAGGAGGAACAATGGTTCTGTTGGGAGAGATTTTGGAAGAAGGCTTAGAGGCAGGTGCAGGCAGCAGGGGAATCAAAGAAACGCATTTTAAAGAATCCAATAGGGTCTGTCCTTGAAAACTCAGCCCCCACACCATAAAACTGGCTTAAAGAAGGGAACCGGCTTAGAAAAGGGGAGAACTTTGGGGACTTGAAATAGCCTGTATAGGGTTGCACTGCTTTAGCTGACAGTTAGGGGGTGCTGTCCCTTTAGTGAAATGAATGCATGGTTTTAGGAAATTACAAAAACTGATTGGGGCAGTCTATCCTTGCTCTTTAGTGGTCCACAGAACATTGGACCAACTACGGCATAAAAGCTTTACATCGGGGGCAAGACTCCTGGTTGACACTAGGGTCTTTATTGAAATCTCCCCGGATTAAATGGTTCCAATTTACTAATGCCCAGTCTGAGGAGAGTCAGGAGGGACAGAGGTACTTTTCTGAAGTAGAGAGCTGTTTTTGACTTGGCAAGTCCCCATAGGGTATAACAAGGCAAGCATTAAATGCAATAGTTTGAGGCAAAATTGACTCGGTTACGTTAATAACTAGATGGTCAGCAATAGAGCAAGGAAAGAAGAAAGAATAATAGAATAGATGAAAGAGTTATATTTTTTTTAGCTTCAGTTTGGTAGGGGTTTCCCCTGGGACTGTGGCACACGACTCTGGAGGGGGTGGAGCTTTGACTCGGGTGTGATGAGTCCATCCCTTTTTCACTGTGTGAACAGCAGTCTTGGTGGTTAGCGGCACAAGGTAGGGTCCTTCCCAGGCTGGCTCGAGTTTTTCTTCTTTCCACCCTTTGATGAGAAGGTGATCTTCAGGCTGGTGCTGGTTTACTGGAAATTCTAGGGGTGGTACCCGTGCTAAAAGACTTAGTTTTGAGGGAAAGGAAAGTGGAAGACAAACCAAGCATATAATTTTTAAGAAATTGACCTTTTGTTTTAAATGTGGGGACATCAACAGTGGCTTTTGTAGTCTTTGGTGCCTTCTTACTGAGAAATTTCCTTTAGCACCTATTTTTATTAGTTTTTAGACCAAAGAAAGCCAAACACCATTTTATATTTAACAGTGCTTTCTGTATGATTTTATACCAGATAAGCTAAATTTTACCTTTATATTAGTGTGTTATTAATGTTAAACTTAATTTTAATACAACCTTGTAGACATATTTATCCAATTTTTAATGTCTGACCATAAGGTAAGATTTTTATAGACTCTTTTTAACCTTTTTTATAATTTTTGTTAAAGAGCAGATTAGTGCTTTAAAAAAACCTGTTGTGCTTTTATTTTAATGTCCAGTTCACAGAAAAACTGGATACCTCTTTAACTTTAGCTAATATGTTTACACACAGAATTTCCTTTACAATTAACGTTTTAAAACTTGCTTAAACTTTTAAAACAAAATATATTTTTTAACCTTTTAATGTAGGTAAAAATTCATATTCTTATGCTTCCTTATAATCTTTTTACCAAAAGTATATTTTACTTTCCTTACACACCTTGCACATAAACTGTTTCTTCAATAGTTTTATATTTAGGAGGCCTAATTACTTTTAAATTATATGACATTTCTTGCATAAATTTCCTCTTATAACCTTTTTTTCCCCCATGACTTTTACAGATAATTTTTCGACATGTCTCAACTTTGACTTGTCGCAAACATCTTTTTTTTTAAAAAAAAAAAAACCAGTTAATTTATTTTAGAACAAGAATTTACCATATAACATTCTTTTTACATTAATTATCCCCCCCTTTTTTTCTTTTTCTTTTTTAATTTTCCTGAAGATAACCATTCTTTTCTAATGCGAACTTCCTTCATGTCTGTGGACTAGACTGCCTAAGGCCATAAGTTTAGAAGTTAGGATAATACACGTTACACTGTTAACTGTTAGCAAACTTTACTTTTGTTGAAAACCTTTTAAGTTTGGGATTTCAATTATCCTTTGCTGTTAATAAGACCTTGTTTAGTCTAAATTAACTTAGAATTGGTATAGATGGTTCTTTCCTGGTTCTGTAAGTACTTTAAAGCTTGGCTGAATGCAAACAGCTCCCATGTTTGAGCAGACCAGTTATTAGGCAATTTTCCTAACTCAGCCTCTACTAGAGTTTCCCTATCAATTACTGAATACCCATTGTGGTTTTTTTTCCCTCCTCAATCACCAGGGAGGAACCATCTATCTTCCCGCCCTGAAGGGTGTTCCTCCTAGGTCTGGTCGGACCTTTGTATGGTAATTAAGATTTAAATCCCCTGTTAGGAAACCTGCTGGGTTAAGGGAATTTTCAGTGGTTAATGATAAATCATCTTTTTCCAACAGAATAGCCCTATACTTTAAGATTTTTGAGTTAGTAAGCTACCTTTTTGCTTTTTGACTTATGATAGTTCTGAACTGGTGAGGTGCTCACAATGAGGTTTCCTCTAAAAGTTATTTTTCTACTTTATTCTGTTAACAGAGCAGTTGCTGCTACAGATTGAATGCATTTGGACCATACGTGGGTTACTGGATTAAGGATTTTTTTGAGACAGAGTCTTGCTCTGTCGCCCAGGCTGGAGTGCAGTGGCGCAATCTCGGCTCACCGCAAGCTCCGCCTCCCGGGTTCACACCATTCTCCTGCCTCAGCCTCCTGAGTAGCTGGGACTGCAGGCCTACGCCGCCATGCCCGGCTAATTTTTTTGTATTTTTAGTAAAGACGGGGTTTCACCGTGTTAGCCAGGATGGTCTTGATCTCCTGATCTCGTGATCTGCCCGCCTCGGCCTCCCAAAGTGCTGGGATTACAGGCATGAGCCACCGCACCCAGCCACTTTGGGTTAAGGATTTTTGATAGGAAGGCTACGCATTGTCAATGGCCTCAGTGCTTTCAGGCTACGCCCTTATTTACACTGACAATGAGGTGGTATTGGAGTGTTATAGGGTCAAGAAGACCTTCAATCATCAACTATAGGTTTTAAATTTACCCTGGCTTTTGAAGAAATAGGGTACACTTTTTCTTTACTACTTCTATTTTTCTTTTTCTTTCTCTCTTTGACTTTCTCTTTCTCTCGCTCTGACTCCCTCTTTGTCTCTCTGCTTCTTTCCCCCACCTTTCTGCCTCTTTCCCCCCTCTGCCTCTTTCCCCTCTCTCTCTGCCTCTCTTTGCCCTCTCTGCCTCTTTCCCCTCTCTCTCTGCTTCTTTCCCCTCTCTCTCTGCCTCTTTCCCCCCTCTGCCTCTCTTTCCCCTCTCTCTCTCTCTGCCTCTTTCCCCCCTCTGCCTCTCTTTCCCCTCTCTCTCTCTCTGCCTCTTTCCCCCCTCTGCCTCTCTTTCCCCTCTCTCTCTCTCTGCCTCTTTCCCCCCTCTGCCTCTCTTTCCCCTCTCTCTCTCTCTGCCTCTTTCCCCCCTCTGCCTCTCTTTCCCCTCTCTCTCTGCCTCTTTCCCCTCTCTCTCTGCCTCTCTTTCCCCCCTCTCTCTCTCTGCCTCTCTTTCCCTCTCTCCTGTGTCTCTTTCTCTTCCCCTATGGTAGGGACCTGCGGGAGTGGAGCTACTCTCTTTTCCCCTGTCTCTCTCTGCCTCTCTTTCCCTCTCTCCTCTCTGTGTCTCTCTTCCCCTAGGGTAGGGACCTGTGGGAGTGGAGCTACTGTCTCTTCCCCTGAGAAGAAAGGAAAGGTTGGGGAGGTTGTGTCAAGTTCAACCCTTGAAATTAGCAGAAGGCTCAACCCCTCAAACCAGGGCTGTCTCTCCTTGCCTGTTCCGGAAGGCTCAATCCCTCAAACCAGGGGGTGTCTTGCCTTGCCTGTCCTGGAAGCCTCAATCCCTCAAACCGGGGGGTGTCTTGCCTGTCCTGGAAGGCTCTGTCACACACGTCCGTGTGAAGAGACCACCAAACAGGCTTTGTGTGAGCAACAAGGCTGTTTTATTTCACCTGGGTGCAGGCAGGCTGAGTCCAAAAAAGGAGTCAGCAAAGGATGGTGGGATTATCATTAGTTCTTATAGGTTTGGGATAGGTGTACAAAGTACATTCTCAAGGTGGGGGAGAATATTACAAAGTATCTTCTTAAGGGCAGGGAAGAACCTATTGTATCGTTAGGGTGGGGTGGGAACAAATCACAATAGTGGAATGTCATCAGTTAAAGCTATTTTCACTTAGTTTGTGGATCTTCAGTTGCTTCAGGCCATCTGGATGTATACAGGCAGGTCACAGGGGATATGATGGCTTAGCTTGGGCTCAGAGGCCTGATATTCCTATCTTCTTATATTAAGAAAAACAAAACAAAATGATGAAATGTTGGGGTGGCAAAAATTTTGGGGGGTGGTATGGAGAGATAATGGGCGATGTTTCTCAGGGCTGCTTTGAGTGGGATTAGGGGTGGCGTGGGAACATAGAGTGGGAGAGATTAAACTGAAGAAAGATTTTGGGGTAAGGGGTAATATTGTGGGGTTGTTAGAAGGAGCATTTGTCATATAGAATGATTGGTAATGGCCTGGATGCGGTTTTGTATGAATTGAGAAGCTAAACAGAAGACACAGGTCCAAATAAAAGAAGAAGAAAAATAGATATTAAAGGACTAAGAATTGGGAGGACCCAGGACATGCAATTAGAGAGTGTCCAAGGGGGTTCAGCATAATTATTTGCTTGGCTGGTGAGTTTTTGGGCTCTATCCTTGAGTTTTTTTATGTTGTCATATACAGGCCAGATTGATTTAGATAAAAAAAAAAAAACACTCTTCATTTAAAAATATAGAGAATATCCCTTTTTTTTTTTTTTTTTTTTTTAAGCAGTGAGTAAGTTGGGGCCTCGGCCATTTTGGAGGAAAGAGAAATGCAAAACAAGCAATTGTTTGTTAAAGAAGGACTAGAAATGGCTAGGAAAGAGTGAGAATGATAGTGTGGTGGAGGTAGCTGGGGAGAGGTGGAGGGTGGCATAAGAACGGGAATGAGAATAAGAGTGAGTATAAAACTAAGGAATAGGACTTTATCAGGGTGAAAGTATTGGAGGGTGCCCTGCCAGCAAAGATCATCTATCTACTCTAAGAGGGAGTTAAGAGTGGCAGTTTGGCGATAGCACCAGGAGATATCAGGTGTGATAGCTTGGAGAAACAGTGTAAACCAGCAGTGTAAACAAAAGCAGAGCATTTATGAGTAGTTGAGAATGGTGAATAGGAGTATGACTAGACAGAAGATAGTAGGGATGACAAGTTTTTGGTGCACAGTCCAAGTAGTGGGGGTGACTGCGTAAAGCCCTGTTGCAGAAAGTAGGGTAAGGATGAACAGACCTAACAGAATGAAGGGATGTATTAGGCTCATAAGGATTATTACTGTTCTTCAGAAATGCGAGTGAGTTTAAGGGAAGTAGGGGAGAGTAGTTGCGACTTCCAGGAGGAAGAGGAAAGATTAGGCTGGCTGTGTGATGGACATAGCTTTATTCTGGAATGGTGAACCCAGCGGGGAGGATCCTGCAGGCGGATGGCAGTTGGGGTACTATAGATAACTAAGTGGGGTCCGGTCCATCAAGGTTGTAGAGTTTGAGGGGTCAGATTCTTAACAAGAACTGATCGTCCAGCTAGGGTGTCTTCATGTGGCTGGGAATCTGAAGTAGGCAAGAGAAGATTAGCAGCCTGGCCAATTTCCTGTCTAGCTTGCTGGAGGACTGGAAGATAATCATCTAGAGGGCTGGTGTCTGGAATGAGACTGGGGCCAAGCAAGAAAGTACGTCCATATAAAAGTTCAAATGGACTGTACCCTGTAGCATCTCAAGGACAGGCTCTAATTCTGAGAAGGGCAAGAGGTAAAAGTACTGTCCATTCCTTTTTAAGTTGAAGGCTAAGCTTGGTGAGGTATGTCTTTAAAAGACCATTGGTCCATTCTATCTTTCCTGAAGATTGAGGACGGTAAGGGATATGAAGGTTCCACTGAACACCAAGAGCCTGAGAAACTGCTTGGGTGATTTGACTAATAAAGGCCGGTCTTTATTGGACAGTATAGAGGTGGGAAGGCCAAACTGAGGAATTATGTCTGACAGAAGGGAAGAAATGACCGCGGTGGCCTTCTCAGACCCTGTGGGAAAGGCCTCTATCCATCCAGTGAAAGAGTCTACCCAGACAAAGAGGTATTTTAGTTTCCTGACTCGGGGCATGTGAGTAAAGTCAATTTGCCAATTCTGGGCGGGGGCAAATCCCCAAGCTTTATGTGTAGGGAAGGGAGGGGGCCTGAACAATCCCTGAGGAGTCGTAGAATAGCAGATGGAACACTGAGAAGTGATTTCCTTGAGGACAGATTTCCATGATGGAAAGGAAATGAGAGGTACTAAGAGGTGGGCTAGCGGCTTGTAACCTATATGGAAGAGGTTATGAAATGACGACACAATAGAATTGGCCTGTGAGGCTGGAAGGAGATATTTTCCTTGGTCTAAGAACCATTTGCCTTGTGTGGGAAGAGCATGGTGGTGTAGGATATGGAAGGCATATTTAGAGTCAGTATAAATATTGACATGTAGTCCCTTTGCAAGAGTGAGGGCCCGAGTTAAGCCAATGAGTTCAGCTTGCTGAGAGGTAGTGGAGGGGACAGAGCGGTAGCCTCAATGATAGATGTGGAAGATACTATATAGCATAGCCTGCCTTTGCTGGTGAGTGGTGATTAGGCCTGGTGGAACTGCCATCAATAAGCCAAGTGTGATCAGGGTAAGGAACAGGAAAGAAGGAAATATGGGGAAACAGAGTGAATGTCAGTTGGATCAGAAAGATACAGTCATGGAGGTCAGGTGTGGTATCAGGAATAATGTGGAAGGCCTGATTGAAGTCTGGGGCCAGGCACAATGGTAATTGTAGGAGGCTCAACAAAGAGTGAGTATAGCTGAAGGAGCCGGAGGGCAGGAAGTATATGCATCAGGTGTGAGAAAGAAAATATATTTTGGAAGTTATGAGAACTGTAGAGAGTGAATTGAGCATAGTTTGTGATTTTGAGGGCCTCTAAAAGTATTAAAGCAGCGGCAGCTGCCACTCGCAGACATGAGGGCTAGGCTAAAAGTAAGTTCAAGTTGTTTGGACAGAAAGGCTACAGGGTGTGGTCCCAGCTCTTGTGTAAGAATTCCAATCACACAGCCCTGCACTTCGGCTATGTGTAATGAAAAAGGTCGGGTTGAGTTAGGGGAAGCTAGTGTGGGAGCAGCTTTTAGGGCTGCTTTTTAAGAAATGGAAAGGGGAGTGGGGAAAGGATTTAGGATTTACGGGGTCTGCTAGGTTTATCTAGAATAGAATAATGGGTTGTAGAGGGAGGTATTGAGGACAGGAGAGTATATGGGTTTGGCACCATGGGGTGGGATAGGCAAGACAATTTGGTTGATAAAGCGCAGATCCTGAACTAACTTGTAAGACTTGTCCGGTTTTCGGACAGGTAAAATGGGAGAATTGTAAGGAGAGTTTATAGGCTTTAAAAGGCCATGCTGTAACAGGCTTTAATCCTTTTAGATCATGCTGTGGGATGGGATATTGGCGTTGAGCGGGGTAAGGGTGATTAGGTTTTAATGGGATGGTAAGGGGCATGTGATCGGTTGCCAGGAAGGGAGTAGAGGTGTCCCATACCTGTGGGTTAAGGTGCGGGGATACAAGAGGAAGATGTGAAGAAGGCTTTGGGTTGGGAAGAAGGGTGGCAATGAGATGTGGCTGTTTTCCAGGAATAACCAAGGAAGCAGATAATCTGGTTAAAATGTCTCGGCCTAATAAGGGAACTGGACAAGTGGGGATAACTAAAAAGGAGTGTATAAGAGAATATTGTCCAAGTTGGCACCAGAGTTGGGGAGTTTTAAGAGGTTTAGAAGCCTGGCCATCAATACCCACAACAGTTATGGGGGCATGGGAAACAGGCCCTTGAAAAGAAGGTAATGTGGAGCGGGTAGCCTCCGTATTAAGAAGGGGATGGACTTACCCTCCACTGTAAGAGTTACCCAAAACATCTGTGATGCTCCTGTGGGCTTCCAAGGTGATCAGGCAGTGTCAGTCTTCAGCCACTAAGCTGAGAAGATCTGGGAAGGAGTCAGTCAGAGATCCTTGGGCCAGAGTTCCAGGGGCTCTGGGAGTGGCTGCCGGGTGAGCTGGACAGTCCAATTTCCAACGGGGTCCAGCACAGATGGGACATGGCTTAGGAGGAATCCCGGGCAGTGGGCGTTCCTTGGCCCAGTGGCTAGATATCCGGCACTTGAAGCAAGATCCTGGGGGAGGCGGTCCTGGAGGAACAACTAGCTGCTGCGGTTCAGGCGTTTTGAAGTTCTCGTGTGTGGAGATGTGGCTGGCGTTTCTCTCACAGTGGCAAGTAATTGCAACTCAGAAATACGTTGCCTCTACTCTATTATTGTACACCTTGAAGGTGAGGTTAATTAAGTCCTGTTGTGGGGTTTGAGGGCTGGAATCTAATTTTTGGAGCTTTTTCTAATGTCAGGAGGGGATTGGGTAATAAAATGCATATTGAGAATAAGACAGCCTTCTGGCCCCTCTGGGTCTAGGGCGGTAAAGTGTCTAACTGCTAAGCAGGCCATGAACTGGGCTGGGTTTTCATCTTTACCTTGGGTAGTTTCCTTTAGCTTGTCATAATTAACAGCTTTGTATGCTGCCTTTTTGAGCCCTTCAACTAGGCAGGAAACCATGTAATCTGGCCTAGCTATACCTGGGGAATCTGCCTGATAGTTCCATAGGGGGTCCTCTTGGGGAACTGCTCTAATGCCTTCCTGGAGGCCTGGCTCATGAAGCTGGTGGTTATCAGTGTGAGACTGGGCTAGAGAGAAAACTCTTTCCCGTTCATCTGGGGAGAGGGTGGAAGTCAGGATGACATGTAAGTCTCTCCAGGTTAACTTGTAGGACAGAGTTAGATATCGGAATTCCTGTATATATTTCGTGGGGTCTGATGAGAAAGAGCCTAAACACTGGCTGATTTGGGAAAGGTCTGATAGAGAAAAAGGCACATGTACCCTGACTATGCCTTCAGCTCCAGCCACCTCTCTAAGAGGAAATTGTTGGGCAGGTGGGGGAGAGCTGGTCACAGAACAAAACTGTAAACCAGACCAGGTGTGAGAAGGGGAGGTAATAGAAGGGTTATAGGGTGGGGGAGCAGAGGCTGAAGAAGAGTTGGGGCCTGATTAGCCTGGCGGGGAGCGAGCTGAGCAGCAGCAGTCTGGGGAGGAGGTGAGAGGTCCGATGGGTGAGTAGAAAAGGAAGATTCAAAAGACTCAGCGACGCTTTTGGTTGGGACTGAAGGGACAGGCGGGAGGGAAAGGAGGAGGATTTGGGACAAGTCGCAGTGGGAACAGAGACTAGAGGGGGAACGAAGTGTGAAAAATGCCTGGACGTAAGGCACCTCAGACCATTTGCCCATTTTTCGACAAAGATTATCTAGGTCTTGTGGGATAGACAAATCGAGAGTGCCGTTCTCTGCCATTTGGAGCTATTGTTGAGTTTGTACTGGGGCCAAGCGGTATTGAAGAAGAAAAAAAGGCATTTAGGTTTTAGGTCAGGTGTGAGTTGAAGGGATTTTAGGTTTTTAAGAACACAGGCTAAGGGAGAAGATGGGGGAATGGAGGGGCGGAAGTTTGCCCATAGTGAGGGAGGCAAGTTTAAAGAGAAAGGTAGAGACACGGAGAAGGGGGTGGTGAACAGCCCTGGGCTGCAATGTGGGTGAGCAACCAAAGCAGGCATCCCCATAATTGACTTGCCACCAAGGGAATGTGGGTGAATGACCAAGGCAGGCGTCCCCGTGGTGATCAGACACCAATGAAATGTGGGTGAATAATCAGGCAGGTGTCCCTGCAGTGATTAAACACCAAGGGAAGCCTGTCTTCCCGAGTCTGTGACCGGCGCCAGAGTTTTGGTTCCACAGATAAAATGTGTCTCCTTTGTCTCTACTAGAGAGGAAAAAGAACTGGAATTGGAAAGACAGGGAGATTGAAGGGTAGCGAGAGAGGCTGGAGAAGAGAGTGAAAAGACCACTTACCCGGTTTGAAATTGGTGAGATGTTCCTTGGGCTGGTTGGTCTGAGGACCCAAGGTGGTAGGTGGATCTCCTCACAGAGTGAGGGCGAGGACAGGGAACTGGTCTCCCGAAGGAGTCCTCCTGTCCCAGGTCTTCGGCACCAAATGTCACGTGCGTCTGTATGAAGAGACCACCAAACAGGCTTTGTGTGAGCAACAGGCTGTTTATTTCACCTAGGTGCAGGCGGGCTGAGTCCGAAAAAGGAGTCAGCAAAGGGTGGTGGGATTATCAATAGTTCTTATAGGTTTGGGATAGGCGTATAAAGTTCATTCTCAAGGGTGGGGGAGAATATTACAAAGTACCTTCTTAAGGGCGGGGGGAGAATATATCGTATCAGTTAGGGTGGGGCGGGAACAAATCACAATGGTGGAATGTCATCAGTTAAGGCTATTTTCACTTATTTTGTGGATCTTCTGTTGCTTCAGGCCATCTGGATGTATACGTGCAGGTCACAGGGGATATGATGGCTTAGCTTGGGCTCAGAGGCCTGACAGCTCAACCCCTCAAACCAGGGATGTCTTGCCTGTCCTGGAAGGCTCAACCCCTCAACCCAGGGGTGTCTTACCTGTCCTGGAAGGCTCAGCCCCTCAACCCAGGGGTGTCTTGCCTGTCCTGGAAGGTTGACCTGTTTCTCCCCTTTCTCCCTCTGAAGGTCCTTTGCACACTTGCTACTCGTGCTGTCCTCTCTGGCCGCTCCCTCAAGGTAGAATCAGGTCCTTCTTAGTGTGGGTGTGCCCACGGCAGGATCCACCCTAAGCCATATGAGGTAGCTACGGAACCGCAGAGAGGATCCACTCACTCCGTCCAGCAGTAGGACTTGTCACCATCCACACGAACCACACCGCAAGAAGGGTCGTTTGTGATCATTCACGCACACACACATTTAGCCCTCCAGAATTTGACCACCAAGGAAATACTTTACCAGCTCTTGCGGCTTCTCCTTCCTTGGTCTGTGCACAGAGTTGTGGCTGCCGTATGTGAGGATCCTTTAAGCTATGTTGCTGGCCAGTTTTTTTTTTTTTTTTTTTCCCACGTTGCTGAGAGCTCAGGTTATTCCTCGCACTGGGTGGGTCATGATTTCTCACCCCTGAGGCCGCCACAATAGGGTGGGGTGCACCTCCTCACGAGAGAGAACCAGAGACTGTCCCCGGAAGGGAATGTAATCCCAGGTGAGACCCCAAATTGTTATATATAAAGTTTCAGTGCCGCAAAAGAAATAGCACTTGATATAAAACTTTCTTTTCAATTCTCAGCAAGCCAAGTTACTTCTCTATAGAAGGGTGCGCCCTTACAGATGGAACCATAGTGAGCGCACACTTGGACAAGGAGGGGAAGGGGTTCATATTCCTGACGCACGTGTCCCCTGCTGCTGTGTCGTTCTGCTATTGACTAGGGTTAGACTGCACAGGCTAAACTAATTCCGATTGGCTAACTTAAAGAGCATGACGGGGTGAGTGCTTTGGCGGGAATCAGGGCAGAGCAGGTAGCAGGTAATTGGAATGAGTTAGGGTGGAACAGGTGATTTGAATGTAGGGTGGAGCAGGTGATCAGAATGAGTCAGGGTGAAGCAGGTAATCGAAAAAGTTGCTTCGGGAGGAAGTTAAGTTTAAAAGTAGAAGGCGAAGAATTTAACATACTGACATAGTAATTTTTTGAAAAGGAATTTAGAACTCATACCTAACAATCTCTTACTGCACCTAATTTATAAATTAAACTTTATCATACGTATGTATGTATAGGATAAGCTATTATATGATATAAGCTATACATATGATAAGCTATCATATGTATGTATGTATAGGTAAGTTATCCCTCGGTATCCATGGGAGATTGCTTCCAGGACCCCCAGGGATACAAAAATCCTTGGATCCTCAAGTCCCTGGTATAAAATGGTGTAGTATTTGCATATAACCTATGCACATTCTCCCATGTGCTTTAAATCATCGTTAGATTACTTATAATACCTTATCCAATGTAAATGCTATGTAAATAGTTGTTATACCATATTGCTTAAGGAATAATGACAAGAAAAAAGTCTGTACATGTTCAGTACAGATACAATTATTTTTCAAAAATTTTTTTTTCCTTGAGACAGTCTTGCTCTGTCACCCAGACTGGAGTGCAGTGGGGCGATCTCGGCTCACTGCAGCCTCCGCCCCGAGGGCTCAGGTGATTCTCCCACTTAAGTCTCCCGATGGGACCACAGGTGCACACTACCACACTCAGCTATTTTTTTTTGTATTTTTAGTAGAGACAAGGTCTCACCATGTTGCCCAGGCTGGTCTCAAACTCCTCAGCTCAAGGGATCCGCCCTTCTCGGCCCCACAAAGTGCTGGGATTACAGGAGTGAGCCACCATGCCCAGGCCAAATAGTGTCAGTCTTCACTTGGTTGAATCCATGGGTGCAGAACCCATAGCTAAGGGGAGCTGGCTGTATAGAGGTTCATTCAAGGTTTCTGACATCTACTGGAGAATCTCAAAATGTATTCCCTGAGGATAAAAGGGGACCACTGGGCCTTTCGGTTTGCTTTCCAGAAACTGAAAATGACCCAAATGACTCAGAGATATGTCTTTTTGCAAACCAAAATGTTCACAATTCTTTTTTTCTCCAACAAAATTTAATCCGTTTGCCATCATTAACTTGTCATTTAACGATTGATCACCATCTAATCTTTAATAATTTATCTTTGATAAATTCATGAGTTCAAAGAAGTGAGATAACAACATTCCTTTTATTCCAATATTTGTATTTATGTGAACATAGTTCCTCAAACTTACAGTTATACAAATTTTTTAATTGGAATAAATTAATATCGACTCCTATCTTATTCTAGCAATGAGTAATAGACATCCATGGGTATATGAGTTAATTGGGGGAGATACTCATCTCATTAAGTGCTACATTTCCAATAAGATTTTACTTTTATTATTTTTTCTTTATTTATTATTGGCATAAAAATATTAGGAGTATATTTATTTATTAAAATTGGTAATATTTGTATCAGTGTGTATCAATTGTATCATAATTATAATAGTTTGGCTGGGTGCGGTGGCTCATGCCTATAATCCCAGCACTTTGGGAGGCCAAGGGGGGTGGATCACCTGAGGTCAGGAGTTCAAGACCAGCCTGACCAACATGGAGAAACCCCATCTCTACTAAAAATACAAAATTAGCCAGGAGTGGTGGCGCATGCCTGTAATCCCAGCTACTTTGGAGGCTGAGGCAGGAGAATCACTTGAACCCAGGAGGTGGAGGTTGCAGTGAGCTGAGATCGCACCATTGTACTCCAGGCTGGGCAACAAGAGTGAAACTCCGTCTCAAAAAAAAAAAAAATTACAATAGTTCAATCCAGAAAAAATTTAACTTAGACAATTAAAAACTGTTCATTTCCATTTTTTAATATTGTAACAAATGATTTATTCAACATTTTACCAACTAATATACTTTAACAGAAAAGCCCTGGAGGTTTATTAGACTATTTCTGAAGGAAAAAAAAATTAAGACATCTCAGATACGGCAGCAAGAACAACTAGTATTTGTGTAGCACTTTACGATTCACAAAGTGCTTTCAACATACGTTATCTCATTGGATCCTCACAACAGCTCTGTGAGGTAGGGATTTTTGCCAATTTACAAGTGAGGTAACTGAGGCTCAGAGGTTCCAGGACCTTTAGGGAGATCCACAGCAAGTGATTGGTAAAGATGGACCATAAAACCAGATCTTTTGACTCCAGGTTCCATTTCATGCCGAGTGTTTATTTTTATTTTTATTATTATTTTTTTGAGACTGAGTTTCGCTCTTGTTGCCCAGGCTGGAGTGCAATGGTACAGTCTCGGCTGACCACAACTCTGCCTCCCAGGTTCAAGCGATTCTCCTGCCTCAGTCTCCTGAGTAGCTGGGATTACAGGCATGCACCACCACGTCCGGCTAATTTTGTATTTTTAGTAGAGATGGGCTTTCTCCTTGTTGATCAGGCTGGCCTAGAACTCCCGACCTCAGGTGATTTGCCCAGCTCGGCCTCTCAAAGTGCTGGGATTACAAGTGTGAACCACCGCACCCGGCTATAAGTGTTTATTTTTCAATGCAGAATTATACCATACAATGTTAAAAATAAAAGGTCTTACAACTGATCCAACTTCTCAAAAATGGAAGCTTTTATAAGGAAAAATTTAATTTCTTTGATTTCTATGAAAATTCATGTCTTGTTCAGTTTTAAAATTAATTTGGCCGATACTGCCATGACTTTAGTCTCTCTCTTTAGGAAGTACTGATAAATTATACAGCTTTCCCTTCATTTCAGGGTCACAGAAAATCCTCTACTGGACAGCACATATGCAGGATCTGTGAGTCTGAACACTAATTCAAAGTCCATCCCTGCTTGACCTACCAGCAATGCACTTAAAATAAAAAAAAGTCTACTCTCCTTTATAGGAGATAACAGCAGAACATAGGTTTGAAGCAGTCACAGTGTGCCAGAAATGAGTTTCTTCACAACTCAGAGAAGAGAGGGAAGACATCATACTAAACCTCTACTGAGCCTCCGGTTCCCTAAACTAACAGCCATATTGTATTTTACATGGATGGATTCATTGCCACTATCCTGACCAAAGAGCAGTTACAAGGCATCCTTTTGTGGTACTAGTACAAAACAAACAGAGAATATGGCCCCTACCCTAGGGCAGCTTGCTGAAGTCCCTTCTAAGGTCTGCCAGCTCTAAATCACTGCTCATCATAAAACAATGACGTGGAGCTTGACACGAGTATAGAAAACAAAGGAAAGCAGGCTACCAAATTACTACTACCATAGAACCAGCTAAAATAGAATAATTACAAAGTGAATAGGGACACGGAAGAGGAAGAATATAAACAGTGTCCTGATTAGTGCCTCAGGGCGGTATGGCTAGAGCACTAAGAAACAACTAAAGCTAACAAACCAGTCTGGCATGGAACCGAGAGGGAGGGCTGTTCTTTCTCAGTTAAGCTTTATATTGGTGATGGATCTAAGAGGCGGCATCACATCAGCAATGGCTCATAATAAAAAATAATCATGGGGTGAACTTAATGTATGCTCAGCAACAGAAGAACCAACAATCTTTGCCCATTAGCAGTTTAGCCACATGTATGCATAGATTATATCACATACATATACTTAGTCTAAATCATATATACCAAGCTAACAGAAAAAGAATAGCAATTTCCAACATTTTGCTAGCACATAACTTTGCAAAAGAAAAATCACTTCCCTTTATAACAAAGGGCTTTCAGAATCTAAATATCAAATGAAATACTTCTAGCATTTAAAGAGTTTTTTTAGACACATACAATTACATTCAATGAAGTTATGAGTGAGCTACAAAATGGAAAATTGAGAACTCACATTGATAAAACCTCAAACACATCTCAGAATAAATTCAAGCTTTTTAGCTTAACATCTATATCTCTATCAACTTTTTACTACAGAAGGGCCCATTAAACACTTATGTAATAAAATTCAATGTTCTATGCTAAATGCAGAGAATTTTATAGTCCAAAGCATGATTTACAATTACATTATCACCTTTCTTTCACAATGCTTACATTACTTCATAATTATAATCATTATTAAGCTATTAATACAAAGCAGAACACTTCTTCAAATTAAGTTACCTTTTGCTGTAAGTAGCAAAGACTGCCTTCCTGCACCAAAGAAAGAAGCGACTCTTGAAATACTGGGTGGAATTTCTTTTTTTTTTTCTTTTTCTTTTTTTTTTTGAGATGTTGTTTCGCTCTTGTTGCTCAGGCTGGAGTGCAATGGCACGATCTGGGCTCACCACAACATTTGCCTCCCGGGTTCAAGCGATTCTCCTGTCTCAGCTTCCCGAGTAGCTGGGATTGCAAGCAAGTGCCACCACGCCTGGCTATTTTTTTGTATTTTTAGTAGAGACGGGGTTTCGCCATGTTGGTCAGGCTGGTCTCGAACTCCCGACCTCAGGTGATCCACCCGCCTCGGCCTCCCAAAGTGGTGGGATTACAGGCGTGAGCCACCGTGCCCAGCCATAATTTCTTCATACAACATAGGACCGATGCGCTGGCAGATTTGCAATAGACGATCAGGAGCCACATGTTTACTGGACAAGACCAATTCCTCGTAGCTCCTGTTGTGCTCGTTGCCCTCCCAGTCCAACCCCTTCGGCAACAACTGCCACTGCTCCAGCTCCTGCACCAGTACCTGGGCCGCTCTCTGACACGGGCCCGCCGATAGGTACCGGGCGATGAGGAAGTACAGCTTTGACTCCGCGATAGGCGCTGGGCGGACAAGGGCTCTGCCACGGCCGGGCACGGGGCGGGAGGCGGGAGCCAGTGATCCAGCGAAGCGTGTAGGCCCCGCCGAGGCCTGACCGGGCTGGCGTTCCTGTCCTCAGGCGGGTGCCACCACGGCCATCCATTTCCATTTTTAGATATACTTTTGTTGCAGAGATACGTGATAGTGCCATCAGCATAAGATTTTTTTCAGCCGGGCGCAGTGGCTCATGCCTGTAATCCCAGCACTTTGGGAGGCTGAGGCGGGCAGATCACGAGGTCAGGAGTTCGCGACCAGCCTGATCAACATGGTGAATCCCTGTCTCTACTAAAAATACAAAAAATTAGCCGGGCGTGGTGGTGCATACCTGTAATCCCAGCTACTCAGGAGGCTGAGGCAGAATAATCGCTTGAACCCGGGAGGTGGAGGTTGCAGTGAGACAAGATCAAGCCACTACACTCCAGCCTGGGCGACAGAACTAGACTTCGTCTCAAAAAAAAAAAAATTTTTTTTCATCATATATGATTTTTAAAATCAATATCCATATTTTTAAGGGCATTAATTGCAGATTTTCAGATTCTGTTGGGTGCATTTAAAAGAGTAATGTAATCATTTATTTTAAAAGGTCAACATTTACACTATGCTGGGTGTAAAATTGTATCTTGTGCAACTATTTGAACTTGTGCTGAGGAATTTTTTTTTTTTTTTGAGACAGAGTCTTGCTCTCTCGCCTAGCCTGGAGTGCAATGGCGCCATCTTGGCTCACTGCAACCTCTGCCTCCCGGGTTCAAGCTATTCTCCTGCCTCAGCCTCCCTAGTAGCTGGGTCTACAGGGGCCTGCCATCACGCCCGGCTAATTTTTTTTGTATTTTTAGTAGAGACAGGGTTTCACCATATTGGCAGGCTGGTCTCCAACTCCTGACCTTGTGATTCGCCTGCCTTGGCCTCCCAAAGTGCTGGGATTACAGGCATGAGCCACCGTGCCTGGCCGTGCTGAGGAATTTTAAATCTAAGTTTTAAAGTGTGCAGAGAGGGTACATCATTTTTCAAGATTATTTTTAAATATATGTAAGCAGAATAAAAATGTGAAGCCCACTGGGGTAGAGAATGACTGTGACATAGTTTCATATATATTAATTTTCCTACAATACTTATGAATTAGTTACCACAGCCAAATCCTGCCATAATCCTATAAATGAAGTCCAAAATATCCAATCGTTTAAGATACTAGGTAGCACTATTTGAAGTTGACAGAATGGAAACAGGAGCAGGGGGAATAATGGTAGCCAACTTCCAATCGGATTTTACTGGGTTAATATTCCTTTCTCCATAGAGAAAACTGAGGCATGTATGGAGATGTTGCTACCTTCCCAAGGCCGTGGAGGAGCCAGGATTTGGTTCCGGAGTCTGTGCTCTTAATTCCTGCACTATGCAGACCTAGAGGGTGTAAAATAGTACAGTTCATTTGGGTGCTAAATGCAAATTAGTACAACTACTAGTGAGATTGGTTATCGTTCCATATGTTTATCCACCATATGCATTTTCTCATTGAAAGGTCTGCTCATATCTTTTGTCCGTTTTGTTCCTAGACTGTCTTTTTATTATTGATTTGTCAAAGTTAATACATGTCTATATCCTTTATATGCTGCCACTTATTCGTGGTTATGTGTATGCAAATATACCCCCAATTTATGACTTGTTTTTCAGTTTCTTTATGGTATCTTTTGATGAACAGAAATGGTTAATTTTAATGTAACTCAATGTGCCAAGTTTTTCTTTTAAGTCGTGTAAAAAACTCTTACCTTATCTCTAGGTCACAAAAATATTCTTTCATATTTTATTATGAAGTTTTAAACTTTTATGTCCTACTTTTAAGTTGTTAATCCACTCGAAATTGATTTTGTATGTGGTGTCAGGTAAGGGTTCAATCACCCCCATCCCCACCCCAGGTGGCTAACCATTTATCTCAAGATTAGTTTCATAGTACATCTTTTACTCATGGAACTGATATAGCTCCCCTTCATGTATAAGGTTTGCAAATAATTGGGGGTCTAGCCTGTTGCATTGATTATAATTTTTTTTTTTTGAGACGGCTTCTCGCTCTGTTGCCCAGGCTGGAGTGCAGTGGCGCTATTTCGGCTCACTGCAAGCTCCGCCTCCCGGGTTCATGCCATTCTCCTGCCTCAGCCTCCCGAGTAGCTGGGACTACATGTGGGCCTGCCACCACGCCCGGATAATTTTTTTTTTTTTGTATTTTTAGTAGAGACGGGGTTTCACCGTGTTAGCCAGAATGGTCTCGGTCTCCTGACCTGGTGATCCGCCTGCCTCGGCCTTCCAAAGTGCTGGGATTACAGGCGTGAGCCGCCGCGCCCAGCGCATTGATTATTATGTCTGTAACTGCATCAATATCATACTGTTTTACTTACCATAACTTCATCATAAGTCTTGATGTGAGATTAGGCAAAAATAATATTTCCATTTGTTGCCTGTGTATAAAAGTACAATTGATGTTTGTATATTGATTTTTTTTTTCCCCGAGACACAGCCTTGCTCTGTCACCCAGGCTGGAGTACAATGGCGTGATCTCAGCTTACCGCAACCTCTGTCTCCTGAGTTCAAGCAATTCTCCTGCCTCAGCCTCCCGAGTAGCTGAGATTACAGGCACATGCCACTACACCCAGCTATTTTGTTTTGTATTTTTAGTAGAGACAGGGTTTCACCATGTTGGCCAGGCTGGTCTTGAACTCCTGACCTCGTGATCTGCCTGCCTTAGCTCTTATTTGCAGCCACTTTGCTAAACTCTTTTTTTTTTTTTTTTTGGAGGCAGGGTCTCGCTTTGTCACCCAGGCTGGAGTACAGTGGCACAGTCTCGGCTCCCTGCAACCTCAACTTCCCAGGCTAGGACTACAAGAGTGTGCCACCATGCTCAGAAACTTTTTTTTTTTTTTCCCTAGAGATGAAGGTCTCACTATGTTGCCCAAGGTGGTCTGGAACGCCTGGCTTCAAGTGATACTCCCACCTCTGCTTCCCAAAGTGTTGGGATTACAGATGTGGCCTACTGCACCCGACCAATTTTCCTTTTTAGTATTATTCTTGCTTGGCATTAATATAAAAGTTTTATTCACCTTATAGAATAAATTGGGGAATGTTTCCTCCAATTCCTCTGTTCTTTGAAAGTTTGTTAAAATTCCCTTGTGAATATCCCTGGGATTGGTATATGCACTTTTAGTCAAATTTTAACTATTAATTCAACCTTCAATTTCCTTAATGTTTATATGATGGTTCAAATTTTCTATTTCCCCTTTAGTCAGTTTTGGTAAATGACATTTTCTATTATCTTGCCTATTTCATCTATATTTTCCAATGTATTACCATAATGTTTATAGTATATGCTTATCTTTTTGTCTCAGCTAATGCCAGATCTTGTTTATTTGGGCAATGTCTTTTTTTTTTTCTCTTGATTCTTCTTGCCAGAGGTTTTTAAATTGTTATCATCAGAAGAACCAACACTTGATTTTGTCAAAGAACCAACATTTGGCTTTGTTGATACTAATTGCCAGGCACTATTCTGAGTGTTTACATATATTAACTAATTTAATGTGGTGTGTATAATGCTTTCTCATTGGAATTTCCTTATCTTTCATATTTTCCATCTGCTTGTCTCTGTTTTGCCTTCTGGATAATTTCTTCAGATCTATCTCTTAGTTTACTCATCTTTCTCTTATTTGATGCTTAACAAATATATTGAGTTTCAATGATTATAGTTTTCGATTCTAAAATTTCTATGTGGTTTCTTTCCAATCTGCCTGATCAATTTTTATGGTCTCTTGGTCTTTGTTCAGTTTTTAGTTACATATTTTTTTCTGTAAACACTTCATACTTTATATTTTGTATCTGACAGTTCCAGCATCAGAAATTTATATGACTCTAAATCTGTATTTAGTTAATTCTGTTGATCTCACTCAGCGAAGCTTGTTTCCTGGCAAGTTTGGTAATGTTTTTTATTGTGAAATTTTTATTGTGTGTGTGTTTTTTTTATTGGTTGAACATAATCTGTAGGGATCCTGGGAGCATTTATTGGTGATGCTTTATTCCGGAGAGAATTTGTGTTTGCTTTTCTCAAGAGCCAGAGGCTGTTACCACACTGGATACATTTAAGCTCCCTTGAAAGAATCAGGGCTTAAGGCAAGAGTCTCAGATTTAGCTTCCCTATCTCACAGAGAGCTCAAGGCTTAGTGTGCGGATTCCAGGGCTGGTACTCACACTGTCTCCTCCGGTTACATTTGCTGACTGTTCCCAATCTACTGTCAATTTAGTATTCTCCTCCCATCTCCCCACCAACCTTAGAGAGCCTTTATTTTCATACAAGCCTAGCAGCGCATAAAACTATGTTTATTGTAATTTTCCTGAGACCTAGTTATATTACAGAGGAGGAGCCTTCAGAGGAACTGATATGCCGTACTTCTCGAAGAGGAATTCAGTTCATTTTTAATCTTTGAATCATATCAAGGAGAAAGTCTGAATCATGTGTTCTTATGTGAATTATGTGTTGTGTCTTAAACACCTCTTCAACACCTGTTAAGGGATACTGCACCAGCAACAGTATCCAGCTAGAATTTAATACAATTGTTTTGTTTGCATTATCTTTATCCTATGGTTACATTATATTATGGGAAGTGATACTGGTTTTCCATTGACTATAGAGATATGAAGTTTCTTTAAAGAGGAATTTATATATATATATGTATAAACTAATTTAATGCCTGGTCCATTTATATATGTATATATATACACATATGTGTGTATATATACGTATACATATATGTATACGTGTATATATATGTATATGTATATACATATATAAATGGGCTAGGCATGTTGGCTCACACCTGTAATCCCAGCACTTCAGGAGGCCAAGGTAGGTAGATAGCTTGAGCCCAGGAGTTTGAGCCCAGCTTGGGCAACATAGCAAAACCTTATCTCTACAAAAAATACAAAAATTAACTGGATGTGGTGGTGTGTGCCTGTGGTCCCAGCTACTCTGAAGGCTAAGGTGGGAGGATCGCTTGAGCTCAGGAGTCAGAGACTGCAGTGAACGGAGATCGTGCTGCTGCACTCCAGCCTGGGTGCCAGAGTGAGACTCTGCCTCAAAAAAAAAAAAAAATTCAATTTAGATAAATTGTTAAATAAACAGTAGTACAGGTTGTCATCAACTATTGCAAAAGTCATATGAGAATGAGGGCTGGGAAACACTGGTCTGCATCTTCCCAATTCCTCAGGCTGCATGTCCTTGGTCAAAGCTTCCCTTTGCAGTCCAGCCCCAGCGCCCCTCCTTCCTCTGAGTGATGAAAGAAAGCATTGTGGCCAGTGCCTCTCAGCCTCTCTCCTGCTAATCATCCCTTTGTCATGCGCCCTGCACCCCAATTCACCCCAAGACTGAAGCAAGCTCCTTGAGGGAGGACAAATAAAAACCCAAATCCAATCCCTACAGGGGAAGTGCTCCCTTACTCCTGTCTCCCCCGAGACCTTGCCTCCCCATGTCTCTTCATGAAACCTCATCTCCCCGTGTGGTGTGGTTTAAATGTGTCCCCCCAAATTGTTTTGTGGGAAACTCAATCCCCAATACAACAATGTTGGAAGATGGCACTTGCTGGAAGGTGTTTAGGTCATGAGGGCTCTGTTCTTGTGAATAAATGAGTGCAGTTTTAAAGACTTGACAAGGGGAGTTTGCTCTCTCACTCTCTCTTGCCCTTCCACCCTCTACCCTGTGAGGACACTGCATTCCACCCTCTGGACAGCTGTCGCCGGATGCCTGCACCTTGATCTTGGACTTCCCAGATTCCAGAACTGTGAGAAAATAACTGTCTGTTTCTGATGAGTTAACCAGTCTTAAGTGTTCTGTTTTAGCAGCACGAGATGAACTAAGACACCATTTCGCCCCTTGTGCGCTTGTTCCCTTATGTGTCCTTATGAGACCTCGTCTCCTAACATGACCTTATGTCCTCATGTCTCCCCACATGACCTTGTCTTCTCAGGTCTCCCTATGAGACCTTGGCTCCCCATGTATCTTCATGTGACCTTGTCTGCCCATGTATCCCCACAGGACCTTGTCTCCCCCATGTGACCTTGTATTTTCATGAAATTTTTTTTTTTTTTCTTTTTGAGATGGAGTCTTGCTCTTGTCACCCAGGCTGGAGTGCAATGGCACGATCTCGGCTCACTGCAACCTCTGCCTCCCGGGTTCAAGCGATTCTCCTGCCTCAGCCTCCCGAGTAGCTGGGATTGCAGACGCGTGCCACCACACCTGGCTAATTTTTGTATGTTTAGTAGAGATGGGGTTTCACCATGTTGGCCAGGCTGGTCTCGAACTCCTGACCTTATGATCCACCCTCCTTGGCCTCCCAAAGTGCTGAGATTACAGTTGTGAGCTACCGCGCCTGGCCTGTATTTTCATGAAATCTTATCTCCTCATAGCTCCCCATGAGACCTTGTGTCCCCGTGAAACTTTGCCTTATGCCTTACTCATAGTTGGTGCACATGTGGCAGTTGGTCCGCTCTGGTGTGGGAACTGTGACATGAATTGACATAATTAGACGAGTGGGTGGGGTTGTGGGGAGCATCTAAGCAGCAGGCCGGGCACCACTGCATACCAGCAAATGAGTTGTTGTTTCCAGACAAGCCAACAAGTTGAGTAGAGGCACTAATGCCTTGAGCAGCCTGGCTCTTGGCCTTTCATTTGTTTGTCTCATAAACTCTGAAATTGTGTTTCTTGGGAAGTGGAGTATAAACCCATCCCCACTTCCTGGTGCTCAGAGCCAACAAGCCATCAGCACTGACCATCGTGCTGAACTTCTGGTGGGGACTTAGCGGGGAGTAAGGCTCTCACGTACTCCTGCCTGCTAAGGTCTCATCAGCAGCCCTTCTTTTATTTATTTATTTATTTGTTTTTTTTTTGAGACAGAGTTGCGCTCTTGTTGCCCAGGCTGGAGTGCAGTGAACCTCCCGGGTTCAAGCAATTCTCCTACCTCAGCCTCCCGAGTAGCTGGGATTACAGGCATGCACCACCACGCCCGGCTAATTTTGTATTTTTAGTAGAGATGGGGTTTCTCCATGTTGAGGCTGGTCTCAAACTCCTGACCTCAGGTGATCCACCCACCTCGGCCTCCCAAAGTGCTGGGATTACAGGCATGAGCCACTGCGCCTGGCCAGCAGCCCTTCTTTTAATCATGGAGGCAGCATCTACAGAAGTATATGGGAATGAGAAGAAGGTCTATTCTGAAAATGAAGTGGTTTCCTGGCTCATGCTTTTGCCTTTTGGAAACTAATGATTTATTTGCAGGATGTTCCTCTTTTCCATTTTAAGTTTATTCTTGGGACCTGGAAAAAGAACTGTGGGGATTAGCTTCTGTCTAGAACTTGCTATGGTCCAACAATTTTACTTGCTTAGATTTTCTTTCCTTTTTTAAGTCAATGGTTTTTTTTAAATGAATCTATTTCAACAAATATTTACTGAACAGCCTCTCTGGCATGGAGTTTAAGAGCGTGGCAGTGGAGTCAGACTGGCTGGTACCAGATCCCACCTCTGCCACCTGCTAACTTGTGGCCATTGGCACATTAACTTCTCTAATGCTGACTTATCCTTTCAATGGGGATAGTATTGGTACCTGCCACATAAGAGAAAGTGATGATGATCGAATGAGATCATTCCTGTGGAGGAATTAGTACACTGCTTAGCACATGCTAGGCACTCAATGATGGAAGAGGGGGAGGAGGAAGATGGCACATGTCATGCCCCATGATAGGTTCTGGGGACACCCACATCAATGAGAAACAGTCCTTGCCCACAGGGGTCCATAAAACATCCATCAGATGTAGCAGTCCTTGTTGGAACAGAGAGTGGATTGGGCCAGGGATGGTGGAGGGAGAAATCCATTCACTTGCCATATGTTGGGCATGTCTTCAAGAGAAGCATTACCAGCCTGCCGGGAGAGGAGTGGCATGACCCGAGTTTGGCCCTTGGGAGACGTTGCTGAGCCTGTCCAGCTCAGTGCATTCTCTTTGCAGAATGTCTGGTCCTCAGTGGAGGTTCTCTACTGCTCCACACCTTAAGCCTAACCTGGCTGCTGTGCTCCTGCAGGAGAGGCTTTGGTTTTCCAGCCCCACCTGTGGCCAGGTGGCTAAGTGTCTCTACTTCAGAGATGAAGTACTAAGAAGCCCCTGTGCCCACACTTCTTATGCCACTTCCTTTAATGCAGCTATTTCAATTTTTTCTTTTTTTTTTTTTTTTTTTTTTAGACGGAGTCTCGCTCTGTCACCCAGCCTGGAGTGCAGTGGTGCGATCTCGGTTCACTGCAAGCTCCACCTCGCGGGTTCACGCCATTCTCCTGCCTCAGCCTCCCAAGTAGCTGGGACTACAGGCGCCCACCACCACGCCCAGATAATTTTTTGTATTTTTAGTAGAGATGGGGTTTCACCGTGTTAGCCAGGATGGTCTCGATCTCCTGACCTCGTGATCCTCCCAAAGTGCTGGGATTACAGGCTTTTTCAGTTTTAAAGCCGTGTTTCATTGTGTTCTCTATCTTTACAACTTTTCTGTCCATGTGGTAGGCAACCTCCAAGATGGTGCCCAATAATTCCAGGCTCCCGGTACTCATGCCCTTGTATAGTGCCACACTGTATGAGGCATGGTCTATGTGATCATTAGCATATGGCAAAAATGATAGTATGTCACTGCTGGGTTCTCTCTCTCTCTCTCCACCCCCTCCTTCTCCCATCACCTGCTTTGGGGAAGCCTGAACTCATATCATGAGCATCCCTAGAGAGAAACCCACATGTCAAGGAAGGAGGCCTTCTGCCAACAGGAAAGTGAGTGAGCTTAAAATCAAGTCTTCCAGCCTCAATTGAGCTTTGAGCTGACTGTAGCCCTGGCTGACCTCTTCGTTGCAACCTCCTAAGAATCCCTCCCCTCTAATCACCCAACACATCCACTCTCAGATTCCTCACTCTCAGAAACTGAGACAATACATATTTACTGATGTTTGAAGCTGCTAAATTTTGGGATCCTTTGTTATATATAACTAATGCACTGCATGTCTCAATTGTTACTGTACTCTGAAGGGGATTAAAGGGTGTTACTGCTAGGCACAGTGGCTCATGCCTGTAATCCCAGCACTTTGGGAGGCTGAGGCAGGCGGATCACGAGGTCAGGAGATCGAGACTATCCTGGCTAACACAGTGAAACCCTGTCTCTACTAAAAATACAAAAAATTTGCCGGGTGTGGTGGTGGGCACCTGTAGTCGCAGCTACACAGGAGGCTGAGGCAGGAGAATCGCTTGAACCTGGGAGGCAAAGGGTGCAGTGAGCTGAGATGGCACCACTGCACTCTAGCCTGGGCGACAGAGCAAGACTCCATCTCAAAAAAAAAAAAAAAAAAAAAAAAGAGTGTTATTGATTGGCTCCCTACAGTTTCAACAGATGACGAGATCAGAGGTGTAACACCTGGTCGACTACGCCCTAGTCTGGATGAAAACAGTGCAGGGTATTTGATTACCCATCTGGCAGTTGGAATCCTGGCTCTGCAGTTGCTTCCTCCCGCCTGATCATAGGCAAGCCATGTCAGCAATCTAAGCCTCAGCCTCTCCATTTAGTGAAAGGAGGTGATAATACCGACCTCATGAAATTGTTGTAAGGATCAAATGAAATAATGCATGTGAAAAATGTAAGGTGTGTGAGCTATTAACATGAATTTCTGCCATCTCCTATCATGAACTCACAGAAGGTGCTGGGGGACACACCCCTTCATCGCCCCACCCCACCCCACCTATCATTCATCCTTCCAGAGGGTGGGCAATAGAGGAGGACCTCGGTTGTGCAAGCTAAGTGGGATATGCCTATAAAATAGCAAAGGCCAGGCATCATGGCTCACACCTGTAATCCCGGCACTTTGGAAGGCCGAGGTGGGTGGATCCCCTGAGGTCAGGAGTTCAAGACCAGCCTGACCAACATGGTGAAACCCTGTCTCTACTAAAAATACAAAAATTAGTCGGGTGTGGTGGCTCACGCCTGTAATTTCTGCTACTTGGGAGGCTGAGGCAGGAGAATCGCTTGAACCCAGGAGGCGAAGGTTGCAGTGAGCTGAGATCATGCCATTGCACTCTATCTAGCCTGGGCGACAAGAGTGAAACTCCATCTCAACAACAACATAAAATAGTGAATACATATTTGCCTTTTGAAAATCACCCAAATATCACCCAAATCTCACTTTCATTTGTGCAAACCACCAAATGATCCCACACATTGGACCTGAGTGTGCACAGACAACAAGCTCTCCTCCCTGATTTGGTTGGAGGACATTTGGGACAACTGGTCCCCTTCAGAGTGGATCCTTTTTTTTTTTTTTAATTTCCAGGAAGAATAGAGTCTGATTATTTTATCAAGAGCTATTCCCAAGTGATGAGTCTCTAACAGACATTCAGGCGCTGGAAAGCAAGCATAATGCCCCAGTATTAAGTTTACTCGGCTAATTTTAAATCTCTGGGCATCCATCATGTACTTAGCTCCAAATTATACGTTCGGTCTGGGTTTTTCTTAGGCCTCATCTGCACAGCAGGTAAATAAAACAGCCCTGTGGAGGAACCATAAAAAGACTTGTAAAGACTCAGTGTTTCTGGCCTTAGCCAGGGCTGCAAGTCGCCTGTCCAGCAGAGCTGTCATCCAGCTACTGTGCAGTTGGCAATTCTAGGACCGTAACACCACCCAGGATAAATAACAGCTCAGGTTACTGGAGGCCACCAGCCCAAGAGGTCCTCAGCCTGGACCTCTCCTGGCTAAATCATTTGCCATCAAAACCAGCCTGTTCTTCCTGCAGTCTCTGGAAATGATCACTCTGGGACATTTGCAGTGACTGTCCTGGCCGCGAGACGGCAGCAGGGCAACATTCCGCCGTGGGTGCCAGGCCAGGAAGAAATGGTTTGGCATTTTCCTTTCTGTCCCCCAGCATGATGCCTGGAGACAGGACAAATATAGCGTAAACAATAGTCGAAGGCTGCAATTTGAGCGCCACAGCCTCGGAGGCCAGCTTCTTCTCTTTCTTTTTTGAATTTTTTTTTTTTTTTAAATCTAATGAGAGGGAAATGAGCCGGGTGTTTGGAAATAGAATTCCTCTTTTTCAGGTCAGGGTCTAGGCTCAGATTTGCCTGGTTGGAACAGAGCCCTGTTTCTTCTAATATGAAGTAATAAATGCATTCACTCACTCGGCAGCAAGTTTTCGAGCACATACCAGGCTGCTCAGTATCGAGACAAGCCGGGCACTCTGTGGGGACACCAAGAATGCTAAGGACTTCCCGGGGGGAGCTGGGGAGGTGGGTGCCAGTAGGGGCGTAGGTAGGAGCTAGGCCAGGTGTCACTGAAGTAGGGTTGAAGGATGGACCTGACAGTGCAAGTGAACATCGTAAGGGTGCAAGGAGAGTGGAAACTTCAGACAGAGGCTGGGTCGTGAGCGATGACATTGAGCTGGCTGTCAGGAGCTGGCCCTGGGCAGTTTAGGTCATCGCTGGGCCTGAGCCACCATCCTCCTGGCCTTCTAGTCTGACTCCCTGCTTCTCCTCAGACCCCCACTCCACACCAGCCTCACCCAGCAGCTAGCTGGGTCTTTAAAAAATATTAATCCCGGGCCAGGCACGGTGGCTCACGCCTGTAATCCCAGCACTTTGGGAGGCCGAGGTGGGCGGATCACGAGGTCAAGAGATCGAGACCATCCTGGCCAACATGGTGAAACCCTGTCTCTACTAAAAATACAAAAATTAGCTGGGTGTGGTGGTGTTATGCTACTCTCAGCTACTCGGGAGGCTGAGGCAGGAGAACTGCTTGAACCTGGGAGGTGGAGGTTGCAGTGAGCCAAGATCGCGCCACTGCACTGCAGCCTGGCAACAGAGCGAGACTGTGTCTCAGAAAAAAAAAAAGGCTGGGCGCGGTGGCTCATGCCTGTAATGCCGGCACTTTGGGAGGCCGAGGCGGGTGGATTACCTGAGGTCAGGAGTTCGAGACCAGCCTGGCCAACATGGTGAAACCCCACCTCTACTAAAAATTCAAAAAATTAGCTGGACATTGTGGTGGGCACCTGTAATCCCAGCTACTTGGGAGGCTGAGGCAGGAGAATCGCTTGAACCTGGGAGGCAGAAGTTGCAGTGAGCCTGGGCAACAAGAGTGAAACTCTATTTCAAAAAAAAAAAAAGAAAGAAAAAAATTTAATCCCGGCCAGGCACAGCGACTCACACCTGTAATCCTAGCACTTTGGGAGGCCAAGGCAGGAGGATTGCTTGAGGCCAAGAGTTCAAGACCAACCTGGCCAACATACCAAGGCTCCCTCTCTTTTGTAAAAAATAAATAAATAAGAAAAAAACATTAATTCTATCAAGCCCATCCTTCATGCAAAGCTCCCCCAGTGGTTTCCCAGCTTACCGGTCTCAGGGGCTACCACAGTCTGCCCCACAGATATCTCCTGCACAGCCCTCTGACAGCCTCTCATACCTTCTGCCTTCCAGAACACACTGGCCTCCTTTCAAATTCTGGAACTTTCCAAGCCTTAGGGCTATAGGACTTACTGTTCCTTCTACCAGGGCCTGCTTCTCGGGCGTGGACCCCGAACACTCTGTCTTGCCATCCTGAAATTCCTCATAATTTTTGAGCGGGGCCTCACGTTTAGTTTTGCGTTGGGCCCTGTGAATGTGTAGCGAGTCCTACCTCTAACTAGAACGCGCTGTTTTCTGTGGGTCTGGCTCCTTCAGTCAGCCGGGTCTTCCCTGCTCAAATGTCACCTCCTCCGAAGGGCCTTCCCTGGCCATCTGTCTGAAGGAGCTCCACTGGTCTCCCTCCACCCCAGAACCGCTTTCTTCTCCTCACGACACCATCCCACCCGAAGTGACCCCATCCTTCAGCTCTCTCCCTGTCTGCTGTCTGCCCTGTCCTGTTCATACCTACCTGCCTGCAGCGATGTCCCTGACTCAGAGCTCAGAGCTGGTGGCCCCGTCAGCACCTGGTGCCTGTGAGTGGCATGAAGAGGACAGGCTTGGGAGGAGGGTGGGTGCTGGGTCCGATGCGGCAGGGGAAGCCTGGGGGCTCAGGAAGGAGCAGTCAAGGGGCTGGGGGGCTTTCTGCTTAACCCCTGTGGAATAGTTGCCCTCTCTGAGTGCAGTCAGCAGTCATTTCATTGGTCTCTAGTAGGACCCTGTTCACTTGCCGTGCAGGATCATTGTGTTATCTGCTTGTGGGTCACTCAGCAGGATTTCTTTCCAGGAGGCCCAGAGTCATCATTAGAACAATCGCCCACCGTCCACCTAGAGATGAGTTAGCACCAGCATCTGAGGCTTGGGAGGAGGAAGGTCAGGCTGATTTTGTTTCTGTTTCTGTTTCTGTTTTTTGAGACAGGGTTTCTTTCACTCTGTCACCCAGGCTGGAGTGCAGCAGAGCAATCATGGCTCACTGCAACCTCAACTGCCTGGGCTCAGGTGATCCTCCTGCCTCAGCCTCCCCAGTAGCTGGGACTACAGGTGCACACCGCCTCACCAGGCAAATTTTTAATTTTTTTGTAGAGACGGAGGTCTTGCTAGGTTACCCGGGCTGGTCTCCAACTTCTGTCCTCAAGCAGTCCCCCCACCTTAGCCTCCCAAAGTGCTGGGATTACAGGCCTGAGCCACCACACTCAGCCTTTTTGAGTGTGCTGTTTGGTTGGTGGGTTTTGATTATCTTTGATGATCTGAGCTTCTTTCCATGAATGGATAATAGAGTCAGGCTGTTTTCTCTTCTTTTAAAATCTTTGCTCAGCCTTAGAGTGCAGGCCCAGGCAAGGCAGTTCCCCTGGACCACGCCAGCATTGCTCTGCTCTGTGTCCCATTACCTGGCACGACCTCTTGGGCCGGATAACTTGGGGGGAGGGAATTCTCCTCTGACGTCAGTGGTTGATCTGACTGTCCTTAAGCCAGAGAAGAAACAGGCTGGCATTTTCTTTCCAACTTGGAGCCTCTCAGACCCAATCCCGGCGACAAAGGAAGGGCTGTCCATCCAGGCAGGGCTGTTTATAGCTTCTGCGTGCTCGGCAGCTTGATGCAAGTTAAGTCAGGCTTGAGTTATTGACTAAATGTTTGCCTGTGCATCTCCAGGTTAGAGTCATCCTGCAGCAGAGCCCTTGAAGGACATCCGGAAGCGCACAGCTGCTGCCTCCGCGCCTATGTTTTGCTAACGGATGAAGTTTCTTCTGCAATTTCTCCAGTCTGAAAAAAAATGACTGACTTAAGGCTTGTGAGGGCAAATGGTTCAAATGGTACCGTATGCTTTGTATTGTTCAGTTAAGGATGTGCCTTTCTTATTAGGATTGTTGTTGTTGGTTGTTGATTTACCCAGGACTAGAAGATAGGACTGTCTCCCTCTTGGAGAGATGGAGTCTCTTTAATTCATTCAAGAAATCCTTAGTGATCCTCCACTCTGGAACAAGCAGAGTGTGAGGCTCACTTTTGGGGGAAATGAAAGAGAATAAAAATTGCTGTTGGTGTAGGCATAGCGGCTTACACTTATAATTCCCAGGCCCTTGAGAGGCTTGGGTGGGAGGATTACTTGAGGCCAGGAGTTCAAGACCAGCCTGGGTAATATAGCAAGACCTCATCTGTTGTTTCAGTGTCAGACACTGACGTAGGTATAATATGTGTGTGAGCTTACCGTGTCCTCCAGCCACTCTCTAGGGGGCGTTATTATGATTCCCATTTGACAGCTGAGGAATCTGAGTGCTAGATTCCTAGATTCCATGGCTTCCTGAGTGCAAAGCTGTGTGAGGAGTCACCCGGTGAATACATGGACAGCTCGGACGAGACCCATGGGTCCAACTCCAGGGTCCAGGCTCATCCACCACCACCCCATCATGCCCTGCAAGTTCTTTCCTGAGTTGAGAAGAAAGAAAATGACCTAAACTCATGGGCTTTGCCTGCAACCTCATGATGGGTCAGCCGGTCAGCCAGCCCCAGTGAAAACTAACCTCCTTCCACTACCTCTCTTGTCTGTGATCTTTGGAGGAATTGCCCCATTTGCTCTGTCCAGCAGAAAAACCTGGCATTGGGCACTTTTTCAGGTGTATTGCTGGCTGGACTGCCACATAGAACTGTGCAGGTTATATACCGCACACCTCCAGGGGGCACCACTCCATGGAAACTACTATCTCCTGCAGTCACACAATGGCTAATTGCACTCTTACTGTATGCAGTGGCCCTCAGTTGAGATTCATTGCCTTAATGAGGTCATTCAAAATAAAGGGGCTGAGAGGGTAAAATGAGCTGGAGGAAGGAGGGAAATTATCAAGGATGGGCACCACCTGGCCAGAAAAGGCTCAATGCCAACAATAGGAAAGAAAATGGTTTTATCAAACTTATATTAGCTATTGCTGTAGAACAAAGGAACCTAGAGTTTAGCAGTTTGAAACCACAAACATTTATGATCTCGCAGGTTTTGTGGGTCAAGAATCCGGGAGTGGCTGGGCACAGTGGCTCAGGCCTGCAATCCCAGCATTTTGGGAGGCCAAGGCGGGTGGATCACCTGAGGTCAGGAGTTCGAGACCAGCCTGGCCAACGTTTTGAAACCCCTGTCTCTATTTAAAATACAAAAATTAGCCAGGCGTGGTGGTGGGCACCTGTAATCCCAGCTACTCAGGAGGCTGAGGCAAGAGAATCGCTCAGACCTGGGAAGCGGAGGTTGCAGTGAGCCGAGATCATGCCACTGCACTCCAGCCTGGGCGACAAGAGCAAGACTTCATCTAAAAAAAAAAAAACAAAAAACAGAATCTGGGAGCAGCTTCACTGGATGGTTCTGGTTCAAGATCTCTCCAGAGAATGTGTTCAGGACATCAGAAAGGGCTGCAGTTTTTTGGGGCTGTAGAATCAGCTTCCAAGCTCCTCACTCATGTGGCTTTTGGAGGAGGCCTCAGTTTCTTGCTGACTGTTGACAGGAGACTGCAGCTCTTTGCCAGGTGGGCTTCTTCAC
The DNA here is from genome assembly GCF_000001405.40 of Homo sapiens. Classification (NCBI taxonomy): domain Eukaryota; kingdom Metazoa; phylum Chordata; class Mammalia; order Primates; family Hominidae; genus Homo; species Homo sapiens. Next base: position 13,539,030 of record NC_000001.11, on the reverse strand, counting down.
AGACTTAATGTATTCACCACATGGCAGTTGACTTTCCCCAGAGAGGTTGAGAGACAGAGAGAGAGAGAACCCAAGCTGGAAGCTGTAGTCTTTTTATAACCTAATGTCAGAATTGGCGTACCATATGCTGTTGGTCATGGGGAACACCATAGCACAGTGTGGGAGGGGATTCCACATGGCTGTGAATAGCAGGAGCGGGGACCATTGGGGCCATCTTAGAGGCTGACCACCACACAGCTAAGGAGTACTGGCATCCTTAGAAAAGCAAATTTGGGGCCAGGTGCAGTGGCTCATGCCTGTAATCCCAGCAGTTTGGGAGGCCAAGGCGGGAAGATCACCTGAGTTCGGGAGTTGGAGACCAGCCTGACCAACATGGAGAAACCCCATCTCTACTAAAAATACAAAATTATCTGGGTGTGGTGGTGCATGCCTGTAATCCCAGCACTTTGGGAGGCTGAGGCGGGCAGATCACCTGAGGTCGGAAGTTTGAGACCAGCCTGACCAACATGGAGAAACCCCGTCTCTACTAAAAATACAAAAATTAGCTGGGTGTGGTGACGGGCGCCTGTAATCCCAGCTACTCAGGAGGCTAAGGCAGGAGAATTGCTTGAACCCAGGAGGCGGAGGTTGCGGTGAGCCAAGATCATGCCATTGCACTCTAGCCTGGGCTACAAGAGCGAAACTCCATCTCAGAAAAAAAAAAAGAAAAAAGAAAAGAAAAGAAAAGCAAATGTGGGAGTCAATTGCTGGATCTGCTAGCCTGGGCTTCCTAGACCCCTCAGGCCTTCGGGAGTTTTAGCATTTGAGCTCTTTCACTACTCACATGGGTCCTAGAGATGCGCACTCCTCCTGGTCCTTTCCAGATTGGCTTTGAGTGATTGGGTCCTTGTCTTAATCACCCATTCAGCCTTGCCCAAGCTGTTATGTCAGCCAATAGATTTCAGAAAGAGTTTGGACCTGAGGTCTGAATGGCAAAAGCTGTTTTCCTCACCCTCTTAAAGGATCCTTGAGAAAGCAACCTGTTAGAAACTGGGGCCGCGTCCTATCTCATATCGTAGCTGAGGTTGTTACTGTTGGGGTTATCGTTGATGGGGTTTCTTATTTTAGCGCCTTAAATTAGGCAGCTGTGGTAGAGGTGAAGTATCCAGGCCCACACTTGCTCAAACCTGAGTTTGAATTCCAGCTCTGCCACTGCTGCTTTGTGAACATGGATTCCTTCCTCAATTTTCTTAAACTTTATTATTACATCTCCCAAAAAGGAGATAATATCTAGCTCACAGAATTGGGGAGGCGGCTAAGTGAGATACTGTGTGAAAATGCTTACAGGCTCTCCAGTAAATGGTTGTTGACACTGAAATGATTGTACCACATGGAGAAATAACCCCAGCTATTTTATGTCATGTTTTCGGAATGTGATTTTTTTTAATATAAGAAAACGGTCAGTTTCAGCTAAAAAGTGATAACGTGAAAAATTTGCTATAGCCTTAGCTGTGGTTTTATTACATCCTAGAGCCTAAGAATATTCTGAGGACTCATTTTTGCAGGGAAAGTAATGGAAAAGATGATTCGGGCTATAAAAATTCCAATTTGCAGTTACCTTTCCAGGAACACATCTCATCCATGAAGCGAGGGCCTGTATATCCCAGATGAGATGAGAAGTCGCTTCCTTCCCTTTCTGCTCATCCATTCCTTCATAATCGGACAATGGGTATGTTTTAGCAAAAACTATCACCTCCCAAGTTCTTTTCTGAGAGTCTCAGCAGGTGCTTTCTCATCTAAGATATATTCCTGTTTTCCAGGCAGCAATCCCCCGCCCTCCACCCCAATATGCATTATCATTCTGTGCAGAGGCCTTCCTCCTTAAATTCTACACTTAGGGGTATTGAAAGTCACCGCAATTCCAAGGCAAGTGTCACCCATCAACAGCTCCCGAATGACTAAGCAGGAGGGGGAAATGGAGCGTCACAATGCGAGGGTCATTTTCTGCCCTTACAGGAGCTCGTGATTAAGCTGAGGAAACAGCCCAGATTCACCCTCTTTGTATGTATGTCTTGCATTTGCAGGTGAAAGGTAGACCAGATACCCAGAAGGACTCTATTTTGCAGGGCCTGGAAACAGGATGGGAAACTGGTAATTAGGTGTCACTTCCAATGAGGCATTCCCCCTCACCTCCTCTCATCCTTTCCAGCGATAACATCCACCCTCTGCTGAGGTCATTCGCTCCCTAAAGAATCAGACGGCTGGCCTCCTGTTAGACGCTGGACAGTTTCCAAATTCAGTGTCTCCAATCTGATTTGAGTGGCTCTGCCTAAGTGCTTCCCTTTAAAACCAGAGATGATTAACAGCATTTCCCTGATGAGCCAACCATGTCTGGATTAGAGTTGAAGGACTGTTGGAACCAAGAACTCACACCCATGGAACTGGCCTCTGGAGTGGGGACAGTCTTGTGGGACTGAGCCCTGGGGTCCTCAGAATTGTACCTTCCAGCCGGGTGCGGTGGCTCATGCCTGTAATCCCAGCACTTTTGGGAGGCCAAGGTGGGCAGATCACCTGAGGTCAGGAGTTCGAGACCACCCTGGCCAACATGGCGAAAACTCCATCTCTACTAAAATACAAAAATTAGCCAGGTGTGGTGGCATGCGCCTGAGGCAGGAGAATCACTTGAACCCAAGAGGCGGAGGTTGCAGTGAGCCGAGGTAGTGCCACTGCACTCCAGCCTGGACGACAGAGCGAGACTCCATCTCAAAACAACAACAAGAACAATAAAAGAGAATTATACCTTCCATTACCTTCCTTTCCTCCGAAGTACTTGGTCCAGGGCTGATTAAGGGCTCTGTGTGCACACAGGAGGTGCTCAATAAATGCTTACAGACTAACGTGGTTCTTCAGACATACAATTTGCTCATTTTGCTTAATCTATTCCTTTTCTTAAATGATTTTAGGCTTGCCATGCCCCACCTATTTCCCTTCTGCCACTCAATCCCCTCCAAGGCCTGCTCTACCTTGTTCATCAAAGGCCCCACCTGTAAACTGCTAGGACATGTGTTCATGTCTGAACCCATCACCTGGAGATAGGATGGGATCTGTTAAAGAAAATCATTCATGACAATTGTTAAAGCGGTGAGGCAGGCTTTATTCTGGACTATCAGGACAGGTATAGGGATTGCTGTGATGGGGTTTTGCAGTAGTGGAGAAAGATTGGCTTAATTCCCAGTACAAAGAAAAGCGAGCATTTACAGCCAAAGAGTTGGGGGAGCGGGGGAGGACAGGAAAACTGTTGGGAAGAGAAGACAGAAAGCGTAGTGAGAAGACAATTGAAACATGTCTTGGGGATGGAACCAACAACCCTCAACTTCAGAGGAACAGTGAGTGTACCATTCTCTGACCTGCCGGGTGGTAAGTTACTGTGGGCTTATTTCATCTGTTGACCTAGCCCGGCCACTTATTAGACAGAAGATTCCCTAGGAAGGAACTTCAGGCATCATCTAGCCCAACAGGCTTATTTTAGAAACAAGACAGAAGACAAGAGCGGTGACAGATTTGCTCAAAATGACAAGTGAGTTAGAGGCTGCACTGGCCCCAGAAGACCGACCTGCTGACTCGTAATTCTGGGCTTTGTCATCTGCCCAGAGCTGTACAGATAGTGACAACCATGGGTGTGCTGGGGCCAACGCCTGCCCCTCCTACGAGCCAATCATGTCCAGGAATTTTGCAAGGCAGTTGATAAACACAGCTATTATTAAAAATTAAATTATATAAACTTACAACTAAGTGAATTATATTAAAAAGGAAAGTAATCATGGATGTTCACAGCAGCACTATTTACAATAGCCAAAAGGTGGAAACAACTCAAACGGCCAGCAGCAGGTGGATAAACAAAATGTGGCCTATCCATACAATGGAATATTATTCAGCTATAAAAAGAAATGAAGTACTGGGGTCAGACACTGTGGCTCAGGACTATAATCCCAGCACTTTGGGAGGCCAAGGCAGGAGGATAGCTTGAGTTTAAGACCAGCTTGGAGTTCAAGACCAGCCTGGACAACATAGCAAGATCTTGTCTCTACAGAAAATTAAAGAAAAAAAATAAGTTGGGCATGGTGGTAGTAGTCTCAGCTACCCATGCTGAGGAAGGAGGATTGCTTGAGGCCAGGAGGTTGTTGAGGCTGCAGTGAGCCACTATCATACCATTGCTCTCCAGCCTGGGCAACAGAGCAAGACCCTATCTCTAAAACAAAAGAAATGAAGCACTGATACATACTACAATATGGATGAACTTCGGAAACATTAGGCTCAGTGAAAAAAGACAGACACAAAAGGCCACATATTGTAGAATTCTATTTATACAAAGTATCTACAATAAGCAAATTGATAGAGACAGAAATCAGATTAGTGGTTGCCAGAGGAAAAGGGATTGGGTATAACTGCTTACTGAGTAGGCAGTTTCTGTTTGGGATGATGAAAAAGTTCTGGAACTAAATAGTGGTGATGGTTTCACAACACTGTGAATATACTTAATAATACTGAATTGTACAAAGAAAATGATTAGAATGAGGCCAGGCATGGTGGCTCACACCTGTAATCCCAGCACTTTGGGAGGCTAAGGTGGGTGGATCACCTGAGGTCAGGAGTTTGAGACCAGCCTGGCCAACATGGCGAAACCCTGTCTCTACTAAAAACAAAAAAATTAGCTGGGCATGGTGGTGTGCACCTGTAATCCCAGCTACTCGGGAGGCTGAGGCAGGAGAATCACTTGAACCCTGGAGGCAGAGGTTGCAGTGAGCTGAGATCACAACAATGCACTCTAGCCTGGGTAACAGAGAAAGACTCCATCTCAAAAAAAAAAAAAAAAAAAAAAAAAGGAATGATTAGAATGGAAAAAAATAGAAAAGGTAATATATACTCAAAACCCATCTTGTCCTAATCATTTTACTACTTTTACTATTGTCTGTGCTTTTGTGATTATTGATATCTGTGTATCTGTATGGTAGAAATTCAAATAGAATAGAAATTAGAATAGAATAGAATAGAATAGAATAGAATAGAATAGAATAGAATAGGATTGTAAGAGCAAAATAAAAATCCATATCTATTCCCAAGTCCATGTTTGGCGACAGCATCTTGGCGGCTTGAAACCAGCAATGGTGGGAGTACTGACACCACAGCAATTGGAAAGCACTACATATCAGGACTTAATACACTGTTCTTAAAAAACCAGGTGCAGTTAAGAAAGGGATGGAGAAAATATGGCCAGGCCCAGTGGCTCGTGCCTGTAATCCCAGCACTTTGGGACGCTGAGGTGTGCAGATCACTTGAGGTCAGGAGTTTGAGACTAGCCTGGCCAACATGTTGAAACCCTGTTTCTACTAAAAATACAAAAATTAGCCACGTGTGGTGGCACATGCCTGTAATCCCAGCTACTCAGGAGGCTGAGGCATGAGAATCGCTTGAGCCTGGGAGGCAGATGTTGCAGTGAGCCAAGATCGTGCTGCCGCACTTCAGCCTGGGCCACAGAGTGAGACTCTGTCTCAAAAAAAAAAAAAAAAAAAGAAAAAAAGAAAAAGAAAAGAAACGGATGGAGAAAATATTAATAATGTAGGTTAAACTGAAAAGTGTGTTGTGTCTGTAGCTGTTACATTGTGATTAGCAAAACAATTGAGGAAATATTCTAGTATTTGAAAACCTATCTAATTTAGCAAAGAAATTGTATCATTAATGAGGTTCTAATGTATATCTTTGTTGTTTTATTTCACTCACCAATGCACATGAAGGGACTAATCAACATTCATGCTGGAATTGTCCTTAGTAGTCAATGATGTAAGCATCTTCCTTGCTGAATTAGATAGCGATCAAGCAGTGATTTGTAGTCCGATTTTGGCAAGACCTGGTTTAATAGCAACCATAGGCTGACTACAGATCAAGAGTTCAGCAAAAAATTAGCAATAATATTCTGCGTGAATCAGTTGGCTATACGGGATTTATTCTTTATAGAATAAAGAATATTATATAATTTATTATTACCTGTAAATTATTGTATCGTCACAAAAACTGATACTTATTTATGTTTATATATAATATACAATTTTTTTCAGGAGAATCAGGAAACATTTACCAGTGCATGGCTGGTTACAACACATTTCCAGGCATGATGGGATCCAACTTAAAAAATGGGTAACGTTTTTCAAAGTTTTCCCCAAATGCAACAACCCCATTAGAATTATCATAAACTGGCCAGACGAGGTGGCTCACACCTGTAATCCCAGCATTTTGGGAGGCCGAGGTGGGCAGATCACCTGAGGTCAGGAGTTTGAGACCAGCCTGGCCTATATGGTGAAACCCTGCCTCTACTAAAAATACAAAAATTAGCCGGGCATGAAGGTGCATGCCTGTAATCCCAGCTACTCAGGGGGCTGAGGCAGGAGAATCACTTGAACCTAGGAGGCAGAGGTTGCAGTGAGCCAAGATCGCATCATTGCACTCCAACCTGGATGACAGGAGCCAAACTCTGTCTCAAAAAAGAAAAGAAGAAGAAGAAAAAAAGAACTATCATAAATTATTTTCAAGACCCAGAAACAAAATGTTGGCAGCATAGAGAGTAAGCGGGACTGGCACCAGGTGGAAAAAGTAAGTTCCATTTATCTCCATCTGCCAGTAGAAACAAATTCATTCTCTCCACCCAGAGGAGCAGTCTGCAGTGTATTATTATTATTATTATTTTTTTCAAGACGGAGTCTTGCTCTGTGGCTCAGGCTGGAGTGCAGTGACACCGTCTTGGCGCTCACTGCAACCTCCACCCCCGAGGTTTAAGCGATTCTCCTTCCTCAGCCTCTGGAGTAGCTAGGATTACAAGCACAGGCCACCACACCTAGCTAATTTTTGTATTTTTAGTAGAGACGGGGTTTCACCAGGTTGGTCTCAAATTCCTGACCTCATGATCTGCCTGCCTCGGCCTCCCAATGTGCTAGGATTACAGGCGTGAGCCACCATGTATTCTTCAAATTTCCTTGCCTCCCAGAGACGAGTGAGGGAACTAAGTTGTTTAATATTTAAATGAACAAACAAAACAACCCTTGCGTCTTGGTTAGCGTGTGTTACAGCAAATTCGGAGCAAAACCAATTAGCACACAAATAATCTATAGTTTCCTTGTATGCTTTTCAAGAGAAGCACATCATCAAGTGTGCTATATTCATAAAAAGGAATATTATTCGGCTTTAAAAATGAAGTATCAATACATGCAACAACATGGATTGACGTTAAAAACATCATACTAAGTAAAATGGAAGGATTTCTACAAAAGCATCAGTACAAAGTGCCTCCCCAGAGCTCATCCGATTTTTCAAGCCACCCCAGGAAGAGAACTTCTCAGTAGAAATCAGGTGTGTCAGGGCGGGTGCGGCGACTCACGCCTGTATTCCTAGCACTTTGGGAGGCTGAGATGGGAGGCTTGCTTGAGGCCAGGAGTTCGGGACTAGCCTGGGCAACAGGCGACCCCCATCTCTAAAAAAAAGAAAAAAGTTTTCTTTTTAAAATAAATCAGGTGTGTTGAACTCTTCTGCTCTTATATATCTGAGCGAAGGATGAATGTGTCATAGCCTTCAGAGGCACAGGAGAAAACGGGCCTTGTATTTGCAAAGCATTTTAGAATTTCCCAGGAGCTCTGCAGATTATCCAATCTAAGCCTTGCAGCAAAGTTGAGAAAAGGGTGCTGTTGGAATATTCTACATGGGGTGAGGAAACGGGGGCTTGGAGGGAGAGGCTGTTTCATCTCTCTTCATATAACTTCAGGAGGAGTCAGATTTGAATTCCAGCCAGAAGACAAGCAAGGCCCAACTGATAAAAGGGAGAAGGAGTTGCACTTACAACTTTTTTTTTTGAGACGGAGTCTCGCTCTGTCGCCCAGGCTGGAGTGCAGTGGCGCGATCTCGGCTCACTGCAAGCTCCGCCTCCCGGGTTCACGCCATTCTCCTGCCTCAGCCTCCCAAGTAGCTGGGACTACGGGCCCCTGCCACCAAGCCCGGCTATTTTTTTTTTTTTTTTTTTTGTATTTTTCAGTAGAGACGGGGTTTCACCATGTTGGCCAGGATGGTCTTGATCTCCTGACCTCATGATCTGCCTGCCTCGGCCTCCCAAAGTGCTGGGATTACAGGCGTGAGCCACCGCGCCCGGTCTGCACTTACAAGTTTCTAATAATCACGATGCCCGGAGATGAAAAGAGTCCCTTCAGGGAGGAACGGTTACAGCTATTAGTAACAACTGCATAGCTAGAAAAGGAAGTAAGAAAGCGTAGGCTGCATACATCAGGTTTCCTGGTAACTGGTAGACAGGTAGAGGGAGGGAGGCACGAGCAGGGAGGTGCTGGGGAGACCTGATTAATACCATCCCTCGTCCCCACCAGGGCTCAGATCAATGGAGAAATAACAGAACTGTTAGTGGACAGAGGACTGAAGCATTCTTTTTTTTTTTTTTTTTTTGAGATGAAGTCTCGCTCTGTCGCCCAGGCTGGAGTGCAGTGGCGCGATCTCGGCTCACTGCAAGCTCCGCCTCCCGGGTTCATGCCATTCTCCTGCCCCAGCCTCCTGAGTAGCTGGGACTACAGGCGCCTGCTACCACGCCTGGCTAATTTTTTTGTATTTTTAACAGAGACGGAGTTTCACTGTGTTAGCCAGGATGGTCTCGATCTCCTGATCTCGTGATCCGCCTGCCTGGGCCTCCCAAAGTGCTGGGATTACAGGCGTGAGCCACCGCGCCCAGCCACGTTGTTTTTATTACGAAGAAAGCTGACCATGAACAAGATGTCATTTAAATCTGAAAGCGAGTGCACATTCTGCAAAATGGAAACAGCTGTGCCTGCCCAGGTATAGGCAGAGTGGGGCCAGCGTGGGCCTCCCCACTCCTAAGGTGGAGCTGCCTCTGTAAACCCCCAGGTGGGAGAACAAGCCCCAAAAGTTAGAGAGAGAGAGAGGAGGGGCTGGGCTAGGCACATTCAGTTTCTCCAAGCTGCCCTTCTTCCCACAGGAGGAATGGGTGCCAAGGCCAAGAGCGGCTCCCTCACTAGCAGGAAACATCACCCCCCAACAGAAACATCAGCTCTTTGGGGGTTTTGGCTGGCATGGCCTTGGTGGGGGGGTTGGGGGGGAGTGGGCTGCACAGCCCGTTTCTAAACCAGCCCTGTATTTTGTGTCTAACTCAGCACAGCACGATGTGCAATCTCATAAACAGGAACTAGAAAGAAACAAGTCCCCTTTCATGCCAGCAGCCCCAGGGCTGAGCAGCGATTGTGGCTTTGCCTTCTCCTTCACCTCCTTCGGAGCCTTCTGCCTTTTCATTTTTTTTTTTCCTTTGAGACGGAGTTTTGCTCTTGTTGCCCAGGCTGGAGTGCAGTGGCGCGATCTAGGCTCACCCCAACAACCTCCACCTCCCGGGTTCAAGTGATTCTCCTGCCTCAGCCTCCCGAGTAGCTGGGATTACAGGCATGTGCCACCATGCCCAGCTAATTTTGTATTTTTAGTAGAGACGGGGTTTCTCCATGTTGGTCAGGCTGGTCTTGAACTCCCAACCTCAGGTGATCTGCTTGCGTCGGCCTCCCAAAGTGCTGGGATTATAGGCGTGAGCCACCATGCCCGGCCTGACTTCTGCTTTTTCTAGCCTGGTTTCTGGGCTTTTGAGATACCAAATGGGGACAATGAGTAAAGAAAATCAGAAAACAGGACAGGAAAGGACAGAAAAGGTGAGTGGGCTTAGACATCAGACAGCGTGGAGAGTGAGACTTGGAGCTTTGAAACAGCTGTGCAGATTTAAGCAAATTGGAGAGAAGAGAACCAGAGAGAAAGAGAGAGCGAGCGAGAGAGAGAGAGGAGAGATTTTTGAAGAGTTGCTGAGGCTTATTACTCGGAGACTCCTTAATGTTATTCAAGAAGTGCCAGCAAAGATTGAATTTATATTTTAGCTACTTTAGTTTGCAAGATGGCGATGGCATTTCTTTGAATTTGACACCATAGAGATTCTTTGCATGTATTCCTGGCTTATAACTGGATTATCCAAAATACTAAAACAGCAGGCCGGGCGTGGTGGTTCATTCCTACAATCCCAGCACTTTGGGAGGCCGAGGCAGGTGGATCACCTGAGGTCAGGAGTTTGAGACCAGCCTGGCCAATATAGTGAAACCCCATCTCTACTAAAAATACAAAAATTAGCCCAGCATGGTGGCTTGCGTCCTAGCTGCTCCGGAGGCTGAGGTAGGAGAATCACTTGAAACCGGGAGGCGGAGGTTGCAGTGAGCTGAGATTACGCCACTGCACTCCAGCCTGGCAACAAAGCGAGACTCTGTCTCAAACAACAACAAACAACAACAACAACAACAACAAGAACAGGTCTGGTCTTTTCTGAGCACCTGTAATGGGCCAGATGCTGGGACAGGGTATGATGAGAAGAGCGAGTCACAGTCTCTGCAGTCTGCCCTGACAGGGCTCATGATTTTGTTCAGGAGACGGACACATAAACAAATCTCTGTAGCTCAGTGAGGCTAGAGGTGCATTAGAGGTCAGTACCAAGCACTACGGGAACACAGATAGGTGACAGTGGAGAAGAAGTTGTTTAAATCTGAAAGCAAGCGCATATTCTGCAATGGAAACACACAGATGTACCTGCCTGGATATAGGCAGAGTGGGGCCAGCGTGGGCCTCCCCACTCCTAAGGTGGAGCCACCTCTGCAAACCCCCAGGTGGGAGGAGAACAAGCCTCCAAAGGAAGAGAAAAGAGGCTGGGTTAGGCACATTCAGTTTCTCTCTCCTCTCTCTTTCTGGTTCTCTTCTCTCCAATTTGCTTAATTCTGCACAGCTGTTCGCAGGCTCCAACCCTTTCACTCTCCACACGCTCTGAAGTCTCACCCCACACACCTTTTCTGTCCTTTCCTGTCCTGTTCTATCCCAGGCAGGCAAGAGGGGTTAGAATAATAGCACGGTGAAGGCACAGAGGGAAGAATGACGAGCACGTTGGTAAGCAGGAGAGAGGGGGGCCGGAGATGAAGGTGGAAAGACCCTGTCCTCATGAGGTCACATCTGGACACTGAAATCTTTGATCAGTGTTTGGACTCACTTTAAAGGTGAAGGTGAGTCAGGAGAAGTTTTTTCTTTGGTTTGAGTATCTTTTTCTGGATTATCAGATTCCACTTAGAGATATGCTCGGTTAATATTTATTCTATTTTGTCTCTGTGTGTGTCTATAAAACAAAATTAGAACTACACCCCACGTAAGGTTTTGTAAACCGTTGATTTTCACTTAATTGTATGACTTTTTATATCATTAAATAGTCTTCTAAAACTATCATTTTTTTTTCTTTGAGACGGAGTCTCGCTCTGTTGCCCAGGCTGGAGTGCAGTGGCACGATCTCGCCTCACTGCAAGCTCCGCCTCCCGGGTTCACGCCATTCTCCTGCCTCAGCCTCCCCAGTGGCTGGGACTACAGGCGCCTGCCACCACGCCCGGCTAATTTTTTTGTATTTTTAGTAGAGACGGGGTTTCACCGTGTTAGCCAGGATTGTCTCGACCTCCTGACCTCGCGATCCGCCCGCCTCAGCCTCCCAAAGTGCTGGGATTACAGGCGTGAGCCACTGCGCCCGGCCCCCTTTTTTTTTCTTTAAATTTTTGAGACGGGGTCTCACTCTGTCACCTAGGCTAGAATACAGTGGAATGATCACAGCTCATTATTGCCTTGACCTCCCCAGGCTCAAGTGATCCTCCCACTTCAGCCTCCCGAGTAGCTAGGACTAAAGGAGTACACCACCACACCTGGCTAATTTTTGTATTTTTAGTAGAGACGGGGGTTCACCATGTTGTCCAGGCTGATCTCGAACTCCTGGGCTCAACTGATTCTCCCGCCTTGGCCTCCCAAAGTGCGGGGAGCCACCACACCCAGCTATAAAATAATATAACCAACAGGATTTCTGGCTGAGTGCAGTGGCTGACGCCTGTAATCCCAGCACTCTGGGAGCTGAAGCAGGTGGATCATGAGGTCAAGAGATCAAGACCATCCTGGCCAACATGGTGAAACCCTGTCTTTACTAAAAATACAAAAAATTAGCTGCGTGTGGTGGCGTGTGCCTGCAGTCCCAGCTACTTGGGAGGCTGAGGCAGGAGAATCACTTGAACCCAGGAGGCGGAGGTTGCAGTAGTGCAATCTCAGCTCAGAACCTCCACCTCCTGGGTTCAAGCGATTCTCCTGCCTCAGCCTCCTGAGTAGTGGGGCTACAGGCATGCACAACCATGTCCAGCTAATTTTTGTATATTTTTGTATTTTTGGTAGACACGGGGTTTCACCATGTTGGCCAGGATGGTCTCGAACTCCTGACCTCAAGTGATCTGCCCACTTTGGCCTCCCAAAGTGCTGGGATTACAAGCATGAACCACTGTGCCCAGCCTCAGTTTTGGAACATTTTTATCACCCTGGAAAGTTTTCTTGTGCTTGAGTACAGTTAATCCCCACTCCATGCCCCAGACAGGTCTGCTGTCTGTCTCTGCATATTTGCCTTTTCTGAGCATTTCACAGACATGGAATCATACAGTATGTAGTCTTCCTCGTCTGGGCTTCTTAACACCACGTTTTTGAGGTCCATCCATGTTGTGACATGCACTAGTAGTTTGCTCTTTTTTATTGCTGCAGAGTATTCCACTGAATGGATATGCCACATTTTGTTTTATCCATTCATCAGCTAAAGACTGTTTGGGCTGTTTCCAGTTTCTGGCTATTATGAATTGTGCTGCTGGGAGCATTAGCCTGGGTGTCACGGGTGAGCTTACGTTTTCTTTTCTCTTGGGCAGATTACTAGGAGGGCAGGGTGAGGTTATTCCTACCTTGAATTTCTGAAAGCATCTTCCAAAACTGGCTCTCCTTCCAGTTCAACCCCTATACTGCGTCCAGTGTCAGCTCCCTAAAATGCACACCCGGGCCAGGCGCGGTGGCTCACGCCTGTAATCCCAGCACTTTGGGTGGATCGCAAGGTCATGAGATCGAGACCATCCTGGCTAACACTGTGAAATTGCGTCTCTACTAAAAATACAAAAAAATTAGCCAGGCGTGATGGCGGGCGCCTGTAGTCCCAGCTACCGGGAGGCTGAGGCAGGAGAACGGCGTGAACCCGGGAGGCGGAGCTTGCAGTAAGCAGAGATCGCGCCACTGCACTCTAGCCTGGGCGACAGAGAGAGACTCCGTCTCCAAAAAAAAAAAACAAACAAACAAAAAAAAACAACAACAAAAACGCACACCTGGTTATGTCTCTTCCCAGATTAAAGCCTTTCAGGAGCTCAGAACAAAGTCCAGATTCCCGACCCTGCAAAATATACTGGTTTTCCCAGTGCAGCTCAGCCCCTCTCCAGCCCCTCCGCAGCTCCTCTTCTGCCCCATCTCTCATCTTGGGTATCAGGCTTACCCAGGTGTGCCATTGTATCCCCAATGGGTGAGTCCATATGTTGGAATCCACTTAGAAAGCACTTTGTAGGCATCGTTGGATGAATGAGTGGAAATTGCAGATTTGTGATCACAGCTTTTAAAATGCTTGTACATACTGCTTCTTGGCCCTTTGGCAAAGGTTAAGTGTGAAATGCTTGTGCATAGCCATCAGACCCTGGGATGGCTGCCAAAAAAGGTCAGAAACTAATATGGACTAGGAATTGGGAGACCTGGGTTATTTTCTAGCACCCACTGTAAAGGTTTAGTGAGCCCTTCTCAAATGTTCATAGCCAAATTCATGAAACATTTCATACTGTTAGACCTCTATGCCTTTATGTATGCAGTTTTCTCTCTCTGGAACATATTTTCCTTACCTAGAACAGATTCCCCATCTGCTTAGAGAACTCATATTCATCCTTCAAAACCCTGGTCAGCCATCACCTCTACTGTAATACCTTCTCTTGATCCTTTCCACCCAAGTAGAATTATTATTCCCTTCCTCCTCTGTACTGCTGTATTTTGTACACACTTTTATTATTGTATATTTTGAAAAATTATTTGCTTCTACGTCTGCATACCACACTACACGTCAAGTTTTCTAGGGAACTACTTCCCATTTGCCTTTGTATCACAAGGCACTGGAGCTTTGGGATACAGATATAGGAGCTCAATAGTTTTGTTTTGCTTTTGTTTTTGAGGTGGAGTCTCACTCTGTAGCCCAGGCTGGAGTGCAGTGGCACGATCTCGGCTCACTGCAACCTCCACCTCCCGGGTTCAGGTGATTCTCCTGCCTCAGCCTCCTGAGTAGCTGGGACTACAGGAGTGCACCATCATGCCCAGCTAATTTTTGTATTTTTAGTAGAGACAGGGTTTCACCATATTGGCCAGGCTGGTCTTGAACTCCTGACCTCGTGATCCACCTGCCTCGGCCTCCCAAAGTGCTGGGATTACAGGCGTGAGCCACTGCACCTGGACTAATTGTTTGTTTTTTATCTGAACATTTTCAAGCCTTAAGTTCTCCTTTCATCAAAGGGAGATGACAATACATTCCTTAGCTACTCTAAAAGTTTTTTTTAATGAAAATAAAATGACTAATAAATAAAAATTCCTTGACAAAAGGCATGAGAGACTCTACGAAGGTCAAGTCTAGTCTAGTAAACTCTTGCTTGGCCAGGGTACCTGGCTACTCGGCTGGACATAAGTTGACCTTATTTGGTTCAGGAAGTGCTTGAGGCTCTCCTAAGCCTTCGTCATTGTCACTGTGAGGATGGGTGGAATGAGGGGTCAGTTAAGGATGGTGATTAAGAGCTGATGACTGTGTCTAAAAATGTGACCCCATCCTTCCCCAGCCCTTCCTCTGCTTTATCTTCGTTGCCTTTATTGCTCTGTGACATCATCCAACAAATGTATTTGCCTTGTGACTGTCATTTCATGGCAAAGGCTGCTGGTTGCCCAACCAAATCCATTCTCCCTTTTTCCCTGGCTCTTGATTAAACCCCATTCCTTAACCCTTTTTGAAGCAGGATGGGTCCACAGGCCTAGGTTCTCACTTACAGAAAGGAAACAGAAACAAATGCTGCCCCTCCCAGGCCCGGGCTTGAGCATGGTAGGCGTGGCCTCTCCGAATTCCCTTCCACCTTCCCGTGGCTACACAAGGATGTGGCAGCAGCCCAGCCTCACCTAAGCAGGTGAAGACAGTGTCCTAGGTGCTTAGAAGAGCAATGATGTGCAAGGGACCAGGGTTTTCCACATGACCATGTGGCTAGGGCAAGATTGTCCATCAGTCTGGGACATATGCCTTGAATTACTACTCAAGAAAGAAATTCAGGCCGGATGCTGGGGCTCACGCCTGTTATCACAGCACTTTAGGAGGCCAAGGCGGGCAGATCACTTGAGGTCAGGAGCTCGAGACCAGCTTGACCAACATGGCGGAAGCCTGTCTCTACAGAAAATACAAAAAGTAGCCAGGCGTCGTGGTGCTCACCTGTAATTCCGGCTACTCGGGAGACTGAGGCAAGAGAATCACTTGAGCCTGGAAGGCGGAGGTTGCAGTGAGCTGAGATGGTGTCATTGCATTCCAGCCTGGGCCACGGAGTGAGACTTTGTCTCAAAAAAAAAGAAAGAAAAGAAAAAAGAAATTCACTTCTTTGTTCTTTAATAAATTTTGGAGTCTATTTGTTCCCACCCAACCTTACCCTAACTTACACATACTAATGCTTTGTGACAACTGAGACTTGGTCTTTTTCCTTCACTGCAGTGTTCCTAGTGCCTAGAATAATATCTGGCTCATAGTAGGTGCTTAAACTAATACTGGCCCATAAATGAATGGAGTCAGAATGCCTGTGTTTGAATCACTGACAAGCCATGTGGCCTCAACCTTGTGGATCTCAGCTTCCTCACCAGTAAAATGGTAATAATTGGACCTACCTTTTGGATTATTGAGGAGATTAAGATAATATATTCACAGCTCATAGAGAAATGCCTGACATATATGTGCTCAGTATTAGAGATTATTATTACCACTATTATTATTATTATTTTGAGACGGAGTCTTGCTCTGTCACCCCGGCTGGAGTGAAGTGGCGCGATGTTGGCTCACCGCAACCTCTGCCTCCTGGGTTCGAGAGATTCTCCTGCCTCAGCCTCCCAAGTAGTTGGGACCACAGGCACATGCCACCACGCCCAGCTAATTGTTTTTTTTTTTTGGTATTTTTAGTAGAGACAGGGTTTCACTGTGTTAGCGAGGATGGTCTTGATCTCCTGACCTCATGATCCACCCGCCTCAGCCTCCCAAAGTGCTGAGATTACAGGTGTGAGCCCCTGTGCCGGGCAGCACTATTATTATGATTGCATCCATGTCATGTTTTCTCCAGCCTTTGGGGTCTTCAGTAATATTAATACTTAACAATGATTTTATGCTAATTTAGAATAACTTACAGGGTAGAAGAAGCCACGGCTGCCTGGATGGCAAATGTGTCTCTACTTCTGCCATTGGCTGGCATAGGTGGAGTGGCTTTACCTGTTACCTGTTTCAAGAACTCAATGAGATAGCTTTGGGAGCATATGCAAATGTATGCAAATTGCACACAAATTTATAGAAAACAGCCTTGTGTGTGCCTCCGCATGTACTAGAAAGAATTCTGGTGGCTTTATACAATTCTACCTTTGGGTTATGCCATTTTGTATTCCGCTGTTTCAGAAAGACTTACCTGGAAGGAGGGAGGTGCGTGCACATGAGTGTGTGCTCACGTCTGCAGGATGGGCCGGGGGAGGGCAGAGGAGGCCAGTCATGACAGCGGAAATACTGCTCAGCAGCCAGTCATGACAGCAGAAATACTGCTCAGCAGCCAGTCATGACAGCGGAAATACTGCTCAGCAGCCAGTCATGACAGCGGAAATACTGCTCAGCAGCCAGTCATGACAGCGGAAATACTGCTCAGCAGCCAGTCATGACAGCGGAAATACTGCTCAGCAATCAGATATGTTTGCTGAGCAGTGTTTCAGCTGTTAAATTTTTATTTTATTGATCCAAAATAAAATGTAAAACTCCAGGCTCTGAGGCCCTACCTCTAATCAGTCAGTCCATGCGATCAACAGCCACTAATGACCTCCCATCATTAGATAACCCTGCGCTGTAGATTTCCACAAGGGCTGCAAAAGGAGCTCAGGAAACTTGTCTTTGGGTTTGAAATGTCAAGTATCCTTAGGGCTACTCAGCTGTGAAAGGGTGAGTAATCAGCCACCCACCAGAGGTTTTTGTAAAATGGGCACAAAGACGTGGGCCCCCGACACAGCTGCTGTGAGGCTCACTTGAGAGCATGGGAGTAAGGGGTCTTTGCAGTGTTGCATATGGGTGTGAGAGCGCACAGGTCACTATCATTATTATCAGGAGAGGAGATCATGAGGAAGGAGGGGAAGTCCTGAGGCCGCCTTCTGCAGTATTTGCGGGGTTAAACAGATAGTACAGCAGCAGCATCATAGAGACCCACACCTTTAGAGCCTTCCAAAGCAATCCTGACCTCAAATGCTTGGTCTGCCAATCATTCCACACGGCAGAAGCATTTGCTTGTCACGCATGCGCTCATTCGTTCATTTGGCAAAGATACCTTGGGCACCTGCCCTGTGTGGGGTCCTATGCTGGGTTCCAGGATATAAACACGGAGAAGACACGGTCTTTGCTCAGGAGGACCTGTTCTTTCTCACACTAGAGCCAAGTAATAATCCAGGAAAGGAGAGAAACATGTTATCAATAAATACCACACTGCATGCAAGGGACAGTAACACAACGGAGGAAAGATACCAGGGAGAAAATAATTTGGCTGTACGTGGGGAGGCCGAAGGCTTACGGAGGAACGCATGTCATTTTTGAGAGTGAGCAGGGGCCTGCCAAGTGGACTGGCAGGGAAGCCTGTGCGCTGGGGTAGAGAAGCGTGAAGCCACATGGCCGTATGCTCCGAGAGCTGATTTGGAAAATACGGTCCGCTGTGTCAAGATGTGGCTTTCTCCAATCATCCTGGCCCAGACATCCCTGACTCCTCCAAATGCCTGCGACATTTATTAACCCACAGTACTTGTTTGGCAGTTACTGTACAGGACAAGTCCTTGCTGCGGGTGGCCTGTCTCTTCAAGGAGGTTGTGAGTCACCTGAGAACTGAGGCTGTCTACTCTGTCTTGGTCTCCCCGGGACCCAGTTCAATGCCTTCCTTTAGAATATTAAGCAGGCAAGAAAAGTTTTTTGCTGGAGGTGTCCAAATGGATGAGAATGTTCCCACCTTCAGATGCTACTATGTATTGAGAATCCCACAGGTGCTGTGCCGAATGCTAATTTGTATATTATCTCATTGAATCTTCACAGTAACCCTATGAGGTAGATACGGCGGGTCTCCATTTTACAGATGAAACAACCGAAGCTTATGGCGATGACTTCACTTGCAGAACAGCAGCTTAGAAGGGATGGAGCCGGGATCTGAATATGGGCTAACTGGCTCAAGGGCCAAGGGTTTTAGCTCTGACTCTACCCAAATGTACAGCTTCTATTTTGGTATACTTAATAACACTATATGAATTCGAGTTTTAGAGACCAACACATAAGTCCCAACTCTAATGAAACAGTGGTTATTTCTTCTTGTGGCTGTCTCTTGAGCCCTGAGCTCCTTGAGCATGAGGCTACACCCGCGCCCTCTTTATGCTCCATACCTAGCACAGCACTTAGTCTCCTGGAATGGAGAATAAAGGGGACCAGGGAATTGTTCAGGGTAATTCTAGAAGGACTTCTTGGAGGAGGCCAAATTTCATTAAGCAAACTGGGAACATGGTGGGAGGCAAGCCAGGAAGAGGGTATGAATAAAGGCGCAAAGGTGGACATGATGACATCATTTATGGGGTGCCACATGCTTTTGATGAAGAGGAACTAGATATGTGTTTGGGGGAGCCCCAAACTCCCAGGCTACTTCAGGGGTACAGTTGGAGTGCTTTGTGCTCTCCATGTAAATCTCATTCCTTCCTGGGAAATAGAGCCAAGGCTGTCTTTGGAGGGATGAAGTTCCTTGCTCTACCAGAAACGATGAATGAGTTTCTCCAGGTGAGATACTGCTGAGAAACTGGTAGCCTAGTTGACAGGCATCATTTACAGGTGACAATTAGTTAATCAATTCTTGAGTGTTCTGGGGCTGATTCTAGGAACTGGAATAAAGTATCGAGCCTGACTTGGCACAGTGGCTCACGTCTGTAATCTCAGTACTTTGGGAGACTGAGGCAGGAGGATAACTTGAGCCCAGGAGTTTGAGACCAGCCTGGGCAACATAGTGAGACCCCCAATCACTGCAAAAAGTAAAAAAAAAAAAAAAAAAAAAAAAAAAAAATTAGCCAGGTGTGGTAGCATGTGCCTGTAGTGCCAGCTACTTGGGAGGCTGAGGTGGGAGGAGCTCTTGAGCCTGGGAGGTTGGGACTGCAGTGAGCCATGATTGCCCCACTGGACTTCAGCCTGCGTGACAGAGTAAGAACCTATCTCTAAATAAATAAATAAGAAAGAATGAATGAATAAAAAGATTGGCCCTTATAGAGGTTCCATTTTAGTGGTGGAAAGTAGCGTGAATAAGTAAACAAACCAGCAAGCTGAGAAATGCCAGGGGGTAATAATAAACAAGTTGAAGCCAGGAAAAGAAGGGAAGCAACTTAGGAAGACAAGGGAGATTGACTGGAGAAAGATATGAGGTCAGTGAATGCCAGTTTGGGGAGGTGACATATGGGCTGAGAAAGCCCAAATGACCAAATGGCACCAACCATGCCAGGAGCTGGGAAGGAAGTACTTCCAGTGGAGGGCACAGCAAAGGGCAAAGCTCTGGTGGTGGAAACAAACATGAGGAATTGCATGTATGAAAAGACTAGAGTGTGGTGAACCAAGAGAAGAGGGGTCCCAAATTAGGGGGGTGGGGGAAGGAACACGGAGCCAGGCCATGCAGGATCTGGTGGGCTCTTGTTCCAAGTTCCTTAGTGTATCAGTTAGCTATTGCTGTGTAACAAATTACCCCCTTTTAGCAGTTTTAAACAAAACACATTTCAAAGCTCACAGTTTCTGCAGGTCAGGAGTCTGGGAAGGCTTTCTCTGGGTCTTCTGCTTCAGGGAGTGTCACAGGTTGCAGTCAAGGTGTTGGCTGGGCTGTAGTCTCTCTGGGTTCAACTGGGGAAGGCCCCACTTCAAGCTCCCGTGGTTGTTGGCAGGATTCAGCTCCTCAGGGGGCTATTGATCTGAGCACCCCCAACCCTGTTCCTCACCATGAGGGTCTCTCCAACAGAATAGCTTTCCTCATCAAATTGTGCAGGAGACAAATCGTTCAGGGAGATGACACAGTCTACCCACAAGACAGAACCTGAACACAGAATTGACCTTCATTGCCTCTGCCATATTCTATTTGTTAGAAGCAAGTCAGGGTCCCACCTCCACTCAAGGAATACCTGGAGGTGGGGATCATTGGGGGTCATCTTAGAAGGCTGCCTGCCACTCACAGGAAGTCACTGGAGGTGTCTAAGCAGGGAGGTGACTTGATCTGACGTGTATTTTCAAAGGGTCACTTTGGCTTCCTTAAGTATTGTGTGGGTGGGGGATGGGCAAGAGTGGGAGCCAGCTGGCCAGCCAGCGGCTGCTGTAAAAGACGATGCTGGTTTGGGTTCAGGAGGTAGTGGTGGAGATGCAGAGTAGAGGCAAGGGGGGCTTGCCAGTGGATCCAGAGAGGGTCACACAACGAGGAACTGGGGATGACTCCCAGGTTTCCCAGGGCTTGCAACTTGTACCTATGGGAGGATGGCGCTTTGGATTCTCGTTTTTCTCCTCCTGAGACAGACAGGGTGAAACTCTCTCCACCCTCCTCCAACCCTACCCAAGGTCGCACACTTGCTGGATGGCTGGCCAGCATTAGGAGCCCCGGCTGTGAGCAGAGAGCAGATGTCTCCTTGTACCAGGCTGAGAGACTGACCCTGTGTCCTCAGTCTCATTAGCCTGCCCACGCTCAGACCAACCAAGCTAGCGGGCCAGAGGGAGGGAAGCCGCGCCCCCATAACTGTGATCACAAAGTCAACCAGAGCTGGAGAGGGCTCAGGGGTATGTGTGTCTGTGTCTGTCTCAGATGGGCTACACGTGGAGAAGGGAGTGGTTCAGGGCAGGGAGAGTTACTACAGCTGACCCTAGAATGTTAGGGCATCACTAGTCAGTATATTCCAGAGAAACAAACACGTCAGCTCTTTATCTGAGGAATATCTGTCTACACGAAACCTTTATTTGCTCCATGTGGAAAGAGAGAGAAATAGATCATCATGCAGTTACCATGTATTGTGTTTCCACTACGTGTAGGTCTCACTGCTAAGCCCTCAACAGACACCTCATTTCATCCTCGTAACAACCCCGTGAAATAGACATTACTATTATCCCATTTCCTAGATGGGAAAACTGAGGCTTAGAAAAGTTAAACAACTTGCCCAAGATCTGTTTAACTTCAAACCCACATTCCCAACGGCTACCACCACCCTGGCTCCCATTTAGGCTGGTGAAAGATTCATTTCCTGCTTCCAGAGGCAAAACTAGGGGCGGGAGTTTTTCTTCTAAAACGTGGGGTCCAGCCTTGCTCCAGAGAGTAAACTGCGTTGAGAGAAGCGCTCAGTTTTGAGCAGTGCGAGCCGCAGGTGGTGCTCCCTAGCGGTGGTAGCTAAAAAGGGCAGCGGCCGTGGGACGGGAACATGGAGCTGCTGTTGCAGCCAGTTAACGGGCTGGTGACAAAGTCGCAATTGTGTCTGTGGAGCAGGGAGCCTGTTCCATCGAGGCAGGCTGCCCCAAGTAAAAGGCTAGAGAGTGTCTCCTTTCCTGGGGCCCATGAGATGTCCTCACGCTCCCTGGCCAGGCCAGTCAGGTGCTGATCAGAGGTGAAATACGCCAGTAACGCAAATGACATCACCAGACACCAGCCATACTCTTATTCAAACCTAGCATTTGCACCTAAATTCAACTTCTGCACATAAAATACTGGCAGCATCTTGTTTACGACTTAAGGCATAGGATTTTGGCTAATTTAGATGTCAGTCTGGTGAACAAAGGGGGATATTCTTCTTATTGAATTTTTCTTGCTTACAGCAACCTGGCATCGCGTGGTGGGTTTCCTGGGGACCGCCTTGCACATAGCTTCCCAAGGCCCAACCTCATGGGAAATTGGACAGGGATGGAGAGTGAGACATGACGTGCTCTGTAGTTCGGAGAACACAGGGAGGAGTGAGGATTCCGCTGGGGGTGGGGGATGGGGAAGGCATGACGTCAGGTGTTTAAATCATAGGGATACCTTGGGTATTTGCCACGCTCCTGCTTTGAGCCTTTTGAATAGGAATTACAAAGTGTGCAGACTCTGAGAATACATACGGAGACAGAGCTGACAAGTGGAATCTCTCAACGTTCCTCCCTGTTACCTGCAATGTTTGTTACCTGCAATGTTTGCCCTCAAGGGTAAGAGATTCCCTTCCTGGAGAGGGGGTGAGTGGGTGAATTGGTGAATGGTGCAGGTGGGGACTCAGAATGCCTGTGTTCTATTTCTAGCGCCTATCACTGACTCATATTGTGACCTTGCTGAGGTCATGGCTCTGTTTTATTTGTTGGGGGAAAAATTTAGAGGTGGCAAAGCTTGTATTTCCCCCAAGGGATGGGAGCTCTGGAATCTGAGATACCTCCCTGCTCCCTACAAAGCCCAACCATGTCTAGTTCTGCTGATATTAATGAAAAGAATGCTTACATTTGGATCCAAGGAACTTTGGGGGACACTCGAGGAAACAAATTGTTCCTGCCATCGCAAGATTTGTGGCCACTTTTATTGGCAATATTTCTCCAAAGACCTTTCAAATCATGTTCCCATACAAATACTTCCCCATGCGGCCCTCACGTTGTCTGTGGAAAGGAAGAAGAAAGGTATTTTTTCATTAGTTTCAGGATGAGGAAATCAAGGCTAGGAGTGGTATTTCTCAATAGGTTTGTTACCAAGAGCCCCTCTTAATATTTTAGTACCATGCATTCCCCTGTTTTGCAAGTCCTTGTCAACTAAATACTTGCATTTATTCAGTAGAAATTCATCTCTGTTTTTCTTAAAGTCACCTATGAATGCCGGTTCTGCACAAAAGGACTAGTGCTACCATTAAGTTCACTGGCAAGAATTGCAGTATTTAATCCGGGAGACCTCCTCAAAGATAAAGGCCTAATTTTCACCAGACTTTTTTAAATTTTGAAAAGACCTCCTCTTCATAGTATCTGGGGACCCAGGCTAAGAAGTCCCCAGAGAGATCAAGTGGCTTGTGAAAGATTCTGTGGCTAGTGGTGGGGCCAGGACCAGACCCAGGGTCTTGATTCATATAGGTCAGTGCTCCAGCCAACCAGACCACTTGGCAGGGAGGGCTTGTGTACACACCCAGACATACAGACACGCGGGCATGCACGTGCAAGATGGCAGCCCAACCAAATGCGGGTGTCATGAAACCATGATGCTAAGGGCTCAAACCAGTAATAGGTTCCCCTCAGTACAGGAGGGAGCAGGCAGAACCAAGCCTGAGATTGGCAGAGTGCAACAGTTCGGTTCAGGCTGCTTTTGCAGAGTTGCAAGGGTGGGAGATGTGTTTATTCTGCCACCTGCCTGCACTTTGTGTGACTCTTCAATAATTTATACATCATTTATGTAGGCAGAAGCATTTTCATCCACTCTGGGAGCATTCAGACCACTCCTCCCGACACCTGCCTCTTCAAGAGCATGAGACTGGGGTGGGGAAGCTGAGCCCTTGAAGTTGGGGATGGCAATGGCAAATTGGGCACCCTGGGAGAGTGGAGACAGAGACGGAGAACTGAGGGAGGTCTGGCTTAGTGGCCTGGAATGTAAGTAGGGGAAAAGCTGCAGGACTCCAGGTGCCTCAAAGCTTCCCCCTGGGTCTCCCCCGCCTCTTCCCCAGGGCTCCTGCAAATATGCTCATCTGTTGAGCCCTTGGCTCCATCCCAGGGGATCAGTTTTTTCATCCCATGGCTCAGAGGCATCAAGTCGGCCTGTACCTTTGGAAGAAGGCCGAGGGCTTAGCTTTATGGCTTCAGAATCCGAGGCTCCACCAATCCCCAGCATGGCCAGGGGCCAGGGAAGGGTCTCTGGGAGCCTGCTGCCCAACAGCTGTTCCCTGGGTTATTTTGGTCTAGTGGGAGTCTGTCAATTCTAGGGCATTTGGACCAAAATAGCCAACAGCGGGACAATCTCTTGGTAGCTCTGTGGGGACCCCTCCCCATATAGAAGTTTCTAGAATGAGGTGGGACAGAAAGAAAGGAGTTTGGCATCGGGGTGGTGAAGAGGGAATTTTCCTGCCAGTGTCAGAGGCTGACATCAGCATTTCCTCACTGTCCTTTCATCTCAGCCTTGGCACGTTCCTGACTGCCTCCCTAGGCTATCCAAGGTGGGGTTTTGAGGGGGAGAGAGGAAAAGATAATTTTTGAACTTTGTTCTTGACTTCTTGGTCCTCCCCCAAAGCTGATGAGATATATATTACCTTTTTCCATTTCACAAATGGAGCTACCAGGTCCACAGAGGCAGAGGTACTGGTCTGAGGCCACACAGCTTGGAAGCCAGGCCTGGTGACTCCAGGCCTCAGAGCCTCAGCAGCTGGACCTCTCAGACCAGCAGCTGATCCTTGCATGGATGCCAGTTCCATCCAGAAGTTCGGGGCCGGCATGGAAAGTGCTGACTGGCCCTGCAGGCCACAGCGGGGGCCCTGGCAGCCACTTGCCTCGCTCACCCTCCAGCCTAAGATGGTTCAAGTGCAGGTGGGGGAGGGAAGAGGGAAGACCAGTCACTCACTCTCTCCCCTTGGAACCCCGCCCAAATTCAGACCAGCAGACCCTGGCGCGGCACCCGAGAACCTGCAGGGATTGCCCCCGGAGCAGAGTCAGAGTGACCCAGGTCCCACTCCCTTTGGCGACATAGGGTGGCGTGCAGGGAGCGTGCTTTGGCACCAGGCGGGCGCGAGGGGGCAGGGCGCACGCCCGGGACACGCCTTAGGGAAACCGCTCCTGGGCTTGGTAGCTGAACTTAGACGTCGAGTGCAGCCCGCCCGGTGCGCGCGGCGTCTTACTGCCAGATCTCGGAAATCAGCTGCCAGGGTGGGGCCGCGTTTTGGCGACGGCCACTCGGCCACCCCTGCCGCTCCCGCCTCTCCCAAGAGATTTTTCTAGCGGGTTAATTTCCTGTCCGGGTAAACCCTTTGGTGAGTCCCTCGCCCCTCCCTCCCCGCCCCTCCCCTCTCCATCCCTGCTGTCCCGGCTCCCCAGTCCGTCCGCGCCGCGCTCCATCGCCCCCGCACGCCCGGGCGCACGCCCTCCCCGCCCGGGCCGCCCTCTGGCTCCCCGCGCCCGGCAGCCAGTGCCTCACCGCGCCGTCCCGCGCCAGGGCTCGCTCCGAGAGCCGCTTCCTTCTCGCCGCGGCCGGCGCGGGCCCCCCGGCCATGCGCCCCCGAGCCCCAGCCTGCGCCGCCGCGGCGCTCGGGCTCTGCAGCCTTCTGCTGCTGCTCGCGCCCGGGCACGCGTGCCCCGCGGGCTGCGCCTGCACCGACCCGCACACCGTGGACTGCCGCGACCGCGGGCTGCCCAGCGTGCCAGACCCTTTCCCCCTGGACGTGCGCAAGCTGCTGGTGGCCGGCAACCGCATCCAGCGGATCCCCGAGGACTTCTTCATCTTCTACGGCGACCTGGTCTACCTGGACTTCAGGAACAACTCGCTGCGCTCGCTGGAGGAGGGCACGTTCAGCGGCTCGGCCAAGCTCGTGTTCCTCGACCTCAGCTACAACAACTTGACCCAGCTGGGCGCCGGCGCCTTCCGCTCGGCCGGGAGGCTGGTGAAGCTTAGCCTGGCTAACAACAACCTGGTGGGCGTGCACGAGGACGCCTTCGAGACCCTGGAGTCGCTGCAGGTGCTGGAGCTCAACGACAACAACCTGCGCAGCCTCAGCGTGGCCGCCCTGGCCGCGCTGCCCGCGCTGCGCTCCCTGCGTCTGGACGGGAACCCCTGGCTGTGCGACTGTGACTTCGCCCACCTCTTCTCCTGGATCCAGGAGAACGCATCCAAACTGCCCAAAGGTGAGCCGAGCCGGCTAGGCTGGGGGAGGGAGGGAGGGGGGCAGGGAGAGGCCACCCCAGACCCCAGTCTGGGTGGGAGGAGCCGTGGGTTGAGTTTGGAAGAGGAGGCTTGGGGGATCCTGAACTTTTCCTGGGTCTCTGCTGGGGAAGTGGGTGGAGAGGGACGCATCTGGAATTCTTTGGAGTTTCTGAACCCTGAGGCTGTACTTCTTCCCCTGTTTCTCCAGTAACTCACTTTACCAAGTTAGGGACCTTCCCCTTCTCGGGATGCCCAGGATCATCTCCCTGGGCTTTGGGTCCTAGGACTGGCGGGTGTGGATTACTTATGCGTCCCTGGTAAGCGGAATGCAGCCTACTCTATGGGAAACGGCCGTATTCTCAGTACCGTGCACGGGGAGTCAGCCAGTTCCAAGGGCTCTCCAGCAGCTTCCCGAGCCTAACCTGGCCTCTCAGCTTCTCAGCTCCAGTTTGCTCTTCTGTCTAATATGGGTGAGGAAGATTTCTGATGTGGAATAATGGCAGCCCATTAAGAGCCAATGATGCAGTAATGATTTGTAGTTCTCTGTGGCTTTTCAGCCAGATGTGAAAAAGCTGAACCAAAATGTAGAGGGCTGGTGCCCCCTTTGCTTTCCTGGTGCACGCTTCCAATGGCGGCGTGGGCATAAAAACTCACTTGGCAGATGGGAACACCAGGGCGGAGGGAGTTAAGGGGCTCCATTAAGGCCCGCAGGAAGGGAGCACGGGTGGAGCTGAGAAGGAGGGGACCCCAGCATCCACAGGGATGAGCACCCAGAGTGAGGAGGCAGGTGGCAGGTGGGTGTCCTTCCCCCAAGTGGATTCCAGCCTCCCACTTGTGACCCTGTGAGCACCAGTGCCCGCAGTGACCTCTCAGAGCTGAACTCTGCCTCCTGCCTTGCTCCCAAGATTTCAGCAGAATTGGGACCACAGCTGCAAGGCGCACATCATCAAAGGTGACATACATGCAGATTTAGCTTCAGAATATTTTTTTTTCCATTTACGGAGAAATCAAGGATGCTGTTCATCTGTGTGCTGAACTCCTGCATTCATATCTTCATTCCCAACTGTCATCAAACACACCCCATGCTTCGGGGTGCTCACTCTTCAGCAAATGCAGGCCCCTGAGCCATCACTTTCAGCCCAGGCTGGCTGAAATTCCTAAAACGATCTGGCCTGCAGGGTGCAGAGTCCCCACCTTTAAACTTTGTCCTCATCCACTTGTCTGGTTTCCCAGACCCTGCCCACCAGTAGACTCGGTCCTGGAGACAGGAGTGACCGGATGAAAAGCTCATGGTGGGATGGGGTACACCTCGGTTCTGCTTGCTTCTGCCTTTCCTTTTCAGTGGGGTTGGCACCATTCACCCCTGTTGTTGGTTGGGTTGGTTTATTGGCTCCAGTTGTCTTCCAGGTGAAGGCAAGGTTTTATGAAGTCAGGAGCTGTGGGTTTGTCTCAGTTCTGCCATGGTGACTGTGACCTTGAACAGGCCACTTGTCCCATTTGGGCCTCAGTTTCCTCATCTCTAGAATTCTTGCGTTGACCTCTGAGATCTCCAAAGAGCCCTGGATTTGGAATCTGAAGACATGGATTTAAGTCCTGGCCTAAAATCTGGGGGACTCTGGGTGGGTCACTCCAGTTTTTTAAGCTTCACCTTTCCCTTGAGTGAAATCAAGACATGGGTAATGCTGCATAGTCCATCCCACCCAGTGGTTGTCGAGATCCAAACAAGGTGATGTGAGTGAAAGTAACGAGCAATGGAAGTGAAATGTTCCTCCTCCTGCTGTCTGTGATGTGGGGAAGAAACTGGACTCAGATAGGAAAGACGGGAGGAAGGATGGACAGGTTCAGAGCAAGGAGCCATGTCCAGAGCCCTGGGAACAGGGTTTGGGGGTATGGCTTTGTCTCAGCCAGTAGGGAGAGGACGGACACAGCTCCAGGGCACCTCACAGGGTGCAGTGCCATGAGCAGCTCTGGTCTCACTGCCACTGTCCATGCTGTGTGGCCCGAGAGTATCTCCTAAACTGTAAGCCACATGCAGGGTGGGTGGTGGAGGTTCCAGCAGTTACCTTGAAGTGAGACCCGCATTCAGGTTTGGACTCAGGTTTATAATCTTAGGCAAGTCCCTGACCTCTCCAAGCCTCAGTTTCTTTGCATCTGGATTCAGAATGTGGTAATGGTGTCCTCTGCCGTGCTTGCTGTGAGATTTAAATGAGATTATCTCTGTAAAGAACACCGTCTTGCTTGGCGTGTGGTAGGTGCTCAACAGGTGTTCCCCGCCCCCTCCCTCCTCCTCCTGCATTTGTGCTTTTTCTACTTTTCACAGAGACAGCTCAGAGCCCAGACTGGCACCAAGCTGCTTGCCTTCAAATCCTGCCTCTACTTCTTACTGATTGTGTGATCTTTTTGTACCCGTTTCCTCATCTGTAAAATGGGGCTGATACAGTATCCACCTTCTAGGCTTGTTAGGAGGATTAAAAGGGCATTATTTATAAAGGACCGAGAACAGTGCCTGGCTCACAGTATATACTATGTAAGTGTTTTAATTGGCGCTGTTGTTATTATCCTGTTTTGACTAGAGAAGCGATGTAACTTGCCTTAGATCACACAGAGAGTTAAACCCAGAGCTGGGGGTGCACCAGGATCTCCTAGCTCCCAGTACCTCCTCCGTGAGGACCACCTACTTCCTGCCGGAGAAAACCAGGCTCCATGAGGGTACAAGGTCCAGGGCTTTCTAGGCAGGCCTTCTGCCTCTTCCGGGGGAGGAAATTGAAGGAAGGAGCAAAGAGGATCCTACCCTTGCTTTCCCTTGCCTCCCTGCCCCCTTGTCCCCCAGAGAAGCAAGACAGAGCCCAGCGAAGTGGGGAGGAGATAAAGACACAAAAGTGGGGAGCACCGTGGTGTTTCTCAAAGCGTCACCTGAGAACCACCTGCATGAGAATCGCCAGGGGAGCTTGTGTGAAGTGCAGATTCACAGGACCCCAGATCTACGACTGAATGAGGGCCTGGGGGTAGGGGGCTGAGGCCTGGGGATCTGCATTTTAGCAAGCTCCACACCTCCAGGGGATTCCTGTGCATGGGGCTTTTCGCTGGCTCTGTGGTGCAGTAACTCACTCATGGTGGGACTGTGTATAAGTTGCCTGTCCTCTGTGCCTTCAATTTTTCTCTTATAAACAAAGAGTGTAGGTAGGAGGACCGTAAGTCTCCTTCTAAGTCTAAAGTTCTACAGTTTTAGGGAAGGGGACATTGACTTGGTTTTAAAAGTTGGGAAGTCAAGGCCTGGGGAGGCACGTGACCTCCAAAGACCCCTCTGCTGGAATTCAGGGGGCTGTAGTCTCTGGGCATTAGGGAGGGCAGAGCTCTTGGGTACACTGGGGCTCTGGGCTCATGGGCCTGAGATGCTGTCACAGTGTGGAAGGACTTTACACTTGCTGTCCCTAGCCCTGGTCCTGGGCCATAGGGAGAATATGCCGCTGGGTTTGAGAAACCGAGGCCAGTGGGCATGAGGCTTGGTAGGGGTCACTGGACTCTGGGCTTGGCTTTGGAGGGGCACAGAGCATCTGACACAGCCCAGAACATGCCTGGGAGTGTATCACAGGAGGGGCACTTGCAGCTGTCAAGGTGGGAGGCTGCATTCACCCAGGCACCCTCTTGCACCTCCCTTTCTAGCTGCAGCCACGTGTGGCCTGAAGGTCACAGCTTACAGCACTAGGAAAGAGATTCGAGCTGATTCTCTCGCTCTACAACCTTGACGCATGGAGGTGTAGGGAGGGCAAGGCTGGGAGGAAGGATGGACTGGGGCGGAATTAAACAGAACCACATGTCATGCCTTGGGTCTGTGAACCCTGTCTCCTGGGTGGAGACAGCTTCCCAGAAAAGATCCACTAAAGAGCGTCTGGAGCATCTGAGCATTCGGGGGCTTGGGTACCCCATGGGGCAGACCCTGAAGATAACATCCTGTCTAGGAAGGGCATCATGGCAGGCAGGTCATGTCGTTTAACCCCATCAGATTACCAGATCTGACCTGGGGCTTGCTGGGGGAGCCTCTCCCCATTTCCCCGAAGCTCCACTTCCGTTTTCTGATGTCAGACACTGTGAGGGCCTGGTTTGGTCAGAGGAATGAGGAGTTCTTGTTATACTGACAACATAAATGGTATTTCAGCCTAAGGGACAAACCCGGCGCTTGCCTGAAGGTCACACTGGTCCTTTCTCCCAGGTGACTCTATTTCTTTTTCTTCTTTGAGAAAATAAAAGCAGCTTTATGTTCCTGATGATAAAAATACAGGCTCCTGTTATTAGACTGGGGAAATGCCGAAAGTATCATGAAGAAAATAAAAGGTACCCAGAATCCCATTGCTATGAAAGTTTTGCTATATTTTATTCTAGTTTTATTCTTACATATATGTAAACAGATTGATATTATACTGTACATTCGCAAAATGATTTTTTTCTGTTACTGAATTGGGAGCATTTCCTGTCATTACAGTTGTCGGAGGATTTAACTTGAAATGGCCTTGAGAATAGGTCATTTTATTGATTTATTAATTGGACCCATCCCCTGTTGTTAGAAGTGTGGGTTGTTTCCTTTTATTTTTTGTATGTAGGCAGTGCTGAGCCGAATATCCTTACACATGGAAAGTCTGTGGAAACCTCTGGTTATTTTATTTGGGGTGGAAACACAGGGTGAAAGTCTATGCTTTTTTTTGTTGTTTTGAGATGGGGTCTTGCTCTGCCACCCAGGCTGGAGTGCAGTGGCATGATCTCAGCTCACTGCAACCTCCGCCTCCCAGGTTCAAGCTCTTCTACTGCCTCAGCCTCCCCAGTAGCTGGGATTACAGGCACCTGCCACCATGCCAGGCTAATTTTTGCATTTTTAGTAGAGACGGGGTTTTACCATATTGGCAAAGCTGATCTCGAACTCCTGACTTCAGGTGATCTACCTGCCTTGGCCTCCCAAAGTGTGCTGGTATTACAGGCGTGAGCCACTGAGCCCAGACAAGTCTATGCTTTTTTTTTAAACCCCTGAATGCATTAATGGTGCCAGCTGCCTGGCACCATTAGCAGAGAGTACAGGTGTAGCCACACCTTTCCCATTGTTTTTGTTTGTTTGTTTGTTTTGAGATGGAGTTTTGGTCTGTCACCCAGGCTGGAGTGCAGTGGTGTGATCTCGACTCACTGCAACCTCCACCTCCCAGGTTCAAGTGATTCTCCTGCCTCAGCCTCCCAAGTAGCTGGGATTATAGGCGCCTGCCACCACACCCAGCTAATTTTTGTATTTTTAGTAGAGATGGGGTTTCACCATGTTGGCCAGGCTTGTCTCAAACTCCTGACCTCAGGTGATCCACTCACCTCGGCCTGGCAAAGTGCTGGGATTACAGGCGTGAGCCACTGCGCCTGGCCCCCAGTGTTTTTTATTCTCATTTTTTAAAAATGTTTTTCAATTTGATGGGCAAGACAACAACATCTCCTTATTGCTTTAATTTGCATTATTTGCTCACTGGTCGAGTGAACATTTTGTGTGTGTTTATACCTGAGAGAGCTGTGTTCCTGGGCAGAGGCTTACTGAAGTCTCGGTTTTCATGCAAGTGACCTCTGTCCTGCTGTTGATGAGTCGGTGCATGTCCTGTGTGCCACAGTCCACTGCACCTTTAACTTGTCCCTTAGAGTTGAGTCACTGGGGTGTCACCTTTCTCACCATTACCAGTGTCCAGGAACCAGGTGCCAGCTCTTGTGGGCACTGTGGTCTGGCCTTCTGGTGCCAAGCCAACTGCAAGCTTGACCTAAGGTAACCTCACCGAGGGGTCTGCCTTGGTTGCTGCCTGGAGAGCCCCCACAGGGTCATCCTACTCTGGCCCCAAAAACCAGATCTTTCTAAAAATGTTCAACTCATCCAGTTACTCTACCAGTGAACTCAAAGGGAACGCTTTTTGCTGAACAACATAAGACAGTGGACAGATAGCCCCAGGGGAACCCAGGAGGGGATTTGGTTTGGAGAGGACAGTATCGCCAGTAGGTACATCAGGCAAGTTCCAGCCGGCTCAGTTACCCAAAGGGTTAAGCCCTTTAAGCCAAGTGGCTGCACAGTTCCTGCTGTCCTAGCATCTTGTGGTCTGGAACATGGTTTGCAGGGATGAGGTGCTTGGCCGGCCTTATCAGCCTTCGGGCTGGTGCGGGCTGTAAAAATGCATCAGGGCCAGGCGTGGTGGCTCAGGCCTGTAATCCCAGCACTTTGGGAGGCCAAGGCGGGCGAATCACCTGAAGTCAGGAGTTCAGGACCAGCCTGGCCAAGATGGTGAAACCCCATCTCTACTAAAAATACTAAAAACTAGCTGGGCACGGTGGCGTGCACCTGTAATCCCAGCTACTTGGGAGGCTGAGGCAGGAGAATCGCTTGAACCTGGGAGGTGGAGGTTGCAGTGAGCCGAGATCATGCCACTGCACTCCAGCCTGGGCGACTGAGCGAGACTCTGTCTCAAAAAAAAGAAAAAAGAAAATAGAAAAAGAAATGCATCAGGACCTCCATGTGCTGGGAGTTGTGGTGAGTCCCTGGGTCAGGAGCATTGGTGGTTCTGAGTCAACTCATATCCTGAGCACGGCCACAGTAAGATCCCAGCCGAGTGCATCCCTTTCGGTCCCGGGAAACATCATGGGCTGTGATGCCGCAGGTCCATGCCTGTGCTGTTACCTGTCCTGGGGTTCTTTCTTCCTCCCCATTCCCTGCCTTGACTTCTTTACCCTTCTGGTTCCCACTTAACCTTCCATGCTCCACCTCTTCCCTGGGCTCCTGAGGCTGGGTTGGGAGCCCATCCTGTGCGATCTCGTGGGATGCTGTGCTTATCCTGTGACCACTGCCTGACGTTACAGGTCACGTCTGACCCTTTTTGAGGAGGCAACATGTGTCTTGTTCTTCCTTGAATCCCCAGAGGCTCGTACAACACAGGGCATATTTGGAAACCTTCCAGTGGCTCCCATTGCATTTAGAATCAACCGAGCTCCCTCCCACAGCCCAGACGGGCCCCTCCTTATCACTTCTCCTCCCTCCCTGCCCCTTCCCCACCCAGGCCACACCAGCCTTGTTCTGTCCCCGGAACACGCCCAAGTGCCAGTATCCAGCCGGAGCCCCTGAACTTGCTGCTGTCTGCCTGGAAGGACACCTCCCCCGACCCCGATCTTCCTCATCACCAGGTCTTCCATCAAGCATCACCTCCTCCGAGAGGCCTTCCCTGACCATCCCACCCCTACCCCATCACTCTTGGTCACATCTTCTTGTTGTAGTTACGTCGTAACATTCACTGAGGTTGACATTATCAAATTCATACATTTTGTCCCACTAGAAATGCAGGCTCCAAGAGGCCAGCACGCCTGCTGCTGTCAGCCGCACCCTGCGTAGGAGACTAGGAGGGTCTCAGTGAGGCTGTGGGAGTGAGTGAGCCAAGGAATGCACACTCCTAGGGGTCATCCAGGGACGGGCCCAAATCACTGGCCTTTGTTTTTGTTTTCAGCAAATACCCCTCGGTGGCTTTGGGTCAGCAAAGCATATCCGGATTGCCTTCAGCCAAGGCAGGGCCCAGAATGCATGTTCTCAGGGTTTCTTTCCTAGGTTGGGTTGTTGTGATCTTGGTCAAATCCCCGGTAGCCCCCTGAGCCGCAGCTCCTGCTATGCAGGAGGGAGGGAGCGGCTACTCTGCCCCCAGCTGCGGGAGTGGTGCTGGAAGAGGAGAGGAGCCCTGGAGAGGCTGCTGGAATGTTCTTCCCTCCTCTGCTAAGCACAGCGGGAGTGGCTGATGGACAGAGTTCAGGATGCCGAGGCCACAGGTCTCAGTTTAACTCCAGCTGAATCGGACAGCTTTGCTTATCAATTCACAGAAACAAACCAATGTCATCTGGAGTAAGCAAATAGGAGGGTTACTCTTAAGGATGCAGGTGTGTCCAGGAACACTTGGTCCTGAACAGTCAAGCCCCAGGAAGTCGTGGGAGCAGAACTGGGGCACAGGAAACAGCACCCCTTTTCCTCGCTCATATGCTTGTCTCCGCTTCTCATACTGTTTGTTTTTTCTTTCTTTGTTTCTCTTTTCTTTCTCTTTTTCTTTTTTCTTTTCTTTTCTTTCTTTCTTCTTTCTCTTTTCTTCTTTTCTCTTTCTTTCTCTCTGTCTCTTCTTTCTTTCCCTCTCCCCTTCCCTCCCTTCCCCTCCCCTCCCCTCCCCTCCCTTCCCCTCCCCTCCCCCCTTCAACACAGTCTCACTCTGTCACCGAGGCTGGAGTGCAGTGGCGCAATCTCGGCTCACTGTAACCTCTGCCTCTCGGGTTCAAGCTATTCTCATGTCTCAGCCTCCTGAGTAGCTGGGATTACAGGTGTGTACACTACCACACCCAGCTATTTTTTGTATTTTTAGTAGAGACGGGGTTTTGCCACATTGGCCAGGCTGGTCTCGAACTCCTGGCCTCAAGTAAACCACCCACCTTAGCCTCCCAAAGTGCCGGGATTACAGGCGTGAGCCACTGTGCCCAGCCTCATGCTGATTTCTTATTTTTCTCTCTGTGTATTGATGGGCTTTCTGTTTTCCTATCTGTGTGGCAGAAAATATGTACCGTGGTTACCATGGGTCTGGGGCAGGGCTGGGCAGGCCACCCCCGGCATCCATGACTGTCTGTGCTTCCAATGAGCTGTCCGATGGCAGATAAGTCCCCTGATGTTCCTGGTCCTCAGTGTCCCCGGTCAAATGTAGGTGATAGCATCTCTCCTTTGACCTCAAGTGATAGTCATATAAAGAAGCTTTTGAGCAATTTCCTCCATCACCACGTATAGAAGCTGTTATTATTTTGTCTTCGTTTAAAGCACAGAAATGTGGCCAAACAGACCAGATACGTATACAGATATATGAAACCCAATGAACTAAGGAATTGCCTGTCAAATCCCAAACGTGTGACAACCCACGCAGACAGCAGTATCTGAGACAGCGCATCCTCCCAGCGGCTCTTGGCCGGCTCTTGCACGTCGGAGGCTGCCAATTAAGAGTCCTCTGGTGTCCCATCTTCTCCATCCTCCCAGCTGGATACGTGGTAAATGTCAAGGTCAGGGAGTCAGGACCTTGAGGGAGCTATGGGCCATTGAAGATGAAGGGGCAGCTTCTCAAAGGCCAACAGAAACCGAACAGCCAAGGATCGTGGTCCCAATCCGGGCTCCAACATTAGCTCCCAGTGGGTCCTCCGAGTCACGTGCTTTTCTCGGCTTCAGCCTTCTCATCTCTCAGAGAGTGGATTTTCCCAGGTAAGGAGTGCAGGAATGAGACCCCAGATGCCCCCAGGGTCAGCTGGGTGAGGTTAGCAGAAGCAGCCAGTTGGAGTCAGCAGAGAATATAGGTATATAAACAATTTAGAATGGGCTGGGCGTGGTGGCTCACGCCTGTAATCCCAGCACTTTGGGAGGCTGAGGCGGGCAGATCACCTGAGGTCAGCAGATCGAGACCAGCCTGGCTAACATGGTGAAACCCCGTCTCTACTAAAAATCCAAAAATTAGCCAGGCATGGTGGAGCATGCCTGTAGTCCCAGCTACTCGGGAGGCTGAGGCAGGAGAATGGCATGAACCCAGGAGGCGGAGCTTGCAGTGAGCCGAGATCGTGCCACACTGCACTCCAGCCTGGGTGACAGAGTGAGACTGTCTCAAAATAAATAAATAAATAAAAACAAAATAAATAAATAAACAATTTAGAGTGCTGGCTGAACTCCAAAACATGTTCCTCCCACTGGCCACCAGTGGTAGATCCCTGCTCTAGGTGACCAAGAGGGCCCCTTTTCATTCTGATGTAAGCTGATGCTGGGACCTCTTGTGTCAGCCTCCTCCAGGGCAGATGAAAGAGTCTGAGGCTCC
The DNA here is from genome assembly GCF_000001405.40 of Homo sapiens. Lineage (NCBI taxonomy): Eukaryota > Metazoa > Chordata > Mammalia > Primates > Hominidae > Homo > Homo sapiens. The sequence goes on along the minus strand of NC_000001.11, from coordinate 13,503,080 downwards.
CAGCAAAGGTCCCCTGGGTGGGTCCCTGTGGCAAATGTCCCACCACCCCAGGAGCTCCCTTTCAAATCAGGAGGTGCAAGAGTATGTTCCTGTCTTCATTTGAAAAGAATACTTCCCTCCTTGAGTTATTGGAAAGAATAGCATTGCTTTTTCGTAAGACCCCAATGAGATGATGTGTGCTTTTAGATCATCTACATCAGAAATGATCATCTACATCAGAAGTGAAAGTTGAAGGTGGTCACCTGGAGTGGGGCAAGGAGCTTAGAGCCGAAGGTCAGGACCTCCTTCACTTGACAGGTCACCTAACTTCCCTGGGGTTTTGTTCCCTTGCCCGTCATCCTGAGGTTTGTCGAGAGGATCGAGGAAACACAGATGTGAAAGATCTTTAGAAGAGAATGGAGGAATGTTTGCAAATGAGGAGGGCTTGTGTTAGCCCAGTAAAATGACAGTGGTTTATAGACCATTCCTCATCTCCCCTTCCAAGTCACATGGCAAGCCACAGAATAGCAACAGGGCAGCCAGACAAGGAGAGAGGGTGACGGTCCAGGCCACAAGAACTGCTTGCTGATGGGAAACCCCGGCTCCAGAGTTCATTTGTGTGTGCAGGAGTCAGAGGGAGGAGGTGGTGAGCGGGTGAGGAACCCTCCCAGCCAGTGCCTGGGAGCAGCAAGGCTGGGGAAGCAAGTGGGGGCAGGTATGGGAGCCCCGAGGTCAGGGGAAAGAAGCAAGTTCCCTGGAAAAGTGACCAGAAGGATAGACAGCCTAGTGTCAATAGTGATTTTGTCTGGGTGAGAAGGTGGCTTTATTTTATTTTATTTTATTAAATAATCAATAGACTTTGGCCGGGTGCGGTGGCTCACACTTGTAATCCCAGCCCTTTGGGAGGCCGAGGCGGGCAGATTACCTGAGGTCAGGAGATTGAGACCAGCCTGGCTAACATGGTGAAACCCCGTCTCTACTAAAAATACAAAAAAAAAAAAAAAAAATTGGCTGGGCGTGGCAGCGTGCCCCTGTAGTCCCCACTGCTGGGGAGGCTGAGGCAGCAGAATGGCATGAACCCAGGAGGTGGGGCTTGCAGTGAGCCAAGATCATGCCACTGCATTCCAGCCTGGGTGACAGAGCAAGACTCCATCCCCCACCAAAAAAAAAAATTAGCCAGGTGTGGCGGCAGGTGCCTGTAGTCCCAGCTACTCGGGAGGCTGAGGCAGGAGAATGGTGTGAACCCAGGAATGGTGCAGATCGTGCCACTGCACTCCAGCCTGGGCAACACAGCGAGACTCTATCTCAAAAAACAAACAAACAAACAAACAAAAACAAAAATGAGCCGGGCATGGTGGCGCGCACCTGTAATCCCAGCTGCTAGGGAGGCTGAGGCAGGAGAATTGCTTGAACCTGGGAGTTGGAAGTTGCAGTGAGCCAAGATCGTGCCACTGCACTCCAGCCTGGGCAACAGAGTGAGACTCTATCTCAAACAAACAAACAAAAAACAAAAAACTCCACAAAAATTAGTCGGGCATGGTGGCGTGCACCTGTAATCCCAGCTGCTAGGGAGGCTGAGGCAGGAGAATTGCTTGAACCCAGGAGTTGGAAGTTGGAGTGAGCTGAGATCACTCTACTGCACCCCAGCCTGGGCAACAGAGTGAGATTCCGTCTCAAAATAAATAAATAAATAAAATAATTAATAGACTTTGTTAAGAGCAATTTGAGGTTTATGGAAAATTAAGCAGACAGTAAAGATTTCCCTTTACCCCTTACCCTGCACAGTTTCCCCTCTTTTAACATCTTGCATTAGTATGTCACATCTGTGCCATAAATACATATGTACTATATATAGTATATATAGTGTATTTATATGCTGTATATATTCATATATATTAGCATGCCACATACTATTTAGTATATACTAATATATATGCGTATATATATCTATATTAGTATGCCACATCAGTACCATATATTGCATAAACCAATATGATGAACCAGTGTCACTGTGATTATTCACTAAAGCCCACAGCAAGTTTACATGAGGGTTCATTCTGTGTTGCATGTTCCATGGGTTTTGACAAAGGGATTACGTCATGTAATCCTTCACGATCATAGAATCACGCAGAATAGTTTTACTGACCCTCAAAATCTTTGTGCCCCGCTCATTCATTCCTCTCCCCTCCCTCCTCAACCCCTCATGACCACTGATCTTTTCGCTGCCTCTAGCTTTGCCTTTTCCAGAACGTCGTATCATTTAAAATTTCTCTTTCGTATGCTTTCTGGCGTTCACTTTATAACCTTTTATTTTAGTATAACACTGTAAACCAAAAGGTATCTGAGACAGGTCTCAATCAGTTTAGAAAGTTTATTTTAGCAAGGTTCAGAATGCGTGTATGACATAGCCTCAGGAGGTCCTGAAGACATGGGCCTAAGGTGGTCGGGGCACAGCTTGGTTTTATACATTTTAGGAAGACATGAGACATCAGTCAATATATGTTAGATGTACCTTGGTTCGGTCCGGAAAGGTGGGACAACTTGAAGTGGGGAGGGGGCCTCCAGGTCATAGGTAAATAAGAGACAGTTTCATTCTTTTAAGTTTCTGATTAGCCTGTTGCTGAATGCACCATTTACAGGAATAGTCACTTATGCCACAGTGTGGCTTAGTGAAACAGTAGGGCAAAGGAAGCATTCAGATGGGCATTCATCTCATATGAGCAGAGAGATGACTTTGAGTTCTTCCTGCGCTTTGTCCACAGAGAATTTCCTTGTGGGCAAATTGTGAGGGAGGTATGTAGCTTTTTTCTTTTCTTTTTTAAATCTTGCAGCTTTTTTTTTTTTTTTGAGACAGAGTCTCACTCTGTCGCCCGGGCTGGAGTGCAGTGGCATGATCTCGGCTCACTGCAATCTCTGCCTCCCGGGTTCAAGTGATTCTCCTGCCTCAGCCTCCCAAGTAGCTGGGATTATAGGCGCGCACATGCTACCCAGCCCGGCTAATTTTTGTAGTTTTAGTAGAGACGGGGTTTCTCCATGCTGGCCAGGCTGATCTCCAACTCCTGCCCTCAGGTGATCTGCCTGCCTCGGCCTCCCAAAGTGCTGGGATTACAGGCATGAGAGACCAAGCCCAGCCAATCTTTGTAGCTATCTTATTTAGGAATAGAATGGGAGGCAGGTTCGCCCTGTACAGTTCCCAGCTTGACTTTTCCCTTTGGCTTAGTGATTTGGGTGAGATTTATTTTCCTTTCACAATACACATACGGAAAGCGTGCATACCTACTGCGAGCAACCTCCCGTGGGTCGCACTGTGGTCTGGAAGCCTGCACACAGCTCCAGTCCTGCTGCCTCTCTGCCTCATGTAACTAACTGCCTGCTCCCCTTATCTTTTCAGGCTGGGGCCGTGAGACCACCCCTCCCACTGGCCTGAGCCCTGGGGTACCGCACTATCCCTGTTGACTTCCTAAATCCAGTACACACTTTTGTAACCAGCCCCTTTGTTAGACTCACTTCAAATAACCCTGTTTGAGTGGGCCATGCTGGGATCCTGACAAAGGAAGCAAATTCCTGCAAGGAATTGAGCAAGGAGCAATGGAAAAGGATGCTATGGGTTGAATTGTGTCTCCCTGTTACCCCCAAGTTCACACATGGAAGTCTTAACTCTAAATACTTCAGAATGTGACCTTGTTTAGAAATAGGATCATCTGGCCAGGTGCGGTGGCTCATGCCTGTAATCCCAACACTTTGGGAGGCCGGGGCGGGTGGATCACTTGAGGTCAGGTGTTTGAGTCCAGCCTGGCCAACATGGTGAAACCCCGTCTCTACTAAAAGTACAAAAATTAGCTGGGTTTGGTGGCGGGCACCTGTAATCCCAGCTACTCGGGAGATGGAGGCAGGAGAATTGCTTGAACCTGGGAGGCGGAAGTTGCATAGTGAGCCGAGATCATGCCACTGTACTCCAGCCTGGGTGATAGAGTAAGACTCTGTCTCAAAAAAACAAACAAAAAAAATGCAGTGGGATCATCATTGTAGATGTTAGCCTGAACTCAGTATGACTGGTGTCCTTATAAAAAGGGGGAATTTGGACAGACACGCACACCGGGAGAAGGCCACGTGAAGATGAAGGCAGAGGTAAAGGTGCTGTACCTACAAACTAAGGAAAGCCAGAGATTCCCAGCAAACCACCGGAGCCAGTGGGGAGGCCTGGAACACATTCTTCCTACAGCCCCTGGAGAGAACCAGCGCTGCCGATGCCTTGATCTCAGATGTTCAGCCTGCAGAATTCTGAGACAAGCATTTCCGTTGTATAAGCCACCCAGTTGGTGGTATTGTGTTGCAGCCACCCCAGGAAACACCTGCAGGGGATAATGCCAACAGCTCACTTGCCAGAGGCAGGGAGTGGGTTACAGCCTCTAGAATGGGTCCAGCCCTTAGGTTTTTTTGTTTATTTGGTTTTTATTTTGTTTTGTTTTTTGAGACAGAGTCTCGCTCTGTCACTCAGGCTGGAGTGCAGTGGCGCAATTTTGGCTTACTGCAACCTCCGCCTCCCAGGTTCAAGCGATTCTCCTGCCTCAGCCTCCTGAGTAGCTGGGACTACAGGCATGCACCACCACGCCTGGGTAATTTTTGTATTTTTAGTAGAGATGTGGTTTCACCATGTTGCTCAGGCTGGTCTTGAACTCCTGACCTTGTGATTCCCCCTGCCTCAGCCTCCCAAAGTGCTGAGATTACAAGTGTGAGCCACTGTGCCTGGCCTCTCAGCCTTCAGATTTTATAATATCCAAATACATTGCTTTCCTTGGTTTGCGTGTGGGGAAATAAGCGCTAAAACACAAACTGGGCTCTTTTTTTTTTTGTTTTGTTTTGTTTTGTTTTTTGGTTGGGGGTCGTCTCTGCTTCCTGCCCCAGAGCAGGCTCCTCTCCCCTGACTTCATTTTGTCAATTATCTGCTCGATTCCAGGCGCTGAGCTGAAAACGCTTGGGCTGCGCGTCCTGATAGAAATAGAATGCAAGCTGCAGAGATAATTTCAGATGTTCCAGCAGCCATATTTAAAACAGAAAAATGAGCAGATGAGATGAACTTGGATATTTTTTTAATCCAGCATATCCAAAATGTCGTTTCTTTTTTTTTTTTTTTTTTTTGTGATGGAGTTTTTCACTCTTGTTGCCCAGGCTGAAGTGCAATGGTGCAATCTCGGCTCACGGCAACCTCGGCCTCCAGGGTTCAAGCGATTCTCCTGCCTCATCTCCTGAGTAGCTGGGATTGCAGGCGTACACAACTACACCCAGCTAATTTTGTAGTTTTGGTAGAGACGGGGTTTCTCCATGTTGGTCAGGCTGGTCTCAGGTGATCTGCCCTCCTCGGCCTCCCAAAGTGCTAGGATTATAGGCATGAGCCACCGTGCTTGGCCCAAAATGTCATTTCAGCGTGTAATCAACGGAAAAATTAATCATGAGCTATTTTTCCTTTTTTTTTGCATATGAAGTTTTCAGAATCGCTCCAGTTTATATGGAGTGATTCCCCCAGAGAGGAAGCCAAGGTGCCAACAGGTTAATGTAAGTTGGTCACCAGCCAAGAAGTGGCAGAGGTGAGGTGTGACTCCAGGATCTTTGTTGCTGAACATTTTGTGGCCCCTCAAATCTCACATCAGAAACTAGAGTCTCTCAGCCACAAGCTCCCACGCTTGCTTCAGGCTGAGAACCCAAAAGTAGTGTCTTCCTGAGTCAGAACCTTGACTCGGAGGGAGGTAAATCCAAGGTGACCTGACCATATTAGTGGAAACCAGGGTGCATTAAACACTTGTTAAAAACAAATTTGACTCCTACCTTCTTCTGCTATGAGAGCTTTGTCTGGAGCAGCGGCCCCTCCCTGCTTGTCAGGTATCAAGTCATGTTCCACCTCGGCTCAGAGCTCTCCAGGGGCTCCCGTATCATGAAGAGCAGAAGTAAAAGTCCTTCCAGAGGCTCACAAGGCCTCCTGTGATCTGTCCTCCTCCTAGTTCCTTTCTGACCGAATTTCTTGCTCTTCTCCCTTCATTCACGCTGGCCTGGGCACCCCAGATTCCTTGTCATTCCTTGAGTTCATCAGGTACCTTCTTACCTCAGGGCCTTTGCACCTGCTACTTCCTCTGCCAGGATGACCTCCCTCTGGGTCTCAGCATGACTTGGCCCCTCCCTCCCGTCAGACCCTTTCTCAAATGCCACCTTCTCCCTGGGCCGCAGCCCCATTGAACCCTGCACCCCACCACCTCTGGCTCTCCTTCCCTGTCCCCCTGCTCCTCTTCGTCCTCTTGTACCAGTCCCTATGGGTCATGTTATACATTTTACTCATTTACTCATTGTCTGTTTCACTCAGTTGTAGCCACAAGAGCAGGGCCTCGTCTGTTCTGTTCAGTGTTTTAGCCACAGTGCTAGGACTGTGCTCGCAGGTAATAGGTGCTCCATACGTATGTGTTGAAGGGATGAATGACTCGGTGGGTGGATGCTGAGCCAAGGCAAAGGGAGGAAAAATGGAGAGGAAGAGGCCTCCAGAACTGTCCCCTTGCTGAGAGAAGCCAGTATGGTAAACTGGTTCTTGTTGGAGTGTTAGCAACTTGAGGCTTAACCAGAGATAAATGCAGTAAAGACAGAAGGGGGCTGAGCAAGGTGGCTCAGCCTGTAATCCCAGCACTTGGGAGGCTGAGGCGGGAAGATTGCTTGAGCCCAGGAGTTTGAGACCAGCCTGGGAAACATAGTGAAACCCTGTCTCTACAAAAAAAATAAAAAATAAATAGCTAGGTTTGGTGGCACACACCTGTAGTCCCAGCTACTTGGGACGCTGAGGCAAGAGGATCACTTGAGGCCAGGATTGTTTGAAGTTACAGTGAGCTAGGATCTTGCTGCTGCACCCCAGCCTGGGTGACAGAACGAGACACTCTATCTCTCTCTCTCCGTAATATATATATATATTTGATCAGCGCTGCTGATCATTGAGGCATGAATTTGTATAGAATCTCAGACATGGTGATGCTTGGATGGGGGTGTTCAGAGAGTAGGAAGGTTGAGGCCCCCAGACCCCTTCTAATCACAATTTGTAAGCCGTTACCTGGGTTTCCTGTTCATTAGAAAATGTCAGACACTCTTTGTATTCGGAGAGTAAGACTGTGCTGATATAGGAAAATTGATGTTCAACTCTCAAAAGTAGAGACTTGGAAGAACATAGTGCCTGTCTGCAGGCACCTGAGGGGCTGTCACTGAACACAGGGGACTTGTTCTGACCTCAGAAGATGGGCCCATGATTGAGAATTACAAGGAAACGGAATTCGATGTACCATAATGAGAACTGTCTAACCGCATTAGGGCTCTGAAAATGAGCTGCCTTTGGGAGGTAATGAGGTTGCCATCACCAGGGGCATTCAAGCAGAGTCCAAATGACCACTTTTTAGTGGTGCTGCAAGGAGCATCAGGTGTTGGGTGGGATTTCTGCCCAGGGTGCTTGAGTCCTGTGATTCTTTCTGGCGTTCCTATCCTGGTTCTGCTGGCCGAAGGAGTAGGTCTTGAAGGAGGGTCCAGGGTGCTTAAAAACCAGTGACTGCACCTGCTTTGATACCCAGAGCAGTCACTCCTCTTCCCTCCCTCCCCCTCCCCACCATGTTCCTTTCTGAACCTAAATAGACGGAGCCCTTAAGCCTGCAGCAGAGGACATGCAAAGCTCCCAGCCTCTTGCACGTCTCAGGTCTCATTCTGCTCACAACGGATCCTTGTCAGAAACTGGATCACCCACCAGCAACCAGAATCGGCTTCTAAATATGTATCACGTACATCTAGTTTATGTTCAGCTCCCCTTGAGCCAGAACACTGACCTTCTACAGCTCTTCCTGTGGGCCTGTGCAGCCTGGGCTCCCAGACACACTGGGGCTGTCCCACCGTGTATGTCACCAGCTCATCCTCATTCTTTCCTTCGTGAATATTTGTCGTGCTTCTGCTCTGTGCTCCAGAGAGACTGGCTCCAGGATCTTTGTCCCTGACCCTTCTGTGGTCTCAGATCTCATATCATATCTATCCCCACCCCCTTGTGTCCATGGCTCCTGCTTTAGGCTGAGCCAAACTTAGCTTCCCCGCTTCAGAACCTGGCCTCGTAGGGGCTAAACCAAAGGTGACCTGAACATGTTAGCAGAAACCAGAGCAGACCAAACACCTGCCGAAAGCAAATTCAAGTCCAGCTGCCTGGGACAGCGAGGCTGACCATGGCTCTGCCCTCCTGGAGCCAACATTCCAGAAGACAAATGGCTTAGACTGTAGGGTCATGTAACCTGCCTTTCTTCATTTTCAGGTAGGAAAGCACAGCTCAGAGAGACCAAGTGACTTGCACAAAGCCGCACAGCGAACTAGTGAGAAGCTGAGGCAAGAGCCAAGCCCCCCAGTTCCTGGTTCAGCACTGCTCCCCTCATATTGCATGACACTCCTTAGAAGGGGATAGATACATCACAGTGGCTAAGAACACAGGCTTTTGATTTCGATCCACCATGGTTTAAATTCAGTGCCTTTATTTACCAGCTGTGTGAGCCTGGGCAAACTGCTTCACTGCTATGTGCTTCAGTTTTCTTATGTATAAAACGTGGACAAAAATATTCACAAGTCTATCATGAGGGCCAGAGAGAGAGTCCCTGTAAAAAGCCTACCACATTATATAGCAAGGAAGAAATGGAAAAAAAAAAAAAAAAAAAAGTCTAGCACAGTGCCTGGCACACACAGCATGTCAATGCCACTGTTATTGTCACTGCAGTCAATCAGTGTTAACACTCAAAGGACTCAGTTCCTGAGGCTCACGCTGAGCTACAAATGTGTCTCAATGAGGAACTGCTGAACGTGGGTGGAACTGAGGGTGCGGACACCTGGCTCCCGGGCTCGGCTCTGTCACTGACTCATTGTGCAACCTAGGGGTATGTGTGAGTTTCTTATTACTGCTGGAACAAACTATCATGTTGTAGGGGCTTAAAATGACACAAATCTGTTATCTTCCAGTTCTGGAGGTCAGACATCCAAAATGCTTCTTTTGTTTTTGAGACAGAGTCTCCCTCTCTTGCCCAGGCTGGAGTGCAGTGGTGCGATCTTGGCTCACCGCAACCTCCGCCTCCTGGGTTCAAGTGATTCTCCTGCCTCAGCTTCCCGAGTAGCTGAGATTACAGGTGCACGCCAGCACACCCAGCTAATTTTGGTATTTTTAGTAGAGATGGGGTTTCACCATATTGGGCAGGTTGGTCTCAAACTCCTGACCTTGTGGTCTACTCACCTCAGCCTCCCAAAGTGCTGGGATTACAGGTGTGAGCCACCATGCCCAGCCCAAAGTGTGTCTTAGAGGCTAAAATCACGACATCTGTGTCCTTTTGCCTTTCCAGGTTAGAGGCTTCCAGCACTCCTCGGCTCTCAGGCACGTCCCCATGACCTCTCTGCATCGGCATATCTCTTTCTCCTGCTCTGACCTGCCTGCCTCCCTTTTATAAGGACCCTTGTGATTATATCAGGACTGCCTGCAAATCCAGGATAATCCCCCCATCCCAAGAACCTTTATCTAATCACATCGGCAAAGCCCCTTCTGCCTTACAAGGCAGCATATTCACAGATTCTGAGGATTAGCATGTGGACGATTTAGGGGGTCGGCCTGGATCTCCTCCAGGGAAGTAACCTCACTTCTGTGTCCCCACCTGTGACAGTAGAAGGTCAGATAATGGCGAGGTCTTCTCCACCTGTGTAGGCTCATTTCTCATGAAACCTCTCCTTGCCCACCCCAAAGGCCCCACCCCGAGGTCACTTCCCCGTACCACAACCCTGGCCCTGGTGACAGCAGTTGCTGCAGCACCGAGCCCCGCTGAAGGCCACCAGGTGCAGATATCTGGTGCTGGGAACCTGGGTCTTCCCTGGCCCCTGCTGCTGGAAAAATTATAAATACAAAAAAAAAGCAACTTGATTTCTGACTTGCCAGGAAAATCAGAATTGCTTGTATTGGTAAATTATTTTGAAGCTATTTGAAGCATAGAGAGCACTTCGTGAGCCGAGGGTGAGATGCCTGCACTCACGGGAAGATATCCCTGGAATGACTGTCGCACACAGCACAGAGACAGAAGGGGAGTCCCCATTCCAGGGATAGCGTGGCCCCCAGGGAACTCCCAAGAGCGACGGGACTCACGTGGTCGGAGGTTAGGCCTGGGTCAGGGGGGAGAGGGGAGCGGCAGAGCAGAGATGCGTCACATCTTTTATAATAGAATCGTGAATGCTGTGTTATGTTGGCTTGTCTGCACTTTGAGATCTGCTGGGTCCACAGAGGTGCCAGTCAAACAGGTCCTGGATGAGTAAGAGAAGAATTCATAGAGTGTCAGGGCTGGGTAATGGTATGTTTTCAAAAAGTCCTTTTTTTTTTCTTTTTTGAGGTGGAGTCTCACTCTGTCACCCAGGCTGGAGTGCACTGGTGCGATCTCAGCTCACTGTAACCTCCATCTCCCAGATTCAAGTGATTCTTGTACCTTAGCCTCCTGAGCAGCTGGGATTGCAGGCACCCGCCACCAGGCCCGGCTAATTTTTGTATTTTTAGTAGACATGGGGGTTGTGCCATGTTGGCCAGGCTGGTCTCGAGCTCCTGACCTTAGGTGATCCACCCACCTCGGCCTCCCAAAGTGCTGGGATTACAAGCGTAAGCCACCGCACCCGGCCAAAAATCCTTTTTTTAAGAATGAAAATTTTCTCTATTTTTTGCATTATATTTTTCCTCCAAATAAATGTAACAACAACACGTTGTCTATCCATGAAATGGATTATTATGCAGCCTTAAAAAGCAAGGGAATTCTGACATGCATTACAACGCGGATGAACCTTGAGGACATTATTCTACTTTGTGAAATTAATCACAAAGGACAAATATTGTATGATTTCACTTGTACGCAGTACGTAGAGTAGTCAAACTCACAGAAGAGAAAGTAGAATAATATTTGCCTGTGCCTGGGAGGAGGGGGAATGGGGAGTTAGTATTTAATGCGGACAGAGTTTCAGTTTGGGAAGATGGAAGGAGTTCTGGAGGTGGATGGTGGTGATGGTTGCATAACGGTGTGAATGTAACAACGCTAGAGAAACTTTCCACCTGAAAATGGCTAAGATTTGGCCGGGCGCTGGGGCTCACACCTGTAATCCCAGCACTTTAGGAGGCCGAGGCAGGTGAATCACCTGGGGTCAGGAGTTCGAGACCAGCCTGGCCAGCATGATGAAACCCTGTCTGTGCTAAAAATACAAAAATTAGCTGGGCGTGGTGGCACATGCCTGTAATCCCAGCTACTCTGGAGGCTGAGGCAGGAGAATCACTTGAACCTGGGAGGCAGAGGTTGCAGTGAGCCGAGATGTCGCCACTGCACTCCAGCCTGAGTGACAGAGGGAGACTCCGTCTCAAACAAAAAAAAAAGAGAGAAAAGAAAATGGCTGAGATTTAAATATATCATCTTAGCCATTTTCAAGTGGACAGTTTGTTTCTCTAGCATGAAGCTACCTTCACATTGTTGTGTTATAAATTTTACCACAATTAAAAATATTTTTGGCCAGCCTGGGCAACATGGCTAAACCCTATCTCTACAAATAAATACAAAAAATTAGCCAGGAGTGGGGTCACACATGACTGTCATCCCAGTCACTCGGGAGACTGAGGTGGGAGGATCGCCTGAGCCCAAGAGGTCGAGGCTGCAGTGGCTGAGATCACGCCACTGTACTCCAGCCTGGGTGACAGAGTAAGACCCTGTCTAAAAAATAAAAAATAAAAAATTTTGAACTGGATTTAAAAAATACCCCAAGGCAGGGCATCTGATGCTCAGCACGGCTGCTGCGTGAGTGAGGCTGGCTACTTCTGTGTTGTGGGTGCTGTCTTGTGCAGTGTGGGACGTTCCATGGCATCCTTGTCTTCCACCTTCCAGATGCTACTGGCGCTCCACCCAGTGTGACAACCAAAAATGTCTTCAGACATCGACAAATCCCCCGATGGGCAAGATTACCCCCAGCGGAGAACCATTGCCCTGAAGGGTTGTTGGGCAAGAGGGTTACGTTAAATGGTAACCGGGAAGTACTCATCGTAGTTCCTGATAAATAGCAGGAGTTTCTAGAAATATTACTTCCCAATAGGATGCCTGCTTGACAGTGTCATGGGAGGGGACACACACACCCCTGCGTATCCTGAGACACACAGCACATCTCTTTTTCTAGCGTGCCGGCGAGCCCACCATTACAGATGAACTTGGGACAGTGGGTGCTTTAGAATGGCAGGCCTGGGAGGGAGCCACAGTGGGTGCCTGACCATCCAGAGGCCGTGTGGAGCTCTGAGCACCATGACAGGCTATGGGAGGTACCAGACTCATGGACCATTCCTAGATTTCCTCACACTGCCTAACCAGAAGGTTCTCTCTAACCAAATCACCCATAGTCACCAGACACAGGTTAGTATCCCTAGTACTCAGCCTGGGGCTCAACTCATAGGAAGTGTTTATTTTGGATGATGGAGCGGGTGGGGGTGGAGGTGGACATGGGGAGGTGGTGGGAGCAGCAGTGGCAGTGATGGTTGAGATGACAGGGGTGATGGTGACATCAGTGGGGATAGTGGAAACTCATGCTTTTTTCCCAAGAGTATAATTTTCTATAAGGCTGGGCGCAGTGGCTCACGCCTGTAATCCCAGCACTTTGGGAGGCTGAGGCAGGCGGATCACTTGAGGTCAGGAGTTCAAGACCAGCCTGGCTAACATGGTGAAACCCCATCTCTACTAAAAATACAAAAATTAGCCAGGCATGGTGGCAACTGCCTGTAATTCCAGCTACTCGGGAGGCTGAGGCAGGAGAATCGCTTGAACCCGAGAGGCGGAGGTTACAGTGAGCCAGCCGGTCACGCCACTGTACTCCAGCCTGGGCGACAGAGTGAGACTCTGTCTAAAAACAAAAAACAAAAAACAAAAAAAACACTATGATCATTCTCTGCTCCTTTCTTACCAGGGGAAGGACAGATTACAAAAATCACATGAACAGTCAGTCGGTTTTCCTCGCTTATGTGTGCGACTTATGTCAGTGTTTTAAGATGAGGGGTGGGACTCAGGCTAGCATGTGGGATTCAGACACAGGTCACACCCCTGGTGCAGGGTCCCTTTTACTGCACTGCCCCTTCTACAGGACACACTCTGTGGAGCCAGGACAAGCCAGGGTGAGCCCTTGACCCGAAGCTGCAGATGTAGCTTCCTCTTAGCAAAATCAGCTTATTACTCAATCAGACGAAGTGTCTGCGGTGGAGACGAGACGGGAGTTTAATTGGGAATTTTCCCTGTATGCAACTGTCGATATTTAATGAAAGTGGTGGTGGAGAACACAGGTCAGCACTATCAGAAATTAAAGCTGGTGTTCCTGGCACCCCTGTCCCCAGGAGAGAAGCAAGCCCTGCAGTCCCTTCTCGGCTGCCTCCTTACGAAGAACATTTCTCTGCGGCTTGAAGCGGCTGCAGCAGCGACTGTAGCACGTGCAGCTTCCCCAGATGCTCAGGGTGAATTAAGGACCTGGTGCCTGGGAAGAGCACTACACAGGGAGTCAGGAGACCTGGGTTCCAGTCCAGACTCCAAGTGGCCTTAGACAAATTGCCCAAGTTCTCTGGGCCTCTCATCTGTAAAATAAAGGAGAGGGGTGGGGAGGGAGGGGAAATGAGAGATATCAAAGGTGACTTCAGATCTTCTATGATGCTGTGAAACCAAGGCTGGCTGTGGGCGTGAAAGGCCAAAAAGCTACTGTTATTTCTTGGGCCTTTGGGTTTGGAGTTCCTGGAGGCTGGCAAGGAGGGCAGGGGAAGCTGTTCTACCAGCATAGGCTGGGCTCTCTTAGCCAGGGAGGGGAAGGCAGAAGAGAGTGATGGGGAGTAGTAAGCTCTTGCCAGGAGCAGAGGGACCAATGCCCAGTGGTCCCTGGAGAACCTTCCATGTTTGTCCTTCCTCTAGGCCATGGGAGGAAGAATCTGCCTTCTCTGGAAGTTGTAGCTGCAGTAATGGCTGCAGGGTATTTTACTGTGTAGATGAGCCACGATTTACTTACTCAGCCCCACTCAGCCCGGGAGGTTTCCAGTTTTCTCTCCTAGAAGCAATGCTGCTGTGAACAGCCTTGCCCACATTCTTCATGATTTCCCTAAGACATATTCCCACAAGTTGAAGGTTGTGGAAATGGATGAGGTTGGGTGGGCTGGATCGACCATACTTCTCTCCAATCCCCCCTTCGCACGACGGCCTCTCACCTTGGGAAGACTTGCAAAGCTCATGTCATAGCTCCTGGGCAGGCAGTTCACAGAAGGACACATCCAAATTTCCAGTGAGCACGTAATACAATGTTCAGCTCTCCTAATAATCAGATAAATGCAAACTAAATCAACAATATACCCTTTCATGGCTTATCAGATTGATAAAGATGAAAGAGTGACAAAATCCAGTGTTGGCGCAAGTTCAAGGACTCACCCACAACCTTCAACTTGTGGGAATGTATCTTAGGGAAATAATTAAGAATGTGTTCAGCCAGTCACGGTGGCTCAGGCCTGAAATCCCAGCACTTTCGGAGGCCGAGGTGGGTGGATCATGAGGTCAGGAGTTCAAGACCAGCCTGGCCAACATGGTGAAACCCCATCTCTACTAAAAATACAAAAATTAGCCAGGCATGGTGGCAAGTGCCTGTAATTCCAGCTGCTCAGGAGGCTGAGGCGGGAGAATTGCTTGAACCCAGGAGGCGGAGGTTGCAGTGAGCCGAGATCCCACCACCACTATACTCCAGCCTGGGCGACAGAGCAGGACTCTGTCTCAGACAAAAAAAAAAAAAAAAGTGTGCAAGGCTGTTCATAGCAGCATTAGTTCTAAGAGAGAAAACTGGAAAGATCCTGGGGTTGGGTAAGTAAATCATGGCTCATCTACACAATAAAATGCCTTGCAGCCATTGAAAATGATATATTTGTTGAATGGAAAGATGTTCCCAGTATGGTTATCCGACAGAGTGGTGGAGTGCATTTCTGCTTGGTAGATTTATGTACACACACACACACACACACACACACACACAAACACACACAATCTAGAAAAGGTATAAGCCAAGTGTTAACTTTTTTTTTAATTCTCCCTTGTTTTTGATTATTTTTATTGTCTCAGTATATATGTGAGCTTTGCCTAATATGTGGAGATAAGAAAACAAAAAAATATTTTTAATGACAAAAAGCGCTTACCAGAGCCTGTTGTTAATCTGAGTTACGCAGTTCCCAGGAGGCCAGATCAGGGGAAAGGGCCTGAGAGATCCTCTGGCTGCAGGCCTGTTTGTTGGCAAGGGGCCGGTCCGGTGCAAGAGATTAATCTCAATCTAACATCCGCTGTGTCACTGTCTATTTCTGGAGAATGGCAGCTCTTCACCCTCTCCAGCTCAGGTGTCAGCTGCTGGGGAGAAGTCATCACTCAAGGGGAGGGAGCCCAGACAGGTGGTGACGGGCAGGCCACGGAGCCGCCCTGCACAAGGGAGATGCCTGTCTCTTCTGAATGTGCCCTGGAAGAGAAGGAAGTCGTGGTTATAAGGGGAGGGCGCTGTGGGCCCTGTTCTGCCTAGGCCAGAATGAGACGGAGCCCACTTTGGTTTCAGTGGGTTGGAGGTAGACCCATCGCAAGACGAAAGGTGGGAAGTTGACTTCCCACCAGTTGAGCCTGCCTATTGTGGGGAGGTGAGCTGCATCACTCCCGCTGCCTCCCAAAGCCCTCATGCCACCAAGCACATGGTTTTATAGAACAACAGGACCCAGTTAAATGATTTGTGGCTGTGGGACAAAGGCTGACAGTTAGGACAGGAGCCCAATTCGTTCTTGAATTCCGTTGTCCTAGAATCCATCGGTTGGGTATCTTGAGCGTAAACAACAGAAGCCAACTCTGACTAATGTAGGCAGGGAAGGAATTTGTTGCAGGGATGTCAGATAGTTCACAGAATTGAAGAGAAGCCTGGAGAAGCAGGCTCAGAAGAGAATGGGGCAGGTCTGCAGGTGGAGAACGCAGAACCAATGGACAGTTTCTGCAGGGTGGGGCTGCTGGCTGGACTGAACGGGTTCCAGCCATCTATTTAGTCAATCCACCCAAGATTCAGTGTCCTGGGAGAGACAGACTGTGGCTCAGTGTGGGTTGGGTACCGACCTCTATGTCAGGAGAGGGCCACACATTTTAAGAAAGTTAGGGTAGGTGCAGTGGCACACGCCTGTAATCCCAGCACTTTAGGAAGTTGAGGCAGGTGGATCGCTTGAGTCTGGGAGTTCGAGACCAGCCTGGGCAACATGGCGAAATCTCGTCTCTACTAAAAATACAAAAATTAGCTGGGCGTGGTGGTGTGTGCCTGTAACCCCAGTTACTTGAGAGGCTGAGGTGGGAAGATCGGTTGAACCCAGGAGGTGGAGGCTTCAGTGAGCCAAGACCGTGCCACTGCACTCCAGCCTGGGTGATAGAGTGAGACCTTGTCTCAAAAAAAAAAAAAAAAAAAAGGTACACCAAGACATATTTAATGGGTGAGAGATGATTGCTCCAAAAGGAAGCTGGGGAGTTGCCTCAGGAGAGATGAAGGGGGAGAAGCCAGAGGGCAACAGGTGGGTATGAAATATGTGATTCCTATAGTGGGTTGAATTGTATCCCCCGAAAAGGCGTGTCCAGGTCCTAAGCCTTGGCACCTATGAATGTGACCTTATTTGGAAAAAGGGTCTTTGCAAATGTAATTAAATGAAGGATCTGGAGATGAGATCATCCTGGACTGAGGGTAGGACTGTCCTAAATCCAATGGCAGATGTCCTTGTAAGGGAAGGGCAGAGGGAGACTTGCAAGACGGAGACACAGAGCAGAGGCCGTATGGAGACAGAGGGAGAGGCTGGAGGGAGGCGGCCATAAGCCAAAGGATGTGAAGAACTACCAGAAGAGTTCGAGACCAGCCTGGCCAATATGGCGAAACCCCATCTCTACTAAAATTACAAAAATTAGCCGGGCGTGGTGGTGGGCGCCTGTAATCCCAGCTATTCGGGAGGCTGAGACAGGAGAATCGCTTGAACCCGGGAGGCAGAGGTTGCAGTGAGCCGAGATTACACCACTGCACTCCAGCCTGGGTGAGGGTGACAGAGCGAGACTCCGTCTCAAAAAAAGAAAGAACCACCAGAAGCTGGAGGAGTCCAGGAGGGATTCTCCCCAGAACCTTTGGAGGGAGCCCAGCCTGGCTGACACCTTAATTTCAGAATTCTGGCCTCCCAAACTATGAGAGGATAAATTTGTTTTAAGCCCCTCGGTTTGTGGTAATTTGTAACAGCAGCCCAAAAAACAAACACAGCATGCAACCCCCTTGAATGACATTTTAGTGCTCTTTGCCCTGAGTACTCCAGGCTCAGGCCACCAATGGAGGTAGCATGGGCCCCAAACCAGATTGACAAGACATTGTGCAGCTTTGGCATAATCGTAGGACCCTCTGGGTCTTAGTGTCCCGGCAATAACTTGTGCAAGCATTCTTCTTCTTCTTTTTTTTTTTTGAGATGGAGTCTCGCTCTCGCCCAGGCTGAAGTACAGCGGCACAATCTTGGCTCACTGCAAACATCGCCTCCCGAGTTCATGCCATTCTCCTTCCTCAGCCTCCCGAATAGATGGGACAGTCGCCCGCCACCATGCTAATTTTTTGTATTTTAGTAGAGACAGGGTTTCACCGTGTTAGCCAGGATGGTCTCAATCTCCTGACCTCATGATCTGTCCGCCTCGGCCTCCCAAAGTGCTGGGATTACAGGCGTGAGCCACTGTGCCTGGCCGTTTTTTTTTTTTTTTTTAAGGTGGGGTTTTGCTCTTGTTGCCTAGGCTGGAGTACAATGGCGCGATCTTGGCTCATCACAACCTCCGCCTCCCGGGTTCAAGCGATTCTCCTGCTTCAGCCTCCTGAGTAGGTGGGATTACAGGCATGCGCCATCACGCCTAGCTAATTTTGTATTTTTGGTAGAGACGGGGTTTCTCCATGTTGGTCAGGATGGTCTTGAACTCCTGACCTCAGGCGATCCCCCTGCCTCAGCCTCCCAAAGTGCTGGGATTACAGGCGTGAGCCACCGTGCCTGGCCTGTGCAAGCATTCTTAAGGCAACAGGGAAGGGTATTGTCTAACTGCATAGGCACTAGGGTGAGACCACCTGATTCTAGATCCCGGCTCTTCCATTCTTAGCTGGATAACCTCAAGCAGGTAACATAATTGTTCAGTTTGCTTATCTGCGAACCAGGATCATCCCAGTACCAGCTGCAGAGTTTGTTTTGTAGATTAAAGGAGTGCAGGCAATGCAGAGTGCTTAGAAGAATATCTGGCATATGGTGAGGCTGCAAGAGAGGTTGGCTGATGCATCTCCACTCTGTCTGTTTCCAAAGATCAATGAGAGTTTCCACCTCCCAAGAGAGGAAAGCATGAAAACATACACAGCTTCTCTCTACTCCAGAGAGTTGCAAGTTACCTGCTGGTGAATTTGGGGGAAAGAACTTTTGTCCTAGAAGGCAGGGGCCTGTGCCGGTCCAGCACCATCGGCCTCTGGGGATCCATCTGTCTGATAGGGGAGCTGGTTTCAGAACCCCTTTGTGGCCACAGGTCTAAGCCACGTTCTCTGATCCTGTCTTTATTCACATGTTGATTCAAAAATATCACTTACAGGTTCTAGTACTAGGAATACAGCAGGTAACAAAACAAAACGCTGGACCTCACATAGCCGACATGGGAGTGGGGGAGGAGCAGGGGGACAGAAAATAAATACCTGCTCAGAGAAAAACAAAGAGGGAAGGGGGAGATGGAGGATGATGGGGTGGGGAGAGCGGCTGCTTTGAATGGAGGCAGGGAGGCCTCTTTGAGAAGGTGACTGCCTAGTCACCTGACGAAAAGGAAGGAGCGAGCCAGGCAGAGCAGGCAGGTGCAGAGGCCCTGACGGTGGCCTGCGCGGGGCGTTTGAGGAACGGCAAGCAAGGCGGAGTGGAGGGGTTTAGCAGGGGTGATGCGGGCTGTGGATTTCATTTTAAGAGAGATGGGGAGCCACTGGAGGGATGTTGAGCAGAGGAATGACTAGAAGTAGTTGTAATAAATCTCTCTCCACACACACATGCGTACTCGCTCCCTCTCCTCTCCCCTCCCCTCCCCGCTCCTCCCCTCCCCACTCCTCTCCTCTCTGTTGGTTCTGTTTCTCTGGAACACCCTAATATGGGCACCCTTCTCATATATCTGGAGTCAAACGCAGGCTCAGTCTGAAACTTCAAAAATCTGAACAATGCTAACCACGGGATTCTCGAGCACGTACGTGGCCAGGTACTGTGGTGAGAGCTTTTCAGATATTCCCTTATTTCATGTTCACAGTATCATCTCGAGGAGGCACTCAAGGTGGCTGGGCCTGGCCCAGGGTCACACAGGCACCAGGTGGTGAAGTGGCCCAGCCTGGGGTCCGTCCTAACCCTAACGTGGGCAGCATCTCTTCATTCTGTATTTCAGGGCATCCAGGGAGCCCTTCTGACAAGGGTGTCCAGAAGCTGTGCTCCCTGGATGCCCAGTGGCTTCATCTTCCCAGCCTTTCCAGCTCATGGTGGGATCAGGAGGGTGGCTGGAGAGTTCTAGGCCATCTCTTTAGAAGACACTCTGCCTGGGCTGGGTGTGGTGGCTCACGCCTGTAATCCCAGCACTTCGGGAGGCCGAGGCAGGTGGATCACCTGAGGTCTGGAGTTTGAGACCAACCTGGCCAAAGTGAAACCCCATCTCTACTAAAAATACAAAAATTAGCTGGGGGTGGTGGCATGTGCCTGTAATCCCAGTTACTCGGGAGGCTGAGGCAGGAGAATTGCTTGAGCCTGGGAGGCAGAGGTTCCAGTGAGCCGAGATCACACAACTGCACTCCAGCCTGGGCTACAGAGCAAGACTCTGTCTCAAAATTAAATAAATAAATTAATAAAATTAAAAAAAAAAGACACTGTGCCTCGAGGGAGCTTGTTGGGAGGGGCTGGGCCAGGCTGGTGCAGCCCTAGGTCTCGTGCCTGGGAGAGTGGGAGGCACGATGCAGTGGCCAAGCTCCAGAGCCAGACCAGCTGGGGTCAGGCCCAGCTCTGGCATTTCCCTGCTACATGGCCCCGGGCAAGTCACTTGCCCTCTCTGTGCTTCAGTTTGGTCAGCTATAAGATGGGGATACTTAGAGTGGCCTTCTGATCAGGTTGGCCTGAGGAATAAACAAGGCTAGTATGTTTTGTGAAGCTTGAAGTGTGCTAGGCACACACCAGGTGCTGTGAAGTATTGGCTTTCCTTCACTATTCTTAACTTAGACAGCTGACGGGATAGGTCAGGAAAAGGAGAACATTCCAAGGTCAGGTAGGAACATTGCAGGGATCCCATGGTCACCTCCATGTGCCGCATGCCAGCCCATCCTTCCACTGTCCTGCTGATCCAGCCCCCAAAGCCCCCTCTGTGAGCTTGCCCTTGACCTGTCTTGTGGGGCGTTGCACTTTCTTTTTTTTTTTTTTTTCCGAGATGGAGTCTTATTCGGTAGCGCAAGCTGGATTGCAGTGGCGTAATCTTGGCTCACTGCAGCGTTTGCCTCTGGGGCTCAAGAAATTTTCCTGTCTCAGCCTCCCAAGTAGCTGGGAGTAGAGGCGTGCGCCACCACACCTGGTTAGTTTTTTTGTTATTTTTAGTAGAGACAGGGTTTCACCATGTTGCCTGGGGTGGTCTTGAACTCCTGCATTCAGGCGATCCACCCGCCTCAGCCTCCCAAAGTGCTGGGGTTACAGGTGTGAGCCACCGTGCCTGGCCAGGCTTTGCACTTTGTCCTTTAAGTGTCCTCTTTTGTGCCTGTGTCCCTATGCCTCTCCTGTAAGACCTAAGCTCCAAGAGGCCAGGGCCACCTCTCTCTGTCTCTCTCTCTTCCTCCCACTCTCCCTGCCTTCCTTCCATCTTCCCTTCCTTCCTTTTGTATCCTGCATGGCATGTAGCATGAAGCCTCACCTGTTTTGCTTAATGCATGAATTAAAGGAAGCCATTTAATAACTAAATGTCTATTTATTGACTAAAAATAGGCCTGTCTTAGAAGGTTACTATCTTAGTCTTCTCAGGCTGCCATAAGAAAACACCATAGATTGGTGGCTTAACAAGCAGGCATTTATTTCCTCACAGTTCTGGAGGGTGGAAGTCTGAGATCAGGGTGCCAGCAGGGCTGGGTTCTGGAGAGGGCTCTCTTCCTGGCTTGCAGATGGTCGCCTTCTTTCTGGGTCCTCACATGGCAGAGAGAGAGAGAGAGAGAGAGAGAGAGAGAGAGAGAGGGAGAGAGGGAGAGAGGGAGAGAGAGGGAAAGAAAGTGAGAGGCAGAGACAGATTGGGAGAGCTCTCTGGTGTCTCTTCTTCTAAGAACACATTGGCCGGGCACGGTGACTCATGCCTGTAATCCCAGTACTTTGGGAGGCCAAGGCGGGCGGATCACAAGGTCAGGAGGTGGAGACAATCCTGGCTAACACGGTGAAACCCCGTCTCTACTAAAAAAATACAAAAAAAATTAGCCGGGCGTGGTGGTGGGTGCCTGTAGTCCCAGCTACTCTGGAGGCTGAGGAAGGAGAATGGCGTGAACCCAGGAGGCAGAGCTTGCAGTGAGCCGAGATCATGCCAGTGCACTCCAGCCTGGGCGACAGAGCGAGACTCCATCTCAAAAAAAGAACAAAAAAAAAAAAATAAAAAAAACATAAGAACACTAATCCCTGGCCAGATGCTGTGTCTCACATCTGAAGTCCCAGCACTTTGGGAGGCCAAGGTAGATCTCTACTAAAAATACAAAAAAATTAACTGGACATTGTGGTACACACCTGTAATCCCAGCTACTTGGAAGGCTGAGGCAGGAGAATCGCTTGAACCCAGGAAGCAGAGGTTGTGGTGAGTCGAGATCGCGCCACTGCCCTCCAGAGTGAGACTCCATCTTGTTGGAGGGGGTGGGGAGGAAGAACACTAATCCCATCAGGACAGCCACACCCTAGTTACCTAATCTCATCTAACCCTAACTGCCTCCCAGAGGCCTCACCTCCAGATACCATCACACTGGGGGCTAGGGCTTCCACATATACATTCTGGGGATCTAAATGTTTAGTCCATAATAGCCACCTAATGGCTGGGCCTGGTGGCTCACGCCTTTAATCTCAGAGCTTTGTGAAGCTGAGGTGGGAGGATTGCTTGAGGACAGCAGTTCCAGACCAGCCTGGGTGTATTAGTCTGTTCTCGTGCTGCTAATAAAGACATACCTGAAACTGGGTAATTTATAAAGGAAAGAGGTTTAATGGACTCACAGTTCCACATGGCTGGGGAGGCCTCACAATCATGGTGGAAGGTGAAGGAGGAGCAAACTCACGTCTTACACGGTGGCAGGCAAGAGCGCATGTAGAGGTGAACTCCCATTTCTAAAAACATCATGGTAGTGAGACTTATTCACAACCAGGAGAACAGTATGGGGGAAACCTACCAACCCCGTGATTCAATTATCTCCACCTTAACAGCTGGGGATTATTACAATTCAAGGTGAGATTTGGGTGAGGACACAGCCAAACCATATCACTGGGCAACAGAGCGAGACCCTGTCTTTACAAAAAAATTTAAAAGTCTACATAATAGCTATATACTTAGTAGAGCATTTCACTCTAAAGCAGTGATCCTCAACTGAGGTGACTTTGTCCTCCCCACCCAGGGGACACGTAGCAATGTCTGGAGACAGTTTGTTTATTTTTTAGACAGAGTTTCGCTCTTATTACCCAGGCTGGAGTGCAATGGCGTGGTCTCGGCTCACTGCAGCCTCTACCTCCGGGGTTCAAGCAATTCTCTTGCCTCAGCCTCCCAAGTAGCTGGGATTACAGGCATGCGCCACCATGCCCAGCTAATTTTTGTACTTTTAGTACAGGTGGGGTTTCGCCATATTGGCGAGGTTGGTCTGGAGCTCCTGACCTCAGGTAATCCACCCGCCTCGGCCTCCCAAAGTGCTGGGATTACAGGCATGAGCCACCACTCCCGGACTGGAGACAGTTTTGATTGTCACACTGGGTGGGAGGTGTTGCTGGCATCTGGTAGGTGGAGGCCAGGGATGCTGCTGAACATCCTACAGGACACAGGACGGCCCCTATGTCAAAAAAATGTTCCTGTCCCAAATGTCAGTGATGGCCAAGTTGAGAAACCCTGGTTTAAACAAGGGTCTACCAGGAGAGAAGAGGGGACCCTGGAGTCTGCCTATGCCAAGTCTAGAGTTGTGCTGTTGGCTTCACAGCCTTTGTAGCCAGCTTTTGTAGCAATACCCTCAGCCTTGTGCTGGGCCCTGTCTGCCTGGCAGACTCTCTTCGTCCAACTCTTCTTCTTTCTCTGCCCTTTGTGAGCTATGAAAGCTCATCAAGTCAGTGGATCTTATCATGAAAGCCCCACTAAGCACTGCCGTTCTAAAGTCCCCGCCCCTGGTGGGCTTGTGTGCACCGTTTTTCAAACAAGCCCATTTCTTCTAGCCACGGAGAAATGTGAGATGACATTTTCTAAAATTGTCACTTTGTAAAAATGCCAAGATGAGTCTCAAGGCACAAAGAACATTGTGGAAATCAGAACTGACTTGGGAAGTGGTGGCTTGCAAAGGTTGGATTTAAACGGCAGGTGCCGTGGGCTTATGTTGTTGGGTTGTGGTGGTTTTCCGGTTGATACCGCTTCCTGAAGATGAGGATTTCTAGAAAATTTCTCCAGCTAAATAATGATCTGTCACTAGTTTGGAGGCTGCAAATAATCTGCTGGCTTTAGAAACTGTCTGTGCTTCACACAGTCTGTTGGTGTCCATCTTACTTATTTTCATAACGTTTTTGGCCGGGGTAGGCTGTTAGGAGGCAGGTTGATTGATGTTTTTCCATTTTTTCATTGAAGACATGAGTGTCTGCAAAAAAAAAAGCCCAGTATAACTTTGTTTTAAAGTGCTCCTATTTTTATTTTTATTTTTTAAAAGATAAAGCTCTCCTGTTTTATTCAAATGCATTTAAAATTCTCAGAAGTTTGGCCTCTTTAAGAAAAAGAAACAGTCAAAAACAGTAATCAAGTATAAATTGGGGAGGCCTGCAGAGCTCTGGTCCAGCTAATTCCTTGGGTATATAAAGCAGACACTGATTCTGGGAGAGGAGGGAATGCAGAGTCTGGTTGCTAGGCAATGGTTCCCATGGGACAGAAGCATCGATGGGTTGGCTGTAGACTACATAAAAGATGGGGCAGGACAGAAGGAAGGAGGATGCTCAGATACTATTCCTCCATCTCCTGTTTCTGAGATGGAGAAAAAAAGACACACAAACCCCCCCAGGGTGGTTGCAGGGTTGCTGTGTAATTAGCAGGGCTGCTTTTTCCAGGACAGAAGCCTGCTAATTAGCGAGGTGTGAAGAAATCATTTCAACTTTCACATAATGCTGGAAATGGGTTAAGGGTCAGCCTTTTGAAACCTGGAAGCACCAAAAAAGAGAGGAGGTGAAGGTTTTCCTGAGAGTTGAAGGAAGCCAGAGGCAAGCAGAGGCTGAAGGCAGTTGAGCTTCATGTCAAAATGGTGTCCTTGCATCTCTCTGGCTATTCTCACTGGGAAAAGGGCACCTTGTTAATCAAAGGATAAGAGTAAGCTTCCATAGCCAAATGGCTGGGTTCAAATCCTGGCTTCATCACTGTGAAGCTGCATTGCCAAAGGCAAGCTATGCACATGCTCTCAGTTTTCTCATCCATGAAATGGGCATAATAACAGTACTTACCTCATAAGATTGTTATGAGTAAAAACGTGTGTAGTGATTAGAACAAGATCTGCACATAGTAAGTGCAACATGACTGTTAGTTACTACTTTATTTATTTTTCTCTTCTCTTCCAGATCAGAAACAAAAGATCTGAGCTCTTTATGCATTCTAATACCATTCATTCTCTTATAACTGAGGTTTGTAAAATCATGGTCGTCATTTGAATTTGCACATAGCTCGTATTGTGTATCAGTCAGGATGATTATGCTTGGTAACAAACAGTCTTTAGCAGCTCTGTACCACATAAGCTATTTCTTTGGTTCATGTCCAAGGAGGGCTGGTGTTGGGGATGATGGGGCTCTGTTCATAATATTTATTCAGAGAACTTAACCATCAGGGACTTTATCTCAACACATGGTGTGTTTCTCACCTAAGCTGATGCTAAATTCTCCTATGTTCACTCAGCTACCCCTGGCTACATTGTGTTCCCTGAATGCTGAGCTCTTTCCCAACATTTCTTTTTGACACAGGGTCTCTGTTTTCTGGGCTAGAGTGCAGTGGCGTGATCATAGCCTCAGTTTCCCAGGCTCAAATGATCCTCCTGCCTCAGCCTCCTGAGTAGCTTGAACTACAGGTGTGTACCACCACACCTGGCTAATTTTTAAAAATTTTGTAGAGACAGGGTCTTGCTATGTTGCCCAGGCTGGTCTCGAACTCCTGAGCTCAAGTAAGTCTCTCATCTTGGCCTCCCAAGGTGTTGGGATTATAGACATGAGCCACCACACCCGGCCTTTTTCCCAGCTTCTTGTCTCTGCCTAGAATGTTCTTCTCATGGCTAGTTTCAGCTCATCCTTTTGACCTTAGCTGAAATAATACCTCCTGACCACCCCTGTTAAAGACAATTCTTTGTCCCAGACTTTCTTTATCTTTCTACCCTGACGTTTCATCCTAAACATTTTACATGTCTTGAACTATTCATTTATTGTCTAAAATGTAAGCTAAATGAAGGCAAAGGCTTTGTTTTGTTTCCTGCTGTATCCCCAGGGCCTTGTACATGGCAAATACTAAAAAATATCTGTGGCATAAATGAATGTCTATATTCTCGCACTAGAATTTAAACTCTCTGAGAGTAGAGGACTTAGTTGCCTTGTATATCACCAACCCGGTTGTTGGCCCAGGAGAAGTACAAGTTCAAGTCTGGGCAACATGGCGAAATCCATCTTCAATACATTCTTTTTTTTTGAGATGGAGTCTCGCTCTGTCGCCCAGTCTAGAGTGCAGTGGGGCGATCTCAGCTCACTGCAACCTCTGCCTCCTGGGTTCAAGTGATTCTTGTGCCTCAGCCTCCTGAGTAGCTGGAATTACAGGAACACACCACCATGCCCGGCTAATTTTGTATTTTGTATTTTTAGTAGAAACAGGATTTCACCATGTTGGCCAGGCTGGTCCCGAACTCCTGACCATGCTAACCCTCTTTTCATTTCCACTCAGAGGACAGTGAAGAGGAGGATAGTATCTAAGTTGGAAAGTGGCACTACCAAGTGGAGGGTCTGTCCGCTAGTTGGCACTGACCCATCCCACTGCATCTGCCCCAACCTCCACTCCCTGCTACTAGTCGGGTCTGGATTAGGGTCTACAGATGTCCTAAACCCGAAACAGATAATGATGCCCTTCCATCCCCGCTCTGAGTAATTCAAAATCAAAAGAGTAATAAACCTGGCTGGGTGCAGTGGCTCACGCCTGTAATCCCAGCACTTTCAGAGGCCGAGGTGAGCAGATCACCTGAGGTCAGGAGTTCAAGATCAGCCTGGCCAACATGGTGAAACCCTGTCTCTACTAAAAATACTAAAATTAGTCAGGTGTGGCGGTGCACACCTGTAATCCCAGCTACTTGGGAGGCTGAGGCAGGAGAATCGCTTGAACCCGGGAGGTAGAGGCTGCAGTGAGCCGAGATCACGCCATGTTGCCTAGGCAACAGAGACTCCGTCTCAAAAACAAAAAACAAAAAACAAACACCTGAAAATAGGTCAGTGAAGACCAGCACGTTCCAACTTTTCCCATGGTGATCACTCTAAGGCTTTTTTTTTTTTTTCAAGTTTAAATTCCATTTAAATTAGCCTTTTCCCCCCTTTTATTTTTGGGAGGATGCTTGCACATTGCTGGCTTTGTAAGCACCTGCCTTGTCAACTTTTAGGCAACCTTGAGCTGCAGTCTAAATCTCTCTCTCCTCTGCCTGCCTTTTCTCAGGCCTTGATGAAATCCAGTGCTCCCTGCCCATGGAGAGCAGGAGGATATCCCTGCGTGAGCTGTCGGAGGCCAGCTTCAGCGAGTGTAGGTTCAGCCTGTCACTCACAGACCTCTGCATCATCATTTTCTCCGGTGTGGCCGTGTCCATTGCGGCCATCATCTCCAGCTTCTTCCTGGCCACTGTGGTGCAGTGCCTCCAGAGGTGCGCACCCAACAAAGATGCGGAGGATGAAGACGAGGACAAGGATGACTGAGCCACCTCCTCCCTCCTGCCTCTTACTCTCCAGCACCGAACCAGAAGCTCTCTCCAAGACGAGAGGGAAATGCTGAAAATGGAAAAGCACTGGCCACCATCTGTGAACTGAACAGAGCCTGTTCCGTGTCTTGGCCCCTGGGTACACCTGCTGGGACCACTGATCTCAGAGTTTAGAATCAGCAGAGCACAGAAGCCCAGGAAGGATGGAGGGAATTATTCCTGGAGCATAACCTGCCTCTCAGATCGAGGTGTGTGTTGGGGGAGAAGATGACCGAGTCAGGCTTCATAGCTGATGACTAAAAGCCTCCCCCAGGAAATGTGAAGACTGGCAGCTTTCAATGGCAAAGATGATTTTACGCCATTCTTTTTCTGACCTGTACTGGGAGATCATGAAACATCTGCCTTCCTCCCAAGAAACAGCAGCTCAAACAGTGGAGATTCAAATTCGGATCATTCACCACAAGAACGAGAACTTTGATCCTTATATAATAGGCCTCAGCAACCTTGGGATGTTATACTGGGAACTAATAAACTCGTGTGCAATAGACTCAATGTTTATGTTCCCCCAGATTTTATATGTTGAAACCTAATCCCCAATGTGATGGTATTTGGAGGTGGGGCTTTTGGGAGGTGATTAGGTTTAGATCATATCATGAGGATGGGGCCCAAATGATGGGATTAGTGCCCTCATGAAAGGTGGCCCCAGAGAGCTCCTTCACCCCTTCAATGCTTGAGGATGCAGCAAGAAATCAGCTGCCCATGAACCGAGAAGCAGGCCCTCACCAGAACCCAGCCATGCTGGCACCCAGATCTCAGACTTCCAGCCTCCAGAACTGGGAGAAATAAATAAATGTCTGTTGTTTGTAAGCCACTCAATCTCTGGTATTCTGTTATAGTGGTCGAAATGGACCCATGAAGAAGCTAACAACTGGTCAGAGGGTGTCTGTTGTTAATTTTGGTAAGCTGGTTGGGAAAACTTTGACTTGACATAACTCAAACCCTGATCTTTATCCTAAGCGGTAGCGACTTGTAGAGGAAGGATTAGTTGCTTTGTACAGTTGTGATGGTCTCTCTGCTCAGCATCATTTTTCCTTCTGAAGGACAGACAGGTTGTTCCCCTCCATCACCCGCTTCCTGAGTTCCTTCCCAGCTACTCTCTATGTCAGCACAGTTCTCTATCTCCAGAACTTTTGGTAAACTTGCCTGGAGGCCAGTATTCCAACCAGCATGTTGCACCGGATCAACCAAATGCTTAAAAAACAAAAAAACAAAACAAAAAACACTGGGACTTGGGCTCTGAAAAACTTCCATCAGTGGCCCTTAGGGTGTATGTGACATTGCTTTGGTGCACAGGCTATGACAGGCACCAAAAAAAGTGTTTTCCAGGATGTGGAATGCAGCACTTTGGTTCAGAGACAATATGAAACAAACAAGTCTTACACCCCAGTGGGTTAATACAAGATAGCTTGTGCTAGCAGCATTGGATGAGGCTGGGGGCTGAGACTTGGATGAGGGCCTCACACCAGCTCTCGAGATATTTTTGAGAATCGTTTCTCCATTGTTTCCTATCATATATTCCTGTTTCTTTCCTCCATTGCTCCCTTCCATCTTTGCCCTCATAAATAGCTATTGAGTGCTTGAGTGCCAGGTACTGGTCCAGGCACTGTGGCTATGCTTTGGATAGGAAACACAGGTTCCCTGCTGTCTTGTGCTTTATATTCTTATGGGTAGAACATAAAACAAACAGGGAAACAAAACTACCATTGCAGGCAGAGATAAGTATCATGAAGGAAATAAGCGAGGTCCTTTAACAGAGAGTCACTGGGAGAAGACACTCCAGCGGAGGTAGTGGGGTGTGTTAGGTTTCTCCAGAGAAAACAGAACCAACAGCAGACAGACAGACAAAGAGATTTATCGTAAGGATTTGGCTCAGGAGATGATGGAGGCTGAGAAGTCCCATGATCTGCAGTTGGTGAGCTGGAGACAGGACAGCTGATGGTGTAGTCCCAGGCCAAGGGCAGGAGAAGACTCAGCTCAGCAGTCAGGCAGAAAAACAGTGGATTCTTCCTTCCTCCACCTTTTTGTTGTATTCAGGCCCTTACTGGATTAGATGAGGCCCGACACACTGGGGAGGGCCATCTGCTTTACTCAGTCCACCTGTTCCAATGTTAATCCCATCCAAAAACACACAGACACACCTGGAAATAGTTCAACCAAATATCTGGGCACCCCATGGCCCAGTCAGGTTGACACAAAATTAACCATCACATCGCAGAAGGCCTTTGATTGGGTGGCTTTTGGGCTGAATCCTGCTTCCCCCTTCTCCCGCCTCCTGACCTCCTCCCTTCTTTCCTACTCTCCCACTCTTTTCTCCCCTTCAGCCTAGAGGAGACTCTGGGTCACCCCTCTGCTCCCCAGCATTGCAGTCTCCAGTGGAGGAGACCCCTGGCTCAGGAGGGCTACCTTCTTACAGAGACCCTGGGCCAGCGGAGAAGTGAGTGGCATCTTCCAGGACTCCATGGCAACCTCAGCTCCTGTGAGAGCCCCATCTATGGTCTCTGACCCTCAGTGCACATACTGCTCCCCCTGTGCAAAACAACACAATCTAAAGTCAGCACCTCCCCAGCCTGGCCCCAGATTCAGCTGAGAACTACGTGGGGTTGGAATTGCTGCCATGGCCCGCTCTCCACCTCAGGAGCACCACTACCTGAGACTCAAAGGCATGAACCCAACTGGGTTTTGGCCTCCACCAAAGTCATAATGTGTACCTCCAAGAGTCCTGGGGACATGGTACCCTAAGCTGGGGAAACAGCACTAGACCCTTGTTCTAATAGGTTCTAGTGGGTGAATTCCCGTTTAATGAGTCTGCTTTATTCCTTCTGTCTGCCTCAGGTGATTCATGCTGGTCAGCAGGTTCAGTTGTTTCCTTAGAAGGCATGAGCCAGGCTGGGCATGGTGGCTCACGCCTGTAATCCCAGCACTTTGGGATGCCAAGGCAGGTGGATCATGAGGTCAAGAGATCGAGGCCATCCTGGCTAACACTGTGAAACCCCGTCTCTACTAAAAATACAAAAAAATTAGCCGGGCATGGTGGCGGGCGCCTGTAGTCCCAGCTACTCGGGGGGCTGAGGCAGGAGCATGGCATGAACCCGGGAGGTGGAGCTTGCAGTGAGCCAAGATCCTGCCACTGCACCACTCCAGCCTGGGTGACAGAGCAAGACTCTGTCTCAAAAAAAAAAAAAAAAAAAAAAAAAAAAGCACAAGCCCTGCATGGCGCAGGGGCCAGGATTCATTCACAGAATAAATTAGTGAGCAGGGGAGGGGCAGTCATTTCTGCTGGCTGTACCAAAGAGTTTTGGAGTGAACATGATTCTTGGGAAGAACAGGAGCTTTAAAAGATGTTCAGTTAAAATGGTCCCTTACTGCCTGGATATAAAATTTTTATAAAACATTGAGAACATGGGGGACCTGGGGGTGGGGAGGATCTGCAGTCAGGCCCAAGAAAATAAACTGACTAGGAGCCACAGCTCAACTGAGGAAATGCCTTTTGAGACGTGACATTGCACAAACAACAGGCAATGATTTAGAGCTCTCTGACTTGCCATTGATTGGGTCTCAAGTTATTGCCATTATTAATAGTGACAATGCTACATACCAGTTTAGGGTCTCCCACATCTCCAAAGGTGTCATTTGGGTCTCCGCTCAAACATTACTTCCTCAGTGTCAGCCTTATCACACCACCCTATATTATTTTCTGCACAGCTCATACCATGATCTGATCTATGTGTTTGTTTGCATGTTTATTGTTTACCTTCCTGGACTAGAACTTGAGCTCCCCAAGGGCAGAGACTTGGGCAGCTCATGTGCCCAGCATTTAGAACCATGCCCAGCACAGCCGGGTGCAGTGGCTCATGCCTGTAATCCCAGCACTTTGGGAGGCTGAGGCAGGAAGATCATGAGGTCAGGAGATTGAGACCATCCTGGCCAACATGGTGAAACCCCGTCTCTACTAAAAATACAAAAATTAGCTGGGTGTGGTGGCGCATGCCTGTAATCCCAGCTACTCAGGAGGCTGAGGCACGAGAATTGCTTGAACCCAGGAGGTGGAGGTTGCAGTGAGCCGAGATCGTGCCACTGCACTCCAGCCCAGGTGACAGAGCGAGACTATGTCTCAAAAAATAAAAAATAAAAAAAAAAAAAAAGAACCATACCCAGCACATAGCAGTGGCACAGCCAGCATAGGTATTGGTTGAAAGAACAAACAAATGGTTTGCCACATTAGCTACCCCACAAACCTGAGGTCTATGTAGGCATCCTTACAGCTCCAGGTAAGAGCCACTATCGTGCCAGTTTTGTAGATGAGGAAGCTGACGCTCAGAGAAAGTAGGTAGATTACAGGAAGCAACTGACCCCAAAAAGACTTGTGGCTATTGGACTCTAAAGCCTGTGCTCTTGGTTCTGCTCATAGTTCATGTGTATTAGAGGCATTCTCTGTATGAGATGCTAGACCAAGCCCTTATGCGGATTTCCTCCTGTAAGCCACTCAAACTGTATGAGGCAGGTACCATTATTACCTAGTCTTTACAATTCCATCACTTCCATTTTGCCATTGAGAGAGCTGGTTTGGGTCTGGGAGTAACTTGCCAGGGGGACACAGCCTGTCAGTGATGGAGCGGGAGTTGGCCACAGGTGCTCTGACCCCTGCATTCACTGCCTCTCTTAGCCACCTGCATTCCCTTCTTAGGTCAGCAGGTGCAGGCCTGGCAAGAACAGCGTGGAGGGACACATTTCTTGAGGCTGCATGCTGAGCTTCTGGAAAAGCAGCCTGCAGTTGCCATATGCACCCAAGATGAGTTTATTCCAAGCCTCAAATCCAACATCTCAGATTCCCCCCAGTGAAGAGTCAAAGCCACCAAAATGTCTTACTGTCTTGCTCTCAAGACCTTATGACTAGAGGATTCCAGCTTCACAATCAAATTCATCAGTAATGAATGCTGTGATGACAGCGGGTACCACTAGTACAGCCCTTGGACCTGGGCAAGAGGGGCATTATCTTGGGTCCAGTGCTTTAGGGGGCCTTGCTCCAGTCCTCCTCCAGCTGTGCTCTTCCCCAGGGAGCAAGGAGTCCATGGCCATCCAGAACATGTCCCCTTCTAGAACATTTTTTGGGTACTTAGGGCCCCCAATTTCTGGCAAAAACGATTCCAAGCTTGGATGTGGGCATCTTCCCAGCATCCCTGCTTTAGAGCAGGCTGAGTGGCCACACAGGATGGTGGTGGGGAATGTGAATAGAGGTTGGATGTGAGGGTGGGATGTCCACACAGGTGTGCATAGACCCCTAAGGTGCAGGATGGAGCTGGGAGTGGGAAGAGAAAGGGAGCAGGTTTCAATCAGCTCAGCTGTCCCCACAATGCCATATTCTGTGGCAGATTTCCAAGAATTTAATAATTTACCATTTAAACCTAGTCTTCGAAGTCATTAAGAAGGTACTTTTGTTGGCCGGGTGCGGTGGCTCACACCTGTAATCCCAGCACTTTGGGAGGCTGAGGTGGGCAGATCACCTGAGATCAGGAGTTGAGACCAGCCTGACCAACATGGAGAAACCCCATCTCTACTAAAAATACAAAATTTGCTAGGCGTGGTGGTGCATGCCTATAATCCCAGCTACTTGGGAGGCTGAGGCAGGAGAATGGCGTGAACCCGGGAGGCAGAACTTTGAGCCGAGATCACGCTACTGCACTCCAGCCTGGGCGACAGAGCGAGACTCCTTCTCAAAACAACAACAACAATAACAAAAAAAAAACAGTTTCTCTGTATTTGTGACTTGTAAATATTTAGATATCAGCATCTGGAGGGTATATGCACCCTCATCCTGGCTTCACACATGTTCCAAGTGACTCTGGGTACCACAGCAGGGACCAAGGGGGTGGCCACATGCCCTGGCTCTGGCTGCAGGATGCAGTAACACTTCAACCTGGCAGTGCTGGTTCAAACTAGGCTTCATCCTGGAAGAGAGGCTAAGAAATTCATGTGCTCAGACTGCTTTCCCTGGTGACAGAGAAGGGTTTGCATGGAACATCCATGCTGCTGTTGCCACTGCCTCCTCTCACCCTCCCCCTCCTCCCCAATGTCCCTACAGGCTCAGATGGTCAAAGTTACAGGCATGAATCCTAGGTGCCGTCAGTGGCTGGGGGCAGGTGGTTTTCCAACTCTATTACATTTAACTGGATCCAGAGCACGTCCAGGCTCTGAGTCTCATTAATATCCTGCCACCGCTCACTGAGCCAGCCACCAGCCCTGTGCCTTGGCCATAAACTCCTTTTTAGTGGCCTCTAGCGGCCTTGAGTGTTAAGTAATTTATTATTTGCAAAGTGGTCTATTGAAACACCTGTATGGTGAAACCTACCCAAAGCAAACCTCTGTGGGTTTCATTTGTCTGCAATCCACAAGGTATCTTTGTTCTTTAAGTCCCCAGACCAATAAACACACACGCAAACTTTATTGTTTTTCCATGGTAAAGATTTTTTTAAATAAAAAAGAGCAGTGTTCTCTACTGTTTGCAAATGCAATCTTTTTTTTTAAATAAACATACCTTTCCAGGGTGCAAATGAGTTGTTATATTTTGGCCTTGGAAAAAAATACAAGGTACTTTTAGGGTAAAACTTTATACCCACATTCAGGACCAGTAGTCATTGCTCTCTGTAGTTCCATTGGAACCCAAGCTGGGAGTTGGTTTTCCGAGAATCATTCTCTCAGAGTTTGACACTCAGCACAGAGCTCTCATCCCTATCTGAGTCTCTGATTGTGAATAATTACAGCAGGAAGCAATCGCCTGTTAACTGGTCTCCAACAGAGCCCTTCAATGGAGCGTCCCCTCTGTCCTTATAGCCGAGTGGCCTTGGACATGCTATGGATTCTCTTAGGGCCACAGGTCCTCCTCTGGGAAACAGTCACACTGACTTCTCGGCAGTCAGTGAGAGCACAATGAGGTAACGAGAGGGACTTCCCCGCAAACGTGGGTTCCCTTCTCTCCTCCTTCAGAATCCTGGTGGTGCCTCCTTGAGAATTCACAGGTGCATGGAAGAGGATGCGGTGGCAAGAGGACCCTAGCATCAGAGCCCAAATCCCAGCGTCAGATAACAGAATGGACAGCCGGCAGCCTGAAGACCTTAGTTCTCATTTTTACTGTTTCATAATTAGTCCCCAGGCCCCCCTGCTGTTGACTTAATGACCCAGCTGCACTTCAGTGCTTGAGAATCTGCATAAATGTCAGAGGCGGCTTGTCACATGTGACCCACACATCCCCAGAGTCCACTCACCTGGGCGTACAAATGAGGCCACATGAATATCCAAATTATGCTGTCCTGGTCATCCCACCACCTGAATGCAAGATTTCACCCCAGTGAAAGTGCGCCTTCCCATGCTCTGTGCTCCAGCCCGTGGGCACTAAGGACTTCTGGGGATGGGGAGGCTTTCTTGGGTTTGAAGCGAAGCCTAACTCGCGACCACGGAGTGTCCAGGGTATCTGCTGAGGGCCCACCCTTACCCTGGGGCAGTATGGCCTCCACCAGCCCTCTTGGGGTCCCCTTCCTCAAACTGTCCACCCTGTCCAGGTGTTTATTTATTTATTTTTGAGACCGAGTCTCGCTCTGTCACCCAGGCTGCAGTGCAAAGGCATGATCTTGGCTCACTGCAACCTCTGCCTCCCAGGTTCAAGTGATTCTCCTGCCTCAGCCTCCCCAGTAGCTGGGATTACAGGCATGCACCATTACGCCTGGCTAGTTTTATATTTTTAGTAGACAGGGTTTCACCATGTTGGCCAGGCTGCTCTCAAACTCTTGACCTCAGGTGATCCACCTGCCTTGGCCTCCCAAAGTGCTGGGATTACAGGCGTGAGCCACTGCACCTGGCCCCTGCCCAGGTGTTTAATCCCAAACTGCCAATCCCGGAGGTGCCCTCATAGAATGAGCTTCCTTTTGGCTCGTACTCACCCCACAGGACCACAGTGTTTCTTCTGGAAACAGGGACAGTGTCCCCTCTGCGAGGTCAGACCTACTCCCTAGGCCAACCTCAGGGCCAGATTTCCTCCTATCGCCCCAGTTTCCCCATCTCTCCAGTCTCTTATCTGTACATCAAAACCTCCCTTTCATCGGCCTCCTCCACTCAGGTTAATTAATGTAAGAAATTAGGTTCCCTGGGGCAGGGAAGGTCCTGAAGCCACAGCAGCTGGCCAGCTTCCTAACTCCAGATCAGGCTCAGGTGGGACAGTACATGGCTGTGAGCCTGCACCTCTGCTCCTTCCTGATCACCAGGGAAGCTGCGGGGTTCTTGCTGCTGGTGACCAGAAAGCCGTGGACTCCACACACCCTTAGGAGCTGCTGCGTGAAACGGTGAGAAATTCAGGGCCTGGGGCCCCGTGGGTCATCTCCCCTCCTCCCCATGGAATCCTCTGTCCCCAGAGATGCCCTAGACTGTAAGCTCCATGAGGTCATGACTAATGGGTGTCACTCATCAGTAAATACCAAGCCTTGATGCAGGCTTGGCAGACAGGAACCCTCGATTGTAGCATGAACTGAGGAACACGGACGCAGCTCCTAACCTGCAGAGGACCATACCGTGTGGCCTGCCTTAAGGAAGTTAAGTCCAAGGTGGGTTGAGGAGGCATGGCAGAGCCCAAGCTAGGGCCCAAACTAGAGTTTATTGCAGTTGATCTTTTCAGAAACCCACAACTATTGAAGTGGTTATAATAGAATATTTGGAAGTAGTGTTACCCAAGTATTAGAATAGCAGAGTAACAAAATATTCGAACTGAATATCAGAGTATTCACATTCTACCTGAGTATTTAGGGGGCAGCTGAGCTGGGCCCGCTGCCCACCCAGCTGGCCCTTAGGTTCTGTAGTGCTGTCGTGAGAGGTCCCAGACTTTGCCAGCCTGCCCTGTCCCTGTCCCCATAACTCATGTCCTTCAGCCCCTTGGTCCTCCTTCGGTTTCTGACCCAGGCCTAGCTTGCTCCAGCCAGAGGGTCCTTGCACCTGGCTGTCCCCTTGCCTGGGATGCTTTCCCCTGAGATCTTTGCTCCTTCTAGGCCTCCAGATCACTGTCTTGGCTCGGAGAGGCCTTCCCTGCCCATCCCAGCCAAAGAAACCCTCATTTGTTGCCACTGTCTATAATGGTTAATTTTAGGTGTCAGCTTGGCTGGATTAAGGGATACCCTGGTAGCTGGTCAAGCATTACTTCTGGGTGTGCCTGTGGGTGTTTCCAGAGAGACTGGGATTTGAGTGAGTGGGCTGAGTAAGGAAGATCAGCCCTCACCCAATGTGGGCAGGCACCATCCGATCGATTGAGGGCTGGGACAGAACAAAAAGGCAGAGAAAAGGCAAATTCACTCCTCCCTCTGGCTTCTGGAGCTAAGATGCTTTCTTTTTTTCTGAGACAGAGTCTCACTCTGTCGCCCAGGCTGGACTGCAGTGGCGAGATCTCGGCTCACTGCAAGCTCTACCTCCTGGGTTCACGCCATTCTCCTGCCTCAGCCTCCCAAGTAGCTGGGACTACAGGCGCCCGCCACCACGCCCGGCTAATTTTTTGTATTTTTTAGTAGAGACGGGGTTTCACCGTGTTAGCCAGGATGGTCTCGATCTCCTGACCTCGTGATCCACCTGTCTTGGCCTCCCAAAGTGCTGGGATTACAGGCATGAGCCACTGCGCCCGGCCGCTAGGATGCCTTCTTATCCTACTCTTGGATATCAGAACTCCAGGTCTCTGGTCTTTGGACTCCAGGACTTGCACCAGCGACCCTCAGGTTCTCAGGCCTTTGAACTTGGCCTGAGCCACAGTATCAGCTTGCCTGGCTCTCCAGCCTGAAAACAGCCTACTGTGGGACTCCTCAGCCTCTTTAGTCCCATGAGCCAGTTCTCCTAAAAATCTCTCTCTCTCTTTCTCTCTATCTATCCACCCATCTGTCAGTCATCTATTATTTATCTATAATCATTCTATCATCTATTATCTATCTGTCAATCCATCATCTATTATCTATGTATCCATCCATCCATCATCTATTATCTATCATCTAACTATTGTCTATCATCTATCTATTGTCTATCATCTATTATCTATCTATCTATCATCTATCTATCTATCTATCTATCTATCTATCTATCTATCTATCATCATCATCTATTTACCTATCTATCCAATTGGTTCTGTTTCTCTGGAGAACCCTGACTAATACACCCTCTAATGCATTGTCACCCTGTTTGTCTTTACAGCATTCACAACTGAGTGGGCTTCGTGGGTTTTGATTGCTTGCTTGTATACTGTTTTCCTCTGCTAGATTATAAACCTCAAGAGGAAAGTCCATGCCTGTCTTGCTTACCCTGTATGCCCAGAGCCTAGACCTGCCTTGAGCTTGGCAGGAGCCTGATTAATATTTGTGAAGTGGATGATGGGTGCGTGGATGAATGGATGGATGGATAGGTGGCTGAGCTGTGGATGGGTGGGTGGGTGGATGAGTGGGTGGGTAGATGGATGGGTGAATGGGTAGATAGGTGGGTCATAAATGTCCTATCCTTTCCAAAGATGTGAAAGCCACACATAATGTGTAAGAAATATGACCAAGGAAGGATTTACAAGACTCACACTGAGTTCATTAAAGACAAATTCCTCTTTTTCATCTTGCTGAGGGCACAGTTCTGAACCCAAGGCTGTAGTAACAGCAGGAGCTGTTTGTGGTGTTTCCTTTCTTAGCAGTTGCCTATTCCTGTTGTACCTCAGGCTGCTGATTACAGACGCAAACCCCCAGACTTCACACCCTGCCTTTCCTGTGAGAGGCCGGGAGAATAAGCCCCTCAGTTGGATCACCATGTCTGGTCAGGCCGCCCTCTCCTCTCTGAGCCCTCCTGCCTCCTTGGCACTGCCAGCCTTGGCATCGGTGGCTGGGCACTGAGTGATTTCCATTTGTGACCATCTGACCTCTAATTACTTCTGTTAATTACTTGGACAGGCTTTCTGTGCCAAAAGGGCTTAAAACCCAGGGACAGCGGGAAGGGGATGTCCTTCATCTGTCCTTGTCCACCACCTGTCCCTGGAGGAAGGAGGTGGTACGTGGTGTGGGTTATTCAATTTCCCAAAGATCTGTTCTGTCTCAGATTCTGAGCCATGACTGTCATTCTGATGGGTTCCCTCGAAGAGCTTATTCTTTCACTAATCCTGAATCTTCTGGTGACTGATTGCCTGATGGGGGAAACAAGTGTGAGAGCAGGAGAGGGAGGGAGGGGGATGCACCATGTCAGCTGTGCGGTGCGGAATTAACCACTTCTGTTGTTTTGGGGTCCCCTCTCTGATTCTTACATCCAAGGAAGGGCCAGCATGGAGCAACCCAGTCCACGGTGCAGAAGTTCAAGCATGGCATAAAAACCTATAGCTTCCACTACCAGGTGCGGTGGCTCACGCCTGTAATCCCAGCACTTTGGGAGGCCGAGGCGGGTGGATTACTTGAGGTTGGGAGTTCGAGACCAGCCTGGCCAACATGGTGAAACCCTGTCTCTACTAAAAATATAAAAATTAGCTGGGCATGGTGGCAGGCACCTGTAATCCCAGCTACTTGGGAGGCTGAGGCAGGAGAATCGCTTAAACCCAGGAGGCGGAGGCTACAGTGAGCCGCCATCGTGCCGCTCGGGAGGTTGAGACAGGAGAATTGCCTGAACCCAGGAGATGGAGATTGCAGTGAGCCAAGATTGCCTCGCTGTACTCCAGCCTGGGCAACAGAGTGAGACTGTCTCAAAAAAACAAAACAAAACAAAAACCCCACAGCTCCCATCGACCCTCAAACCATCACCTGATGCCCATGGTACCTGTTCCCAGCCCTCCAGTGCTTCAAGGGAGGGTGTAATATGCACCCATGTTATTTGAGTCTGCACTTTTCCCCCATTTCCCCCGTTTGTCCTGACTAAATCCTCCTTATCCTAGATGCTTCTGACTTGAGACTCATTCATTCATTCATTCGTGATTTATTAAGTATTAACCCGTGCAAGGGAGTGGTCACAGAGCAGCAAACAGGACACACAGTCTCTAACCACAAGCAGCTTTCTTTCAGAGAAGACAAACAAACAAGGGTTTGCAACAAATGTAATGAGTTTCAATAGGAAACACGGGCTGCCTGGGGAGCCTAGAACTGGGACCATCTCAGGGTCAGGGGTCAGGAAAAGGGTCCCTGGCAAGAACTGCAGAACTCTTGGCACATAACGATTCCGTCCAAACACCTGCACTCAGAGATGGCTGGACTCTAGCATGACGACGCCAGCACCCACTTGAGATGCCTGCCTAGGAAAGCCCAGGGCTGCCAGTCCAACAACTGACATAGGACCCTGGCCTCCCTTTCTTAGAGCATTTACTGAAAGGGGCTTATAGGAAACTCTTCTTCTGTCCCTTTGAGATACATTTGTATCTCCTGCAACTCAGAAGTGTCTTTCTCCAGGACTTACAGCCATTCCTTGAAATGTAATCAGGAAGGATGGGACCTCCAATTCCCAGACTCTGTAGG
Organism: Homo sapiens; assembly: GCF_000001405.40. NCBI lineage: Eukaryota > Metazoa > Chordata > Mammalia > Primates > Hominidae > Homo > Homo sapiens. The sequence continues at coordinate 13,463,304 of NC_000001.11, read as the reverse complement.
AATTAGAATCCTGACTTTAGTCATTGCAAGCCTGAAGACACTGGTCTCGTCACATTCACACCAACCAACCTTTTGTGATTTTTTTGCTTCTAGGCTCTGCTAAGCCTGTCTTTCCCTCCCTCCCTCTGCCTTCAGGACACCCGGTCCCCTCTGCACAAATCAGGATGGAGCTCGGCCCTTTCGGCGACTGTTTGGATATCATCTGTTTTCACTGCTTTAACTCGCACTTGGCTTTGTTTCTCTTTGGTGCTGTGGGAGGGGCATTATGTCTGAAGCTGGAAAGCTGAGCAGGAGTTAGCCCGGCTTCGTGGGTGAGTATGAGGCACAGAGGCAGGGCAGGCAAGAATGTTCCAAGCAGAGAATAAGGGAGAAGCCAAAAGAGGCTTGGACAGGCTGGAGTCGGAAAGGGGGGGAGGTCTTTGGTCCACCCTGGCGGCGCAAGGCCGTCCCAGCCCTTTTTATCCCCAGTGACTGCCTCTCACCGAGGTGTCAAGAGTCTTTGACCTCAATGGAGCTGCTCCCAACCCATCCAGCCTCCTTCCCTCTTCCCAATCAGCTCTACCCAGCTGGCTCTCAGCCTGCCCTGCCTTCTCCCTAAGGGGCTGCTTTGGGGCTGTCCCAGCCTCCACGATGGTGCTGCTGACGCCTTCCCCGAGCCCCCATTTAAAAACAGAGTTAGGCTGGGTGTGATGTGTCACACGCGTAATCCCAGCACTTTGGGAGGCTGAGCTGGGTGGATTGCTTGAGCTCAGGAGTTTGAGACCAGCCTGGGTAACATGGCAAAACCCCACCTTTACAAAAAATACCAAAATTAGCTGGGTATGGTGGCATGCGCCTGTAGTCCCAGCTATTTGGGAGGGTAAGGTGGGAGGATGGCTTGAGCCCAGGAGGTTGAGGCTGCAATGAACTGTGATCGTGCCACTGCACACCAGCCTGGGCAATGGAGCAAGACAGTGTCTCAACCAACCAACCAACCAAACAAAAACCATTCCTTTGGAGCACTAGGAAGACTAAAACAAACCCAAATCTAGTTATGATTCACATACCATAAAGTTCGTCCTTTTAAAGTGTACAATCAGTGGTTCTTTGTATTCACAAGGTTGTGCAACCATCACCACTGTCTGATTCCAGAACATTTCATCACCTCAGAAAGAAACTCCTACCCATTAGTGGTCACCTCCATTCCCCCCTTACCCCAGCCTCTGACAGCCACTAATCTATGGCAACCACTGTGTCTGTGGACTTGCCTATCCTGGACATCTATGAATGGAATCATACAGTGCATGGCCTTGGGTGTCTGGCGTCTTTCCCTGAGCACCACATTTTCAAGCTTCATCCATGTTGCAGCATGGATCAGTACTTCCTTTTAACAAAAATTTATTTTTAAATTTTTATTTACTTTGAGACTGGGTTATAACACTGGCTAATTTTTGCATTTTTGGTAGGAAAGGGGTTTCACCGTGTTGCCAAGGCTGGTCTTGAACTCCTGGGCTCAAACCATCTGCCCACCTCGACCTCCCAAAGTGCTGGGATTACAGGCGTGAACCACTGCACCCGGCCAGCACTACCTTCTTATGGCTGAATAATATTCCACTGTGTGGATAGACTCCATTTTGATTGCCCATTCATTAGCTGATGGGCGTTTGGATTGTTTCTGCTCTTTGGTTTGTGAATAATGCTGCTGTGAACATTTGTATACATTTATTTTTATTTTTGAGACAGGGTCTCACTCTGTCACCCAGGCTGAAGTGCAGTGGCATAGTCTCGGCTCACCGCAGCTCCAAACTCCCAGGCTCAAGCAATCCTCCCACCTCAGCCTCCCAAATAGCTGGGATTACAGGTGTGCCCCACCATGCCCTGCTAATTTTTGTATGTTTGGTAGAGTCGGGGTTTCACCATTTTGTCCAGGCTGGTCTTGAACTCCTGACCTCAAGTGATCCACCTGCCTCAGCCTCCTAAAGTGCTGGGATTACAGGTGGGAGCCACCCCATCTGGCCCACTTATGTACATATTGTTATTATGAACATATGTTTTCGCTTATCTTGGGTGTATATGTGGGAGTGGAATTGCTGGGTCACACGGTAACTCTGTTTAATGCTTTGAGGAACTGCCTATTTCCCAAAGTGACATCACCATTTTCCATTGTCACCAGCAATGTTCAAGGGTTCCAGTTTCTCCACATCTTCAACCCCAGTGGCTATGGTCCATCTTTTTGAGTCCAGCCACCCTGGGGGTGTGAAGTGGCGCATGGCTCCTTGTCCCTTCATCCCATTTACCCCTCCCTGCTTCTGGCTTTGTGTACAGAGTGGTACCAGACTCCTCTCCAGCTCCTCTTGGAGGCTGGTGAGAAAACCTCATAAGTTGAAGAGAACGCCTCAACCTCAGGGGCTCAGATTGCAACCCCTGCTCTTCTTGAAGCACCGCTGAGAAACACTTCACCAGGGCAGGTAACTGAGAGCCGCCTGGGTTTCTACATGTGAGGCTGTAGGTCCAGGTTCTTTCAGGTGAAACAGGGCCCATCATGAGGCCCAGGTAAAGAAACTTCTGGCTGCAGCGTTTCCTGTCCTCATTGTCACAGCCTATCTTTAGTGGAGGGTCTGGTCCTGAACCATGCCCCAACAGGGAGGCCAGCACTCTGGGGAAAGGAAGCAAAGCTCTTAAAACACCTGCTTTGACCCAGCTGGGGTGAAGATGGGTTGTTTTTAGGAGGGCAAGGCTCGGGGTAAGGGGGAGCCTGGTCTCAGCCAGGAGATCTACGGAAGGGATGCAGCTCCTTCCCCTCGGCTCTCTATACTCTTACCAGATGGCACAGGCATGCACTAGCATGTAACTCCAACTGCAGGCGTTGCAGCAAATGGTGGCTCCAATTCACAGTCCCTGCTGGCAAGGTGTACACTTGCCCTCCGAAAGGGCTGCCCCCTGCTCACCGCTGACTCTTCACATTTTACTCCCAAATTGAGTTCCTTGATGATATTTCCTGGGCTGCAGTCGAGACTCCTTATTTGCAAACTCCAGCCATGCTTGTGGCTCCTCAAAATTGGCCATTTGTGTCATGGGTCTCCAGAAAAGTGACTATGTTCCCCAGCATGGTTTCAGCTTTGACGTGTTCCCCAGGTCTTGTCACCTCCTGCTGTCTAGGTGGGAGCTCTCAGGTATACTCCAAGCCAGCAGAGGGGCCTGAGATCCCTCAAAAGATGGGGGTATTCTTTAATGCAATACAGTAGGTCCCCCTTATCCGAGATGGATGCATTCCAAGACTCACAGTGGATGCTTGAAATTGTGGATAGTCGGTCAGGCACCGTGGCTCATGCCTGTAATCCCAGCACTTTGGAAGGCTGAGGCGGGTGGATCACCTGAGGTCAGGAGTTTGAGACCAGCCTGGCCAACATGATGAAATCCCATCTCTACTAAAAATACAAAAAATTAGCCAGGCATGGTGGTGGATGCCTGTAGTCCCAGCTACTCAGGAGGCTGAGGCAGGAGAATCGCTTGTACCTGGGAGGCGGAGGTTGCAGTGAGCTGAGATCATGCCATTGCACTCTAGCCTGGGCAACAGAGTGAGATTCCGTCTCAAAAAAAAAAAAAAAAAAGAAAAAAAAAAGAAAGAAAAATAATTGTAGATAGTGCCAAACCCTAAATATACTAGGTTTTTTCCTATACATACATATCTATGATAAAGTTTAATTTGAAAGTTAGGGACAGTAAGAGATTAACAATGATAATTAATAAAATAGAACAATTATAACAATATATTGTAATAAAAATCATATGAATGTGGTCTCTTCTCTCTCAAGATATCTTAATATTTTCAGACTATGGTTGACTTTGGGTAACTGGAACCCCAGAAATCTAACTCACAGGTAAGGGAGACACTTAGCTTATTATAACTCAGAACCAAGAAAGAAATGAAGGAGGGCAAGCAGGGAGTTGATGGTGCCACCAGATTGGGACTCCAAGCCGCTTTGCTCTTCTTTCTAAAGCGGTGTAGGTAAGGTTTTATTTACTTACTTGTTTACTTGTGTATTACTGGAGAGAGAGAGAGCTAGAATAGCGGAGAGGCAGAATTTTTTTTTTTTTTAGACGGAGTCTCGCTTTGTCGCCCAGGCTAAGTGCAGTGGCGCGATCTCGGCTCACTGCAAGCTCCGCCGCAGGGAGGCAGAATTCTAAGACCGCCCCCAAGATTCACCCCCTGGTGTGTACACCCTGCCTAATCCCCTCCCCTTGAGTGTGGGTGGGACGGATGATATGATGGATCTCACTCTCAGGATAAGGTTATAGGATGTGGCCAAAGGTGAACGGATTTTGCAGCTGTCGACTTTGGGTCAATCCAAGAGAAGTTATCCTGGGTGAGTCTGAACTATAGGGTGAGCCCTGTAAAGGAAGATCTTGAAGAGAGACTCTGTCTCCTGCTAGCCTTGAAAAAGCAAGCTGCTTTAAGTTGTACAGCTTCGAGGAAGTGAATTCTGCCACTGCAAGCCTCAGATGGGATCCCAGCCCCAGCTTACCCATCAGTTGCAGCCTGGTGAGACCCTGAGCAGACGGCATGATTAAATTCTGCTGAGACTCCCCACTCTCTAAAACCAGGAGACAATACATGGGTGTTGTTTTTAAGCTGCAAAATGTGTAGTAATTTCATTAGAGGGGGTGGGAGGAGAAAGGCATCTTGGTCAGAAGCCAGTGAGTATCAGGAGATTGGAATGAAAGACGATATCTGTTCTCTGAATGCTATTTGAAAGGATGGGGAGGGAGTGGATCATGGAAGATTGATTGGGGCGGATTTTTGTTGTTGTTGTTTTTGCTGTGTTGGTTTTTTTTTTTTTTTTTTTTGAGATGGAGTTTTGCTCTTATTGCCCAGGCTGGAGTGTAATGGTGTGATCTCGGCTCACCACAACCTCCACCTCCCGGGTTCAAGTGATTCTCCTGCCTCAGCGTCCCAAGTAGCTGTGATTACAGGCATGTGCCACCACGCCCAGCTAATTTGGTATTTTTAGTAGAGATGGGGTTTCTCCATGTTGGTCAGGCTGGTCTTGAACTCCTGACCTCAGGTGACCCACCTGCCTCGGCCTCCCAAAGTGCTGGGATTACAAGGTGTGAGCCACCAAGCCCAACCTTTTATTTTTTTTAGAGGCAGGGTCTCACTCTATCACCCAGGCTGGAGAGCAGTGGTGTGATCATAGCGCACTGCAACCTTGAACTCCTGGGCTCAAGTGATCCTCTTGCCCCAGCCTCCCAAGCAGCTGGGACTACAGGAGCATGCCACCATGCCGCCCAGCTAATTTTATTTTGTTTTGTAGAGATAGGGTCTCACTATGTTGCCTAGGCTGGTCCCAAACTCCTGAGCACAAGCAATCCTGCCTCCGCCTCCCAAAGTGCTGGGATTATAGGCGTGAGCCACCTCGCCCAGCCCTTAACAGCTTTATTGAGATATATTTGACATGCAAAAATGTTTAAAGAATATAATTTTATATCTATCTATCTATCTATCTATCTATCTATCTATCTATCTGTCATCTATCTATCCCTATGAAATCATCACCACAGTCAAGATCATGACCATAGTTCCCATCCAAAAAGCTTTCCTCCTTCCCCACTGGAATCCTTCCCTCTTCCCCATCCCATCCCCAGACAAGTGTTGATCTGCTTTCTGTCCCTATAGGGGATTTTAGATTTGCATTTTCTAACATTTTTATAAATGGAACCATAGAGTACGTTCTCCCCTTTGGCCTGACTCCTTTCACCCAGTGTGACTATTTTGCGATTCATCCGTGTTGCTGCGTGTATCAATAGTTCATTCCTTTTTATTGCTGAGCGGTCTGGAATGCTCTTTGACCTTAAGCCGGTCACTTGATCTCTCTGGGCCTCCGTTTCCTCAGTGGGTAAATAGACACCAGATTCCTGAGGAACCACTACCTGGCTAACTTTGTCTTTCTTCCTGAGATTCAGAACACCATGCACGTCTTCCAGGACCTTCCTGTCTAGGGACTATTAATAGAAGCCTGGGATTTCTCCCTGTGCAGCTACTGCCTCAGAGTCTGAAAAAAAAATCTCCTTGAGATCTTAATTTGCGGAGAGAGAGAACGTTGGAAAGCCCAAGGTTCTGGGGCCCTCTGTGCTGGTCGTGACCTCACAGGCAGCAGCAGCTCTATCGCCCTGAGCGGTCAGGGTGCTGGGAGGAGAACTCAGCTCCGGTGCTACAGACACAGAGGATCAGTCGCAATCCCAGGGGCGACTGCAGTCCTGCCCTCCTTTCTGCTGGGATCCTGCATGAGGACTATAAATAGTGCAGTGGGTGATTAGGGCTGAGAGTGGGGAGGCAGCGGGGGAGCAGCCCCTGCCCTAGAAAAGAATGGAAATACGTTGTTTTTAAAGAAAAGAAAAAGAAACAGAAATAAGAAGCACTTCTGTATCTCCTTGGCCGACTTAACCCCAAGTCTTGTTTCTGATGGTTCCACACAATTCCCATATGGAAAGGGAAGATAGCAGTCTTTTTTTTTTTTTTTTGAGACAGGGACTCACCTCTGTCACTCAGGCTGGAGTGCAGGGGCTTGATCACAGCTCACTGCAGCCCTGACTTCCCAAGCTCATGTGATCCTCCCACCCCTGCCTCCCAAGTAGCTGGGACTATAGGCACACGCTGCCACGCCCCACTCTTTTTTTCTATATTTTGTAGAGATGGGGTTTCGCCATGTTTCTCAGACTGGTCTTGAATTCCTGGGCTCAAGCAATCTGTCTGCCTCGGCCTCCCAAAGTGTTGGGATTACAAGCGTAAGCGCCTGGCCCTGCCAAGTCTTGAATAAACATTCTTTTAAAAAAAATACAGCAATTAGCCGGGCATAGTGGGGCACGCCTGTAATCCCAGCTACTCGGGAGGCTGAGGCAGGAGAATTGCTTGAACGCAGGAGGGGAGGTTGTGGTGAGCCAAGATTGCACCACTGCACTCCAGCCTGAGCGACAGAGCGAGACTTCGTCTCAAAAAATAAAATAAAAAAATAAAATACAGCTAGAACTTCCAAAACAGAGAGGACACCCATTGATGGAGGCAGCTCCTGGACCTAGAGCCACCCGGGCAAGGAAGCCCTTCCCTTGAGCTGAAACCCCACCCCTTTCTGGGGTACATCCCTCCCCCTATCAGGGAAGCCTCACCTGCTGCTGGGAGTCGGGGCATTGGATGGGCTAAACCTGTAGGGTCCATTTTTCAAGGTGTCCTGGAACTCCCTCCTCTGGGCATCTATGCCTGTGGTCTAGTTTGAGCAATCTCTGGCTTTCTTGCATAAGAAAACTTCACTTTCAACAGTTACCCTGCTCCATTCCCCTGGTTCCTGAGGCAAGAACAATGGCTTTCTTTGGCCAGTACAAAGGCTGTCATCCTTCCGATTGATTATAAAGCCCACTAGTGGCTTTCTGACCACACGCTGGCACAAGTTCCTTCTGTTTGTTCAGCAAACAGGCATTGCGCATCTTCTCTGCTACAGCTGGCACTGAGCAACATCCCTGGGGCATCTCCGTGACAACCACATCCCACTTTCCATCTACCTTAAGAAAATGACCCTATACATGCTATGGAAGGCTTATGTCTCAGACTGATTGGAATTAGGATTTTAGAACAAGAAAGTTACTTCATTTCTACTAATTTATTCCCACATTGTTTTGCTGATGTGCACATTGAGCACAAAGAGGCAAAATGACTGTAGTAAAGTTATAAAGCTGGTTAATGGTGGCCGGGCACGGTGGCTCACGCCTATAATCCCAACACTTTGGGAGGCCGAAGCAGGTGGATCACTTGAGGCCAGGAGTTCGAGACCAGCCTGGCCAACATGATGAAACCTCGTCTCTATTAAAAATACAAAAAAATTAGCCAGGTGTGGTGGTGCGCACCTGTAATCACAGCTACTCGGGAGCTTGAGGTGGGAGAATTGCTTGAACCTGGGAGGCAGAGGTTGCAGTGAGCTGAGATTGAGCCACTGCACTCCAGTCTGAGCAACAGAGTGAGACCCTGTCTCAAAATAAAGAAAGAAAGAAATAAAGCTGGCTAATGGCGAAGCAGGAGGAAAACCCCTGTGTATTACTCAGGATTGAATCTGGCTACAAATAACAACAGACAAGTAAACAACAACAACAACAAAATATAACAGTGGCTTGAACGGGATAGAAGCTTATTTCTCTCTCAGACTGGGTGGTCAGTAGAGGACTTGTTGGCCACTCCACAATTCTAGGAGCCCAGGCTTTTTTTCACTGTGGCTCTGGCTTCCAGGAACCTCATGGTCCAAGACGGCTGCTTGTACTCTGGTCATCACTTCACCATCCTAGCCAGCAAGAAGAAAGAACTGAAGGGAAAGGGGGAGGGCATCCCCACTCCCTTTTAAGAGGAATTCCAGTGGCTCACGCCTGTAATCCCAGCACTTTGGGAGGCTGAGGTGGGCGGATCACCTGAGGGCAGGAGTTGGAGACCAGCCTGGCCAACATAGTGAAACCCTGTCTCTATTAAAGATACAAAAATTAGCTGGGCGTGGTAGCAGGCACCTGTAATCCCAGCTACTATGGAGGCTGAGGCAGGAGAATCACTTGAACCCAGGGGGCAGAGGTTGCAGTGGGCCAAGATCATGCCCCTGCACTCCAGCCTGGGTGACAGAGTGAGACTCCATCTCCCCCCACAAATAATAATAACTAATAAATAAAGTAATTAATTAAATTTTTTAAAAAAGAAGACTTCCCCAAAGTTCCACACAACACTTGGGTTTGTTTCTTACTGTTTTGAACTTGGCCTTCAGGCCATAACTCCTTTAAGGGAGGCTGGGAAATGTCATTTAGCTGGGGAGTAATGTGACTAGCTGAAATGTTATCGTTGTTTTTCAACTGGGAAGAAGGGGAGAATGGGTATTGAGAGGCATCTAGAAATCTCTTCTGAGGTCTCCCATCTACCAGCCCTGAGCTGCTTTTGTTACTCCAAGACTGGGTATGGGGTTTAGCCTTATAACAGGGGTGTCTAGTCTTTCGGCTTCCTTGGGCCACAATAGAGGAAGAATTATCTTGGGCCACATATAAAATACACTAATGGCTGGGCACAGTGGCTCATGCCTGTAATCCTAGCACTTTGGGAGGCCGAGGCAGGTGAATCACTTAAGGTCAGGAGTTTGAGAGACCAGCCTGGCCAACATGGTGAAACCCATCTCTACTAAAAATACAAAAATTAGCTGGAAATCGCTTGAACCCAGGAGGCAGAGGTTGCAGTGCGCCGGGATTGTGCCACTGCACTCCAGCCTGGGCAACAGTGTGAGACTCCATCTCAAATAAATAAATAAATAAATAAAATTAAATTAAATACACTAATCATAGCTGATGAGCTAAAAAAAAAAACTCACAAAAAAATCTCATAATATTTTAAGAAAGTTTACAAATTTGTGTTGGGCCACATTCAAAGCCATCCTGAGCCCCATGTGGCCCGTGGGCCACAGGTTGGACAAGCTTGATTTAGGACATTATTGAACATAGTCCTAATGAGGTCATTGCCCTCTGTGCCTGTGTGTGAGGGGTCTGGGATTGTTAGCAAATGACAACGAAAACTAAGGGAAGATTGGAAGTGAAGCTGAACCCCAGGCATAGTTACATAATATTCCTAGCTTACCCAGTACTAGAAATAATAATAATAATATCACCGGTCAAGTGCCTACTATATGCATTATGGGTATTATTTAATTTGCCACAAAGCCCTGAAAGTACAATTATTATTTCCATTTTACACAAGAGACGCAGAGAGGATAAATAACTCATCCAGTGTCACAAAGCTAGAAAAGGGTAAATCTAGATTTTTTTTTTTTTTTTGAGACAGACTCTTGCTCTGTCCCCCAGGCTGGAGTCCAGTGGCACGATCTTGACTCACTACAACCTCCACCTCCCAGGTTCAAGTGATTCTCCTGCCTCAGCCTCCCAAGTAGCTGGGATTACAGGCACACACCACCACGCCTGGCCAAATTTTGTATTTTTAGTAGAGCTGGGGTTTTGCCATGTTGGCTAGGGTGGTCTCGAACTCCTACCTCAAGTGATCCACCTGCCTCAGCCTCCCAAAGTGCTGGGATTACAGGCATGAGCCACCATCCCTAGCTATCAATCTAGAATTTAAACCCAGGTAGATTAAACTCAGAGCTCACACACTGGCCTAGCACCTTCCAGTATCTTTCTTTTTGTTCTACTGTCTAAAACAACCAGCTTAATGGAAGTACAGTAGACGTAGAGTTTCCAGATAAAAGACACAACTCCCCATTCAATTTAAATTTTAGTTAAAGAATTATAATTTTGGCCGGGCGCGGTGGCTCAGGCCTGTAATCCTAGCCCTTTGGGAGGCTGAGGCGGGCGGATCATGAGGTCAGGAGATCAAGACCATCCTGGCTAACACGGTGAAACCCCATCTCTACTAAAAATACAAAAAATTATCCAGGTGTGGTGGCCGGTGCCTGTACTCCCAGCTACTCGGGAGGCTGAGGCAGGAGAATGGCGTGAACCTGGGAGACGGAGGTTGCAGTGAGCTGAGATTGCGCCACTGCACTCCAGCCTGGGTGACAGAGCGAGACTCTGTCTCAAAAAAAAAAAAGAAAGAATTATAATTTTTGGCCGGGCTCGGTGGCTCACACCTGTACTTCCAGCACTTTGGGGGGCTGTGGGAGGTGGAACATCTGAGGTCAGGAGTTCGAGACCAGCCTGGCTAACATGGTGAAACCCCATTTCTACTAAAAATACAAAAAATTAGTCGGGCGTGGTGGCATGCACCTGTAAACCCAGCTACTTGGGAGGCTGAGGCAGGAGAATCGCTTGAACCTCGGGGGAGGAGGTTGCATTAAGCTGAGATTGCGCCATTGCACTGTAGCTTGGGCAACAAGAGCGAAACTCCATCTCAAAAACAAAACAAAACAAAAAAGAGCCAGGCGCGGTGGCTCACACCTGTAATCCCAGCACTCTGGGAGGCCAAGGTGGGTGGATCACGAGGTCAGGAGATCGAGACCATCCTGGCTAACACGGTGAAACCCCATCTCTACTAAAAATACAAAAAATTAGCTGGGTATGGTGGTGGACACCTGTAGTCCCAGCTACTTGGGAGGCTGAGGCAGGAGAATGGTGTGAACCTTGGGAGGTGGAGCTTGCAGTGAACTGAGACTCCGTCTCAAAAAAAAAAATAACTACTAACTTTTCAGTATATCTCCTCCAATATTTAAGACATACTTATACTCATTGTGGCTTTACTGGATATGAAGTGAATCAAATTTGGAACTGATATTTTGAATTTGAATTTGGTAACCCTGATCAGATTGAAAAGCAAAGTTGTCTGGCCTTCATCGCACCAGGCCTCAGTGTGGCCATCTGAAAGATGGGAGCTAAGGCTTACTTAGTCAATGCACAGAAAAGAATCATCACCCATTAATTCTGTGGAGTAAGGGCAAGGTCACGGAGTTCACATTTACTCAGTAGGAACATTGCCAACAGGAGGAACTGTCTGAGCCAACTCCCTATCTGAGTTGCTGGAGGAGCCTAGGGGTTTATACTCCAATAATCTCAGATTGGAAAACTGCCACCACCATCTGGCCCTGAAAGTGTTCACACTAGGATTTCTTTGTTTGGTTCTTTGGTAGCCAACTCGGAGATTTCTTTGCTGGACATTGAGGTTCTTTTTCTTCTTAGTGAGATCACTGCCTCCCAGAGGTCGGCAGCAGGGAGAACACCAACAGAATTTTGCAGACACTGTGGCTCCAGACTCCTTGAGAGACGGGGAGGGGAGGAACAGGAGATACCGATGCCACTAATATAGCCAGTTTCCTCAACTGTGAAGAAAAGATCATGCGTTCTTCCCACTCTGCCTAACTCAGCAAGATGGCTGTAAAATGATAGGGAACCACAAGACTCTTTCCTGAGCCTCAAAACAGAAATCATATTATAATATTAGCTAGGCAGGGTGGCACACATCTGTAGTCCTAGCTACTTGGGAGGCTGAGGCAGGAGGATCGCTTGAGCCTGGGAGGTTGAGGTTGCAGTAAACCGTGTTTGTGCTATTGCACTCTAGCCTGGGTGACAAAGGGATATCTTGTCTCATAATAACAATAATTGTGTTCCAATTTTTCTGTACACACACACACACAATAACAGATAACGCCTACTGTGCATTGAGCATGCATTGCTCTAAGTGCTGTGTGCACATTTGTTCATTTAATGCTCACAACAACCCTACAAGGTGGATTACTCTATTTTCCATATTTTACAGTTGAGGAAACAGGCAGAGAGAAGTTGAGAAACTTGCCCAAGGCAAGAATGTCAAATCCTTTCTTCCTTAGAAACAACTGTTTAGAGGCTGGGCGTGGTGGCTCACACTTGTAATCCCAGCACTTTGGGAGGCCAAGGTGGGAGATCACCTGAGGTCAGAAGTTTGAGACCAGCCTGACCAACATGGAGAAACCTTGTCTCTACAAAAAAACACAAAATTAGCTGGGTGTGGCGGCACATGCCTGTACTCCCAGCTACTCAGGAGACTGAGGCAGGAGAATCGCTTGAACCCGGGAGGCAGAGGTTTCAGTGAGCTGAGATCATGCCATTGCACTCCAGCCTGGGCAACAAGAGTGAAACTCCATCTCAAAACAAAAAAAAAAAAAAAAAAAGGAAAGGAAAAAAGAAATAACTGTTTAGATATTAAATATTATTGTTACAATGAGATCTGCAACCCCCTTTTGGGGGTTAGGGTATCTTTGGAAGAGTCTACAGAGCTCCAAACTGTATAATCAGTCAGACAAAGGGCAAAGGGTGTTTCTTGACCACGGACTTCTGTTGCTCTGGCTTTGAGCCCCGTGTGTAGCTCCTTCTGCATTGCCTCTTCTCTGGCTCTTGCTGAAAGCCACGCCTCATCCTGGGGGATTTGTTACACCTGAGAATATGGTCATGCCTGAGTCACACTGGCTGGCAGTTATGACAGCTCCGAGCGCCAGGGTGACAGACGTGATGTTGGTGGCTTCTTTGCTCTCTGTTCAGAGGGTGACCAGAGCTCTAATTTATGACAACTGGCAGATACAGGGCCAGTATCCAGCCTAGACCCTCGGGGTGACCCCTGCAGCTTGCTCTGAGATGGAAGTGAGGTCTTGAAAGTATATGTTCACCTAAGGCAGTCATGAGAATGAACGGTGATAGGTACTAGATACTCTTTTATTATTATTATTATTATTATTATTATACTTTAAGTTTTAGGGTACATGTGCACAACGTGCAGGTTAGTTACATATGTATCCATGTGCCATATTGGTGTGCTGCACCCAGTAACTCGTCATTTAACATTAGGTATATCTCCAAATGCTATCCCTCCCCCCTCCCTCCACCCCACAACAGGCCCCGATGTGTGATGTTCCCCTTCCTGTGTCCATGTGTTCTCATTGTTCGATTCCCACCTATGAGTGAGAACATGCGGTGTTTGATTTTTTGTCCTTGTGATAGTTTGCTGAGAATGATTGTTTCCAGCTTCATCCATGCCCCTACAAAGGACATGAACTCATCATTTTTTATGGCTGCATAGTATTCCACGGTGTATATGTGCCACATTTTTTTAATTCAGTCTATCATTGTTGGACATTTGGGTTGGTTCCAAGTCTTTGCTATTGTGAATAGTGCCGCAATAAACATACATGGATAGGCACTAGATACTCTTCAAATGCTTTGTGCAGAAGAGATCCTGGCTCTGAAAATCCAAGATGCTGGATCAGGGATGTATTCATTGGACCAGGTTAGCCCTTAAAATCAACAGTCCTTTTCCTCTTTGCAAAAAGCTTTCAAATTCCCTTCTTCAAGCTTTAGTCGAAACTACCTCTCGATTCTCATATGTGTTCATTCATTCAATCACTCATTGATTCAGTCCAAAATATTTATTAAATGCCCACAATGTAACTGCCTTGAAATAGTCATTTGCCTAAACTAGTAAAAAGAAAGTTTGGGCCGGACACAGTGGCTCACGCCTATAATCTCCAGCACTTTGGGAGGCCGAGGCGAGTGGATCACCTGAGGTCAGGAATTGGAGACCAGCCTGGCCAACATGGTGAAACCCCGTCTGTACTAAAAATACAAAAATTAGCCAGGCCTGGTGGCATGCGCCCATAATCCTAGTTACTCAGGAGGCTGAGGCAGAAGAATTGCTTGAACCTGGGAGGTGGAGGTTCCAGTGAGCCAAGATTGCGCTACTGCACTTCAGCCTGGGTGACAGAGAGAGACTTCATCTCAGAAAAAAAAAAAAAAGAAAAGAAAAGGCCAGGCGTGGTGGCTCACACCTGTAATCCTAGCATTTTGGGAGGCTGAGGTGGGTAGATCACCTGAGGTCAGGAGTTCGAGAACAGCCTGGCCAACATGGCGAAACCCTGTCTCTAATAAAAATACAAAAAATTAGCTGGGCATGGTGGCAGGTGCCTGTAATCCCAGCTACTTGGGAGGCTGAGGCAGGGAGAATTGCTTAAACCTGGGAGGCAGAGGTCGCAGTGAGCTGAGATCATACCACTACACTCCAGCCTGGGGAACAGAGCAAGACTCCATCTCAAAAAAAAAAAAAAAAAAAAAGTTTGTGCTTTACACTATAGAATTAAAAAATGACAAGACCCATGTATCTTGAATTTAGCATGAATATAAATTATGATTAGAGATTACTGTAGCAGGACACTCAAGAGAACATAATACGCTGATTTTGAGAATGCAAAGGACTCAGTGAACAGTTTGCTTTTGTGGAGAAGATCAGCAAGTCTGTGCATTCCAGTTACCATTTCATATTTATGTTAAATCTAAGTTTACTCTGTATGTTGTCTATTCACCAAGAGGGGAAACTCTTTCTTATAATAGTGAAAATTGAACCTCTTTCTTATAATAATGATAGATGTAAGGACTGTGACTTACAATCTATGAATGTTTGTTTTAGGAAACTACATGTTACAGATTTTTTTTTTTTTTTTTGAGACAGAATTTTGCTCTTGTTGCCCAGGCTGGAGTGCAATGGCACGATCTCAGCTCACTGCAACCTCCGCCTCCTGGGTTTGAGCGATTCTCCTGCCTCAGCCTCCTAAGTACCTGGGATTACAGGCATGCACCACCACGCCTGGCTAATTTTTGTACTTTTTTTTTTTTTTGAGACGGAGTCTCACTCTGTCACCCAGGCTGGAGTGCAGTAGCGCGATCTCGGCTCACTGCAAGCTCTGCCTCCTGGGTTCATGCCATTCTCCTGCCTCAGCCTCCTGAGTAACTGGGACTACAGGTGCCCACCGGCTAATGTTTTATATGTTTAGTAGAGACGGAGTTTCACTGTGTTACCCAGGATGGTCTCGATCTCCTGACCTCGTGATCCTCCCACCTCGGCCTCCCAAAGTGCTGGGATTACAGGTGTGAGCCACCGCCCCTGGCCTAATTTTTGTATTTTTGAGATAGGGTTTCTCCATGTTGGTCAGGCTGGCCTCAAACTTCTGCTCTCAGGTGACGCGCCCGCCTCAGCCTCCCAAAGTGCTGGGATTACAGGCATGAGCCACTGTGCCCGGCCTATGTTATAGATTTGTTTTTTTTAAAAACCTGTGTATTTGGTTAGAGGTGTAAGACATATTTATTCTAGAAGATTCTAAAAGGTTGACCTTAGTCATCAATTTGATGATAACGAAGCCACTGACTGGTACCTCCCTGGTTCAGTTTTAATCCACCAGGATAAATGACTACATTGGCCGGGCATGGTGGCGCAAACATTTGTAATCACAACATTTTGGGAGGCTTTGGCAGATGGATCACTTGAGGTCAGGAGTTCAAGACCAGCCTGCCTAACATGGTGAAACCCTGTCTCTAATAAAAAAAAAAAAAATTAGCCAGGTGTGGTGGTGTGCCCCTGTAATCCCAGCTACTTGGGAGGCTGAGGCAGGAGAATCACTTTAACCAGGAGACAGAGGTTGCAGTGAGCCAAGATCGCGCCACTGCACTCCAGCCTGGGCAACAGAGCAAGACTCGGTCTCAAAAAAAATTAATTAAAAAATGAAGACTATTGGGCTGGGCGCGGTGACTCACACCTGTAATCCCAGCACTTTGGGAGGCCAACGTGGGTGGATCACCTGAGGTTGGGAGCTAGAGACCAGCCAGACCAACATGGAGAAACCCAGTCTCTACTAAAAATACAAAATTAGCTGGGCGTGGTGGCACACGCCTGTAATCCCAGTTACTCGCGAGGCTGAGGCAAGAGAATTGCTTGAACCCGGGAGGCGGAAGTTGTGGTGAGCTGAGATCACGCCATTGCACTCCAGCCTGGGCAACAAGAGTGAAACTCTATCTCAAAAAAAAAAAAGAAAAAAAAAAAAGAAGACTACATAGACCTCCAGAAGTAGAAACATACCTTGATGCACATATTTTCATTAAAAAATTTTTTGTTTATTTTTATTTATTTATTTTTGAGACGAATCTCACTCTGTTGCCTAGGCTGGAGTGCAATGGTGCAATATAGGCAATTTTTGGTAGAGACGGGGTTATGCCATGTTGTCCAGGCTGGTTTCGAACTCCTGACCTCAAGTGATCTACCCGCCTCACTACTGTACTTAATCAATGCCATATCATTTGTTGAACATCCCTCCTCCCTGCAGGAGGAGATTACTGAAGACAGGACTAGCTCTGTCTTGTCCACTGTGCTGATTGTTTTTTGTTTGCTTTTTGTTTTTAAGATGGAGTCTCGCTCCGACGCCCAGGCTGGAGTGCAGTGGCGCAATCTCAGCTCACTGCAACCTCTGCCTCCCAGGTTCAAGCAATTCTGGTGCCTCAGCTTCCTGAGTTGCTGGGACTACAGGCACATGCCACCATGCCTGGCTAATTTTTTTGTATTTCTAATAGAGACGGGGTTTCACCATGTTGGCCAGGCTGTTCTCAAACTCCTGACCTCAGGTGATTTGCCCGCCTTGGCCTCCCAAAGTGCTGGGATTACAGGCATGAGCCACCGCACCCGGCTTTATTTTGTTTTTGAGGCAAGAGTCTCACTCTGTGGGCCAGGCTGGAGTGCAGTGGTGTGATCATGGCTCACTACAAACTCTGCCTCCTGGGTTCAAATGATTCTCATGCCTCAGCCTCCCTAGCAGCTGGGATTACAGGTGTGCACCACCATGCCTGGCTAATTTTTGTATTTTTAGTAGAAATGGGGTTTTGCTATGATGGCCAGGCTGGTCTCGAACTCCTGGGCTCAAGCAATCCACCTGCCTCCGACTCCCACTGTGCTGGGATTATAGGCACGAGCCACCGCACCCAGCCTACTATGCTATTTGGATTAGCACAGTCCTGGCACATAACAGGCAATCAATAAATACTTGCTACATGAAAGAATTAGAATCCCAGAGTTCTCACTGTGTGATGACAGAAAAAAACCCAAAAGAACCCCAGAGTAAGTTAGCTGACAAGTTCATCAAAGAAAAGAGAATATCCTGAGTAGCTTCATCCCCACCATCCAAAAATGTGCCCACCTGAAGTTAACTTGTCCCATTCAGCAGAGTGGGCCGCTCTCAGGGGCTCACAGTGGTTCCACCAAACTGTTGCCCAGTGAAACCAGTATTCAATGTCTCTGAGCTTCCTCAGGACTTCCCCATTGAGGCATCCAAAGCAGAAGATGCAGATTTAAATTTCAAAGTTATGCCGAGCATGGTGGCTCACGCCTGTTAACCCCAGAACTTTGGGAGACCGAGGCAGGCAGATCACGAGGTCAGGAGTTTGAGACCAGCCTAGCCAATATGGTGAAATCCCATTTCTACTACAAATACAAAAATTAGCCAGGTGCAGTGGCGCGCCTGTAATTCCGGCTACTCGGTAGGCTGAGGCAGAGAATTGCTTGAACCTGGGTGGTGGAGGTTGCAGTGAGCCGAGATGGCGCCACTGCATTCCAGCCTGGGCGACAGAGAGAGATTCCGTCTCAAAAAAAAGAAAAGGAAAACTAAAAAGAAAATGCCCCCTATGCATGTGAAGTGCTGACTAGTGTTCCTAAGTGCAAGAAGCTGGAGATGTTCCTTATGGAGAAAATATGTGTGTTAGAAAAGCTTCATCCAGGCCAGGCATGGTGGCTCATGCCTGTAAGCCCAACACTTTGGGAGGTCAAGGCAGTAGGATCACTTAAGCCCATAAGTTCATGACCAGCCTGGGCAACATTGTGAGACCCTGCCAAAAAAAAAAAAAAAAAGAGAGAGAGAAAGAAACAAAAAAAAAATTTTATCCAGGCGTGAGTTATGCTGTAAGCAAGTTCAACATTAATGAAGCAACAATATATACTAAATAAGGTATTTTTAAACAGTAACATACATAAAACAAGGCTGTGTACTGATAGATAAAAATGTAACCAGAGGCTCAAAGAACCTAGCCCTATGTTTCTCCTAGGGAAACAAGTATAGTATTTCATAATTAGTGTTCAAGATGACTTTATAAAACATGATGACTTTGGCCGGGCATGGTGGCTCACGCCTGTAATCCCAGCACTTTGGGAGGCTGAGGCGGGCAGATCACGAGGTCAGGAGATCAAGACTATTCTGGCTAACATGGTGAAACCCGGTCTCTACTAAAAAAATACAAAAAAATTAGCTGGCTGTGGTGGTGGGCACCTGTAGTCCCAGCTACTCAGGAAGCTGAGGAAGGAGAATGGCGTGAACCCGGGAGGCAGAGCTTGCAGTGAGCCGAGATTGTGCTACTACACTCCAGCCTGGGCAACAGAGCAAGACTCCATCTCAGAAAAAAAAAAGAAGAAAATACGATGACTTCAAATAAGAAGAATCAACTGTGTATATACACACATGTATACATATACAGATACACACATAACTCATTTAATCCTTACAATACTCCTATGAAAGAGAAATATTTTTTTTTTTTGAGACGGAGTCTCGCTCTGTCACCCAGGCTGGAGTGCAGTGCTGTGATCTCGGCTCACTGCAAGCTCCGCCTCCCGGGTTCACTCCATTCTCCTGCCTCAGCCTCCTGAGTAGCTGGGACTACAGGCGCCTGCCACCACGCCCGGCTAGTTTTTTGTATTTTTAGTAGAGACGGGGTTTCACTGTGTTAGCCAGGATGGTCTTGATCTCCTGACCTCGTGATCTGCCTGCCTCGGCCTCCCAAAGTGCTGGGATTACAGGCGTGAGCCACCACGCCCAGCCAAAAGATAAATATTTAAGCTCATTTAACAGATGGAAAAATCAGCTCAGAGAGGTTAAGTGGCTTCCCCAAAGTCACACAGCCAATGACTGTGCTTCAGCTCAGTTCTGTTCAACCTAACTTCTCCCTCTTGCCCCTCTCCAAGCTGAAGAAAGAGGTGGGATAAATTCAAAGAACAAGATGTAAGTAGCAAGGCAGAGAATTTTGTTCTGAGAAGCTAAGCATTCAGCCCTGCTGAGCAGAGGGACCTAGAACCCTGTCTCCCACTCTCTCCAGCCCCACCCTCTGGAGTGGGGCCTTAGAAAAAACGAGCAAAGCTGCCTGGGCCCTGGCACGGCTGGTTCAGCTGCGGGTGGACAGTTATATATAATCGAGGATTGATGGCTGCTGTCTCCCCTTTCTCCTTGTGCCTCACAGAAGTCCTGCAATCATTCATCTTTACACAAAACCGGCAGCTGGCAGCCCACCCCCAGCCTCAGGAACTGGCTAGCAAGTCCCTTTACAAGCAGGTCCTGACAGAAAGAACAAAAAGATATTCACCACCGGAGAATATGCAAACAGCAGACAGCAAATGCAGAAAGAATTCATGTTTAGTCTGGAAGAAAAGACGTGGGGGAAACATTGAGATAGAAGCAAAATCAGAATAGCTGCGGGAAGCCCAGAGCCAGCAAGTAGAAGATGATGGCTCTACATGATTCTAAGTATTCCTACTCATTGGGATTTCACCCTCCCAAAGGGAACCGGCTGCTCTGCCCTCTGGATTTCTGGGTGGAGTTGGCCATTGATAATTGGTGATGTGGCACGGTTTCTGCCTGAACACCACCTGCAACATTATTATTATTATTATTATTATTATTATTATTATTATTTGAGATGGAGTCTCGTTCTGTCACCTAGGCCAGAGTGCAGTGGCATGATCTCGGCTCACTGCAATCTCCACCTCCTGGGTTCAAACAATTCTCCCGCCTTAGCCTCCCCGGTAGCTGGGATTACAGGAACGCACCCGGCTTAATTTTTATATTTTTGGTAGAGACAGGGTTTCACCCTGTTGCCCAGGCTGGTCTCAAACTCCTGACCTCAAGTGATCCGTCCACCTTGGCCTCTCACCTGCAACATTTTGCAAGGCAGCCCATTCCAACTGGGCCCCAACCTAATTGCTAGAAATCACTATGGAGATGGGGCTGCGTTCAGGCCCTGGGGATTCACATTGCTCAGATCTCTTTAATTTTATTTATTTATTTATTTTTATTTTTTGAGACAGAGTGTTGCTCTGTTGCCCAGGCTGGAGTGCAGTGGCAGGATCTCGGCTCGCTGCAACCTCTGCCTCCCAGGTTCAAGTGACTCTCCTGCCTCAGCCTCACGAGTAGCTGATGTTACAGGCATGTGCCACCATGACTGGCTAACTTTTTTTATTTTTAGTAGAGACAGGGTTTCACCATGTTGGCCAGGCTGGTCTCGAATTCCTGACCTCAAGTGATCTGCCGGCCTCGGCCTCCCAAAGTGCTGGGATTACAGGTGTGAGCCACTGCACCTGGCCTGCTCAGATCTCTTTAAACCCTGGTATTCTTCAAGTCATGTGGCTATAGACACACGTGTTAGGCTGATGTCAGCCATGAAGAAGATGAAAATAATAATAATAATAATAAAATAATAATAATAATTACCTGGTGAGCTCCTGCTGCCACAAGCCAGGTACCTTTCATACACCTTCCAAACCTCCATCCCAGACAGGCCCTTCTATGCCTGTTTTTCCCTTGGGGAGCACTCGTGCTCACAGGGGAAACTGGGTGCCCAGTGAGATACATCCATTCAGAGGCCACTATGCCATGCTGTCCTACCATCAACACCTAGAACCACCCAGAAGCCAAGAGCTCTGGAGAGAGCGGGCAGGAAGATAGAATTCCTTGGCAGTTCTTTGTTAGAAACAGCTCCTCTGATGGCTGAGTGTGGTGGCTCACGCCTGTAATCCTAGCACTTTGGGAAACCAAGGTGGGCAGGTCACTTCAGGTCAGATGTTCGAGATCAGCCTGGCCAACACGGTGAAACATCCAACTCTAATAAAAATACAAAAATTAGCCGGGCGTGCCACGCCTGGAATCCCAGCTACTCAGCAGACTGAGACAGGAGAATAACTTGAACCCAGGAGGCAGAGATTGCAGTGAGCCAAGATTTCACCACTGTACTTCAGCCTGGGCGACAGAGTGAGACGCTCTCAAAAAATAACGACAACAACAGCAACAACAAAATAGCTCCTTCAGCTCCTGGAAATGAAAGGGGGACCATGTCTTTTCTTTTCTTTTTTTTTTTTTTCTGAGACACAGTCTCGCTGTGTTGCCCAGGCTGGAGTGCAGTGGCAGGATCTCGGCTCACTGCAAGCTCTGTCTCCCAGGTTCACACCATTCTCCTGCCTCAGCCTCCCAAGTAGCTGGGACTACAGGCACCCGCCACCATGCCTGGCTAATTTTTTCTATTTTTTAGTAGAGACGCTGTTTCACCGTGTTAGCCAGGATGGTCTCCATCTCCTGACCTTGTGATCTGCCCGCCTCGGCCTCCCAAAGTGCTGGGATTACAGGCGTGAGCCACTGCGCCTGGCCGACCATGTCTTTTCTACCAGTGATTTCCAACTGAATCTATTTTTAGCAAAACATCACTAAAAAAATCTTGAATAGAACTTGATGAAGAACTTTTGATGCAAGTTGGAGATGGGGGACCCAATAGAATGGGGAGCCTTGTGGCACGTCCCTCATCTCCCTGTAAGGGATGATGGTGATGGCGAAGAAAGCAATCCTATCAGCCACAACGAGACAACAGGCACCTGGTCCTGGTGGGCTCATTTGTCTGGCGGTCTGGCCGCCACCACCCCCCCTAGCTCAAGCTCTCCCTTGCTGGAACTAGGATAAGTACAGCAGCATCTTACCTGGTCTCCCAGCCTCCTCTATTCTCCTGTGTCTGATGAATCCATCATCAAATCACTCTGTCAAACACAGCAGTGGAACCTTCCGAGACTCTTCCTGTAAAAAGTCAGATAGTCAATATTTTAGGCTTTGTCAGCCATCTGCTATCTCTGTTGATAATTTCTTGTTTTGTTTTTACAACTATTTATTTTTTTTAAAAAAATCTCTTGATCGTTGTATGATGGACATGTAAAAAGCTGTACACACAACTTGGTGAGTTTGGGAATAAGTGTGAATCCGTGAAACCATCACCACCATCAAGGTCAATGACATTTCTGTCACCTAAGTTTCCTCCCAGTCCCTTTATCATTATTATTTGATAAATAATATATACATAACATATATTATTTGATAAATAATAATGCGTATGTGTTAACACTTAAGACTTACCCTCTTAGCAATTTATTTATTTATTTTTTTGGGACAGGGTCTGGCTCTGTAGAGTGCAGGCTGGAGTGCAGTGGTGCTATCACAGCTCACTGCAATCTCTGCCTTCCAGGATGAAGCCAACCTCCCAACTTAGCCTCCTGGGACCACAGGCATGCACTACCATGCCTGGCCAATTATTATTTTATTTTATTTTTTTGAGACAGAGTCTTGCTCTGTCACCCAGGCTGGAGTACAGTGGTGTGATCACTGCTCACTACAACCTCCACCTCCTGGGTTCAAGTGATTCTCGTGCCTTAGCCTCCTGAGTAGCTGGGACTACAGGCATGCACCACCATGGCCAGCTCATTTTTGTGTTTTTTAGTAGAGATGGGGTTTTACCATGTTGGCCAGGCTGGTCTCAAACTCCTGGTCTCAAGCCGTCCTACTGTGTCCAGAATTGGTGGGTTCTTGGTCTCACTGACTTCAAGAATGAAGCCACGGACCCTCGCAGTGAGTGTTACAGTTCTTAAAGGCGGCGTGTCTGGAGTTTGTTCCTTCTGATGTTTGGATGTGTTCGGAGTTTCTTCCTTCTGGTGGGGTTCGTGGTCTCACTGGCTCAGGAGTGAAGCTGCGGACCTTCGTGGTGAGTGTTACAGCTCATAAAGGTAGCGTGGACCCAAACAGCAGCAGCAAGATTCATTGCAAACAGCGAAAGAACAAAGCTTCCACACCCTGGAAGGGGACCAGAGCAGGTTGCCCCTGCTGGCTCAGGCAGCCTGCTTTTATTCTCTTATTTGGCCCCACCCACATCCTGCTGATTGGTCCATTTTACAGAGAGCCCAGTGGTCTGTTTTGACAGGGTGCTGATTGGTGTGTTTACAATCCCTGAGCTAGACACAAAGGTTCTCCACATCCCCACTAGATTAGCTAGATACAGAGTGTGGACACAAAGGTTCTCCAAGTCCCCACCAGAGTAGCTAGATACAGAGTGTGGATTGGTGCATTCACAAACCCTGAGCTAGACACAGGGTGCTGATTGGTGTGTTTACAAACCTTGAGCTAGATACAGAGTGCCAATTGGTGTATTTACAATCCCCTAGCTAGACATAAAGGTTCTCCAAGTCCCCACCAGTCAGGAGCCCAGCTGGCTTCACCCAGTGGATCCCCTACCGGGGCCGCAGGTGGAGCTGCCTGCCAGTCCCGCGCCCTGCGCCCACACTCCTCAGCGCTTGGGTGGTCAATGGGACTGGGCGCCGTGGAGCAGGGGGCCGCGCTCGTCGGGGAGGCTTGGGCCGCACAGGAGCCCACGGGGTGGCGGGCGGGGGGTGGGGAGGCTCAGGCATGGCGGGCTGCAGGTCCCGAGCCCTGCCCGGCGGGAAGGCAGCTAAGGCCCGGCGAGAAATTGAGCATAGCAGCTGCTGGCCCAGGTGCTAAGCCCCTCACTGCCCGGGCCATCAGCCCGCGGCTCAGAGTGCGGGGCCGGCGGAGCCCACGCCCACCCGGAACTCGCCGCTGGCCCGCAAGCACTGCGCGCAGCCCCGGTTCCCGTCCGCGCCTCTCCCTCCACACCTCCCTGCAAGCTGAGGGAGCCGGCTCCGGCCTTGGCCAGCCCCAAAAGGGGCTCCCACAGTGCAGCGGCGGGCTGAAGGGCTCTTCAAGTGCCGCCAAAGTG
Source organism: Homo sapiens (assembly GCF_000001405.40). NCBI lineage: Eukaryota > Metazoa > Chordata > Mammalia > Primates > Hominidae > Homo > Homo sapiens. The sequence continues at coordinate 13,439,172 of NC_000001.11, read as the reverse complement.
GGAGCCCAGGCAGAGGAGGCGCCGAGAGCGAGCGAGGGCTGTGAGGACTGCCAGCACGCTGTCACCTCTCACTACCTCCTCGGTCTCCCAAAGTGCTGGGATTACAGGCGTAAGCCACCACACCCGGCCCAGCTAATTTTTGCATGTTTGGTAGAGATGGGGTCTCGCTATGTCTCAGGCTGGCCTCGAACTCTTGAGCTCAAGCACTCTGCCTGCCTTACCCTCCCAAAGTACTGGGATTACAGGTGTGAGCCACCTCACCCGACCTTCGTTAGCACATTTTAAGGACACAGTACAGTGCTGTTAGCTACAGGCACTATGCAATATAGTAGATCTCCAGAACTGATTTGTCTTGCATAATTGAAACTTCATCCTCTTTGACCATCACCTCCCCATCTCCCCTCCCCCCTCGTCCATGGCAACCGCCATTTTACTCTCTGCTTCTATGAGTGTGACTATTTTAGATTCTACATATAAATGAGATCATATAGTATTCGTCTTTCTGTGTCTAGCTTTAGTTCACAGGTCTTATTCTAACAGGCTATAGGCTAGATTTGGCCCATGGGCTGTAATTGGCTGACCCCAGGCTGAGAGAATAAACTGCGGTTTGAACCTGGCATTCAAGGCCTCCCGTGATCTTTCCTGAAGCCCCTTTTTGAGTCTTATCACAAGTTACTGTCTTTCCCAAAAGCAGAGCGCTCACACAACCGTAACCACCCATGGGCCCCCACTTCTGTAGCGCTCCCTGTACTTTTCCTTCTTCCTAGAATGCCATCTGCCAACCTCTTACACCCTTTGAAATCTTAGTCTCAAGTGCCGCCTCTTCTATGAATTTTCCTGGATTCTCCTCTGCAGGGCTTGCTGCATGCAGTTGGAAATGCTACACCCTTGTGCAGTGCACAACCTGTACAACCAAATGCAGTTGCCTTCTCTGCCCCTAGATACAAGTAATTTCTTTCTCTGAAACCAACCAAATAGTCCCATAGATGGTTTTTTGGATAACATAGAAATTAACCATTCTGGTTTTACAGCTTGAAACTCACATTTGTTTTTTGTTGTTGTTGTTGATTTTTTGAGACAGATTTTCACTCTTGTTGCCCAGGCTGGAGTGCAATGGCGCAATCTCGACTCACCGCAACCTCCACCTCCTGGGTTCAAACGATTCTCCTGCCTCACCCTCCTGAGTAGCTGGGATTACAGGCATGCACCACCTCGCCCAGCTAATTTTGTAGTTTTAGTAGAGACAGGGTTTCTCCATGTTAGTCAGGATGGTCTCCAACTCCCAACCTCAGGTGATCTACCCGCCCAAAGTGCTGGGATTACAGGCGTGAGCCACTGCGCCTGGCCGAAACTCACATTTGTTTTATGTGAGTTCTTTCCTCCAGTCCTCTTAAAAAAAAAAAAAAAAAGGTATCAAAGAACTGAAACTCACCAGATCACCAAATCCAGACAATGAGACACTGGATCCCTCATTCATCATGATTGCTTCCTTGCTCCTCCCTAGTTCCTCTTTTTTTACCTATTGCTACATTTCTTCCTTGCTATATGAAGCCCTTGTTTTAGTTTTAGTCAGGGAGATGGATTTGAGACCCAGCTCCCATTTCCTCAGCTTCAGCACCTAATTAAAGCCTTCTTTCTTGGCAAAAATTGACTCAGTGATTGACTTTCTGTGCAGTGAGCAGCAGAACCTAGGCTGAACTGATGTTTCAATAACACCTCCTCCAAACTTCAAAAATAATATTTATTTTATGAAGCATTTTTCCTATCTAGATTCATCATTTTCCCCACATGGGTGTTCACCTCTCTACCTCCTGTTACTACACTGTTGTTTTACTGAGGCTACCTCCTCGAAGTACCTTGCATTTCTTTCCTTCACTTTTCTTTTTTTCTTTTTTTTTCTTTTTTTTTTTTTTTTGGAGGCAGTGTCTTGCTCTGTCACCCAGGCTGGAGTGCAGTGGTGTGATCTCGGCTCACTACAACCTCCGCCACCTGGGTTCAAGGTTCAAGCAATTCTCCTGCTTCAGCTTCCCGAGTAGCTGGGATTACAGGCATGTGCACCACACCTGGCTAAATTTTTGTATTTTTAGTAGAGAAAGGGTTTCACCATATTGGCCAGGCTGGTCTCAAACTCCTGACCTCTGGTGATCCGCCCACCTTAGCCTCCCAATGTGCTGGGATTACAGGCGTGAGCCATCATGCCCAGCCCTTCCCTCCACTTTCTTTTCTTTTTTTTTGAGATACAGTCTTGCTCTGTTTCCCGGGCTGGAGTGCAGTGGTGCAATCTCAGCTCACTGCAACCTCCGCCTCCTGGGTTCAAGTGATTCTTCAGCCTCAGCCACCCGAGTAGCTGGGATTACAGGCATGCACCATCATGCCTGGCTAATTTTTTGTATTTTTAGTAGAGACAGGGTTTCACCATGCTGGCCAGGCTGGTCTCGAACTCCTGACCTCAGGTGATCTGCCTACCTCGGCCTCCCAAAGTGCTGGGATTACAGGCATGAGCCACCGCACCCGGCCCCTTCCCTCCACTTTCTATGTTACAGATTGAAGTTTCCAAAAATGGCTGCAGTAATAGTTCCCACCCCACATGCCCTTCTGCAAAATGATTCTGCCATGGCCCCATCAAGAGGCAGGTCGGCCTTGGGTGTGGGGCGGCCCTGGGACGGCTCTGACTAATAGTATATGGAGAAGTGAGGCTGGGTCAGCTTCGGGGGAAGAGCCTACCTGGCCTAGCAGGCTCTGCTTCTTGCCCCTTCAAATCTGGCATCGTATATGAAGCCTGGCTACCCTGAGACCACCAGGCTGTGAGAAACCCAGCCACCAGAGGTGGGGCAGACCCTGGTGGGTACAAGCCACATGGAAAGAGACAGGAAGAAACCAGGAGCACCAAGAAGCCAGGCTCGTGAGCAAAGGAGCTCCTGGACACTTCAGCACTGTAGACACCTCATGGAGAAGACCAGGTCACACACAAATGACCCCAGTGGAGCCGTTCAGGGCTCCCCACATGAGGCCCCAGACATTGAGGAGCAGAGATGCTGTTCCCACGGAGCCACTCAAATTCCTGAAACCTGAGCGTGGATGGTCAGTACGGATGAATATGATGGGTGAGCCCCTGCCTTCCTAGAGCTGGCCATCTGGAAGAAACAAGAGTGTGCATCGTGGCAAACTGAGATACCTTTGTTCTGTGGAGGAAATCAACAGGGTGAGTGGTGGGAACAGTGGAGGTGGTCAGGGAGGGCTTCTCTGAGGAGGTGGCACCGAAGCTGAGACCTGGAGGACCAGAAGGAACCAATGTACTACAAGGAAATGTGGGGGAGGGTGCAGGGAGAGAACTCCAGACAGAGAGGAGAGGTCCCCTGGCTGTCAGCTCCCCAGAGCCAAGGTTGATGCAGACAATTACAGCTCCTTGTCCCAACTCCCACCCCAACCTCCAGCAGTGGGAGATTTTACCCAGATAGAGACAGGCCACCTCTGTCTGGTTTGGAGGTGAGCTAATGTCCCTTGCAATGTGCTGCCGCGGAAGGTGACAGCTCTTTGATTTATCTCTCTCTGACACTCCTCCCAATCTGTGATCAGGCAGCGCCTTAAATAGACCTGAAGTGCATTTGGACAAACCAACCTGCATACATATTTATTCAGAAAGCAGAAACCAGAAAGGAGCTATTTGTTAGCAAAAAGAATTTCTGAGAAACTGAAAGGGTTTGTCCAAATCCATGTATAGAGCAATGAGAAGGGGGGAAAAAGCTGTCTGCTTAATTAACTTATTTATCAGACTGACCAGATCCTCTTCAGTACAGCTCCAGCAAATGACAACATGGAAAATCAATTTTGAGCCCCTGCAAAAACAAAACAAAACAAATTCCACCGTCACTTAGTCTTGTATAATGTTCTCTGATGACACCACAATATAGGCTGAATTAGGCATAAGTAAGTTAAAAAAAAAAAAAAAAAGCCTGGCTGTACAGAGAACTAGATTAGAATTCTGAAGTGCGAACAATTCTCATCCTTTTCTCTGACCTTGGAAATGGCATTTGACTTTTCAAAGTTAACGGTTCCCTTTTACTTCTGTTACCAGTGGAGGGTGTCCAGGTTCTTGGTGTTTTGAACAAAGAATTGGTCAAAACACATAAACAAAGCAGGAAAAGAATGAAGCAATGAAAGCAGAGATTTATTGAAAACAAAAGCACACTTCACAGCGTAGAAAGCACGCCTAAGCAAATGGCCGAAAAGCCTGCTTACAGAATTTTCTGGGGTTTAAATACCATCTAGAGGTTTTCCATTGGTTACTTGGTGTACACCCTATGTAAACGAAGTAATGGCCCACAATCAGTCTGATTGGTTGTGGGAAGGGACCAGTCAGAGGCTGAAGTGAAATTACAAAATTATGCCTTATGCAAATGAAGATTTGGCCCACCACCAGCTTGATTGGTTTTGGGAGGGGACCAATCAGAGGTACTTTCCATTTTTCTTTAGCCACATGGAAAAAGAGGGTGGGGGTGGCAAAGGGAGTAGCCTCTGATCCTTTTGTTACTTGGGTGTGGAAAGTTGGGGTTTTCCTTTTGATTTAGTTCTAGGAAGTCATCATGAATTGGCCTTAGGTTCCCTGCCTCCAACCCTATTCTCCTGCCTCACTGCCCTGCACAAACCTGGCGGATAAGGGCCGCGTGCGGTGGGTCAAGCCTATAATCTTAGCACTTTGGCAAAGAGGCTTAGGCAGGAGAATCACTTGAACCCGGGGGGCTGAGGTAGCAGTGAGTGGAGATAGAGCTCAGAGGTGACAGCGTGCTGGCAGCCCTCGCTCACTCTCAGGGCCTCCTCGGGCTCGGTGCCCACTCTGGCCGCACTTGAGGGGCCCTTCAGCCCGCCGCTGCACTGTGGGAGCCCGTCTCTGGGCTGGCCGAGGCAGGAGCCGGCTCCCTCAGCTTGCGGGGAGGTGTGGAGGGAGAGGTGTGGGTGGGAACCGGGGCTGCGTGCGGTGCTTGTGGGCCAGCGTGAATCCCGGGTGGGCGTGGGCTCGGGCCCTGCACTTGGAGAGGCCAGCCGGCCCGGCCGTCCCCGCTGTCCCCTGGCAGTGAGGGGCTTAGCACCTGGGCCATAGCTGCGGAGGGTGCACTGGGTCCCCCAGCAGTGCAGGCCCACTGGTGCTGCACTCAATTTCTCGCCAGGCCTTAGCTGCCTCCCTGCGGGGCAGGGCTTGGGACCTGCAGCCTGCCATGCCTGAGCACCCCCGACCATGGGCTCCTGCACAGCTTGAGCCTCCCCGATGAGAGCCGCCCCCTGCTCCACAGCACCCAGTCCCATCGACCGCCCAAGGGCTGAGGAGTGCAGGCGCAAGGTGCGGGACTGGCAGGCAGCTCCACCTGCGGCCCCGGTGTGGGATCCACTGGGTGAAGCCAGTTGGGTTCCTGAGTCTAGTGGGGACTTGGAGAACCTTTATGTCTAGCTAAGGGTTATAAATACACCAATCAGCACTCTGTATCTAGCTCAAGGTTTGTAAACACACCAATCAGCATCCTGGGTCTAGCTCAAGGTTTGTAAATGCACCAATCAGCGCTCTGTATCTAGTTGATCTGGTGGGGACTTGGAGAACCTTTATGTCTAGCTAAGGGTTATAAGGTGAATAAGGTTATAAGGTCATAAGGGTTATAAGGTGAATACACCAATCGGCACTCTGCATCTAGCTCAAGGTTTGTAAATGCACCAATCAGCACTCTGTGTCTAGCTCAGGGTTTGTAAATACACCAATCAGCACTCTGTATTTAGCTAATCTAGTGGGGACTTGTAGAACTTTTGTGTCTAGCTCAGGGATTGTAAATGCACCAATCAGCACCCTGTCAAAATGGACCAATCAGCTCTCTGTAAAACAGACCAATTGGCTCTCTGTAAAATGGACCAATCAGCAGGATGTGGGTGGGGCCAGATAAGAGAATAAAAGCAGGCTGCCTGAGCCAGCAGTGGTAACCCAGTGGGGTTCTCTTCCACACTGTGGAAGCTTTGTTTTTTTGCTCTTTGCAATAAATCTTGCTGCTGCTCACTCTTTGGGTCCACACTGCCTTTATGAGCTGTAACACTCACTGTGAAGGTCTGCAGCTTCACTCCTGAAGCCAGCGAGACCATGAACCCACCAGAAAGAAGAAACTCTGAACATGTCCGAACATCAGAAGGAACAAACTCCGGACACACCACCTTTAAGAACTGTAACGCTCACCGCGAGGGTCCGCAGCTTCATTCTTGAAGTCAGAGAGACCAAGAACCCACCAATTCTGGACACAGCGCCACTGCACTCCAGCCTGGGCAACAAAGCAAAATTCCATCTCCAAAACAAACAAACAAAAAACAAACAAAAAAAACTCTTTACGCCTTCTCCTCCCTTCTTTGACTCTAAGTATCTGGAGTTTGCTTCTTTGTCCTGAACAGAGTAACAATAAAAATCAAGGATTCAAACTAGAAGAGGTGGATATGGTAAGTTATGTTCCATGCTTACCAAGGATTAAAAGTAATGCAGATCTCCCTTCTGAAGGAAGGAGCAAAGGGAGAAAAGTGGTAAATATTCAAAACATGCTCTTCTGTTGTCATTTCTTTTTCCTGGTTAATAAGGGGTCATACAAGGCTGAAAACTTTTTGGAGAAATACTGTGGGTAGGAGCCACTCATTAAAGTCAACTGGAGTAGCTGTGCTAACTTTTTCCCTCCAGGGACAAAAGAAGGTTTTGAATGTTCCAGGAGGTTGGAGCGTCTGTCCGTAGCCACATCAAAGTAGGTCACGTATCTGCTCTAACAGATTTCACTGTCAAATAGGAAGCTGGCACCAGGGCCAGCCAATGATGGAAAGTTAATAGAATATTTCTCATGCAGGAGCTGCTGGATTGCATGAAGATGTTGCAGACATGGAGTCAGACCACACAATGTTAAGTGGAGGAAAAAAATACTATGTTTTGACAATGAATTAACTTTCAGACAACCTCCTGTGCCCTTTCATGAATATGTAAATGTTTAAAGAGAGATTCACTGAGAAGTGATTACCTCCTCCACGTTGCTAATTTTTTTTTTCTTTTAGATGGAGTTTTGCTCTTGTTACCCAGGCTGGAGTGCAATGGCTCAATCTCAGCTCACTGCAACCTCTGCCTCCCAGATTCGAGCCATTCTCCTGCCTCAGCCTCCCGAATAGCTGGGATCACAGGCATATGCCACCACGCCTGGCTAATTTTTTTTTTTTTTTTTAGATGAAGTCTTGCTCTGTCACCCAGGCTGGAGTGCAGTGGCATGATCTCGGCTCACTGCAACCTCCGCCTCCTGAGTTCAAGCAACTCTCTGCCTCAGCCTCCTGAGTAGCTGGGATTACAGGCACTGGCCACCACACCCAGCTAATTTTTGTGTATTTTTAGTAGAGATGGGGTTTCACTATCTTGGCTAGGCTGGTCTTGAACTCCTGACCTCGTGATCCACCTGCCTTGGCCTGCCAAAGTGCCGGGATTACAGGCATGAGCCACTGCGCCTGGCCTAATTTTATATTTTTAGTAGAGATGGGGTTTCACCCCATTGGCCAGCCTGGTCTTGAACTCCTGACCTCAGGTGATCCACCTACCTTGGTCTCCCAAAGTGCAGAGATTACAGGTGTGAGCCACTGTGCCCGGCCTCATTTTTTAAAAAAGTGTCTTCTTGAAACCCAGTTTCCCTTTGCATGTTGCAGCTTTCTCCAATGGTTTGGGTGCCCAGGCCCTAAATCGTGGAATGACATTGACTATTGATACTACTGTTATAGTCCTTTGTCCTGAGAACCTGGTGTCTGCTCCCTGTGTCACACAGCAGTGCCCACAGAGCCTTCCCCTCGGTCAGAGAGACAGGTTTCCTTAGGTGCAGTGAACTTTACTGTCCCATCCAGATCTGCAGGACTAGGCACACCTAACTGCTGTGGGTGTGGATTGCTAATGGCTCAGTGCCCACTCCCACTTCTAGAAAATCATCCTTGGCAGAAGTGAAAGCACCTTGCCAGGGAGGTTATGCAGCTTCACCTCTAGGCATCCCACCACCGTAACTCACTAACAAGGGCAGCTCCCTGGCCTGCAGGTGGGACCAACTCTGCTAAGATTCATGCTCCAGAGCTCCTGGGGGGTGAGGCTGAAGATAGCTTCAGCTCCTGGGGGGTCAGGCTGAAGCTAGCTCCAGCTGCAAACCTGCCCTTGCATGGCTCCTTCCTTTGCCCTGTCCTGCACCACCACTGTCCCCAGCTCTGTTCTCCTAATGAGAGATGACAACGTGCTAGTAGCCCTCGCTCACTCTCAGCTCCTCCTTGGCCTCGGCATCCACTCTGGCCACACTTGAGGAGCCCTTCAGCCTTTCGCTGCACTGTAGGAACCCCTCTCTGGGCTGGGTGAGGCCAGAGCCCGCTCCCTCTGCTTGCAGGGAGAATTCAAGTGCAGCGTGGGTGGGCCGGCAGTGCGGGAGGTCCCAGTGCACCCTCCACAGCTGCTGGCCTGGGTGCTAAGCCCCTCACTGCCTGGGGCCGGTGGCACCGGCTGGCCACTCTGAGTTCAGGGCCCACCTAGCCTGTACCCACCTGGAACTTGCGCTGTCCTGTGAGCACCACACGTAGCCCCAGTTCCCGCCCACGCCTCTCCCTCCACACCTCCCCAGAGGGAGCTGGCTCTGGCCTCGGCCAGCCCAGAGAGGGGCTCCCACAGTGCAGTGAAGGAATGAAGGGCTCCTCAAGCATGGCCAGAGCAGACACTGAGGCTGAGGAGGTGCTGAGAGCGAGCAAGGGCTGCTAGCATGTTGTCACCTCTCAATCCCCCCTCTAAACAGGACACCCCAACTGCTGTTGGGAATTTGGCCGATGACAGCTCTAGCTACTTCCTGCTGGATAGGAGCAATGAAGGGGCCCTGCAGTTGTAGTGTTCTCCAGAGGGGAGCTCTCTAGGCCAGTGAAAGTGCTAGCAGGTTGGTCCAGGGGTCCTCAGTAGAAGTTGTTAGTTGAACTCATTTGGGGTTCCATTTGTAAGACCATTGGTAGCTTGATGGCCTTGATTCTAGAGCAAACAAATTTAACAAGGAGGTTAAAAATACAGGGTCCAAAGGCGAGTAACAGCAAGATGGCTGCCATGGGACTTAGAAAGGGGAGAAGCCATGTTGCCCAACTCCAGAGGTTGGTATAAGAGTTCGAAAGGCGTTGTCTGATTTCAGAAGCCTTTTTCTGTAAATGCCAGGTGGCATCTCGTACTATCCCTGACTGGTTAGTGTAAAAACAACACTCTTCCCCTAAGAAGGTGCAGAGTCCTCCTTTCTCAGCAGTGAGGAAGTCTAGGCCTCGGCAGTTTTGGAGAGTCACTGCTGCCAAAGAGTCTATTTGGGATTGTAAAGTAAGGATAGATTTTGTTATTTTTTGCAAACTGTCTGAGAAATCCTTTGAGAGTGTGTGGTAGTAGGATAATGCAGTAGGTAAACTGGTTCCTGTAGCAGTAGCCATTCCTAACCCTATAAGTAGGGGTATTAGTTGTATGGCTCTGTGCTGACAGACTTGAGCTTTGAGGGGCACAGATAGGGTCTGATTTCCATAAGATTAGAAGTTAGGATAATACATGTTACACTGTTAACTTTTTTAGCAAACTTTACTTTTGTTGAAAAACTTGTAAGTTTGGGATTTCAATTATTCTTTGCTATTAATAAGACCTCGGTCAGTCCATATTAACTTAAAATTGGTATAGATGTCTCCTTACTGTCTGTAAGTACTTTAAGATTTGGCTGAGTGCAAACAACTCACATGTTTGAGCAGACCAGTTATTAGGCAATTTTCCTAACTCTGCTTCTACAAGAGTTTCCTTATCACTTACTGAATACCCACTGTGTCTTTTTCCCTTAATCACCCAGGAGGAACTATCTATCGTCCTGTCCTGAAGGGAGTTCCTCCTAGATCTGGTCGGACCTTTGTATGGTAATTAATTAAGATTTCGATCCCCTGTTAGGAAACCTGCTGGGTTAAGGATTTTTGATAGGGAGGCTACAGGTGGTCAGTGTGTGAGGCACCGCGCCAGGCCACAACCTACTTTTAATGCATAGCTGAGCCTATGAGAGAGAGAAAAAGAAGCATTTATGTGCTAGAACAAAATGAAGATTGTGCCGGGCGTGGTGGCTCACGCCTGTAATCCCAGCACTTTGGGAGGCCGAGGAGGGTGGATTACAAGGTCAGGAGATCGAGACCCTCCTGGCTAACACGGTGAAACCCCGTCTCTACTAAAAATGCAAAAAATTTGCCAGGTGTGGTGGCGGGTGCCTGTGTCCCAGCTACTTGGGAGGCTGAGGCAGGAGAATGGCTTGAACCTGGGAGGTGGAGCTTGCAGTGAGCCAAGATCGCACCACTGCACTCCAGCCTGGGTGACAGAGCGAGACTCCATCTCAAAACAAAAACAAAAACAAAAACAAAATGAAGATTGCAACTAGAGTGGTGAGGAAGTGAACTAAAGTAATGTCTGCGAAGGGCAGGAAAAACGTCATGCAGGGAGTCATTATGAGCCCAGTAATCTAGGGGCATAGATTTTAATACCCACATAGGGGAGGGACAGGAAAATAGGCCAGAGCCTACAAAGGATGGAGAACTGGAATTAATACCACTACATAAAGCCGGAACGTTGCTTTCTCACCCTAAGTGAAAGGCTAGATTCTCCAGGTCCACCCGTCAGCGCAGGGATGGTTCTGAGTGGGAGAAAATGTTTCCCCTTGTAAATCCCATCCTCCAGCCTGTTTTTTTTGGGTGGGTTTGAGTGCAGTGGCTTGATCTTGGCTCACTGCAACCCCTGCCTCCCAGGTTCAAGCGATTCTCCTGCCTCAGCCTCCCCAGTAGCTGGGACTAAAGGCACGTGCCACCACACCCGGCTAATTTTTTATTTTTAGTAGAGATGGACTTTCACCATGTTGGCCAGGCTGGTCTCAAACTCCTGACCTCAAATGATCTGCCTCCCAAAGTGCTGGGATTACAGGCGTGAGCCACCACGGCCGGCCAAAAGGCGTAGTCGTAAAGGAAATTGACAATTGCCGTCAGTGTTTATTACTGCAGGGAGGCATAAACTCCAGCTTATGGAAATCACAGGTATGTGGGTTCTTTTTCTTTTCTTTTTTTTTTTTTCATATTTAGGTAAAAAAGCCTCAGGTGTCTGACCTGCTTGGAGAGAAATTGAAAAATTATTGGCTATGTTGGTTGAGCAGATCTTGGAGCCAAAACCATCTCTGCTGTGAGAGACCCAAGATCCAACATGAAAATGGGATCTGTAGAAACGGGGTTTTACTATGTTGGCTAGGCTGGTCTCGAACTCCTGCCTTCGTGATCCGCCTGCCTCAGCCTCCCAAAGTGCAGGGATTACAGGCGTGAGCCACTATGCCCAGCCGGGATCTCTGATTTCTTTCTTTATTCTTTCTTTCTTTCTTTTTTTTTTTTCTTTTAAGATGGAGTCTTGCTCTGTCACCAGGCTGGAGTGCAGTGGTGCAATCTCGGCTCATTGCAACCTCTGCCTCCTGGGTTCAAGTGGTTCTCCTGCCTCAGCCTCCCGATTAGCTGGGATTACAGGCACCCACCTCCATGCCTGGCTAATTTTTTTTTGTATTTTTAGTAGAGACAGGGTTTCACCATGTTGGCCAGGATGGTCTCTATCTCCTGACCTCATGATCCGCCCGCCTTGGCCTCCCAAATTGCTGAGATTACAGGTGTGAGCCACCTCACCTGGATCTCTAATTTCTAAAGAGCTGAGTACTCCACCTTCTGGTAGACCTGCCTTTTTCATGCATAAGCTTTCTGGCCCTGGAAGCTAAAAATACTTACAATAGTGGGGGAAAAAAAAAAACTCACCAAAGATAATTTAGGGCTGGGCGTGGTGGCACACACCTGTAATCATAGCTACTAAGGAGGTTGAGACAGGAGAATTGCTTGAACCTAGAAGATGGAGATTACAGTGAGCTGAGATCGCGCCACTGTACTCCAGCCTGGGTGACAGAGCGAGACTCTGTCTCAAAAAAACCACAAAAACAAAACAAACAAACAAACAAAACAAAAGAAATGTATAGCAAGTTGCGACCGGGTGCAATGACTCACGCCTGTAATCCCAGCACTTTGGGAGGCTGAGGTGGGCGGATCCCAAGGTCAAGAGATCAAAACCATCCTGGTCAGCATGGTGAAACCCCATCTCTACTAAAAATACAAAAACTAGCTGGGCATGGTGGCACACGCCTGTAGTCTCAGCTGCTTGGGAGGCTGAGGCAGGAGAATCGCTTTAACCCGAGAGGCGGAGGTTGCAGTGAGCCGAGATCACGTCACTGTACTCCAGCCTGGTGACAGAGCAAGACTGTCCCCCACCCCCAAAAGAAAAGAAAAGAAATGTATAGCAAGTCACAGAAGAGTCTGGAAGATAGCACACTAGCACACACACTATGGAGAGAAGTCTGGGATAAGGAAATTAGAGGAGACATTTGCTCTGTGTTTTTAGGATGTTTTGCATTGAGAATTCTGTCCAAAGGGAGGAAAAAAAGAATGAGAAACAAATGAAGCTCACCCACATGTGCCTCTGTGTACCTCTTACTATGCTGGACTTTCTTATCTTTTTTTTTTTTTTTTTGATATGGAGTCTCACTCTGTTACCCAGGCTAGAGTTCATTGGTGCGATCTTGGATCACTGCAACCTTCGCCTCCCAGGTTCAAGCAATGCTCCTCCCTCAGCCTCCCCAGTAGCTGGAACTACAGGTATATGCCACCACGCCCAGCTAATTTTGCATTTTTAATAGAGACAGGGTTTCACCATGTTAGTCAGGCTGGTCTTGAACTCCTGACCTCAAGGGATCCGCACACCTCGGCCTCCCAAAGTGCTGAGATTACAGATGTGAGCTACCGCGCCCAGCCAGTTGCTGGACTTTCATGATACACATGGAGTGGCCACAGTGTCACAAGGGCTATTTTTTTCACAATCCAATTTATTTGTTGGATAATGTTGATGTACCCAAGTTAGCAATTTTTTTTTTTTTTTTTTGAGATGGAGTTTCACTCTTGTTGCCCAGGCTGGAGTGCAATGGTGTGATCTCAGCTCACTGCAATCTCCGCCTCCCAGGTTCAAGCGATTCTCCTGCCTCAGCCTCCCGAGTAGCTGGGTTACAGGCATAAGCGACCATGCCCAGCTAATTTTGTCATTTTTTTTTTAGTAGAGACAGGGTTTCTCCACGTTGGTCAGGCTGGTCTCGAACTCTTGACCTCAGGTGATCCGCCTGCCTCTGCTTCCCAAAGTGCTAGGATTACAGGCATGAGTCACAGCGCCCGGCCAATGGCAAAACATTTTCATGCATCCCGTGGTCAACAGCATTTGCTACCAAGCGCCAGGTTCCATGCTCAGCAGTGGGACCACAGGATAATGGAGACAAAGTCCCTGACCTTTAGCAGCAATATCTAACAAGTGAGATTTTCAAGAAAGAAAAAATCCTTAGGCTGGGCATGGTGGCTCATGCCTGTAATCCCACCACTTTGGGAAGCTGAGGCGGGCGGATCACCTGTGGTCAGTTCGAGACCAGCCTGGCCAACATGGTGAAACCTCATCTCTACCAAAAATATAAAAATTAGCTGTGCCTGGCAGTGCGTGCCTGCAATCCCAGCTACTCCGGAGGCTGAGGCAGGAGAATCACTTGAACCTGGGAGGTGGAGGTTGCGGTGAGCTGAGATCACGCCACTGCACTCCAGCCTGGGTGACAGTGAGACTCCGTCTCAAAAAAAAAAAAAAAAAAAAGAAAAAGAAAAAAGAAAAAATCCTTGTAAAACATACCGTACCCATACAATTCAGTAATCATGCTCCTGGGTATTTAACAAAATGAGTACACTCACACCTGGATGTTTATAGCAGCTTTATTCTTAATTGCCAAAACTTGGAAGCAAGCAAGATGCCATTCAGTAGGTGACTGGATAAACAAACTGTGATCCATCCGGTCAGTGAACTATTATGAAGCCATAAAAAGACATGAAATATTCCTGGCTGGGTGCAGTGGTTCACACCTGTAATCCCAGCACTTTGGTAGGCTGAGGTGAGTGGATCATGAGGTCAGGAGTTCAAGACCAGCGTGGTCAAGATGGTGAAACCCCGTCTCTACTAAAAATACAAAAATTAGCCGGGGATGGTGGTGGGTGCCTGTAATCCTAGCTACTCGGGAGGCTGAGGCAGAGAATTGCTTGAATCCAGGAGGTGGAGATTGGAGTGACCCAAGATCGCACCACTGCACTCCAGCCTGAGCAACAGAACGAGACTCCGTCTCAAAAAAAAAAAAAAAAAAAAAAAAAAAAGTAAAGAAAGATTCCTAAATGCATGATGTTATTGTACAAGTGAAAGAAGGCAATGTGAAAAGACTCATCCTGTTACACATTCTGGAAAAGGCTTTTGCCTTTTTCTATGGAGAGAGTAGAAAGCCCAGTGGTTGCCAGGGGGTGAGAATACAATGGGATGAGTGGGAAGAGGACAGAGGACTTTAGGGAAAGAAAACTACTCTGCATGATGTTCTAATGGTGGATATCTGTCATTATCCCTTTATTAAAATCCATAGCATATACAAAACCAGCAGTGATCCTGCATGTAAACTATGGACATTGGGTGATGATGATGTGTCCATGTGGCTCATTGATTGTGACGAATGCTCTGTGCTGGTGTGGGTGTTGATCCCGTAGGGGTGCTGTGTGTTGAAGGAGGAAGGGGGTAGATGAGAACTCTGCACTTTCTGTTTAGTTTTTCTGTGAACCTAAAACTTCTATTAAAAAAAAAAAAAATAGGCTGGGTGTGCTGGCTCATGCCTGAAATCCCAGCACTTTAGGAGGCCGAGACAGGTGGATCACTTGAGATCAGGAGTTTGAGATCAGCCTGGCTAACATGGTGAAACCCCGTCTCTACTAAAAATACAAAAAATTAGCCGGGCATTGTGGTGGGCACCTGTAGTCCCAGCGACTCTGGAGGCTGAGGCAGGAGAATTGCTTGAACCTGGTAGGCAGAAGTTGCAGTGAGCAGAGATCGCACCATTGCCTCCAGCCTGGGCAACAAGAGTGAAACTCCATCTCAAAAAAAAAATAAATAAAATAAAATAAATAAAAATATAAATAAATAATAATAGGCCGGGCATGGTGGCTCACACCTGTAGTCCTAGCACTTTGGGAGGCCGAGGCAGGTGGATCACCTGAGGTCCGGGGTCCGAGACCAGCCTGGCCAACTTGGCAAAGCCCTGTCTCTACTAAAAATAAAAATAACAATAATAATACAAAACTTAGCCAGGCGTGGTGGCTCATGCCTGTAATCCCAACTACTTGGGAGGCTGAGGCAGTAGAATCGCTTGAACCCTGGAGGCGGAGGTTGCAGTGAGCCGAGATCGTGCCACTGTGCTCCAGCCTGGGCGACAGAGTGAAACTCGTTCTCAAAAATAAATAAATAAACAAACTGAAGCCTGGGCACAGTGGCTCACACCTGTAATCCCAGCACTTTGGGAGGCACAGGCAGGTGGATCGCTTGAGCCCAGAAGTTCAAGACCGGCCTGGGCAACATGGTGAAACCTGGTCTCTACTAAAAATACAAAAATAAGCCAGGCATGATGGTTCATGCCTGTTGTTCCAGCTACCAGGTGGGCTGAGACAGGAAGATCACGTGAGCCTTGGGAGGTTGAGGCTGCAGTGAGCCGTGATCATGCCACTGCACTCCAGCCTGGACGAGAGTGAGACCTGGTCTCAAAATAAAATAAAATAAAATAAACTCAATACTTAAAAAAACCTGTAATGCTTCCTTCCAATGCTAAAATTGTACTATTCTAAGTATATTTAAAGAACAAGCGATTCTTGTTCAGTGTTTTTAAAATTAGTTTTAAAAATCTCATTCTTTTTGAAAATCCAAACTAAGTTAACCATTCTTTCATTCTTTTTTTTTTTTTTTTGAGACGGAGTCTCGCTCTTGTTGCCCAGGCTGTAGTGCAATGGCGCGATCTCAGCTCACCGCAACCTCCGCCTCCCGGGTTCAAGTGATTCTCCTGCCTCAGCCGCCTTACAGACATGCACCACCACGCCCGGCTAATTTTGTATTTTTTAGTAGAGACAGGGTTTCCCCATGTTGCCAGGCTAGTCTCGAACTCCTGACCTCAGTTGATCCGCCTGCCTCGGCCTCCCAAAGTGCTGGGATTTCAGGCATGAGCCACTGCGCCCGGCCTGTTTTTTTTTTCCTGAGACGGAGTCTTGCTCTGTTGCCACTGCTCCCAGCTGTTAACCATTCTTAAAATATCACACTGCATTCTTTAAAAGTTCTATATCTTTAATATACATAAATGACAACACAAATATTTGTACTCAAATAGTATTTACATAATAGTAAAATTTTTAATATACCATAAAATATAATCCTTGCAACACTAAATTACACCATCTGGTCTCATCTACCAGCAGATGGCAGTCGAGACCCATGGACTGGAAATTTTGATTTTATAATCACTGGAAATGAATCCAGTCCTGCACTGCCCAGCCCGTCCCCTGCTGGCTCCTGGGGCTCTGCTGTTTGGGGGAATCATGATGAAATTGTGGCGGCGTGTAGAAGCTGAGCCCCATTGCATGTCCTGGGTTCTTGTTGCCTCCCTGTTA
This sequence comes from Homo sapiens, assembly GCF_000001405.40. Classification (NCBI taxonomy): domain Eukaryota; kingdom Metazoa; phylum Chordata; class Mammalia; order Primates; family Hominidae; genus Homo; species Homo sapiens. Next base: position 13,422,561 of record NC_000001.11, on the reverse strand, counting down.
CCAGGAAATGGAGGTGAGATTAAAAGATGAAAAATGCGGCTGGGCGCGGTGGCTCACGCCTGTAATCCCAGCACTTTGGGATGCCGAGCAGGGAGGATCACGAGGTCAGGAGATCGAGACCATCCTGGCCAACATGGTGAAACCCCGTCTCTACTAAAAATACAAATATTAGCGGGGCGTGGTGGCGCGCGCCTGTAGTCCTAGCTGCTCGGGAGCACGAGGCAGGAGAATCGCTTGAACCCGAGAGGCGGAGGTTGCAGTGAGCCAAGATTGCACCACTGCACTCCAGCCTGGTGAAGAGCAAGGCTTTGTCTTAAAAAAAAAAAAAAAAAGAAAGAAAGATGAAAAATGCTGGGACTTCTGCTGAGAAGAGAGAAAAGAACAAGGTGTATTGATCTTACTTATGCCAGGCCCCATGCCAAGCCCTAAACATGGACCATCTTATCGGATCCTACAAGGGTCCCATAAGCTGTTGGACACTACCATCCTGATTTTACAGGGAAACTGAGGCTCTTGGCTAAGATCCCTGGCAGCAACACCAGCCCCTGAATCCTCAGCAGGATCCTTCACTTAGGTGCCCTTTAAGTAGGTTTCTTCAACACAGGGAAGGTCACTCATCACCCACAGGCACTTGATCGTTATCCACCCTTTGATGATGTGAGATTCCAAAACACTCTGCACTAGTCTCTTCCTTGATAGAGAGAGAGGGTAGGTGTTATGAGAAAATCTCTCATCAATCTGAGCTAGCTCCCCAAAAAGATGTAACTTTTTTTTTCTTGAGACAGATTGTTTTTATTTACTTTTTTGAGACAGATTCTCGCTCTGTCGTCAGACTGGAGTGCAGTGGCATGATCTCGGCTCACTGCACCCTCTGCCTCCCGGGTTCAAGCGATTCTCCTGCCTCAGCCTCCTGAGTGGCTGGGACTACGGGCATGCGCCACCACGCCCAGCTAATTTTTGTATTTTTAATAGAGACGGGGTTTCACCATGTTGGCCAGGATGGTCTCGATCTCTTGACCTCGTGAGCCACCCCCCCGCCTCAGCCTCCTGAAGTGCTAAGATTACAGGTGTGAGCCACCGTGCACAGCCTAGATGTAACTTTTAAAATGTGGGATTGAAATATTTAAAAAGTGTTATGGCGGGTGCGTCTGAGGCAGGAGAAGCGCTTGCACTCAGGAGGCAGAGGTTGCAATGAGTCAGGATTGTGCCACTGAACTCCAGCCTGGGCGCAAAAAGACCTAGGTTTTAGTTTTCAAGTGTTCAGAAAAAAGAGTTTGATATATCCACCCAAATAGGCAGGCATTCAACAGCAACACCGATCTACCTCCAGGTCGTAAAGTGACCTGTTGCCACACTGAGGGCAGTAGTCGGTACAGAACAAGATCCTCTCGGGCTCCCTTAAGGCCCTCACTCTCCCCATCAGCTCAGCCCCAAGTTGGGCAAATCTGCTCCGGCAGACGATACCACGAACATCATAACTCTCCCGCGGGGCAGGATACAGCTCCAGGCATAAGTTGTTGAGTCTGATTGTGTGGCACAGCAGGTTCTCCAGGGTGGCCGTGGAGATGGGATTTCCACGGAAGCTGAAGGTGGTGAGCTCAAAGCAGCGGCTCAGGGCAGGCAGGATGGCGTTGACTTGGGAGTCTACGATGCCACAGTCATCTAAGTCCAGGTACTCAAGGGTGGCTGCAACTTTTTCTAGGAGAACTTGGAGCGGCACAAGGCTGAAATTGGCCAGTCTGGTGCCACTCAGGTCCAGGGTCTTTAGTTGACCAATGCTCGGGTACTTGGACAGATGCTTCAAGTCTGATTCCAAAAGCACACAGTTAGTTATTGCGAGGATGTTTAACGAGGTCTTTAGACAGCTGGGGAGAGAGAGCAGGAAGTTAGTTCTGGGGAATCGTAGGGGTGAGTGGAGGGTGGTAGGGAATGACTTCAAAGTGATGGATGGAGACCATTTTGCCCAAGCCCAGGGTCATTCTGATTGTCTGATAGTCAACACTTAGGATGCTGCGTGATGAAGAGCTTTGCCACTGAGGTCAATTCCATTTTAGGCCTGGCGCAGTAACTCACACCTGTAATCCCAGAACTTTGGGAAGCTGAGACGGGCAGATCACTGGAGGTCAGGAGTTTGAGACCAGCCTGGCCAACATGGCAAAACCCTGTCTACTAAAAATGCAAAAATTAGCTGGGCATGGTGGTGGGCGCCTGTAATTCCAGCTACTTGGGAGGCTGAGGCAGGAGAACCGCTTGAACCCAGGAGATGGAAGTTGCAGTGAGCAGAGATCGTGCCACTGCACTCCAGCCTGGGTGACAGAGCGAGACTCTGTCTCAAAAGAAAGAGAAATAAAAAACCCATTTCAGGCTGAGTCTTTTCCCTATCATTTATAGGAATGGATCCAGTTCACAGAATCCCTAAAGCTCCCTTTCCTCATCTGTCAGGCAGAAAACCACATCTCTGGGCCACATGAGACCATTGGGGATGCAGGCATAAAGGACAAACCCAGGCAGGATCCTGCAACATCAGCTGGGGTGGGCAGGCTGCAGGCGTCCCTGACACGCCTGTATCATCAGCAAACCATCTATCACTTTCACCATTCTTTGTGCCTGGTCCCTGACCCTCTGTTTCAGAATCATACATTTCTCAGGTAATTAATTTACCTGGAGCTCAAAACAACCCATTATGACAGGGAATTAGACATGGGATCATTCATGTTCACCAAGCTGTGGGGCACAGAGCTCATAATCTGACATGTGCAGGTTTGCTGAGCATTCCCCTCTTCAGTGCCCACTTCACTTCCCTACTTCCCATCATCTTGTTAAAAATTATCTTGTTTTGGCCGGGTGCGGTGGCTCACACCTGTAATCCCAGCATTTTGGGAGGCCGAGGCGGGCGGATCACAAGGTCAGGAGATCGAGACCATCCTGGCTAACATGGTGAAACCCCATCTGTACTAAAAAATACAACAAAAATTAGCCGGGCGTGGTGTCGGGCACCTGTTGTCCCAGCTACTCAGGAGGCTGAAGCAGGAGAATGGCGTGAACCCTGGGCAATAAAGCGAGACAGAGCAAGACTCCATCTCAAAAAAACAAAAAAAATTATCTTGTTTTTGGGTCGGGTGTGGTGGCTCACGCCTATAATCCTGACACTTTGGGAGGCCGAAGTGGGTGGATCACCTGAGGTCAGGAATTTGAGACCAGCCTGGCCAACATGGTGAAACCCCATCTCTACTAAAAATACTTAGCCAGGAGTGGTGGCCCGTGCCTGTAATCCCAGCTACTCAGGAGGCAGAGGCAGGAGAATTGCTTGAACCCAGGAGGCAGAGGTTGCAGCGAGCCAAGATCACACCACTGCACTCCAGCCTGGGTGATAAAAGTGAAATTTCATCTCAAAAAAAGAAAAATTATCTTGTTTGTATTTTTTATTTATTTATTTTTTAGACAGGAGTCTTTGCTGTGTTACCCACACTGGTCTTAAACTCCTGGGCTCAAATTATCCTCTTGCTAGCACTAACCAAAGTGCTAGGATTACAGGCATGAGCCAGCATCCCTGGCCTATTTCTCATCATCTTAACTTAGACACACATCCTCAGGAAGAATTCACAAATGCAACCTCACTAAATCTGAATCCTCCAGTAGCTAGCTTCCTAGCATGGCAGCCTCTCTATAGCATCTACCCCAGCTGATTCCTCTGTCTTCATTGGGATGAATGTGTGATACCCACTTCCAACAGGAAAATGCACTGACATTCTAGTGTCCCCTTTACTGTTACATCCTCATAGGCTGGCTCACAGTAGATGCCCCCTGTAACAAGAAAGGCTCTGCTGTGGTCTGCAGAGAAAGCTCACTACCCTTCCTCACCTGAGCATCTGGTCCAGGTGGCCTTCGAGGAAAGAAACAGAGTTCATATAAAGCTTTTGGAGGCAGCGCAGCTTGAGGAACTGAGTGGTGAACTGGGTAACAAACTCCTTCTTCTGCTCTGGGGAAATGTAGCGAGAATCTATGTCAGAGAGAACGAGCTTCCGAAGATTCCTCATCTGGCCGAGGTATGGGGTAAACTCTGCCAGGACGGGCAGTGTCCAATTGCAATTCACTTCCACCTCCTGGATACAGTCTAGGTTGACTGTTTTCAGGATGTTTCTGATATTGTGGAAGAGCATTCCCAACATTTTCAGCTTCTTACAGCACAGGTGTACTAAACCTTCCCTCTGCTTGACCCATAGAAAGAGGCAGGTGAAGTATTCATCCAGAGTCCTGTTCTTGAGGCAAAGGTCTATGAACACAGTCAAGGGCTGCTGTCCTCTCATCCTTGGACAGTCCTGCAGTGGTTTTCTGTTCATCATGGCATTTGGTAAGCACCTACGGGCCATGGCTTCAGACCAAACCATCCAGAAGTTCTCACTGACATCCTGTAAATCCAGCACTTGAAGTTTCCACCTCCTGAGGAAAAATAGAAGAGAGGCTGAGAATTTAAGGACTCACTTCTGAGGCTGGGCTCAGTGGCTCACGCTTGTAATCCCAGCACTTTGGGAGGCCAAGGCGGGCGGATCACAAGGTCAGGAGATCGAGAACATCCTGGCTAGCATGGTGAAACCCCGTCTCTACTAAACACACACACACACACACACACACACACACACACACACACACAAATTAGCCGGGCGTGGTGGCGGGCGCCTGTAGTCCCAGCTACTCGGGAGGCTGAGGCAGGAGAATAATGTGAACCCGGGAGGCGGAGCTTGCAGTGAGCTGAGATCGCGCCACTGCACTCTAGCCCCAGCCTGGGCGACAGAGCAAGACTCCGTCTCAGAAAAAAAAAAAAAAAAAGGACTCACTTCTGAACTTATACTTCACATCCTGGATATCAGCTGCTCTCTTCCCTGCTTCTTTTCCCTCTCTCTGACTTTTCTCCACCCTGTTTTACCCTTGGATCCTGCCCAGTTCCACTTTTTTTTTTTTGAGACAGAGTCTCCCTCTGTCGCCCAGGCTGGAGTGCAGTGGCGCAATCTCGCCTCACTGCAACCTCCAGCTCCCGGGTTCAAGCAATTCTCCTGCCTCAGCCTCCCAAGTAGCTGGGATTACAGGTGTCTGCTACCATGCCCAGCTAATTTTTGTATTTTTAGCTGAGTTGGGGTTTCACCATGTTCAGAGGTGAGGCCAGCTGGACTTCCTGGCTCCAGTGGGGACTTGGGGAACTTCCCTGTCTTACATGAGGATTGTAAAATGCACCAATCAACGCTCTATAAAATGCACCAATCAGCAGGATTCTAAAAGTAGCCAATCGTGGGGATGATTGAAAAAAAGGCACTCTGATAGGACAGAAATGGAACATGGGAGGGGACCATAAGGGAATAAAAGCTGGCCACCCCAGTCAGCAGCGGCAACCTACTCAGGTCCCCTTCCACGCTGTGGAAGCTTCGTCCTTCTGCTCTTCACCATAAACCTTGCTACCGCTCACTCTTTGGGTCCGTGCCATCTTTAAGAACTGTAACACTCACTGCAAAGGTCTGTGGCTTCATTCTTGAAGTCAGCAAGACCATGAACCCACCGGCAGGAACCAATTCTGGACACAATGTTGGCCAGGCTGGTCTTGAACTCCTGACTTCAGGTGATCCACCTGCCTCAGCCTCCCAAAATGCTGGGATTACAGGTGTGAGCCACTGTGCCCAGCCTAGTTCCCACTTTTAGTGGTGCCTTTCAGTGCCACTAGAAGAGAGGTTCCTGTTACCTCGGTGGACCCCGGGTGATGAGCAGTCCTTTCCCTGAGGAGCTGGGCAATGGCCAAGGCCTCTCTAAGCTTCCTCACCAAAACCATTAGAAGCCTGTGGGCCCTCCTTGGACCTCCTCACTCCTCATGACCCAGCTGTTCCTTCTGTTGGACACCTGGGCCCTCCCCACCAGCCCACTTGGGCCACCTCACCTGAGACGAACCCTGTGGGTAAGCAGTGCATCAAGCCCATCGAGCACAGCTTGGAAGGTCTCTGGGCAAGGCCTTTTCATCAGAGACCCCAGAGGAAGGCGGAGGAAAGGCCAGGCCTGCACCATCAGCTTCAGGGCCTCACAGTGTCTCCTGCTGAAGGCCTCCATGAACAATGGGGGAAAAAGTTCCGTGGGCAGCTCCTCCAGGGTGGAGATGGCCAAGGCCTCGTCCCTCAGCAGGCTCCGCCCCGCCAGCTCCAGGAGTCTGGGTGGAGTCCGGATGCTCATCTTCCTGAATCTGCAAAGAAAAGTTCCAGAGGACAAATCCAGAGAAAAGGCATCACTCTCAGGCCAAGCCCATGCAATCTCATCTCCCAGGGCCAAAGTCATTGCTCTGGCAATGGTGAAAGAGCCCTCAGTTTACTCCAATTCTACTCTGTACTCAGTGGCCACAAAGCCAGGCTTCTGCCTCTGCTGCATCAGCATAAGCATCTCCCAAGCAGTGAGGAGGCAGGGCCACCACTAGCCCTTCCTTTCTATCCAGTGCTCATCCAGTGAGTAGTAAATATGGAGGAACCTGAAAGCTAATCCCTCCCACCTTTGGGGGAAATTTCTAATTACTCAAGGTTCTAAAACAATGGGAATGGGAGTGTCAAAAGCCTACATGCCTACATTCTCAGTTCCTGCAAATAAGCTGGTTGGGAACATTCATGGGGCATCCCTAGAATGGGTTCTATTTGTTTTGTTTTCTTTTCATTATTTAAGCTTACTTTCTTTCTCTTTCTCTCTCCCTTTCTTCTTTCCTTCTTTCCCTCATCCCTCCCTCCCTCCCTCCCTCCCTTTGTTCTTTTTTTTGCCAGGGTCTTGCTCTGTCACCCAGGCTGGAGTGCAGTGGTGCAATCTCAGCTCAGTGCAGCCTGGACCTCCCAGGCTCAGAGGATTCTTCCATCTCAGCCTCCCAAGTAGCTGGGACCACAGGCATGCATCACCATGCCCAGCTAACCTTTTAGTTTTTGATGTTTTGTAAAGACAATGGGTTTCCCTATGTTGCCCAGGCTGGTCTTGAACTCCTAGACTCAAGCAATCCACCCACCTTGGCCTCCCAAAGTGCTGGGATTACAGGCATGAGCCTCTGCTCCGGCCTCATTATTTAAAATTTCAGTGGGAAACTTTGAAAGCTATGTGACAATGTTATGGATCATTCGCAAGACAGAGATGTTTCCATACACACTTCTTACACATATTAAAAATGAACCACTTTGGCTGGGCATGGTGACTTATGCCTGTAATCCCAGCACTTTGAGAGGCCGAGGCAGGCAGATCATTTGAGGTCAGGAGTTCAAGACCAGCCTGGCCAACATGGTGAAACCCTGTCTGTACTAAAAATACAAAAAAATTAGCTGGGCATGGTGGTACACACCTGTAATCCCAGCTACTTGGGAGGCTGAGGAAGGAGAATCACTTGAACCCGGGAGGCGGAGGTTACAGTGAGCTGAGATTGTGCCACTGCACTCCAGCCTGGGCGACATGAATGAAACTCCAAGCTCAAAAAACAAAGAACCACTTTGGATAGAGCATAAGGGAACAAATGGATCACATGTTCAGAACAAAGCTATCACTCTTAAGACAAGCCTGACCAATATGGTGAAACCTCATCTCTACTAAAAATACAAAAATTAGCTGGGCATGGTGGCACACACCTGTAATCCCAGCTACTTGGGAGGCTGAAGCTGGAGAATCACTTGAACCTGGGAGGCAGATGTAGCAGTGAGCTGAGATTGAGCCACTCCACTGCAGCCTGGGCGACAGAGTGAGACTATGTCTCTCTCTCTCTATATATATATATTACATAGAATGTTTTAAAACTTTTATTAAAGGGGCTGGGTGCGGTGGTTCACACCTGTTATCCCAGCACTTTGAGAGGCTGCAGCGGGTGTATCACCTGAGGTCAGGAGTTGGAGACTAGCCTGGCCACCATGGTGACACCCCGTCTCTACTAAAAAAAAACCCACAAAAATTAGCTGGGCGTGGTGGCATGCACCTGTCATCCCAGTTACTTGGAAGATTGAGGCCTGAGAATCACTTGAACCCGGGAAGCAGAGGTTGCAGTGAGAAGGGATTGCCCCACTGCACTCCGGCCTGGTCGGCAGGGTGAAACCCTGTCTCAAAAAAAACTTTTAGTAAAAAGGAAAACCTAACTTGTAAAATCACAATACCCCAAAGTCTATGAACTATAATTTAAGGGCACACAAAATCACAAAATATGTATTTAAAATGTCAAGAAGGCTGGGTGAGGTGGCTCACGCCTGTAATCCTGGCACTTTGGGAGGCCAAGGCAGGTGGATCACAGGGTCAGGAGTTCAAGACCAGCCTGGAAAACATAGTGATATCCAGTCTCTAGTAAAAATACAAAAAAAAAAAAAAAAAAAAAAAATTAGTCAGGTGTGATGGCGGGTGCCTGTAGTCCCAGCTACTTGAGAGGCTGAGTCAGGAGAATCGCCTGAACCAGAGAGTCGGAGGTTGCAGTGAGCTGAGATCATGCCACTGCACTCCAGCCTGGGCAACAGAATGAGAGTCCTTCTCAAACAAACAAATAAACAAAAAACAAAAACACAAAAACTGCTTGGCTAAGAATTTTGAAATGGCAAAAACCAAAGCATAAATCAAAATTTTGGGGATAAAGACAAACCTGCATTTAGAGAAAAATTCAAAGCCAAAATCTGTTCATCTGATAAAACAGGATAATTCTCTGTGCCATCTTGGGCTGCCTGAAACTATGAGACTGGCTGACTGCAGATCAGATGGGAGTGTCTTTATGGAGGTGGAGACTTACCAGATCTGGACTCAGTGTTCAGGGTGCTTGGACCCCTCACAGTACCAAGCAGTAACTCCAGGCCTCAGGTCTCTCCCATAGATCTTCAGAGGATTTTATGGACCTTTCTAATCACATCACCCCTTTGCCAATCAGAAAACACCTTGGCTAGGCACAGTGGCTCACACCTGTAATCTCAGCACTTTGGGGGGCTGAGAAGGGTGGATGCCTAGAGGTCAGGAGTTTGAGACCAGCTTGGCCAACATGGTAAAACCCTATCTGTACCAAAAATACAAAAATTAGCCAGGTGCAGTGGTGTGTGCCTGTAGTCCCAGCTACTAGGGAGGCTGAGGCAGGAGGATCACTTGAACCCAGGAGGTGGAGGTTGCAGTGAGCTGAGATTGTACCACTGCACTCCAGCCTGAGAAATAGGCTAGATTCATCTCAAAAACAAAAACAAAAACAACAACAACAAAAAAGAAAACTACATTTAAATCTCTTAAGCTCCACCCAGTTAATCCTGACTGGATTTTTGGCTTTCTTCCAGATTAACTGATTGAATTAGATATTCATCCATGAAAGTGAAAGATTTAGGTATAGGGTGAAAGTCCATGACTCATTCACTGATTCACTCCACAAACATGGAATTTTACTAATATATGTCCTTCCTAGTCCTGAGTGTGAGATAGGGAAGGGTTGAATCTCTTCCTGACATTAGACAGAAAGAAAAAACTTGAAAGTATCTTTGTTGAGGGATCCTTGGTCACAAATTTATCAGAATATTTCAGAGTTAAAACAGTTTACAAAGACAGAGATGACAGTCCCTAAGAAAACACAATAGAAATCATCATGTATCCAGTGATTACCTGGGTGGTATAATTTAATTTTTTTTGGTGTTGCAGGGTGGGGGGCTGAGTCTCATTTCCTAGCCCAGGCTGGAGTGCAGTGGCGTCATTTTGGCTCACTGTAACCTCCACCTCCCAGGTTCAATGGATTCTCATGCTTCAGCCTTCCATGTAGCTGGGATTACAGGCATGCACCCCCGCACCCATGTCTCCATTCGGGTGGAAGAGTTACAATGAGGATGTGATTGGTTTAAAATTAAGCTCAAAGATTCTCTGAAGGAAATCAGGCCAAAATTACCATGAAAACTGGATAGGATAATTCAATTACAGTGAAAACTAGATAGGAAAATGAAGGGTGGGAGCCGGGCAGGGTGGGGCTGAGTGTTTTAAATGAAATTTGGGGAAGAAACCACGACATGTGAATATGTTGGGGGATCTTAGGGGATCTGTTTGGGGATCTTGAAGAATTGAAAGTCTGGTGTCTAGATTGAGGTTAAAAATTAAAAGGTTAAGTAGCTACAAAAGAGAAGATGTAGAATCTGAAAAATTCAACATTATCCTTGAGGGGAGGGAGAAAGGTTCAATGTTTCCAAGAAGTTAAAGGGTGTTTCCTCCCAAAGACATGGGCTTAGCTCAGCAAAGCAGTTTGAGAAAATTAAAGAATGTGAGGCCAGGTGTGGTGGCTCACGCCTGCAGTCCCAACACTTTGGGAGGCTGAGGTGGGTGGATCACTTGAAGTCAGGAGTTGGAGACCAGCCTGGGCAACACGATGAACTCCTGTCTCTACTAAAAATACAAAAATTAACTTGGTGTGGTGGCTCATGCCTCTAATCGCAGCTACTTGAGAGGCTGAAGTTGTAGTGAGCCCGGATAGCCTGAGTGAGAGAGCAAAACTCTGCCTCAAAAATAAATAAATAAATAAATTAATTAAATTAAATAAATAAATAAATAAAATAAATTAAATTAAAGGCAGCACAGAATGACCAATTAAAAGCCACTAAGGTGGTCACAGCCAGGTATAAAGGACACCAGAGAAAAAGTCTCTAGTGTTAGGATAATCTTGTCATGGGTGGGCAAAAATTACCACTGGGACATAAGCAAGTCTCAAGTCAATTTTCATGCAACTCGGAAAGTCTTGGTCACTGGTGGAACAATGAGGGCACAGGCCATCACCAAGGATAAAGAGAGAATTCTGTACACGGAACACTTGTCAAACCAAATCACTTTGCCCAAACTCTTCAAATTCCAACAGAATTTATAGGATTTCCTTTGCTCTAGAGATATTATTAAGAAATGGAATGTGGTTCTCAAAATTCTAAGGCATCCCAAACAAAGCCTCTGGGACTCCAGCCAGCTATACCTTCAAAATTCATGGTCATTCTCATGTGCATTTTTAAACTGATGGGAAAATTACACCCAGGATAATGACCATAAGGCCATTGTGGGAATTATTGGAAATCTTTAAGACTGTTTTTCTTACAAAACCGCAATTGTAGGATTAAACAGTCTGAATGGGATGCTAGCATGTAGAGACTTCTAAACTCTTTCTCTCCTTTTTTGAAGGGGGGTGGGTTGGGATCTGCCTACTGATTTCAATTAATTGGATATTGTTTAAACTGTTTGCATAAGATATATTTTGGCGGTGGGGGGGAGGGGGCCAGAGTCTCACTCTGTTGCCCAGGCTGGAGTACAGCAGTGGTGTGAGCACGGCTCATTGCAGCCTCAAACTTCCGGGCTCAAGGGATTCTCCCACCTCAGCCACCCAAATAGCTGGGACTACAGATGCATGCCACCATGCCCGGCTAATTTAAAAACATTTTATGTAGAGGCTGGGGACTGGTGGTTGATGGCTGTAATCCCAGCACTTTGGGAGGCCAAGGTGGGTGGATCACTTGAGGTCAGGAGTTCGAGACCAGCCTGGCCAACATAGTGAAACCCCACCTCTACTAAAAATACAAAAATTAGCCAGGCATAGTGGCAGGCGGCTGTAATCCCAGCTACTCAGGAGGCTGAGGCATGAGAATTGCTTGAGCCTGGGAGGCGGAGGTTGCAGTGGGCCGAGATCATGCCACTGCACTGCAGCCTGGCCAACAGAGCAAGACTCTATCCCCCACCAAAAAAAAATATTTTGTAGAGATGGAGTTTTGCCATGTTGCCCAGATTGGTCTTGAACCCGTGGGCTCAAATGATCCTCCCACATTGACCTCCGAGAGTGTTGGGATTGTAGGCATGGGTCACTACTCCCACCAAGAATTCTGAAAGGATATAAACCAAAGCACAAATCAAATTTTTTGAAATGAAGACAAAACTGCATTTAAAGGAAAAAGTCAAAGCTTCAAATTGTTCATACAAAAAAAAAAAAAAAGACAGGATATAACTCTGTGCCTGCACTGTCACCATCCCAGACCGGCTGACTGTAGGTCAGATGGGAGTGTCCTTACAGAGATTAGGGACTTACCAGATCTGGACTCAGTTTGCAGGGTGCTCAGACCTCAGGAAAAACCAAGCAGAAACTCCAGGCTTGAAGACTTTGGGTCTCTCCTGTGGGTCTTTAGAAGCTTTTATTGACCTTTCTAATCACAACTCCCACCCACGCCCCTCCACGTATCCGCTGCTAGCTTCCAATCAAAAAGTGGTATCTGATTGCATTTCTGAAGCTCCACCCAGTTAATCCTGATTGGGTTTTTGGCTCTCCCCAGATTAATGGATTGAATCAGATATCCATTCATACCAGATATCCATATTCATTTCATGAATCAAGAAAGTGACAGTATTAGGGATAGAGTGGAAGTCAAGAATTCATTCATTCAAGGCTCGGTGGCTCATGCCTGTATTACCAGCACTTTGGGAGGCCAAGGCAGGTGGATCACTTGAGGTCAGGAGTTCAAGACCAGCCTGGCCGACAGGGTGAAACCCTGTCTCTACAAATATAGAAAAATTAAGGCCAGGCATGGTGGATCACGCCTGTAATCCCAGCACGTTGGGAGACTAAGGTGGGTGGATCACCTGAGGTCAGGAGTTCAAGACCAGCCTGGCCAACATGGTGAAACCCTGTCTCTGTCTCAAAATAAAATAAAATAAAATACAAAAATTGGCTGGGCATGATGGTGGGGGCCTGTAATCCAGCTACTTGGGAGGCTGAGGTGGGAGAATTGCTTGAACCCAGGAGGCAGAGGTTACAGTGAGTGGAGATTGTGCCATTGCACTCCAGCCTGGGCAACTGAAGGAGACTCTGTCAAAAAAAAAAAAAAATTCATTCATTCATGAACTCCACAAACACTGATGGAATTTTACTAATATGTGACCTGCATAGTCCTGAGTGTGAGGCAGGGAACGGTTTGATCTGTTCTAGACATTAAAGAGAAAAATAAAATCTGAAAGGAGTATTGTTAGGAGATCTTTGGCCACATCAAAATTATAAAAATACTTTATAGTGGCCGGGTGCGGTGGCCCACACCTGTAATCCCAGCACTGTGGGAGGCCAAGGTGGGTGGATCATGAGGTCAGGAGTTCGAGACCAGCCTGACCAACATGGTGAAACCTGGTCTTTACTAAAAATACAAAAATTAGCTGGGCTTGGTGGCATGTGCCTGTAATCGCAGCTACTCAGGAGGCTGAGGCACTCCAGCCTGGGTGACAGAGCAAGACTCCATCTCAAAAAAAAAAAATGCTTTATAGTTAAAATAGCTTTATAAAAACAAAGGTGTCATCCCTACAAAATAAGAATAAAAATCTCCTTGTATCGAATGGTCTTGTGGGTTTTATATCACCTAATGTAGCAGATTATACGCTTGTTCTGGTGGAAGAGAGGTGCCACTGAGGGCGTGAGTGGTCTCAGGGCTTAGGTTAAGGCTTGTCTGGAAGAAATTGAAACCGTATTTCTAAACTTTATAAATTTAATCAGTGAAGAAGGGAGGGGGAGAAACCAAAACAAACCAAGCTTGCAGTGCATTCAGCATTCATCAGGAGGTCAGCTTGCTCTCTGACCTGCTTCCTCATGGTTGCTGGCAGCCTACTGTCCCAAAATCATGTAGACCTTAGATTACAGTTCCCCTTAACTGCCCTGCAGACGACAATTTAAGCATTGTAAAACATTAGCTTTTTCATTTGACATATTCTTTCAGGTTCTGCATGTCAGTGAAACTACTGATGCCAGCTGATCTGAAGGGCTCTGCAAGGCACCAACTCACCAAAGAATGCAGTTTTGACATCCTGATGACTTCATACCTCTTACTGCCACCAAACTACACCAACTTTCCAGCCGCTTGCTATCCATGATCCCCTGAAAACCCTGAGTAATCCTTGGGGAGATGAATTTGAGGATCTCCTCCTAGCTTATCATTCAGCCACTCTGTGATCATTAAACTCTCTGCTGCAAACCCTGCTGTCTCAGAATATTGCTAAGCTACTGTGCAGCAGGCATAGGAACCTGATGGTCCTGTAATAAAGTCATGTCAAAATTACGAAGGGAAGTGAGGGTGGGGGCTGGGCAGGGTTGAGCTGGGTGTTTTAATTGGATCCTGGGAGTGAACCAAGACTTGGTAAACATGTTGTGGGTTATTGAGGTGGTGGAGGAGGAATCTATCCAACATTGCACTGGATGACCCCTTGGTTTTGAACCTTATGAGCAAGGATGAGTCTTTCAAAACAGTTTATGTAATCTTCCTTATTTTTCCTTTCAAATCTTTGTCTTCCTTTACCTCCCTGGATAATCTCACATTTATTCCCATTGCTTTGCTCATTTCATAATAAAAATCCTTATTTTTTTATTTTTATTTTTTTACAGAGTCTCTTTCTCTGTTAAGCAGACCATATATTTTGTCGCCACACAAGATGTGTAACCTGGTTTTATGGAGAGAAAGGGTCAAAAGGATCCCATTCCTAACCAGCTGGGGGTGATATGAAGGTCATGGTTATTCTTTGTCATATCTGCACCTGCATATTGCCAGTGAAAACCTGCAGGTCACATTGGGCAGGCTTCCAAATTAACCACCTGCGGAAGGTCTTACGATTGGCTTACATCCTGTCCCTGAGTAAAGAATCTGATCATGAGTTCATGAGTGACTCAAACTCTTCAAGTACTGATGAAGGCTTCACCTACAGACGGTGAGAAGGACACTGATTTGATTCTGATCATGAAGTTTTGCTGGTTGTCTTGCAAGGAAAATGTAAGCCTGTTATGTTGTCATCTAAAGCCAATGATTGTAGCCTCTGTATTATACCTTCCAATGGAAAAGACACACTGAAAAAACAACTCTATTTGAGGCTTGCCAGATCAAGAAACAGAAGCAAATTAAAACAAACAAACAAACTGATAGGAGGAGCCCCATTCCCTTCTTTTAACATTTCTCACAAAAACATTCTAACTTGTAACAGACTTTGGGACACACCCACTTTGTCAGTGTGTGTCTTCCAGGTCGATCCTCACATTTAGCTTCCAATGAAGCTTTATTAATTATTTCTGCCTCAAGAGCCCTAACTTCCATTGACACCAGGCTGCATGGTAATGGTTTAGATTGGGGTGAGAAGAAAAAATATTTCTATGAATTTTATAAAGTAATCCCCGCATGCCATCTCCACTGAAGAATGAATAGGGGCCGTGCGTGGTGGCTCATGCCTGTGATCCCAGTGCTTTGGGAGGCTGAGGCGGGCGGATCACCTGAGGTAAGGAGTTTGAGATCAGCCTGACCAACATGGAGAAACCCTATCTCTACTAAAAATACAAAACTAGCCAGGCATGGTGGCGCATGCCTGTAATCCCAGCTACTGGGAGGGCTGGGGCAGGAGAATCACTTGAACCCAGGAAGCGGAGGTGGCAGTGAGGTGAGATTGTGCCCTTGCACTCCAACCTGGGCAACAAGAGTGAAACTCTTTCTCAAAAAAAAAAAAAAAAAAAAAAAAAAAGAGAGAGTTAACTGACAAGGAGATAGGAGACAAGGTCGAAACCTGCCTTCCCCAATCTGGGGATGGTGAAGCAAGCTCTCATGACCTTTCCAGCTGGTTTCAGGTGATGCCAGTTCATACAGTCTGCCAGGCTGGTGGTGTTAGCAGTTAAGAGGTTAAACCTTTTCCCCATTGGACATGCCTGAGCAATTTGGGCTTTGCATCATCACCTGTAACAACTTAAGCAATGGTTAAGCGTTCAAGCTGATCCTCTGGTTACACAATCAGAGCTAAAAAGTGCAGGGGATACAGGAAGTTCTATTATCAAAGGCATAGGTTCTATAGTAAATACTGTATCATCAGTGCTTCTGATTGTAGTTGGTGAAAAAAAATACCTTATGAGGGCTCTGTCTGTGTTTTCCCACAGCGGTGGTAAAACTTTTCATTAAAGTAATACAGTTTTGCTGGGCGTGGTGGCTCACGCCTGTAATCCCAGCAATTTGGGAGGCCAAGGCTGGCGGATCACTTGAGGCAAGTTGATCAGCCTGGCCAACATGGTGAAACACGGTTTCTACTAAAAATACAAAAATTAGCTGGGTGTGGTGGCACACCTGTAATTCCTGCCACTTGGGAGGCTGAGGCATGAGAATCACTTGAACCCAGGAGGCAGAGGTTTCAGTGAGCCAAGACAGCACCACTGTACTCCTGTCTGGGCAACAGAGACTCTGTCTCAAAAAAAAAAAAAAAAGTAATCCAGTCTTCTTTGTTAGTTTAGCTAATTTTAGTTTCAAGATACCATTTGTTCACTCAACCTTTGTAGAATACCAAGGATAATGAAGTTAATGGTAGGGCCATTGGATCTGTAAGATCTTATCTGTGTGATAACCTGCCCAGTACACTGAGTTCTCCTACCATTGGAGACTTCTCCGGAGATGCCCCAGAAAGGAAACATATTTTATACTCATTTATAAAAAAAAATACAAAAAGAGAGAAAAATAATCATTTATTTGCTATGACTGTGGTATCAGCCTTTCTAAAAAAGGAAGCTATAACCCATCCTGCAAACAGACACACAATCACAAGAATTGTAGCCTTTTTTCATGGCTCACTGTCATCATTGGTCCATGACAATCCCCTTTTTTGCAGCTATATATGTGTATGTCTATCTATTCATATCTATATTTATATCTGTATCTATTTCCTTTTATTACCATGATTCACTTCCACTCCCCTTTCCATAGACAGCCACTCTACTCTTTGACCTAACCTTGAATTTGCATGTGACCTCATAAAATATAAGTATATGGAAAGTATATAGAATATATACTTGCATTTTGTAGTTGTATTTATTTTAATCCACGTATATGCTATAGTGTATGGTGCTACAGAAGAGGGCCTCACAATTAATCGTCCAGTCCCAGACACTTTGGAGAGTGAATGGACATGCTGTTATAATTATTATTTTTTGTGTGTGTGTGGAGATGGAGTCTCGCTCTGTCACCAGGCTGCTGGAGTGCAATGTGCATGCAATCTCCACTCACTGCAACCTCCACCTCCCGGGTTCAAGTGATTCTCCTGTCTTAGCCTCCCAAGTACCTGGGATTACAGGTGCTTGCTGACACACCTGGTTACTTTTTGTATTTTTAGTAGAGATGGGGTTTCGCCATGTTGGCCAGGCTGGTCTTGAACTCCTGACCTCAGGTGATCCACCCACCTCGGCCTCCCAAAGTGCTGGGATTATGGGCATGAGCCACCTCACCCAGCCTTGTTATAATTAAGATTTTCAGAACAACAGGGGTGTATTTAGGCTTATAATCACCTTAACTATAGACCTTGGTTTTTAACCTAAGTTTTTAACTAATATATTTTTCAAATATAATAACAATAAAAATACTATTGCTTGTCTTATGTCAAATCCACCTTGAAGTACTTAAATAGATGAACTCATAGCACTCTGTGAAGTCAATATTGTGATTATCCCATTTTATGGGTGAGTGAGCTGAGGCACAGAGAGGTTAAGGAAGTTGGAGGTCACATGGCCATTGGCCACTGAGCCAGTTTTGAACCTAAATTAATCAGTCTGGATCTGAAGTCTTTACTACTGACCAAAATACCTATGGGCCTCTAAATCCTAAGTTGCTGAGGGTCTTACCTTGTTTCATATCTCAGTAGGAAGGGAGCTAATGTTTATCCATTACATCTGATGTTTAATGCAAGTTTTTAACATACATTTCATTTCCCAAAATATGTTATAAATTTAATTTGATTTTTCTGCTATTCTTTTCTGCATTTTGTAGGAACCTTGCTTTTCCCCCTTTAGTTTGCCAGTGTGGTGAATTACACTTAGATTTTTCTGTGATTGTCTGGAATTCCCAGAATGGCTATTATATCCATTACATATGACTTTCTAATGCACTGTTGCATTTAGGTAGCTGATATTTTATTAAGAACTTTTGCTGGCCGGGTGCAGTGGCTCATGCCTATAATCCCAGCACTTAGGGAGGCCGAGGCCGGTGGATCACCTGAGGTCAGGAGTTCGAGACCAGCCTGGCCAACATGGAGAAACTCCGCCTCTACTAAAAATACAAAAATTAGCTGGGTGTGGTGACGTGTGCCTATAATCCCAGCTACTTGGGAGGCTGAGGCAGGAGAATTGCTCGAATCCGGGAGGTGGAGGTTGCAGTGAGCTGAGATCATGCCACTGCACTCCTCCCTGGGTGACAGAGTGAGACTCTGTCTCAAAAAAAAAAAAAAAACTTTCGCCAAATAAGTTTTAAATTTACTTTCCTTCTAATATCCTTATTCATTTTTAAAACATAGGTTACAGCTCTCTCATGAAATGAATTAGACAGCTTTCCATATTTGCCTTTCTTTCTGGAACATCTTATATAAGACAGAAAATACCGGCTGGGTGCAGTGGCTCACACCTCTAATACCAGCACTTTGAGAGGCCGAGGCAGGCAGATCACTTCAGGTCAGGAGTTTGAGGCCAGCCTAGCCAACATGGTTAAACCCCATCTCTACTAAAAATGTAAAAATTAGCCAGGTGTGGTGATGGGTGCCTGTACTCTCAGCTACTCCAGAGGCTGAGGCAGGAGAATCACTTGAGTCTGGAGGCGGAGTTTGCAGTGAGCAGAGATTTTGCCGTTGCACTTCAACCTGGGCGACAGAGCAAGACTCCGTCTCAAAACAAAAACAAAACAAACAAACCAAAAAAACATAACTGACAGTGTGGAAGAAATCACATGGAAATTGTCTGAGCCTAGAGATTTGTGGGAGTGAGGTCTCTGATTAGAATTTATTTGTTTATTTTTTTGAGACAGAGTCTCACTTGGTTGCCCAGGTTGGTATGCAGTGGTGGGATCTCGGCTCACTGCAATCTCTGCCTCCTGGATTCAAGCGGTTCTCCTGTCTCAGTCTCCTGAGTAGCTGGGATTATACGCATGTAATTTGATTTTTGTATTTTTAGTAGAGATGTGGTTTCACCATGTTGGCCAGGCGGGTCTCAAATGCCTGACCTCAAGTGATCCTCCCGCCTCGGCCTCCCAAAGTGCTGGGATAACAGGCATGAGCCGCCGTGCTCAGCCAGTATATAACAAATTCAAGAAAGTGGTTTTGTCTGGGCAGAAAGGAAGAGACAAGACTGCAGCAATAAGGGAGGGTCATACAGGAAGATTCTTCTGGAAGGTTATTCATCTGGGGAAATCTGAAGCAAATAGGCAAAATGTTAACAATAAATCTGGGTGTGAGTAACTTTGTGTTTTATGTATTACTCAGTATACTTTTCTGTGTATTTGAATATAATGAAAATTATACTGAGAATATATGAGAGACTAAGAGATCGTGATTGGAATGTGCAGAATTCCTTTTTTTTTTTTTTTTTTGTGAGACAGGGTCTCACTTTGTCACCCAGACTGGAGTGCCATGGCACTATCTTGCCTCACTGCAGCCTTGACCTCCTGGGCTCAAGCCATCCTCCAGCCTCAGCCCCCTAAGTAGCTGAGACTACAGGTGTGCACCACCACACCTGGCTAATTTTTTGTACAGACCGGATTTCACCATGTTGCCCAGGCTGGTCTTGAACTCCTGAGCTCAAGTGATCTGCCTGCCTTGGCCTCCCAAAGTACTAGTATTACAGGGGTGAGTCACTACACCCAGCCCAGAACACTTGGGAGAAATTCTGCTGGAAATGGGAAGAAATGAATGCTGGCTAGAGACTCCTATGGCAGCAAGCACAGTTTTTCTTTCTTTTCCTTTTGCTTCATTTTCAAAATGAAAGACTGTGAAGGGCCTGGTCATAAGCTGATGAAAATGATTTATCAGAGACAAGAAAATTGATGATCCATAAGAGATGGGATAAATAGAGGGAAAGCTTTGAGAAGCCAAAGAGAAACTTTAGTGTAGACAAGGAATTTTAGTACCACATGATCCATAATAGTAAAATAAATGTACATGAACAGGCAAAAGGTTAAACTGTGCACCATTCATTTTATAAACTACTCTATGCCAGCTAATTAAAATGAGGACAAATCCTCAAGATTTACAGTTAAGTGGAAAAAAGTGAGATGATCAATATCACAGTAAAACACTATTTCTATAAGGAAAGGTAAAACCTGACATCTTCTGGCCGGGCGCGGTGGCTCACACCTGCAATCCCAGCACTTTGGAAGGCCAAGGCGGGTAGGTGACCTGAGGTCAGGAGTTCGAGACCAGACTGACCGACATGGTGAAACCCCATCTCTACTAAAAATACAAAAAAAATTAGCTGGACGTGGTAGTGTGCATTTGTAATCCCAGCTACTCAGGAGGCTGAGTCAGGAAAATCGCTTGAACCCAGGAGGCAGAGGTTGCAGAGAGCCGAGATGGAACCACTGCACTCCAGCCTGGGGGACAGAGCAAGACTCTGTCTCAAACAACAACAACAAAAACAACAACAACAACAACAAAGTTTGAGGATGCTGGATGCAGTGGCTCACACCTGTAATCCCAGCACTTTGGGAAGCCGAGGCAGGTGGATCACGAGGTCAGGAGTTTGGGACGAGCCTGGCCAAAATGGTGAAACCCCGTCTTACTAAAAATACAAAAATTAGCCGGGCATGCTGGCAAGCGCCTGTATTCCCAGCTACTTGGGAGGCTGAGGCAGGAGAATTTCTTGAACCCGGGAGGCGGAGTTTGCAGTGAGCCGAAATTGTGCCACTGCATTCCAGCCTGGGCAACAGAGTGAGACTCCATCTCAAAAAAAAAAAAAAAAGTTTGAGAACAAACTTATTCACTCTTGGTCCATATTTGATATACTTCCACTAGAAGTGAGAAATTCTCATTGTTTACATAATATTTTAAAATTATCAGTCACTCCAAAGGCATATCTACTGTTTGTAAAAGTATTAACTACTTTGTCTTTTACTATATGACAAGCTCTAGTAGGGGTGTATATTACTGTAAATTGTTCTGATATAAACTCTGAAATAAACACAAAAGAATTAGCTAGCTTTTTAAAACAGGAAAAATAGGCCAGGTGCGGTGGCTCAGCCTGTAATTCCACCACTTTGGGAGGCCAAGGCGGGCAGATCACGAGGTCAGGAGATGGAGACCATCCTGGCCAACATGGTGCAACCCGTCTCTATTAAAAATACAAAAATTACCCAGGCGTGAATGGCATGTGCCTGTAATCCCAGCTACTCGGGAGGCTGAGACAGGAGAATCGCTTGAACCTGGGAGTCGGAGGTTGCAGTGAGCCGAGATTGTGCCACTGCACTCCATCCTGGGTGACAGAGCAAGACTCCGTCTCAAAAAAAAAAAAAAAAAAAAAGCCAAGCGCAGTGGCTCACACCTGTAATCCCAACACTTTGAGAGCCTGAGGAGGGCAGATCAAGAGGTCAAAAGATCGAGACCATCCTAGCCAACATGGTGAAACCCTGTCTCTACTAAAAATACAAAAATTAGCTGGGCTTGGTGACACGCCACTGTAGTCCCAGCTACTCGGGAGGCATGAGTGGAGATCGCGCCACTGCACTCCCGCCTTGCGACAGAGTGAGACTTGGTCTCAAAAAAAAGAAAAAAAAAATTGGAAAAATAAATTGTGAAAGAATTTCCATCTCTGTGAGTTCATCTTGAGAAGTTATAGCATTATTTTTCTCCTATATTTTTTGGCATAAGATCTGTCAACAAAAAGTATGAACCCAGGTTTGTGTAATGGAATATCTTAAACATCAATAGGAGGAGTCAATAGTCCTGATATCACACACACACATGTATGGTCTTCTCCATCATCGGAAAATGGCAACAAAGTGGCTGAGTTATGCAGAGTGTAGCATTTGAGATGGAGATTTGAAGGTGACAGGAAAAGGATTTTGTAAGACATTAGCCTACATGTTGAAAAATGTTGGTTCCTGTCAAATTTTTCTCTTTTTTGAGGCAGAGTCTCTCTCTGTCACTAGCCTGGAGTTCAGTGGCAGGATCTCAACTCACTGCAACCTCCGCCTCGTGGGTTCAAGT
This sequence comes from Homo sapiens, assembly GCF_000001405.40. Taxonomy (NCBI): domain Eukaryota; kingdom Metazoa; phylum Chordata; class Mammalia; order Primates; family Hominidae; genus Homo; species Homo sapiens. The sequence continues at coordinate 13,400,607 of NC_000001.11, read as the reverse complement.
GATTCTTGTGCCTCAGCCTCTGGGGAGCTGGGACTACAGGCGCATGCCACTATGCCCAGCTAATTTTTTGTATTTTTAGTAGAGACGGGATTTCACCAGGTTAGCCAGGATGGTCTCAATCTCCTGACTTCGTGATCTGCCTGCCTCAGCCTCCCAAAGTGCTGGGATTACAGGCGTGAGCTGCCATGCCTGGCTGGATTGTGTCAAAATTTAATAGGTATTCAATTGCATATGAAACTTATAGGTAAAGTTTATTTCTTTTTTCTTTAAAGCATTTATTTATTTTTGATTTATTTTATTTATTTATTTATTTATTTATTTTGAGATGGAGTTTCACTCTTGTTGCCCAGGCTGGAGTGCAATGGCACAATCTCAGTTCACTGCAACCTCTGCTTCCTGGGTTCAAGTGATTCTCCTGCCTCAGCCTTCCTGGTAGCTAGAATTACAGGTGGATGCTACCACGCCCAGCTAATTTTTGTATTTTTAGTAGAGATGGGGTTTCACCATGTTGGCCAGGCTGGTCTCGAACTCCTGACTTCATGTGATCCGCCCACCTCAGCCTCTGAAAGTGCTGAGATTACAGGCGTGAACCACCGTGACCAGCCTAAACTCATCACTTTTAATACCTTCTACATCACATAAGGAAGAAGAGCCAAAACACTTGAGTACTTCACGAAGGTCAAGGTTGGTATAAGTTTGGGTTCCAATATGATCAATTTCTGCTTCTAGGGAACCAAGCAGTTCAGGTTAAGGAAGGTCAGGAAACTCTAGAAAGAAACTCTAGAGAGAAAGCTTTCTTTCCCTCCAAAGAAAGCTTTACGCATCACCTTGACTTAGAAAGCAAATCTCATCCCCTGTTGAGACTTAGTAAAAAGGCATACTTTCCTAAAAATGGTCCAAATGTCATTTGGACTGCTTCAAACACAGGAATTTTCGAAACTTCATTAGAAACCTCTCCTCACAAATATTTTCCTTACTCCAAGGAATTTGCTGATATATTGGGTGTAAACTGGATATGGCAGCGCTGGTATCCACCAACTCTGTTTCTAAGTCCACGTTGATCTGGATCTCAGCTTCTCCATTTTTATTTAAGTGTTTTATAGAAAATAATTTACCAGAGAGTTATCTGAAGTTCCATCAATATGGAGCCGTCAGAAATGAACTCTAGCCAGGTGCTGGGGCTCACACCTGTAACCTCAGCACTTCGGGAGGCTGAGGCAGGGGGATCACCTGAGGTCGGGAGTTATGGACCAGCCTGACCAACATGGAGAAACCCTGTCCACAAAAAATACAAAATTAGCTGGCTGAGGTGGCGCATGCCTGTAATCCCAGCTACTTGGGAGGCTGAGGCAGGAGAATCGCTTGAACCCGGGAGGTGGAGGTTGCAGTGAGCCGAGATTGTGTCATTGCACTCCAGCCTGGGGAACAAAAGCGAAACTCCATCTCAAAGAAAAAAAAAAAAAGAAAGAAAAAGAAAAGAAAAAAAGAAATCTCCTCTAATGAGATCAAACAATGTCTGGGCCAAAAGGGTTCGGTCCAGTAGAGACCTGGTGCAAATGCGGACAATTTTCATTCCAATGGCCTGACTATTTCAAAGGTGGCAGGCAACTTGAGCAGGGTTTCCCTGTTTCCAACGAACTGAATATGAGTTTTAATAGTAAGGGGAGCTCCCCTTGCTCTTGTCCCTTCAGCTGTTTTAGCTGCAAACACTTTATTATCCTTTGCATTCTTTTCGTTCAGCATTGGATACTTTTATGTTCTAGAAATCTCTTAAAATGTTCTCCTGTGGTGACCAATTCGGCAATATCAGTAACTTCTTTTTTTTTTTTTTTTTTTTGAGACAGAGTCTCCCTCTGTCGCCCTGGCTGGAGTGCAGTGGCGTGATCTTGGCTCACTGTAACCTCCGCCTCCCAAGTTGAGGCAATTCTCCTGCCTAAGCCTTCCGAGTAGCTGGAACTACAGGCACATACCACCAAGCCTGGCTAATTTTTGTATTTTTAGTAGAGGTGGGGTTTCACTATGTTGACCTGGCTGCTCTCGAACTCCTGATCTCGTGATCTGCCCTCTTCGGCCTCCCAAAGTACTGGATTACAGGCGTGAGCCACCATGCCCGGCCTTTTGTATTTTTAGTAGAGATGGGATTTCACCATGTTAGTCAGGCTGGTCTCAAACTCCTGACCTCAAATAAGCCACCCACCTCGGCCTACCAAAGTGCTGGGACTACAGGTGTGAGCCACTGCACCCGGCCTGGTAACTTCTTATGTTATGTTTTTCAGTCAGGTCACCAAGCTGTAGACGAAGTCCATTAATGAGTAAAGTTGTCAGAGCCCTTCAGTTCTAGCAGGAAATACTCCCTAGTTATTATAGGACCAGAATGTTTTACAAAGGAAATTACCATTCTAGACTTGGAATCAAAAACTGATACACCTGTCTTCTGTTTACATGATTCAATAATAAACCAGTTGGCTGAGTGTGGCGACTCAAGACTAATCCCAGCACTTTTGGATGTCAAGGCAGGAGTATCGCTGAAGACCAGGAGTTCGAGACCAGCCTAGCCAACAGAGTGAGGCCCCATCCCTATAAAAATAAAAAAAAATTAGCCAGTTGTGATGGTGTCCATCTGTGGTCTCAGCTACTCAGGAGGCTGAGGTGGGAGGATTGCTTGAGCCCAGGAAGTTGAGGTTGCAGTGGATTATGATCACACCACTGCACTCCAGCCTGGGTGACAGAGGGAGATCCTGTCTCAGAAAAAATTAATAAATAAATAAGAATGGACCAGTCAATCTATCATGGGAAGGCAGTGGGGATTGCTGCATCTTTTGGGTCATCCCTAGAAGTAGCTTTTGAGGGAATGATGTAGTCATTCATTTTTAAGCTTTCCCAGGTCCTAATACATGTGTGTCAACTGATATAAATCAGGTAACCCAGAGTCATAGCTTCCTTGTGAGGATTCTAGTTTACTCAGTAGATCAGGTGCAGTAACTCACATCTGTAATCCCAGCACTTTGAGAGTCTGAGGTAGGAGGATCACTTGAGGCCAGAAGTTCAAAGCCAACCTGGGCAACATTGCAAGACCCTGTCTCTGAAAAAATAAAAATAAAAAACCAACAGAAAATAATGCTAAGGAGGATATGGAGAAATGAGGACCTTGGTACACCGTTGGTAGTTATGTAAATTAGTACAGGTACTATGAAAACCAGTATGAAGTTTCCTCCAAAAAATAAAAATAGAATTACTATATGAACCATAAATCCCCCTGCTGGATATATATCCAAAAGAAAAAAGAAATATATCCAAGAGATATCTGCACTTCCATATTATTTTTCTTTTTCTTTATTTCTTTTTATTTTTATGAGACTGAGTTTTTACTCTTGTTGCACAGGCTGGAGTGCAGTGGTGTGATCTTAGCTCACTGCAACCTCTGCCTTCCGGGTTCAAGTGATTCTTCTGCCTCAGACTCCCAAGTAGCTGGGATTACAGGCATGTGCCACTATGCCCAGCTAATTTTGTATTTTTAGTAGACGCGGGGTTTCACCATGTTGGTCAGGCTGGTCTCTAACTCCTGACCTCAAATGATCCACCTGCCTTGGCCTCCCAAAATTCTGGGATTACAGGCATGAGCCACTGCACCCAGCCTGCACTCCCATATTTATTGCAGCACTATCCACAAGAGCCAAAATATGGAATCAACCTAAGTGTCAATCAACAGATAAATGGATCAAGAAAATGTGTTAAATATACACAATAGAATATCATTCAGCCATAAACTGAATGAAATCCTGTCATCTGCAACAACATGGATGGAACTGGAGGGCGTTATGTTAAGTGAAGTAAGCCAGATACAGAAAGACAAACATGGCATGTTCTCACTCATATTTAGGAACTAAAAAACATGAAACTTAAAAATAGAGAGTACAATGATGATTATCAGAAGCTAGGAAGGATAATGGGAAACAAAGAATAAGAAGGGCACGGTGGCTCACACCTGTAATCCCAGCACTTTGGGAGGCCAAGGTGGGTGGATCACGAGGTCAGAAGATTGAGACCATCCTGGCTAATACGGTGAAACCCCGTCTCTACTAAAAATACAAAAAAAAATTAGCCAGACATGGTGGCACGCACCTATAGTCCCAGCTACTCAGAGGCTGAGGCAGGAGAATGGCGTGAACCCAGGAGGTGGAGCTTGCAGTGAGCTGAGATCGCACTACTGCACTCCAGCCTGGGTGACAGAGGAAGACTCCATCTCAAAAAAAAAAAAAAAAAAAAAAAGAAAAAAAAAAGAAAAGAAAAGAGAAGGGGATGGTTAATGGGTACAAAAATGCAGTTAGGTAGGAATAAGATCTAGAGTTCAGTAGCACCATAGGGCAACTCATGTTGACAATAGTTCATAGTAAATTTCTACATAATTAAAACAATGGAATTGGAATGTTGCTTACACAAAGAAATGATAAATTCTTGAGATGGTGAAAACCTGTGTTACCCTGATTTGAACATTACACATTTTACGCTTATATCAGAATATCAGGCCAGGTGCTGTGGCTCATGTCTATAATCCCAGCACTCTGGGAGGCCGAGGCGGGTGGATTACCTGAGGTCAGGAGTTCAGGACCAGCCTGGACAACCTGGTGAAACCCCATCTCCACTTAAAATACAAAAATTAGCCAGATGTGGTGATGGGCTCCTGTAGTCCCAGCTACTCAGGAAGCTGAGGCAGGAGAATTTCTTGAACTCGAAAGGCAGAGGTTGCAGTGAGCCGAGATTGTGCCATTGCACTCCAGCCTGGGTGACAGAGGGAGACTCCCTCTCACAAAAAGAAAAGAAAAGAAAAGAACATCAGATGTACCCTGTAAATATGCACGAGATTTATATATCCACAATAATTTTAAAATTAGAAAAATAGCCTCCCTCTCCCTCTCCCTCTCCCTCTCTTTCCACGGTCTCCCTCTGATGCCGAGCCGAAGCTGGACTGTACTGCTGCCATCTTGGCTCACTGCAACCTCCCTGCCTGATTCACCTGCCTCAGCCTGCCGAGTGCCTGCGATTGCAGGTGCGCGCCGCCACGCCTGACTGGCTTTCGTATTTTTTTGGTGGAGATGGGGTTTAGCTGTGTTGGCCGGGCTGGTCTCCAGCGCCTAACGGCAAGTGATCCGCCAGCCTCGGCCTCCCGAGGAGCCGGGATTGCAGACGGAGTCTCGTTCACTCAGTGCTCAATGGTGCCCAGGCTGGAGTGCAGTGGCGTGATCTCGGCTCCCTACAACCTCCACCTCCCAGCCGCCTGCCTTGGCCTCCCAAAGTGCCGAGATTGCAGCCTCTGCCCGGCGGCCACGCCGTCTGGGAAGTGAGGAGCGTCTCTGCCCGGCCGCCCATCATCTGGGATGTGAGGAGCCCCTCTGCCTGGCTGCCCAGTCTGGAAAGTGAGGAGCGTCTCTGCCCGGCCGCGATCCCATCTAGGAAGTGAGGAGCGCCTCTTCCCGGCTGCCATCCCATCTAGGAAGTGAGGAGCGTCTCTGCCCGGCCGCCCATCGTCTGATATGTGGGGAGCGCCTCTGCCCCGCCGCCCCGTCTGGGATGTGAGGAGCGCCTCTGCCCAGCCGCCCCGTCTGAGAAGTGAAGAGCCCCTCCGCCCGGCAGCCGCCCCATCTGGGAAGTGAGGAGCGTCTCCGCCCGGCAGCCAACCCGTCTGGGAGGGAGGTGGGGGGTCAGCCCCCACGCGGCCGGCCGCCCCGTCCGAGAAGTGGGGGGCGCCTCTGCCCGGCCGCCCCTACTGGGAAGTGAGGAGCCCCTCTGCCCGGCCACCACCCCGTCTGGGAGGTGTACCCAACAGCTCATTGAGAACGGGCAATGATGACAATGGCGGTTTTGTGGAATAGAAAAGGGGGAAAGGTGGGGAAAAGATTGAGAAATCGGATGGTTGCTGTGTCTGTGTAGAAAGAAGTAGACATGGGAGACTTTTCATTTTGTTCTGTACTAAGAAAACTTCTTCTGCCTTGGGATCCTGTTGATCTATGACCTTACCCCCAACCCTGTGCTCTCTGAAACATGTGCTGTATCCACTCAGGGTTGAATGGATTGAGGGCGGTGCAAGATGTTTTTGTTAAACAGATGCTTGAAGGCAGCATGCTCCTTAAGAGTCATCACCACTCCCTAATCTCAAGTACCCAGGGACACAAACACTGCGGAAGGCCGCAGGGTCCTCTGCCTAGGAAAACCAGAGACCTTTGTTCACTTGTTTATCTGCTGACCTTCCCTCCACTATTGTCCTATGACCCTGCCAAATCCCCCTCTGCGAGAAACACCCAAGAATGATCAATTAAAAAAAAAAAAAAAGAAAGAAAAATAGTAAGACTAGGCATGGTGGCTCATGCCTGTAATTCCAGCACTTTGGGAGGCCAAGATAGGAGAAATACTTGAGTCTAGGAGTTTGAGATCAACTGGGACAACACAGTGAGCCCAGCTTCACCTCAGTGAACCATCAGAGAGCTTCCTGGCCCACAGGGGCAAGTTCCAAAGAGATTCTCAAGGCAGCCCAGGAATGCTGCCTACAGGTCAGTGCCCTGGTCTCTTGTGTTTCTTGATAAGGAGAGAAGGGAGATGTTATAGGAAGATATCTCATTGGTATGAATTAGCTTTCCAAAGATGTATTTTTCTATTAATGTGGACTAGAAATATTTAGAATATGTAATATGCATTTTTCTAAAAGGGAAATTGGACACAACCACTTTAATTCAGTGAAGCCCACCAGCCACCTTGAGGACAGGCAAGGGTTGGTGATGTCATGAGGCTCCTGCAATACACACTATGGCCATTCCCTTCAAGGTCAGGGGGCAGCCCGTGGTGCAGTGAAGCCATTTCCTGGCATGGCCAAAGATCAGGAATGGATTCCTCTGGATCTGTCCATTAGGAGTGAGCAGGGTCTCAGTATCTGGGGAGCAGTGAGGGCCCTTGAGAAGAGGGTAGATTTCAGTGGCTCATCATCACTGCCCACACAGAATGTTCCAGGCCCCAAGTGTGCATCCTTTGTAAATGAACCCAGTGAACAGGCATGGGAGAAAGTAAGGAAGAAACAGATGACTGAAGGGAAGTAAAAAATGGGTGAGAATTAATCAAAATGATCACATTTCAGTTTTGATGCCTTGATTTGCTGCAGCTGAACCTCGATCACAGATGATGTAGTATCTCTCATCAGTAACTAGAGATTTCTGATGTATAAATGTCTAAAACAGGTTGATCAATCATGGAAGACACCAGAAAGTTTCCATTCAGATTCCATTTATTTTTGACATTTTTACATAACCATCCTTGTGAGGGTAACTTCTGCATCACTCAAGAACTTCAGGTTCCATTTCTGAGTCTAGGAAACAGGTCCCTGAAGGCCTCATCGATGCCAAGTCAGCATTTTCACCCAGTCCTGCCCCCAGCTGAGTCACCTTTGTTTTCCCACTCACAGTCAGCACGTGCCTGAAACACATGACCGTGTGCTTCCTTTAAGATGCACCTGACCGGGCCCGGCTGCTCATGCCTGTAAACCCAGCACTGTGGAAGGCCAAGGTGGTCAGATCACTTGAGGTCAGGAGTTCGAGGCCAGCCTCCTCCAACATCGTGAAACCCTGTCTCTACTAAAAATACAAAAATTACACTTTGGGAGGCTGAGGTGGGTGGATCACGAGGTCAGGAGATCGAGACCATCCTGGCTAACACGGTGGCACCTGTAGTCCCAGCTACTCTGGAGGCTGAGGCAGGAGAATGGCGTGAACCCAGGAGGTGGAGGTTGCAGTGAGCCGAAATCACACCACTGCACTCCAGCCTGGGCAACAGAGCAAGACTCTGTCTCAAAAAAAAAATACAAAAAAATACAAAAATTAGCTGGGTGTGGTGGCACACGCCAGTAACACCAGCTACTAGGGAGGCTGAGGCAGGAGAATCACTTGAACCTGGGAGGTGGAGGTTACAGTGAGCTGAGATTTTGCCACTGCACTTTAGCCTGAGGGACAGAGCGAGACTCCATCAAAAAAAAAACAAAAAAACAAAAAAACCCACCTGTGTCCTAGATTTTAGTGCCTAAGGGTCCTGAAGAAAGCATATCCATCCCACTAATCAGGCCTTCACTAAGAGCAAAGATGGAAGTCCACTTTCTCAGATGGCCATGAGCCACAGGAAGGGCAGGGGATGGGACCAAAAAAGATCCTCTTGGGCTGCCTGACTTCCCTGAGTGTACACATCAGCTCAGCCCGAATTGGGGCGAGGATCTCCCAATTGACATGACCCCTGTTGTCAAGACACTCCAGAGGGGCAGGATACAACTCCAGACCTAACTTGCTCAGCCCACCTGTGTGACACAGCAGGTCTTTCAGAGCATTCGTGGAGGTCTCATTTCCGCGAAAGTAGAAGGTGGTGAGCTGGGAGCAGCGGCTCAGGGCAGGCAGGAGGACCCTGAGCTGGGAGTCCTGGATCTGACAGTCCTTTAACGTGAGGATCTCGAGAGTAGCAGCAACTTTCTCTAGCAGAGCTCCAAGGGGCTCAAGATTGGTAGTCCACATTAGGATATGAATCAGATGCAGCTCCTTTAGCTGACTGAGGCTTGGGTACTGAGACAGACACTCCATGTCCTGATCAGCTAGGTAAGCATGACAGAATATAAAGGTTCCCAAGGGGTTCTTGAGGCACCTGGGGAGAGCAAGAAATTAGTTATGGGCAATGGTGCCAGTTGGAGGAGGGGGGTGGGAAATCATCTCAATGGTAAACTTGAAGTGGGCATTGAGTAATTCTGCACCTTACTACCACACAGGTGTTGTAGTAACCTGCAATGGGGAAGCCTGTTTCACTCAAACACAAGTTTGTTCCCATCATCAGATGATGGTCTGCGTGCAAGGTGCTGCCTGATGAAGACCCAGATCATTCAGGGGCAGCTCCATTTTAGGCTCAGTCCTTTCAGCCTTGCTTGTGTGATTAGTTCAAGGCCACAAAATCTTTAAAGCCTCTTTACTTTATCTTTCAGGAGACAACCTCAGCTCTGGGCCAGAGGAGCCCAGTGGGAGAAGTGCACAAAGAACTCAACTGAGCAAGGTCTAGGGACATCTGCTAGGACCACCTGCCTGCAAAGATTCCCTGACATGCCCGTGTCTGCAAACCACCTATCACTTTATACCACTCTCCTGCCTACTCCCTCACCTCTGTCCAAGAAGCATGCTTTTCTCATGTCAACTACTTTTCCTGGGGTTCAAAAGAACCTTTTACAGACAGGGAATTAGAGACAGGTTCATTGGTGTTTACTAAGCTGTGAGGACGGAGCTTCTGCTGTGAAACACGCAGGTTTGATGCACTTTCCCTTCTTTCATACTCTCCTCTATATGAAGAATAAGTTTCATCATATTAACTTCAAACACACTTCCTAAAAAGGAATTCACAAATGCACCCTCCCTAGATCTGAACCCCTGACTAACTAGCTCCCTGCATGTCTCTCTCTGTAGCATCTGCCCCGGGCCATCCCTCCGCCCTTATTTGAGCGGGCTTGTGATACCCACTTCAGGATATAGAGCACTGAACAGCATAATGAGTTGACATTCTAGCGTCCCATTCCCTGTGACATCACCAGTGGCTGGCACACAGTAGATGCCCACTAGCGTTTACTGTGAAAAAGAACAAAAGTCTGTGGTATGGTCTGCAGAGAAAGCTCACCATCCTTTCTTACCTGAGCAGGTGCTCCAGGTGCTCTTTGATATTACTGATCTTTCTTATATAAAGCATCTGAGGGTAGTACAGGCAGAGGAATGGACAGTCCAAGTCAGGAACGAACTGCTGTTGGCCGCTTACATATAACTCATCGTCATAACCGAAGGCTAAAAAGAGTTTGCGAAGATTGCTCATCTGGCTCAAGTAAGGGGCAAACTTTCCTGTTTTATTCAGAGAGCACTTTCTCTTAATTTCCAACTCCTGGATACTGTCTGGGTATACCCTTTTCAATAAATTTCTGAAACTTGAAGTGGGCATTGAGTAATTCTGCACCTTATTACAACACAGGTGCACTAGACCTCTTCTGTAGTGGATCCACCTGCAGAGGTAGCTCAGGCATTCATCCAGTGTACTTTCCTTTTGGCAGAGGTCTATGAACACCTTCAAGGGCTGGTGCTCTCCCGTCCTTGGATAGTCCTCCACTGTCTGCCTCTTACTCATGGCCTCTGGGGAGCAGGAGAGGGCCCTGGCTCCAGACCATATAGTCCAGAAATTCCCATCAACATCCCGCAAATCCAGCACTTGAAGTTTCCACCTCCTGTGAGTAACATAGGGGAAAAGCTCAGAATGTAGGCAAAGACCCACCCCTGACCTGAGCTTTCACTCAACATCCAGGACATCAGTCAGCTGCTCCTGTCCTCAGTGCTCCTCCTTCTGTCTCTTCTCCATCCCGCTCCCCCTTGGATTCTGCCTGGTTCTCACTTCTAGAACCTTTACCTTCCACTGGGAGGAAGCAGGTTCCTGTTTCCTCAGTGGACCCTGTATGGTGAGCAGTCCTTTTCCAGAGGATCTGGGCAATGGTCAAGGTCTCTCATGGGCACCATCAGAAGCCTCTGAGCCACCCTAGCTCCCCAACCCCACCACTCCTCCTGAGCCAGCTGTCCCTTCCCTGGATGCCTGGACCCTTCCCACCAGGCCACCTGAGTCACCTCACCTGGGGCGAAGCTTCTGGGCCAGCAGTGTATCAAGTCCCTTCAGCACAGCTTGCAAGGTCTCCAGATGAGGTGTCTTCATCAGGGATCCCAGAGGGAGGCGGAGGAAGGGCCAGGCCTGCACCATCAGCTTCAGGGCCTCAAAATGTCTCATGCTGGAGGCCTCCATGAACATCAGAGGGAAGACCTCCCTGGGCAGCTCGTCCAGGATGAAGATGGTCAAGAACTGGTTCCTCAGCAGGCTCTGGCCTGCCAGCTCCAGGAGTCTGGATGGGGACTGGAGGCTCATTCTGACAAATCTCCAGTGAAAAACTCTAGAGGACAATCCAGTGAAAAGGCAAGTTTCTCAGGCCAATCCCCTGCAACCCCCACTTCTCCTAGGGCCAAAGTCAGTTCTCTAGCATGTGTGAAAGGGCCCTCAGTTTACTCCAATTCCATTCTGCAATAAGTGGCCACAGAGGCATAGTTCTGCCCTTCTGGTACCAAGAAGAGTGTGTCCCAACCTCTAAAGAGCAGGCAAGATCCCTCCTATAGGGTCCATGAATTATTAGCCACTGCACCACTACACTGATAGCACTGGGAAGTGTTACCAAGGATCTTTGAAGCTCAGATCTCCACTTTTTTGAGAAAACAAAATGTCTTCTTGGCCAAGCACGGTGGCTCATGCCTGTAATCCCAGCACTTTGGGAGCCCGAGGTAGGCGGATCATGAGGTCGGGAGTTCGAGACCAGCCCGGCCGACACGGTGAAATACCGTCTCTGCTAATACAAAATATTAGCCAGGTATGGTTGTCCATGCCTGTAATCCCAGCTACTTGGGAAGCTGAGGCAGGAGAATCTCTTAACCCAAGGGCCAGAGTTTGCAGTGAGCCAAAATCTAGCCACTACACTCCAGCCTGGGTGGCAGAGTAAGACTCTGTCTCAAAAAAAAAAAAAAAAAAATTGTAAAGCGAAGCCAAGCATGGCGGCTTACAGCCGTAATCCCAACACTTTGGGAAGCCAAGGCAGAACAATCACTTGAGCCCAGGAGTTCCAGACCAGCCAGGGCAACATAGTGATAGCCCATGTCTACTAGACTCTACTAGAATGTTAAGTAATTATCTGAGCATTGTGGCACATGCCTATAGTCTCAGCTACTCTGCAGACAGAGGTGGGAGGATGGCTTGAGCCTGGGAAGCAGAGGTTTCAGTTATCTGAGATTTTGCCACCACACTCCAGCCTGGGCAACAGAGAAAGACCCTGTCTCAAATAATAATAACAATAATAACACACTTTGGGATTGAGTCTAGGGGAAGAAATGGATCCTACATTCAAAACAAAGACTCTACTCTTGAAAATAGTGTATGGGGCCAGACATGGTGGCTCATGCCTGTAATCCCAAGACTTTAGGAGACAAGGTGGGGGGTTTGCTTGAGTCCAGGTGTTCCAGACCAGCCTGGCTAACAAAGCCAGAACCCAACATCATAAAAAAATTTAATAGAGCATGGTAGAAGGAATATCTTTATAATTTTAGTAAAAAACAAAACCTATCTTTCAAAATCACAATAGCATTCTTGGGTGGGGTGACTCTTGCCTGTAATCCCAGCACTTTGGGAGGCTAAGGGCTGGCAGATTACATGGAGTCCAGGGGTTCCAGACCAGCCTGGGCAATATGGTACAACCCCATCTCTACTAAAAATACAATTAGCCAGGCCTCATGGTGTGGGTCTGTAGTCCCAGCTACTGGGAAGGCTGAGGTGAGAAGATCCCTTGAATACAGGAGACAGAGGTTGCACTGAGGCAATTATCACACCACTGCAGTACAGCTGGGTGACAGAGTGAGACTTTGTCTCAAGAAATTAAAATCACAATAACGTAGTCTATAAACTGTAAATTAAGGGCACACAATCTACAAACTTTAAATGTCAAGGAATGAGACATTAATTAATTGGAATTTTTTTTTTTTTAATTGAGACGGAGTCTATTGCCCAGGCTGGAGTGCAATGGCGTGATCTCAGCTCACTGCAACCTCCACCTCCCGGGCTGAAGCAATTCACCTGCCTCAGCCTCCTGAGTAGCTTGGATTACAGGCATGTGCCACCATGCCCAGTTAATTTTTGTATTTTTAGTAGAGAAGGCTTTTCACTGTGTTGGTCAGCCTGGTCTCAAATTCCTGACCTCAGGTGATGCACCCACCTTGGTCTCCCAAAGTGCTGGGATTACAGGCATGAGCCACTGTCTCTGGCCCAGTTGGATTCTTTCTTAATTCTTTGGTTAAGAATTTTGGAATGACATAAAACAAGCACAAATAAATTTTTTTTTCCTTTTTAAGGCAAAGTCTTGCTGGGTCACCCAGGTGCACACCACCATGCCTGGCTAATGGTTGCATTTTAAGTACAGATGGAGTTGGCCTCATGTGATCTGGCTGCCTTGGCCTTTCAAGGTTGCTGGAATTACAGGTGTGAGCCATCATGGGAGTCTCAGCTACTTGGAAGGCTGAGGAGGGAGGATCCGTTGAGCGTGGGGGGCAGAGGTTGCAGTGAGGTGAGGAGTTTGAGAGCAGTGTAGCCAACCTGGCAAAATCTTATCTCTACTAAAAATACAAAAATTAGCTGCGCATGGTGGCTGGTGCCTTGTAATCCCAGCTACTTGGGAGGCTGAGGCGGGAGAATTGCTTGAAGCCGGGAGGCGGAGGTTGCAGTGAGCTGAGATCGCGACACTGCACTCCGACATGGGCGACAGAGTGAGACTCCTTGGAGAAAAAAAAAAAAAAGAACTTTGAAATGTGGCAGGGCCCAGTAACTCATGCCTATTATCCCAGCACTTTGGGAGGCCAAGGCAGGTTGATCACTTGAGAGGTCAGGAGTTCAAGACCAGCCTGGCCAACATGGTAAAAACTTACCTCTACTAAAAATACAAAATTAAGGCTGGGCACGGTGCTCACACCTGTAATCCCAGCACTTTGGGAGACCGAGGTGGGCCGATCACAAAGTCAGGAGTTCGAGACAAGCCTGGCCAACATGGTGAAACCCCATCTCTACTAAAAATACAAAAATTAGCCAGGTGTGGTGACAGGTGCCTGTAATCCCAGTACTCGGGACGCTGAGGCAGGAGAATCGCTTGAACCTGGGAGGTGGAGGTTGCAGTGAGCTGAGATTGTGCCATTGCCCCGCAGCCAGGGCAATAGAATGACGCTCCATCTCAAAAAAAAAAAAAAAAAAAAAAAAGAAGTAGCTTATCAAGTGCTGAAGCAACATGGGAGAAAAAAAATACAAAATTTAGTCAGGCATAGTGGTGGGCGCCTGTAATTCCAGATAGTAGGGAGGCTGAGGCAGGAGAATCACTTGATCCAGGAGGCGGAGGTTGCAGTGAACCAGGATCATGCCACTGCACTCCAGCCTGGGTGACAGAGCAAGAGTCTGTCTCAAAAAAATAAAATAAAAGAGAACTTTGAGATGGCATAAACTAAAACAGAAATAAAATATTTGGAGAGTGGCTGGGCGTGGTGGTTCATGCCTGTAATCTCAGCACTTTGGGAGGCTGAGGCGGGTGAACCACAAGGTCAGGAGTTCAAGACCAGCCTGGCCAACATGGTGAAACCCTGTCTCTCTAAAAATACAAAAAAAAATTAGCCAGGCTTGGTGGTGGGCGCCTGTAGTCCCAGCTACTCGGGAGGCTGAGGCAGGAGAATTGCTTGAACTTGGGAGGTGGAAGTTGCAATGAGCCGAGATCGTGCCACTGCACTCCAGCCCAGGCAACAGAGTGAGACTCTGTCTCAAAACAAAAACAAACAAACAAACAAAAATATATATGTATATATATATTTGGAGTGTAGATAAAAGTGTATTAGAGGAAAAATCAAAGCCTACATCTGTTCATCTGAAAAACAGGCAGGAGAATTCTCTGTGTCATCTTGACCTGCGTGTCGTAATCCCGACTGTCTGACTTTGGGTCATAGGAGTGCCCTTTGTGGAGGTCCCTGACTTACCAGATCTGGACTCACTTTGCAGTATGCTCGGATCTCGTGGAGAACCAAGCAGTAACTCCAGGCACCACAGCTCTGGGTCTCTTCTGGGGGTGCTCACAAGCTTTCTTGAACCTTTCTCATCACACCTCCCCTTTTCAACCACCAGCTTCCCATCAGAGAGTGATGCCTGATTGGATTTCTGAAGCTCCACCCAGTTAAGCCTGTGAATTCAGGTGTCCATTCAATCCCTTGGATATCCAATCATGAAATTGAAAGTGTTGGGATTAGAACGCAAGTCAAGAATTCATTTTGATAACGTTGATCCAGCCAAAGATCTCTGAACCATAAAGCTTTCAGGTTTTGTTTTTCTGTCTAATCTCAGGAACAGATTGAACCCTTCCCTGTCTCAAACTCAAAAATAGGAAGGTCACATATTAGTACAACTCATTCTCTGTGGAGGGCATTAATGAATGAATTCTTGACTTCCACCCTAATCCTAACAAACACTGATGGAATTTACTAAGGGACTGACTGATAAGGTGGGTGGTGTGTGTCTGTAATCCCATTGAGGAATTCATATTGAGGAATTATTTTCTTATTTTGCTGAGAATATTTTTAAAATCCTGAATGAGTCATTGAATTTTTTCAAATGTTTTTCCTACATCAGTTAAGATGATCATTTTCTGGTGCTTTTATTCTATTTATTTGTTTAAATACATTGGTTGAATTCAAATGTTCAACTAATTGTGCATTTTTTTTTTTTTTTTTTTTTTGGGAGACAGAGTCTCGCTCTGTGGTCCCGGGTGGAGTGCAGTGGTGTGATCTCGGCTCACTGCAACCTCCATCTCCCGAGTTCAAGCGATTCTCCTGCCTCAGCCTCCTGAGTGGCTGGGATTACAAATGTGCACCACCACGCTTTGCTAAGTTTTGTATTTTTACTAGAGACAGCGTTTCCCATGTTGCCCAGGCTGGTCTTGAACTTGTGATCTCTGGTGATCTGCCCACCTCGGCCTCCCAAAGTTGTTGGGAGTGCAGGTGTGAGCCACTGCGCCTGGCCCAATCATGCATGTTTGGTTGATATTCAAATGTTAAAACCATTTTCATTGTCCCTTTGGTCATTTTTATAAATTGTTGGAAGACACATAGGTGGATGGGATTGGAAGGAGAAGAGTGGAGAGACAGGTGGCCCTAAAGTGGGTGGAAGGTACATATGCCTTCATTTTACTGAGGACTAAGGTCTGAATTTTTTATCTTGCCCAAATTCCTACTGAGTCTACAGAGTCATGCCCCAAAATCATAAATTTCCATCAGATGAGTTTTTTTTAGCCCTGTATATGGTGACTTACTTTCCAATCTGACTCTGGCGTAACATCCTGTGACAGAGGAGAAAGTCAAGATATTTTGCCCCAAGGCATGTTTCTTTGCCATATCTTGAAATGGCCCTGCAAAGCTGTCCTTTATGGGGGAAAATCTGCATCTGTAAAGAATCTCTATTAACACAGCTAGATCTTTTTCTTGCAGGCCCTCCCAGTCCTGAAGAGATGGACTGTCTGGTAATTTTAAGGGTCTGAATAGGAAACATCTGTCATCTGTTGTCTCGAAGGGTGGCCACTATGAGATTTCAAAAGAACCTCGGTCTCCACAATCTTTTATTTCACCCTGACCATTTCCTTTCTATGGATCCCCGGTCTTTAGACAAACTCAACCAATTGTCAACCAGAAAATGTTTAAATTTACCTATAGCCTGGAAGCCCCCGACCCTTCAGTTGTCTCTCCTTTCTGAGCTAAACCAATGTAATTCTTTTCTTTTCTTTCTCTCTCTCTTTCTTTCTTTCACATGGATTCTCACTCTGTCGCCCAGGCTGAAATGCAGTGGTGTGCTCTTGGCTTACTGCGATCCCTGTCTCCTGGGTTCAAGTAATTCTCCTGTCTCAGCCTCCCGAGTAGCTGGGAATACAGGCACACACCATCACGCCTGGCTAATTTTTGTATTTTTACAAAAATTAGACGGGGTTTCACCATGTTGGCCAGGCTGGTCTCTAACTCCTGTCCTCAGGTGATCCACCTGCCTTGGCCTCCCAAAGTGCTGGGACTACAGGCGTGAGCCACCATGCACCCAGCCATGTATTTCTCTTTTCTTTCTTTCTTTCTTTTTTTTTTTTGAGATGGAGTGTCACTCTGTCGCCCAGGCTGGAGTGCAGTGGTGCGATCTCAGCTCACGGCAAACTCCACCTCCCAGATTCAAGCAATTCTTCTGCCTCAGCCTCCTGAGTAGCTGGGATTAAAGGCGTGTAGCACCATGCCAGGCTAATTTTTGTATTTTTAGTAGAGATGGGGTTTCAGCATGTTGGCCAGGCTGGTTTCGAACTCCTGACCTCAAATGATCCGCCCACCTCGGCCTCTCAAAGTGCTGAGATTACAGGCGTGAGCCACAGCGCCCGGCGGACCGGCCATGTATTTGTTAGATGTATTTAATTGATGTCTCATGTTCCCCTAAACTGTATAAAACCAAGCTGCGCCCCAACCACCTTGGGCATGTGTTCTCCAGACCTCTTGAGGGCTGTGTCATGGGCCATGGTCATTCATATTTGGCTCAGAATAAATCTCTTCACATATATTACAGAGTTGAACTGTTTTTGTCGACATTAGTATTATATTTTTCTACTGCTTACATATTATATGTGTGTATTTATTATATACCGTGTTCTGTTGGTATGTATCATTTATTTTACTACTTATTCATTTTAAGTTTGGAAGGGAGAGCTTTATTTTTCATAAAAGGTGGCCATGGCCAGGCAAGGTGGCTCACAGCTGGAATTCCAGCACCTGATCCCAGTGGGTGGATCACCTGAGGTCAGGAGTTCGAGACCAGCCTGGCCAACATGTTGAAACCCTGTCCCTACTAAAAATACAAAAATCAGGTGGGCATGGTGGCCCACGCCTGTAATCCCAGCTACTTGGGAGGCTGAGGCAGGAGAATCACTTGAACCTGGGAAGCAGAGGTTGCAGTGAGCCGAGATGGCGCCACTGCACTCCAGCCTGGGCGACAGAAGGAGACTCCGTGTCAAAAAAAAAAAAAAAAAAAGAGTGGCCAAGTGTCGGATGGCCACTCTGACGGGAGGAGCAGCATCAGGCAGTTGGTTGCTATGAGTGGTAGATTCTTAAAGAGCTGGTTTCTGTTTGACCCTTAAGGAAGAAAGGCTAATGGTGGTTAGCAAGGGAGGGGGTATAGTGAAGCTTGTGGACCCCCCCCGCCCAACATCTCGTTCTCCTTGAGAACTCAGTTTTCAAGGATAACTGGGGGTTCCTCTTGACCAACAGGGGGTCTGTTTCTTCAGTTAGGGGGCTTAGAAATTCACTGTTATTTCTCTTTTTTTTTTTTTTTGAGACGAGTCTCACTCTGTCGCCCAGGCTGGAGTGCAGTGGCACGATCTCAACTCACTGCAACCTCCACCTCCCGGATTCAAGCAGTTCTCTGCCTCAGCCTCCTGAGTGGCTGGGATTACAGGCGCCCACCACCACGGCTGGCTAATTTTTTTGTATTTTTAGTAGAGACGGGGTTTCACCATCTTGGTCAGGCTGGTCTTGAACTCCTGACCTTGTGATCCACCCACCTCGGCCTCCCAAAGTGCTGGGATTACAGGCGTGAGCCACCGCGCCCGGCCCTGTTATTTCTCATTTATCCCCCTGTACATCAGGATATGCCAGAAGCAGCATCAATGGCCAAAGTTTTAATTTGTCTCATGTGGATGACAGGGTGGCGGAGCTACCTGCCTTGGTCCACCCAGCCCCTAGGTGGGACTCCTGTGGATGTGAGATTCAGAGCCAAAAGACTTACAGCCAATTAAAGCATCCTAGGCCAGATGAGCATGGCGGTGGGCAGGCATGCATCAACACTTAAAACCTTTTAGGCAACATAAGCCTAAAACCAAAGCCAAATCAAGCTTACAGAAATGGACTTATCTATAAGTTCTACGCATTGAGCTACTGCAACCTTGGTCTTAGTTAGACTTGTAGCAATTAGCTATAAACATAAACATTTCCCTGAAACCACTTAAGGTAAGGAATTTAGAGACTTCTGTGTCCCACAGCATTTTTTTGTGGTTTCTTTTGTAATCTGTCCTAAAGTGGCCAAAAAATGTCTTTATCATATTTCCATTTGCATAAACCCAATAGTGAGAACAACTATACCCAAAAGGCTTTATCACCACCTGTCTTGATATCTTCTTGGTGATTCTCCTTTAATGCTCTAGAAAGCAGGAATTTTTCCATAATTGGAATGGATGGATAATGACCTAGGAGGAAAAGTCCCTCAGTTGCCAACTGTTGAGGCATCTGTGTGCCCATTCTTTTTTTTTTTTTTTTCCTTGGATACAGAGTCTTGCTCTGTCACCAGGCTGGAGTGCAGTGGCATGATCTCAGCTCACTGCAACCTCTGCCTCCCGGGTTCAAGGAATCTCCTGCCTCAGCCTCCCAAGTAGCTGGAACTACGGGCATCCCCCACCACACCCAGCTAATTTTCGGTAGAGACAGGGTTTTACCTTGTTGGCCAGCAATAAGGAAATGATTCAGAACAGCTGGGCTCCCAACTAAACCCACCCTCAATCCTGGAAACTCGGCCCTAAGTGAAAACAGCTAACCCCATTTTTCTGCCCAAATGATTGCCCTTTTGGCCTTCCCCACACCCTATCCTGGGCCCATAAAAAGACCAGCTGGCAGAGCAACACAAGCGGCTGCTGCAAGTGGTCGGGGATGCAAGATGCTGAGCATCGGAATACAAGTGACTGAACGTTGGGGATACAAGCAGATGAGCATTAAAGCCTACAGAGAGATGCAGCTAACTTCAGATGGTGTGGCTTCAGGGGAAGATCACCTTCTTGCTGCACCATCCCCTTTCTTTTTTTTTTTTTTTTTTTTTTGGAGACGGAGTCTCACTCTGTTGCCCAGGCTGGAGTGCAGTGGCGTGATCTCAGCTCACTGCTCACTGCAAGCTCTGCCTCCTGGGCTTAAGAGATTCTCCTGCCTCAGCCTCCCAAGTAGCTTGGATTACAGTCACCCGCCACCACGCCCAGCTAATTTTTTTGCATTTTTATTTGAGATGGGGTTTCACCATGTTGGCCAGGCTGGTCTCGAGCTCCTGACCTCAGGTGATCCATCTGCCTCAGCCTCCCACAGCCTCCCAAAGTGCTGGGATTACAGGCTTGAGCCACTGCGCCTGGCAGCACCATCCCCTTTCTAACTCCCCTTTCTACTGAGAGCCACATTTATCACCCAATAAAATCCTTCACTTATGCTACTCTTTAAATAGCTAATGTGACCTGGTTCTTCCTTTACACCGAATAAGAACTTGAGTGTCAAAAAGGGCAGGTGCGGGAAGCTGTCACTCTGACCCTACACTGAGCTGTTCACACTCAGCCATCCACAGACTGCAGCCGGAGTGAAACAAGCCACTCTAGTTCCTGCCCATGAAGAAGGTCAAAGTCAAGGGAACAATCCTGTCTCAGGAACACACTTTACTGGACAGGTTATCAAACACTTAAAGAAGATTTTACAAATTTAGTGGCACTACCATTGCCCTCATTTTTCTCAGCCTTCTACAAAGGTTGAATGAACAAATGTTATCTTGAAACTAAAATTAGCTAAATCAGGCTGGGCACGGTGGCTCACATCTGTAATCCCAGCACTTTGGGAGGTCGAGGCGGGTGGATCACTTGTCAAGAGTTCGAGACCAGCCTGGCCAACATGGTGAGACCCCTTCTTTTCTAAAGATACAAAAAGTAGCTGGGCATGGTGGTGCATGCCTGTATTCCCAGCTAATAGGGAGGCTGAGGCAGGAGAATCACTTGAACCCGGGAGGCAGAGGTTGCAGTGAGCCAAGATCGCACCATTTTACTCCAGCCTGGGTGACAGAGGAAGACTCTCTCTCAAAAAATAAATAAATAAATGAATAAAAATAAAATTAGCTACATCTACAGAGAAGACTAGATTACCCTAAACAAAAGTTTTACCACTGATTTTTTTTTTTTTCAGATGGAATCTCACTTTGTCACCAGGCTGGAGTGCAGTAGCACTGTCTCTGCTCACTGCAACCTCTGCCTCCTGGGTTCAAGAGATTCTCCTGCCTCAGCCTCCCAAGTAGCTGTAACTATTGGTTTATGCCACCATGCTGGGCTAATTTTTGTATTTTTGGTAGAGATGGGGTTTCGCCATGTTGGCCAGGCCGGCCTCAAACTCCTTACCTCAAGCGATCCTCCCACCTTGGCCTTCCAAAGTGCTGGGATTACAGGTGTGAGCCACAGTGCCTGGCCTCAAATGGAACATTTTCTAAGTTCTACTGTTCAAAGTTTAGCTTCTTTCACTAAGCAAATCAAATTGCTGGCTATGTATACATTTTTTTTAATCTTTATTTTTGTTTTTCTTTTTCGAGACAGGGTCTTGTTTTGCAACCCAGGCTGGAGTGAAGTGGCACGATCACGGCTTATTGCAGCCTTGACCTGCCAGGCTCAATCAATCCTCCAAATCAGTCTCTTAAATAGCTAGGATTACAGGCGTGTGCCACCACACCTGGCTAGGTTTTGTGTTTTTTTATTTTTTGTGGAGACAGGGTTTCACCATGCTGCCCTGGCTGGTCACTAACTCCTGGCCTCTGGGCTCAAGCAATTTGCCTGACTCGGCCTCCAAAAGTGCTGGGATTACAGGTGTGAGCCACCAAGCAAGGCCTGGAAATTTATTTCTGTGCATAGAAAACCTTAGTGCAGCTGGGTTGATCTAGGCAGTGTTCCAGACTCCCTCTGTAATCAGACTCTTTGGTTTGACACACATTATGGAGATTGGAAGCCAATGTGTAAGGGAAATAGATATAAAATTAGAACATGACCACTACTTAGGAGGCTGCAGCAGAAGGATCACTTGAGTCCAGGAGTTCAAGGCTGCTATGAGCTATGATTATGCCACTGAACTCCAGCCTGGGCAACAAGAGCGAAACTCCGTCTCAAAAAAATAAAATAAAATAAATACATAAATAAATAAATGTAGGAAGAAAAAGTATTTTAATGAATTAGATGAAGTAACCATTGCATGCTATCTCCATTAAAGGATAAGTAGGTTCCTCTACAAAATGCCCTGATTATTGATGCATCTCAGCTCACCACAACCTCTGCCTCCCAGGTTCAAGCGATTCTCCTGCCTCAGCCTCCCTAGTAGCAGGGATTACAGGCATGTACCACCATGCCAAGCTAATTTTGTATTTTTAGTGTTGATGTGGTTTCTCCATGTTGGTCAGGCTGGTCTTGAACTCCTGACCTCAGGTGATCCACCTGCCTCAGCCTCCCGAAGCGCTGGGATTACAGGCGTGAGCCACTGCGCCCAGCCTTATTTATTTATTTATTTATTTATAAGACAGGTTCTCACTCTGTTACCCAGGCTGGAGTGCAGTGGCAGATCTCAGCTTACTGCAACCTCTGCCTCCTGGGCTCAAGTGATCCTTCCACCTCAGCCCCCCAAGTCACTAAGAGTACAGGTACATGCCACCATGCCCAGCTAATTTTTGTATTTTTTGTAGAGATGAGGTTTTGCCACATTGCCGAGGCTGGTCTTGAACTCCTGGACTCAACAATCTGCCCACTTTGGCTTTCCAAATGCTGGGATTACTGATGTTAACTACCATGCTTGCTCCTCTATCCCAATTTAAACCACAATCACACAATCTGGTGTCAATGGAAATTAAGGCTGTTGAGGGAGAAATAATTTGATAAAAGTTTGTTGGAAGCTGAATGTGAGAATTGACCCAGGAACATACAGCAACAAAGAGGGTGTGTTCCAAAGTCTGTTATAAGTTGGAATGCTTTCATGAGAGAGTGTAGAAGGCAGTGGGACTCCTCATAGCTGAGTTGTCCTTCTTCAATGATGGGTACAACACAGAGGTTACAATCATTGGCCAAGGTTGACAATGAACAGGCCAAAATGCTTGATGTGCTAGACAGTCAAACTTCATGATCAAAATCAAATCAGTGTCCTTCTCAATGTCAGAAGGTGAAGACTTCATCAGTACTTGAAGAGTTTGAGAAGCTCATGATCAGATGATTTACTCAGGGACAAGAAGTAAGCCATGAATCCTAAGTCCCGAGATGGTTGGTTTGAAAGCCCGCCAACTGTGATTTGCAGGTTTTTGTTTTTGTTTTTGTTTTTGCTTTTTGAGATGGAGTTTCACTCTGTCACCCAGGCTGGAGTGCAATGGCGCAGTCTTGGCTCATTGCAATGTCTGCCTCCCTGGTTCAAGCAATTCTCCTGCCTCAGCCTCCCAAGCAGCTGGGATTACAGGCATGCCCCAACACACCTGGCTAATATATATATATATTTTAGTAGAGATGGGTTCACCATGTTGGCCAGGCTGGTCTTGAACTCCTGGCCTTAGGCGATTCACCCACCTCAGCCTCCTAAAGTGTTGGGATTACAAGTGTGAGCCACCAAGCCTGGCCGATCTGCAGGTTTTCACTGGCAATGTGTAGATGCAGCTATGATGAAGAATAACCATGACCGTCACATTACCCCCGACTGGTGGGGAATGGGATCCTTTGACCCTTTCTCACCCTAAAACTGGGTTACTCATCTGTGTGTCAACAAAAATATGGTGTACTTAACAGACAGAGAAAGACGCTCTGTAAAAAAGGATTTTTTTCTTATGAAATGAGCAAAGCAGTGGGAATAGGTGTGAGACTATTCAGGGAGGTCAAGGAAGACAAGGGTTTGGAAAGGAAAAATAAGGAGGATTACATAAGTGGTTTTGAAAGCATCCTCCTTGGCCATAAGGATCACAATTAAGGTGGCATTGGCCAATGTTGGAAAGAGTCTCCCTCCATGCCCACAAAAAC
This sequence comes from Homo sapiens, assembly GCF_000001405.40. Taxonomy (NCBI): domain Eukaryota; kingdom Metazoa; phylum Chordata; class Mammalia; order Primates; family Hominidae; genus Homo; species Homo sapiens. Next base: position 13,377,131 of record NC_000001.11, on the reverse strand, counting down.
CCAACATGTTGACCATGCCTTGGTTCAATCTCCAGGTTCCATTGGAACACTAAGCCCAACCCAGCCCAGCCCAGCCACCACCCTTACTTCTCTTTGTAATTGTTACCTGATTTCCTCCAGAGAAACCTGGAACAAAATCTTGAGACCAATCACATCCTTAGTGGTACCTCTCTTCCACACAAATGAGCATATGATTTCCTCATATGGGTAACTTAAATCCCAAATGACCAATATATACACGAACATTTAAATTCAATTTTGTAGGGATAAAACCACTGCCTTCATGAAGCTGTTTTTTGTTTTGTTTGTTTTTGGTTTTGATACAAGCTCTGTTGCCCAGCCCAGAGGGCAGTGGATTGATCTAGGCTCACTGCAACCTCTGCATTGTGGGGATCAAAAAATGGATCTTCCCATTTCAGCCTCCAGAGTAGCTGGGACCATAGGTGTGTGCCACAATGCTTCACTGATTTTTTTTTTTTTTTTTTTGAGATGGAATCTCCGTCTGTCCCAGGCTGTAGTGCAGTGGCATGATCTTGGCTCACTGCAACCTCCACCTCCCGGGTTCAAGTGATTCTTCTGCCTCAGACTCCTAAGCAGCTGGGACTACAGGCACGTGCCACCATGCCCAGCTAATTATTGTATTTTTAGTAGAGACGGTGTTTCACCATATTTGCCAGGCTGGTCTCGAACTGCTGACCTCGTGATCTGCCTACCTTGTCCTCTCAAAGTGCTAGGATTACAGGCACGAGCCACCGCGCCTGGCTTATAAAGTTTAAACTCTGAAACATTTTATCTTTATTTATTTATTTATTTATTTGTCTTGAGACTGAGTCTTGCTCTGTCACCCAGGCTGGAGTGCAGTGGCGCGATCTTGTCTCACTGCAAGCTCCGCCTCCCAGGTTCATGCCATTCTCCTGCCTCAGCCTCTGGAGTAGCTGGGTCTACAGGCGCCCGCCACTATGCCTGGCTAATTTTTTGTATTTTTAGTGGAGACAGGGTTTCACTGTTAGCCAGGATGATCTCCATCTCCTGACCTCGTGATCCACCCACCTTGGCCTCCCAAAGTGCTGGGATTATAGGCATGAGCCACCGTGCCTGGCTGAAACCATTTATAATTTTGTTTGTTTTGCTTTTTGAGGCGGAGTCTCTCTCTGTTACCTAGGCTGCAGTGCAGAGGCACGATCTTGGCTCACTGCAACCTCCGCCTCCTGGGTTCAAGTGATTCTCCTGCCTCAGCCTCCTGAGTAGCTGGGACTATAGGCGCCTGCCACCACACCCGGCTAATTTTTGTATTTTTAGTAGAGACAGAGTTTCACCATGTTGGCCAGGATGGTCTCGATCTCCTGACTTCATGATCCACCCGCCTGGGTCTCCCAAAGTGCTGGGATTACAGGCATAAGCTACCGCGCCTGGCCCATTTTGATAATTTTGATGGGGCCAAAGGTTTCCCCAACATTAATTTTTTTAGGTTTTGTTTTTCTGTCTAATGTCAGGAACAGAGTGAGAGTTCTGTGTCTCACACTTAGGACAAAGAAGGTCACATACTGGTAAATTCCATCAGTGTTTGTTAGGGTTAGGGTGGAAGTCAAGAATTCACTCATTAATGCCCTCCACAAACAGAGATGGAGTGGTAGTAATATGTGACCTTCCTAGTCCTGAGTGGAAGACAGGGAAGGGTTCAAACTATTCCTGAGATTAGACAGAAAAGCAAAACCTGAAAATATTATGGTTGGGAGTTCTTTGGTCACGTCAAAATCATCAAAATGAGTTCTTGACTTCCACCCTAATTACAGTGCTTTCAGTTTCATGATTGGATATCTGATTCAATCCATTATTCTGCAGAAAGCCGAAACTTCAATCAGGCTTAACTGGGTGGAATTCAGAAATCCAATCAGGCATCACTTTCTAATAGGAATCTGGAAGTTGATAAGGGAGGTGGGATTAGGAAGGTCCAAGAAAGGTGCTGGGCGCTGTCCAGGTGTGGTGGCGCATTCCTGTAATTCCAGCTACTTTGAACGCTGAGACAGGAGAATCACTTGAACCCAGGAGGTGGAGGTTGCGGAGAGCCGATACCACGCCATTGCACTCCAAACCGGGCAACAAGAGCGAAACTCCGTCTGAAAAAAAAAGAGAAAGGTCCAAGAAAGCTTGTGAACATCCACAGAAGAGACCCCGAGCTGTGGTGCCTGGAGTTATTGCTTGGTTCTCCAAGAGGTCTGAGCAGACTGCAAAGTGAGTCCAGATCTGGTAAGTCAGGGACCTTCACAAGGGCACTCCTATGACCCACAGTCAGCCAGTAGAGATGGCGACATGAAGGCCAAGGTGGCACAGAGAATTTTCCTGCCTGTTTTTCAGATGAACAGATGTAGGCTTTAATTTTTTCTCTAATGCAGTTTTATCTCTTCACTCCAAATATTTTGTGTTGTAGTTTTTATGTCATTTCAAAGGTTTTCTTTTTTTTTTTTCTTTTCTGAGATGGAGTCTTGCTCCGTCACCCAGGCTGGAGTGCAATGATGCGGTCTCGGCTCATTGCAACCTCTGCCTCCTGGGTTTGAGCAATTCTCCTGCCTCAGTCTCCTGAGTAGCTGGGATTACAGGTGCCCGCCACCATGCCCGGCTAATTTTTGTATTTTTAGTAGAGACAGGGTTTCACCATGTTGGCCAGGCTGGTCTCGAACACCTGACCTCGTGATCTGCCCACCTAGGCCTCCCAAAGTGCTGGGATTATAGGCATGAGCCACGGTGCCCAGCCTCAAAGTTCTGAATCAAGCAGTTAAAAAATAATGCAATTGACTGAAGTCTTTTTTTTTTTTTTTTTTTTGAGACAGTGTCTTGCTGCGTCATTCATGGTGGAATGCAGTGTTTTGATCTCGACTCGCTGCAACATCTGCCTTCTGGGTTCAAGCAATCCTCCCTACTCAGAAGTTCTAGCCTTCTGAATAGCTGGAATTCAGGCGCGCACCAGTATAACTGGCTAATTTTTTTGTTTTTTTCTTTTTTTTTTTGAGATGGAGTCTCACTCTGTTGCCCAGGTTCGAGTGCAGAGCGCGATCTTGGCTCACTGCAACTTCTGCTTCCTGGGTTCAAGTGATTCTCCTGCTTCAGCCTCCCAAGTAGCTGGGACTATGTGTGTCTGCCACCATGCCTGGCTAATTTTTGTATTTTTTTTTTTTTGAGACGGAGTCTCGCTCTGTTGCCCAGGCTGGAGTGCAGTGGCGTGATCTCGGCTCACTGCAAGCTCCGCCTCCCGGGCTCACGCCATTCTCCTGCCTCAGCCTCCCAAGTAGCTGGGACTACAGGGGCCCGCCACCACGCCCAGAGAATTTTTTGTTTTTTTAGCGGAGACGGGGTTTCACCGTGTTAGCCAGGATGGTCTGGATCTCCTGACCTCGTGATCCACCCGCCTCGGCCTCCCAAAGTGCTGGGATTACAGGCGTGAGCCACTGCTCCCGGCCTAATTTTTGTATTTTTAATAGAGATGGGGTTTTACTATGTTGGCCAGGCTGGTCTTAAACTCCCAAACTCGGGTGATCTTCCCACCTCAGTCTCGCAAAGTGCTGAGATTACAGGTGTGAGCCACCGTGCCGGGCCTATTACTATGTTTTTTTATAGTGATGGGGTCTTGGTTTGTTACCTAGGCTGGTCTGGGACACCTAGATTCAAGCAAACCTCCCACTTCGCCTTCCAAAGTCTTGGGATTACAGGCATGAGCCAACATGACTGGTCTCACACACCATTTTCAAGAATGGAGTCTTTGTTCTGAATGTGGGATCCATTTGTTTCTCTAGACTCCATTCCAAAGTGGGTAATATTTTATTTATTTATTTATTTTATTAAGACAGAGTCTTGCTCTTCTGCCCAGGCTGGGGGTACAGTGGCACAGTCTCAGATCACTGTAACTTCTGCTTCCCAGACACAAGCCATCCTTCCACCTCAGCCTGCAGAGCAGCTGGGACTACAGGTGTGCGCCATCACATCCATCTATTTTTTGAATTTTTTTGGAGAGACAGGGTCTCACTACGTAGCCCAGGCTGGTCGGCAACTCTATGGCTTAAGTGATTGTTCTGCCTTGGCTTGCCAAAGTGTTGGAATTACAGCTGTGAGCCTCCATGTGTGGCCCCTCATTACTCTTTTGAAAGTGAACATAATGGTGTCTAATTAGAAATATCCCTTTAGTCTCTCCCAGCCAGGTTCATTGTGGGAACTGAGATTGCAGGTTGTTTGGGGCCACAGGAGACTCCCATTACCATTGTCTTGTTGTTTTGTTTTGTTTTTCTTTTTGAGACTGAGTCTCGCTCTATTGCCCAGGCTGGAGTGCAGTGGCACTATCTCAGCTCACTGCAAACTCCACCTCCTGGGATCAAGCAATTCTTGTGCCTCAGCCTCCTGAGTAGCTGGAGTTACAGGCACCCGCCACCATGCCTGGCTACTTTTTGTATTTTTAGTAAAGACTGGGTTTCACCTTGTCGGCCAGGCTGGTCTCTAACTCCTGACCTCAAGTGAGCCGCCCGCCTTGGCCTCCAAAGTGCTGGGACTACAGTTGTGAGCCACCAAGCCCAGCCACATGACCATTGTTTTAGATCCTTAAATTGAGAAGGCATTTTTTCTCAAGAAAGGAGCTGAGCTTTGAAGATCCTTGGTAACACTTCCCAGAGCTAATAGAGTTGGGTGGAGCAATTTTTTTTTTTTTTTGAGACAGAGTCTCACTGTCGCCCAGGCTGGAGTGCAGTGGCGCAATCTCGGCTCACTGCAGGCTCTGCTCCCTGGGGTTCATGCCATTCTCCTGCCTCAGCCTCCAGAGTTGTTGGGACTACAGGTGCCCGCCACCTCGCCTGGCTAATTTTTTGTATTTTTAGTAGAGACGGGGTTTCACCATGTTAGCCAGGATGGTCTCGATCTCCTGACCTCGTGATCCGCCCGCCTCGGCCTCCCAAAGTGCTGGGATTACAGGCGTGAGCCACCGCGCCTGGCCAGGGTGGAGCAATGGATGAAAATTCATGGAGTAGGAGTGATCTTGCCCGCTCCTTGGAGGTTGGGAGACACTCTTCTTGGTACCAGAAGGGCAGAACTATGTCTCTGTGGCCAATTATTGCAGAGTCGAATTGGGGTAAACTAAGGACTCTTTCACACCTGACAGAGTAGTGACTTTTGGCCGAGGAGAAGTCAGGGTGTGAGAGGACTGGCCTGATAAGTTTGTCTTTTCTCTGGATTTTTCTTGCAGATTTATCAGGATGAGCTTCCAGGCCCCACGCAGACTCCTGGAGCTGGCAGGGCAGAGCCTGCTGAGGGACCAGGCCTTGGCCATCTCCGTCCTGGATGAGCTGCCCAGGGAGCTCTTCCCCCGACTGTTCGTGGAGGCCTTCACTAGCAGATGCTGCGAGGTTCTGAAGGTGATGGTGCAGGCCTGGCCCTTCCCCTGCCTCCCTCTGGGGTCCCTGATGAAGACGCCTGATCTGGAGATCTTACATTATGTAGTGGATGGGATTGATTGCCTGCTTGCCCAAAAGGTTCGCCCCAGGTGAGGTGACCCAGGTGGGGAGGGCCCAGGTGTCCAGGGACTAAGCAGCTGGGTCAGACAAATTGGGAACCTGGGGTGGCCCAGGGGCTTCTGATGGTGCCAGTGAGAAAGCTGGGAACGTTCTTGGCTATTGCCCAGCTCCTCTGGGAAAGGACTGCTCACCATACAGGGTCCACTGAGGAAACAGGAACCTGCCTGCTCCCAGTGGAAGGTAAAGGCACTAGAAGTGGGTACCAGGCAGAATCCAAGGGGGAAAGGGATGGAGAAGAGACAGAAGGAGGGGCGCTGAGGAAAAAAGCAGCTGAAGTCCTTGATGTGGAGTGAAAGCCCAGGTCAGGGGTGGGTCCTTGTCTACGTTCTGAGCTTTTCCCCTATGTTACTCACAGGAGGTGGAAACTTCAAGTGCTGGAAATGCGGGATGTTGATGAGAATTTTTGGACCATATGGTCTGGAGCCAGGCCCCTGTCCTGCTCCCCAGAGGCCATGAGTAAGAGACAGACAGTGGAGGACTGTCCAAGGACAGGAGAGAAGCAGCCCTTGAAGGTGTTCATGGATGTTTGCCTCAAGGAAAAATCCGTGGATGAAGATCTGAGCTTCTTCTCTGGGTGGGTGCAGCACAGAAGACGTTCAGTACACCTGTGCTGTACTAAGGTGGTAAATTATTCAATGAACATTCTAAATTTCAGAAACATATTAGAAACAGTATACCCAGACAGTATCCAAGTATTGGAAATTTGGAACATGTGCTGGCCGTGTATGGTAGCAGAGGTTAGCCGTTACCTGAGCCAGATGAAGAATCTTCGAAAACTCTTCATCTCCGATGGCTGTGGTTACCTGCCAAGCTTTGAGAGCCAAGGACAGTTAGTTGCTGAATTCAGCTCTGTGTTCCTCAGGCTGGAGTACCTCCAGATGCTTTATATGAGAAGGATCCGCTTCTTCGAAGGCTACCTGGACCAGCTGATCAGGTGAGGAAAGATGGTGAGCTTTCTCTGGGGGACACAGCACAGCCTTTTTTTGTTACAGTAAACACTAGTCAGCATCTACTGTGTGCCAGCCACTGGAGATGTCCAGGGAAGGGGATACTAGAATGCATTGTCCTGTTTGGTGCTCTATATCCTGAAGTGGGTATCACAGGATCGCTCCAGTAAGGGCAGAGGGATGACCTGGCATAGACGCTACAGAGAGGGACATCGTGTAGGGAGCTGGTTAGTGGGGGGTTCAGCTCCAGTGAGGGTGAATTCCTTTTAGGAATTCCTTGTTAGGAAGTGTGTTTAAAGTTAATATGATAAGTATGAATAGCTTTTGTGAATTCCTTGTTAGGAAGTGTGTTTAAAGTTAATATGATAAAAAAGAGGCAACAGAGGGGAGGGTGTAAAAGAAGAGAAAGTGCACCAAACCTGTGCGTTTCACAGAGGAAGCTCTGTCCTCACAGCTTAGTGAACGTGAATGATCCTCTCTCTGATTCCCTGTCTGTAAAAGGTTGTTTTGAACTCCAGGAAAGGTAATTGACATGGGAAATGCGTGCTTCTGGGGATGGAGGTGAGGGAGTAGGCACGAGAGTGGTACAAAGTGACAGGTGGTTTGCAGATGTGGCCATGTCAGGGAGCCTCTGAAAGCAGGTAGCCCTAGCTGATGTCCCTAGACCTTGCTCAGGTCAGTTCTTTGGGCATCTCTTCCACTGGGCTCCTGTGGCCCAGAGATGAAGCTTTCTGCTGGAAGATGAAGAAAAGAGGCTTTAGAGATTTTATGGCCTTGAACCAATCACACCAGTGATGGTGAAAGGACTGAGCCTAAAATGGGACTGCCTCTGAATGATCCAAGTCCTCATCAGGCAGCACCTTGCGGGAGGACCATGATTAGATGATGAGAACAAACTTGTGTTTGGGCAAAACAGGCTCTTCCCTTGACGTTATTTTCTACCACCGTCCTCTAACTGGTGCCATTGCCCAGTACTAACTTCTTGCTCTCCCCAGGTGCCTCAAGAGCCCGTTGGAGACATTGGCATTAACTTATGGCTCCCTAGATGAAGAGGACTTGAAATGTCTGCCCTGGTACCCAAGTCTCAGTCAACTGAAGCAGCTGAATCTGAGTCATGGTACACTGCGCTTCATCCGTCTTGAGCCCCTCCGAGCTCTGCTAGAGAAAGTTGCTGCCACTCTTCAGACCCTCTTCTTAGTGGACTGTGGGATTGGGGACTCCAAACTCAGGGTCATCCTGCCTGCCCTGAGCCGCTGCTCCAACCTCACCACTTTCTGCTTTCACGGCAATGACACGTCCATGGATGGTCTGAAGGACCTGCTGCGCCACACAGGCAGGCTGAGCAATTTGAGCCTGGAAACATATCCTGCCCCTCGGGAGAGTCTTGACAACAGGGGTCGTGTCATTTCGGAGCTCCTCACCCCACTTCAGGCTGAGCTGATGCGTATACTGAGGGAAGTAAGGGAGCCCAACAGGATCTTCTTTGGTCCCGTCTCCTGCCCTTGCTGTGGCATGTCACCCACTGAGCAACTGGAGTTCAATTTTTGCTTGCGGGGAAGGCCTGCCTAGTGGGGTGGAGGTATAAAAAGCTTTTTCTCCAGGCACTTGGAAACTAAAATCTAGGACATAGATATCTTTTATTTTTCTTTTTCCTTATTTTACAATTTTACAGCTTTTATTTAAAAATTTGAGACAGGGTTTCCCTATGTTGTCCAGGCTGGTCTCAAACTCTTACGCTTAAGGGAGCCCCCTGCTTGGCCTCCCAAGATTCTGGGATTACAGGCATAAGCAGCTGTGCCGGGTCTATAGGTGTATTATAAAGGGAGCAGAGAAACCTCTGTTTCAGGCATGTGCTTTCTGTGAGTGGGAAAAAAAACACAAAAAAACCCAGCAGGGGGCAGCACTGGGGAAAAGGTTGAATGGAGTCACTGAGACTCAGGGATCTGTGTCCTAGACAGTCAGAAATAGAACCTGAAGTTCTAGAGTGAAGGAGTTATCTCAGCAAGGATGGATACAAAGAAACGTCGGAAGTAAAGGGAACCTAAATGGAAACTCTCTGCTGTCCTTCATGATTGATTAGCCTGTTTCAGCAATTTATACATCAGAAATCTTTAGTTCCTGATGAATTAAAAAAAGAGGTACTAGTTCATCTGTGATTTAAGTTCATCCGCAGGAAATAAAGGAATCAAAATAAACTTCATTTTGTTGTTGTGTTTTTTTTCTTTTTTTTTTGTTTTGTTTTAGACGGAGATTCGCTCTTGTTGCCCAGGCTGGAGTGAAATGGCACGATCTTGGCTCACCACAACCTCCGCCTCCTGGGTTCAAGCGATTTTCCTGCCTCAGCCTCCTGAGTAGCTGGGATCACAGGCATGCACCACCATGCCCTGCTAATTTTGTATTTTTAATAGAAATGGTGTTTCAACATGTTGATCAGGCTGGTCTCGAACTCCTGACCTCAGGTAATCTGCCCACCTTGGCCTCCCAAAGTGCTAGGATTACAGGCATGAGCCGCCGAGCCTGACCTGTTTTTGTTTGTTTGTTTGTTTTGTTTTTTTGACGGAGTCTTGCTTGGTCACCTAGGCTGGAGTGCAGTGGTGTGATCTTGGCTCACTGCAGCCTCCAACTCCCAGGTTCAAGGGAATTTGTATTTTTAGTAGAGATGGGGTTTCACCATGTTGGCCTGACTGGTCTCAAACTCCTAACCTCAAGTGACCTCAAGGAAGCCTCCCAAAGTGCTAGGATTACAGGTGTGAACCACCGTGCCCAGCCTAAACTTTGATTAATTTATGCCCATTCTTTACCTCTCCAAGTCATCTCTTCCTTACTTTCTCCTGTGGTTATTTACTGGGTTCATCCACAAAAGATGCATGCCTGGGACCTGGAACATTCTGTGTGGGCAGTGATGATGAACCATTGAGTCAACCCTCTTCTTGTCAGGGGCCCTCACTGCTCCCCAGATACTGAGACCCTGCTCACTCCCAATGGGCAGATCTGGGAGAATCGGTTCCTGATCATTGGCCATGTCAGGAAAGGGCTTCACTGCACAAGGTGAGGCCCCCTGCCTTGGGAGGGAATGGCCATAGTGTGTACTAGTGGGAGCCTCATGGCATCACCAACACTTGCCTGTCCTCATGGTGGCTAGTGGGTTTTACTGAATTAATGTAATTGTGTGTAGTAAAGATGTCCAATTTCTCTTAGAAAAATGCTAAAATCATTTAGGTAGATAACACATTCTAAATATTTCTAGCCCACATCAGTATGCATCCTTTTGGAAATTAACTCATTTCAATGAGACATCTTCCTGTAACACCTCCCTTCTCTCCTTATCAAAAAATAGGAAAACCAGGGCACTGACCTGTCCTCATGGTGACTAGTGGGGTTTACTGAATTAAAGTGATTGTGTCCAGTAAAGATAATCAATTTCTCTTTTAGAATAATGCTAAAATCATTTAGGTGGATAATACATTCTAAATATTTCCAGTCCATATTAATGGAAATATACATCCTTTTGGAAACTAACTCATTTCAGTGAGAGATCTTCCTATCACACCTCCCTTCTCTCCTTATCAAGAAGCAGGAAAACCTGGGCTTGACCTAGCTAGCGCTCCTACACTGCCATGAGAATCCCTTTGGGACTTTCCCCATTTGGGACTGGCAGCACTCTTGAGGTTTACTAAAACTTAGGTAAACCTGGGCTTAAGCCACCACCTGGAGCCAAGAAGGAAGCAGCAACCTAGTGGTGAAGATTCACTAAGGGAATGTATTCAGTCCAAACCAAAGCAAGCCAGACAGAGAAAACTGGAGTAAATCATTCTTCCTTCAGTGCAAAAATACAGATCTATATCTACAACAAACTAGAGCAAATAGGAAACTGTGACCTCCCCAAAATGACAAAGCAGAAATCTAGTGGGTGACTCTAAAGAGATGGTGATTTGTCAGCTCTCTAACCAATCACTGAAAATCGCAGGTTTTCAAACTTGTATTTTAGTTCCAGAAATACAGATGCAGGTTTGTTCTATAGATAATAGACAAACTATCAGATAAATAATTTTGGTAGTTTTTGTTTGTTTGTTTGTTTTTTGAGGCGGCGTCTCACTCTGTCACCCAGGCTGGAGTGTAGTGGCATGCTCTCAGCTCACTGCAACCTCTGCCTCCCAGAGTCAAGCAATTCTCCTGCCTCGGCCTCCCAAGTAGCTGAGACTACAGACTTGCATTACCACGCCAGGCTAAGTTTTTGTATTTTTAGTAGAGACAGGGTTTCACCATGTTGGACATGGAGAACTCCTGACCTCAAATGATGCACTGCCTCAGTGCTGGGATTAGAGGTGTGAGCCACCATGTCCAGCCAGTTTTGGTAGTTTGTTGATACCCACTCCCCTTCCACCCTCCACTCTCCAGTAGTCCCGGGCGTCTATTGTTACCATTATTATGTCATGTATACTTAATATTTGGCTCCCATTTATAAGTGAGAACATGTGGTGTTTGGTTTTCTGTGCCTGCTTTAGTTTGCTTAGCATAACGGCTTCTAGCTCCATCCGTGTTGCAGCAAAAGGAGGATGAGGACTTAATGAAAGGGCATTATCTTGTTCTTGTTTCAGGCTGTGTAGGTTTCCATGGTGTATCTGTACCATATTTTGTTAATCCAGTCCACCACTGATGGGCATTCCAGTGGATTCCACGTCTTTGCTGTTGTGAATAGTGCTGCGATGAGCATCCACATGTGACCACTGCCACTCAACATGTGCTAGAGTCTCACGTTACTGGAGTGTCTCTATATTACCCGGGCTGGTCCAGAATGGCCAGGCTCAGGCAGGGCTCCAATCTTAGCCTTACAAAGTATTGGGATTACAGGCATGAGCCACCACACATGGCTCTATTTTATTATAACATATATTTCTAGGCCGGGTGTGGTGGCTCACGCCTGTAATCCCAGCACTTTGGGAGGCCGAGGCGGGTGGATCACGAGGTCAAGAGATGGAGACCATACTGGCCAACATGGTGAAACCCCGTCTCTACTAAAAATACAAAAATTAGCTACGTATGGTGGCACGTGCCTGTAATCCCAGCTATTCAGGAGGCTGAGTCAAGGAGAATCGCTTGAACCCGGGAGGCGGAGATTGCAGTGAGCCGAGATCGTGCTGCTGCACTGCAGCCTGGGCAAAGAGTGAGACTCCCTCTCAAAAAAAAAAAAAAAAGCTATAATTCTATAGGCCAAGCAAGGTGGCTCACGCCTGTAATTCCAGCACTTTGGGAGGCCGATGTGGGTGGATTGCTTGAACCAAGGAGTTCTAGCCTGGGCAACAAAGCAAAATCCTGTCTCTACTTAAAAAGGAAAAAAAAGATATATTTCTGTAGCTTATGGCCTGTAGGCTCGCCATGCCTCAGGCTCGAAAGTGCAGCTTTCAGAAAAGATCCTTCACTGGTATTTCCAGGGAGGAAGTGATGAGGCAGGAATTTATGCTGAGTGGGTTGGCCAAGTATACACACTCAACAGGTCATGAAATGGGCTATGAGTATTCTTGAAGGGGGCCTAGCACATGCATACTGAATAAACATTCATGTGGCTTATGTCCCATGTTCACTTTGGGGTGGAGACTTCACATTTCTTTTTCTTTTTGAGACAGAGTCTTGCTATGTCACCCAGGCTGGACTGCAATGGCACCGTATCAGCTCACTGCATCCTCCACCTCCCAGGTTCAAGCGATTCTCCTGTGTCAGCCAAGTAGCTGAGACTACAGGTACATGCCACCACACCTGGCTACTTTTTTTTTTTTTTTTGAGATGGAGTCTCGCTCTGTCACCCAGGCTGGAGTGCAGTGGTGCAATCTCCGCTCACTGCAAGCTCCACTTCCCGGGTTCACGCCATTCTCCTGCCTCAGCCTCCCCAGCAGCTCAGACTACAGGCACACGCCGCCACGCCCAGCTAATTTTTGTATTTTTAGTAGAGACGGGGTTTCTCTGTGTTAACCAGGATTGTCTCGATCTCCTGACCTTGTGATCCGCCCGCCTCGGCCTCCCAAAGTGCTGGGATTACAGGCGTGAGCCACCGCGCCTGGCCCACTTTTTCTATTTTTAGTAGCGATAGGGTTTCACTATGTTGGCCAGGCTGGTCTGGAACGCCTGACCTCAGGTGATCTGCCGCCTCAGTCTCCCAGAGTGTTCCAAAGTGCTGGGATTACAGGCGTGAGCCACCGTGCTGCGCCGAGACTTCATGTTTCAATGCATTGCAGCTAGACCCCCCCATATCAAATGGTGCATCAGGGACATGAAGACGCTCGCGTGCTAAGTCTCTTTCAAGTGGCCAGAAGCAGTCAACGCTCAGAGGCCTCTCATCAGCAGAAAGTTACTGGAATCAATCTCTTGTCCAATCAAAGCTGGAGTCATGGCTTGTGGAACAGGGGGTCAGTTAGTCAGAATCTGGGATGGATGAGCTGCAATCATTTCAATATTGCTTATCTTAGGGCCAGTGCTTGTTCAGCTGCTAGAGAGAGAAAAACCCTGTGGCAGTTAGAATATAGTTCATTCAGCTGGGCACAGTGGCTCTTGCCTGTAATCCCAGCACTTTGGGAGGCTGAGGCGGGTGGATAACCAGGTCAGCAGGTCAAGACCAGCCTGGCCAACATGGTGAAACCCTGTCTGTACTAAAAATACAAAAATTAGCCAGGTGTGGTGGCATGCACCTGTAATCCCAGCTACTCGGGAGGCTGAGGCAGGAGAATTGCTTGAACCTGGGAGGCAGAGGTTGCAGTGAGCCAAGATCATGCCACTGCACTTCAGCCTGGGCTACAAAGTGAGACGCTGCCTCAAAAAAAAAAAAAAAAAGTATATAGTTCATTTTTTAAGGGTAGGGGCCCTTGACTTAACCCTTGCCTGGTAAGACCTTAGGTCCTGTATATAACTTGGTATCTTATTACCCTAAATAGTCAATTCAGTCAGCCTTATAATCTCTATTTTAACATGAATGCTGGTCAGTTTTTGTGTCTCAACCATGAAAGGAAGGAAGTAAAATGAGACGTGTCTATCCTCCCATCCTGCCATGGCCAGGAACTCAGTTTTAAAGATTTCTCTGGGTACACTTGGCCGAGAGGGAATCTGTTCAGTTCATAGGGGGAGCTTAGGATTTTATTTTTAGTTTTCAGAACGAGGGATGAATAATCATGGAGGCTTCTGCTGGGAGGGAAAAAGTAGAAAAAATGCATTAATTTCACTCTTCCTGTATGCCAGGCCCTATGCCAAGCCCTTAAGTTGCCCCATCTCATTCGATTCTACCAGGGTCACACAGGTGGTGGACATCATCATCCTCATTTTTCAGGAAAACTGAGGCTCTCGCCCAAGGTTCCTGCCCAACAACACCAGGCCCTGAGTTCTCAGCATGGTCCTCACTCAGATACTCTTTGTGTAGGGTTTCTTACCTGAGTCCTCAGCAGGGTCCTCACCTGGATGCCGTTTGTGTAGGGTTTCTCATCTGAATCCTCTGCAGGGTCCTCACTCGGATGTCCTTTGTGTAGGGTTTCTCACCTGAGTCCTCAGCAGGGTCCTCACTTGGATGCCCTTTGTGTAGGGTTTCTCATCTGAGTCCTGAGCAGGGTCCTCACTCAGATGCCCTTTGTGTAGGGTTTCTCATCTGAGTCCTGAGCAGGGTCCTCACTCGGATGTCCTTTGTGTAGGGTTTCTCACCTGAGTCCTCAGCAGGGTCCTCACTTGGATATCCTTTGTGTAGGGTTTCTCATCTGAGTCCTGAGCAGGGTCCTCACTCGGATGCCCTTTTTGTAGGGTTTCTCATCTGAGTCCTGAGCAGGGTCCTCACTCGGATGTCCTTCGTGTCGGATTTCTCACCTGAGTCCCCAGCAGGGTCCTCACTCAGATGCCCTTTGTGTAGGGTTTCTCACCATAGGGAAAGTCACTCATCACCCACAGGCACTTGACTATTATCTGCCCTCGAAGGATGTGCGATTCCAAAACACGCTTGCTCTGAGAAAAACCAGGGCCGTATCATTTTCCCCGCCAAACCGGAAAGGAGCCAAGAGATCAAAGGATGACTCAGATGAGCCCAGCTTGGCAAATAATGAGTTGATTAGGATTCACATGCAGGGCACTCCAGGGCAGCAGCAGCACAGCCCCAAAGATCTGTGCCACCTCCTGTCTCTAAACTGCTTTTAAGTGAATTTTCTGGCTCTTTGTCCACTGATTTTGAGCAATCAGCCTCTTCTGCTTGGTAGGTTCTCAGATACTGTCTGGGATGTTTGGGTTCTCGGGGACACCTGCTTCTTGGCTGGGCACAAGAGACTTGGCTTCCCACCTGGCCTTCAGGGTTCAGGCAGGGGACATGCACCCTTAAGTAACCTGATGGGACCTGTCACACCAGAATTCTATACACTTGAAGTGGGGCCAGCCTCTCCACACCTGTGGTTACTTCTCCTCAGGTGGGATGAGAGACTGAGGAAAGAAATAAGACACAGAGACAAAGTATAGAGAAAGAAATTGGGCCCAGGGGACCGGCGCTCAGCATACGGAGGACCTGCACTAGCACTGGTCTCTGAGTTCTCTCAGTTTTTATTGATTACTGTTTTCACTATCTCATCAAGGGGAACGTGGCAGGAGAACAGGGTGATAGTGGGGAGAAGGTCAGCAAGAAAACATGTGAGCAAAGGAATCTGTGTCACAAATAAGTTCAAGGGAAGGTTCTATGCCTGGATGTGCACATAGGCCAGATTTATGCTTTTCTCCACCCAAACATCTCAATGGAGTAAAGAGTAACAAAGCAGCATTGCTCCCAACATGTCCCACCTCCTGCCACAAGGCGGTTTTTCTCCTATCTCAGAATGGAACAAATGTACAATCGGGTTTTATACCAAGACATTGCATTCCCAGGGGCAGGCAGGAGACAGAGGCCTTCCTCTTATCTCAGCTGCAAGAAGCCTTCCTCTTTTACTAATCCTCCTCAGCACAGACCCTTCACGGGTGTCGGGCTTGGGGACGGTCAGGTCTTTCCCATCCCATGAGGTCATATTTCAGACTATCACATGGGGAGAAACCTTGGACAATACCTGGCTTTCCAGGGCAGAGGTCCCTGCAGCTTTCCACAGTGCATTGTGCCCCTGGTTACTTGAGAATGAAGAACGGCGATGACTTTTATCAAGCACACTGCCTGTAAATATTTTGTAAACAAGGCACATCCTGCACAGCCCTAGATCCCTTAAACCTCGATTCCATACAACACATGTTTCTGTGAGCTCAAGGTTGGGGCTAAAGTTACAAATTAACAGCATCTCAGGGCAAAGCAATTGTTCAGGGTACAGATCAAAATGAAATTTCTTATGTCTTCCTTTTCTACATAGACACAGTAACCGTCTGATCTCTCTTTCTTTTCCCTACATATCCCCCTTTTCTTTTTGAGAAAACCGCCATCATCATCATGGCCCGTTCTCACTGGTCGCTCTCTCTTTGGAGCTGCTGGATACACCTGTAGACTAACAACAGACAAAACAGATATACCAGGATTAATATGAAATTACAATAGTTGAACTTCTGATGGTTTTAACCCAAGTGACAGGGTTAAGATTTGCGAGGCCATCAGCAGCTTTCACGATTGCCTCAGTTTCTGGCACCAAATTTAAATGGGCTTTTGATGCCTCAAAAATTTGTTCTTTTAATTTTGAAATATCTAAAGTAAGATTATCTTCTCTTCCTTATAGATGACATCTAACCATGTCCCATTGATGCTCAGACTCATTATAGGCTTGGGGTTTAATACAAAAATCTGACATATTCCAGTCACACTGTAACTGAAAAAGATATTCCAAGCTCATGAGCCTGTCTCCCATCCAAATGACAGTTTGTCTAAGATCATTAATTTGGTTTGCCAATTTTTGATCTATTTGGTTCTGAGAATTCCACAATTTTGAGGAATTCTTTTGCCAATTATTTACATATTCTGCAGTTTGAACAGAGAAGTGTAAAGCAATTCCAGCAGCCACAGCAGTAGCTGTGACTGCAATAAGACCCAAAATCACTGCAATCAAAGTAAAAAAGAATCTTTTGGATCTAGTTAGAACTCCTTTTAATACTTCTATTAAAATATGGACAGATGGGGAAGCCTCCCACTGTCAGTCCATGGACATAGGGTTCCACATGCCCTCTCTTGCCCTCACCAGCAGAATACGGTGCTGCCAATCAAAAGTCGAATCAATGCAAGTAAACAATCTACAGTTTTCACAGGTTATAGTTTGGGAATCTGGTTTAATAACTATGTTTCCTACAACTAGCATATAAGGGGGTTTTACACAACTTTGCAAAGGAATTGTCAGATTGGAATTTAGGTTAATAGTATAATATGGCTTATGATCTCTTGTTCCTATAGCTTGATTTTCAGACCAAATTCTAATGTGGTGTGAGGCCACAGTAAGCTTTCATAATGCTGGATGTTCAGGACCAGTAACAGGACTAACTAACTTTGGTCGAGGTGATGAAATTCGCTTTTCACCTCATTTCCATGGATAGGGTGATTGTAACTTTCTATAAACCTGATCCAGCCTTTCAGTTAAATCACTCTCATAGGCCAGATTAATGGGCCAGATGGATGGGGCTGTGAACATGAGTGAGTCTGGCCCGTACAATTATAATAAAATTGGCCTCGAGGGGCCTGGTCTATAATAGTTCCAAATTCATTGTTTTGTAGTACCACCGCAGTATCAGGCACACATTCTTCCCAAACTGAAACTTTTGGGCCTTTTGATTCTTTGGGAATTTTATTGGGGCAAGGCTTCCCCTTAGGCCTAAATTTTAATGATCTTTGATAAGAAGAGTCCTGTAAATTATTTTATCTGTGGCCCGAGTGACATCCCACTTACTATGTGATAAGTAAATCTACTGGTGGCACTGACAGTAGGTACTTCTACCAACCAATTTGGGGTTGTAGGCATTAAATATCCTGGCACCTTCCCTAGGCAAATAGGAGGATAATGATACCCAGTGGAAATATTTATCATCAATTCTTTTTTAGGTTGGGCAGGGCAATGATCATCTGTGAGGCCTGGTACCCATGCACTATTATTAACATATACTTCAATGGGATTATCCATCCATGTGACTGCCTGAATTAAGGGCGGGAAAGGCACACAGGCCCAGTAAGTATGATTAGTTGTGGCTGCTACTGCAGTCATAGGGAGACTTACCACCGTTGATACAATCATCAAAGCTGCAGGCAGCATGTTCTCTGGAGTTTGTGTTACCCTTTTTGTTCTTCAGGCTTTTTTCAGCTAACTGTGTCAGCTTCTTTAATTGGGCCCAGGTCAGTGGCCCCACTTCCTTGGTGGATGGCAGCTTCATCTGTTCTTCTGATGTCACCATTTTGTTCACCCGGTGAGTCGATGATGCCACCATCTCCGTGGTGGCGCTTCTCTTTGCATCTCCGATGGGTTCATTGTAGAACTTTAAATGTCTAGTGGGTATCCAAACAGGAAGCTGATTTTCTCCTGGTGAAACACAAGCAAAACCTCTCCCCCATGTTATCATTTTCCCTATTTCCCTTGTCTTATTTTTGTTGTCTTTCCACCAAATCAGTTTTCCTTCATGTGGGCTGTTCTTTTTACCAGTAAAATGTTGCTCTGCAGAAGTAGTGGTCTGATTTCTATAAATGTTTAAAAAATTTAAAGTATAGAGTGCTAAATTAAGTTGCATCTGGGGAGTGTTATACTCCTTAATGTCTTTTTCCTTTTTTTGTTTCACCAATTCAGCTTTGAGTGTTCTATTAGTTCTTTCAATTATGGCCTGTCCTTGGGAATTATAGGGGATTCCTGTTATATGTGTAATTTGTCACTGATTTCACAATTTTTAAAATGTTTTACTACAGTATCCTGGCCCATTACGTGTTTTAATTTTTTTTTGGAACTCCCATGACAGCAAAACAAGATAATAAATGTCTTTTAACATGGGAAGTACTTTCTCCTGTCTGGCAGGTTGCCCATAGACATGCAAATAAGTATCAACTGTCACATGGACAAACGACAATTTTCCAAATGAAGGTACATGTGTGACATCCATTTGCCATAATGCATTAGGACATAGGCCTCTGGGATTAACTCCTGCCTCCTGAGTGGGCAGGTGTAGGACTTGACACTGGGTGCAATGTTGTACAATATTTTTTGCCTGTTTCCATGTGATATCAAATTTATTTTTTAGTCCTGTTGCATTTACATGAGTGAAAGCATGAAGTTCTTGTGCTTCTATGAATGCAGATGATGCTAGCAAGTCAGCTTGTTCATTTGCTTTAGCTAAAGGCCTTGGTAAATTAGTATGTGCTCATATATGAGTAATATAAAATGGGAAATTTCTTTTTCTTACAATTTGTTGTAACAAATTAAAGGGCTTGTTAAACTGATCATCCATACTATATTTGGTTAGGGCTGTCTCAACATCCTTTGTAGCTGTGCTACATATGCAGAATCTGATTTTCAATGACTCGTTCTTTCGGCCTGGTGTAAACCACTTTTCCATTGCTGGAACCATCAGTAAACACCGTCAGAGCATTTTCTAAAGGTTTATGTCTGGTAATTTTAGGTAAAATTCAAGTAGTCAATTTTAAAAACTGGAAGATTTTTGTTTTTGGGTAATGGTTATCAATAATTCCCACAAAATCAGCAAGAGCAATCTGCCATGCAGCAGAATTGATAAAGCCTTGTCTAAACTCTTCCTTGTTTAAAGGAACAATGATTTTATCTGGGTCACTTCCACACAATTTTATTATTTGTAATCTTGCCTGACCAATTAATGTAGCCATTTGATCCAAGTACAATGTAAAAGTCTTAATCGTACTGTCAGGAAGGAAAGATCACTCCACAAGATCTGTATTTTGAACAATAATGCCTGTTGAGAATGTGCAGTAGCAAAAATCAAAAGTTGGAGTGGGGCGAAGTGATCTATTCTATTTACTTGTGCTGACCGAATTTTTTCTTCAATTAATTCAATTTCTTTAGTTGCCTCTGGAGTTAATGTTCTTTTACTATTCAATTCTGGATCCCCACTCAAGATAGAGAACAAATTTGACATGGCATAAGTAAGGATGCCTAGAGTTGGCCAAATCCAATTAATATCTCCTAGCAATTTATGAAAGTCGTTTAATGTTTTTAATGTGTCTTTTCTTATTTCTATTTTTTGTTGTTTAAATTTTCTTTCCTCTACCCGCATTCCCAAGTAATGGACAGGAGTAGAGGTTTGAATCTTATCAGATGCTATTGTCAGTCCTGCGTTTGCAACCTCTGTCTGCAGAAATGTGTAACAGTCAATTAATGTGTCTCTCGTTTCTGCAGCACACAAAAGATCATCAACATAATGAAAGACATAGTCTGAAAACTTGTCTCTAACTGGTTGAAGAGCTTCAGCTACAAAAATCTGACAAATAGTTGGACTATTAAGCATTCCCTGAGGCAACACTTTCCACTGAAACCTGGTGGCTGGTTCTTTATTATTTATGGCTGGTATAGTAAAAGCAAATTTTTCAAAATCCTGTTTTGCTAGAGGAATGGTAAAAAAGCAACCCTTCAGATCAATTATAATTAAAGGCCAATCTTTGGGGATCATGGCCAGAGAGGGCAACCCAGGTTGGAGAGCCCCCATAGGTTGAATTACAGCGTTGACGGCTCTTAAGTCGGTTAACATGCGCCATCTGCTGGATTTTTTCTGAGTTACAAACACAGGAGAATTCAAGGCGAAAGTGAAGGCTCAATATGTCCCTTTGCTAATTGTTCTTTTGCCCATAAGTGTAAAGCCTCCAGCTTTTGTTTTGGTAGCAGCCACTGATTTACCCATACAGGTTTTTCTGTTTTCCAAGTTAATGGAATGGGTTTTGGAGGCTCTACAGTGGCCACTCCTGAAAAGGATATCCTATTCCTTTTCTTTCTTGATTTCCCTCAGCCTCAATTGGGATTTTAATGCCATCTCCATTTTTCCCTAGTCCTTTGCCAGGGAGATACCCCATTTTAGTCATGATTTTTTGACTCGTGGGGCTGTATAAGGAGGCTGGGATAGTCATCTCTGCATGCCATTGTTGTAACAAGTCTCGGCCCCATAAATTAATTGGAATAGCAGTAATCATAGGTTGAACTGTACTTTCTTGATTATCAGGTCCTAGACAATGTAAAATCATGGTGCTTTGATACACTTTTGAGGCGCTGCCCACACCGACAAGTCCTGTAACAGGCTTTTGTTTAGGCCAATTTTTTGGCCATTGATTTAAGGCGATAATGGAAACATCAGCATCGGTATCCACTAATCCTATAAACTGCTTTCCCTGAATAGTGACTGTACACACAGATCTATTCTCTGAGACCTGACGAGCCCAATGAGTGGCTTTTCCGGCAGAGTTGGTACTTCCAAGCCCTCCTGTCCTTTCCGTTTTATTTTCCCCAATTTTAATATAAGGCAAAAGCAATAATTGAGCAATTCTATTACCTGGATTGGCACTCCAGGGAACAGTGGAGCTGATCACTAACTGAATTTCCCCTTTATAATCTGAATCAATTACCCCAGTATGAATTTGGACTCCCTTCAAATTTAGACTTCATCTCCCTAAAATGAGGCCTACTGTCCCTCCTGGCAGTGGGCCATATACCCCTGTAGGAATCTTTTGCGGGGTCTCTCCAGGGAGTAAAGAAACCTTTTGAGTGGAACATAAATCTACTGCTGTGCTGCCTGCTGTGGCGGGGGACAGCTGTTGTATCGTTGTAATTGGCTGATTCCCTGAAGTGGTGGTATTTGCTGTGGTGGTTGCTGTCCCTGAAAACCCTGAAGAACAAACGGCTGAATCGGGAATGCCCCAGTTTGTTGTTGGGACTGAGGCTGGCCCCTCACCCCTTTTTCCGACAATAGTTGCCCATTTTTATCATATTTAGGACGACATTGATTAGCCCAATGTTTTCCTTTTCCATGTCTTGGACACAGGCCAGGTGGCTCTTTATTTTTACTCTGTTTATTTAAGACTGGGCAGTTCTTTTTTAGATGACCGATTTGACCACAATTATAACATTTCCCCCCAAATGCTCTAACTATCCTCCTAAAGTGACTCCGGTCATTGCTTGAGCCATTAGCATTGCCTTTCGCATAGCTCCTCCAATCCCATCACAAGCTTTCACATATTCTGTAATTACATCAACTCCTGCTGGACCTTTTCCTTTTAATGGCTTTATGGCTGGTTGAAATTCTGGATTTGACTTTTGATAAGCCATTATTTCTACAATAACTTTTTGGGCATTATCATCCGAAACAGATTTTTCAGAGGCATCTTGCAACCTTGCCACAAAGTCTGGATATGGCTCTTTGCAGCCTTGTCTAATTGAATTAGAAGAAGGGCAAGCGGTGCCTGGGCAAGTGGTGCGTGGGGCACCCAGGTGCCTGGGTCCTGAATTTTTTCCCAGTCCCTGAGGCAAAGAGCCCTTAGATGTTCAATACCCTCATTCTGCATTACTGACTGTTGGCCAATTGTGCTCCAATTTGGACCTGTTCCTAGCAATCGATCTGCATCTATATTAACAGCGGGATAAATAGCCTGATTTTTTCGTGCCTGTTCTTGTACTCCATCAATCCACCAGGTTTTAAATTGTAGGAACTGAGAGGGTGAAAGGGAAGATTTAGCCAACATTTCCCAATCATAGGGAATAAGTCTATTTCCATGAGCAATGGGATCTAATAAAGTTCTCATATAAGGGGAGTTGGGTCCATATTGTTTAACTCCTTCCTTCATATCTTTTAACATTTTCATGGTGAAAGATTCATATCTAGCCTCAGTTTGGACAGACGCTCCAGCTTGCCCCCCTTTCCCAGCTGGTATTGGTTGTAAAATTACAAGGAACTGCCATGCCTCAAGATCTCCCTGTTTTCTGGCTTTATCAATAATTTCATGCAGTGTACTACCTTGTCCACTAGGTGGTGATGTAGGACTAAACACCGCTGGGTTGCTGGTGAGGTGCCGTGCTATGTGGCACGGGACACACAGCTTGAGGTCTGTATTGAACCTCCGGAGACGGCCCATACTGAAGCTCAGCTGGCGGCCAGTATTGATAAACTACCGGTGGTTGGGTCTTATTTTCTACCAGCTGATATTGTGGATACTGTATCTGAATTGGCATGGCCGGGATAGAGACTCTATCCTTTTCTACATGATATTCTCTTGGGGTTTGCACTTGTCTAACCTGCATTTGAGGTTGTAATGTTACAGGCATCTGAACCGCTGGAGGAGGAGTTGATGGCCATTGTGGTTTAGGCTCTGGTAGCCCCAATAATTCTGGACCTCCTTCCACCAGTTTTGATGATTCAGGATATATTACCTCCTGTAACTGATTGTAGTCAACATTTTGCGTTGACTGAGCCATTACAGACTCTGTTACATTTTACAATGTGAACTTTCCATTAATTTCCGGGATTTTGTCTCTGCCTCTTCTTCACAATCTACTACACAGCTTTCAGGGGCATCAGAAATTGAAAGGCTATCTGTTTCTATTTGAAACGGTTCTAAAGTTGTTTTAATAATGGGCCAATCATTCCATACTGTAAGTGGGATGATTTTATCTTCCCTACTTGCTTGTTTTAATTCTTTGCCAATTTTCCCCCAATCTTTTAGATCTAAAGTCCTTGTTTTGGAAACCATGGGCAGAATTGTTCTATTGTTTGAAATAACATAATTAGATTTTCTGTAGAAGCTCTAACTCCCCATCTTCTTAGAAGAATTTTAATGAAGCTGAGATAAGAGGCATATTTACTTTCAGTTTGTCCCATTGTTACCCTGGGTTCCTCTGAGCACACAAGCTTACCGCATGGCTGACCGTGGAAGTACTTGGGAATCTCTCGTTGACTGTCTTCAATGCTCACGTTTTTAGCATACCTTCACCCTAGAGAAAGGCCCACGTTGGGCGCCAGATGAAAGGGGTCAGCCACTCCACACCTGTGGGTATTTCTCATCAGGCAGGACAAGAGACTGAGAAAAGAAATAAGACACAGAGACAAAGTATAGAGAAAGAAAAATGGGCCCAGGGGACTGGTGCTCAGCATATGGAGGACGCACACCGGCACTGGTCTCTGAGTTCCCTCAGTATTTATTGATTACTATTTTCACTAACTCAGTAAGGGAAAAGTGGCAGGAGAGCAGGGTGATAGTGGGGAGAAAGTCAGCAAGAAAACATGTGAGCAGAGGAATCTGTGTCACAAATAAGTTCAAGGGATGATACTATGCCCGGATGTGCACATAGGCCAGATTTATGCTTTTCTCCACTCAAACATCTCAGTGGAGTAAAGAGTAACAAAGCAGCATTGCTGCCAACATGTCTCGCCTCCCACCACAGGCAGTTTTTCTCCTATCTCAGAATAGAACAAATGTATAATCAGGTTTTATACTGAGGCATTCAGTTCCCAGGGGCAGGCAGGAGACAGAAGCCTTCCTCTTATCTCAACTGCAAGAGGCCTTCCTCTTTTACTAATCCTCCTCAGCACAGACCCTTAATGGATGTCAAGCTGGGTGGAAGGTCAGGTCTTTCCCATTCAATGAGGTCATATTTCAGACTATCACATGGGGAGAAACCTTGGACAATACCTGGCTTTCCAGGGCAGGGGTCCCTGAGGTTTTTCACAGTGTATTGCACCCCTGGTTACTTGAGAATGGAGAATGGTGATGACTTTTATCAAGCATAGTGCCTGTAAACATTTTGCTAGCAAAGCACATCCTGCACAGCCCTGGATCCCTTAAACCTTGATTCTATACAACACATGCTGCTGTGAGCTCAAAGTTGGGGCTAAAGTTACAGATTAACAGCATCTCAGGGCAAAGTCAGGGTACAGATCAAAATGAAGTTTCTTATGTCTTCCTTTTCTACATAGACACAGTAACCGTCTGATCTCTCTTTCTTTTCCGTGCATACACTAGTCTTCTTCTTTAGTCTGCTAGATATGGGAAGGGTGTTAAGAAAGGATCTCTCATCAATATGACCTGGCCCCCAAAAAGCATGCTTGATTTTTGAATGTGGTAAAGAAATATTTAAACCATGTTTTATGTCTATATGATTATTAGTATTTATATGTTATTTTCGTTTGTTTTGTTTTGTTTTTGAGATGGAGTCTCACTCTGTCATGAGGCTGAAGTGTGGTGGCACAATCTCAGCTCACAGCAACCTACGCCTCCTGGGTTCAAGCAATTCTCCTGCCTCAGCCTCTCTAGTAGCTGGGAGTACAGGCATGTGCCAACATGTCCAGCTAATTTTTGTAGTTTTAGTAGAGACGGGGTTTCACCATGTTGGCTAGGATGGTCTCGATCTCTTGATCTTGTGATTCTCCTGCCTAAGCCTCCCAAAGTGCTACTATTATAGGTATGAGCCAACAAACCCAGCCATATTTATATATTATAGGTAGTATTTTGCTAAAAGGGAATTTTGATATCTTTATAAGACACAACTAGTTTAATTAAGGAAGGAGCACTGCCCTCCATGATGACAGGTATGGGTTGGTGATGCCCTGAAGCTCCAGGTAATCAATGATGTGAATGTCCCCTTCCAAAGCAGGGGCCATGCCTTGTGCAGTGAATCTCTGTCCCAGCACAGCTAATGGTCAGAAATGGATTCTTCTCAATCTGCCCATTAGGACTGAACAGGGTCTCAGCATCTGGTTAGCAGGGAGGGACCCTGAGAAGAGGCTTTACTTGAGTGACTCCCACTCTTTGCCCACATAGAATGTTCCTGGCCCTGTGTGTGCATCTTGTGGGTATTCACCCACTGATCAGCCACAGAACAAAGTCAGGAAGTAACAGATTTGTAAAGAGAAGTAAAGAACAGGAGGGAATTGATAAAAATGAGGAAATTTCATTTGGATGCCTGACTTCCTGGGGCAGGACCTCATTAAAAACACAGCTCGGTGCTTCTGATTTTCTCTTTTTCTTGTCTCTTTTTCCTGAAACAGAGTCTTGCTCTATTTCCCAGGCTGCAGTGTAGTGGCTCTATCTCAGCTCACTTAAACCTCTGCCTCCTGGCTTCAAGTGATTCTCCTACCTCAGCCTCCCAAATAGCTTGGACTACAAGTGCCTGCCACCATGCTCAGCTAATTTTTTTTTGGCCCCGAGTCTCGCCCTGTCGTCCAGGTTGGAGTGAAGTGGCACGATCTGGAGATCTCAAGTACATGGACCGGGGAGGCTGCAGGAATTTGTTTATCTTGGGCTGGGGGTGCATGGGAAGTAGGTAGGGCTCCTGTGACCACAAACCCAAGGCCTCTGGGATCAGAAGGCAACAACAAGGGCCAGGACCTACCCCGGGGCCTGTGCTTGCAGGGACCCTGGCTCTCATTTGTATGTGGGGTGCCTGAGTGATTTCAGATTCCTCACCCATCCCCATTGGCTCTTCTAGGGGAGATGCAACTATAACACCTGTAGGTGACCCTGTGTAGGAAAAGACTGCAGAACCCACACGGGCCCATGCTGAGTGAGGCTTTCTCCAGGTGGGCACAAAAACCCCTAGCTCCCCAGCCACTGCCAGAGCTTGGGGTTGGGGGCCCTACATGGAGGCAAATGCAGGGAGCATTGGCAGAGGCAGGGCTGAGTGAAAGGAGAAGAAGAGCACATGGAAAAGACACAGGGGTCTCTGACAGTTCCAGGGCCAGAGGCACTTGGGAGTGGGAGAGGCATGACTGGGAGATAGGTCCAGGGCTTTTTCTGAGCCCTGAGGCCCCAGCAGGTTTACTTCCCTTCGAAGATCTCTCTGGGCTATTGTGCCTGGGAGTCAGGGCTGGCTCGGCTGCAGCCCTGTGGGAAGGGCATAGATCCCTCAGGGTCTAAGGTTCAACTTTACTCTTATCCTCAAATGAGGGCTTTTACCCAGGGACCTCTTGTCCGCAGATTCCACGTCTTGTTGCTGGACTCCCAGAGGAAGTTGTCCTACCAGGGACATGGGATGTTATACTTTTCTCTTCCATGGAACCAGCTCTGTCAGGTAGAGTTGTGCCTTTCTAGGTGGCCACACACACACACACATACTTACCATGTGGGCATTGCAGTGATGCCCACTGGGCTTGGGGTTCTTCCATAGCACCCAGCTGAAAAAAGCCTCACCTAAGGCTAAGAAGAGACCTGGCTTGGACAAAAAAATACTTAGTGCATTCCAGGTGCATCCTTATCAGCTCTAAGGCTGGGCCAGGGGAACCTGGGAAGGGATGGCCCCTGCGCTGGGACCTGTCCAAGGCTCTGTCATCATCCTGGCAGCCTTGGAAGACCAGAGGGGTCAGGTCTTCCTCTGCAAGCCAGGCAATGTCACCACCCAGAAGTCCAGGGTGCCTCTTTAGGTCCAGAGCAGCAGCTGTGGAGTTTCCTGCTTTGTGCCTTGCCATGTTCACCAACATCACTCAATATAAATTGAGGAAATTTTCTTAATTACTGCTGGGTCTCTCTGCATTGTGGCCATGTTCCGAAGTCCAGGAGAGATGGGCTGATGGCCTTGGGATGCATAAAGTGACGCCGGCCCCATCAGCTCAGGCTGAGGGAGAAAACAGAGGCTCAGGAATATTCTAGAGAGCCTAAGCAAGGGCCTCATAGGAGCTTTGGAATCCCAGTGTGGATTCTGGGAGTGGAGAATAGGTCAGGTCGTTTCCTGAGATGGGTTTCGAAGGTTGCTCTGAGCTTGGCAGCAGATGAGCACCTCGAGAAGAACTGGCGACAGAACATGGTAGAAAAGACCCCAAGTGCAGGATTCTCACTGGGGTGCTGGGGGTGCTACTGCACCCCTTGAAATGGGCAGGAAGAGGGAGTCAGTCAGCCAGTTCTTTCCAATATTTAGCTTATTGAACACCTTGGGGGTTCCACTGAGCCCCTCACCTGAGGGGTTTGCCAATCATTTGCTACCAGAACATGGGAAGGCTTTTCCTCTGGCCAAATCTCAGGTTTATCGTGTTAGAAATGGGGAAAATAGCAACGTGCCTTAGATTCTCCATGAAGAAGAGCTGAGGTCCGGGATGATCAGTACCAGCCGTCTGTTGTGCCTCGTGGATGCTCAGTGAACACAGATTCTCACAACCATTATTGGTGTTGAGCTCACCCTCAGCCTCAGGTTTACAAAGTGGGGCGTGGGAAGTAGAAGTCTCACTGGGCTCAGGTGATCCTCCCACCTCAACTTCTTGGGCAGCTTGGCCTACAGGTGCACACTGCCTCTCCCCAGCTAATATCTTATATTTTTATTAGAGACAGGGTTTCATCACATTGCCCATATTCCTCACAAACTCCTGAGCTCTAGCACTCTGCCTTTCTTGGCTTCCCAAAGGGCTGGGATTAGAGGCCTGAGGTCTTTCTTTCTTTTCCTTCCTTCCTTCCTTCCTTCCTTCCTTCCTTCCTTCCTTCCTTCCTTCCTTTCTTTCTTTCTTTCTTTCTTTTTTCTTTCTTTCTTTCTTTCTTTCTTTCTTTCTTTCTTTCTTTCTTTCTTTCTTTCTTTCTTCCTTTCTTTCTCTTTCTTTCTTTCCTTTCTTTCCTTCCTTCCTTCCTTCCTTCCTTCTTTCTTTCTTTCTTTCTTTCTTTCTTTCTTTCTTTCTTTCTTTCTTTCTTTCTTTCTTGCATGCTTGCTTGCTTTTTCTTTTGTTCTTTTTTGACAGTGTCATGCTGTCACCCAGGATGGAGGGCAGTGGCGCCATCTCAGCTCACTGCAACTTCACATCCTGGGTTTAAGCGATTCTCCTGCCTCAGCCTTCTGAGTAGCTGGGAGTGCAGACATCTGCCACTATGCTCGGCTAATTTTTTGTATTTTTAGTAGAGACGGAGTTTCACCGTGTTAGCTAGAATGGTCTTGATATACTGACCTCATGATCAGCCCACCTTGGCCTCTCAAAGTGCTGATGTTACAGGCATGAGCCACTGTGCCTGGGTCTGAGCTTTCTTTGTAGGCCTAATGTTGATGCTCTGATAAGAATCTCTATGTTCAATATTAGTGACAGGAAAGGACTCTAAGAAGGAGGAAACATGAATTATCAAATTAGAGTAGGAAGGGAGTGGGTGAGATTAAGATTTGGATGAAGGGTCCTGGAAAATGACTGGGGCCAATGGTTGCTGGGAAATGTTCCACTGTGGGAAGATCCCAGAGTCTAAAGGAAAGGTTTCCAGATGATAGAACAATGACGGACATATGGACCCTCGTTCATTTCTCTCTCACATCCTGTAGAGCCCACAGTTTCTACCTGGGTGGCTTCCAGCTTGGGAGAGCCTCCCTTCCCAGGTCTGGCCCCAATCTTCTCTCTGGCCTCTGCTCCAGCTCACATTCTTAGATTCCATCTTTGCAAGCTGGTTTTCTGAGAGGAGCCCATCAGTTTTGTGAGTAAACACCCTTTACCTTCTAGTAGGGCCAAGACTATACCTGCCCCCTGTGTTTTCAAAGTGAATGTTATGGTTTAAGTCTGCCCTATCTCTTTTGATGATTCTCCTTTTAATTTCTGAACTCAATCTAGGGTGGGTGAGATGGCTGATGCCTGTTATCCCAGCCTTTTGGGAGGCCAAGGTGAGGAGATCACTTGAGGTCAGGAGTTTGAGACCAGCCGGGCCAACATGGTGACGGCCAACATGGTGAAACCCCATCTCGACTAAAATACAAAAATTAGTAGGGCTTGTTGGAGTGCACCCGTAATTCCCAGCTACTTGGGAGGCAGAAGTGAGAGAATCACTTGAACCAGAAGGTTGAGGCTGCAGTGAGCTGAAATCGTGCCACTGCACTCCAGCCTGAGTGACAGATGTAGGCCCAGTCTGAAAATCAAACAAACAATCAATAAATAAACTCAATCTTGACAAAAGACTTTGAGTCCTGACATCTAGATGCCCACAAGATAACCGCCATGTTTTACATTGTCTTGTTTCCTTTGCAGGTTCCCATTAGAACACCTAGTCTCATTCCGCTCAGTCCCCACCTCACTTGGTCACTTTGTCCTGATTTCCTTCGGTGAAGCCTTGACTTAGTCTTGAGATAGATCACACTCTCAGTGGTTCCTTTCTTCTACCTGAATGTGCATATGATCTGCTATGTTAGATAGCATAAAACACAGGTGACCATTCGATATACACAGCTTTTTATTCTGTTTTCTTGGGAATGACATCACTATCTTCTTCAGGCTGTTGTAGCTCTGAAACATTTTGACAATTTTGATGTGGCCAAACATCCTCCAATAAGGACACCTTAAGGTTTTTTTTTTTTTGGCCTAATATCAGGAACAGATTAATCCCTTCCCTACATCACTACGAAAGTCGTGTATTAGCCAAACTTCATCAGTATTTCGGGAATAAATGAACGAATGAGTTTTGGACTTTCACCCTATTATTTATTCTTTTACTTCCGTAAATGTGTATCTAATTCGATCAATTAGTCAGAAGAAAGCTGAAAACTCAATCAGGATTAACTGGGTGTGACTGCAAGATCTAATCAGGTATCAGTTTCTGATTGGAAGCTGGTGATTGAGAAGGGAAGGGTGGGGTTAGAAAGGTCCATAAAAGCTCCTGAGGGTACCCAGAAGAGACCCACAGCACTCATTCCTGGAGCTACTGCTTGGTTCCCTGAGAGGTCCCAGAACTCTGCAAAGTGAGTCCAGCGCTGGTAAGTCACCACCTTCTTAGGGTCATGCCCATCTGATCAGCAGCCAGCCAGTCAGGGACGGTGACACACATCCCAAAGTGGCACACAATATTTTTCTGTCTGTTTCGTGAGATGAACAGATTTAGGCTTTCATTTTTCCTCTAAATGTAGTTTTGTCTTCATCCATCAAATTGTGATTTGTGCTTAGTTTTTGTCATTTTAAAATTCTTATCGAAGCAGGTTTTTTAAAAATATATTAAAAATTTACAGTGACATGAATTTTTATTTCTTGACATTTGAAGTTATCTGTTTTTGTGCCCTTCAATTACAGTTCATAGACTTGGTGTTATTGTGATTCTCCAAGTATGCTTTCATTTTCATAAAATCCTTAAAGGTATCCCACACACCAATCTCAAGAGTGCAGTTTTGCTCAGATCATGGGATTTATCTTTGCCCCTAGGATCCATCAAAAAGTGGGTAATTGTGAGTATGTGGAAGTGATGTCTATAGGAACCTTCATCTCAGAGTTACAGTGCTCTAGAATAGCATGGTAGCACTTTTACAGTTTTTGAGATGGAGTTTCCCTATTGTTGCCCAGGCTGCAGTGCCATGGTGTGATTTGGCTCACTGAAATTTCTGCCTCCTAGTTACATGCGATTCTCCTGCTTCAGCCTCCTGAGTAGCTTGGATTACAGGCACTCACCACCATGCCCAGCTAATTTTTGTATTTTTAGTAGACACAGGGTTTTGCCATGTTGGCCATGCTGGCCTCAAACTCCTGACCTCAGGAGATCTGCCCACCTCAGACTCCCAAAGTGCTGGGATTACAGGAGTGAGCCACCGCGCCCAGCTACAGTTAGCATTTCTATACATACCTTCCAAATGCTGTGGAATACCATCACACCACTTTTACAGTTCCAGTGAATTATTTTGTTTTTTTTCTGCGATGTACTCTGAGTGTGTCACCCAGACTGGAGTGCAGGGCCCTGAGCTGGGCTCCCTGGAAACTCTGCCTCTGGGCTTCAAGTGATTCTCCTTCCTCTGCCTCCAGAGTAGCTAGGATTACAGTCATGCATGACCACACCTGGCTAACATTTTAATTAATTAATTTATCAGTTTGTTTTTGTTTGAGTCGGAGTCCAACTCTGTCACCCAGGCTGGAGAGCAGTGGTGAGATCTTGGCTCACTGCAACCTCTGCCTTCTGGAGTCAAATGATTCTTAATTTTTTTGTATTTAGTAGAGACATCGTTTCATTATGTAGGCCAGGCTGTTCTCGAACTCCTGACCTCAAGTGATCTGCCTGCCTTGGTGTCCAGCAGTGTTGGGATTACAGACATGAGCCACAGCACCTGGTCCATTTCTGGTAGAAAATTTTCAAAATAAAAAATAATGGCATCGATTTTAGGGAGTCCCTTTAGTGTTCCCCCAGCACGTTTATGGTGTGAACTGAGAATGGAGGCTGTCTGGGGCCACAGGACACTCTCATTCTCATTGCTTTAGGGTGGTAAGTGACAAGAAATTTTTCCTCAAAGAGGTAGAGCTTGGCTTTCAGGATCCTCAGTGGCAGTGTCCGGTGGTTCTGGGATTCAGTGGAATGAAGGATGAAAATTAATAAGCCAGTGGTCTCCTTGACCCCTCCCTCCTTGGTGTTTGGAAGACATTCTTCCTGGTACCAGTAGAAGCAGATGATTGTGTTTGCCATGAGAGTGATACATTTTCCCTGGATTTGTCTTCTAGAGATTTTTCTTGCAGATCTATCAGGATGAGCATCCAGGCCCCACCCAGACTCCTGGAGCTGGCAGGGCAGAGCCTGCTGAGAGACCAGGCCTTGTCCATCTCTGCCATGGAGGAGCTGCCCAGGGTGCTCTATCTCCCACTCTTCATGGAGGCCTTCCGCAGGAGACACTTCCAGACTCTGACGGTGATGGTGCAGGCCTGGCCCTTCACCTGCCTCCCTCTGGGATCACTGATGAAGACGCTTCATTTGGAGACCTTAAAAGCATTGCTGGAAGGGCTTCATATGCTGCTTACACAGAAGGATCGCCCCAGGTGAGGTGACCCAGGAGGGCTGGTAGATAGGGCTCAGGTGTCCAGGGAAAGAACAGCAGGGTCAGGCAGAGAAGTAGCCCAAGTGTGGCCCAGAGTCTTCTGATGGTGTTGGCGAGGAAGATCAGGGAGACTTTGGCCATTGTCCAGATCCTCAGAGAAAGGAGTGCTCACCATACAGGGTCCACTGTGGGAACAGAAACCTGCCTTTACTCAGTGGAAGGTAAAGGGAATAGAAGTGGGGAATCAAAAGTCAGAATCAAAAGGGAATCAAAAGGGAACAGGGATTGAGAAAAGACAAAGAGAACAGGGAGCACTGAGGACAGGAGCAGCTGATTTATGGGATGAGAATGAAAGCAAAGGTCAGGGATGAGTCCTTCTAAATTCTGAGTCTCTCCCTTACTTTACCCACAGGAGGTGGAAACTTCAAGTGCTGGATTTGCGGGATGTTGATGAGAATTTCTGGGCCAGATGGCCTGGAGCCTGGGCCCTGTCCTGCTTCCCAGAGACCATGAGTAAGAGGCAGACAGCAGAGGACTGTCCAAGGATGGGAGAGCACCAGCCCTTAAAGGTGTTCATAGACATCTGCCTCAAGGAAATACCCCAGGATGAATGCCTGAGATACCTCTTTCAGTGGGTTTACCAAAGGAGAGGTTTAGTACACCTGTGCTGTAGTAAGCTGGTCAATTATCTAACGCCGATTAAACATCTCAGAAAGTCATTGAAAATAATATACCTGAATAGTATTCAACAGCTGGAAATTCGCAACATGTCCTGGCCACGTCTGATAAGAAAGCTTCGTTGTTACCTGAAGGAGATGAAGAATCTTCGCAAACTCGTTTTCTCCAGGTGCCATCATTCCATGTCAGATAATGAACTCGAAGGACGGTTAGTCACCAAATTCAGCTCTGTGTTCCTCAGGCTGGAACACCTCCAGTTGCTTAAAATAAAATTGATCACCTTCTTCAGTGGGCACCTGGAACAGCTGATCAGGTGAGGAAGGATCATGCACTTTATATGCAGACCACAGCATAGCCTTGTTCTGTTACAGCAAACATTAGAAGGCGTGTACTGTGTGCCAGCCAGTGGCAACGTCACAGTGAAGGGGACACCAGAATGTCAACACATTGTCCCATTCAGTGTTCCATGTCCTGGAGTGGCTATCACAGGAACGCTCCAATAAGGGCAGAGGGGTCACCTGGGGTAGAAGCTAGAGAGAGACATCATGTACAAGCTAGTTAGTGGGGGTTTCAGCTCTATTGGGGGTGCACGTGTGAATTTCCTGTTACAAAGTGTGTTTCAAGTTGATATGATGTCAAAGAGATAATAGAGGAGGGTATGAAAGGAGGGAAAGCGCATCAAACCTGTCCATTTCACAATAGAACGTCTGTCCTCACCGGCTTAGTGATCACGAATGATCCTGTCTCTGATTCCCTGTTTGTAAAAGGTTGTTTTGAACTCCAGGAAAGGTAACTGACATGGGAAATGTGTGCTTCTGGGATGGAGGTGAGGGAGTAGGCGTGAGAGTGGTAAAAAGTGACAGTTGGTTTGCAGATGCAGGCATGTCAGGGAGCCCCTGCCGACATGTAGCCCTAGCTGATGTCCCTAGACCTTGCTGAGTTGAGTTCTTTGTTCACATCTCCCACCGGGTACCTGTAGCCCAGAGATAAAGTTTTCTGCTAAAAGATGAAAAAAAAAAAAAAAAAGGCTTTAGAGATTTTATGGCCTTGAACCAATCACACAAGCAATGTTGAAAGGGCTGAGGCTAAAATGGGACAGCCCCTGAACGATCAGGGTCCTCATCATGCAGCAACTTCCATGAGGACCATCATCAGATGGTGGGAACAAACTTGTGTTTGTTTGACGCAGGCATTTTCCTAGATGAAGGCACTACCTTCATCTAACTGGTACCATTGCCCAGAACTAACTTCTTGATCTCCACAGGTGCCTCCAGAACCCCTTGGAGAACTTGGAATTAACTTATGGCTACCTATTGGAAGAAGACATGAAGTGTCTCTCCCAGTACCCAAGCCTCGGTTACCTAAAGCATCTGAATCTCAGCTACGTGCTGCTGTTCCGCATCAGTCTTGAACCCCTCGGAGCTCTGCTAGAGAAAATTGCTGCCTCTCTCGAAACCCTCATCTTGGAGGGCTGTCAGATCCACTACTCCCAACTCAGTGCCATCCTGCCTGGCCTGAGCCACTGCTCCCAGCTCACCACCTTCTACTTTGGCAGAAATTGTATGTCTATGGGTGCCCTGAAGGACCTGTTGTGCCACACCAGTGGGCTGAGCAAGTTAAGCCTGGAGACGTATCCTGCCCCTGAGGAGAGTTTGAATTCCTTGGTTCGTGTCGATTGGGAGATCTTCGCCCTACTTCGGGCTGAGCTGATGTGTACACTGAGGGAAGTCAGGCAGCCCAAGAGGATCTTCATTGGTCCCACCCCCTGCCCTTCCTGTGGCTCATCACCGTCTGAGGAACTGGAGCTCCATCTTTGCTGCTAGGGAAGGCGTGCCTAGCGGGGTAGAGAAATCCAAAGTTCTCTTCCAGGCACTGGGACACTAAAATCTACTATGTAGGTGCAAACTATTTTTCTCTTTTCTTATTTATTTCATTTTTTAATAATTCCAAAATTTTTATTAAAGACAATTTGAGACAGGGTTTCTCTGTGTTGCTCTGGGATCCTCCTGCCTCAGCTGGGCTTATGGGATCCTCCTGCCTCAGCTTCCTAAAGTGCTGGGATTACTGGCATGAGTGACTGTGTCCAGGCCACATGCAACTTAAAGGAAGCACAGGGAAGTGCTCAGTGTGAGGGAAAAAAACATAACAGCAGGGGGCAAGGCTGGAGGAAAATGTTGAGGTGACATCAATGAGAACTTCAGGGACCCGTGTCCTACAGAGTCGGAAAGAGAAGCTAAAGTTCTACAGTGATGAGAATGTTATCCCTGCAAGGATGGTTACCAAGGAATATCAGAAATAAAGAGCACCTGAATGAAAACTTTTAACCTGTTGTAGCAATTTATCCACCAGAAATATCTAGTTATTGAGTTACTGATGGAAAAATAATGAAATACTACTTTGTCTGTGATTGAGTTTCAGCTGTAGAACATCAAAGCAACCAAATAGAATTTGATCATTTTAAGTATTTCCCACCCGTTCTTGTTCTTTGTTTTGTTTTGGAGACAAAATCTCAGTTTGTCATTTAGGCTGGAGTGCAGTGGTGCAATCTGGGCTCATTGTAATCCTTTCCTTCAGGGCTCAAGTGATTCTTGTGCCTCAACCACTCAAATAGCTGGGACTGCAGGCACGTTCCACCAAGACTGGCTGATTTTTGTATTTTTAATAGAGATGGGGTTTTTCCATGTTGATCAGCCTGGTCTCAAGATCCTGGCTTCAAGTGATCCACTGACCTTGGCCTCCCAAAGCGCTGGGAAAACAGGCATACAGATGATCTCCACCCATTCTTTACTTCTCTTCAGTCATCAGTTTTTTTCTTACTTTTTTGCCCAAGGGGAGCAGCTCGGTCAGGCGCGAAGGGACGGGCAGAGAGGGGCCCCAAGGAGAAGATAGGAATGGGGTGGTGCCACGTTCGCACAAGATGTGCGGATGCCAGGCCCAGAAGGCATAGCTGGGGCCATCCATCAGGGGGCCAGGGTGAGAAGCAGAAATGGCACCTGCTTCAAGGACCTGGCCAGCTATCTGGCCACTGTGCCCATCCTGCTAACAGTGTCAAGCTCCCAGGTCTTGAAGGGAGGGTCTATGCGGATCCACCCCAGGCTGTGTTTCCGAGATCCGCCCCCCATAGGGGTGACCAGCCCGATTGCTGGGCCTGGGAACCATGAACCACTCCTGGAGGCACTCCCCTTGACTGGGTCATGAGCCAGGCCTGTGCTCCATTTCCCTGAGGCACCCAACTGTGCCACCCACACCCTCTCATCGCAAAATGGAACCTTGTCCCAGGTCTGGAGTCTCCACCACAGCCTCTACTTCACTGCTCACTGCCTGCTGTTAGCCTGCAAGCTCCTGGATGATAGTGCAGTTGGGGCTGGTTAAACCACACCCAGGAGCATTGGGTTTGTTTGTGCGGGGTTGGTCAGAGCTGCTGTGTACCTGCTTCTCAACTGTCACTTCTGCAGGGAAACACAGAGAAAGGGCACAGCCAAGGCTGCGTACACTTCAGAGCTGATGGGAGCCTGGGACAAGAGGGAGTCCTGGTCCTCCTGAGTTGGCAGGGCAGTAGCTCCAAAGACGCAACTGAAGTTGTCCAGGTCACAGTTACCAAATGAGGTCCCCCAGTACTCTCGAGGGTCCAGGAGATCCCCCCTTCTCCTGCAGCTTGGGGGTGTCCGCTCTCACTGCCTCATCTCTCATGGCACCTGCTCTAATTTTGGAGTGTGGTTGTGGTCAAGCCCAGATGCTGTCGCAGCCCAGGTGGGTCTGTGCACACTCGGGTCAGTGCTGGTGCACCATCCCACTGCTGTCTTGAACCCTCTGGACTTTGGGCCTTGATGAGTGTAGGAGGGAGGCTGAGGGGTGTTGCGGACTGATCAGCACTGGTCTTTGGATGCTCCTTGGTACAAGTGACCTGGGCTCCATGGTTGGTGGTGGGAGGCAGACAGAATCCTGGACAGGAAGGTGAGGGTCACTGGTGAAGCTCCACCTTCTGATCAAGGAGGGCCTGAAGCCCGTGGGCTGGGCCACCAGTCCTATGGACCAGAGTGGGAACATGTGTTGCCTTTTCTGTGCCTGCTCATGGCCACCTATGACCCAATGAGTGCATACTTTCTCCTGTCTGATGTCAAAAAAACCCCAGACTCAGGGAGAACATTAGGAAGACCAGTGGCAGAGAGGAACTACCCACTGTGGGGATGATTTTCCTGTAGAGACAAGCAACCCCCTCCGGGTCCTTTTCTCTGCTGAGAGCTGTAGAGATGATGAGATGACTTTCCTGCAGAGAGCAGCAACCCACTCCAGGGCCTTCTCTCTACTGAGAGCAGTGGTGATGATGGAATAACCTGCCAGGAGGGAGGGGTCACCCACCCCAGGGCCTCCTCTCTGCTCAGAGCTAAACACTCATCAGGACGCCCTGGCTGCAGAAAGAAGTTACCCACTGTGGGTCTCTGAGCTGTTCTATTGCTCAGTAAAGCTCCTCTTTATCTCACTCACCCTCCACTTGTCTGCATATCTCACTCTTCCTGGTCACAGGACAAAAACTTGAGACCAGCCTAATGGTGGGGTAAAAGAGCAATAACACAAATAAAGCTGAAACATGCCCCTTGCTCACCAAATTGTAGGTGAAGAGAAAAAGAGAAGAGCAACTACTCTTCCAGGAGCCCAGATGTGGGAGCTTCCTGAGCCAGGGCTGTGACTCCCTTTTGGAGGTTCTGCAGTTCCTGGCATTTCCAAGCTTTCAGTGTTGGTGTCACTGTGTATTCCAGTGACAACCATGGAAGCTGTTTGTGCTGTGCCTGATTCATTTGCAGCCTTGCAGAAATCCGACACACATGCTGACACCTGGAGCTGCCCATCCCACTGCTGCAGCAGCAGCAGCCGGTGACCGTCCAAAGTGGCCAGACCCCCTGCTCACTCACACACCCCTCACCACTCCAGCCCTGACCCGCCCTTAATAGGCATGTGCTCCAGGCCTGAAACATAAGCCAAGCATAGTCTACCAGGCTGCATGGGCAGAACGAACCCAGTGAACCCCATCAAAACTCTGGCAAAGGTGCCCCCAGCCACAGAGGTTTCTGGCCAGAAGAGTCACATTCTAAGTATTCCAGAAGAGAAAATTACTTAAACACAAAGAAAGACAATAAGAAAAGGATGGAAGAGAGAAGTCTCTAAACAACCAAAAAACAAGAAATGAAATGGGAGCACTAAGCCTTTATCAATAAAAACAATGAATATAATTTATCTGAATTCTGCAAGTGAAAGGCATAGGGTCTTTGAATGAGTAAAAAAATAAAACCCTACTATATGCTGTTTTCCAGAAACTCAATTCACCTATAAGCATACATGTAGATGGAAAGTGAAGGGGTAGAATAAGATATTCCATACAACTGGAAACCAAAAACAGCAAGAGTAGCTGTACTTATATCAGGTAAAATAGGTGCCAAATCTCACAATGCACTCAGGTAAAACAGAATACAAATCTGAGCTTGTAAAATAATAGACTACGCTTACACAAACTATGCCTAGAAAGAACATACATCAAAATAATAGAAGCCAAAAATGACAAATCCACATGCAACATCATATTGAATGAAGAAACGTTGAAAGTATTCCTGCTAGGAACTACAAGCAGACAAAAATGCTCACTTTATCCACTTGTAATCAACATAGGACTGAAAATGTTTGTCAGAGCAATCTGGTAAGCAAAAGGAATAAAGTATAATTAAATTGGAAAGAAGGAAGTGAAACTACCTGTGTTTGCCAATGATGTGATCATATGTGCTTAGAAAACCGGAAAGATTCCACCAAGACTTGTAGATGCGATAAGTGAATTCACTTAAATCTAAGGTACAAAATTAATATGTACAAATCAGTACCACTGTTTGATATCAACAACAAGCAAGCTGAGAATCAATTCAAGAACTCCATCCCTTCACAATAGTTGCAAAACAACAACAAAAACAGTGACAATAACAAAAACAACCTAGGAATACACTTAACCATTAGGTAAAGGATCTCTATCAGATGAACTACAAGACACTGCTGAAAAAAATCATAGACAACAAAAAAGTAGAAAAATATCCCATGCTCATGGATTGACAGACACAATATTGTGAAAATGACCACACTGCCCAAAGCAATCTAAAAACTGCAAACATCAAACATCAATCTAAAAACGTCAGTCTAAAAATTTCATACACCAAAATACAAACACCATTTTCACAAGATTAAAAAAAGAATCCTAAGATTCATATGGAGATGAAAAAGAGGCTGAAGAGCCAAAGCAATCCGAAGCAAAATGAACAAATATGGAGGCATCACATTACCTGACTTCAATTTATACAGTAAGGCAATAGTAAGCAAAACTGCGTGGTGCCAGTATGAAGGTCGAGACATAGACCAATGGAATGGAATAGAGAGCCCCGGAATAAAGCCGCATACTTACAACCCAGCGGTAGGACTGCTGCTTCTCAGTTTGTGCTGAGTGATGCCCCTTGGGGATATGGGGCCAAAGTTACTGGATTTTTCCCCCAAGAAAACCAGAGAGTGAATTGTGATATCCTGTGTGATTTTTAGACTGACTATTGCCATAGTGCTTAGGTCGTCTCCAGGTGCCCAGAGACTCAATCACCAACCAGTGTCCACATTCTTGTCACCGCTGCAAGAAAGAGTTTAGGAAGTAGGCAGAATGAAGCAAAAGGCAAGAAGTGTCTATTGCAAAGCAAAGGAACACACTCAAGAGAGGGCTTATTCAGGAGAGCGAGTCAGGTACAAGAGAGTTTGGGTTTCTAATTTTATAGGATCTCTAAGGAGAGGTTGAAATAATCATTAGGATTTTAAGAAAAAATGGTGAAGTTTTCTTAGAACTGAGGTGTCACTTATTTATTTATTTATTTATTTATTTATTTATTTATTTATTTATTTATTTATGTTTTGAGATGGAGTTTCACTCTTGTTGCCCAGGCTGGAGTGCAATGGCGCGATCTTGGCTCACTGCAATCTCCGCCTCCCGTGTTCAAGCAATACTCCTGCCTCAGCCTCTGGAGTAGCTGGGGTTACAGACATGCACCACCACACTCGGCTAATTTTGTATTTTTAGTAGAGACGAGATTTCTCCATGTTGGTCAGGGTGGTCTCAAACTCCCGACACCAGGTTATCCGCCTGCCTCAGTTTCCCAAAATGTTGGGATTACAGGCATGAGCCACTGCACGTGGCTAGGTGTTAACTATTTTTATACTAAATATGGGCATTCTCAGAACCGTCCTGGCGCTGGTGTGTGACTTACTGTCATAATAGGTGTATAATTAGGCCTGGGGTAGGGCAAGGGTCAAACCCAGTGCCATGTCTGACCAATTCAGTGTCAGCCAGCTTAGCCCCTTCCTGCTTGTTCGGATCTTATGGGTCAAGGCTTATCCTTATTCTTGCAGCTAATTTTACAAACTCTTTTCTTGCTGCTATATGAAATCACTGCTTGATATTTTCATGCTTCTCCTGTGACCAGCCAGCTTTCCTATTTTATGGGTATTTCTTTTCTTCTCCCTTCCCTTCCCTTCCCTTCCCTTCACCTCCTCTCCCCTCCCCTCCCCTCCACTGTCTTGTCTTGTCTTTTCTTTCTTTCTTTCTTTCTTTCTTTCTTTCTTTCTTTCTTTCTTTCTTTCTTTCTTTCTTTCTTTCTTTCTTTCTCTTTCTTTCTTCTTTCTTTCTTTCTTTCTTTCTTTCTTTCTTTCTTTCTTTCTTTCTTTCTTTCTTTCTTTCTTTCTTTCTTTCTTTCTTTCTTTCTTTCTTTCCACTTTAAGTTCTGGGATACATGTGCAGAACGTGCAGTTTTGTTACATACGTATACACATGCCATGGTGGTTTGCTGCACCCATCAACCCGTCATCTACATTAGGTATTTCTCCTAATGCTACCCCTCTCCTAGCCCTCCACACCCCGAGAGGCCCTGATGTGTAGTGTTCCCCTACCTGTGACCATGAGTTCTCATTGTTCAACTCCCACTTATGTGGTGTTTTGGTTTACTGTTCCTGTGTTAGTTTGCTGAGAATGATGGTTTCTAGCTTCATCCATGTCCCTGCAAAGGAAATGAACTTATTTTTTATGACTGCATAGTATTCCATGATGTATATGTGCCACATTTGCTTTATCCAGTCTATCATTGATGGGCATTTGGGTTGGTTCCAAGTCTTTGCTGTTGTGAATAGTGCTGCAATAAACATACTTGTGCATGTGTCTTTATAGTAGAAGGATTTATAATCCTTTGGATATATACCCAGTAATGAGATTGCTGGATCAAATGGTATTTCTGGTTCTAGATCCTTGAGGAATTGCCACACTGTCTTCCACAATGGTTGAACTAATTTACACTCCCACCAACAGTGTCAAAGCATTCCTATTTCTCCACATCCTTTCCAGCATCTGTTGTTTCCTGACTTTTTAATGATCACCATTCTAACTGGCATGAGATGGTATCTCACTGTGGTTTTGATTTGCATTAGAGAAATGCAAATCAAATGACCAGTGGTGATGAACATTTTTTCATATGTTTGTTGGCTGGATAAATGGTTTTTTTGGAGAGTTGTCTGTTAGTATCCTTCACCCACTTTTTGACAGGGTTGTTTGTTTTTTTCTTGTAAATTTGCTTAAGTTCCTTGTAGATTCTGGATATTAGCCATTTGTCTGATGGATAGATTGCAAAAAATTTTCCCATTCTATAGGTTGCCTGTTGACTCTGATGATAGTTTCTTTTGCTGTGCAAAAGCTCTTTATTTTAATTAGATCCCATTTGTCAATTTTGGCTTTTGTTGCCATTGGTTTTAGTGTTTTAGCCATGAAGTCTTTGCCCATGCCTATGTCCTGAATGGTATCACCTAGGTTTTCTTCTAGGGTTTTTATGGCTTTAGGTCTTACATTTAAGTCTTTAATCCATCTTGAGTTAATTTTTGCATAAGGTGAAAGGAAGGGGTTCATTTGCAGTTTTCTGCATATGGCTAGCCAGTTTTCCCAACACCGTTTATTAAATAGGGAATCCTTTCCCCATTGGCTGTTTTTGTCAGGTTTGTCAAGGATCAGATGGTTGTAGATGTGTGGCATTATTTCTGAGTCCTCTGTTCTGTTCCATTGGTCTACATATCTGTTTTGATAACTGTACCATGTTGTTCTGGTTACTGTAGCCTTGTCGTATAGTTTGAAGTCAGGTAGCGTGATGCCTCCAGCTTTGTTCTTTTTGCTTAGGATTGTGTTGTGTATACAGGTTCTTTTTTGCTTCCATATGAAGTTTTAAGTAGTTTTTTCTAATTCTGTGAAGAAACTCCATTACAGCTTGATGGGGATAGCATTGGATCTATAAATCACTTTGGGCAGTATGGCCATTTTCATGATATTGATTCTTCAGACCCATGAGCGTGGAATGTTTTTCC
This sequence comes from Homo sapiens, assembly GCF_000001405.40. Taxonomy (NCBI): domain Eukaryota; kingdom Metazoa; phylum Chordata; class Mammalia; order Primates; family Hominidae; genus Homo; species Homo sapiens. The sequence continues at coordinate 13,334,942 of NC_000001.11, read as the reverse complement.
ATGTGTTAGTGTCCTCTCTTATTTCCTTAAGCAGTGGTTTGTAGTTCTCCTTGAAGAGGTCCTTCACATCCCTTGTAAGTTGTATTCCTATGTATTTTATTTTCTTTTAGCAATTGTGAATGGGAGTTCACTCATGATTGGCTCTCCGTTTGTCTATTGTTGATGTATAGGAATGATTTTGATTTTTGCACATTGATTTTGTATCCTGAGACTTTGTTGAAGTTGCTTATCAGCTTTAGGAGATTTTGGGCTGAGACGATGGGGTTTTCTAAATATACAATCATGTCATCTGCAAACAGAGACAATTTGACTTCCTCTCTTCCTATTTGAATACTCTTTATTTCTTTCTCTTGCCTGATTGCCCTGGCCAGAACTTCCAATACTATGTTGAATAGGAGTGGTGAGAGAGGGCATCCATGCATTGTGCTGGTTTTCAAAGGGAATGCTTCTAGCTTTTGCCCATTCAGTATGATATTGGCTGTGGTTTTGTCATAAATGGCTCTTATTATTTTTACATACGTTCCATCAATACCTAGTTTATCTAGAGTTTTTAGCCTGAAAGGGTGTTGAATTTTATCGAAGGCCTTTTCTGCACATATTGAAATAATCATGTGGTTTTTGTCATTGGTTCTGTTTATGTGATGGATTACGTTTATTGATTTGCGTAAGTGGAACCAGCCTTGCGGATCAGGGATGAAGCCGACTTGATATTGGTGGATAAGCTTTTTGATGTGCTGCTGGATTCGGTTTGCCAGTATTTTATTGAGGATTTTTGCATCGATGTTAATCAGGGATATTGGTCTCAAATTCTCTTTTTTTGTTGTGTCTCTGCGAGGCTTTGGTGTCAGGATGATGCTGGCCTCATAAAATGAGTTAGGGAGGATTCCCTCTTTTTCTATTAAGTGGAATAGTTTCAGAAGGAATGGTACCAGCTCCTCCTTGTACCTCTGATAGAATTCGACTGTGAATCCATCTGGTCCTGGACTTTTTTTGGTTGGTAAGCTATTAATTATTTCCTCAATTTCAGAGCCTGTTATTGGTCTATTCAGAGACTCACCTTCTTCCTGGTTTATTCTGGGGAGGGTGTATGTGTTGAGGAATTTATCCATTTCTTCTAGATTTTCTAGTTTATTTGCATAGAGTTGTTTATAGTATTCTCTGATGGTAGTTTGTCTTTCTGTGGGATCCGTGGTGATATGCCCTTTATCATTTTTTATTGCATCTATTTGATTCTTCTATATTTTCTTCTTTATTAGTCTTGCTAGCAGTCTATCTATTTTGTTGATCTTTTCAAAAAACCAGCTCCTGGATTCATTGATTTTTTGAAGGGGTTTTTGTGTCTCTATTTCCTTCGGGTCTGCTCTGATCTTAGCTATTTCTTGCTTTCTGCTGGCTTTTGAATGTGTTTGCTCTTGCTTCTCTAGTTCTTTTAATTGTGATGTTAGGTTGTCAATTTTAGATCTTTCCTGCTTTCTCTTGTGGGCATTTAGTGCTATAAATTTCCCTCTACACACTGCTTTAAATGTGTCCCAGAGATTCTGGTATGTTGTGTCTTTTTTCTCATTGGTTTCAAAGAATGTCTTTATTTCTGTCTTCATTTCGTTATGTACCCAGTAGTCATTCAGGAGCAGGTTGTTCAATTTCCATGTAGTTGAGCGGTTTTGAGTGAGTTTCTTTTATTATTATTATTATGCTTTAAGTTTTAGGGTACATGTGAACAACGTGCAGGTTTGTTACATATGTATACGTGTGCCATGTTGGTGTGCTGCACACATTAACTCATCATTTAGCCTTAGGTATACCTCCTAATGGTATCCTATGCAGCCATAAAAAATGATGAGTTCATGTCCTTTGTAGGGACATGGATGAAGCTGGAAACCATCATTCTCAGCAAACTATCACAAGCACAAAAAACCAAACACTGCATGTTCTCACTCATAGGTGGGAATTGAACAATGAGAACACATGGACACAGGAAAGGGAACATCACACACTGAGTGAGTTTCTTAATCCTGAGTTCTAGTTTGATTGCACTGTGGTCTGAGAGACAGTTTGTTATAATTTCTGTTCTCTTACATTTGCTGAGGTGTGCTTTACTTCCAACTATGTGGTCAATTTTTGGAATAAGTGCAGTGTGGTGCTGAGAAGAATGTATATTCTGTTGATTTTGGATGGTGAGTTCTGTAGATGTCTATTAGGTCCGCTTGGCGCAGAGCTGAGTTCAATTCCTGTATATCCTTGTTAACTTTCTGTCTCATTGATGTGTCTAATGTTGACAGTGGGGTGTTGAAGTCTCCCATTATTATTGTGTGGGAGTCTAAGTCTCTTTGTAGGTCTCTAAGGACTTGCTTTATGAATCTGGGTGCTCCTGTATTGGGTGCATCTATATTTAGGATAGTTAGCTCTTCTTGTTGAATGGATCCCTTTACCATGATGTAATGGCCTTCTTTGTCTCTTTTGATCTTTGTTGGTTTAAAGTCTGTTTTATCCGAGACTAGGATGGCAACTCCTGCCTTTTTGTGTTTTCCATTTGCTTGGAAGATCTTCCTCCATCCCTTTATTTTGAGCCTATGTGTGTCTCTGCATGTGAGATGGGTTTCCTGAATGCAGCACACTGATGGGTCTTGACTCTATGAAATTTGCGAGTCTGTGTTTTTTAATTGGAGCATTTAGCCCATTTACATTTAAGGTTAATATTGTTATGTATGAATTTGATCCTGTCATTATGATGTTAGCTGGTTATTTTGCTCTTTAGTTGATGCAGTTTCTTCCTAGTATCGATGGTCCTTCCAATTTGGCACGTGTTTGAAGTGGCTGGTACCAGTTGTTCCTTTCCGTGTTTAGTGCTTCCTTCAGGAGCTCTTATAGGGCAGGCCTGGTGGTGACAAAATCTCTCAGCATTTGCTTGTCTGTAAAGGAATTTATCTCTCCTTCACTTATGAAGCTTAGTTTGGTTGCATATGAAATTCTGGGTCGAAAATTCTTTCTTAAGAATGTTGAATATAGGCCCCCACTCTCTTCTAGCTTGTAGAGTTTCTGCCGAGAGCTCCGCTGTCAGTCTGATGGGCTTCCCTTTGTGGGTAACCCGACCTTTCTCTCTGGTTGCCCTTAACATTTTTTCCTTCATTTCAACTTTGGCGAATCTGACAATTATGTGTCTTGGAGTCGCTCTTCTCAAGGAGTATCTTTGTGGCATTCTGTGTATTTCCTGAATTTGAATGTTTGCCTGCCTTGCTAGATTGGGGAAGTTCTGCTGGATAATATCCTGAAGAGTGTTTTCCAGCTAGGTTCCATTCTCCCCATCACTTTCAGGTATACCAGTCAGACATAGATTTGGTCTTTTCACATAGTCCCATATTTCTTGGAGGCTTTGTTCATTTCCTCTTATTCTTTTATCTCTGAACTTCTCTTCTCGCTTCATTTCATTCATTTGATCTTCCCTCACTGATACCCTTTCTTCCAGTTGATTGAGTCAGCTACTGAGGCTTGTACATTTGTCACGTAGTTCTCGTGCCATGGTTTTCAGCTCCATCAGGTCCTTCAAGGACTTCTCTGCATTGGTTATTTTAGTTAGCCATTCATCTAATTTTTTTTCAATGTTTTTGACTTCTTTGCCATGGGTTCGAACTTCCTCTTTTAGCTCAGAGTAGTTTGATCATCTGAAGCCTTCATCTCTCAACTCATCAAAGTCCTTCTCCCTCTAGCTTTGTTCCATTGCTGGTGAGGAGCTGTGTTCCTTTCGAGGAGGAGAGGAACTCTGATTTTTAGAGTTTCCCGTTTTTCTGCTCTGTTTTTTCCCCATCTTTGTGGTCTTATCTACCTTTAGTCTTTGATGATGCTGATGTACAGACTGGGTTTTGGTGTGGATGTCCTTTCTGTTTGTTAGTTTTCCTTCTAACAGTCAGGACCCTCAGCTGCAGGTCTGTTGGAGTTTGCTGGAGGTCCACTCCAGAACCTGTTTGCCTGGGTATCAGCAGCAGAGGCTGCAGAACAGTGGATATTGGTGAACAGCAAATGTTGCTGCCTGATCGTTCCTGTGGAAGTTTTGTCTCAGAGGAGTACCTGGCCATGTGAGGTGTCAGTCTGCCCCTGCTGGTGGGTGCCTCCCAGTTAGGCTACTTAGGGGTCACAGAACCACTTGAGGAGGCAGTCTGTCCATTCTCAGATCTCCAGCTGCATGCTGGGAGAACCACTATTCTCTTCAAAGCTGTCAGACAGGGATATTTAAGTCTACAGAGGATTCTGCTGTCTTTTGTTTGGCAATGCCCTGCCCCCAGAAATGGAGTCTGCGGAGGCAGACAGGCCTCCTTGAGCTGCAGTGGGCTCCACCCAGTTCCAGCTTCCTGGCTGCTTTGTTTACCTACTCAAGCCTCAGCTATGGCAGGCGCCCGTCCCACAGCCTTGCTGCCGCCTTGCAGTTTGATCTCAGACTGCTGTGCTAGCAATGTGTGAGGCTCCGTGGGCATAGGATCTTTTGAGCCAGGCACGGGATATAATCTCCTGGTGTGCCACTTGCTAAGACTGTTGGAAAAGCGCAGTATGAGGGTGGGAGTGACCGGATTTTACAGGTGCCATCTGTCACCCCTTTCTTTGACTAGGAAAGGGAATTCCCTGACTCCTTGCACTTCCCAGGAGAGGCAATGCCTCATGCTGCTTTGGCTCACGCTCGGTGCACTGCACCCACTGTCCTACACCCACTTTCTGACACTCCCCAGTGAGAAGAACCTGGTACCTCAGTTGGAAATGCAGAAATCACCCGTCTTCTGCACCGCTCAGGCTGGGAGCTGTAGACTGGAGCTGATCCTATTCGGCCGTCTTGGCTCAACCCCCTAGTTAATTTTTTTTTTTTTTTTTTTATTTTTTATTTTTATTGATCATTCTTGGGTGTTTCTCACAGAGGGGGATTTGGCAGGGTCATAGGACAATAGTGGAGGGAAGGTCAGCAGATAAACAAGTGAACAAAGGTCTCTGGTTTTCCTAGGCAGAGGACCCTGCGGCCTTCCGCAGTGTTTGTGTCCCTGGGTACTTAAGATTAGGGAGTGGTGATGACTCTCAACGAGCATGCTGCCCTCAAGCATCTGTTCCACAAAGCACATCTTGCACCGCCCTTAATCCATCTAACCCTGAGTGGACACAGCACATGTCTCAGAGAGCACAGGGTTGGGGATAAGGTCACAGATCAACAGGATCCCAAGGCAGAAGAATTTTTCTTAGTACAGAACAAAATGAAAAGTCTCCCATGTCTACTTCTATCCACACAGACCCAGCAACCATCCGATTTCTCAATTTTTTCCCCACCCTTCCCGCCTTTCTATTCCACAAAACCGCCATTGTCATCATGGCCCATCCCCAATGAGCCGCTGGGCACACCTCCCAGACGGGTCGTGGCCGGGCAGAGGGGCTCCTCACTTCCCAGTAGGGGCGGCCCGGCAGAAGTGCCCCTCACCTCCCAGATGGGGCGGCTGGCCGGGCGGGGGGCTGACCCCCCCACCGCCCTCCCGGACGGGGCGGCTGGCCAGGCAGAGGGGCTCCTCACTTCCCAGTAGGGGCGGCCGGGCAGAGGCGCCCCTCACCTCCTGGATAGGGCGGCTGGTCGGGCGGGGGGCTGTTCCCCCCACCTCCCTCCCGGACGGGGCGGCTGGCCGGGCAGAGGGGTCCTCACTTCCCAGTAGGGGCGGCCGGGCAGAGGCACCCCTCACCTCCCGGACGGGGCGGCTGGCCAGGCAGGGGGCTGATCCCCCCACCTCCCTCCCGGACGGGGCGGCTGGCCGGGCGGGGGGCTGACCCCCCCCACCTCCCTCCCGGACGGGGCGGCTGGCCGGGCAGAGGGGTCCTCACTTCCCAGTAGGGGCAGCCGGGCAGAGGCGCCCCTCACCTCCCGGACGGGGTGGCTGGCCAGGCAGGGGGCTGATCCCCCCACCTCCCTCCCGGACGGGGCGGCTGGCCGGGCAGGGGGCTGACCCGCCCTCCCCCCTCCCGGACGGGGCGGCTGGCCGGGCGGGGGGCTGACCCCCCCACCTCCCTCCTGGGCGGGGCGGCTGGCCGGGCAGAGGGGCTCCTCACTTCCCAGTAGGGGCGGCCGGGCAGAGGCGCCCCTCACCTCCCGGACGGGGCGGCTGGCCGGGGGGGGGCTGACACCCCACCTCCCTCCCGGACTGGGCGGCTGGCCGGGCGGGGGGTTGACCCCCCCACCTCCCTCCTGGACGGGGCGACTGGCCGGGCAGAGGGGCTCCTCACTTCCCAGTAGGGGCGGCCGGGCAGAGGAGCCCCTCACCTCCCGGCCGGGGCGGCTGGCCGACCCCCCCCCCCCCGCCTCCCTCCCGGACGGGGCGGCTGGCCGGGCAGAGGGGCTCCTCACTTCCCAGTAGGGGCGGCCGGGCAGAGGAGCCCCTCACCTCCCGGACGGGGCGGCTGGCCGGGCGGGGGGCTGACCCCCCCCACCTCCCTCCCGGACGGGGTGGCTGCCGGGCGGAGACGCTCCTCACTTCCCAGACGGGGTGGTTGCCAGACGGAGGGGCTCCTCACTTCTCAGACGGGGCGGTTGCCAGGCAGAGGGTTTCCTCACTTCTCAGACGGAGCGGCCGGGCAGAGACACTCCTCACCTCCCAGACAGGGTTGCGGCCCAGCAGAGGCGCTCCTCACATCCCAGACAGGGCGGTGGGGCAGAGGTGCTCCCCACATCTCAGACGATGGGCGGCCGGGCAGAGACGCTCCTCACTTCCTAGATGGGATGGCGGCGGGGAAGAGGCGCTTCTCGCTTCCTAGATGGGATGGCGGCCGGGCAGAGACGCTCCTCACTTTCCACACTGGGCAGCCAGGCAGAGGGGCTCCTCATATCCCAGACGATGGGTGGCCAAGCAGAGACGCTCCTCACTTCCCAGACGGGGTGGCGGCCGGGCAGAGGCTGCAATCTCGGCTCTTTGGGAGGCCAAGGCAGGCGGCTGGGAGGTGGTTGTAGCGAGCCGAGATCACGCCACTGCACTCCAGCCTGGGCACCATTGAGCACTGAGTGAACGAGACTCCATCTGCAATCCCGGCACCTCGGGAGGCCGAGGCTGGCGGATCACTCGCGGTTAGGAGCTGGAGACCAGCCCGGCCAACACAGCGAAACCCCATCTCCACCAAAAAAAAACGAAAACCAGTCAGGCGTGGCGGCGCGCGCCTGCAATCGCAGGCACTCGGCAGGCTGAGGCAGGAGAATCAGGCAGGGAGGTTGCAGTGAGCCGAGATGGCAGCAGTACCGTCCAGCTTTGGCTCGGCATGAGAGGGAGAGGGAGACGGGAGAGGGAGAGGGAGACGGGAGAGGGAGAGGGAGACGGGAGAGGGAGAGGGAGACGGGAGAGGGAGAGGGAGACGGGAGAGGGAGAGGGAGACGGGAGAGGGAGAGGGAGACGGGAGAGGGAGAGGGAGACGGGAGAGGGAGAGGGAGACGGGAGAGGGAGAGAGCCCCCTAGTTAATTTTTGTGTCTTTAATAGAGAAAGGGTTTCATCATATTGGCCAGAGTCGTCTCGAACTCCTGACTGAAGTGATCCACCCACCTTAGTCTCTGAAAGTGCTGGGATTACAGATGTGAGCCACTGTGCCTTGTCAATTGCTGGACTTTCATGATACACATGGAGTATCCACAGTATCACAAGGGCCATTTTTTCCATAATCCAATTTATTTATATTATTGGTAGTGAGCTAATGTTGATGTCGCCAAGGTAGCAATTTAGTGACTATACCCATGGTAAACGTTTCCATGCATCACGTGGTCAACAGCATTTGCTACCAAGTGCCACGTTCCATGCTCAGCAGTGGGAACACAGGATGATGGAGACAAAGTTCCTGACCTTTAGCAGCAATATCGAACAAGTGAGATTGTCAAGAAAGAAGAAATCATTGTAAAACATACCATACCCCTACAATTCCGTAATCATGCTCCTGGATATTTAATGAAGTGAGTAAACCCACACCTGGATGTTTACAGCAACTTATTCATAATCGCCAAAACCTGGAAGCTAGCAAGTTGCCCTTCGGTCAGTGACTGGATAAGCAAACTGATCCATCCAGTCAGTGAACTATTATAAAGCTGTAAAAAGACATGAAAAATTCCTAAATGCACGTTATTGTACAAGTGAAAGAAGGCAATCTGAAAAGACTCATCCTGTTAGACATTCCAGAAAAAGCTTTTGCGTTTTTCTAAGGAGACAGTAGAAAACCCAGTGGATGCAAGGGGTTGGGAGCACAATGGGATGAATGGGAAGAGGACAGAGGACTTTTAGGGGAAGAAAACTACTCTCCATGATGCTCTAATGGTGGATACATGTCATTATCCCTTTGTTAAAATCCATAGAATATACAAAACCAGCAATGATCCCTCATGTGAACTATGGACATTGGGTGATAATGATGTGTCCCTGTGGCTCATTGGTTGTGATGAATGCTCTGTGCTGGTGTGGGTGCTGATCCTGTGGGGGTGCTGTGTATTGAAGGGGGAAGAAGGTAGATGAGAACTCTGCAGTTTCTGCTTAGTTTTTCTGTGAATCTAAAACTGCTGTAAAGAAAAAAATAGGCTGGGTGTGGTGGCTCACGTCTATAGTCGTAGCATTTTGGGAAGCCGAGGCGGGTGGATCACCTGAGGTCAGGGGTTGCAGACCAGCCTGGCTAAAATGACAAAACCCTGTCTCTACTAAAAAATAATAATAATAATAATAATACAAAAATTAATCAGGTGTGGTGTTGCATGCCTTTAATCCCAGCTACTCTGGAGGCTGAAACAGGAGAATTGCTTGAACCCTCGAGGCAGAGGTTGCAGTGAGCTGAGATTGTACCACTGCACTCCAGCCTGGGTGAAAGAGTAAGACTCCATCTCCAAAATAAATAAATAAATAAACTCAAGGCTGGGTGTGGTGGCTCATGCCTATAAGGGCTCACTCCCAGCAATTTAGGAGGCTGAGGCAGGTGGATCGCTTGAGCCCAGAATTTCAAGACCATTCTGGGCAACATGGTGAAGCCTGGTCTTCACTAAGAATACAAAAATAAGCCAGGCATGATGGTGCATGCCTGTTGTTCCAGCTACTAGGGGGACTGAGGCAGGGAGATCACCTGAGCCTAGGAGGTCAAGGCTGCAGTAAGCCGTGATCATGCCACTCCACTCCAATCTGGACAACAGAGTGAGACTTTGTCTCCAAATAAAATAAAATAAAATAAAATAAAATAAAATAAAATAAAATAAAATAAAACTCAATATTTTTTAAAACTGTAATGTTTCCTTTCAAAGCTAAAATTGTATTATTCTAAATATATTTTAAAGAAGAAATGATTATTGTTCAGTGTCTTTAAAATTGGTTTTTAAAATCTCATTTGTTTTGACATTTCAAACCAAGTTAAGTATTCTTTTTCTCACCCTCCTTGAGACGGAGTCTTCCTCTTTCACCCAGGCTGGAGTGCAGTGGTGTATTCTTGGCTCACTGCAACCTTTGCCTCCCAGGTTCAAGCGATTCTCTTGCCTCAGCCTCCTGACTATCTGGGATTACAGGCACCTGTCACCACGCCAGGCTAATTTTTTGTATTTTTAGTAGAGACGGGGTTTCATCATGTTGGCCAGGCTGGTCTGGAACTCCTGACCTCGTGATCTGCCCACCTCGGCCTCCCAAAGTGCCAGGAATACAGGCATGAACCACCACACCTGGCCATTAACCATTCTTGAAATATCACGTTGCATTCTTTAAAAGTTCTAATCTTTCATATACATAAATTACAACACAAATATTTATACTCTAATAGTATTCACATTATAGTAAATTTTTTTTCATGCTCTGTCGCCCAGGCTGGAGTGCAGTGGTGCGATCTTGTCTCATTGCAACCCTCACCTCCTGCGTTCAAGTGACTGTCCTGCCTCAGCCTCCTGAATACCTGGGATTACAGGCGAATGCCACCACTCCCAGCAAATTTTGTGTATTTTTAGTAGAGACGGGGTTTCACCATGTTGGCCAGGCTGGTCTCAAAATCCTGAGGATGCCTTGGCCTCCCAAAGTGGTGGGATTAGAAGTGTGAGACACCATGCCCAGCCATAATAATAAATTTTATTTTATCTTTTTTTTTGAGACGGAGTTTTGCTAGGGTTGCCCAGGCTGGAGTGCAATGGCTCAGTCTGAGCTCACCACAACCTCCACCTCCCAGGTTCAAACGATTCTCCCGCCTCAGCCTATCGAGTAGCTGCAATTACAGACGTGCGCCACCACGCCTGGCTAATTTTTTGTATTTTAAGTAGAGAAGGGGTTTCTTCATGTTGCTCAAGCTGGTCTCAAACTCCCAACCTCAGGTAATCCACCTGCCTCAGCCTCCCAAAGTGCTGGAATTACAGGTATGACCCACTGCACCTGGCTCATAATAGTACATTTTTAAAAACACCATAAAATATAATCCTTGCAACACTCAATTATACCATCTGGTCGGATCTATCAGCAGATGGCACCCGAGACATACGGATTGGAAATTTTGATCTTATTATGAATGAATCCAGTCCAGAAATGCCCACCCTGCCCCCTGCTGGCTCCTGGGGCTCTGCTCTTTGGGGGAATCATGATAAAATTGTGGCAGAGAGTAGAAGTTGAGCCCCATTGCATGCCCTGAGTTCTTGTTGCCTCTCTATTATCAGGAAAAGGAGGTGAGATTGAAAGATGAAAAGTGCTGGGACTTCTGCTGAGAAGAGAAAAAAGAACAAGATGTATTGATCTTACTGTGTGCCAGACCCCATGCCAAGCCCTAAACATGAACCATCTCATTGGATCCTACCAAGGTCCCATAAGCTGTTGGACATCATCATCCTCATTTTACAGGAAGCTGAGGCTCTTGGCTAACATCCCTGACAGCAACACCAGCCCCTGAGTACTCAGCAGGATCCTTCACTTGGGTGCCCATTATGCAGGCTTCCTCAACACAGGGAAGGTCACTCATCACCCACAGGCCCTTGATCGTTATCCACCCTTTGATGCTGTCAGATTCCAGAACACGCTGCACTAGTCTCTTCCTTCATAGGGAGAGAGGGGATGTGTTATGAGAAAATCTCTCATCAATCTGACCTAGCTCCCCAAAAAGATGTAACTTTTAAAATGTCAGATGGAAATATTTAAAAAGTGTTACATGCCTGTATAGTTTTAGTATTTTACTTAAAGGGAATGTGGCTGTCTTTACTGGCTACAACCAGTTTAATTCAAGAAGGGCTGCTGGTCATCAGGAGAACAAGCAAGGGTTGATGCTGCCCAGAGTCTCCAGCTAATACACAATATGGACATCCCCTTCCAGGGCAGTGGGAAGAGTGTGGCTCCTTGTGCAGTGAAGCTGACATCCACCAACTAAGGCTTCTGGAAGCATGTGGAGACTCACAGGGAGTGGGCAGGGTCTCAGCATCTGGCTAGCAGTGAAAGACGCTGAGAAGAAGGTGCTTTCCGTGTGGATTGGCTCACTGTTTTTGCCCAGTAATGTTCCAGGCCTTTGGTGTCCACCTAGTGTGTATTAACCCACTGAACAGCCACAGAAAGTAACAAGGAGTTAACAGACATCTAAAGAAGTGAAGAACTGGAGGAGGCCAAGCCAAGCGTGGTGGTCCATGCCTATACTCCCTGCATTTTGGGAGGCCAAGGCAGGAGAATCACAAGGTCAGGAGTTACAGATCAGCCTGGGGAAGACAGCGAGGCCTTGTCTCTACTAAAAAGAAGTATCCAGGTGTGTTGGCTCACACAGCTGTAGTCCTAGCTACTCAGGAGGCTGAGGTGGGAGGATCGCTTGAACCCAGGAAATTGAGGCTGCAGTGAGGTATGATTGTGCCACTGCACTGTAGCCTGAGTGACAGGAGACCTTTAAAAAACAAAAAGAAAAAAAAAGCCTGACACAGTGGCTCACACCTGTAATCCCAGCACTTTTGTAGGCCTACTTGCATGAATCACCCAAAGTCAGGAGTTTGAGACCAGCCTGACCAACATAGTGAGGAAACCCTGTCTCTACTAAACATACACAAATTAGCTGGGCATGGTGTGCATGCTTGTAATCCCAGCCACTTGGGAGGCTGAGGCAGGAGAATCATTTAAAGCCCAGGTGGAGGTTGCAGTCAGCTGAGATGGCACCATTGCACTCTAAACTCCAAGCTGGGCAACAAGAGTGAAACTCTGTCTCCAATAAAAGAATGGGAGGAAAGTGATTACAATAACCAAATTTCATTTAAATGCCTTGATTTTCTTGGGCTGCATCTTATTGATTGGACAACTCAGTCAGTGCCTTTTGTTTTTTCCATCAATAACTGAAGATTCCTGAGGCTTAAACTGGAAAACAGGTTACTTAATAATAGAGGGCACCAGACAGATTCTGCTCAGTTTTCCTTTATTTCTGATTGTTTCTTTACAACCATCCATGCAAGAGTAACTCCCTCATGTATTCTCAAGCCTGAATTCCACTCTAGACATTCAGATTCCCATTTTCGAATCTACAGGACACAGGTCCCCAAAGTCCCATCGAATCCATGGCAACATTTCCCCCAAGTCCGGCCCCTGCTTGATCAGCTTTCCTTTCCCACTTTCAGAGCCTATGTGTGAAATGATGGGTTCTGTGCTCCCTTTAGGATGTACCTAAGACCTAGGTTTTAGTTTCCAAGTGTCCAGAAGAAAGCGTTTGACATACCCATCCAAATAGGCAGGCATTCAACAGCAGTATTGATCTGCCTCCAGGTCATAAAATGACCTGTTGCCACAGTCAGGGCAGTAGTCAGTACAGAACAAGATCCTCTTGGGGTGCCTTAAGTCCCTCACTCTGTTCATCAGCTCAGCCCTAATTTGAGCAAATCTGCTCCAGCAGAGAGTACCATCAGCACCATAACTCTCTCGGGGGGCAGGATACAGCTCCACACATAAGTTTTTGAGTATGATTGTGTGGCTCAGCAGGTTCTCCAGGGTGGCCATGCAGATGGGATTTCCACAGAAGCTGAAGGTGTTGAGCTCAAAGCAGCGGCTCAGGGCAGGCAGGATGGCGTTGACTTGGGAGTCTATGATGCCACAGTCATCTAAATCCAGGTACTCAAGGGTGGCTGCAACTTTTTCTAGGAGAATTTGGAGAGGCACAAGACTATAATTGGTCAGTCTGATGCCACTCAGGTCCAGGGTCTTTAGTTGACTGATACTCGGGCACTGGGATAGATGCTTCAAGTCTGATTCCAAAAGCACACAGTTAGTTATTGTGAGGACTTTTAACGAGGTCTTCAGACAGCTGGGGAGAGAGAGCAAGAAGTTAATTCTGGGGAATCATAGGGGTGAGTGGAGGGTGGTGGGGAATGGCTTCAAGGTAATGGATGGAGACCTTTTTGCCCAAGTCCAGGGTCATTCTGATGGCCTGATGGTCAACACTTAGGATGATGCGTGATGAAGAGCTTTGCCACTGAGGTCAATTCCACTTTAGACCCGGCCCAGTAACTCACACCTGTAATCCCAGCACTTTGGGAGGCTGAGACTGGTGGATTCCTTGAGATCAGGAGTTTGAGACCAGCCTGCTGAACATGGTAAAACCTCCTCTCTACTAAAAATCCAAAAATTAGCCAGGTGTGGTGGCGGGAGCCTGCAATTCCAGCTACTTGGGAAGCTGAGGCAGAAGAATCGCTTGAACCCAGGAGGTGTAGGTTGCAGTGAGCAGAGATCATGCCACTACACTCCAGCCTGGGTGACAGAGAGAGACTCTGTTTTGAAAAAAAAAAAAGGAGAAAAAATAATTCCATTTGAGGCTGAGTCACTTCACCATCATTTATAGGAATGGATCAAGTTCACAGAATCCCTAAAGCTCCCTTTCCTCATCTGTCAGGCAGAAAACCACATCCCTGGGCCGCAGGAGCCCAGTGGAGATTCAGGCATAAAGGACAAACCCAGACAGGATCCTGCAACATCAGCTGGGGTGGGCGGGCTGTAGGCATCCCTGACATGCCTGTATCATCAGCAAACCATCTATCACTTTCACCATTCTTTGTGCCTGCTCCCTGACCCTCTGTTTCAGAATCATGCATTGCCTAGATAATTAATTTACCTGGAGCTCAAAAGAAACTTTTACAACAGGGAATTAGAGATGGGATCATTCATGTTCACAAAACTGTGGGGCACAAAGCTGATTTTCTGACATGTGCAGGTTTGCTGAGCATTCCCCTCTTCAGTGCCCACTTCACTTCCCTACTTCCCATCATCTTCTTAAAAATTATCTTGTTGGCTGGGCGTGGTAGCTCTCGCCTATAATCCCAGCACTTTGGGAGTCCATGGTGGGTGGATCACCTGAAGTCAGGAGTTGGAGAATAACCTGGCCAACATGGTGAAACCCTGTCTCTACTTAAAATATAAAAATTAGCCAGGTGTGGTGGCTCACGCCTGTAATCCCAGGCACTCAGGAGGCTGAGACAGGAGAATCGCATGAACCTGGGAGGCAGAAGTCGCTGCGAGCTGAGATGTCACAACTGCACTGTAGCCTGGACGATCAAAGTGAAACTCCATCTCAGAAAAAAAAAGTTATCTTGTTTGTTTTTACTTTTATTTATTCATTTCTGACAGGGGTCTTGGTATGTTACCCAGACTGGTCTTAAACTCCTAGGCTCAAGCTATCCTCTTGCCTCAGACTCCCAAAGTGATAGGATTACAGGCATGAGCCACCGCCCCTGGTGTATTTTTCATCATCTTAACTTAGACACATGTCCTCAGGAAGAATTCAGAAAGGCACCCTCACTAGATCTGAACCCCCCAGTAGCTAGCTTCCTAGCATGGCAGCCTCTCCATAGCATCTCCCCTAGCTGATCCCTCTGCCTCTATTGGGATGGTTGCATGATACCCATTTCAGGACAGGGCCACCAACAGGACAATGCATGGACATTCTAGTGTCCTCTTCACTGTTTCATCCTCATAGGCTGGCTCACAGTAGATGCCCACTAGTGTTGACTGTAACAGGCTCTGCTGTGGTCTGCAGAGAAAGCTCACCATCCTCCCTCACCTGAGCAGCTGGTCCAGGTGGCCTTCGAGGAAAGAAACAGAGTTCATATAAAGCTTTTGGAGGCAGCGCAGCTTGAGGAACTGAGTGGTGAACTGGGTAACAATCTCCTTCTTCTGCTCTGGGGAAACGTAGCGAGAGACATCCATGTGGGAGAGAACGAGCTTCTGAAGATTCCTCATGTGGCCCAGGTATGGGGTAAACTGTGTCAGGATGGGCAGTACCCACTTGCAATTCACTTCCACCTCCTGGATACAGTCTAGGTTCACCATTTTCAGGATGCTTCTGATATTGCGGAAGGGCATTCCCAAAATTTTCAGCTTCTTACAGCACAGGTGTAGTAAATCTTTCCTCTGCTTGACCCATAGAAGGAGGTAGGTGAGGTATTCATCCAGAGTCCTGTTCTTGAGCCAAAGTTCTACGAACACAGTCAAGGGCTGCCGTCCTCTCATCCTTGGACAGTCCTGCACTGGTTTTTTGTTCCTCTTGGCATTGAGGAAGCACCCATGGGCCATAGCTTCAGACCAAACCATCCAGAAGTTCTCACAGACATCCTGTAAATCCAGCACTTGGAGTTTCCACCTCCTGTGGCAAAATAGAGGTGAGACTGAGAATTTAAGAACTCATTTCTGAACTTAAACTCCACATCCTGGATAGCAGCTCCTCCCCTCCCTGCTTGTTGTCCCTCTCTCTGACTTTTCTTCACTCTGTTTTCCCCTTGGATCCTGCCCACTTCCACATTGTTTTGTTTTTTTTTTTTTTTGAGACCAAGTCTCCCTGTGTCGCCCAGGCTAGAGTGCAGTGGTGTGATGTCACCTCACTGCAACCTCTGCTTCCCGGGTTCAAATGATTCTCCTGCCTCAACCTCACAAGTAGCTGGGATTACAGGAACCCACCACCATGCCCAGCTAATTTTTGTATTTGTAGTAGAGTTGGGGTTTACCATGTTGGACAGGCTGGCCTCCAACTCTTGACCTCAGCCTCCCAATGTGCTGGGATTACATTGTGAGCCACCGTGCCCGGCCCAGTTCTCACTTTTCATGGTGCCTTTCAGTGCCATTAGAGGAGAGGTTCCTGTTACCTCCATGGACCTTGCGTGGTGAGCAGTGCTTTCCCTGAGGAGCTGGTGAATGGCCAAGTCCTCTCGGCTTCCTCACCACCACCATCCCCCTTGGGCCTCCTCACTTCACATGACCCAGCTGTTCCTTCAGTTGGACACCTGGGCCCTCCCCACCAGCCCACCTGGGCCACCTCACCTGGGACGAACCCCTTGGGTAAGCAGTGCATCAAGCCCATCGAGCACAGCTTGGAAGGCCTCCAGACAAGGCATCTTTATCAGAGGCCTCAGAGGGAGGCGGCGGAAGGGCCAGGCCTGCACCATCAGCTTCAGGGCCTCACAGCGTCTCCTGCTGAAGGCCTCCATGAACAGTGGGGGGAAAAGTTCTGTGGGCAGCTCCTCCAGGGTGGACATGGCCAAAGCTTGGTCCCTCAGCAGGCTCCGCCCTGCAAGCTCCAGGAGTCTGGGTGGAGTCCGGATGCTCATCTTCATGAATCTGCAGGGAAAACTTCCAGAGGACAAACCCAGAGAAGAGGCATCACTCTCAGGCCAAGCCCATGCAATCTCATCTTCTCCTATGGCCAAACTCACTGCTCTGGCAATGGTGAAAGAGTCCTCAGTTTACTCCAATTCTACTCTGTACTCAGTGGCCATTAAGCCAGCATTCTGCCTCTGCTGCATCAGCATGAGCGTCTCCGAAGCAGTGAGGAAGCAGGGCCACCACTAGCCCTTCCTTTCTATCCAGTGCTCCATCCAGTGACTAGTGAGTATGGAGGAACCTGAAAGTGAACCCCTCCTACCATTGGGGGAAATTACTAATTACTCAAGGATCTAAAACAATGGGAATGGGAGTGTCACAAGCCTACATGCCCACATTTTCAGTTCCTACAAATAAGCTTGTTGGGAACATTCATGGGGCATCCCTAGAACAGGTTCTATTTGTTTTCTTTTCATTATTTAAGCTTGCTTTCTCTTTCTCTCTCTTTCTTCTTTCCTTCTTTCCCTCTCTCCCTCCCTTCTTTCTTTCTTTCCCCCTCTCTCTCCCTTCTTTCTTTCTTGTCTTCTTTCCCTGCCTCCCTTCTCTCATTCTCTCTCTCTTTCTCTCTCTCCCTCTCTCACTCTTTCTGACAGAGTCTTGCTCTGTCACCCAGCCTGGAGTGTAGTGGTGGGATCTCAGCTCAGTGCAGCCTTGACCTCCCAGCTCAAAGGATTCTTCCTCCTCAGCCTCCCAAGTTGCTGGGACCACAGTTATGCATCACCACACCCAGCTCATCTTCTATTTTTTGACTTTTTGTAAAGACAGTGGATTTCGCTATGTTGTCCAAGCTGGTCTTGAACTCCTAGTCTCAAGCAATCTACCCCTCTTGGCCTCCCAACATACTGGGATTATAGGTGTGAGCCTCCACCCCAGCCTCATTATTGAAAATTTCAGTGAGAAGCTTTGAAAGCTATGTGACACTGTTATGCATCATTCGCAAGATAGATGTTTCCAATGCACTCCTGTTACACATGTTCAAACTGAACCATTTTGGCTGGGTGCAGTGACTCACACCTGTAATCTGAGCATTTTGTGAGGCCGAGGCAGGTGGATCATCTGAGATCAGGAATTCAAGACGAGCCTGGCCAACATGGTAAAACCCTGCCTCTACTAAGACAGCAAAAATTAGCCAGGTGCAGTGGTCTGCGCCTGTAGTCCAAGCTACTAGGGAGGCTGAGGTAGGAGGATCACTTGAACCCAGGAGGCAGAAGTTGCAGTGAGCTGACATTATACCACTCCACTCCAGCCTGGGGAATAGGCTAGATTGAACTGAGAGACAGAGAGAGCTACATTTGACTAGACTTCTTAATCTCTACCCAGTTAATCCTTATTGGATTTTTGGCTTTCTTAAAGAATAACTGATCGAATTAGATATTAATCCATCAAAATGAAAGATTTCGGGATAGGGTGAAAGTCCAGGACTCATTCACTGATTCCCTTCACAAACATGGAGTTTTACTAATATGTGTCCTTCAAAGTCCTGAGTGTGAGACAGGGAAGGGTTGAATCTCTTCCTGATATTAGACAGAAAGAAAGAAAACTTGAAATTATCCTTGTTGAGGGATCCTTGGCCACATCAAATTTATCAAAATATTTCAGAGTTAAAACAGTTTTCAAAGACAGAGATGACAGTCCCTAAGAAAACACAATAGAAATCTTCATGTAACCCATGATCACCTGGGTCATATAATTTTTTTTGGTGCTGAGGGAGCTGAGTCTCACATCGTCGCCCAAGCTGGAATGCAGTGGCACCATCTTGGCTCACTGTTACCTCGGCCTCCAAGATTCAAGCAATTCTCATGCTTCAGCCTTCCACATAGCTGGGACTACAGGCATGCACCCCCCACAGCCATGTCTCCATTTGGGTGGAAGAGGATGTGATTGGTTTAAAATTACGGTCAAAGATCCTTTTTGATTGATTTTGTTTTTGTTTTTGGACAGAGTGTCTCTCTTTTGCCCAGGCTGGAGTACAGCAGTGGTATGAGCATGGCTCACTGCAGCCTCAATCTTCTGTGCTCAAGTGATTCTCCCACACCAGCCACCCAAATAGCTGGGACTACAGATGCATGGTGACTCACAGCTGTAATCCCAGCACTTTGGGAGGCCAAGGCAGGTGGATCACTTGAGGTCAGGTGTTCGAGACCAACCTGGCCAGCGTGGTGAAACCCCACCTCTACTAAAAATACAAAACTTAGCCAGGCATGGTTTCAGATGTCTGTGACACCAGCTTCTGAGGATGGAGACTGAGGCATGAGAATTGCTTGAACCCGGGAAGTAAAGGTTGCAGGGAGTTGAGATCGTGCCACTGCACTCCAGTCTGGGCAACACAGTGAGACTCCATCCCCACCCCCAAAAAAAACGTTGTGCAGAGGAGGGTTTTTGTCATGTTGTCCAGGTTGGTCTCAAATCCCTGGGCTGAAATGATCCTCCCACTTTGGCCTCCCAAAGTGTTGGGGTTAAAGGCATGAGTCACTGCTCCCTTCAAGAATTTTAAAATGGCATCAACCAAAGCACAATCAACTTTTTTGAAATAAAGACAGAACTGCATTTAGAGGAAAAAATTCAAAGCTTCCAATTGTTCATATAAAAAAAAAAAAAAAGGACAGGATATAGCTCTGTGCCATCGTAGGCTGCACTGTCACCATCCCAGACCGACTGACTGTAGGTCAGATGGGAGTGTCCTTACAGAAATTAGTGACTTACCAGATCTGGATGTAGTCTAGAAGGTGCTCAGACCTCAGGAAGAACCAAGCAGGAACTCCAGGCTTGAAGACTTTGGGTCTCTCCTGTGGGTCTTTAGAAGCTTTTATTGACCTTTCTAATCACAACTCCCACCCACGCCCCTCCACGTATGCACTGCTAGCTTCCAATCAAAAAGCAATATCTGATTGCATTTGTGAAGCTCCACCCAGTTAATCCTGATTGGGTTTTTGGCTCTCCCCAGATTAATGGATTGAGTCAGATATCCATTCATATCACATATCTGTATTCAGTTCGTGAAGCAAGAAATTGACAGTGTTAGGGATAGGGTAGAAGTCAAGAATACATTCATTCAAGGGTGGGCGAGGTGGCTCATACCTGTAATTCCAGCACTTTGGAAGGAGAAGGTGAGTAGATCACCTGATGTCAGTGGTTCAAGACCAGTCAGGTCAAAAAGGTGAAACCCCGTCTCTACAAAAATACAAAAATTAGCTGGGCATGATGGCAGGCACCTGAAACCCAGCTACTTGGGAGGCTGAGGCAGGAGAATTGCTTGAACCCAGGAGGCAATGGTTGCAGTGAGCCAGAATTGTGCCACTCCACTCCAGTCTGGGTGACAGAGGGAGATTCTGTCAAAAAATAAAAAAATCATTCATTCATGAACTCCACAAACACTGATGGTATTTTATTAATATGTGAACTTCATAGTCTTGAGTGTGAGGCAGGGAAGGATTTGATCTGTTCCCGACATTAGACAGAAAAATAAAATCTGAAAGTAGTGTTGTTAGGGGATCTTTGGCCACATCAAAATATAAAAATGCTTTCTACTTTAAAAAGCTTTATAAAAACAGAGGAGTCATCACTACGATATCAGAATAAAAATCTCAATGTATTCAATGGTCTTTGGGATTTTATATAACCTAAGGTAGCAGATTACATGCTCGTTCTGGTGGAGGAGAGGTGCTACTGAGGGCGTGAGTGGTCTCAGTGCTTAGGTTAAGGCTTCTTTGGAAGAAATTGAAACCACATCGATAAACTTTATAAATTTAATCAGTGAAGAAGGGAGGGAGAGAAACAAAAATAAACCAAGCTTGCAACACATTCAGCATTCATCAGGAGGTCTTCTTGCTCTCTGACCTGGTTCCTCATGGTTGCTGGCAGCCTACTGTTCCAAAATCATATAGACCTTAGATTACAGTTCCCCTTAACTTCCCTGCAGACAACGATTTAAGCATTGTAAAACATTAACTTTTTCATCTGAGATATTCTTTCAGGTTCTGCATGTCAGTGAAACTGCTGATGCCAGCTGATCTGAAGGGCCCTGCAATGCACCAACTCACCAAAGAATGCAGTTTCTACATCCTGTTGACTTCTTCCCTCTTACCGCTACCCCAACTTTCCGGCCCCTTGCTATCCAGGATCCACTGGAAACCTTCAGTACTCCTTGGGGAGATGAATTTGAGGATCTCCTCCTAGCTTCTCATTCAGCCACCTTGTGATCATTAAACTCTCTGCTGCAAACCCTGCTGTCTCAGAATATTGCTAAGCTACTGTGCAGCAGGCATAGGAACCTGATGGTCCTGTAATAAAGTCATGTCAAAATTACAAATGGAAGTGAGGGTGGAGCTGGTCAGGGTTGAGCTGGGTTTTTAATGGGAACCTGGGAGTGAACCAAGACTTGCTGAACATGTTGGGGGTTATTGAGTGGGTGTAAGAGGAATCTATCTAACATTGCACTGATGCCCTTTTGGTTTTAATCCTTATGACCAAGTATGAGTCTTTCAAAACAATTTGTATAATCCTCCTTATTTTTCCTTTCAAACCCTTCAACTTCCTTTATCTCCCCAAATAATCTCGCATCTATTGCCACTTCTTTGCTTACTTCATAATAAACTTTTTTTTTTACAGAGTCTTCTTCTCTGTTAAGTAGACCATATATGTTGTTGCCACACAAGATGAGTAACCTGGTTCTATGGACAGAAAGGGTCAAAAGGATCCCATTCCTCAACAGCTGGGAGTGATGTAAAGGTCATGGTTATTCTTTGTCATATCTGCACCTGCATATTGCCAGTGAAAACTTGCAGGTCACATTGGGCAGGCTTCCAAATTCACCACCTGTGGAAGGTCTTTCGCTTGGCTTACATCTTGTCCCTGAGTAAAGAGTCTGATCGTGAGTTCATGAGTGCTTCAAACTCTACAAGTATTGATGAAGGCTTCCACCCACTGACAGTGAGAAGGCACTGATTTGATGCTGATCATGAAGTTCTGCTGGTTGTCTTGCAAGGAATATGTTTTATTCTTTTATCTTGTCATCTAAAGCCAATGATTGTAACCTGTGTTTGTCCCTTCCAATGGAAAAAACAAAAACAAAAACTCAACTCTATTTGACCCTTGTCAGGTCAATAAAACAAAAGAAAATTTAAAAAAATAATTAATAGGAGGAGTCCCTTTCCCAGCCCGGGCAATAGAGTGAGACTCCATCTCAAAAGGAAAAAAAAAAAAATGGCCAGGCACGGTGGTGGCTCACACCTCTAATCCCAGCACTTCAGGAGGCCAAGGCAGGTAGATCACGATGCCAAAAATTGAGACCATCCTAGCCAACATGGTGAAACCCTGTCTCTGCTAAAAATACAAAAATTAGCTGGGCATGGTGGTGCCCACCCATAGTCCTAGCTACTCGAGAGACTGAGGCATGATAGTCGCTTGAATTCAGGAGGAGGAGGTTGCAGTCAGCCAAGATTTCACCACTGCACTCCAACTTGGTGACAGAGCGAGACTGTCTCAAAACAAACACAAACGAACAAACAAACAAAGAAAAAAGCTGGAAAAATAAATTCTGAAAGAATTTCCATCTCTATGAATTCATCTTCAGAAGTGATAGCATTTCCTGCTTGGCATTTTTTGCCTACATTTTTGGCATAAGATCTATCAACAAAAAGTATGAACCCAGGTTTGTGTAATGGAATATCTTAAACATCAATAGGAGGAGTCAATAGTTCTGATGCCACACACACACATGTATGGTCTTCTCCATCATCAGAAAATGGCAACAAAGTGGTAGAGTTATGCAGAGTGTAGCATTTGAAATGGAGATTTGAAGGTGACAAGGAAAGGATTTTGTAAGACATTAGTGTACAAGTTGAGCAATGTTGGTTCCTGTCACAATATTTTTATTGATTTATTTATTTTATTCATTTATTTTTTGAGATGGAGTCTCGCTCCGTCACCAGGCTGGAATGCAGTGGCACGATCTCAGCTCACTTCGACCTCTGCCTCCCCGGTTCAAGCAATTTTCCTGCCTTAGCCTCCTAAATAGCCGGGACTACAGGTGCATGCCACTACACCTGGCTAATTTTTTGTATTTTTAGTAAAGACGGGGTTTCACCATGTTAACTAGGATGGTCTCAATCTCCTGACTTCGTGGTCTGTCTGCCTTGGCCTCCCAAAGTGCTGGGATTACAGGCCTCAGCCACCATGCCTGGTCGGTTCACATCAAAATTTAAGAGGTATTCAATTGCATATGAAACTTGTAGGCAAAGTTTATTTCTTTTTTCTTTAAAGCATTAATTAATTTATTTATTTATAATGTATTTATTTATTAATTTTTTTTTGAGATGGAGTTTCACTCTTGTTTTCCAGGCTGGAGTGCAATGGTGCGATCTCAGCTCACTGCAACTTCTGCCTCCCGGTTCAAGTGATTCTCCTGCCTCAGTCTTCCAGTTAGCTGGAATTACAGGCACAGGCCACCACACACAGCTAGTTTTTGTATTTTTAGTAGAGACAGAGTTTCACTATGTTGCCCAGGCTGGTCTGGAACTCCTGACCACAGGTGATGCACCCACCTCGGCCTCTGAAAGTGCTGAGATTACAGGCATGAACCACCGTGCCCGGCCTAAACTCATCACTTTTAATACTTTCTACATCACATGAGGAAGAAGAGCAGAAACACTTGAGTACTTCATGAAAGTCAAGGTTGGTATGAGTTTGGGTTCTAATATGATCAATTTCTGCTTCTAGGGAACCAAGCAGTTCAGGTTAAGGAAGGTCAGGAAACTCTAGGGTTTTCTCTCCCTCCAAAGAAAGCTTTACGCATCAACTTAACGGAGAAAGCAAATCTCATCCCCATGTTGTCACTTAATAAAAAGCCATACTTTCCTAAAAATGGTCCAAATGTCATTTGGACTGCTTCAAACACAGGAATTTTCTGAACTTCATGTGAAACCCCTCCTCAGAAATATTTTCCTTTCTCCAAGGGATTTGCTGATATATTGGCTGTACACTGGATATGGCAGCCCTGGTTTCCACCAATTCTGTACCTAAGTCTGCAATGATCTTAATCTCACCTTCTCCATTTTTATTTAAGGCTATTATAGAAAACAATTTACCAGAGAGTTATTTTAAATTCCATCAATATGGAGACATCAGAAATGTCCTCTAGCTGGATGTGGTGGCTCCTGCCTGTAATCCCAGCACTTTGGGAGGCTGAGGTGGTGGAATAACCTGAGGTTGGGAGTTCGAGACCAGCCTAACCAACATGGAGAAACCCTGTCTCTACTAAAAACACAAAATTAGCCAGCTGTGGTGGTGCATGAATGTAATCCCAGCTACTTGGGAGGCTGAGGCAAGAGAATCGCTTGAACTCGGGAGGTGGAGGTTGCAGTGAGCTGAGATCCCACCATTGCACTCCAGCCTGGGCAACAATAGTGAAACTCTACCTTAAAAAAAAAAAAAAAGGCAGAAAAGTAAAGAAAAACAAAAAAGAAATGTCCTCTAATGTGAACAACCTCTGGGACAAAAGCATTCTGTCCAATAGAGACCTGGTGCATAGGTGGACAATTTTCATTCCAATGGCCTGTTTCAAGGGTGGCAGGCAACTCTAGCAGGGTTTCTGTGTTTACACCAAACTGGATTTGAGTTTTAATAGTAAGGGGATCTCCCCCATAAAAAACCAACAGAAAATAATGGATGCTATGAAGAATATGGAGAAATGAGAACCCTGGTACAACATTGGTAGTTATGTAAATTAGTACAGCTACTAAGGAAGGCAGCATGGAGTTTCCTCCAAAAAATAAAAATAGGATTACCATATAAACCATAAATCCCACTGCTGGATATATATCCAGAAAAAAAAAAGAAATATATCCAGGAGATATCTACACTACCATGTTGGTCAGGCTGGTCTCGAACTCCTGACCTCAAGTAATCCACCTGCCTCAGCCTCCCAAAATTCTGGGATTACAGGCATGAGCCACTGCACTCAGCTTGCACTCTCCTATTTATTGTAGCACTATCCACAATAGCCAAAATTTGGAATCAACATAAGTGTCCATCAACAGATGAATGGATCAAGAAAATGTGGTAAATATACACAACAGAATATCATTGAGCTGTAAACATGAAGGAAATCCTGTCATCTGCGACAACATGGATGGAACTGGAGGGCGTTATGTTGAGTGAAGTAAGCCAGATACAGAAAGACAAACATGGCATGTTTGCACTCATATTTGGGAATTAAAAAACACGAAACTTAAAAATAGTAAAATGACGGTTATCAGAAGCTAGGAAGGGTACTGGGAAATAGAGAATAAGAAGGGGATGGTTAATGGGAACAAAAACACAGACAGGAATAAGATCTAGGGTTCAGTAGCACAATAGGGCAACTCGTGTTGACAATAGTTCATAGTAAATTTCTACATAATTAAAACAATGGAATTGGAATGTTGCTAACACAAAGAAATGATAAATTCTTGAGATGGTGGCTATTCCTGTTACCATGATTTGAACATTACACATTTTATGCTTATATCAGAATTTCAGGCCAGGTGCAGTGACTAATGTCTACAATCTGAGCACTTTGGGAGGCTGAGGCGGATGGTTTGCCTGAAGTCAGGAGTTCAAGACCAGCCTGGTCAACATGGTGAAACCCCCGTTTCTACAAAAAATACAAAAAATAGCCAGGCATGGTGGCGGGTCCCTGTAGTTCCAGCTACTCAGGAGGCTGAGGCAGGAGAATTGCTTGAACCCAGGAGGCAGATTTCTAGAGACTTCTGATGTATAAATGTCTAAAACAGGTTGATCAATCATGGAAGACACCAGAAAGTTTCCATTCAGGTTCCATTTATTTTTGACATTTTTAAATAACCATCCTTGCAGGGGTAAGTCCTGCATCACTCTAGAACTTCAGGTTCCATTTCTAAGTCTAGGACACAGGTCCCTGAAGGCCTCATTGATGCCAAGTCAGCATTTTTACCCAGTCCTGCCCCTGGCTGAGTCACCTTTGTTTTTCCACTCACAGTGAGCACGTGCCTCAAATACGTGGCTGTGTGCTTCCTTTAAGAAGCGGGTGACCGGGCCCTGCTGCTCACACCTGTAAACCTGGCACTGTGGAAGGCCAAGGTGGTCAGATCACTTGAGGTCAGGAGTTTGAGGTCAGCCTTCGCCAACATCGTGAAGCCCTGTCTCTACTAAAAATACAAAAATTAGCCAGGCGTGGGGGCATACACCCACAACACCAGCTACTTGGGAGGCTGAGGCAGGGGAATCACTTGAACCCAGGAGGTGGTGCTTGCAGTGAGCTGAGATTGTGCCACTGCACTTCATCCTGAGGGACACAGTGAGACTCTGTCTCAAAAAATAAAATAAAATAAAATAAAAATAAAATAAAATAAAAAATATAAAAAATAAAATAAAATTTTAAAAAATGCACCCATGTACAATATTTTAGTTCCCAAGTGTCCAGAAAAAAGCTTATCCATCCCACGAACCAGGCCTTCCCTAGGAGCAAAGATGGAAGTCCACTTTCTCAGATGGCCATGAGCCACAGGTAGGGCAAGGGACGGGACCAAAGAAGATCCTCTTGGGCTGCCTGACTTCCCTGAGTGTACGCATCAGCTCAGCCCGAATTGGGGTGAGGATCTCCCAATTGACATGACCCTTGTAGTCAAGACTCTCCAGAGGGGCAGGATACAACTCCAGGCCTAACTTGCTCAGCCCACGTGTGTGACGCAGCAGGTCTTTCAGAGCATTCATGGAGGTCTCATTTCCATGAAAGTTGAAGGTGGTGAGCTGGGAACAGTGGCTCAGGGCAGGCAGGAGGACCCTGAGTTGGGGGTCCTGGATCCGACAGTCCTTTAAGACGAGGGTCTTGAGAGTAGCAGCAACTTTCTCTAGCAGAGCTCCAAGGGGCTGAAGATTGGTGGTCCACATTAGGATATGAATCAGACGCAGCTCCTTTAGCTGACTGAGGCTTGGGTACTGAGACAGACACTCCATGTCCCGATCAGCTAGGTAAGCATCACTGAATATAAAGGCCCCCAAGGGGTTCTTGAGGTACCTGGGGAGAGCAAGAAGTTAGTTATGGGCAATGGTGCCAGTTAGAGGAGGGGGGTGGGAAATCATCTCAATGGTAAACTTGAAGTGGGCATTGAGTAATTCTGCACCTTACTACCACACAGGTGTTATAGTAACTGCAATGGGGAAGCCTGTTTCACCCAAACACAAGTTTGTTCCCATCATCAGATGATGGTCTGCATGCAAGGTGCTGCCTGATGAAGACTCAGATCATTCAGGGGCCACTCCATTTTAGGCTCAGTCCTTTCACCCTTGCCTGTGTGATTGGTACCACTCTCACACCTAGTCCCTCACCCTCCATCCCAGAAGCATGCACTTCTGATATCAATTATCTTTCCTGGAGTTCAAAACAACGTTTTACAGACAGGGAATTAGAGCAGTTTGCTAAGCTGCTGAAGACAGAGCTGCTACTGTGGAATGCACAGGTTTGATGTACTTTCTCTTTTTTTTTTTTTGAGACAGTCTCACATTGTAACCTAGGCTGGAGTGTAGTGGCACCGACTCAGCTCACTGCAGCCTCCACTTCCCTTGCCTCAGTCTCCCAAGCAGCTGGGATTACAGGTGCCTGTCTGCATGCCCGGTGACATTTTTTTTTTGTATTTTTATTAGAGACGGGGATTCACTGTGTTGGCCAGACTGGTCTCAAATTCCTGACCTCATGATCTCCCTGCCTTGGCCTCCCGAAGTGCTGGGATTACAGGCATGAGACACCACAACCGGCCACACCTTCCCTTCTTTCATACCATCCTCTGTATGAAGAATGTGTTTTCATCATATTAACTTTATACACTGTTCCTCACAAGGAGTTCACAAATGCACCCTCACTAGATCTGAACCCTCAACTAACCGGCTCCCTACACACCTCTCTCTGTGGCATCTACCCCAGGCCATCCCTCTGCCCTTATTTGAGTGGTCTTGTGATACCCACTTCAGGATATAGAGCACTGAAGAGCATAATGAGTTGACATTCTAGCGTCCCATTCCCTATGACATCACCGGTGGCTGGCACACAGTAGATGCCCACTAACATTTACTGTGAAAAAGAACATAAGTCTGTGGTATGGTCTGCAGAGAAAGCTCACCATCATTTCTTACCTGAGCAGGTGCTCCAGGTGCTCTTTGATATTACTGATCTTTTTTATATAAAGCATCTGGGGGTAGTACAGGCAGAGGAATGGAGAGTCCAAGTCAGGAATGCACGGCCACTGGACGCTCACGTACAACTCACGCTCATAACCGAAGGCTAAAAAGAGTTCACGAAGATTGCTCATCTGGCTCAGGTAAGGGGCAAACTTTCCCGTTTTATTGAGAGAGCACTTTTTCCAGACTTCCAACTCCTGGATACTGTCTGGGTATATCCTTTCCAATAGATTTCTGAAACTTGAAGTGGGCATTGAGTAATTCTGCACCTTACTACAACACAGGTGCACTAGGCCTCTTCTGTAGTGGATCCACCCAAAAAGGTAGCTCAGGCATTCATCCAGTGTACTTTCCTTTAGGCAGAGGTCTATGAACACCTTCAAGGGCTGGTGCTCTCCCATCCTTGGACAGTCCTCCACTGTCTGCCTCTTACTCATGGCCTCTGGGGAGCAGGAGAGGACCCTGGCTCCAGACCATATGGTCCAGAAATTCTCATCAACATCCTGCAAATCCAGCACTTGAAGTTTCCACCTCCTATGAGTAACATAGGGGAAAAGCTCAGAATGTAGGCAAGGACCCACCCCTGACCTGAGCTTTCACTCCACATCCAGGACATCAGTCAGCTGCTCCTGTCCTCAGTGCTCCTCCTTCTGTCTCTTCTCCATCCTGCTCCCTCTTGGATTCTGCCTGGTACCCACTTCTAGTACCTTTACTTTCTGCTGGGAGGAAGCAAGCTCCTGTTTCCTCAGTGGACCCTGTATGGTGAGCAGACCTTTTCCAGAGGATCTGGGCAATGGCCAAGGCCTCTCATGGGCACCGTCAGAAGCCTCTGAGCCACCCTAGCTCCCCAACCCCACCACTCCTCCTGAGCCAGCTGTCCCTTCCCTGGATGCCTGGACCCTTCCCCGAAAGCCACCTGAGTCACCTCACCTGGGGCGAACCTTCTGGGCCACCAGTGTATCAAGTCCCCTCAGGACAGCTTGCAAGGTCTCCAGATGAGGTGTCTTCATCAGGGATCCCAGAGGGAGGCGGAGGAAGGGCCAGGCCTGCACCATCAGCTTCAGGGCCTCAAAACGTCTCATGCTGAAGGCCTCCATGAACATCAGAGGGAAGACCTCCCTGGGCAGCTCATCCAGGGTGAAGATGGTCAAGAACTGGTTCCTCAGCAGGCTCTGCCCTGCCAGCTCCAGCAGTCTGGATGGGGCCTGGAGGCTCATTCTGACAAATCTCCGAGGAAAAACTCTAGAGGACAATCAAGTGAAAAGGCAAGTTTCTCGGGCCATTCCCCAGCAAGCCCCACTTCTCCTAGGGCCAAAGTCATTTCTCTAGCACGTGTGAAAGAGCCCTCAGTTTACTCCAATTCCGTTCTGCAATAAGTGGCTACAGAGGCATGGTTCTGCCCTTCTGGTACCAAGAAGAGTGTGTCCCAACCTCTAAAGAGCAGGCAAGATCCCTCCTAGTCCATGAATTATTAGCCACTGTTGCAATAAACTCATAGCACTGGGAAATGTTACCGAGGATCTCTGAAGCTCGGATCTCATGCCCAGCTAATCTTTTATTTTTTGACTTTTTGTAAAGACAGTGGGTTTCACTATGTTGTCCAGGCTGGTCTTGAACTCCTAGACTCAAACATTCCACCCGCCTTGGCCTCCCAAAGTACTGGGATTACAGGCGTAATCCTCTTCCCGGACTCATTATTGAAAATTTCACCAAGAAGCTTTGAAAGCTGTGTGACAGTGTTATGCATCATTCGCAAGACACAGATGTTTCCAATACACACCTCTTACGCATGTTCAAAATGAACCACTTTGGCTGTGCGCAGTGACTCACACCTGTAATCCCAGCACTTTGGGAGGCAGAGGCATTGGATTATCTGAGGTCAGGAGTTTGAGACCATCCTGGCCAACATGGTAAAACACTACCTCTACTAAAATTACAAAAATTAGCCAGGTGCAGTGGTCTGCGCCTATAGTCCAAGCTACTAGGGAGGCTGAAGCAGGAGGATCGCTTGAACCCAGGAGGCATAGGTTGCAGTTAGCTGAGATTATACCACTACAATCCAGCCTGGGAAATTGGCTAGATTCAAAAAAGAGAGAGAGAGAGAGAGAACTACATTGGATTAGACTTCTTAAGCTCCATCCAGTTAATCATGATTGGATTTTTGTCTTTCTTCCAGATTAACTATCAAATTAGATATTCATCCATGAAAGTGAAATATTTAGGGATATGGTGAAAGTCCAGGACTCATTCACTGATTTACTCCACAAACATGGAATTTTAGTAATATGTGACCTTTGTAGTTCTGAGTGTGAGATAGGGAAGAGTTGAATCTCTTCCTGACATTAGACAGAAAGAAAAAAACTCGAAAGTATCTTTGTTGAGAGATCCTTGGCCACATCAAATTTATCAAAATATTTCAGAGTTAAAACAGTTTTACAAAGATAGACATGACAGTCCCTAAGAAAACACAGTAGAAATCTTCATGAATCCAATGATCACCTGGGTGGTATAATTTAATTTTTTTCGTGTCGGGGTAGCTGAGTCTCACTTCATCACCCAGGCTGGAGTACAGTGGTGCCATCTCAGCTCACTGTAACCTCTGCCTCCCAGGTTCAAGTGATACTTATGCTTCAGCCTTCCATGTAGCTGGGATTACAGGCATGCACCTCCACACCCATGTCTCCGTTTGGGTGGAAGAGTTACAATGAGGATGTGATTGGTTTAAAATTAAGGTCAAAGATCCTCTTTGGTTAAGATTTTTTTTCTTTAATAGGGCCTCGCAATGTTGCCCAGGCTGGAGTACAGCAGTGGTATGAGCATGGCTCACTGCAGCCTCAATCTTCTGGGCTCAATTGTTTCTCCCATGTCAGCAACCCATACAGTTGGGAAGACAGATGCATGCTACCATGCCCGGCTAATTAAAAAATATGTATATTTTGTAGAGGCCAAGCACCAGTGGCTCATGGCTGTAATCCCAGCACTTTGGGAGGCCAAGGCAGGTGGATCACTTGAGGTCAGGAGTTTGAGACCAACTTGGCCAGCATGGTGAAACCCCACCTCTACTAAAAATACAAAAAGTAGCCAGGCAAGTTGGCAGTTGGATGTAATACCAGATACTCAGGAGGCTGAGGCATGAGAATTGCTTGAGCCTGGGAGGCAGAGGTTGCAATGATTTGAGATCGTGCCACTGCACTCCAGCCTTGGAAACAGAGCGAGACTCCATCCCCCCTTCAATAAAGAATATTTTATAGAGATGGGTTTTTGCCGTGTTGTCCAGGTTGGTCTCAGACCCCTGGGCTGAAATGATCCTCCCGCCTTGGTCTCCCAAAGTGTTGGGGTTAAAGGCATGAGTCACTGCTCCCTTCAAGAATTTTGAAATGACATAAACCAAAGCACAATCCAATTTTTTGAAATAAAGACAAAACTGCATTTAGAGGAAAAAATGCAAAGCTTCAAATTGTTCATATGAGAAAAAAAACAAAACAGGATATAACTCTATGCCATCTTAGGCTGCACTGTCACCATCCCAGACCAGCTGACTGTAGGTCAGTTGGGAGTGTCCTTACAGAGAGATTAGTGACTTACCAGATCTGGACTCAGTTTGGAGGGTGCTCAGACCTCAGGAAGAACTAAGCAGGAACTCCAGACTTGAAGACTTTGGGTCTCTTCTGTGGGTCTTTAGAAGCTTTTATTGACCTTTCTAATCACAACTCCCACCCACACCCCTCCACGTATCCACTGCTAGCTTCCAATCAACAAGTGATATCTGATTGCATTTCTGAAGCTCCACCCAGTTAATCCTGATTGGGGTTTTGGCTCTCCCCAGATTAATGGATTGAATCAGATATCCATTCATATCAGATATCCATATTAAGTTCATGAATCAAGAAATTGACAGTGTTAGGGATAGGGTGGGAATCAAGAATGCATTCATTCAAGACCGGGCAAGGTGGCTCACTCCTGTAATCCCAGCACTTTGGGAAGACAAGTTGGGTGGGTCACCTGAGTTCAGACATTCAAGACGAGCCAGGCCAACAAGGTGAAACCCCGTCTCTACAAAAATACAAGAATTAGGCAGGGACGATGGCACATGCCTGTAATCCAGCTACTCAGGAGGCTGAGGTGGGAGAATCGCTTGAACCCAAGAGGCAATGGTTGCAGTGAACCAAGATTGCACCATTGCACTCCACTCTGGGTGACAGAGGGAGAATTTGTCGGAAAAAAAAAATTCATTCATTCGTGAACTTCACAAACACTGATGGAATTTCACTAATATGTGACCTGCATAGTCCTGAGTCTGAAGCAGGGAAGGGTCTAATCTTTCCCAGATATTAGACAGAAAACTAAAATCTGAAAGTAGTATTGTTGGGAGATCTTTGGCCACATCAAAATCACAAAAATGTTTTATAGTTAAAATAGCTTTATAAAAACAGAGGAGTCGTCCCTACAAAATCAAAATAAAAATCTCCATGTATTGAATGGTCTTGTGGGTTTTATATCACCTAAGGTAGCAATTTTTTCACTCCTGCTGGTGGAAGAGAGGTGCCACTGAGGACCTGAGTGGTCTCAGGGCTTAGGTTAAGGTTACTCTGGAAGAAATTGCAACCATACTTATAAACTTTATAAATTTAATCAGTGAAGAAGGGAGGGGGAGAAACAGACATAAACCAAGCTTGCAGTGCATTCAGCATTCATCATGAGGTCAGCTTGCTCTCTGACCTGCTTCCTCATGGTTGCTGGCAGCCTGCTGTCCCAAAATCATGTAGACCTTAGATTACAGTTGCCCTTAACTGCCCTGCAGACAACAATTTAGGCCTTGTAAAACATTAACTTTTTCATTTGACATATTCTTTCAGGTTCTGCATGTCAGTGAAGCTACTGATGGCAGGTGATCTGAAGGGCCCTGCAAGGCACCAACTCACCAAGGAATGCAGTTTTGACATCCTGATGACTTCATACCTCTTACTGCCACCAAACTGCACCAACTTTCCAGCCTCTTGCTATCCATGATCCTCTGAAAACTCTCAGTACTTCTTGGGGAGATGAATTTGAGGGTCTCCTCCCAGCTTTTCATTTTGCCACCCTGTGATCGTTAAACTCTCTGCTGCAAACCCTGCTGTCTCAGAATATTAGTATGCTACTGTGCTGCAGGCATAGGAACCTGATGGTCCTGTAAAAAAAGTCATGTCAAAATTACAAAGGGAAGTGAAGGTGGAGGCTGGTCAGGGTTGAGCTGTGTGTTTTAATGGGATCCGGGGAGTGAACCAAGACTTGGTAAACATGTTGGGGGTTATTGAGGGCGTGGAGGAGGAATCTTTCCAACATTGCACTGAGGCCCCCTTGGTGTTGATACTTGTGACCAAGAATGAGTCTTCCAAAACAGTGTATGTAATTCTCCTGATTTTTCCTTTCAAAACCTTTGTCTTCCTTTACCTCCCTGAATAATCTCACATCTATTCCCATTGCTTTGCTCATTTCATAATAAAAATCCTTTTTTTTTAAAAAAGAATCTCTTTCTCTGTGAAGTAGACCATATATTTTATTGCCACACAACATGAGTAGCCTGGTATTATGGAGAGAAAGGGTCAAAAGGATCCCATTCCCCACCAGCTGGGGGTGATATAAAGGTCCTGGTTATTATTTGTCATATGTGCACCTGCATATTGCCAGTGAAAACTTACAGGTCACATTTTTCAGGAGTCCAAATTAACCACCTGTGGAAGGTCTTATGATTGGCTTACATTCTGTCCCTGAGTAAAGAATCTGATCTTGAGTTCATGAGTGCCTCAAACTCTGCAATTATTGATGAAGCTTCACCCACTTACAGTGAGAAGGACACTGATTTGATTCTGATCATGAAGTTTCACTGGTTGTCTTGCAAGGAAAATGTTTAACTTGTTATGTTGTCAGCTAAAGTCAATGATTGTAACCTCTGTATTGTACCTTCCAATGGAAAAAACAAAAACAAAACAAAAACTCAACTCTATTTGAGCCTTGCCAGGTCAGTAAAACAAAAGAAAATTTAAAAAAAAAGCTGATAGGAGGAGTCTCATTCCCTTCTTTTAACTTTTCTCACAAAAGCATTCCAACTTGTAACAGACTTTGGAACACACCCACTTTGTTGGTCTGTGTCTTCCACATTGATTCTCACATTTAGCTTCCAATGAAGATTTATTTAATTATTTCTGCCTTAAGCGCCTTACCTTCCACTGACACCAGGTTGCATGGTGACAGTTTGAACTGGGGTGGGATGAAAAAATATTTTTATGAATTTTATTATATAATCCTTGCATGTCATCTCCATTGAAGAATGAATAGGGTCTTCTCCAAATATGTGCTGAGTATGGATGCATCCAATAAATGAAACTATTGTTTATTTCATATGGTAGAGCTATAGATGCATTCTATTTGCCTCGAGTTTCCAATGAACAAATGTCTAGTTTCAGTAAGTTCTCTGATTATATGGCAGAGGATAACATGGTCATGTTCTGATTCTGTGTCTATGTCAATACTTATAGCATTTCAGTCTTCATAATGTGTGTCAAATGAAAGAGTTTGATTCCAAGGGGAGTCTGGGACACTACCTAGATTAGACCCGGTTACACTAATGTTTCCTATGCATGGAGATAAGTTACAAGTAATGAAATCAACAATAGTCATAGGCCACCCATTTGCATCTATAGCTTCTGCTCAGTGCCAAGTCATTTAATTATCAATATTAACCAACCGTGTGTGAGAGCAGGTTCTACTATTAGTTGTGATCCTTCCCATTCATCTAAATGACTCCATAGCCAGTAATTGCTTTGGTTAGTGAGAGTGGCTAAATTTTGAATAGGAGAACTTAGAAAGTGTTTGCTTTGACTGGTGAAAGTACGTAACAAAATAAAATGTAGGCTTGATCATTTTGTGTTAATACAAAACAAAACCAAGTCTCAGTCAGTGGAAGGAGATCAAATGGAGTTTTGTCCCATTTTCTTAAAAAAGCTGTCTACCATGTGATGATGTCTGCTTCTAAGAAAGACTTTGTTCCTTGGTTATCCTTAATTTTAAGTCACCTGGTATGGTCCCATCCAATGCTGCTCATGGGCAGATTTCCCTTGGTGTCATTTTAAAAGATGCAGTCTCCAAATGGTAGGGCATGAAGGTCCAGTGATCATCGAAACCCTCCTTCACCAACTGGAAATAGGCTTTGAAAGGTCTTGCAGTACTGAGTCATATTGTTACTGAACGATGGGCTCACTCTCCTAAGTGCATAGAAAAGCAAAAAAGGCTGGGCATGGTGGCTGACACCTATATTTGCAGCACTTTAGGAGGCCAAGGTAGGCGGATCACAAGGTCAGGGGTTCGAATCCAGCCTGGCCAATATGGTGAAACCCTGTCTCTATGAAAAATACACAAATTAGCTGGGTGTGATGACCCATGTCTGTAATCCCAGCTACTTAGGAGGCTGAGGCAGAAGAATCACTTGATCCTGTGAGGCAGAGGTTGCAGTGAGTCGAGATTGCACCTCTGCACTCCAGCCTGGGTGACAGAGCAAGACTCCATTTTGGGAAAAAAAAATTTATTAACAGTTAACTGGGCTGGGCACAGTGGCTTATACCTGTAATCCCAGCACTTTAGGAGGCCAAGGTGGGCGGATCACAAGGTCAGGAGCTCCAGATCAGCCTGACCAATATGGTGAAACTCCCTCTCTATTAAAAATACAAAAATTGCTCTCCCTCTCCCTCTCCCTCTCCCTCTCCCCACGGTCTCCCTCTCCCCACGGTCTCCCTCTCCCCACGGTCTCCCTCTCCCTCTCTTTCCACGGTCTCCCTCTGATGCCGAGCCGAAGCTGGACTGTACTGCTGCCATCTCGGCTCACTGCAACCTCCCTGCCTGATTCTCCTGCCTCAGCCTGCCCAGTGCCTGCGACTGCAGGCGCGCGCCACCACGCCTGACTGGTCCTCGTATTTTTTTGGTGGAGACGGGGTTTCGCTGTGTTGGCCGGGCTGGTCTCCAGCTCCTAACCACGAGTGATCCGCCAGCCTCGGCCTCCCGAGGTGCCGGGATTACAGACGTAGTCTCGTTCACTCAGTGCTCAATGTTGCCCAGGCTGGAGTGCAGTGGCGTGATCTCAGCTCGCTACAACCTCCACCTCCCAGCCGCCTGCCTTGGCCTCCCAAGGTGCCGAGATTGCAGCTTCTGCCCGGCCGCCACCCCGTCTGGGAAGTGAGGAGCGTCTCTGCTCGGCCGCCCATCGTCTGAGATGTGGGGAGCGCTTCTGCCCCGCCGCCCCTTCTGGGAGGTGAGGAGACCCTCCACCTGGCAGCCGCCCCGTCTGAGAAGTGAGGAGCCCCTCCACCCGGCAGCCACCCCGTCCGGGAGGGAGGTGGGGGTCAGCCCCCGCCAGGCCAGCTGCCCCGTCCGGGAGGGAGGTGGGGGGTCAGCCCCCCGCCCGGCCAGCCGCCCAGTCCGGGAGGTGAGGGGCGCCTCTGCCCGGCCGCCTCTACTGGGAAGTGAGGAGCCCCTCTGCCCGGCCATCACCCCGTCTGGGAGGTGTACCCAACAGCTCATTGAGAATGGGCCATGATGACAATGGCAGTTTTGTGGAATAGAAAAGGGGGAAAGGTGGGGAAAAGATTGAGAAATCGGATGGTTGCCATGTCTGTGTAGAAAGAAGTAGACATGGGAGACTTTTCATTTTGTTCTGTACTAAGAAAACTTCTTCTGCCTTGGGATCCTGTTGATCTATGACCTTACCCCCAACCCTGTGCTCTCTGAAACATGTGCTGTGTCCACTCAGGGTTAAATGGATTAAGGGTGGTGCAAGATGTGCTTTGTTAAACAGATGCTTGAAGGCAGCATGCTCGTTAAGAGTCATCACCACTCCCTAATCTCAAGTACCCAGGGACACAAACACTGCGGAAGGCCGCAGGGTCCTCTGCCTAGGAAAACCAGAGACCTTTGTTCACTTGTTTATCTGCTGACCTTCCCTCCAGTATTGTCCTATGACCCTGCCAAATCCCCCTCTGTGAGAAACACCCAAGAATGATCAATATATAAATAAATAAATAAATATACAAAAATACAAAAATTAGCTGGGCATGGTGGTGCATGCCTGTAATCCCAGCTACTGGGGAGGCTGAGGCAGGAGAATCACTTGAACCTGGAAGGCCAATGTTGCAGTGAGCTGAGATCATGCCACTGCACTCCAGCCTGGGCAACAGAGTGAGACTCTGTCTCAAAGAAAAAAATAAAAATAAAAATAAAAAAGAGTTAACTGACAAGCAGATAGGAGACAAGTTCTAAACCTGTCTCCCCAATCTGGGGATGGTGGAGCAAGCTTGCATCATCTCTCCAACTGGTTTCAGATGATGCCAATTCAAACAGTCCGCCTGGCTGTGTTAATAGTTAAGAGGTTAAACCTTTTTCCCATCGGACATGCCTGAGCAATTTGGGCTTTGCGTCATCACCTGTAACAACTTAAGCAATGACTAATCTGTTGGAGTTGATCCTCTGGTTACATGATCAGAGCTAAAAAGTGCAGGGGATACATAATGTTCTATTATCAAAGGCATAGGTTCTCCAGTAAATACTTAATTATCAGTGTTTCTGATTGCAGTTGGTGAAAAAAAAATACCTTATGGGGGATCTGGCTGTGTTTTCCCATAGGGGGTGGTAAAAATTTCATTAAAGTAATCCAGTCTTGCTGGACATGATGGCTCACACCTGTAATCTCAGCACTTTGGGAGGCCGAGGCTGGTGGATCACTTGAGGCCAGGAGTTGAGCAATCTGGGCAACATGGTGAAACCCCGTTATCTACTAAAAATACAAAAATTAGCTGGGTGTGGTGGTATGCCTGTAATCCCAGCTACTTGGGAGGCTAAGGCATGACAATCACTTGAACCCAGGAGGCAGAGGTTGCAGTGAGCTGAGATAGCACCACTGAACTCCAGCCTGGGTAACAGAGACTCTGTCTCAAAAAAAAAAAAAAAAAAAATTAACCCAGTCTCCTTTGTTAGTTTAGCTAATTTTAGTTTCAAGATACCATTTCTTCACTCGACCTTTGTAGAATACCAAGGATAATGAAGTTAATGGTAGTGCCATTGGATCTGAAAAATCTTATCTGTGTGATCACCTGCCCAGTAAACGGAGTTCTCCTACCACTGGAGATTTCTCCAGAGATGCCCCAGAAAGGAAACACATTTTATAACCATTTATTCACTATGGCTGTGGCATCAGCCTTTCTAAAAAGGTAAGCTACAACCCATCCTGAAAACAGACACACAATCACAAGAATTGTAGCCTTTTTACATGGCTCACTGACATCATTGGTCCATGACATTCCCCTTTCTTGCAGCTATATGTGTGTATGTCTATCTATTCCTATCTATATCTATACTTAATTTTTATTACCATGATTCACTTCCACTCCCCTTTCCATAGATAGCCACTCTACTCTTTGACCTAGCCTTGAATTTGCATGTGACCTCTTAGAATATAAGTATATAGAAAGTATTTAGAATATATACTTAAGATGGCTGAATAGGAACAGCTCCAGTCTACAGCTCCCAGCATAAGTGATGCAGAAGATGGGTGATTTCTACATTTCCAACTGAGGTACCAGGTTCAACTCACTGGGGAGTGCCAGACAGTGGGTGCAGGACAGTGGGTGCAGTGCACCGTGCGTGAGCTGAAGCAGGGCGAGGCATCGCCTCACCTGGGAAGCACAAGGGGTCAGGGAATTCCCTTTCCTAGTCAAAGAAAGGGGTGACAGATGGCACCTGGAAAATCAGGTCACTCCCACCCTAATACTGCGCTTTTCTAATGGGCGTAACAACTGCACACCAGGAGATTATATCCCACACCTGGCTTGGAGGGTCCTGTGCCCACGGAGCCTTGCTCATTGCTAGCACAGCAGCCTGAGATCAAACTGCAAGGCGGCAGCAAGGCTGGGGGAGGGGCCCCCACCATTGCCGAGACTTGAGTAGGTAAACAAAGCAGCCCAGAAGCTGGAACTGGGTGGAGCCCATCACAGCTCAAGGAGGCCTGCCTGCCTCTGTAGACTCCACCTCTGGGGGCAGGGCACAGACAAACAAAAGAAAGCAATAACCTCTGCAGACTTAAATGTCCCTGTCTGACAGCTTTGAAGAGAGTAGTCGTTCTCCCAGCATGCAGCTTGAGATCTGAGAACGGGCAGACTCCCTCCTCAAGTGGGTCCCTGACCCCCGAGTAGCCTAACTGGGAGGCAACACCAAGTAGGGGCAGACTGACACCTCACACAGCTGGGTACTCCTCTGAGACAAAACTTCCAGACGAAAGATCAGACAGCAGCATTTGCGGTTCACCAATATCCACTGTTCTGCAGCCTCTGCTGCTGATACCCAGGCAAACAGGGTCTGGAGTGGACCTCCAGCAAACTCCAACAGAACTGCAGATGAGAGTCCTGACTGTTAGAAGGAAAACTAACAAACAGAAAGGACATCCACACCAAAAACCCATCTGTACATCACCATCATCAAAGACCAAAGGTAGATAAAACCACAGAGATGGGCAAAAAACAGAGCAGAAAAACTGGAAACTCTAAAATTCAGAGTGCCTCTCCTCCTCCAAAGGAACGCAGCTCCTCACCAGCAATAGAACAAAGCTGGATGGAGAATGACTTTGATGATTTGAGAGAAGAAGACTTCAGAAGATCGAACTACTCCGAGATAAAGGAGGAAGTTGGAACCAATGGCAAAGAAGTTAGAAACTTTGGGAAAAAATTAGACAAATGGATAACTAGAATAACCAATGAAGAGAAGTTCTTAAAGGACCTGATGGAGCTGAAAACCATAGCATGAGAATTATATGACGAATGCACAAGCCTCATTAACATATGCAATCAACTGGAAGAAAGGGTATCAGCGATGGAAGATGAAATGAATGAAATGAAGTGTGAAGAGAAGTTTAAAGAAAAAAGAATAAAAAGAAAAAAACAAAGCCTCCAAGAAATATGGTACTATGTGGAAAGACCAAATCTATGTCTGACTGGTGTACCAGAAAGTGGTGGGGAGAATGGAACCAAGCTGGAAAACACTCTGCAGGATATTATCCAGGATAACTTCCCCAATCTAGCAAGGCAGGCCAACATTCAAATTCAGGAAATACAGAGAATGCCACAAAGATACTCCTCGAGAAGAGCAACTCCAAGACACATAATTGTCAGATTCGCCAAAGTTGAAATGAAGGAAAAAATGTTAAGGGCAACCAGAGAGAAAGGTCGGGTTACCCACAAAGGGAAGCCCATCAGACTATCAGCTGATCTCTTGGCAGAAACTCTACAAGCCAGAAAGAGAGTGGGGGCCAATATTCAACATTCTTAAAGAAAAATATTTTCAACCCAGAATTTCATATCCAGCCAAACTAAGCTTCATAAGTGAAGGAGAAATAAAATACTTTACAGACAAGCAAATGCTGAGAGATTTTTGTCACCACCAGGCCTGCCCTAAAAGAGCTCCTGAAGGAAGCACTAAACGTGGAAAGGAACAACCAGTACCAGCCACTGCAAAAACATGCCACGTTGTAAAGACCATCAAGGCTAGGAAGAAACTGCATCAACCAATGAGCAAAATAACCAGCTAACATCATAATGACAGGAACAAATTCACACATAACAATACTAACCTTAAATATAAATGGGCTAAATGCTCCAATTAAAAGACACAGACTGGCAAATTGGATAAAGAGTCAAGACCCATCAGTGTGCTGTATTCAGGAAACCCATCTCACGTGCAGAGACACACATAGGCTCAAAATAAAGGGATGGAGGAAGATCTACCAAACAAATGGAAAACAAAAAAAGGCAGGGGTTGCAATCCTAGTCTCTGATAAAACAGACTTTAAACCAACAAAGATCAAAAGAGACAAAGAAGGCCATTACATCATGGTAAAGGGATCCATTCAACAAGAAGAGCTAACTATCCTAAATATATATGTACCCAATACAGGAGCACCCAGATTCATACTTTTTTTTTTTTTTTTTTTTTTTTGAGCAGTAGCAAGATTTATTGCAAAGAGCGAAAGAACAAAGCCTCCACACTGTGGAAGGGGACCCGAGCGGGTTGCCCCACCCAGATTCATAAAGCAAGTACTTAGTGACCTACAAAGAGACTTAGACTCCCACACAATAATAATGGGAGACTTTAACACCCCACTGTCAACATTAGACAGATCAATGAGACAGAAAGTTAACAAGGATATCCAGGAATTGAACTCAGTTCAGCACCAAGCAGACCTAATAGACATCTACAGAACTCTCCACCCCAAATCAACAGAATGTACATTCTTTTCAGCACCACGCCACACCTATTCCAATATTGACCACATAGTTGGGAGTAAAGCACTCCTCAGCAAATGTAAAGGAACAGAAATTATAACAAACTGTCTCTCAGAACACAGTGCAATCAAACTAGAACTCAGGATTAAGAAACTCACTCAAAACTGCTCAACTACATGGAAACTGAACAATCTGCTCCTGAGTGACTACTGGGTACATAACGAAATGAAGGCAGAAATAAAGATGTTCTTTGAAACCAATGAGAACAAAGACACAACATACCAGAATCTCTGGAACACATT
Source organism: Homo sapiens (assembly GCF_000001405.40). NCBI lineage: Eukaryota > Metazoa > Chordata > Mammalia > Primates > Hominidae > Homo > Homo sapiens. Next base: position 13,293,571 of record NC_000001.11, on the reverse strand, counting down.
CAAAGCAGTGTGTAGAGGGAAATTTATAGCACTAAATGCCTACAAGAGAAAGCAGGAAAGATCTAAAATTGACACCCTAACATCACAATTAAAAGAAGTAGAGAAGCAAGAGCAAACACATTCAAAAGCTAGCAGAAGGCAAGAAATAACTAAGATCAGAGCAGAACTGAAGGAAATAGAGACACAAAAAACCCTTCAAAAAATCAATGAATCCAGGAACTGGTTTTTTGAAAAGATCAACAAAATTAATAGACTGCTAGTAAGACTAATAAAGAAGAAAAGAGAGAGGAATCAAATAGATGCAATAAAAAATGACAAAGGGGATATCACCACTGATCCCACAGAAATACAAGCTACCATCAGAGAATACTATAAACACCTCTACGCAAATAAACAAGAAAATCTAGAAGAAATGGATAAATTCCTCGACATACACACCCTCCCAAGACTAAACCAGGAAGAAGTTGAATCTCTGAACAGACCAATAACAGGCTCTGAAATTGAGGAAATAATTAATAGCTTACCAACCAAAAAAAGTCCAGGACCAGTTGGATTCACAGCCGAATTCTACCAGAGGTATAAGGAGGAGCTGGTACCATTCCTTCTGAAACTATTCCACTTAATAGAAAAAGAGGGAATCCTCCGTAACTCATTTTATGAGGCCAGCATCATCCTGATACCAAAGCCTGGCAGAGACACAACAAAAAAAGAGAATTTTAGACCAATATCCTTGATGAACATTGATGCAAAAATCCTCAATAAAATACTGGCAAACTGAATCCAGCAACACATCAAAAAGCTTATCCACCATGATCAAGTGGGCTTCATCCCTGGGATGCAAGGCTGGTTCAACATACGAAAATCAATAAACATAATCCAGCATATAAACAGAACCAAAGACAAAAACCACATGATTATCTCAATAGATGCAGAAAAGGCTTTTGACAAAATTCAACAACCTTCATGCTAAAAACTCTCAATAAATTAGGTATTGATGGGACGCATCTCAAAATAATAAGAGCTATCTATGACAAACCCACAGCAAATATCATACTGAATGGACAAAAACTGGAAGCATTCCCTTTGAAAACTGGCACAAGACAGGGATGCTCTCTCTCACCACTCCTATTCAACATAGTGTTGGAAGTTCTGGCCAGAGCAATCAGGCAGGAGAAGGAAATAAAGGGAATTCAATTAGGAAAAGAGGAAGTCAAATTGTCCCTGTTTGCAGATGACATGATTATATATCTAGAAAACCCCATCGTCTCAGCCCAAAATCTCCTTAAGCTGATAAGCAACTTCAGCAAAGTCTCAGGATACAAAATCAATGTGCAAAAATCACAAGCATTCTTATACACCACTAACAGACAAATGGAGAGTCAAATCATGAGTGAACTCCCATTCACAATTGCTTCAAAGAGAATAAAATACCTAGGAATCCAACTTACAAGGGATGTGAAGGACCTCTTCAAGGAGAACTACAAACCACTGCTCAATGAAATAAAAGAGGATACAAACAAATGGAAGAATATTCCATGCTCATGGGTAGGAAGAACCAATATGGTGAAAATGGCCATGCTGCCCAAGGTAATTTATAGATTCAATGGCATCCCCATCAAGCTACCAATGACTTTCTTCACAGAATTGGAAAAAACTACTTTAAAGTTCATATAGAACCAAAAAAGAGCCCGCATTGCCAAGTCAATCCTAAGCCAAAAGAATAAAGCTGGAGGCATCATGCTACCTGACTTCAAACTATACTACAAGGCTACAGCAACCAAAACAGCACGGTACTGGTACCAAAACAGAGATATAGACCAACAGAACAGAACAGAGCCCTCAGAAATAATGCCACATATCTACAACTATCTGATCTTTGACAAACCTGACAAAAACAAGAAATGGGGAAACAATTCCCTATTTAATAAATGGTGCTGGGAAAACTGGCTAGCCATAAGTAGAAAGCTGAAACTAGATCCCTTCCTTACACCTTATAGAAAAATTAATTCAAGGTGGATTAAAGACTTACATGTTAGACCTCAAACCATAAAAACCCTAGAACAAAACTCATAGGTGTTCTCACTCGTAGGTGAGAATTGAACAATAAGAACACATGGACACACGAAGGGGAACATCACACACCGGGGACTGTTGTGGGGTGGGGGGAGGGGGGAGGGATAGCAATAGGAGATATACCTAATGCTAAATTATGAGTTAATGGGTGCAGCACACCAACATGGCACATGTATACATATGTAACAAACCTGCACGTTGTGCACATGAACCCTAAAACTTAAAGTATAATAATAATGAAAAAAGAATATATACTTGCATTTTGTGTGTGTATTTATTTTAATCCACGTATATGCTCTAGTGTATGGTGCTACAGAAGAGGGCCTGACAATTAATTGTCCAGTCCCAGACACTTTGGAGAGTGAATGGACGTGTTGTTATAATTAATTGCTTTTTTTTTTGGAGATGGAGTCTCACTCTGTTGCCAGGCTGGAGAGCAATGGTTCGATCCAAACCATATCACAGGGGGTAATGCTGTCAGACAACGTATTTCTATTTCACTAGTAAAATTTCTTTGGAATAACAGATTTGGCAGTGAATATAAACATAGCAAACATTAGACCTGATGCTCTGGACCCCAACTCTTGCACAAGCCTCTGACTGTGGAGTTTTATTTGAAAGGATGAAAATGAGCAGCAGATTGCAGGGACTGGGACAGTATCATGTCACCGCCAAAGATGTTGACAAACAGACATTCCGTCATTCCAGTCCCACCACTTACAGGCTGTCTGACCTTGAAAATTTCTCCCTCTCTCTTTGAATGTGTCTCTTTCTCCATCAAATGTGTAGAAGGATAATCTCAATCTTCAGGTAAAAATGCTGAGCCCAAAGCATGGGGCATAATAAACCCTCCATAAATGTTGGCTACTTTTGTTGACATTCAAAGACAACAGGCATAATCAGGAAAACAGTTGAGGCCACAGGGGATAACTCAGCCCTAAGGCAGAGTCCTCTCCTGTGCCAACCACTCCCTCTGCCAGGACACAAGCTTCACATCCACCCCAGGAAGAATTAAGAGCAAGTCCTGCTGACTCTGCCTCCAGGACGTCCCTATGCTGTCCATGGCCACTCAAGTGGACACCAGGACCTCCTGTCTGGACAGTGCAAGAATCTTCTGAAGCGTGTCCCTGCCCTCTGGTTGTCCCCCCAGGGAACACGGTCCTCTCAGCCACCTCGGGGATGTGGAAGATAGGCTTCAAGTGGCCTCACAACCCTAATCCCAAACTGCCAATGACCCCTGAGTCACCCTTGCCCCTGGCTGCACCTCTCCAGTCTCATCTCCCTGAGCCAATTCACAACCTGCCAGTTCAGACACTGGTCTTCTCATTCTCTCTGTGTTTCCCCTAAAGCACGTGAACTAGTCATTTTGTCCTTCTTGCTGGGGTCTGAGTCACTGGCCAGTCAAGGCCAAATGCTGGATCAATGAGACAGGAGGAGGCCAATGACTCCAGGCCCCAGGTGAGTGAAAGGGAGGCTTTTATGAACTGGGTGCTATGGGAGAACCGCAGGCCCAGTGGGCATCCCTACAATGACCTCATGGTGTTTACATGTTTATGTGTGTGTGTGGTCAGCTAGGAAGTCACAGCTCTCCAGCATGGCTCCATGGCACAGAAAAGTAAAATATGCCATGTCTCTAGCAGGGCAAGTTTCCCGTGAGTCCAGCAAGAAGGCATGGGATCTGTGGAAAGGAGGCCTCTGGGAAAAACCCCACCTTTGAGGATAATGTTAAAAGCTGAACTTGAGACCCTGAGAATCCTATGTCCTTCCCACTCCCCGCAGGGCTTCTCTTGATCCGGCCCTGACTCCCGGATGCAGAAGCCCAGGGAGGAGCTGGGAGACAGGGAAACTTGCTGGGACGCTCCATGCATTTGTCTCCAAGAGGGTCCCCAAACCCAGGTGCCTGCAGCATCAGGGAGGCTCAGAGTTCCTGTGTCTGCCTGAAGGAAGCCTCATTTGCATGGATCCATGTAAGTTCTGAGATTCCTTCCCACACGTGGCCACCTGCAGGTGCCCCATAAATTCATCTTCCCAAGAAGAGCCAATGGGGATAGGCGAGGACCCCAAACCTGCTCCCAACCCCACATCCACAGGACAGAGAGGGATCACCTGAAGCACAGGCCAGGGGGTGAGTCCTGACCCCACTGTCTCCTCCTAATCCCAGAGGGCAGTGGAGTGGCCACAGGCACCCCACCAACTCCTCCTGTACCCCAAGCCCAAGATGAACAAACTTCCCGACTCACTGGCCTATCCCAACTTAAAAAAAAGCAGGACAACTCTCCCAGGTGGAGAAGACACCAGCTGCCTCTGCGGTGCTGAGCCCAGGAGGAAGATGATCACTGTTCAAACTGCCTTGGCAAGTTGTTTCAAAGAAATAAAACCCTTGGCTTCTCAGTGCTTTGAGTCACATTGCACTTAGTAAATGTTCGTTTTACTAATGTTTTTCACTTCCCTGTATATTTATATTCAGCAGTGAGAGACCTCTTCATATTCCAACAAAAAGTGATTAAAGGATTTGGGACACCTGTGATTATCCCCATGGGTTATTATGATCGCTCTGTACCGCGCAGCCTGCAGAGTTATTTTTCTGACCGGGATTGCAGTGCTGAGCCTGGTGTCCTCTGCTGAGTTCATTTTCCAGCTTCCTTGCATTTTATTCATCTTCCCTGGTAGCACCCGGAATTGCAGGAAGCAATCCCTGGTGCTCAGTGAAGGTCTTTGAATGAATCAAGGGGAGAGGAGTCAGGGGGAGGCAGAGGGTGTGGGAGGAGTCACATGTGCCAGAATCTTCTCTTCAGACATGTCACAGAGAGTCCCCTCCAGGCACTCTTGTTGGGCCTCAGTGCTGGACATTGGAGGACTTTTCTGACTGAGGATCATTGTGCCCTCTCTGGATCCACTGGAAAGCTCTGGGCAGCCATGTGAGCCTTGGTTTGACTTCCATCCTCCATGATTTTCCCTTTGCTTGTCAGAGGAGGTTTGGAATAACTTGGATGTCAGGGACTCTGAGCCAGACCCCATTCTTTTTCATTCCCTCCTGAAAAGCCCAGTCCTCACCGTCCCATAAGGCTCTGACCAGTGAAAAGATGGAGCTGCACGATTTCCAAAGAGAATCCTTTCCTTGGCCTCAAGCCACAGCTGCTTCCTTCTGACCTGCTGCTTGTCTTTGGATCCAGGATGGACACTCGCCACCCGCTCTTCCTCTCCTGGGACTCCCCACTCTCCTGACTCTGTGCCCCTGGGGCAGGATGGGGCAGCCACTAAAACCTCATGCAGACCAGGGCACATAAAGTGTCTTGGGAACTCACAGACCCAAGTCCAAGCCCCAGTGCCCCACGGTCTCAGACACAAGTCCCTGCCTTTCAGAGACACAGCTCTATGAGAGCCAGAGAACCTGGCTGCCTGCTCTGCTGCCACCTCCCTCCTTCCCCTTTATTTCAGCCCCATCAGCTCCTCTGATCACTCCCCTTCTTGGCCCCATTCCTACTTTCAGTCCCTCTGGCTCTGTCCAGCCTGGAGTGAGGGTGCAGACCTCCTCCCACCCCAGGCTCTGAGCACCTCCCTCAGCATCAAGTGTCTGCTTTCAGGGTGACCTTGTCCTCAGACTTGATTGGAGGAAGAAAGAGAGGAAGCCCCTACTTTAGCACACGATGTGCATGAATCTGACCTGGAATCAGACCCGGTTGAGGACCAGAGAAGGGCAACAGGGCCAGAACAGAGATTTTGACTCTTAGAAATGCACAGAGGGTGAACAGCTCAGGCTAAGAAGAGACCTGACTTGGACAGAAACAGACTGACTGCATTCCAGGTGCAGCCTTGTCAGCTCTAAGGCTGACCCAGGGGAGCCTGGGAAGGGATGGCCCCTGCACCGAGACATTTCCCAGGACCTCTTCTCAGCCTGGCACCCATAGGAAGACCAGAGGACTCAGGTCTCCTTCTGCGTGCCAGGCAGGGTCACCCTCCAGCAGTCCTGTCCCAGGGGCCTCTTTAGGGCCAGAGCAGCAGCTGAGGAACTCCCTGCTTTATGGCTTCTCATGTTCACCAAAATAGCTCAATAGAATTTTGGGAGAATTCCTCAATGACTGCTCTGGGGTGAAGGTCTCCCAGCATTGTGGCCATGTTCTGTTGTTCAGGAGATTTGGGCTGAGGTATCCAGGATGCATAAAGAGATACCTGCCTTGACAGCTCAGTCTGCAGGAGGGAAACAGAAGCTCAGAAATATTCTAGAGACCCTGAGCAAGTGCCTGGGGGAGCTTTGGTATTCTGGTGGAGATTCTGTGAGTGGAGAAGGGGTCAGGTCATCTTCTCAGAGGGGCTCTGAAGGATGCTCTGAGTTTGACAGCAGATGAGCACCTTGAGAAGAACAGGTGACAGGACATGGTAGAAATGCCCCCAAGTGCGGGATTCTCACTGGGGTCCTGGGGGTGGTGCTGGACCTTCTGAATTGGGCAGGAAGGGAAAGTCTGTCAATCAGTTCTTTTCAACATTTAGATTATTGAACTCCTTAGGGGATCCTCTGAGCTCCTCACCAGAGGGGTCTGTCCATCATTTGCTGCCTGAACACGGGCAGGTTCCTCTCCCTAGCCAAGTCTCAGGGTCACCACTTTAAAAATGAGGAATATAGCAACATGCCTTAGATTCCTCGTGAGGGAGAGCTGAGATCTTGGATGAATGGTACCAGTCCCTGCTGTGCCTTGTGCATGCTCAATCAACAGAGACACTCAGGATCACCTTTGGTGCTGAGCTCACCCTCAGCCTCAGGCTCACAAAGTGAGGGCAGGTGAAGTAGAAGCCGCACTGAGCACGTTTCAGTTTAACTCGATTGCACACATAGCAGGGCATTGATAGTGAGGTCAGAAATGTGGAGAAAGAACATTTACAGAAATATTCCATGATGGAGAACATCCTTCAAAGTACTTCAGTTTTGGAAGCCAGTGGCATCTCCGGGCTGTTTGGGTTTCATATGGAATGGGAGAGAAAGGCCTGGAGGACTTTCTGGAGGCGGGGGACGTTCTTGCTACTTTGTGCCCTAAAATAGCAGAAGAATGACTGTGTGATCCTGCTTAGGATGGGAGCCATCCCTGAACTTAGCAGATCTTTTAACATGAAATAGAGCTTCCAGGTTTTGTTGGGGAAATGTATTGTACATTTGCACACAATACAACCAGATGTGTGCACCGTTCTTAAAGACAGGAAGGCTGAGTTTCTCTCTCTCTTTCTTTCTTTCTTTCTTTCTTTCTTTCTTTCTTTCTTTCTTTCTTTCTTTCTTTCTTTCTTTCTTTCATTTCCTTCCTTCCCTCCCTCCCTCCCTCCTTCCCTCCCTCCCTCCCTCCCTCCCTCCCTCCCTCCCTCCCTTCCTTCCTTCCTCCCTCCCTTCCTTCCTTCCTTCCTCTGGCATCTGCCCCAGCTCACATTCTCAGATTCCATCTTCCCAGGCTGATTTTCCGAGGCGAGCCCATCATTTTTGGGAGTAAACACGCTTTCCCTTGTAGTAGAGGCCAAGACTGTATCTGCCTCCTCTGCCCTCAAAGACAATGTTGTGTTTGAAGAGTCTGCACTGTCTCTTTTGTAATTATTCCCTTTTTAATTTTTAAACTCAATCTAGACAGAGTCTTTCAATCCTTCTGTGGAGATGCCCACAAAATACCCACCATGTTTTATGCTGTCTTGGTTCCTTCCCAGGGTTCTACTAGAACACCCGGTCCCATCCTGCCCAGCCGCCACCTCACTTTGTCATTCTGTCCTGATTTCCTTCAGTGAAGCCTTGACCTTAGTCTTGTGATCAATCACACCCTCCGTGGTCCCCTTTTCAACCTGAACCCACATATGACCTGCCCTGTTATAAAACATAAAACCCAGGTGACCATTGGATAAAGGAGCTTTTTAATCCGTTTTCTTAGGGTGGACATCACTGTCTTTTTAAAGCTGTTTTAACTGTCTTAACGAAACGTTTTGATAATTTCGATGTGGCCACAGATTTTCCCATAAAGATATCATCAGGTTTTGTTTTTTCTTTCTAATGTCAGGAACAGATTAAACCTTCCATGTCTCTATGAAGGTCACATATTAGTCAAACTTCATCAGTGTTTGGGGAATAAATGAATTAATGAGTTTTGGACTTTCACCCTGTTATTTATTCTTTCACTTTCATAAATGCACATCTAATTTAATCAATGAATCAGAAGAAAGTGTAAAACTCAATCAGGACTAACTAGGTGGAACTTCGGAATCTAATCAGGTATCACTTTCTGATTGGAAGCTGGTGATTGAGAAGGGGAGGGTGTGGTTAGAAACATCAATAAAAGCTCCTGAGTTTGCAAAGGAGAGACCCAAAGCCCTGGTGCCTGGAACTACTGCTTGATTCTCTGAGAGATCCCAGCACCCTACAAACTGAGTCCAGATCTGGTAAGTCACCACCTCCTTAGGAACATGCCCATCTGATCTGCAGCCAGCCAGTCAGGGATGGTGACACACAGCCCAAAGTGGCACAGAGAATTTCCTGTCTGTTTTTTCAATTTAACAGATGTAGGTTTTGATTTTTCCTCTAAATATAGTATTCACTTCATCCCTCAAATTTTGATTTCTGCTTCATTTTTCTCATTTCAAAATTCTTATTGAAGCAGTTTTTTAAAAAAGATATTAAAAATTTACAGTTGGATGAATTTTTATGTCTTGACATGTGAAGTTATTTGTTTCTGTGCCCTTCAGCTACAGTTCACACACTTAGTTGTATTGTGATTTTCTCGAGTCTTGTTCTGAACATGGGATTTATCTCTGCCCTTAGACTCTGTCCCTAAGTGGGTGATTGTGAGTATGTAGAAGGGATGAGTATTGGATCCTTCATCTGAGACTTAGTGTTTCCACCCGCACCTTCCAAGTGCTCTAGAATACTGCCACACTGCTTTTATAGTTTCTCTTATAATTTTTCAAAATAAAAACAAGTGGCATTGATTTTAAGGAGTCACTTCAGTCTTCCCCAAGCATGCTAATTGTGTAAACTGAGAATGCAGGCTGTGTGGGGCCACAGGACAGTCATTCTCATTGTTTTTGGGTGGTAAGTAACAAAAAAATTTCCCTCAAAAAGGTGGAGCTTAGCTTTCAGGATCCTGAGTGACAGATCCCAGTAATCCTGAGTTTCAGTGGAGCAATGTATAGAAATTAATGGGCCACTGGCCACCTCGTCCCCTCCTTGGTGTTTGAAAGACATTCTTTGTGGTAGTCACAGGGGCACAGATACAGATTTGTGGCCACCAAGTGCAGAATGGAACTGGGGGGAATTGAGGGCTTTTCCACCTCCACCAGAGCAATGAGATTAGCAATAGGAGAAGATGAGGTGATCATATTTGGCCTGAGAGTGATGCCTTTTCTCTGGATTTGTCCTCTAGAGTTTTCCCTTGCAGATTCATCAAGATGAGCATCAGGGCCCCACCCAGACTCCTGGAGCTGGCAAGGCAGAGGCTGCTGAGGGACCAGGCCTTGGCCATCTCCACCATGGAGGAGCTGCCCAGGGAGCTCTTCCCCACACTGTTCATGGAGGCCTTCAGCAGGAGACGCTGTGAAACCCTGAAAACAATGGTGCAGGCCTGGCCTTTCACCCGCCTCCCTCTAGGGTCCCTGATGAAGTCGCCTCATCTGGAGTCATTAAAATCTGTGCTGGAAGGGGTTGATGTGCTGTTGACCCAAGAGGTTCGCCCCAGGTGAGGTGACCCAGGTGTCCAGGTGGGGAGGGCCCTTTTGTCCAGGGTAGGGACAGCTGTTTCAGGAGGAGGAGGGGCACCATGGAGGCCCAGAGGTTTCTGATGGTGCCAGTGAGGAAGCTCAGGAAGGCCTTGGCCATTGCCCAGCCCCTCTGGGAAAGGACTGCTCACCATGCAGGGTCCACTGAGGAAACAGAAACTTCTCTTCTAGTGGCTCTGAAAGCTACAGGCAATGGGGATGAGGCAAAATCCGGAGGGAAAAGGGGTTGGACAAAATCAGAGAGGGAAAAGTGGCAGAGAGGAGAACAGCTGATGTCTGGGATGTAAATAAAAGCTCAGGTCCTTGCCTTAGTTTGGAGCCTCTCTTCTCCTTTACCCACAGGCAGTCAAAACTTCAAGTGCTGGACTTGAGGAATGTGGATGAGAACTTCTGCGACATATTTTCTGGAGCTACTGCATCCTTCCCGGAGGCTCTGAGTCAGAAGCAAACAGCAGATAACTGTCCAGGGACAGGCAGGCAGCAGCCATTCATGGTGTTCATAGACCTTTGTCTCAAGAACAGGACACTAGATGAATGCCTCACCCACCTCTTAGAGTGGGGCAAGCAGAGAAAAGGCTTACTGCATGTGTGTTGCAAGGAGCTGCAGGTTTTTGGAATGCCCATCCACAGTATCATAGAGGTCCTGAACATGGTGGAGCTTGACTGTATCCAGGAGGTGGAAGTGTGCTGCCCCTGGGAGCTGTCCACTCTTGTGAAGTTTGCCCCTTACCTGGGCCAGATGAGGAATCTCCGCAAACTTGTTCTCTTCAACATCCGTGCATCTGCCTGCATTCCCCCAGACAACAAGGGGCAGTTCATTGCCCGATTCACCTCTCAGTTCCTCAAGCTGGACTATTTCCAGAATCTGTCTATGCACTCCGTCTCTTTCCTCGAAGGCCACCTGGACCAGCTGCTCAGGTGAGGAAGGATGGTGAGCTTTCTCTTCAGACCACAGCAGAGCCTTTCTTTGTTACAGTAAACACCAGTGGGTATGCACTGTGAGCCTGTGAGGAAGTAAGAGTGAGGGGACACTAGAATATCCATGCATTATCCTGTTGGTGGCTCTGTCCTGATACGGGTATCACACAACCATCCCAATAAAGTCAGAGGGATCTCCTGGGCTAGATGCTATAGAGAAGGTGCCAAGCTAGGAAGCTAGCTACTGCAGGGTTTAGATCTGGCGAGAGTGCATTTGTGAATTCCTCCTGAGGATGTGTGTCTAAGTTAAGATGATGGGAAATAGGGAGGTGAAGAGGGCACTAAAGAGAATGCCCATCCCACTCCTATATTTTAAAATATGAGGTCTATCCTCACCTGCCTAGTGAACAGGCAAAATCCTATGTTTCCCTGTCAGCACCCTGTTTTGAGCTCCAGGTCAGGTAATTAATGTATGGGAAATACATGATGATAGAATAGAGGGTGAGGGAGCAGGAGCAAAGAATGGTAAAAGTGATAGATGGTTTGCTGATGGTACAGGCATGTCAGGGTCTCCTGCAACCTGGCCAACCCAGCTGATGTTGCAGGATCCTGCCTGGGTTTGTCATTTATGCCTGTGTCTCCATCGGGCTCCTGTGGCCCAGAGATGTGGTTTTCTACCTGACAGATGAGGAAAGGGAGACTTAGAGTTCATGGACTTGATCCAATCACCTCGGTGATGGTGAAGGACTGAGCCTCGATTGGGACTGCACTGAAGGAACAGAGTCTCCATTCCCACACCCCAGGTGCTGACTATCCTCAGATGAGCAGAGCAGCCCTGGGTTATGGAGAGCATCATCTCTCACCCTGAAGTCATCCCCACCTCTCTCCTCTAACTCCTTCTTGTTCTCTCCCAGGTGTCTCCAGGCCTCCTTGGAGATGGTCGTTATGACCGACTGCCTGCTGTCAGAGTCGGACTTGAAGCATCTCTCTTGGTGCCCGAGCATCCGTCAATTAAAGGAGCTGGACCTGAGGGGTGTCACGCTGACCCATTTCAGCCCTGAGCCCCTCACAGGTCTGCTGGAGCAAGTTGTGGCCACCCTGCAGACCCTGGACTTAGAGGACTGTGGGATCATGGATTCCCAACTCAGCGCCATCCTGCCTGTCCTGAGCCGCTGCTCCCAGCTCAGCACCTTCAGCTTCTGTGGGAACCTCATCTCCATGGCTGCCCTTGAGAACCTGCTGCGCCACACCGTCGGGCTGAGCAAGCTAAGCCTGGAGCTGTATCCTGCCCCTCTGGAGAGTTATGACACCCAGGGAGCTCTCTGCTGGGGGAGATTTGCTGAACTTGGGGCTGAGCTGATGAACACACTGAGGGACTTAAGGCAGCCCAAGATCATTGTGTTCTGCACCGTCCCCTGCCCTCGCTGTGGCATCAGGGCCTCCTATGACCTGGAGCCCAGTCACTGCCTCTGTTGAATGCCTGCCATCAGGGTGGATATATTTCAAGCTTTCTTCTGGTCATTTCGGAGCTGAAACCTAGGCCATGAGTGCATGTTAAAGGGAGCACAGACCCATCGTTTCAAATGCCTCCTCAGTGTGAATGGGAAAGGAATGAGGATGCAGGAGGGGCAGGACTGGGGGAAAAGTTGACTTGGAGTGGATGGGCTCTTTAGAGACCTGTGTCCCAGAGAATCAGAAATGGGAATCTGAATTGCTAGAGTGAGAATCAGGGAGGAGAGACACATGAGAGGGTTACCCCTGCACAGATGGTTGTAAAGTAACAGTCAGAAATAAAGGGAAACTGAGTGGAAACTATCTGGTGTCCTCCGTAATTGCTTAACATGGCTTAACAATTAAACAATTTAAACCTAAAAAAGTCCAGTTACTGATCGAGCTAATAAGGCACTGATTTGTCTGTGACTGATGAGGTTCAGCTCCTGGAAATCAAACCATCAAAATGGAATTTGATCATTTAGATCAATCCCCCTCCTGTTACCTTCTTGCTATTCTCTGTGCCTATTTAGTGGCACATGAGAGACGCACACAGGGCCTGAAGCATTCTAAGTGCAAAGTGAGTGTCAGCCACTTAAGTTAAGCCCCTTCAGGTGCCCTCATTCTGTCCTGATGCCGAGACCCTGTTCACTCTCAATGGGTGGATTCAGAGCTCTCAGTTCCTGACCGTTACCTGTGCTGGGAAAGGACTTCACTGCCCAAGGCGTGGCCCTGCCCTGGAAGGGGAGCTCCACACTGTATGAGCAGGAGCCTCAGGGCATCACTAACCCATGCCTGTCATGGTGGGTAGCGGCCCTTGCTGAATTAAAGTAGTTGTGGCCAATAAAGACATCCAAATTCCCTTTCAGCAAAATGCTGACATTATGTAGGCATATAATACCTGTAACATCAATGAAAGACCTTTTCTTAACTCCTCCTTTTTCTCCCTGTGAAGGAAGACTAGTGCATGGTAGTAGGAATCACACATCCTTAGAGGGTGGATAATGATCAAGTGCCTGTGGGTAATTAATGACCACACCTGTGCTGAAGGACCCTACACAAAGGGCACCTAAGTGTAGAACCCTGCCGAGGACTCAGGGGCTGGTGCTATTGGGCACGAAACAGCCAAGAGGCTCAGCTTCCCTGTAAAATGAAGATGATGATGCCACCACCCTATGAGACTATCGTAGGACCCAATGAGATGGTGTATGGTCAGGACTTGGAATGGGGCGTGGCATACAGTAAGAGCTCAATACATGCATCTTGTTCTTTTTTTTTTTCCCCCTCCTAATAGAAGTCCCAGCATTCTTCACCCTTCAATCTCACCTTCTATTCCTGATAATAGGGAGGCAGCAGAAACCCACGGCAGGCAATGGGACTCAACTTCTACACACCACCACCACTTAATCGTGATTCCCCCAAACAGCAGAGCCTCAGCAGCCAGCAGAGGTTGGGATGGGTGGGGCAGGACTGAGTTCATCTCTAGTGATCATGAGATAAAAATTTCCAACCCATGAGACTCATGTGCCATCTGCTGGTTGGTCAGACCATCTGGTGTAATTTATTGATGCAAACAGGATGATATTGAGTGGTATCTCCAAAAATCTGCTGTTATGTAAGTGTTTATAGAGAATAAATATTGTGATTCATATATAATTTTATACATATTGAATACATATTTTTACATAAATTTACGTACATAATTTTATACATATTGAATATATATAATTTTATACATATTGAATATATGTATATTGAAATTTTAAATTATAATGGGAATTTAGTATTTTAAAGTATGTAGTGCAATATTTTAAAAAGGTTTGTAGGCTGGGCACAGTGGCTCACGACTGTAATCCCAGCACTTTGGGAGGCCGAGATGGGTGGATCACGAGGTCAGGAGATGGAGACCATCCTGGCTAACATGATGAAACCCCGTCTCTACTAAAAATACAACAAATTAGCCGGGCATGGTGACAGGCACCTGTAGTCCCAGCTACTCAGAAAGCTGGGGTAGCAGAATGGCATGAACCCAGGAGGCAGAGCTTGCAGTGAGCCGAGAGCGTGCCACTGCACCCCAGCCTGGGGGACAGAGTGAGATCCGTCTCAAAAAAAAAGAAAATGTTTGTGTTGGCCTGGGCAGCACGTATACTAAAGTTGGAATGACACAGAGAAGATTAGCATGGCCCCTGCGCAAGGATGATGTGCAAATTCGTGACAAGTTCCATATTTTTCAGGAAACAACAGATGCTGGAGAGAATGTGGAGAAATTAGGCATGCTTTGACAGTGTTGGTGGGAGTGTAAATTAGTTCTAGCATTGTGGAAGACAGTGTGGTGATTCCTCAAGGATCTAGAACTGGAAATATCATTTGACCCAGCAATCCCATTACTGGGTATATACCCAAAGGATTATAAATCATTCTACTATAAAGACAAATGCACACGTATGTTTAGTGTGGCACTGTTCTTAATAGCAAAGACTTGGAAACAAACCAAAAGCTCTTCAGTGATAGACTAGATAAAGAAAATATGGCACATATACACCATTCAATACTATGCAGCCATAAAAAATGATGAGTTCAGGTCATTTTCAGGGACATGGATGAAGCTGGAAATCATCATTCTCAGCAAACTAACACAGGAACAGAAAAGCAAATACCACATGTTTTCAGTCATAAGTGGGAGTTGAACAATGCGAACACATGGATACAGGGAACATCACACACTGGGGCCTGTTGGGGGGTAGGGATGGTGGGGGAGGGTTAGCATTAGGATAAATACCTAGTGTAGATGATGGCTTGATATGTGCAGCAAACCACCATGGCATATGTATCCCTATGTAACAAACCTGCACGTTCTGCACATGTGTCCCAGAACTTGAAGTATATTTAGAAAATGCTTAATGTGGTGTTGAGTCTCAAATAAAATGACACCTTCAAAACTGATTTTGAAGATCAATGAATAAGAATTGCTCTTATTTAAAAATATTTAAGTTTATACAATTTTGGAGCTGGAAGGAAGTGCAATATTTTTAGGGATATATGATTTATTTTCTTAGAGCAGTTATAAGGTTGCAGTGAAGTTGAGCAGAAAGTGGATCATTCCCACATACTTCATGACCCCACTCTAGCGCGGACTCCTAAAGGATCAACGTCCTGCCCCAGCGTGGTCCATTTGCTCCAATGCATGAACCACACGAACCATCCTTATCACCCAAAGTTCATAATTAACATTAAGGGTTCACATCTGGTGCTGTATATTCTATGAGTTCTGATGAATTGAGGATGACATGTATTCACCCTTATAGCATCATGCAGAGTAGCTTCAGTGCCCTAAAAAAATCACCTGTTCTCTTTCTATCCATCCCACTCTACCCTGACTCCTTGCAACCCCTGGGCTTTCTACTGTGTCCATAGATTTGCCTTTTCCAGAATGTCATGTGGCCTTTTCATGTTGGCTTCTTTCACTTGGTTATGTGCATTTAAGTTTTTTTTATGTCTTTTAGGGCTTAATAATTTACACTGTCAGGATGTGCTACAGTTTATTCATCCATTTATCTGCTGAAGAATATATTGGTCCCTATTAAGTTTTGTCTATTATGAATGTAGTGGTTAAAAACATCCAGGTTTTAGGTTTTCTCATTTGGGTAAATGCCAAGGAGCGTGGCTGCTGGACCATGTGCCTAGGTTGTGTTTGATAATGATTTTTTCCTTGACAATCTCATGTAGACAGAGACTGCTTCTTCAAGGGCAGGGACTGTGTCTCTGTCACCCTGTGGTCCCACAGCAGAGCATGGAACCTGGCAGGTGGCTGTAAATGCTTATTGATCACATAGTGCTCAGAAATCACTTTATAGCCACTACAATGCAAATGTCGGGCAGTCAACATGAGCTGCCACCAATAATATAAACACGTTGAATATGGATGAAGTCACCCTCCTTTTGCCGGGGTCACTACCTGTGTGTCACGGCAGTGCCGTCATCACATGGATGAACTTCATCTGTTTTTTATAGATTTCCCCCCATGTAATACAGGACACAGTCTTTAAACAAAGAGTCACCGGAGTTCCTGATGGCCACTGGTCTGAGTCTGTCCCTTTGGAACTAAGGGCCCTCATAACTGCACTTACCTACCACAGGCGTCCCTGTAAGCACCACTAGAGGGCGAGCATCTTCACCAAACCTGATGGACCCAAGAAGTCTGACCTGAATGTCTCCCTGCTAGGCAGGGGTCCTCAGAGGAATCTTCTATCCAGTCCAGATGGAGGGAACTGGAAGAGTCTCCTCAAACCCAGGACCAACAAAGAGATTCCCTCCAAGATCCCAATTAGGGAGCCAGGACAGGGACTGAGAGGGAACAGGGAAGGGAAGGCACCATGGGTCCCAAAACCTGGAACTGATGGAGAAGGTCCCCTCCAGAAACTGTTTGGAGAGAACCAGCTGGGAAGAATTAAAGTCTCTGAGATCTTCCACCTAAGAGCTGGACATCTGAATTCAGGAAGACTTACCCGAGGCCTTCCCATGGCGCAATCGAGAAGAGCTCACGGGACTCTTGCCAGTGCAGGATGCATTGGTTCTGGAGGCATCAGGAAGAGATCGGAGGTCCCCTTTGAATCCCACTTCTAACACCAGTGAGGTCCACTAAAAATTATGGGGTCTATAGATTTAGAAAAAAGGAGCGTAATTTCTTCTAAAGGTTTACAACCTGCTCGCTGGGAAATGGGCCTCCAGGCAGGACCTGAGGCAAGCGCTTGGAGGGAGGGAAAGTGACCCAGGAATCTATGCTGAACCTGTTGGCCACCAAGTGTGCATATTCAGCAGGTCATTGGAGCAGCTATGAAAATTCACAGGGTGGGGGATGCATGCATGTATGGTAAGCAAATATACATGTCACATACATCCCAGGTTCACCTGGTGGTTGAGGCTTTACATTTAAATGCATTATAATTAGGTTCTCTGCATCCAAAGGAGAAGTTGGGACATGAAGGTCCGCAATTCCTAACTAAAGGGCCTGGGGAGTCACCTTCTACAAATCACAAAGTCCCCTCAGAGGGGGTTTATTTAACCCTATATAAAGTGGCTTAAGGCTGAGTGCAGTGGTTCACGCCTGTAATCCCAGCACTTTGGGAGGCCAAGGTGGGCAGATCACTTGAGGTCAGAAGTTGGAGACCAGCCTGACCAACTTGGAGAAACACCATCTCCACTAAAAATACAAAATTACCTGGGCATGGTGGTATATGTCTGTAATCCCAGCTACTCGGGAGGCTGAAGCAGGAGAATCGCTTGAACGCAGGAGACGGAGGTTGCGGTGAGCTGAGATCACACCATTGCACTGCAACCGGGGCAACAAGAGCAAAACTCGGTCTCAAAATCCATAAATAAATAAATAAATAAATAAATACATACATACATACAATAAAGCGGCTTGTTTTCCAGCCTGACTCAGGGTAGCCCAGAGTCTTCTGATGGTGCTGGTGAGGAAGCTCAAGGAGGCTTTGGCCATTGTCCAGATCCTCAGAGAAAGGACTGCTCACCATACAGGGTCCACTGTGGGAACAGAAACCTGCTTTTTCCCAGTGGAAGGTAAAGGGACTAGAAGTGGGGAGCAGTATGAATCAA
The DNA here is from genome assembly GCF_000001405.40 of Homo sapiens. NCBI lineage: Eukaryota > Metazoa > Chordata > Mammalia > Primates > Hominidae > Homo > Homo sapiens. Next base: position 13,275,739 of record NC_000001.11, on the reverse strand, counting down.
AAGAGAAAACGGACTGAGAAAAGTCAGAGAGAGAACAGGGAGCAATGAGAATGAAAGCAAAAGTCAGGGATGGGTCCTTCTAAATTCTGAGCTTCTCCCTTACTTTACCTATAGGAGGTGGAAACTTCAAGTGCTGGACTTGCTGGATGTTGATGAGAATGTCTGGGCTGGATGGCCTGGAGGCTAGGCCCTGTCCTCCTCCCCAGAGGCCATGAGTAAGAGGCAGACAGCAGAGGACTATCCAAGGATGGGAGAGCACCAGCCCTTAAAGGTGTTCATAGACGTCTGCCTCAAGGAAACACCCCAAGATGAATGCCTGAGATACCTCTTCCAGTGGGTTTACCAAAGGAGAGTTTTAGTACACCTGTGCTGTAGTAAGTTGGTGAATTATCTAACACCCATTAAATATCTTAGAAAGTCATTGAAAATAGTCCACCTGAATAGTATTCAGGAGTTGGAAATTCACAACATGTCCTGGCTGCATCTGATAAGAAAGCTTCATTGTTACCTGAAGGAGATGAAGAATCTTCGCAAACTCGTTTTCTCCAGGTGCCATCATTACTCTTCGGACAATGACCTCGAGGAATGGTTACTCACCAAATTCAGCCTGTGTTCCTCAGGCTGGAACACCTCCAATTGCTTAAAGTAAAATTGATCACCTTCTTCAGTGGGCACCTGGAACAGCTGATCAGGTGAGAAAGGATCGTGCACTTTCTCTGAAGACCACAGCACAGCCTTTTTTTGTTACAGCAAACGCTAGAAGGCATAACTTTTGTGTCAGCCAGTGGTGACATCACAGTGAAGGGGACACCAGAATATCAACACATTGTCCCATTCAGTGCTCCATGTTCCGGAGTGGCTATCACAGGATCTCTGCAATGAGGGCAGCGGGGTCACCTGGGGTAGAGGCTAGAGAGCTACATCATGTACAAGCCAGGTAGTGGGGGTTTCAGCTCTACTGGGGGGTGCATATGTGAATTTCTTGTTACAAAGTGTGTTTCAAGTTGATATGATAGGAAAGAGGTAATAGAGGAGGGTATGAAAGGAGGGACAGCGCATCAAACCTGTGCATTTCACAGTAGAAACTCTGTCCTCACCAGCTTAGTGATCACAAATGATCCTGTCTCTATTCCCTGTCTGTAAAAGGTTGTTTTGAACCCCAGGAAAGGTAACTGACATGGGAAATGTGTGCTTCTTGAATGGAGGCTGAGGGAGTAGGCGTGAGAGTGGTAAAAAGTGATAGGTGGTTTGCAGATGCAGGCACGTCAGGGAGCCCCTGCCAGTAGGTAGCCCTAGCTGATGACCCTAGACCTTGCTCAGTTGAGTTCTTCATGCACATCTCCCACCGGGTACCTGTGGCCCAGAGATGAAGTTTTCTGCTAAAAGATGAAGAAAAGAGGCTTTAGTGATGTGATTTTGTGGCCTTGAACCAATCACACAAGCAATGGTGAAAGGATTGAGGCTAAACTAGGACTGCCCCTGAATGATCAGAGTCCTCATCACAGAGCAACTTGCATGTGGACCATCATCACATGATGGGAATAAACTTGTGTTTGGGTGAAGCAGACATTTCCCTTTCAGTTATTCCCCACCACCTTCATCTAACTGGTATCACTGCCCAGAACTAACTTCTTGATCTCCACAGGTGCCTCCAGAACCCCTTGGAGAACTTGGAGTTAACTTGTGGCTACCTATTGGAAGAGGACATGAAGTGTCTGTCTCAGTACCCAAGCCTCAGCTACCTAAAGCATCTGAATCTCAGCTACGTGCTGCTGTTCCGCATCAGTCTTGAACCCCTCGGAGCTCTGCTAGAGAAAATTGCTGCCACTCTCAAGACCCTCATCTTCGAGGGCTGTCAGATCCACTACTGCCAACTCAGCGCCATCCTGCCTGGCCTGAGCCGCTGCTCCCAGCTCACCACCTTCTACTTTGGCAGAAATTGCATGTCTACGGACACCCTGAAGGACCTGCTGCGCCACACCAGTGGGCTGAGCAAGTTAAGCCTGGAGACGTATCCTGCCCCTGAGGAGAGTTTGAATTCCTTGGTTCGTGTCGATTGGGAGATCTTCGCCCCACTTCGGGCTGAGCTGATGTGTACACTGAGGGAAGTCAGGCAGCCCAAGAGGATCTTCACTGGTCCCACTCCCTGCCCTTCCTGTGGCTCATCACCGTCTGAGGAACTGGAGCTCCATCTTTGCTGCTAGGGAAGGCGTGCCTAGTGGGGTTGATAAATCCAAAGTTCTCTTCCAGGCACTTGGACACTAAAATCTAGTATGTAAGTGCAAGTTATGTTTGTTTTTTCTTATTTCCTTTTTTAATAATTCTAAAATTTTATTAAAGAACATTTGAGACAGGGTTTCGCTGTGTTGCCCCAGCTGGTCTGAAACTGCTGGGCACATGGGATTCTCCTGCCTTGGCCTCCTAAAGTGCCAGGATTACTGGCATGAGTGATTGTGACCAGGCCACATGCAACTTACAGGAAGCACAGAATTCTTTGCTTCAGGCAGGTGCTCAGTATGAGGGAAAAAAGATAACAGCAGGGGGCAAGACTGGAGGAAAATGTGGAGGTGGAGTCAATGAGACCTTACGGGACCCATGTCCTACAGAGTCAGAAAGAGAAGCTAAAGTTCTACAGTGATGAGAATGTTATCCCTGCAGGGACGGTTACCAAGAAATATCAGAAATAACCTCAATGAAAACTTTCTGGTGTCCTCTGTATTTGATTGACTTGTTTTAGCGATTTATACATCAGAAATCTCTAGTTATTGAGTTACTGATGGAAAAGTATCAAAGTACTCTGTTGTCTGTGATTGAGATTCAGCTGCAAAACATCTAATTCCCACCCATTCTTTTTCTTTGCTTTTTTTTAAAAAAAAAAAAAAAAAAAAAAAAAAAAAGACAACATCTTGCTTTGTCACCCAGGCTGCAGTGCAGTGGTCCCGTCTGGGCTCACTGCAATCCTACCCTTCGGGGCTCAAGTGATTCTCATGCCTCAGCCACTCTAGTAGGTGGAATTGCATGCAAGTGCCACCAAGCCTGCTAGTTTTTGTATTTTTAGTAGAGACGCGGTTTTTCCATGTTGACCAGGCTGGTCTTGAGCTCCTGGCTTCAGTGATCTGCTGACCTTGGCCTCCCAATGTGCTGGGATTACGGGTGTGCCAATGATCTCCACCCATTCTTTACTTCTCTTCAGTCATCTGTTTTTTCCTTACATTTTCGCCTGCAAGGAGCAGCTCAGTCAGGCACAAAGGGACGGGCAGAGAGGGGCCCCGAGGAGAAGATGGGCTTGAGGTGGTAGGCAGAGCTGGGATCAAGCTACAGGGGCCTTTGTTGGGAAGCAGAAATGGCACCTAGTTCAATGACCTGGCCAGCTATGGGGCCACTGTGCCCACCCTGCTAACAGTGCCAAGTTCCTGGGTGTCGAAGGGAGGTTCTGTGCTAATCCTCCTGGGGCTGCATTTCCAAGATCTGCCCCCCACAGGGGTGACCACAGAGACTGACGTTCCTAATTGCTGGGTCTGGGGACCACGGTCCACTCCTGGAGGCACCCCACCTTGGCAGGGTTGTGAGCCAGGCCTCTGCCCCGTGTTCCTGAGGCAGACAGCTGTGCCACCCACACCCTCTCATGGCTTAATGAGACCCGCTCCCGGGTCTGGAGCCTCTACAAAGCCTCAAACTCACTCCTCACGGCCTGCTGTTAGCCTGCAATATTCTTAACTAGAGTGCAGTTGGGGCTCATTCAACCAGACCCAGAAGCATTGGGTTTGTTTTTGCAGGGTTGGCCAGAGCTGCTGTGAACCTGCATCTCACCTGTCACCTCTGTGGAGAAACACAGAGAGAGGGCATAACTGAGGCTACATACACTTTGAACCTGATGGGATCCTGGGACAAGAGGGAGTCCTGGCCCTCCCGAGTTGGCAGGACAGTAGCTCCAAAGGCACAACTGAAGCTGCCCAGGTCGCAGTTCCAACCAAGGTCCCCCAGTGCTCTTGAGGGCTCAGGAGGTCTCCCCTTCTCCTGCAGCATGGGGGTGTCTGCTCCCACTGTGTGGTCCCTCCTGGCACCTGCTGTAATTTTGGAGCGGAGTTGGGGTCAAGCATGTATGCTGTGGCAGCCCAGATGAGCGTGTGCATGCTCAGGTTCGTGCTGATGCACCGTCTGCCTGCTGTCTTGAACACTCTGGGCTTTGGGCCCTGATGAGCATGGGAGGGAGGCTGAGAGGGGGCTGAGGACAGATCAGTGCTGGCCTTTGGATGCTCCTTGATGCAAGTGACCTGGGCGCCATGGGTGGTGGTGGGAGGCAGACAGACTCCTGGATGGGAAGACGAGGGTACCTGGTGAGGCTCTACCTTGTGACCAAGGGGGGCCTGAAGCCCGTGGGCTGGTCCACCAGTGCTATGGACCAGAGTGGGAATATGTGGTGCCTTTTCTGTGCCTGCCAATGGCTACCTATGACCCAAGCAGCACATACTTCCTTCCCCATGATGCCCCAACAGCCCCAGACTCAGGGAAAACATCAGGATGAACAGTGGCAGAGTGAAACTACCCACTCTTGGGATGATTTTCCTGCAGACAAGCAATCCACTCTGGGGCCTTTTCTCTACTGAGAGCTGTGGAGATGATGAGATGACTTTCCTGGAAAGAGCAGCAGACACCACTGTGTACTCCAGGGACAAACATGGAAGCTGCTTTTGCTGTGCCTGGTTCATTTGCAGCCTTGCAAAAATCTGGCACCTGTGCTGGCACCTGGAGCTGCCTGCCCCACTGCTGCGGGAGCCAGTGACTGTCCAAAGTGACCAGACCCCCTGCTCACTCACACACCCCTCACTGCTCCAGTCCTGACCCTCCCTTAATAGGCATGTGATCCAGGCCTGAAGCATGAGCCAAGCATAGTCTACCAGTCTGAGTGGGCAGAACAAACCCAGTGAACCCCATCAAAACTCCGGCAAAGGTGCCCCCAGCCATAGAGGCTTCTGGCCAGAAAAGTCACATCCCAAGGATTTCATAAGGGAAAATTACTTAAACACAAAGAAAGACAATAAGAAAGGAAGGATGGAAGAGAGAAGTCTCTAACCAACCAGAAAACAAGAAATTAAATGGGAGTACTAAGCCTTTATCAATAACAACAATGAAGACAATATATCTCAGTTCTGCAAGTGAAAGTCTTAGGGTCGTTGAATGAGTAAAAGAATAAGACCATACTATATGCTGTTTTCCAGAAACTCACTTCACCTATAAGGACACATGTAGTCTGAAAGTGAAGGGGTAGAAAAAGATATTCCATGCAACACACCTGTGTTTCCAGCTAACTGGCAGACTGACATGGGAGGATCATTTCAGCCTGAGAGGCCGAGGCTGCACTGAGCCGAGATTGCACCACTGCACGCCAGCCTTAGAAACAGAGTAAGGCTCTGTCTTTCAAAAGAAGAAGAAAGAAAAGAAAAGCAAAGAAGATGTCTCTTCACATTTTATGCTGCACAGGCATTTTTTTTCTGATCTGCACTGCACTGCCAAGCCAGGTGTATTCTGTTGAGCTCACTTTGCAGCTGCCTTGCTTCTTGTTTATCCTAAGTAGCACCCAGAATAGTAGGTGGCACATTGCAGGCACTCATTCAAAGGTTTTTTTTTTTTGTTTCACATTTTTTTGTCTGTTTGTTTTGTTTGTTTGTTTGTTTTTGAGACAGAGTTTCACTCTTGTTGCCCACCCAGGCTGGAGTGCAATGGCGTGATCTCAGCTCACTGCAACCTCTGCTTCCCGGGTTCAAGCAATTCTCCTGCCACCACACCCGACCAATAGGAAGGGGAGGCACTGGATGTTAATAGTGTCAAATGTGCCAAAATCTTCTCTGTGGTTTTTCCCCAGAGTCTCCCCCTCCAGGGCCACCTGAAAATCCTCAGCCCTGGACAATGCAAGATTTTTTTTGACTGAGGATCACTGTGCTCCTTCTAGATCCATCAGAAAGTGCCAGGCAGTCTGATAGGTCCTGGTTTGACTTACATCTAGCAAGACCTTCACCTGGTTGGCAGGAGTAGATATGGGGGTCACTTGGATGACAGGGACTCCAGTCCAGACCCCATTCTACCTCATTCCCTCCTGCAAAGTTCAATCCTCACAGTCCTATGAGGCTGTGGCAAGTGCAGAGACAGAACTGCACCATATCCAACGTGCCTCCCTTCCCCTGGCCTCACACCAAGTCTCCCTCCCTCTGACATGTCCCTTGTCTTTGCATCCAGGGTGGATGTTTGCCATTGACTCTCTCTCCCCATGTCTCCCTGCTAGACTGACTCTTTGCCCCTGGGGTGAGATGGGGCAGCCACTGGAACCTCATGTAGACCAGGGTGAAATCAAAGGGCCTTAGAAACTCACAGCTCCACATCCAGGCACAGGTCCTTTGAGGATCTCAGACACAAGTCCACAGCTTATCAGGGACGCGGCTCTGTGAAAGCCAAATAACCCGGCCCCCTACCCTGCTGCCATCTCTCTCCTCTGTACTTACTCTGGCCCACATCAGCTCCTCTGGGCCACTCCCTTTCTGGGCCCTGTTCTTTTCCTTAGTCCTCCTGGCTCCATCCAGCCTGCAGCGAGTTCCCAGACCTCCCCCACCCCAGGCTGCCACAAGCACCTTCTTAGGCATCTACTCTGCTTTCAGAGTGAGCTTCTCCTCAGATCTTTATTGGGGAAAAAAGGAGGGGCAGCCCCTGATCTTGGAAAAGACGGTCACAAATGCGACCTGGAATGAGATCCTGTTGAGGACTAAAGAAGTCCAGCAGGGCCTGAACAGTGATTTCTACTGTTAGAAACATGGAGAGGGCAAACACCATGGGCAAAGAAAGCCCTGACTCAGAAACAGACTCACTGCATTCCAGGTGCAGCCTCGTCAGCTCTAAGACTGGGCAAGGGGATCCTAGAAGGGATGGCCCCCTGCACTGGGACCTGTCCCAGGCTCTGCCAACAGCCTGGCACTTCTAGGAAAACCAGAGGAGTCAGCTCTTCCTGTGGAAGGCAGACAAACTTCCCCTCCATTGGTCCTGGGTGCCTCTTTAGGTCCGGAAGAGCAGCTGAGGAGCTCCCTGCTTTGTGCCTTGCTATGTGCACCCAAAAAGCTCAGTAGAATTTGGGGAGAATGTATGAGTCACTGCTGATTCCAGGGAGAGTGTCTCTTAGCATTGTTTGTGGCCATAGTCCTCGGTGCAGGAGAGATCGGCTGACATTTCCAGGAAGCAGAGGATTCAGCTTCTCTCACAGCTCAGGCTGGGGGAGGAAAACAGAAATTCAGAAATATTTTAGAGACCCCCATCAAAAGCCTGGAGAAGCTTTGGAATCCCAGTAGAAATTCTGTGAGTGGAATTGAAGTCAGGCCGTCCCTTCAGATGGGCTCTGAAAGCTACTCTGACCTGGACAGCAGAGGAGCACCTTCAGAAGCACAGGCAACCAGAACATGGTAGAAAGACCCCCGAAACTGCAGGATTCTCACTGGGGTCCTGAGGATGGTGCAGGATTCCCCCAAGAGGTTCATTTTTCTCCCAAATTCTTCAGATACACAGCTTGCACCATTCATGCTTCCAGATTGAAAAGTCTCCCTCCTTATGTCTGACCACACTGCTCCTCTCTGGGCTCTGCCCCAGCTCACACACTCAGATTCACTCTTCCCAAGCTGGTATTCTGAGGGAAGCCCATCCTGTTTGTGAGTAATGATGCTTCACCTTCCAGTAGGAGTCAAGATTGTGTCTGCCCTCTCTGCCCTCAAAGACACTGTGATGTTTTACGAGTCTGCATTATCTCTTTTGTAATTAGGTTTTTTTAATTTTTAAACTCAATGTAGAAGGAAGTCTTTCAATCCTTTTGTCTAGATGCCCACAAAATACCTGCCATGTTTTATGTTGTCTTGGTTCCCTCCTAGGGTCCCATTAGAACAGTCAGTACTGTCCAGCCCAACCTCCACCTCACTTTGTAATTTAGGCCTGATTTCTTTCAGTGATGCCTTGACCTTAACCTTGAGATAAATTACACCCTCAGTAGTTCCTGTCTTCCACCTGAATGGGCATATGATCTACCATGTTAGGTAGCGCAAAACCCAGGTGACCAGTGGATACACTGAGATTTTTATTGTGTTTTTAGGGATGACATCACTGTCTTCTTAAAGCTGTTTTAACTCTGAAAAGTTTTGATACTTTTGATGTGGCCAAAGGTTCTCCAATAAAGATACCATATATAAATATATGTATTTCTAATGTCTGAAACAGATTAAAACCTTCCCTGTATCACTATGAAGGTCACATATTGGTAAAACTTTACCAATATTTATGGAATAAGTGAATAAATGAGTTTTAGTCCTTCACCCTATTATTAATTCTTTCACTTTCATAAATCCATATCTAATTTAATCACTTAATAAGAAGAAAGTTGAAAACTCAATCACCGTTAACTGGGTGGAAGTTCAGGATCCAGTTGGATGTCATTTTTGGATTGGAAGTTGGTAATTGAGAAGGGGGTTGTGGTGAGAAAAGTCAATAAAACTCCTGAAGATGCACAGAAGAGACCCAAAGCCCTGGCTCCTGGAGCTACTGCTTGATTCTCAGAGAGGTCCCAGCACCCTGCAAAGTGAGTCCAGATCTGGCAAGTCACCACTTATTAGGGATGTGCCCGTTTGATCTGATGTTCTGTATAGCATGTCACACAAAAGTCTGGAAGACACTAGCACATACACTGTGAAGAGAAGTCTCAAAAAAAGGGAAGGTTATAGAAGACACTTGCTCTGTGTTTTTGGAATGTTTTGCATTGAGAATTCTGTCCAGAGAAGGGAAAAAGAATGAAAAACAAAGGAAGCTCACCCAAATGTACCTCTATGTACCTTTTACCATGCTGGACTTTCTTTTGTTTTGTTTTCTTTTCTCTCTCTCTCTTTTTTTTTTTTTTTTTTTTTTTGATATGGCATCTCGCTCTGTTGCCCAGGCTGGAGTGCAGTGGCATGATCTTTGATCACTGTAACCTCCACCTCCTGGGTTCAAGCAATTCTCCTCCCTCGGCCTCCCCAGTAGTTGGGATGATACTTGCCACCACGCCCAGTTAATTTTTGTATTTGTTTTTATTATACTTTAAGTTTTAGGGTACATGTGCACAATGTGCAGGTTAGTTACACATGTATACATGTGCCATGTTGGTGTGCTGCACCCAGTAACTTGTCATTTAACATTAGGTATATCTCCAAATGCTATCCCTCCCCACTCCCCACACAACAGGCCCCAGTGTGTGATGTTCCTCTTCCTGTGTCCATGTGTTCTCATTGTTCAATTCCCATCCTATCACAAGGACAAAAAAACAAACACCGCATGTTCTCACTCATAGGTGGGAATTTTTGTGTTTTTAATAGATACAGAGTTTCACCGTGTTGCCCAGACTGGTCTCGAACTCCTGACCTGAAGTGATCCATGCGCCTCAGTCTCCCAAAGTGCTGGGATTACAGACGTGAGCCACCACACCGGGCCAATTGCTGGACTCTCATGTCACACATGGATATGGTATCACAAAGGCAATTTTTTCCATAATCCAATGTATTTATATTATTGGTAGTGAGCTAATGTTGACGTCCCTAAGTTAGCAATTCAGTGGCTATACCCATGACAAACGTTTCCATGCATCACGTGGTCAACAGCATTTGCTCCTGGGTTCAAGAGATTCTCTTGCCTCAGCCTCCTGACTATCTGGGATTACAGGGGCCCGTCACCACACCAGGCTAATTTTTTGTATTTTTAGTAGGGACGGGTTTTTACCACATTGGCCAGGCTGCTCTCAAATTCCTGACCTCGTGATCTGCCTGCCTCGGCCTCCCAAAGTGCTGGGATTACAGGCGTGAGCCACCACGCCTGGCCATTAACCATTCTTAAAATATCACATTGCATTCTTTAAAAGTTTTATATCTTTCATATACATAAATTACAACACAAATATTTATACTCAACTAGTATTCACATTATAGTAAATTTTCTTTTCTTGCTCTGTTGCCCAGGCTGGAGTGCAGTGGTGCGATCTCAGCTCACTGCAACCTTCGCCTCCCGGGTTCAAGTGATTGTCCTGCCTCAGTCTCCTGAATACCTGGGATTACAGGCGAATGCCACCACGCCCAGCAATTTTTTTTGTATTTTGAGTAGAGACGGGGTTTCACCATGTTGGCCAGGCTGGTCTCAAAATCCTGACCTGAAGTGATCTGCCCGCCTCAGCCTCCCAAAATGCTGGGATTACAGGTGTGAGACACCAAGCCTGGCCATGACAATGGCCTCAGCCTCCCAAAGTGCTGGGATTACAGACACGAGCCACCGCTCCTGGCTCATAATAGTAAATTTAAAAAAATACCATATAATATAATCCTTGCAACATTAAATTACACCATCTGATCTGATCTACCAGCAGATGGCACCCGAGACCTATGGATTGGACATTTTACTCTTCTTAGGAATGAATCCAGTCCAGAAATGCCCACCCTGCCCCCTGCTGGCTCCTGGGGCTCTGCTGTTTGGGGGAGTCATGATGAAGTTGTGGCAGAGGGTAGAAGATGAGCCCCATTGCATGCCCTGGGTTCTTGTTGCCTCCCTGTTATCAGGAATAGGAGGTGAGATAGATTGAAAGATGAAAATTGCTGGGACTTCTGCTGAGAAGAGAAAAAAGAACAAGATGTATTCATCTAACTGTATGCCAGTCCCCATGCCAAGCCCTAAACATGAACCATCTTATTGGATCCTTGCAGGGTCCTATAAGCCGTTGGACATCATCCTCATTTTACAGGGACCTGAGGCTCTTGGTTAAGATCCCTGACAGCAATACCAGCCCCTGAATCCTCAGCAGGATCCTTCACTTGGGTGCCCATTATGCAGGCTTCCTCAGCACAGGGAAGGTCACTCATCACCCACAGGCACTTGATTGTTATCCACCCTTTGATCATGTGAGATTCCAGAACACGCTGCACTGGTCTCTTCCTTGATAGGGAGAGAGGGGAGGTGTTATGAGAAAATCTCTCATCGATCTGACCTAGCTCCCTAATAAGAAGTAACTTTTTAAATGTCAGATGGAAATATTTAAAAAGTGTTACATACCTGTGTAGTTTTAGTATTTTACTTAAAGGGAATGTGGCTGTCTTTACTGGCTACAACCAGTTTAATTCAAGAAGGGCTGCTGGTCATCAGGAGAACAAGCAAGGGTTGGTGCTGCCCAGAGTCTCCAGCTAATACACAATATGGACATCCCCTTCCAGGGCAGCGGGAAGAGAGTGGCTCCTTGTGCAGTGAAGCTGACATCCACCAACTAAGGCTTCTGGAACCATGTGGAGACTCACAAGGAGTGGGCAGGGTCTCAGCATCTGGCTAGCAGTGAAAGACCCTGAGAAGAAGGTGCTTTCCACGTGGATTGGCTCACTGTTCTTGCCCAGTAATGTTCCAGACCCTTGGTTTCCACCTAGTGTGTATTAACCCACTGAACAGCCACAGAAACTAACAAGGAATTAACAGACATCTAAAGAAGTGAAGAACTGGAGGAGGCCAAGCCAATCGTGGTGGTCCACGCCTATACTCCCTGCATTTTGGGAGGCCAAGGCAGGAGAATCACAAGCTCAGGAGTTCCAGATCAGCCTGGGCAAGACAGCGAGACCTTGTCACCACTTAAAAAAACAAGCAAACAGGCATGGTTGCTCACACGCCTGTAGTCCTAGCTCCTCAGGAGGCTGAGGTGGGAGGATCGCTTGAACCCAGGAAATTGAGGCTGCAGTGAGCTATGATTGTGCCGCTGCACTCTAGCCTGAGTGACAGGAGACCTTTAAAAAACAAAAACAAAAACAAGCCTGACACAGTGGCTCACGCCTGTAATCCCAGCACTTTGGTAGGCCTACTTGCGTGGATCACCCAAAGTCAGGAGTTTGAGAACAGTCTGACCAACATAGTGAGGAAACCCTGTCGCTACTAAACATACACAAATTAGCTGGGCATGGTGGTGCATGCCTGTAATCTCAGCTACTTGGGAGGCTGAGGCAAGAGAATCATTTAAACCCCAGGTGGAGGTTGCAGTCAGCTGAGATGGCACCATTGCACTCTAAACTCCAACCTGGTCAACAAGAGTGAAACTCTGTCTCAAATAAAAGAATGGGAGGAAACTGATTACAATAACCAAATTTCATTTAAATGCCTTGATTTTCTTGGGTAGCATCTTATTGATTGGACAACTCAGTGCCTTTTGTTTTTTCCGTCAATAACTGAAGATTCCTGAGGCTTAAACTGGAAAACAGGTTACTTAATAATAGAGGGCACCAGACAGTTACCACTCAGTTTTCCTTTATTTCTGATTGTTTCTTTACAACCATGCATCCAAGAGTAACTCCCTCAAGTATTCTCAAGCCTCCACTCTAGACATTCAAATTCCCATTTTCCACTCTACAGGACACAGGTCCCCAAAGTCCCATCGAATCCATGGCAACACTTCCCCCAAGTCCTGCCCCTGCTTGATCACCTTTCCTTTCCCACTTTCAGAGCCCATGTGTGAAATGATGGGTTCTGTGCTCCCTATAGGATGTACCTAAGACCTAGGTTTTAGTTTCCAAGTGTCCAGAAGAAAGCGTTTGACATATCCACCCAAATAGGCAGGCATTCAACAGCAGCATTGATCTGCCTCCAGGTCATAAAATGACCTGTTGCCACAGTCAGGGCAGCAGTCAGTACAGAACAAGATCCTCTTGGGGTGCCTTAAGTCCCTCACTCTCTTCATCAGCTCAGCCCTAATTTGAGGAAATCTGCTCCAGCAGAGAGTACCATCAGCATCATAACTCTCCCGGGGGGCAGGATACAGCTCCACGCATAAGTTTTTGAGTATGATTGTGTGGCTCAGCAGGTTCTCCAGGGTGGCCATGGAGATGGGATTTCCACAGAAGCTGAAGGTGTTGAGCTCAAAGCAGCGGCTCAGGGCAGGCAGGATGGCGTTGACTTGGGAGTCTATGATGCCACAGTCATCTAAATCCAGGTACTCAAGGGTGGCTGCAACTTTTTCTAGGAGAATTTGGAGAGGCACAAGACTGTAATTGGTCAGTCTGATGCCACTCAGGTCCAGGGTCTTTAGTTGACTGATACTCGGGCACTGGGATAGATGCTTCAAGTCTGATTCCAAAAGCACACAGTTAGTTATTGTGAGGACCTTTAACGAGGTCTTCAGACAGCTGGGGAGAGAGAGCAAGAAGTTAATTCTGGGGAATCATAGGGGTGAGTGGAGGGTGGTGGGGAATGGCTTCAAGGTAATGGATGGAGACCATTTTGCCCAAGTCCAGGGTCATTCTGATGGCCTGATGGTCAACATTTAGGATGATGTGTGATGAAGAGCTTTGCCACCGAGGTCAATTCCACTTTAGGCCCGGCCCAGTAACTCACACCTGTAATCCCAGCACTTTGGGAGGCTGAGACTGGTGGATTCCTTGAGATCAGGAGTTTGAGACCAGCCTGCTGAACATGGCAAAACCTCCTCTCTACTAAAAATCCAAAAATTAGCCAGGTGTGGTGGCGGGAGCCTGCAATTCCAGCTACTTGGGAAGCTGAGGCAGAAGAATCGCTTGAACCCAGGAGGTGTAGGTTGCAGTGAGCAGAGATCATGCCACTACACTCCAGCCTGGGTGACAGAGAGAGACTCCGCATTAAAAAAAAAAGGAGAAAAAAATAATTCCATTTGAGGCTGAGTCACTTCACCATCATTTATAGGAATGGATCAAGTTCACAGAATCCCTAAAGCTCCCTTTCCTCATCTGTCAGGCAGAAAACCACATCCCTGGGCCACAGGAGCCCAGTGGAGATTCAGGCATAAAGGACAAACCCAGACAGGATCCTGCAACATCAGCTACGGTGGGCGGGCTGCAGGCGTCCCTGACAAGCCTGTATCATCAGCAAACCATCTATCACTTTCACCATTCTTTGTGCCTGCTCCCTGACCCTCTGTTTCAGAATCATGCATTTCCTAGGTAATTAATTTACCTGGAGCTCAAAAGAAACTTTTACAACACGGAATTAGAGATGGGATCATTCATGTTCACGAAACTGTGGGGCACAAAGCTGATTTTCTGACATGTGCAGGTTTGCTGAGCATTCCCCTCTTCAGTGCCCACTTCACTTCCCTACTTCACATCATCTTCTTAAAAATTATCTTGTTGGCTGGGCGTGGTAGCTCTCGCCTATAATCCCAGCACTTTGGGAGTCCAAGGTGGGTGGATCACCTGAAGTCAGGAGTTGGAGAATAGCCTGGCCAACATGGTGAAACCCTGTCTCTACTTAAAATATAAAAATTAGCCAGGTGTGGTGGCTCACGCCTGTAATCCCAGGCACTCAGGAGGCTGAGGCAGGAGAATCGCTTGAACCTGGGAGGCAGAAGTTGCTGCGAGCTGAGATGTCACAACTGCACTGTAGCCTGGACGATCAAAGTGAAACTCCATCTCAGAAAAGAAAGTTATCTTGTTTGTTTTTACTTTTATTTATTCATTTCTGACAGGGGTCTTGGTATGTTACCCAGACTGGTCTTAAACTCCTAGGCTCAAGCTATCCTCTTGCCTCAGACTCCCAAACTGCTAGGATTACAGGCATGAGCCACCGCCCCTGGCCTATTTTTCATCATCTTAACTTAGACACACATCCTCAGGAAGAATTCAGAAAGGCACCCTCACTAGATCTGAACCCCCCAGGAGCTAGCTTCCTAGCATGGCAGCCTCTCCATAGCATCTCCCCTAGCTGATCCCTCTGCCTCTATTGGGAGGGTTGCATGATACCCATTTCAGGACAGGGCCGCCAACAGGACAATGCATGGACATTCTAGTGTCCCCTTCACTGTTTCATCCTCATAGGCTGGCTCACAGTAGATGCCCACTAGCGTTTACTGTAACAGGCTCTGCTGTGGTCTGCAGAGAAAGCTCACCACCCTCCCTCACCTGAGCAGCTGGTCCAGGTGGCCTTCGAGGAAAGAAACAGAGTTCATAGAAAGCTTTTGGAGGCAGCACAGCTTGAGGAACTGAGTGGTGAACTGGGTAACAATCTCCTTCTTCTGCTCTGGGGAAACGTAGCGAGAGACATCCATGTGGGAGAGAACGAGCTTCTGAAGATTCCTCATGTGGCCCAGGTATGGGGTAAACTGTGTCAGGATGGGCAGTACCCACTTGCAATTCACTTCCACCTCCTGGATACAGTCTAGGTTCACCATTTTCAGGATGCTTCTGATATTGCGGAAGGGCATTCCCAAAATTTTCAGCTTCTTACAGCACAGGTGTAGTAAATCTTTCCTCTGCTTGACCCATAGAAGGAGGCAGGTGAGGTATTCATCCAGAGTCCTGTTCTTGAGCCAAAGTTCTACGAACACAGTCAAGGGCTGCTGTCCTCTCATCCTTGGACAGTCCTGCACTGGTTTTTTGTTCCTCTTGGCATTGAGGAAGCACCCATGGGCCATAGCTTCAGACCAAACCATCCAGAAGTTCTCACAGACATCCTGTAAATCCAGCACTTGAAGTTTCCACCTCCTGTGGGAAAATAGAGGTGAGAATGAGAATTTCAGAACTCATTTCTGAACTTAAACTCCACATCCTGGAGAGCAGCTCCTCCCCTCCCTGCTTCTTGTCCCTCTCTCTGACTTTTCTTCACCCTGTTTTCCCCTTGGATCCTGCCCACTTCCACATTTTTTTGTTTTTCTTTTGAGACCACGTCTCCCTCTGTCGCCCAGGCTGGAGTGCAGTGGTGTGATGTCACCTCACTGCAACCTCTGCTTCCCGGGTTCAAATGATTCTCCTGCCTCAACCTCACAAGTAGCTGGGATTACAGGAACCCACCACCATGCCCAGCTAATTTTTGTATTTTTAGTAGAGTTGGGGTTTACCATGTTGGACAGGCTGGCCTCCAACTCTTGGCCTCAGCCTCCCAATGTGCTGGGATTACATTGTGAGCCACCGTGCCCGGCCCAGTTCTCACTTTTCATGGTGCCTTTCAGTGCCATTAGAGGAGAGGTTCCTGTTACCTCCATGGACCTTGCGTGGTGAGCAGTGCTTTCCCTGAGGAGCTGGTGAATGGCCAAGTCCTCTCGGCTTCCTCACCACCACCATCCCCCTTGGGCCTCCTCACTTGTCATGACACAGCTCTTCCTTTGGTTGGATACCTGGGCCCTCCCCACCAGCCCACCTGGGCCACCTCACCTGGGATGAACCCCTTGGGTAAGCAGTGCATCCAGCCCATCGAGCACAGCTTGGAAGGCCTCCAGACAAGGCATCTTTATCAGAGGCCTCAGAGGGAGGCGGCGGAAGGGCCAGGCCTGCACCATCAGCTTCAGGGCCTCACAGCGTCTCCTGCTGAAGGCCTCCATGAACAGTGGGGGGAAAAGTTCTGTGGGCAGCTCCTCCAGGGTGGACATGGCCAAGGCTTGGTCCCTCAGCAGGCTCCGCCCTGCAAGCTCCAGGAGTCTGGGTGGAGTCCGGATGCTCATCTTCACGAATCTGCAGGGAAAACTTCCAGAGGACAAACCCAGAGAAAAGGCATCACTCTCAGGCCAAGCCCATGCAATCTTATCTTCTCCCAAGGCCAAAGTCACTGCTCTGGCAATGGTGAAACAGCCCTCAGTTTACTCCAATTCTGCCCTGTACTCAGTGGCCATTAAGCCAGCATTCTGCCTCTGCTGCATCAGCATGAGCGTCTCCGAAGCAGTGAGGAAGCAGGGCCACCACGAGCCCTTCCTTTCTATCCAGTGCTCCATCCAGTGACTAGTGAGTGTGGAGGAACCTGAAAGTGAACCCCTCCTACCATTGGGGGAAATTACTAATTACTCAAGGTTCTAAAACAATGGGAATGGGAATGTCACAAGCCTACATGCCCACATTTTCAGTTCCTACAAATAAGCTTGTTGGGAACATTCATGGGGCATCCCTAGAACAGGTTCTATTTGTTTTCTTTTCATTATTTAAGCTTGCTTTCTCTTTCTCTCTCTTTCTTCTTTCCTTCTTTCCCTCTCTCCCTCCCTTCTTTCTTTGTTTCCTCCTCTCTCTCCCTCTTTCTTTCTTTCCCCCTCTCTCTGCCTTCTTTCTTTCTTGTCTTCTTTCCCTGCATCCCTTCTCTCATTCTCTCTCTCTTTCTCTCTCTCCCTCTCTCACTCTTTCTGACAGGGTCTTGCTCTGTCACCCAGCCTGGAGTGTAGTGGTGGGATCTCAGCTCAGTGCAGCCTTGACCTCCCAGCTCAAAGGATTCTTCCTCCTCAGCCTCCCAAGTAGCTGGGACCACAGTTATGCATCACCACACCCAGCTCATCTTTTATTTTTTGACTTTTTGTAAAGACAGTGGATTTCGCTATGTTGTCCAAGCTGGTCTTGAACTCCTAGTCTCAAGCAATCTACCCCTGTTGGCCTCCCAACATACTGGGATTATAGGTGTGAGCCTCCACCCCTGCCTCATTATTGAAAATTTCAGTGAGAAGCTCTGAAAGCTATGTGACACTGTTATGCATTACTCACAAGATAGATGTTTCCAATGCACACCTCTTACACATATTCAAAGTGAACCACTTTGGCTGGGTGCAGTGACTCACACCTGTAATCTGAGCATTTTGTGAGGCCGAGGCAGGTGGATCATCTGAGATCAGGAGTTCAAGACGAGCCTGGCCAACATGGTAAAACCCTGCCTCTACTAAGACAGCAAAAATTAGCCAGGTGCAGTGGTCTGCGCCTGTAGTCCAAGCTACTAGGGAGGCTGAGGTAGGAGGATCGCTTGAATCCAGGAGGCAGAAGTTGCAGTGAGCTGACATTATACCACTCCACTCCAGCCTGGGAAATAGGCTAGATTGAACAGAGAGACAGAGAGAGCTACATTTGATTAGAATTCTTAATCTCTACCCAGTTAATCCTGATTGGATTTTTGCCTTTCTTAAATATTAACTGATCAAATTAGATATTCATTCATCAAAATGAAAGATTTAGGGATAGGGTGAAAGTCCAGGACTCATTCACTGATTCCCTTCACAAACATGGGGTTTTACTAATATGTGTCCTTCAAAGTCCTGAGTGTGAGACAGGGAAGGGTTGAACCTCTTCCTGATATTAGACAGAAAGAAAGAAAACTTGAAAGTATCTTTGTTGAGGGATCCTTGGCCATGCCAAGTTTATCAAAATATTTCAGGGTTAAAACAGTTTTCAGAGACAGAGATGACAGTCCCTAAGAAAACACAATAGAAATCTTCATATATCCAATGATCACCTAGGTGGCATAAGTCTTTTTGGTGTTGAGGGAGCTGAATCTCACTTCATCGGCCAGGCTAGAGTGCAGTGGTGTCATTTCGGCTCACTGTTGCCTCGGCCTCCAAGATTCAAGCAATTCTCATGCTTCAGCCTTCCACATAGCTGGGACTACAGGCATGCACCCCCTGCAGCCATGTCTCCATTTGGGTGGAAGAGGATGTGATTGGTTTAAAATTAAGGTCAAAGATCCTTTTTGATTGATTTTGTTTTTGTTTTTTGGACAGGGTGTCTCTCTTTTGCCCAGGCTGGAGTACAGGAGTGGTATGAGCATGGCTCACTGCAGCCTCAATCTTCTGGTCTCAAGTGATTCTCCCACACCAGACACCCAAATAGCTGGGACTACAGATGCATGTCACCATGCTCGGCTAATTTAAAAAAAAAAAAGTAGAGGCCAAGCACCAGTGACTCACAGCTGTAATCCCAGCACTTTGGAAGGCCAAGGCAGGTGGATCACTTGAGGTCAGGTGTTCGAGACCAACCTGGCCAGCATGGTGAAACCCCACCTCTACTAAAAATACAAAAATTAGCCAGGCATGGTTTCAGATGTCTGTGACACCAGCTTCTGAGGATGGAGACTGAGGCATGAGAATTGCTTGAACCCGGGAGGTAAAGGTTGCAGTGATTTGAGATCGTGCCACTGCACTCCAGTCTGGGCAACACAGTGAGACTCCATCCCCACCCTCAAAAAAAAAAAACGTTGTGTAGAGGAGGGCTTTTGTCATGTTGCCCAGGTTGGTCTCAAACCCCTGGGCTGAAATGATCCTCCCACTTTGGCCTCCCAAAGTGTTGGGGTTAAAGGCATGAGTTATTGCTCCCTTCAAGAATTTTAAAATGGCATCAACCAAAGCACAATCAACTTTTTTGAAATAAA
Source organism: Homo sapiens (assembly GCF_000001405.40). NCBI lineage: Eukaryota > Metazoa > Chordata > Mammalia > Primates > Hominidae > Homo > Homo sapiens. Next base: position 13,256,599 of record NC_000001.11, on the reverse strand, counting down.
GACAGAACTGCATTTAGAGGAAAACATTCAAAGCTTCAAATTGTTCATATGAAAAAAAAAAAGGACAGGATATAGCTCTGTGCCATCGTAGGCTGTACTGTCACCACCCCAGACCGACTGACTGTAGGTCAGATGGGAGTGTCCTTACAGAAATTAGTGACTTACCAGATCTGGATGTAGTCTAGAAGGTGCTCAGTCCTCAGGAAGAACCAAGCAGGAACTCTAGGCTTGAAGACTTTGGGTCTCTCCTGTGGGTCTTTAGAAGCTTTTATTGACCTTTCTAATCACAACTCCCACCCACGCCCCTGCACATATCCGCTGCTACCTTCCAATCAAAAAATGATATCTGATTGCATTTGTGAAGCTCCACCCAGTTAATCCTGATTGGGTTTTTGGCTCTCCCCAGATTACCGGATTGAATCAGATGTCCATTCATATCACATATCTATATTCACTTCATGAAGCAAGAAATCGACAGTGTTAGGGATAGGGTAGAAGTCAAGAATACATTCATTCAAGGCCAGACGAAGTGGCTCACACCTGTAATCCCAGCACTCTGGGACGCAGAGGTAGGTGGATTATCTGAGGTCAGGAGTTTGAGACAAGCCTGGCCAACATGGTAAAACCCTACCTCTACTAAAATTACAAAAATTAGCCAGTTGCGGTGGTCTGCGCCTATAGTCCAAGCTACTAGGGAGGCTGAGACAGGAAGATCGCTTGAACCCAGGAGGCAGAGGTTGCAGTGAGCTGACAATACACCACTGAACTCCAGCCTGGGAAATAGGCTAGATTCAAAAAAAAAAAAAAAAAAAAAAAAAAAAAAGAAAAAGAAAAAGGAGAGAGAGAGAGCTAGATTTGATTCGAATTTACCCAGTTAATCCTGATTGGATTTTTGGCTTTCTTCCAGATTTACTGATGGAATTAGATATTCACCCATCAAAGTGAAAGATTTAGGGATGGGGTGGAAGCCCAGGACTCATTCACTGATTCCCTTCACAAACAAAATGGGGTTTTATTAATATGTGTCCTTCACAGTCCTGAGTGTGAGATAGGGAAGGGTTGAATCTCTTCCTGATATTAGACAGAAAGAAAAAACTTGAAAGTATCTTTGTTGAGGGATCCTCGGCCACATCAAATTTATCAAAATATTTCAGAGTTAAAACAGTTTTCAAAGACAGAGTTGACAGTCCCCAAGAACACACAATAGAAATCTTCATGTATCCAATGATCACCTGGGTGGTATAATCTAATTTTTTTTGGTGTGGGGGAAGCTGAGTCTCACTTTGTCGCCCAGGCTGGAGTGCAGCGGCGCCATCTCAGCTCACTGTAACCTCCACCTCTGAGATTCAAGCAATTCTCATGCTTCAGCCTTCCACGTAGCTGGGATTACAGGCATGCACCCCCACACCCATGTCTCCATTCGAGTGGAAGAATTACAGTGAGGACGTGATTGGTTTAAAATTAAGGTCATAGATCCTTTTTGGTTAAGATATTGTTTTTGTTTTTTGGACAGGGTCTCTCTCTTTTGCCCAGGCTGGAGTACAGCAGTGGTGTGAGCATGGCTCACTGCAGCCTCAATCTTCTGGGCTCAAGTGATTCTCCCACACCAGCCACCCAAATAGCTGGGACTACAGATGCATGTCACCATGCTCGGCTAATTAAAATAAAAAAAAGTAGAGGCCAAGCACCAGTGACTCACAGCTGTAATCCCAGCACTTTGGGAGGCCAAGGCAGGTGGATCACTTGAGGTCAGGTGTTCGAGACCAACCTGGCCAGCATGGTGAAACCCCACCTCTACTAAAAATACAAAAATTAGCCAGGCATGGTTTCAGATGTCTGTGACACCAGCTTCTGAGGATGGAGACTGAGGCATGAGAATTGCTTGAACCCGGGAGGTAAAGGTTGCAGTGATTTGAGATCGTGCCACTGCACTCCAGTCTGGGCAACACAGTGAGACTCCATCCCCACCCTCAAAAAAAAAAAAACGTTGTGTAGAGGAGGGCTTTTGTCATGTTGCCCAGGTTGGTCTCAAACCCCTGGGCTGAAATGATCCTCCCACTTTGGCCTCCCAAAGTGTTGGGGTTAAAGACATGAGTCATTGCTCCCTTCACGAATTTTAAAATGGCATCAACCAAAGCACAATCAACTTTTTTGAAATAAAGACAGAACTGCATTTAGAGGAAAACATTCAAGCTTCAAATTGTTCATATGAAAAAAAAAAGGACAGGATATAGCTCTGTGCCATCGTAGGCTGCACTGTCACCATCCCAGACCGACTGACTGTAGGTCAGATGGGAGTGTCCTTACAGAAATTAGTGGCTTACCAGATCTGGATGTAGTCTAGAAGGTGCTCAGTCCTCAGGAAGAACCAAGCAGGAACTCCAGGCTTGAAGACTTTGGGTCTCTCCTGTGCGTCTTTAGAAGCTTTTATTGACCTTTCTAATCACAACTCCCACCCACGCCCCTGCACATATCCGCTGCTACCTTCCAATCAAAAAATGATATCTGATTGCATTTGTGAAGCTCCACCCAGTTAATCCTGATTGGGTTTTTGGCTCTCCCCAGATTACCGGATTGAATCAGATGTCCATTCATATCACATATCTATATTCACTTCATGAAGCAAGAAATCGACAGTGGTAGGGATAGGGTAGAAGTCAAGAATACATTCATTCAAGGGTGGGTGAGGTGGTTCATAGCTGTAATTCCAGCACTTTGGAAGGACAAGGTGAGTAGATCACCTGATGTCAGGGGTTCAAGACGAGCCAGGTCAAAAAGGTGAAACCCTGTCTCTACAAAAATACAAAAATACAAAAATTACCTGGGCATGATGGCAGGTGCCTGAAACCCAGCTACTTGGGAGGCTGAGGCAGGAGAATTGCTTGAACCCAGGAGGCAATGGTTGCAGTGAGCCAGAATTGTGCCACTGCACTCCAGTCTGGGTGACAGAGGGACATTCTGTCAAAAAATAAAAAAATCATTCATTCATGAACTCCACAAACACTGATGGTATTTTACTAATATGTGAACTTCATAGTCTTGAGTGACAGGCAGGGAAGGATTTGATCTGTTCCCAACATTAGACAGAAAAATAAAATCTGAAAGTAGTGTTGTTAGGAGATCTTTGGCCACATCAAAATATAAAAATGCTTTCTACTTTAAAAAGCTTTATAAAAACAGAGGAGTCGTCCCTAGGAAATCAGAATAAAAATCTCAATGTATTGAATGGTCTTCGGGATTTTGTATAACCTAAGGTAGCAGATTACATGCTCATTCTGGTGGAGGAGAGGTGCCACTGAGGGCGTGAGTGGTCTCAGGGCTTAGGTTAAGTCTTCTTTGGAAGAAATTGAAGCCACATCGATAAACTTTATAAATTTAATCAGTGAAGAAGGGAGGGAGAGAAACAAAAATAAACCAAGCTTGGAACACATTCAGCATTCATCAGGAGGTCTTCTTGCTCTCTGACCTGGTTCCTCATGGTTGCTGGCAACCTACTGTTCCAAAATCATATAGACCTTAGATTACAGTTCCCCTTAACTTCCCTGCAGACAACCATTTAAGCATTGTAAAACATTAACTTTTTCATCTGAGATATTCTTTCAGGTTCTGCATGTCAGTGAATCTACTGATGCCAGCTGATCTGAAGGGCCCTGCAATGCACCAACTCACCAAAGAATGCAGTTTCTACATCCTGTTGACTTCTTCCCTCTTACCGCTACCCCAACTTTCCGGCCCCTTGCTATCCAGGATCCACTGGAAACCCTCAGTACTCCTTGGGGAGATGAATTTGAGGATCTCCTCCTAGCTTCTCATTCAGCCACCTTGTGATCATTAAACTCTCTGCTGCAAACCCTGCTGTCTCAGAATATTGCTAAGCTACTGTGCAGCAGGCATAGGAACCTGATGGTCCTGTAATAAAGTCATGTCAAAATTACAAATGGAAGTGAGGGTGGAGCTGGTCAGGGTTGAGCTGGGTTTTTAATGGGAACCTGGGAGTGAACCAAGACTTGCTGAACATGTTGGGGGTTATCGAGTGGGTGTAAGAGGAATCTATCTAACATTGCACTGATGCGCTTTTGGTTTTAATCCTCATGACCAAGTATGAGTCTTTCAAAACAATTTGTATAATCCTCCTTATTTTTCCTTTCAAAACCTTCAACTTCCTTTATCTCCCCAAATAATCTCACATCTATTCCCATTTCTTTGCTTACTACATAATAAACATTTTTTTTACAGAGTCTTCTTCTCTGTTAAGTAGACCACATATGTTGTTGCCACACAAGATGAGCAACCTGGTTCTATGGACAGAAAGGGTCAAAAGGATCCCATTCCTCAACAGCTGGGGGTGATGTAAAGGTCATGGTTATTCTTTGTCATATCTGCACCTGCATATTGCCAGTGAAAACTTGCAGGTTACATTGGGCAGGCTTCCAAATTCACCACCTGTGGAAGGTCTTTTGCTTGGCTTACATCCTGTCCCTGAGTAAAGAATCTCATGGTGAGTTCATGAGTGCCTCAAACTCTGCAAGTATTGATGAAGGCTTCCACCCACTGACAGTGAGAAGGCACTGATTTGATGGTGATCATGAAGTTTTGCTGGTTGTCTTGCAAGGAATATGTTTTATTCTTTTATCTTGTCATCTAAAGCCAATGATTGTAACCTCTGTATTGTCTCTTCCAATGGAAAAAACGAAAACAAAAACTCAACTCTATTTGAGCCTTGTCAGGTCAATAAAACAAAAGAAAATTTAAAAAAATAATTGATAGGAGGAGTCCCATTCCCAGCCTGGGCAATAGAGTGAGACTCCATCTCAAAAGAAAAAAAAAAAAAGGCCGGGCACGGTGGTGGCTCACACCTGTTATCCCAGCACTTCAGGAGGCCAAGGCAGGTAGATCCCGATGCCAAAAAATTGAGACCATCCTAGCCAACATGGTGAAACCCTGTCTCTGCTAAAAATACAAAAATTAGCTGAGCATGGTGGCGCCCACCCATAATCCTAGCTACTCGAGAGACTGAGGCAGGAGAGTCGCTTGATCTCAGGAGGAGGAGGTTGCAGTCAGCCAAGATTTCACCACTGCACTCCAACTTGGTGACAGAGCGAGACTCCATCTCAAAACAAACAAACAAGGAAACAAACACAAATGAACAAACAAAGGAAAAAGCTGGAAAAATAAGTTCTGAAAGAATTTCCATCTCTATGAATTCATCTTCAGAAGTGATAGCATTTCCTGCTTGGCATTTTTCGCCTACATTTTTGGCATAAGATCTATCAACAAAAAAGTATGAACCCAGGTTTGTGTAATGGAATATCTTAAACATCAATAGGAGGAGTCAATAGTTCTGATGCCACACACACATATATGGTCTTCTCCATCATCAGAAAATGGCAACAAAGTGGTAGAGTTATGCAGAGTGTAGCATTTGAAATGGAGATTTGAAGGTGACAAGGAAAGGATTTTGTAAGACATTAGTGTACAAGTTGAGCAATGTTGGTTCCTGTCACAGTATTTTTATTTATTTTTTTATTTATTTTATTCATTTATTTTTTGAGATGGAGTCTCACTGTGTCACCAGGCTGGAATGCAGTGGCACGATCTCAGCTCATTTCAACCTCTGCCTCCCCGGTTCAAGCAATTTTCCTGCCTTAGCCTCCTAAATAGCCGGGACTACAGGTACATGCCACTACACCTGGCTAATTTTTTGTATTTTTAGTAAAGACGGGGTTTCACCATATTAACTAGGATGGTCTCAATCTCCTGACTTCGTGGTCTGCCTGCCTCGGCCTCCCAAAGTGCTGGATTACAGGCCTCAGCCACCATGCCTGGTCGGTTCACATCAAAATTTAAGAGGTATTCAATTGCATATGAAACTTGTAGGCAAAATTTATTTCTTTTTTCTTTAAAGCATTAATTTATTTATTTATAATGTATTTATTTATTAATTTTTTTTTGAGATGGAGTTTTATTCTTGTTTTCCAGGCTAGAGTTCAATGGTGCGATCTCAGCTCACTGCAACCTCTGCCTCCCGGTTCAAGTGATTCTCCTGCCTCAGTCTCCCAGTTAGCTGGAATTACAGGCACAGGCCACCACACACAGCTAGTTTTTGTATTTTTAGTAGAGACAGAGTTTCACCATGTTGCCCAGGCTGGTCTGGAACTCCTGACCACAGGTGATGCACCCACCTCGGCCTCTGAAAGTGCTGAGATTACAGGTGTGAACCACCGTGCCCGGCCTACACTCATCACTTTTAATACTTTCTACATCACATGAGGAAGAAGAGCAGAAACACTTGAGTACTTCATGAAGGTCAAGGTTGGTATGAGTTTGGGTTCTAATATGATCAATTTCTGCTTCTAGGGAACCAAGCAGCTCAGGTTAAGGAAGGTCAGGAAACTCTAGGGTTTTCTCTCCCTTCAAAGAAAGCTTTACGTATCACCTTAATGGAGAAAGCAAATCTCATCCCCATGTTGTCACCTAATAAAAAGCCATACTTTCCTAAAAATGGTCCAAATGTCATTTGGACTGCTTTGAACACAGGAATTTTCTGAGCTTCATGTGAAGCTTTCAGTGAATTTCATGTGAATTCACTCCTGGTCCAATGAAGCCATTTCCTGGCATGGCCAAAGATCAGGAACGGATTCCTCTGGATCTGTCCATTAGGAGTGAGCAGGGTCTCAGTATCTGGGGAGCAGTGAGGGCCCCTGAGAAGAGGGTAGGTTTCAGTGGCTCATCATCACTGCCCACACAGAATGTTCCAGGCCCCAAGTGTGCATCCTTTGTGAATGAACCCAGTGAACAGGCATGGGAGAAATTAAGGAAGAAACAGATGACTGAAAGGAAGCAAAAAATGAGTGAGAACTAATCAAAATGATCACATTTCAGTTTTGATGCCTTGATTTGCTGCAGCTGAACCTCAATCACAGATGACGTAGTACCTCTCATCAGTAACTAGAGATTTCTGATATATAAATGGCTAAAACAGGTTGATCAATCATGGAAGACACCAGAAAGTTTCCATTCAGGTTCCATTTATTTTTGACATTTTTAAATAACCATCCTTGCGAGGGTAACTCCTGCATCATTCTAGAACTTCAGGTTCCATTTCCGAGTCTAGGAAACAGGTCCCTGAAGGCTTTATTGATGCCAAGTCAGCATTTTCACCAAGTCCTGCCCCCAGCTGAGTCACCTTTGTTTTTCCACTCACAGTCAGCACGTGCCTGAAACACATGACCGTGTGCTTCCTTTAAGATGCACCTGACCGGGCCAGGCTGCTCATGCCTGTAAACCCGGCACTGTGGAAGTCCAAGGTAGTCAGATCACTTGAGGTCAGGAGTTTGAGGCCAGCCTCCTCCAACATCGTGAAACCCTGTCTCTACTAAAAATACAAAAATTACACTTTGGGAGGCCGAGGCGGGTGGATCACGAGGTCAGGAGATCGAGACCATCTTGGCTAACTTGGTGAAACCCTGACTCTACTAAAAATACCAAAAATTAGCTGGGTGTGGTGGTGGGCACCTGTAGTCCCAGCTACTCTGGAGGCTGAGGCAGGAGAATGGCGTGAACCCTGGAGGCGGAGGTTGCAGTGAGCCGAAATCGTGCCAGTGCACTCCAGCCTGGGTGACAGAGCGAGACTCTGTCTCAAAAAAAAAAGAAAAAAAATACAAAATTAGCTGGATGTGGTGGTGCATGCCAGTAACACCAGCTACTAGGGAGGCTGAGGCAGGAGAATCACTTGAACCTGGGAGGTGGAAGTTGCAGTGAGCTGAGATTGTGCCAGTGCACTTCAGCCTGAGGGACAGAGTGAGACTCCATCAAAAAAAAAAAGCACCTGTGTCCTAGATTTTAGTGCCCAAGGGTCCAGAAGAAAACGTGTCCATCCCACTAGCCAGGCCTTCCCTAAGAGCAAAGATGGAGGTCCACTTTCTCAGATGGCCATGAGCCACAGGAAGGGCAGGGGACGGGACCAAAAAAGATCCTCTTGGGCTGCCTGACTTCCCTGAGTGTACACATCAGCTCAGCCCGAATTGGGGCAAGGATCTCCCAATTGGCATGACCCCTGTTGTCAAGACTCTCCAGACGGGAAGGATACAACTCCAGGCCTAACTTGCTCAGCCCACCTGTGTGACACAGAAGGTCTTTCAGAGCATTCATGGAAGTCTCGTTTCCTTGAAAGTAGAAGGTGGTGAGCTGGGAGCAGTGGCTCAGGGCAGGCAGGAGGACCCTGAGTTGGGAGTCCTGGATCTGACAGTCCTTTAACGTGAGGGTCTCAAGAGTAGCAGCAACTTTCTCTAGCAGAGCTCCAAGGGGCTCAAGATTGGTGGTCCACATTAGGATATGAATCAGATGCAGCTCCTTTAGCTGACTGAGGCTTGGGTACTGAGACAGACACTCCATGTCCCGATCAGCTAGGTAAGCATGACAGAATATAAAGGCCCCCAAGAGGTTCTTGAGGCACCTGGGGAGAGCAAGAAATTAGTTATGGGCAATGGTGCCAGTTAGAGGAGAGGGGTGGGAAATCATCTCAATGGTAAACTTGAAGTGGGCATTGAGTAATTCTGCACCTTACTACCACACAGGTGTTATAGTAACTGCAATGGGGAAGCCTGTTTCACCCAAACACAAGTTTGTTCCCATCATCAGATGATGGTCTGTGTGCAAGGTGCTGCCTGATGAAGACTCAGATCATTCAGGGGCAGCTCCATTTTAGGCTCAGTCCTTTCAGCCTTGCTTGTGTGATTGGTTCAAGGCCACAAAATCTTTAAAGCCTCTTTACTGCATCTTTCAGCAGACAACCTCATCTCTGGGCCAGAGGAGCCCAGTGGGAGATGTGCACAAAGAACTCAACTGAGCAAGGTCTAGGGACATCAGCTAGGGCCACCTGCCTGCAAAGGTTCCCTGACGTGCCCGCGTCTGCAAACCACCTATCACTTTATACCACTCTCCTGCCTACTCCCTCACCTCTGTCCAAGAAGCATGCTTTTCTCATGTCAACTACTTTTCCTGGGGTTCAAAAGAACCTTTTACAGACAGAGAATTAGAGGCAGGATCATTGGTGTTTACTAAGCTGTGAGGACGGAGCTTCTACTGTGAAACGCACAGGTTTGATGCACTTTCCCTTCTTTCATACTCTCCTCTATATGAAGAGTAAGTTTCATCATATTAACTTCAAACGCACTTCCTAAAAAGGAATTCACAAATGCACCCTCCCTAGATCTGAACCCCTGACTAACTAGATCCCTGCATGTCTCTCTCTGTAGCATCTGGCCCGGGCCATCCCTCTGCCCTTATTTGAGCGGGTTTGTGATACCCACTTCAGGATATAGAGCACTGAACAGCATAATGAGTTGACATTCTAGCGTCCCATTCCCTGTGACATCACCAGTGGCTGGCACACAGTAGATGCCCACTAGCGTTTACTGTGAAAAAGAACAAAAGTCTGTGGTATGGTCCGCAGAGAAAGCTCACCATCCTTTCTTACCTGAGCAGGTGCTCCAGGTCTTTGATATTATTGACCTTTCTTATATAAAGCATCTGAGGGTAGGACAGGCAGAGGAATGGACAGTCCAAGTCAGGAACGAACTATTGTTGGCCGCTTACATATAACTCACTGTCATAACCGAAGGCTAAAAAGAGTTTGCGAAGATTGCTCATCTGGCTCAGGTAAGGGGCAAACTTTCCTGTTTTATTCAGAGAGCACTTTCTCCTAACTTCCAACTGCTAGATACTGTCTGGGTATACCCTTTTCAATAAATTTCTGAAACTTGAAGTGGGCATTGAGTAATTCTGCACCTTATTACAGCACAGGTGCACTAGACCTCTTCTGTAGTGGATCTACCCACAAAGGTAGCTCAGGCATTCATCCAGTGTACTTTTCTTTAGGCAGCGGTCTATGAACACCTTCAAGGGCTGGCACTCTCCCATCCTTGGACAGTCCTCCACTGTCTGCCTTTTACTCATGGCCTCTGGGGAGCAGGAGAGGACCTTGGCTCCAGACCATATGGTCCAGAAATTCCCATCAACATCCCGCAAATCCAGCACTTGAAGTTTCCACCTCCTGTGAGTAACACAGGGGAAAAGCTCAGAATGTAGGCAAGGACCCACCCCTGACCTGAGCTTTCACTCCACATCCAGGACATCAGTCAGCTGCTCCTGTCCTCAGTGCTCCTCCTTCTGTCTCTTCTCCATCCCGCTCCCCCTTGGGTTCTGCCTGGTTCTCACTTCTAGAATCTTTACGTTCCACTGGGAGAAAGCAGGTTCCTGTTTCCTCAGTGGACCCTGTATGGTGAGCAGTCCTTTCCCAGAGGATCTGGGCAATGGTCAAGGCCTCTCATGGGCACCATCAGAAGCCTCTGAGCCACCCTAGCTCCCCAACCCCACCACTCCTCCTGAGCCAGCTGTCCCTTCCCTGGATGCCTGGACCCTTCCCACCAGGCCACCTGAGTCACCTCACCTGAGGCAAACCTTCTGGGCCAGCAGTGTATCAAGTCCCTTCAGCACAGCTTGCAAGGTCTCCAGATGAGGTGTCTTCATCAGGGATCCCAGAGGGAGGTGGAGGAAGGACCAGGCCTGCACCATCAGCTTCAGGGCCTCACAGCGTCTCCTGCTGACGGCCTCCATGAACATCAGAGGGAAGACCTCCCTGGGCAGCTCGTCCAGGATGAAGATGGTCAAGAACTGGTTCCTCAGTAGGCTCTGCCCTGCCAGCTCCAGGAGTCTGGATGGGGACTGGAGGCTCATTCTGACAAATCTGCAAGGAAAAACTCTAGAGGACAATCCAGTGAAAAGGCAAGTTTCTCAGGCCAATCCCCTGCAATCCCCGCTTCTCCTAGGGCCAAAGTCATTTCTCTAGCATGTGTGAAAGAGCCCTCAGTTTACTCCAATTCCATTCTGCAATAAGTGGCCACAGAGGCATAGTTCTGCCCTTCTGGTACTAAGAAGAGTGTGTCCCAACCTCTAAAGAGCAGGCAAGATCCCTCCTATAGGGTCCATGAATTATTAGCCACTGCACTACTACACTGATAGCACTGGGAAGTGTTAGCAAGGATCTTTGAAGCTCAGATCTCCACTTTTTTGAGAAAACAAAATGTCTTCTTGGCCAGGCACGGTGGCTCATGCCTGTAATCCCAGCACTTTAGGAGCCCAAGGTGGGCGGATCATGAGGTCAGGAGATCGAGACCAGCCCGGCCAACATGGTGAAATACCATCTGTACCGATACAAAATATTAGCTGGGTGTGGTGGTCCCTGCCTGTAATCCCAGCTACTTGGGAAGCTGAGGCAGGAGAATCTCTCAACCCGAGGTCCAGAGTTTGCAGTGAGCCAAAATCTAGCCACTGCATTCCAGCCTGGGTGGCAGAGTGAGACTCTGTCTCAAAAAAAAAAAAAAAAAAAAAAAAAGTAAAGGGAAGCCAAGCATGGCGGCTTACAGCTGTAATCCCAACACTTTGGGAAGCCAAGGCAGAACAATCACTTGAGCCCAGGAGTTCCAGACCAGCCAGGGCAACATAGTGATAGCCCATGTCTACTAGACTCTACTAGAATATTAAGTAATTATCTGAGCATTGTGGCACATGCCTATAGTCTCAGCTACTCTGCACATGGAGGTGGGAGGATGGCTTGAGCCTGGGAAGCAGAGGTTTCAGTTATCTGAGATTTTGCCACCACACTCCAGCCTGGGCAACAGAGAAAGACCCTGTCTCAAGTAATAATAATAATAATAATAATAATAATAATAATAATAATAATAACAACACACTTTGGGATTGAGTCTAGGGGAAGAAATGGATCCTACATTCAAAACAAAGACTCTACTCTTGAAAATAGTGTATGGGGCCAGACATGGTGGCTCATGCCTGTAATCCCAAGACTTTAGGAGACAAGGTGGGGGGTTTGCTTGAGTCCAGGTGTTCCAGACCAGCCTGGCTAACAAAGCGAGACCCCATCATTATAAAAAAATTTAATAGAACATAGTGGAAGGAATATCTTTATAATTTTAGTAAAAAACAAAGCCTATCTTTCAAAATCACAATAGCATTCTTGGGTGGGGTGACTCTTGCCTGTAATCCCAGCACTTTGGGAGGCTAAGGGCTGGCAGATTACATGGAGTCCAGGGGTTCCAGACCAGCCTGGGCAATATGGTACAACCCCATCTCTACTAAAAATACAATTAGCCAGGCCTCATGGTGTGGGTCTGTAATCCCAGCTACTGGGAAGGCTGAGGTGAGAAGATCCCTTGAATACAGGAGACAGAGGTTGCACTGAGGCAATTATCACACCACTGCAGTACAGCTGGGTGACAGAGTGAGACTTTGTCTCAAGAAATTAAAATCATAATAACATAGTCTATAAACTGCAAATTAAGAGCACACAATCTACAAATTTTAAATGTCAAGGAATCAGACATTAATTAATTGGATTCTTTTTTTTTTTTAATTGAGACGGAGTCTATTGCCCAGGCTGGAGTGCAATGGCATGATCTCGGCTCACTGCAACCTCCACCTCGCGGGCTGAAGCAATTCACCTGCCTCAGCCTCCTCAGTAGCTTGGATTACAGACATGTGCCACCATGCCCAGTTAATTTTTGTATTTTCAGTAGAGAAGGCGTTTCACTGTGTTGGTCAGCCTGGTCTCAAATTCCTGACCTCAGGTGATGCACCCACCTTGGTCTCCCAAAGTGCTGGGATTACAGGCATGAGCTGCTGTCCCTGGCCCAGTTGGATTCTTTTTTAGTTCTTTGGTTAAGAATTTTGGAATGACATAAAACAAAGCACAAATACATTTTTTTTTCCTTTTTAAGGCAGAGTCTTGCTGGGTCACCCAGGTGTGCACCACCATGCCCGGCTAATGTTTGCATTTTAAGTAGAGATGGAGTTGGCCTCATGTGATCTGGCTGCCTTGGCCTTTCAAGGTTGCTGGAATTACAGGTGTGAGCCATCACGGGAGTCTCAGCTACTTGGAAGGCTGAGGAGGGAGGATCCGTTGAGCGTGGGGGGCAGAGGTTGCAGTGAGGTGAGGAGTTTGAGAGCAGTGTGGCCAACATGGCAAAATCTCATCTCTACTAAAAATACAAAAATTAGCTGCGCATGGTGGCAGGTGCCTTGTAATCCCAGCTACTTGGGAGGCTGAGGCGGGAGAATTGCTTGAAGCCGGGAGGCGGAGGTTGCAGTGAGCTGAGATCGCGACACTGCACTCCAACGTGGGCGACAGAGTGAGACTCCTTCTTGGAGAAAAAAAAAAAAAGAACTTTGAAATGTGGCAGGGCCCAGTAGCTCATGCCTATTATCCCAGCACTTTGGGAGGCCAAGGCAGGTTAATCACTTGAGAGGTCAGGAGTTCAAGACCAGCCTGGCCAACATGGTGAAAACTTACCTCTACTAAAAATACAAAATCAGGGCTGGGCACGGTGGCTCACACCTGTAATCCCAGCACTTTGGGAGGCCGAGGCGGGCGGATCACGAAGTCAGGAGTTTGAGACAAGCCTGGCCAACATGGTGAAATCCCATCTCTACTAAAAATACAAAAATTAGCCAGGTGTGATGGTGGTTGCCTATAATCCTAGTACTCGGGAGGCTGAGGTAGGAGAATCACTTGAACCTGGGAGGTGGAGGTTGCAGTGAGCCGAGATTGTGCCTGTCAGGTCTCTGAGCCCAAGCCAACCCATCGCATCCCCTGTGACTTGCACGTATACATCCAGATGGCCTGAAGTAACTGAAGATCCACAAAAGAAGTAAAAACAGCCTTAACTGATGACATTCCACCATTGTGATTTGTTCCTGCCCCACCCTAACTGATCAATGTACTTTGTAATCTCCCCCACCCTTAAGAAGGTACTTTGTAGTCTCCCCCACCCTTAAGAAGGTTCTTTGTAATTCTCCCCACCCTTGAGAATGTACTTTGTGAGATCCACCCCTGCCCACCAGAGAACAACCCCCTTTGACTGTAATTTTCCATTACCTTCCCAAATCCTATAAAATGGCCCCAACCCTATCTCCCTTCACTGACTCTCTTGTCGGACTCAGCCCGCCTGCACCCAGGTGAAATAAACAGCCGTATTGCTCACGCAAAGCCTGTTTGGTGGTCTCTTAACAAGGACGCGCATGAAAGTGCCATTGCCCTGCAGCCAGCGCAAGAGTGACGCTCCGTCTCAAAAAAAAAAAAAAAAAAAAAAAAAAAGAAGCTTATCAAGCCCTGAAGCAATATGGGAAAAAAAAAATACAAAATTTAGTCAGGCATAGTGGTGGGCGCCTGTCATTCCAGATAGTAGGGAGGCTGAGGCAGGAGAATCACTTGATCCGGGAGGCGGAGGTTGCAGTGAACCAGGATCGCACCACTGCACTCCAGCCTGGGTGACAGAGCAAGTTTGTCTCAAAAAAATAAAATAAAAGAGAACTTTGAGATGGCATAAACTAAAACAGAAATAAAATATTTGGAGAGTGGCTGGGCGTGGTGGTTCATGCCTGTAATCTCAGCACTTTGGGAGGCTGAGGCAGGTGAACCACGAGGTCAGGAGTTCAAGACCAGCCTGGCCAACATGGTGAAACCCTGTCTCTCTAAAAATACAAAAAAAATTAGCCAGGCGTGGTGGTGGGCGCCTGTAGTCCCAGCTACTCGGGAGGCTGAGGCAGGAGAATTGCTTGAACTCAGGAGGTGGAAGTTGCAATGAGCCGAGATCGTGCCACTGCATTCCAGCCCAGGCAACGGAGTGAGGCTCTGTCTCATAACAAACAAACAAACAAAAATATATATGTAGATATATATTTGGAGTGTAGATAAAAGTATATTAGAGGAAAAATCAAAGCCTACATCTTTTCATCTGAAAAACAGACAGGAGAATTCTCTGTGTCGTCTTGACCTCCGTGTCGTCATCCTGACTGTCTGACTGTGGGTCATAGGAGTGCCCTTTGTGGAGGTCCCTGACTTATCAGATCTGGACTCACTTTGCAGTGTGCTCGGATCTTGTGGAGAACCAAGAAGTAACTCCAGGCACCACAGCTCTGGGTCTCTTCTGGGGGTGCTCACAAGCTTTCTTGAACCTTTCTCATCACACCTCCCCTTTTCAACCACCAGCTTCCCATCAGAGAGTGATGCCTGATTGGATTTCTGAAGCTCCACCCAGTTAAGCCTGTGAATTCAGGTGTCCATTCAATCCCTTGGATATCCAATCATGAAATTGAAAGTGTTGGGATTAGAATGCAGGTCAAGAATTCATTTTGATAACGTTGATCCAGCCAAAGTTCTCTGAACCATAAAGCTTTCAGGTTTTGTTTTTGTGTCTAATCTCAGGAGCAGATTGAACCCTTCCCTGTCTCAAACTCAAAAATAGGAAGGAAGGTCACATATTAGTACAATTCATTCTCTGTGGAGGGCATTAATGAATGAATTCTTGACTTCCACCCTAATCCTAACAAACACTGATGGAATTTACTAAGGGACTGACTGATAAGGTGGATGGTGTGTGCCTGTAATCCCATTGAGCAATTCATATTGAGGAATTATTTTCTTATTTTGCTGAGAATATTTTTAAAATCCTGAATGAGTCATTGAATTTTTTCAAATGTTTTTCGTACATCAATTAAGATGATCATTTTCTGGTGCTTTTATTCTATTTATTTGTTTAAATACGTTTGTTGAATTTTTTTTTTTTTTTTTTGGGGGGGAGACAGAGTCTCGCTCTGTGGTCCTGGCTGGAGTGCAGTGGCGTGATCTCGGCTCACTGCAACCTCCATCTTCTGAGTTCAAGCAATTCTCCTGCCTCAGCCTCCTGAGTGGCTGGGATTACAAATGTGCACCATCACGCCTGGCTAATTTTTGTATTTTTACTAGAGACAGCGTTTCCCATGTTGCCCAGGCTGGTCTTGAACTTGTAATCTCTGGTGATCTGCCCACCTCGGCCTCCCAAAGTTGTTGGGAGTGCAGGCGTGAGCCACTGCACGTGGCCCAATCATGCATGTTTGGTTGATATTCAAATGTTAAAACCATTTTCATTGTCCCTTTGGTCACTTTTATAAATTGTTGGAAGACACATAGGTGGATGGGATTGGAAGGAGAAGAGTGGAGAGACAGGTGGCCCTAAAGTGGGTGGAAGGTACATATGCCTTCATTTTACTGAGGACTAAGGTCTGAATTTTTTATCTTGCCCAAATTCCTAAGGAGTCTACAGAGTCATGCCCCAAAATCATAAATTCCCATCAGATGAGTTTTTTTAGCCCTGTATATGGTGACTTACTTTCCAATCTGACTCTGGCATAACATCCTGTGACAGAGGAGAAAGTCAAGATATTTTGCCCCAAGGCATGTTTCTTTGCCATATCTTGAAATGGCCCTGCAAAGCTGTCCTTTATGGGGGAAAATCTGCATCTGTAAAGAATCTCTATTAACACAGCTAGATCTTTTTCTTGCAGGCCCTCCCAGTCCTGAAGAGATGGACTGTCTGGTAATTTTAAGGGTCTGAATAGCAAACATCTGTCATCTGTTGTCTCGAAGGGTGGCCACTATGAGATTTCAAAAGAACCTCGGTCTCCACAATCTTTTATTTCACCCTGACCATTTCCTTTCTATGGATCCCAGGTCTTTAGACAAACTCAACCAATTGTCAACCAGAAAATGTTTAAATTTACCTATAGCCTGGAAGCCCCCGACCCTTCAGTTGTCTCTCCTTTCTGAGCCAAACCAATGTAATTCTTTTCTTTTCTTTTCTTTTCTTTTCTTTTCTTTTCTTTTCTTTTCTTTTCTTTTCTTTTCTTCTCTTCTCTTTTCTTTTCTTCTCTCTCTCTCTCTCTCCCCCTCCCTCCCTCTCTCCCTCTCTCTTTCTTTCTTTCACACAGATTCTCACTCTGTCACCCAGGCTGAAATGCGGTGGTTTGCTCTTGGCTTACTGCGATCCCTGTCTCCCAGGTTCAAGTAATTCTCCTGTCTCAGCCTCCCGAGTAGCTGGGAATACAGGCACACACCATCACACCTGGCTAATTTTTGTATTTTTACAAAAATTAGACGGGGTTTCACTATGTTGGCCAGGCTGGTCTCTAACTCCTGACCTCAGATGATCCACCCGCCTCGGCCTCCTAAAGTGCTGGGATTACAGGCGTGAGCCACCACTCACCCAGCCATGTATTTCTTTTTTCTTTCTTTCTTTTTTTTTTTTTTTTTTGAGATGGATTCTGGCTCTGTCACCCAGTCTGGGATGCAGTGGTGTGATCTCAGCTCCCTGCAAACTCCACCTCCCAGATTCAAGCAATTCTTCTGCCTCAGCCTCCTGAGTAGCTGGGATTAAAGGTGTGTAGCACCGTGACAGGCTAATTTTTGTATTTTTAGTAGAGATGGGGTTTCAGCATGTTGGCCAGGCTGGTCTCGAACTCCTGACCTCAAATGATCCACCCACCTCAACCTCTGAAAGTGCTGGGATTACAGGCGTGAGCCACAGAACCAGGGGGACTGGCCATATATTTCTTAGATGTATTTAATTGATGTTTCATGTACCCCTAAACTGTATAAAACCAACCTGCGCCCCAAACAACCCTGGGCACGTGTTCTCCAGACCTCTTTTTTTTTTTTTTTTTTTGAGATGGAGTCTTGCTCTGTCACCCAGGCTGGAGTGCAGTGGCACGATCTCGGCTCAATGCAAGCTCTGCCTCCCGGGTTCACGCCATTCTCCTGCCTCAGCCTCCCGAGTAGCTGGGACTACAGGCGCCCACCACCATGCCCACCTAATTTTTTTTTGTATTTTTAGTAGAGACAGGGTTTCACCATTTTAGCCAGGATGGTCTCGATCTCCTGACCTCGTGATCCGCCTGCCTCGGCCTCCCAAAGTGCTGGGATTACAGGCATGAGCCACTGCGCCCAGCCTCTCCAGACCTCTTGAGGGCTGTGTCATGGGCCATGGTCATTCATATTTGGCTCAGAATAAATCTCTTCACATATATTACAGAGTTTGACTCTTTTTGTCAACATTACTATTATATTTTTCAACTGCATACATATTATATGTGTGTATTTACTATATACAGTGTTCTGTTGGTATGTATCATTTATTTTACTACTTATTTATTTTAAGTTTGGAAGGGAGAGCTTTATTTTTCATAAAAGGTGGCCATGGCCAGGCAAGGTGGCTCACAGCTGGAATTCCAGCACCTGATCCCAGTGAGTGGATACCCTGATGTCAGGAGATCGAGACCAGCCTGGCCAACATGTTGAAACCCTGTCCCTACTAAAAATACAAAAATCAACTGGGCATGGTGGCCCACGCCTGTAATCCCAGCTACTTGGGAGGTTGAGGCAGGAGAATGACTTGAACCTGGGAAGCAGAGGTTGCAGTGAGCCGAGATGGCGCCACTGCACTCCAGCCTGGGCGACAGAAGGAGACTCCGTGTCAAAAAAAAAAAAAAAAAAAAAAAAAAGAGTGGCCAAGTGTCGGATGGCCACTCTGACAGGAGAAGC
Source organism: Homo sapiens (assembly GCF_000001405.40). Taxonomy (NCBI): domain Eukaryota; kingdom Metazoa; phylum Chordata; class Mammalia; order Primates; family Hominidae; genus Homo; species Homo sapiens. Next base: position 13,238,169 of record NC_000001.11, on the reverse strand, counting down.
AGCATCAGGCAGTTGGTTGCTATGAGTGGTAGATTCTTAAAGAGCTGGTTTCTGTTTGACCCTTAAGGAAGAAAGGCTAATGGTGGTTAGCAAGGGAGGGGGTATAGTGAAGCTTGTGGACCCCCCCCGCCCAACATCTCGTTCTCCTTGAGAACTCAGTTTTCAAGGATAACTGGGGTTTCCTCTTGACCAACAGGGGGTCTGTTTCTTCAGTTAGGGGGCTTAGAAATTCACTGTTATTTCTCATTTTCCCCCCTGTTCATCAGGATATGCCAGAAGCAGCATCAATGGCCAAAGTTTTAATTTGTCTCATGTGGATGACAGGGTGGCGGAGCTACCTGCCTTGGTCCACCCAGCCCCTAGGTGGGACTCCTATGGACGTGAGATTCAGAGCCAAAAGACTTACAGCCAATTAAAGCATCCTAGGCCAGATGAGCGTGGCGGTGGGCAGGCATGCATCAACACTTAAAACCTTTTAGGCAACATAAGCCTAAAACCAAAGCCAAAAAGCAAGCTTACAAAAATGGACTTATCTATAAGTTCTATGCATTGAGCTACTGCAACCTTGGTTTTAGTTAGACTTGTAGCAATTAGCTATAAACATAAACATTTCCCTGAAACCACTTAAGGTAAGGAATTTAGAGACTTCTGTGTCCCACAGCATTTTTTTGTGGTTTCTTTTGTAATCTGTCCTAAAGTGGCCAAAAAAGTCTTTATCATATCTCCATTTGCATAAACCCAATAGTGAGAACAACTATACCCAAAAGGCTTTATCACCACCTGTCTTGATATCCTCTTGGTGATTCTCCTTTAATGCTCTAGAAAGCAGGAATTTTTCCATAATTGGAATGGATGGATAATGACCCAGGAGGAAAAGTCCCTCAGTTGCCAAATGTTGAGGCATCTGTGTGCCCATTCTTCTTTTTTTGGATACGGAGTCTTGCTCTGTCACCAGGCTGGAGTGCAGTGGCACGATCTCAGCTCACTGCAACCTCTGCTTCCTGGGTTCAAGGAATCTCCTGCCTCAGCCTCCCAAGTAGCTGGAACTACAGGCATCCCCCACCACACCCAGCTAATTTTCGGTAGAGACAGGGTTTTACCTTGTTGGCCAGCAATAAGGAAATGATTCAGAACAGCTGGGCTCCCAACTAAACCCACCCTCAATCCTGGAAACTCGGCCCTAAGTGAAAACAGCTAACCCCATTTTTCTGCCCAAATGATTGCCCTTTTGGCCTTCCTCACACCCTATCCTGGGCCCATAAAAAGACCAGCTGGCAGAGCAACACAAGCGGCTGCTGCAAGTGGTTGGGGATGCAAGATGCTGAGCATCGGAATACAAGTGGCTGAACGTTGGGGATACAAGCAGATGAGCATTAAAGCCTACAGAGAGATGCAGCTAACTTCAGATGGTGTGGCTTCAGGGGAAGATCACCTTCTTGCTGCACCATCCCCTTTCTTTTTTTTTTTTTTTTTGAGACGGAGTCTCACTCTGTTGCCCAGGCTGGAGTGCAGTGGCGTGATCTCAGCTCACTGCTCACTGCAAGCTCTGCCTCCTGGGCTTAAGAGATTCTCCTGCCTCAGCCTCCCAAGTAGCTGGGATTACAGTCACCCGCCACCACGCCCAGCTAATTTTTTTGCATTTTTATTTGAGATGGGGTTTCACCATGTTGGCCAGGCTGGTCTCGAGCTCCTGACCTCAGGTGATCCATCTGCCTCAGCCTCCCACAGCCTTCCAAAGTGCTGGGATTACAGGCTTGAGCCACTGCGCCTGGCAGCACCATCCCCTTTCTAACTCCCCTTTCCACTGAGAGCCACATTTATCACCCAATAAAATCCTTCACTTATGCTACTCTTTAAATAGCTAATGTGACCTGGTTCTTCCTTTACACCGAATAAGAACTTGAGTGTCAAAAAGGGCAGGTGCGGGAAGCTGTCACTCTGACCATACACTGAGCTGTTCACACTCAGCCATCCACAGACTGCAGCCGGAGTGAAACAAACCACTCTAGTTCCTGCCCATGAAGAAGGTCAAAGTCAAGGGAACAATCCTGTCTCAGGAACACACTTTACTGGACAGGTTATCAAACACTTAAAGAAGATTTTACAAATTTAGTGGCACTACCATTGCCCTTGTTTTTCTCAGCCTTCTACAAAGGTTGAATGAACAAATGGTATCTTGAAACTAAAATTAGCTAAATCAGGCTGGGCACGGTGGCTCACATCTGTAATCCCAGCACTTTGGGAGGCCGAGGCGGGTGGATCACTTGTCAAGAGTTCGAGACCAGCCTGGCCAACACGGTGAAACCCCTTCTTTTCTAAAGGTACAAAAAGAAGCTGGGCATGGTGGTGCATGCCTGTATTCCCAGCTACTAGGGAGGTTGAGGCAGGAGAATCACTTGAACCCAGGAGGCAGAGGTTGCAGTGAGCCGAGATCGCACCATTGTACTCCGGTCTGGCAGACAGAGGAAGACTCTGTCTCAATAAAAATAATAATAAAAATAAAATAAAATTAGCTACATCTACAGGGAAGACTAGATTACACTAACCGAAAGTTTTTTTTTGTTTTTTATTTTTGAGACGGAGTCTTGCTCTGTCACCGAGGCTGGAGTGCAGTGGCATGATCTTGGCTCACTGCAAGCTCTGCCTCCTGGGTTCATGCCATTCTCCCGCCTCAGCCTCCTGAGTAGCTGGGACTACAGGCACCTGCCACCACGCCTGGCTAATTTTTTTTCTATTTTTAGTAGAGATGCGGTTTCACCATGTTAGCCAGGATGGTGTCGATCTCCTGACCTCATGATCTGCCCGCCTCGGCCTCCCAAAGTGCTGGGATTACAGGCGTGAGCAGCCGTGCCCTGCTAACCAAAAGTTTTACTACTGAATTTTTTTTTTTTTTTTTTGAGATAGAGTCCCCCGGCCGGGCGCGGTGGCTCACGCCTGTAATCCCAGCACTTTGGGAGGCAGAGGCAGGTGGATCATGAGGTCAGGAGATCGAGACCATCCTGGCTAACACAGTGAAACCCCGCCTCTACTAAAAATACAAAAAATTAGCCGGGCGTGGTGGCGGGCGCCTGTAGTCCCAGCTACTTGGGAGGCTGAGGCAGGAGAATGGCGTGAACCTGGGAGGCGGAGCTTGCAGTGAGCCGAGATTGCGCCACTGCACTCCAGCCTGGGCAGCAGAGCGAGACTCCGTCTCAAAAAAAAAAAAAAAAATGAGATAAAGTCTCCCTCTGTCACCAGGCTGGAGTGCAGTGGCACCATCTCTGCTCACTGCAACCTCTGCCTCCCGGGTTCAAGCGATTCTCCTGCCTCAGCCGTCCAAGTAGCTGTAACTACTGGTTTACACCACCATGCCGGGCTAATTTTTGTATTTTTAGTAGAGACGGGGTTTCACCAAGTTGGCCAGGCTGGCCTCGAACTCCGTACCTCAAGTGATCCTCCCACCTTGGCCTTCCAAAGTGCTGGGATTACAGGTGTAAGCTACCGTGCCTGGCCTCAAACTGAACATTCTCAAAGTTCTACTGTTCAAAGTTTAGCTTCTTTCACTAAGCAAATCAATTGCTGGCTATGTAAACATTTTTTTTTTAATCTTTGTTTTTGTTTTCCTTTTTCGAGACAGGGTCTTGTTTTGCAACCCAGGCTGGAGTGAAGTGGCACGATCACGGCTTATTGCAGCCTTGACCTGCCAGTCTCAATCAATCCTCCAAATCAATCTCCTAAATAGCTAGGATTACAGGTGTGTGCCACCACACCTGGTTAGGTTTTGTGTTTTTTTATTTTTTTGTAGAGACAGGGTTTCACCATGCTGCCCTGGCTGGTCACTAACTCCTGGCCTCTGGGCTTAAGCAATCTGCCTGACTCGGCCTCCAAAAGTTCTGGGATAACAGGTGTGAGCCACCAAGCAGGGCCTGGAAATTTATTTCTGTGCATAGAAAACCTTAGTGCAACTGGGTTGATCTAGGCAGTGTTCCAGACTCCCTCTGTAATCAGACTCTTTGGTTTGACACACATTATGGAGATTGGAAGCCAATGTGTAAGGGAAATAGATATAAAATTAGAACATGACCACTACTTAGGAGGCTGCAGCAGAAGGATCACTTGAGTCCAGGAGTTCAAGGCTGCTATGAGCTATGATTATGCCACTGAACTCTAGCCTCGGCAACAGAGTGAAGAAGACCTTATCTCAAAAAACAAAACAAAATAAAACAAAAACAAAAACAAAAACAAACAAACAAAACAACAGTCAGAGGTAGTAGTTCATGCCTGTAATCCCAGCACTTTAGGAGGCTGAAGAGGGCAGATCACTTGAGATCAGGAGTTCAAGACCAGCCTGGTCAACATGGTGAAACCCCATCTCTACTAAAAGTACAAGAAAAATTAGCTGGGTGTAGTGGCAGGCCCCTGTAATCCCAGCTAATTGGGAGGCTGAGCCAGGAAAATCGCTTGAACCCAGCAGGTAGAGGTTGCAGTGAGCCGAGATGGCAACACTACACTCCAGCCTGGGCAACAGAGTGAGACTCTGTCTCAATCAAAGCAAAACAAAACAAAGCAAAACAAAACAAAACAAAACAACAAAACAAAACGAAACAATACATGAGCATGATCATGTTACCCTCTACTACGTAATCAACGTCTTACTAAAACCAGACATTGGTGGCCGGGCACAGTGGCTCTCATCTGTTATCCCAGCATTTTGGGAGGCCGAAGCAGGCAGATCACCTGAGGTCAGGAGTTCAAGACCAGCCTGGCCAACGTGGTGAAACTCCGTCTCTACAAAAAATACAAAAAAATCAGCTGGGCATTATGGCGAGTGCCTGTTATTCCAGCTACTTGGGAGGCTGAGGCAGGAGAATCGCTGGAACCTGGGAAACAGAGGTTGCAGTGAGCTGAGATGGTGCCATTGCACTCCAGCCAGGGTAACATAACAAGACTCCGTCTCAATAAAAAACCCAAAAAACAAAAAACTAAAAAACTAGACATTGGTTTAATGGAAACATGAGAGGCAAAGGGATTGTCTCTACAGTTCTACTATATGAAATAAATAATAGCTTCTTTTGTTTGTTTGTGTTGTTTTTGTTTTTTTGAGACAGAGTCTCACTCTGTTGCCCAGGCTGGAGAGCAATGGCATGATCTTGGCTCACTGGAACCTCTGCCTCCTGGGTTCAAGCAGTTCTCCTGCCTCAGCCTCCAAGTAGCTAGGATTACAGGTGCTCTCCACCACACCTGGCTAATTTTTTGTATTTTCAGTAGAGACGAGGTTTTGCCATGTTGGCCAGGCTGGTCTGAAACTCCTGAGCCCTAGTGATCCATCCACCTTGGCCTCCCAAAGTGTTGGGATTACAGGCGTGAGCCACTGCGCCCGGCCAATAGTTTGGTTTATTAGATGCATCAATAATCAGGGCATTTTGTAGAGGAACCTACTTATCCTTTAATGGAGATAGCATGCAATGGCTACTTCATCTAATTCATTAAAATACTTTTTCTTCCTACATTTATTTATTTATGTATTTATTTTATTTTATTTTTTTTGAGATGGAGTTTCACTCTTGTTGCCCAGGCTGGAGTGCATTGGTGTGATCTCAGCTCCACACCTCTGCCTCCCTGGTTCAAGCGATTCTCCTGCCTCAGCCTCCCTAGTAGCAGGGATTACAGGCATGTGCCACCACGCCCGGCTAATTTTGTATTTTTAGTAGAGATGGGGTTTCTCCATGTTGGTCAGGCTGGTCTTGAACTCCCGACCTCAGGTGATCCACCCACCTCGACCTCCCAAAGTGCTGGGATTACAGGTGTGAGCCACTGTGCCCAGCCTTATTTATTTATTTATTTATTTATTTATTCATTTATTTATAAGACAGGTTCTCACTCTGTCACCCAGGCTGGAGTGCAGTGGCAGATCTCAGCTCACTGCAACCTCTGCCTCCTGGGCTCAAGTGATCCTTCCACCTCAGCCCCCCAAGTCACTGAGAGTACAGGTGCATGCCACCATGCCCAGCTAATTTTTGTATTTTTTGTAGAGATGAGGTTTTGCCACATTGCCCAGGCTGGTCTTGAACTCCTGGACTCAACAATCTGCCCACTTTGGCTTTCCAAATGCTGGGATTACTGGTGTTAACCACCATGCTTGCTCCTCTATCCCAATTTAAACCACAATCACACAATCTGGTGTCAATGGAAATTAAGGCTGTTGAGGGAGAAATAATTTGATACAAGTTTATTGGAAGCTGAATGTGAGAATTGACCCAGGAACATACAGCAACAAAGTGGGTGTGTTCCAAAGTCTATTATAAGTTGGAATGCTTTCATGAGAGAGTGTAGAAGGCAGTGGGACTCCTCATAGCTGAGTTGTCCTTCAGTGATGGGTACAACACAGAGGTTACAATCATTGACCAAGGTTGACAATGAACAGGCCAAAATGCTTGAAGTGCAAGACAGTTAAACTTCATGATCAAAATCAAATCAGCGTCCTTCTCAATGTCAGAAGGTGAAGCCTTTGTCAGTACTTGAAGAGTTTGAGAAGCTCATGATCAGATGATTTACTCAGGGACAGGATGTAAGCCATGAATCCTAAGCCCTTCCCCAGATGGTTGGTTTGGAAGCCCGCCAACTGTGATTTGCAGGTTTTTGTTTTTGTTTTTGCTTTTTTGAGATGGAGTCTCACTCTGTCACCCAGGGTGGAGTGCAATGGTGCAGTCTTGGCTCACTGCAATGTCCACCTCCCTTGTTCAAGCAATTCTCCTGCCTCAGCCTCCCAAGCAGCTGGGATTACAGGCATGCCCCAACACACCTGGCTAATTTATATATATGTATATATTTTTTAGTAGAGATGGGGTTTCACCATGTTGGCCAGGCTGGTCTTGAACTCCTGGCCTTAGGTGATTCTCCCGACTTGGCCTCCTAAAGTGTTGGGATTACAAGTGTGAGCCACCAAGCCTGGCCGATCTGCAGGATTTCACTGGCAATGTGCAGACGTAGCTATGATGAAGAATAACCATGACCGTCCCATTACCTCCGACTGGTGGAGAATGGGATCCTTTGACCCTTTCTCACCCTAAAACTGGGTTACTCATCTGTGTGTCAACAAAAATATGGTGTACTTAACAGACAGAGAAAGAGACTCAGTAAAAAAGGATTTTTTTCTTATGAAATGAGCAAAGCAATGGGAATAGGTGTGAGACTATTCAGGGAGGTCAAGGAAGACAAGGGTTTTGAAAGGAAAAATAAGGAGGATTACATAAGTGGTTCTGAAGGCATCCTCCTTGGCCATAAGGATCACAGTTAAGGTGGCATTGGCCAATGTTGGAAAGAGTCTCCCTCATGCCCACAAAAACCCAACACATTGACCATGCCTTGGTTCAATCTCAAGGTCCCATTGGAACACTAAGCCCAACCCAGCCCAGCCCAGCCACCACCCTTACTTCTCTTTGTAATTGTTACCTGATTTCCTCCAGAGAAACCTGGAACAAAATCTTGAGACCAATCACACCCTTAGTGGTACCTCTCTTCCACACAAATGAGCATACGATTTCCTCATATGGGTAACTTAAATCCCAAATGACCAATATATACACGAACATTTAAATTCAATTTTGTAGGGATAAAACCACTGCCTTCATGAAGCTGTTTTTTGTTTTGTTTGTTTTTGTTTTTGATACAGGCTCTGTCGCTCAGCCCAGAGGGCAATAGATTGATCTAGGCTCACTGCAACCTCTGCATCGTGGGGATCAAAAAATGGATCTTCCCATTTCAGCCTCCAGAGTAGCTGGGACCACAGGTGTGTGCCACCATGCTTCACTGATTTTTTTTTTTTTTTTGAGATGGTGTCTCCCTCTGTCACCCAGGGTGTAGTGCAGTGGCATGATCTTGGCTCACTGCCACCTCCACCTCCCGGGTTCAAGTGATTCTTCTGCCTCAGACTCCTGAGTAGCTGGGACTAGAGGTGCATCCCACCATGCCCAGCTAATTATTGTATTTTTAGTAGAGACGGGGTTTCACCGTATTTGCCAGGCTGGTCTCGAACTGCTGACCTCATGATCTGCCTACCTTGTCCTCTCAAAGTGCCAGGATTACAGGCTTGAGCCACCGCACCTGGCTTATAAAGTTTAAACTCTGAAATATTTTTATTTTTATTTATTTATTTATTTATCTTGAGACTGAGTCTTGCTCTGTCACCCAGGCTGGAGTGCAGTTGTGCGATCTTGGCTCACTGCAAGCTCCGCCTCCCAGGTTCTTGCCATTCTCCTGCCTCAGCCTCTGGAGTAGCTGGGAATAAAGGCACCCACCACCATGCCTGGCTAATTTTTTGTATTTTTGGTGGAGACAGGGTTTCAGTGTTAGCCAGGATGATCTCGATCTCCTGACCTCGTGATCCACCCGCCTCAGCCTCCCAAAGTGCTGGGATTATAGGTGTGAGCCACAGTGCCTGGCTGAAACCTTTTATAATTTTGTTTTGTTTTGCTTTTTGAGGCAGAGTCTCTCTCTGTCACCTAGGCTGCAGTGCAGTGGCATGATCTTGGCTCACTGCAACCTCCGCCTCCTGGGTTCAAGTGATTCTCCTGCCTCAGCCTCCTGAGTAGCTGGGACTACAGGCGCCCACCACCACACCCGGCTAATTTTTGTATTTTTAGTAGAGACAAGGTTTCACCATGTTGGCCAGGATGGTCTCGATCTCCTGACTTCGTGATCCACCGCCTGGGCCTCCCAAAGTGCTGGGATTACAGGCATGAGCTACCGCGCCTGGCCCATTTTGATAATTTTGATGGGGCCAAAGATTTCCCCAACATTAATCTTTTTAGGTTTTGTTTTTCTCTCTAATGTCAGGAACAGAGTGAGAGTTCCCTGTCTCACACTCAGGACAAAGAAGGTCACATACTGGTAAATTCCATCAGTGTTTGTTAGGGTGGAAGTCAAGAATTCACTCATTAATGCCCTCCAGAAGCAGAGATGGAGTGGTAGTAATATGTGACCTTCCTAGTCCTGAGTGGAAGACAGGGAAGGGTTCAACCTATTCCTGAGATTAGACAGAAAAGCAAAACCGGAAAATATTATGGTTGGGAGTTCTTTGGTGACATCAAAATCATCAAAATGAGTTCTTGACTTCCACCCTAATTACAGTGCTTTCAGTTTCATGATTGGATATCTGATTCAATCCATTATTCTGCAGAAAGCCAAAACTTCAATCAGGCTTAACTGGGTGGAATTCAGAAATCCCATCAGGCATCACTTTCTGATAGGAATCTGGAAGTTGATAAAGGAGGTGGGATTAGGAAAGTCCAAGAAAGTTGCTGGGAGCCGTGGCTCATGCCTGTAATCCAGCACTTTGGGAGGCTGAGGGGGAGGGTGGGTCATGAGGTCAGGAGTTCCCAAGACCAGCCTGGCCAATATGGTGAAACACCATCTCTGCTAAAAATACAAAATTAGCTAGGTGTGGTGGCGCATGCCTGTAATTCCGGCTACTTTGGAGGCTGAGACAGGAGAATCACTTGAATCCAGGAGGTGGAGGTTGCGGTGAGCCGAGATCACGCCATTTTACTCCAAACTGGGCAACAAGAGCAAAACTCCATCTCAAAAAAACAGAAAGGTCCAAGAAAGCTTGTGAACATCCACAGAAGAAACCCCAAGCTGTGGTACCTGGAGTTATTGCTTGATTCTCCAAGAGGTCCGAGCAGACTGCAAAGTGAGTCCAGATCTGGTAAGTCAGGTACCTTCACAAGGGCACTCCTATGACCCACAGTCAGCCAGTAGAGGGCGACATGAAGGCCAAGGTGGCACAGAGAATTTTCTTGCCTGTTTTTCAGATGAACAGATGTAGGCTTTAATTTTTTCTCTAATGCAGTTTTATCTCTTCACTCCAAATATTTTATTTGTGTTTAGTTTATGTCATTTCAAATGTTTTTTTTTTTTTTTTCTGAGATGGAGTCTTGCTCTGTCACCCAGGCTGGAGTGCAATGATGAGGTCTCGGCTCACTGCAACCTCTGCCTCCTAAGTTCAAGCAATTCTCCTGCCTCAGCCTCCTGAGTAGCTGGGATTACAGGTGCCCACCACCATGCCCGGCTAATTTTTGTATTTTTAGTAGAGACAGGGTTTCACCATGTTGGCCAGGCTGGTCTCGAACACCTGACCTCGTGATCTGCCCACCTAGGCCTCTCAAAGTGCTGGGATTATAGGTGTGAGCCACCATGCCCAGCTTCAGAGTTCCAAATCAAGCAGTTGAAAAATAATGCAATTGACTGAAGTCTTTTTTTTTTTTTCTTTGAGACATTGTCTTCCTGCGTCATTCTTGGTGGAATGCAGTATTGTGATCTCGACTCACTGCAACCTCTGCCTTCTGGGCTCAAGCCATCCTCCCTACTCAGAAGTTCTAGCCTTCTGAATAGCTGGAATTCAGGCATGCACTAGTATAACTGGCTAATTTTTTTGATTTTGTTTTTTTCTTTTTTTTTTTTTTTTGAGAGAGAGTCTCACTCTGTTGCCCAGGTTCGAGTGCAGAGGCATGATCTTGGCTCACTGCAAATTCTGCTTCCCGGGTTCAAGTGATTCTCCTGCTTCAGCCTCCCAAGTAGCTGGGACTGTGGGTGTGTGCCACCACACCTGGCTAATTTTTGTATTTTTAATAGAGATAGGGTTTCACTATGTTGGCCAGGCTGGTCTTAAACTCCCAAACTCAGGCGATCTGCCCGCCTCAGTCTCACAAAGTGCTGAGATTACAGGTGTGAGCCACCGTGCCAGGCCTATTATTATTATTTTTTATAGTGATGAGGTCTTGGTTTGTTACCTAGGCTGGTCTGGGACACCTAGATTCAAGCAAACCTCCCACTTTGCCTCCTAAAGTCTTGGGATTACAGGCATGAGCCAACATGACTGGTCTCATACACCATTTTCAAGAATGGAGTCTTTGTTCTGAATGTGGGATCCATTTGTTTCTCTAGACTCCATTCCAAAGTGGGTAATATTTTATTTATTTATTTATTTTATTAAGACAGAGTCTTGCTGTTCTGCCCAGGCTAGGGGTACAGTGGCAGAGTCTCAGATCACTGTAACTTCTGCTTCACAGACACAAGCCATCCTTCCACCTCAGCCTGCAGAGCAGCTGGGACTACAGGTGTGCGCCATCACATCCATCTATTTTTTGTATTTTTTTGGAGAGACAGGGTCTCACTATGTAGCCCAGGCTGGTCAGCAACTCCAGGGCTTAAGTGATTGTTCTGCCTTGGCTTGCCAAAGTGTTGGAATTACAGCTGTGAGCCTCCATGTGTGGCCCCTCATTACTCTTTTGAAAGTGAACATAATGGTGTCTAATTAAAAATATCCCTTTAGTCTCTCCCAGCCAAGTTCACTGTGGGAACTGAGACTGTAGACTGTTTGGGGCCACAGGAGACTCCCATTACCATTGTTTTATTGTTTTATTTTATTTATTTATTTTTTTGAGACTGAGTCTCGCTCTATTGCCCAGGCTGGAGTGCAGTGGCACTGTCTGAGCTCACTGCAACCTCCGCCTCCTGGGTTCCAGTGATTCTTGTGCCTCAGCCTCCCGAGTAGCTGGAGTTACAGGCACCTGCCACCATGCCTGGTTACTTTTTGTGTTTTTAGTAAAGACTGGGTTTCACCTTGTTGGCCAGGCTGGTCTCTAACTCCTGACCTCAAGTGAGCCACCCGCCTTGGCCTCCAAAGTGCTGGGACTACAGTTGTGAGCCACCAAGCCCAGCCACATGACCATTGCTTTAGATCCTTAAATTGAGAAGACATTTTTTTCTCAAAAAAGGAGCTGAGCTTTGAAGATTCTTGGTAACACTTCCCAGAGCTAATAGAGTTGGGTGGAGAAATTAATGAAAATTCATGGAGTAGGAGTGATCTTGCCCGTTCCTTGGAGGTTGGGAGACACTCTTCTTGGTACCAGAAGGGCAGAACTATGTCTCTGTGGCCAATTATTGCAGAGTCGAATTGGGGTAAACTAAGGACTTTCACACCTGCCAGAGTAGTGACTTTTGGCCCAGGAGAAGTCAGGGTGTGAGAGGACTGGCCTGATAAGTTTGTCTTCTCTGGATTTGTTTTCTTGCAGATTTATCAGGATGAGCTTCCAGGCCCCACGCAGACTCCTGGAGCTGGCAGGGCAGAGCCTGCTGAGGGACCAGGCCTTGGCCATCTCCGTCCTGGATGAGCTGCCCAGGGAGCTCTTCCCCCCACTGTTCGTGGAGGCCTTCACTAGCAGACGCTGCGAGGTTCTGAAGGTGATGGTGCAGGCCTGGCCCTTCCCCTGCCTCCCTCTGGGGTCCCTGATGAAGACGCCTGATCTGGAGATCTTACATTATGTAGTGGATGGGATTGATTGCCTGCTTGCCCAAAAGGTTCGCCCCAGGTGAGGTGACCCAGGTGGGGAGGGCCCAGGTGTCCAGGGACTAAACAGCTGGGTCAGACAAATTGGGAACCCGGGGTGGCCCAGGGGCTTCTGATGGTGCCAGTGAGAAAGCTGGGAACGTTCTTGGCTATTGCCCAGCTCCTCTGGGAAAGGACTGCTCACCATACAGGGTCCACTGAGGAAACAGGAACCTGCCTGCTCCCAGTGGAAGGTAAAGGCACTAGAAGTGGGTACCAGGCAGAATCCAAGGGGGAAAGGGATGGAGAAGAGACAGAAGGAGGGGCGCTGAGGAAAAAAGCAGCTGAAGTCCTTGATGTGGAGTGAAAGCCCAGGTCAGGGGTGGGTCCTTGTCTACGTTCTGAGCTTTTCCCCTATGTTACTCACAGGAGGTGGAAACTTCAAGTGCTGGAAATGCGGGATGTTGATGAGAATTTTTGGACCATATGGTCTGGAGCCAGGCTCCTGTCCTGCTCCCCAGAGGCCATGAGTAAGAGACAGACAGTGGAGGACTGTCCAAGGACAGGAGAGAAGCAGCCCTTGAAGGTGTTCATGGATGTTTGCCTCAAGGAAAAATTCATGGATGAAGATCTGAGCTTCTTCTCTGGGTGGGTGCAGCACAGAAGAGGTTCAGTACACCTGTGCTGTACTAAGGTGGTGAATTATTCAATGAGCATTCTAAATTTCAGAAACATATTGGAAACAGTATACCCAGACAGTATCCAAGTGTTGGAAATTTGGAACATGTGCTGGCTGTGTATGATAGTAGAGTTTAGCCGTTACCTGAGCCAGATGAGGAATCTTCGCAAACTCTTCATCTCTGATGGCTGTCGTTACCTGCTAAGCTCTGACAGCCAAGAACAGTTAGTTGCTGAATTCAGCTCTGTGCTCCTCAGGCTGGAGAACCTCCAGATGCTTTATGTAAGAAGGGTCTGCTTCTTCAGAGGCCACCTGGACCAGCTGATCAGGTGAGGAAGGATGGTGAGCTTTCTCTGGGGGCCATAGCACAGCCTTTTTTTGTTACAATAAACACCAATCAGCATCTACTGTGTGCCAGCCACTGGAGATGTCTAGGGAAGGGGACACTAGAATGCATTGTCCTGTTTGGTGCTCTATATCCTGAAGTGGGTATCACAGGATCGCTCCAGTAAGGGCAGAGGGATGACCTGGGGTAGAAGCTACAGAGAGGGACATCGTGTAGGGAGCTGGTTAGTGGAGGGTTCAGCTCTAGTGAGGGTGAATTCCTTTTAGGAATTCCTTGTTAGGAAGTGTGTTTAAAGTTAATATGATAAAAAAGAGGCAACAGAGGGGAGGGTGTAAAAGAAGAGAAAGTGCACCAAACCTGTGTGTTTCACAGAGGAAGCTCTGTCCTCACAGCTTAGTGAACATGAATGATCCTCTCTCTGATTCCCTGTCTGTAAAAGGTTGTTTTGAACTCCAGGAAAGGTAAGTGACATGGGAAATGCGTGCTTCTGGGATGGAGGTGAGGGAATAGGCACGAGAGTGGTACAAAGTGACAGGTGGTTTGCAGATGTGGCCATGTCAGGGAGCCTCTGAAAGCAGGTAGCCCTAGCTGATGTCCCTAGACCTTGCTCAGGTCAGTTCTTTGGGCATCTCTTCCACTGGGCTCCTGTGGCCCAGAGATGAAGCTTTCTGCTGGAAGATGAAGAAAAGAGGCTTTAGAGATTTTATGGCCTTGAACCAATCACACCAGTGATGGTGAAAGGACTGAGCCTAAAATGGGACTGCCTCTGAATGATCCAAGTCCTCATCAGGCAGCACCTTGCGGGAGGACCATGATTAGATGATGAGAACAAACTTGTGTTTGGGCAAAACAGGCTCTTCCCTTGACGTTATTTTCTACCACCGTCCTCTAACTGGTGCCATTGCCCAGTACTAACTTCTTGCTCTCCCCAGGTGCCTCAGGAGCCCGTTGGAGACATTGGCATTAACTTATGGCTTCCTAGAAGAAGAGGACTTGAAATGCCTGCCCCGGTACCCAAGTCTCAGTCAACTGAAGCAGCTGAATCTGAGTCATGGTGCACTGCGCTTCATCCGTCTTGAGCCCCTCCGAGCTCTGCTAGAGAAAGTTGCTGCCACTCTTCAGACCCTCTTCTTAGTGGACTGTGGGATTGGGTACTCCAAACTCAGGGTCATCCTGCCTGCCCTGAGCCGCTGCTCCAACCTCACCACTTTCTGTTTTCACGGCAATGACACGTCCATGGATGCTCTGAAGGACCTGCTGCGCCACACAGGCAGGCTGAGCAATTTGAGCCTGGAAACATATCCTGCCCCTCGGGAGAGTCTTGACAACAGGGGTCGTGTCATTTTGGAGCTCCTCACCCCACTTCAGGCTGAGCTGATGCGTATACTGAGGGAAGTAAGGGAGCCCAAAAGGATCTTCTTTGGTCCGGTGTCCTGCCCTTGCTGTGGCACGTCGCCCACTGAGCAACTGGAGTCCAATTTTTGCTTGTGGGGAAGGCCTGCCTAGTGGGGTGGAGGTATAAAAAGCTTTTTCTCCAGGCACTTGGAAACTAAAATCTGGGACATAGATGTCTTTTATTTTTCTTTTTCCTTATTTTACAATTTTACAGCTTTTATTTAAAAATTTGAAACAGGGTTTCCCTATGTTGTCCAGGCTGGTCTCAAACTCTTACGCTTAAGGGAGCCCCCTGCTTGGCCTCCCAAGATTCTGGGATTACAGGCATAAGCAGCTGTGCCGGGTCTATAGGTGTATTATAAAGGGAACAGAGAAACCTCTGTTTCAGGCATGTGCTTTCTGTGAGTGGAAAACAAAAAACAAAAAATCCCAGCAGGGGGCAGCACTGGGGAAAAAGTTGAATGGAGTCACTGAGACTCAGGGATCTGTGTCCTAGACAGTCAGAAATAGAAAGCTGAAGTTCTAGAGTGAGGGAGTTATCTCAGCAAGGATGGATACAAAGAAACGTCGGAAGTAGAGGGAACCTAAATGGAAACTCTCTGCTGTCCTTCATGATTGATTAGCCTGTTTCAGCAATTTATACATCAGAAATCTTTAGTTCCTGATGAATTAAAAAAAGAGGTACTAGTTCATCTGTGATTTAGGTTCATCTGCAGGAAATAAAGGAATCAAAATAAACTTCATGTTGTCGTTGTGGTTTTTTTTTCTTTTTTTTTTGTTTTGTTTTAGACGGAGATTCGCTCTTGTTGCCCAGGCTGGAGTGAAATGGCATGATCTTGGCTCACCACAACCTCCGCCTCCTGGGTTCAAGCGATTTTCCTGCCTCAGCCTCCCGAGTAGCTGGGATCACAGGCATGCGCCACCATGCCCAGCTAATTTTGTATTTTTATTAGAAACGGCATTTCTCCATGTTGATCAGGCTGGTCTCGAACTCCTGACCTCAGGTAATCTGCCCACCTTGGCCTCCCAAAGTGCTAGGATTACAGGCATGAGCCACAGAGCCTGACCTGTTTTGTTTGTTTGTTTTGTTTATTTGACGGAGTCTTGCTTGGTCACCTAGGCTGGAGTGCAGTGGTGTGATCTTGGCTCACTGCAACCTCCAACTCCCAGGTTCAAGGGAATTTGTGTTTTTAGAAGAGACGGGGTTTCACGATGTTGGCCTGACTGGTCTCAAACTCCTAACCTCAGGTGACCTCAAGGAAGCCTCCCAAAGTGCTAGGATTACAGGCGTGAACCAACGTGCCTAGCCTAAACTTTGATTAATTTATGCCCATTCTTTACCTCTCCAGTCATCTCTTCCTTACTTTCTCCTGTGGTTATTTACTGGGTTCATCCACAAAAGATGCATGCCTGGGACCTGGAACATTCTATGTGGGCAGTGATGATGAACCATTGAGTCAACCCTCTTCTTGTCAGGGGCCCTCACTGCTCCCCAGATACCGAGACCCTGCTCACTCCTAATGGGCAGATCTGGGAGAATCTGTTCCTGATCATTGGCCATGTCAGGAAAGGGCTTCACTGCACAAGGTGCGGCCCCCTGCCTTGGGAGGGAATGGCCATAGTGTGTACTAGCGGGAGCCTCATGGCATCACCAACACTTGCCTGTCCTCATGGTGGCTAGTGGGTTTTACTGAATTAACATAATTGTGTGTAGTAAAGATGTCCAATTTCTCTTAGAAGAATAGTAAAATCATTTAGGTAGATGACACATTCTAAATATTTCTAGCCCACATCAATATGCATCCTTTTGGAAATTAACTCATTTCAATGAGACATCTTCCTGTAACACCTCCCTTCTCTCCTTATCAAAAAACGGGAAAACCAGGGCACTGACCTGTCCTCATGGTGACTAGTGGGGTTTACTGAATTAAAGTGATTGTGTCCAGTAAAGATATCCAATTTCTCTTAGAATAATGCTAAAATCATTTAGGTGGATAATACATTCTAAATATTTCCAGCCCATATTAATGGAAATATACATCCTTTTGGAAACTAACTCATTTCAATGAGAGATCTTCCTATCACACCTCCCTTCTCTCCTTATCAAAAAACAGGAAAACCTGGGCTTGACCTAGCTAGCGCTCCTACACTGCCATGAGAATCCCTTTGGGACTTTCCCCATTTGGGACTGGCAGCACTCTTGTGGTTTACTAAAACTTAGGTAAACCTGGGCTTAAGCCACCACCTGGAGCCAAGAAGGAAGCAGCAACCTAGTGGTGAAGATTCACTAAGGGAATGTATTCAGTCCAAACCAAAGCAAGCCAGACAGAGAAAACTGGAGTAAATCATTCTTCCTTCAGTGCAAAAATACAGATCTATATCTACAAGAAACTAGAGCAAACAGGAAACTGTGACCTCCCCAAAATGACAAAGCAGAAATCTAGTGGGTGACTCTAATGTGATGGCTATTTGTCAGGTCTCTAACCAATCACTGAAAATCGCAGGTTTTCAAACTTGTATTTTAGTTCCAGGAATACAGATGCAGGTTTGTTCTATAGATAATAGACAAACTATCAGATAAATAATTTTGGTAGCTTTTGTTTATTTGTTTGTTTGTTTGTTTTTTGAGGTGGCGTCTCACTCTGTCACCCAGGCTGGAGTGTAGTGGCATGCTCTCAGCTCACTGCAACCTCTGCCTCCCAGAGTCAAGCAATTCTCCTGCCTCGGCCTCCCAAGTAGCTGAGACTACAGACTTGCATTACCACGCCAGGCTAAGTTTTTGCATTTTTAGTAGAGACAGGGTTTCACCATGTTGGACATGGAGAACTCCTGACCTCAAATGGTGCACTGCCTCAGTGCTGGGATTAGAGGTGTGAGCCACCATGTCCAGCCAGTTTTGGTAGTTTGTTGATACCCACTCCCCTTCCACCCTCCACTCTCCAGTAGTCCCGGGCGTCTATTGTTCCCATTATTATGTCATGTATACTTAATATTTGGCTCTCATTTATAAGTGAGAACATGTGGTGTTTGGTTTTCTGTGCCTGCTTTAGTTTGCTTAGCATAACGGCTTCTAGCTCCATCCGTGTTGCAGCAAAAGGAGGATGAGGACTTAATGAAAGGGCATTATCTTGTTCTTGTTTCAAGCTGTGTAGGTTTCCATGGTGTATCTGTACCATATTTTGTTAATCCAGTCCACCACTGATGTGCATTCCAGTGGATTCCATGTCTTTGCTGTTGTGAATAGTGCTGCGATGAGCATCCACATGTGACCACTCCCACTCAACATGTGCTAGAGTCTCACGTTACTGGAGTGTCTCTATATTACCCGGGCTGGTCCAGAACGGCCAGGCTCAGGCAGGGCTCCAATCTTAGCCTTACAAAGTATTGGGATTACAGGCATGAGCCACCACACATGGCTCTATTTTATTATAACATATATTTCTAGGCCGGGTGTGGTGGCTCACGCCTGTAATCCCAGCACTTTGGGAGGCCAAGGCGGGTGGATCACGAGGTCAAGAGATGGAGACCATCCTGGCCAACATGGTGAAACCCCGTCTCTACTAAAAATACAAAAATTAGCTGGGCATGGTGGCACGTGCCTGTAATCCTAGCTACTCAGGAGGCTGAGTCAAGGAGAATCGCTTGAACCCGGGAGGCGGAGATTGCAGTGAGCCGAGATCGTGCTGCTGCACTGCAGCCTGGGCAAAGAGTGAGACTCCCTCTCAAAAAAAAAAAAAGCTATAATTCTATAGGCCAAGCAAGGTGGCTCACGCCTGTAATTCCAGCACTTTGGGAGGCCGATGTGGGTGGATTGCTTGAACCAAGGAGTTCTAGCCTGGGCAACAAAGCAAAATCCTGTCTCTACTTAAAAAGGAAAAAAAGGATATATTTCTGTAGCTTATGGCCTGTAGGCTCGCCATGCCTCAGGCTCGAAAGTGCAGCTTTCAGAAAAGATCCTTCACTGGTATTTCCAGGGAGGAAGTGATGAGGCAGGAATTTATGCTGAGTGGGTTGGCCAAGTATACACACTCAACAGGTCATGAAATGGGCTATGAGTATTCTTGAAGGGGGCCTAACACATGCATACTGAATAAACATTCATGTGGCTTATGTCCCATGTTCACTTTGGGGTGGAGACTTCACATTTCTTTTTCTTTTTGAGACAGAGTCTTGCTATGTCACCCAGGCTGGACTGCAATGGCACCGTATCAGCTCACTGCATCCTCCACCTCCCAGGTTCAAGCGATTCTCCTGTGTCAGCCAAGTAGCTGAGACTACAGGTACATGCCACCACACCTGGCTACTTTTTTTTTTTTTTTTTTTTTTGAGATGGAGTCTTGCTCTGTCACCCAGGCTGGAGTGCAGTGGTGCAATCTCTGCTCACTGCAAGCTCCACTTCCCGGGTTCACGCCATTCTCCTGCCTCAGCCTCCCCAGCAGCTCGGACTACAGGCACACGCCGCCACGCCCAGCTAATTTTTGTATTTTTAGTAGAGACGGGGTTTCTCTGTGTTAACCAGGATTGTCTCGATCTCCTGACCTTGTGATCCGCCCTCCTAGGCCTCCCAAAGTGCTGGGATTACAGGCGTGAGCCACCGCGCCTGGCCCACTTTTTCTATTTTTAGTAGCGATAGGGTTTCACTATGTTGGCCAGGCTGGTCTGGAACGCCTGACCTCAGGTGATCTGCCGCCTCGGTCTCCCAGAGTGTTCCAAAGTGCTGGGATTACAGGCGTGAGCCACCGTGCTGCGCCGAGACTTCATGTTTCAATGCATTGCAGCTAGACCCCCCCATATCAAATGGTTCATCAGGGACATGAAGACGCTCGCGTGCTAAGTCTCTTTCAAGTGGCCAGAAGCAGTCAATGCTCAGAGGCCTCTCATCAGCAGAAAGTTACTGGAATCAATCTCTTGTCCAATCAAAGCTGGAGTCATGGCTTGTGGAACAGGGGGTCAGTTAGTCAGAATCTGGGATGGATGAGCTGCAATCATTTCAATATTGCTTATCTTAGGGCCAGTGCTTGTTCAGCTGCTAGAGAGAGAAAAACCCTGTGGCAGTTAGAATATAGTTCATTCAGCTGGGCACAGTGGCTCTTGCCTGTAATCCCAGCACTTTGGGAGGCTGAGGCGGGTGGATAATGAGGTCAGCAGGTCAAGACCAGCCTGGCCAACATGGTGAAACCCTGTCTGTACTAAAAATACAAAAAATTAGCCAGGTGTGGTGGCATGCACCTGTAATCCCAGCTACTCGGGAGGCTGAGGCAGGAGAATTGCTTGAACCTGGGAGGCAGAGGTTGCAGTGAGCCAAGATCATGCCACTGCACTTCAGCCTGGGCTACAAAGCGAGACGCTGCCTCAAAAAAAAAAAAAAAAAAAGTATATAGTTCATTTTTTAAGGGTAGGGGCCCTTGACTTAACCCTTGCCTGGTAAGACCTTAGGTCCTGTATATAACTTGGTATCTTATTACCCTAAATAGTCAATTCAGTCAGCCTTATAATCTCTATTTTAACATGAATGCTGGTCAGTTTTTGTGTCTCAACCATGAAAGGAAGGAAGTAAAATGAGACGTGTCTATCCTCCCATCCTGCCATGGCCAGGAACTCAGTTTTAAAGATTTCTCTGGGTACACTTGGCCGAGAGGGAATCTGTTCAGTTCATAGGGGGAGCTTAGGATTTTATTTTTAGTTTTCAGAACGAGGGATGAATAATCATGGAGGCTTCTGCTGGGAGGGAAAAAGTAGAAAAAATGCATTAATTTCACTCTTCCTGTATGCCAGGCCCTATGCCAAGCCCTTAAGTTGCCCCATCTCATTCGATTCTACCAGGGTCACACAGGTGGTGGACATCATCATCCTCATTTTTCAGGAAAACTGAGGCTCTCGCCCAAGGTTCCTGCCCAACAACACCAGGCCCTGAGTTCTCAGCATGGTCCTCACTCAGATACTCTTTGTGTAGGGTTTCTTACCTGAGTCCTCAGCAGGGTCCTCACCTGGATGCCGTTTGTGTAGGGTTTCTCATCTGAATCCTCTGCAGGGTCCTCACTCGGATGTCCTTTGTGTAGGGTTTCTCACCTGAGTCCTCAGCAGGGTCCTCACTTGGATGCCCTTTGTGTAGGGTTTCTCATCTGAGTCCTGAGCAGGGTCCTCACTCGGATGTCCTTTGTGTAGGGTTTCTCATCTGAGTCCTGAGCAGGGTCCTCACTCGGATGTCCTTTGTGTAGGGTTTCTCACCTGAGCCCTCAGCAGGGTCCTCACTTGGATGTCCTTTGTGTAGGGTTTCTCATCTGAGTCCTGAGCAGGGTCCTCACTCGGATGCCCTTTTTGTAGGGTTTCTCATCTGAGTCCTGAGCAGGGTCCTCACTCGGATGTCCTTCGTGTAGGATTTCTCACCTGAGTCCCCAGCAGGGTCCTCACTCAGATGCCCTTTGTGTAGGGTTTCTCACCATAGGGAAAGTCACTCATCACCCACAGGCACTTGACTATTATCTGCCCTCGAAGGATGTGCGATTCCAAAACACGCTTGCTCTGAGAAAAACCAGGGCCGTATCATTTTCCCCGCCAAACCGGAAAGGAGCCAAGAGATCAAAGGATGACTCAGATGAGCCCAGCTTGGCAAATAATGAGTTGATTAGGATTCACATGCAGGGCACTCCAGGGCAGCAGCAGCACAGCCCCAAAGATCTGTGCCACCTCCTGTCTCTAAACTGCTTTTAAGTGAATTTTCTGGCTCTTTGTCCACTGATTTTGAGCAATCAGCCTCTTCTGCCTGGTAGGTTCTCAGATACTGTCTGGGATGTTTGGGTTCTCGGGGACACCTGCTTCTTGGCTGGGCACAAGAGACTTGGCTTCCCACCTGGCCTTCAGGGTTCAGGCAGGGGACATGCACCCTTAAGTAACCTGATGGGACATGCCACACCAGAATTCTATACACTTGAAGTGGGGCCAGCCTCTCCACACCTGTGGTTACTTCTCCTCAGGTGGGATGAGAGACTGAGGAAAGAAATAAGACACAGAGACAAAGTATAGAGAAAGAAATTGGGCCCAGGGGACCGGCGCTCAGCATACGGAGGACCTGCACTAGCACTGGTCTCTGAGTTTTCTCAGTTTTTATTGATTACTGTTTTCACTATCTCATCAAGGGGAACGTGGCAGGAGAGCAGGGTGATAGAGGGGAGAAGGTCAGCAAGAAAACATGTGAGCAAAGGAATCTGTGTCACAAATAAGTTCAAGGGAAGGTTCTATGCCTGGATGTGCACATAGGCCAGATTTATGCTTTTCTCCACCCAAACATCTCAATGGAGTAAAGAGTAACAAAGCAGCATTGCTCCCAACATGTCCCACCTCCTGCCACAAGGCGGTTTTTCTCCTATCAAAGAATGGAACAAATGTACAATCGGGATTTATACCAAGACATTGCATTCCCAGGGGCAGGCAGGAGACAGAGGCCTTCCTCTTATCTCAGCTGCAAGAAGCCTTCCTCTTTTACTAATCCTCCTCAGCACAGACCCTTCACGGGTGTCAGGCTTGGGGACGGTCAGGTCTTTCCCATCCCATGAGGTCATATTTCAGACTATCACATGGGGAGAAACCTTGGACAATACCTGGCTTTCCAGGGCAGAGGTCCCTGCGGCTTTCCACAGTGCATTGTGCCCCTGGTTACTTGAGAATGAAGAACGGCGATGACTTTTATCAAGCACACTGCCTGTAAATATTTTGTAAACAAGGCACATCCTGCACAGCCCTAGATCCCTTAAACCTCGATTCCATACAACACATGTTTCTGTGAGCTCAAGGTTGGGGCTAAAGTTACAAATTAACAGCATCTCAGGGCAAAGCAATTGTTCAGGGTACAGATAAAAATGAAATTTCTTATGTCTTCCTTTTCTACATAGACACAGTAACCGTCTGATCTCTCTTTCTTTTCCCTACATATCCCCCTTTTCTTTTTGAGAAAACCGCCATCATCATCATGGCCCGTTCTCACTGGTCGCTCTCTCTTTGGAGCTGCTGGATACACCTGTAGACTAACAACAGACAAAACAGATATACCAGGATTAATATGAAATTACAACAGTTGAATTTCTGATGGTTTTAACCCAAGTGACAGGGTTAAGATTTGTGAGGCCATCAGCAACTTTCATGATTGCCTCAGTTTCTGGCACCAAATTTAAATGGGCTTTTGATGCCTCAAAAACTTGTTCTTTTAATTTTAAAATATCTAAAGTAAGATTATCTTCTCTTCCTTGTAGTTGGCGTCATGTCCCAGTGATGCTCAGACTCATTATACGCTTGGGGTTTAATACAAAAATCTGACATATTCCAGTCATACTGTAACTGAAAAAGATATTCCAAGCTCATGAGCCTATCTCCCATCCAAATGACAGTTTGTCTAAGATCATTAATTTGGTTTGCCAATTTTTGATCTATTTGGGTCTGAGAATTCCACAATTTTGAGGAATTCTTTTGCCAATTATTTACATATTCTGCAGTTTGAACAGAGAAGTGTAAAGCAATTCCAGCAGCCACAGCAGTAGCTGTGACTGCAATAAGACCCAAAATCACTGCAATCAAAGTAAAAAAGAATCTTTTGGATCTAGTTAGAACTCCTTTCAATACTTCTGTTAAAATATGGACAGATGGGGAAGCCTCCCACTGTCAGTCCATGGACACAGGGATCCCCATGCCCTCTCTTGCCCTCACCAGCAGAATACGGTGCTGCCAATCAAAAGTCTAATCAATGCAAGTAAACAATCTACTGTTTTCACAGGTTATAGTTTGGGAATCTGGTTTAATAACTATGTTTCCTACAACTAGCATATAAGGGGGTTTTACACAACTTTGCAAAGGAATTGTCGGATTGGAATTTAAGTTAATAGTATAATATGGCTTACGATCTCTTGTTCCTATAGCTTGATTTTCAGACCAAATTCTAATGTGGTGTGAGGCCACAGTAAGCTTTCATAATTCTGGATGTTCAGGACCAGTAACAGGACTAACTAACTTTGGTCGAGGTGATGAAATTCGCTTTTCACCCCATTTCCATGGATAGGGTGATTGTAACTTTCTATAAACCTGATCCAGCCTTTCAGTTAAATCACTCTCATAGGCCAGATTAATGGGCCAGATGGATGGGGCTGTGAACATGAGAGAGTCTGGCCTGTACAATTATAATAAAATTGGCCTCGAGGGGCCCGGTCTATAATAGTTCTAAATTCATTGTTTTGTAATACCACCGCAGTATCAGCCACACATTCTTCCCAAACTGAAACTTTTGGGCCTTTTGATTCTTTGGGAATTTTCTTGGGGCAAGGCTTCCCCTTAGGCCTAAATTTTAATGATCTTTGATAAGAAGAGTCCTGTAAATTATTTTATCTGTGGCCCGAGTGACATCCCACTTACTATGTGATAAGTAAATCTACTGGTGGCACTGACAGTAGGTACTTCTACCAACCAATTTGGGGTTGTAGGCATTAAATATCCTGGCACCTTCCCTTGGCAAATAGGAGGATAATGATACCCAGTGGAAATATTTATCATCAATTCTTTTTTAGGTTGGGCAGGGCAACGATCATCTGTGAGGCCTGGTACCCATGCACTATTATTAACATATACTTCAATAGGATTATCCATCCATGTGACTGCCTGAATTAAGGGCGGGAAAGGCACACAGTCCCGGTAAGTATGATTAGTTGTGGCTGCTCCTGCAGTCACAGGGAGACTTACCACCGTTGATACAATCATCAAAGCTGCAGGCAGCATGTTCTCTGGAGTTTGTGTTACCCTTTTTGTTCTTCAGGCTTTTTTCAGCTAACTGTGTCAGCTTCTTTAATTGGGCCCAGGTCAGTGGCCCCACTTTCTTGGTGGATGGCAGCTTCATCTGTTCTTCTGATATCACCATTTTGTTCACCCGGTGAGTCGATGATGCTCGATTGCGGGTTTTCCATCTCCGTGGTGGCGCTTCTCTTTGCATCTCCGATGGGTTCATTGTAGAACTTTAAATGTCTAGTGGGTATCCAAACAGGAAGCTGATTTTCTCCTGGTGAAACACAAGCAAAACCTCTCCCCCATGTTATCATTTTCCCTATTTCCCTTGTCTTATTTTTGTTGTCTTTCCACCAAATCAGTTTTCCTTCATGTGGGCTGTTCTTTTTACCAGTAAAATGTTGCTCTGCAGAAGTAGTGGTCTGATTTCTATAAATGTTTAAAAAATTTAAAGTATAGAGTGCTAAATTAAGTTGCATCTGGGGAGTGTTATACTCCTTAATGTCTTTTTCCTTTTTTTGTTTCACCAATTCAGCTTTGAGTGTTCTATTAGTTCTTTCAATTATGGCCTGTCCTTGGGAATTATAGGGGATTCCTGTTGTATGTGTAATTTGTCACTGATTTCACAATTTTTAAAATGTTTTACTACAGTATCCTGGCCCATTACGTGTTTTAATTTTTTTTTGGAACTCCCATGACAGCAAAACAAGATAATAAATGTCTTTTAACATGGGAAGTACTTTCTCCTGTCTGGCAGGTTGCCCATACAACATGCAGATAAGAATCAACTGTCACATGGACAAACGATGATTTTCCAAATGAAGGTACATGTGTGACATCCATTTGCCATAATGCATTAGGACATAGACCTCTGGGATTAACTCCTGCCTCCTGAGTGGGCAGGTGTAGGACTTGACACTGGGTGCAATGTTGTACAATATTTTTTGCCTGTTTCCATGTGATATCAAATTTATTTTTTAGTCCTGTTGCATTTACATGAGTCAAAGCATGAAGTTCTTGTGCTTCTATGAATGCAGATGATGCTAGCAAGTCAGCTTGTTCATTTGCTTTAGTTAAAGGCCTTGGTAAATTAGTATGTGCTCATATATGAGTAATATAAAATGGGAGATTTCTTTTTCTTACAATTTGTTGTAACAAATAAAAGGACTGGTTTAACTGATCATCCATACTATATTTGGTTAGGGCTGTCTCAACATCCTTTGTAGCTGTACTACATATGCAGAATCTGATTTTCAATGACTCGTTCTTTCGGCCTGGTGTAAACCACTTTTCCATTGCTGGAACCATCAGTAAACACAGTCAGAGCATTTTCTAAAGGTTTATGTCTGGTAATTTTAGGTAAAATTCAAGTAGTCAATTTTAAAAACTGGAAGATTTTTGTTTTTGGGTAATGGTTATCAATAATTCCCACAAAATCAGCAAGAGCAATCTGCCATGCAGCAGAATTGATAAAGCCTTGTCTAAACTCTTCCTTGTTTAAAGGAACAATGATTTTATCTGGGTCACTTCCACACAATTTTATTATTTGTAATCTTGCCTGACCAATTAATGTAGCCATTTGATCCAAGTACAATGTAAAAGTCTTAATCGTACTGTGAGGAAGGAAAGATCACTCCACAAGATCTGTATTTTGAACAATAATGCCTGTTGAGAATGTGCAGTAGCAAAAATCAAAAGTTGGAGTGGGGTGAAGTGATCTATTCTATTTACTTGTGCTGACCGAATTTTTTCTTCAATTAATTCAATTTCTTTAGTTGCCTCTGGAGTTAATGTTCTTTTACTATTCAATTCTGGATCCCCACTCAAGATAGAGAACAAATTTGACATGGCATAAGTAAGGATGCCTAGAGTTGACCAAATCCAATTAATATCTCCTAGCAATTTATGAAAGTCGTTTAATGTTTTTAATGTCTTTTCTTATTTCTATTTTTTGTTGTTTAAATTTTCTTTCCTCTACCTGCATTCCCAAGTAATGGACAGGAGTAGAGGTTTGAATCTTATCAGATGCTATTGTCAGTCCTGAGTTTGCAACCTCTGTCTGCAGAAATGTGTAACAGTCAATTAATGTGTCTCTCGTTTCTGCAGCACACAAAAGATCATCAACATAATGAAAGACGTAGTCTGAAAACTTGTCTCTAACTGGTTGAAGAGCTTCAGCTACAAAAATCTGACAAATAGTTGGACAATTAAGCATTCCCTGAGGCAACACTTTCCACTGAAACCTGGTGGCTGGTTCTTTATTATTTATGGCTGGTATAGTAAAAGCAAATTTTTCAAAATCCTGTTTTGCTAGAGGAATGGTAAAAAAGCAATCCTTCAGATCAATTATAATTAAAGGCCAATCTTTGGGGATCATGGCCAGAGAGGGCAACCCAGGTTGGAGAGCCCCCATAGGTTGAATTACAGCATTGACGGCTCTTAAGTCGGTTAACATGTGCCATCTGCTGGATTTTTTCTGAGTTACAAACACAGGAGAATTCAAGGCGAAAATGAAGGCTCAATATGTCCCTTTGCTAATTGTTCTTTTGCCCGTAAGTGTAAAGCCTCCAGCTTTTGTTTTGGTAGCAGCCACTGATTTACCCATACAGGTTTTTCTGTTTTCCAAGTTAATGGAATGGGTTTTGGGGGCTCTACAGTGGCCACTCCTAAAAAGGATATCCTATTCCTTTTCTTTCTTGATTTCCCTCAGCCTCAATTGGGATTTTAATGCCATCTCCATTTTTCCCTAGTCCTTTGCCAGGGAGATACCCCATTTTAGTCTGATTTTTTGACTCGTGGGGCTGTATAAGGAGGCTGGGATAGTCATCTCTGCATGCCATTGTTGTAACAAGTCTCGGCCCCATAAATTAATTGGAATAAAAGTAATCATAGGTTGAACTGTACTTTCTTGTTTATCAGGTCCTAGACAATGTAAAATCATGGTGCTTTGATACACTTTTGAGGCGCTGCCCACACCGACAAGTCCTGTAACAGGCTTTTGTTTAGGCCAATTTTTTGGCCATTGATTTAAGGCGATAATGGAAACATCAGCATCGGTATCCACTAATCCTATAAACTGCTTTCCCTGAATAGTGACTGTACACACAGGTCTATTCTCTGAGACCTGACGAGCCCAGTGAGTGGCTTTTCCGGCAGAGTTGGTACTTCCAAACCCTCCTGTCCTTTCCGTTTTATTTTCCCCAATTTTAATATAAGGCAAAAGCAATAATTGAGCAATTCTATTACCTGGATTGGCACTCCAGGGAACAGTGGAGCTGATCACTAACTGAATTTCCCCTTTATAATCTGAATCAATTACCCCAGTATGAATTTGGACTCCCTTCAAATTTAGACTTCATCTCCCTAAAATGAGGCCTACTGTCCCTCCTGGCAGTGGGCCATATACCCCTGTAGCAATCTTTTGCGGGGTCTCTCCAGGGAGTAAAGAAACCTTTTGAGTGGAACATAAATCTACTGCTGTGCTGCCTGCTGTGGCGGGGGACAGCTGTTGTATTGTTGTAATTGGCTGATTCCCTGAAGTGGTGGTATTTGCTGTGGTGGTTGCTGTCCCTGAAAACCCTGAAGAACAAACGGCTGAATCGGGAATGCCCCAGTTTGTTGTTGGGACTGAGGCTGGCCCCTCACCCCTTTTTCTGACAATAGTTGCCCATTTTTATCATATTTAGAACGACATTGATTAGCCCAATGTTTTCCTTTTCCATGTCTTGGACACAGGCCAGGTGGCTCTTTATTTTTACTCTGTTTATTTAAGACTGGGCAGTTCTTTTTTAGATGACCGATTTGACCACAATTATAACATTTCCCCCCAAATGCTCTAACTATCCTCCTAAAGTGACTCCGGTCATTGCTTGAGCCATTAGCATTGCCTTACGCATAGCTCCTCCAATCCCATCACAAGCTTTCACATATTCTGTAATTACATCAACTCCTGCTGGACCTTTTCCTTTTAATGGCTTTATGGCTGGTTGAAATTCTGGATTTGACTTTTGATAAGCCATTATTTCTACAATAACTTTTTGAGCATTATCATCCGAAACAGATTTTTCAGAGGCATCTTGCAACCTTGCCACGGAGTCTGCATATGGCTCTTTGCAGCCTTGTCTAATTGAATTAGAAGAAGGGCAAGCGGTGCCTGGGCAAGTGATGCCTGGGCAAGTGGTGTGTGGGGCACCCAGGTGCCTGGGTCCTGAATTTTTTCCCAGTCCCTGAGGCAAAGAGCCCTTAGATGTTCAATACCCTCATTCTGCATTACTGACTGTTGGCCAATTGTACTCCAATTTGGACCTGTTCCTAGCAATCGATCTGCATCTATATTAACAGCGGGATAAATAGCCTGACTTTTCGTGCCTGTTCTTGTACTCCATCAATCCACCAGGTTTTAAATTGTAGGAACTGAGAGGGTGGAAGGGAAGATTTAGCCAACATTTCCCAATCATAGGGAATAAGTCTATTTCCATGAGCAATGGGATCTAATAAAGTTCTCATATAAGGGGAGTTGGGTCCATATTGTTTAACTCCTTCCTTCATATCTTTTAACATTTTCATGGTGAAAGATTCATATCTAGCCTCAGTTTGGACAGACGCTCCAGCTTGCCCCCCTTTCCCAGCTGGTATTGGTTGTAAAATTACAAGGAACTGCCATGCCTCAAGATCTCCCTGTTTTCTGGCTTTATCAATGATTTCATGCAGTGTACTACCTTGTCCACTAGGTGGTGATGTAGGACTAAACACCGCTGGGTTGCTGGTGAGGTGCCGTGCTATGTGGCACGGGACACACAGCTTGAGGTCTGTATTGAACCTCCGGAGACGGCCCATACTGAAGCTCAGCTGGCGGCCAGTATTGATAAACTACCGGTGGTTGGGTCTTATTTTCTACCAGCTGATATTGTGGATACTGTATCTGAATTGGCATGGCCGGGATAGAGACTCTATCCTTTTCTACATGATATTCTCTTGGGGTTTGCACTTGTCTAACCTGCATTTGAGGTTGTAATGTTACAGGCATCTGAACCACTGGAGGAGGAGTTGATGGCCATTGTGGTTTAGGCTCTGGTAGCCCCAATAATTCTGGACCTCCTTCCACCAGTTTTGATGATTCAGGATATATTACCTCCTGTAACTGATTGTAGTCAACATTTTGCGTTGACTGAGCCATTACAGACTCTGTTACATTTTACAATGTGAACTTTCCATTAATTTCCGGGATTTTGTCTCTGCCTCTTCTTCACAATCTACTACACAGCTTTCAGGGGCATCAGAAATTGAAAGGCTATCTTTTTCTATTTGAAACGGTTCTAAAGTTGTTTTAATAATGGGCCAATCATTCCATACTGTAAGTGGGATGATTTTATCTTCCCTACTTGCTTGTTTTAATTCTTTGCCAATTTTCCCCCAATCTTTTAGATCTAAAGTCCTTGTTTTGGAAACCATGGGCAGAATTGTTCTATTGTTTGAAATAGCATAATTAGATTTTCTGTAGAAGCTCTAACTCCCCATCTTCTTAGAAGAATTTTAATGAAGCTGAGATAAGAGGCATATTTACTTTCAGTTTGTCCCATTGTTACCCTGGGTTCCTCTGAGCACACAAGCTTACCGCATGGCTGACCGTGGAAGTACTTGGGAATCTCTCGTTGACTGTCTTCAATGCTCACGTTTTTAGCGTACCTTCACCCTAGAGAAAGGCCCACGTTGGGCGCCAGGTGAAGGGGGTCAGCCACTCCACACCTGTGGGTATTTCTCATCAGGCAGGACAAGAGACTGAGAAAAGAAATAAGACACAGAGACAAAGTATAGAGAAAGAAAAATGGGCCCAGGGGACTGCTGCTCAGCATACGGAGGACCCACACCGGCACTGGTCTCTGAGTTCCCTCAGTATTTATTGATTACTATTTTCACTAACTCAGTAAGGGAAAAGTGGCAGGAGAGCAGGGTGATAGTGGGGAGAAAGTCAGCAAGAAAACATGTGAGCAGAGGAATCTGTGTCACAAATAAGTTCAAGGGATGGTACTATGCCTGGATGTGCACATAGGCCAGATTTATGCTTTTCTCCACCCAAACATCTCAATGGAGTAAAGAGTAACAAAGCAGCATTGCTGCCAACATGTCTCGCCTCCCACCACAGGCAGTTTTTCTCCTATCTCAGAATAGAACAAATGTATAATCAGGTTTTATACTGAGGCATTCAGTTCCCAGGGGCAGGCAGGAGACAGAAGCCTTCCTCTTATCTCAACTGCAAGAGGCCTTCCTCTTTTACTAATCCTCCTCAGCACAGACCCTTAATGGATGTCAAGCTGGGTGGAAGGTCAGGTCTTTCCCATCCAATGAGGTCATATTTCAGACTATCACATGGGGAGAAACCTTGGACAATACCTGGCTTTCCAGGGCAGGGGTCCCTGAGGTTTTTCACAGTGTATTGCACCCCTGGTTACTTGAGAATGGAGAATGGTGATGACTTTTATCAAGCATACTGCCTGTAAACCTTTTGCTAGCAAAGCACATCCTGCACAGCCCTGGATCCCTTAAACCTTGATTCTATACAACACATGCTGCTGTGAGCTCAAAGTTGGGGCTAAAGTTACAGATTAACAGCATCTCAGGGCAAAGTCAGGGTACAGATCAAAATGAAGTTTCTTATGTCTTCCTTTTCTACATAGACACAGTAACCGTCTGATCTCTCTTTCTTTTCCCTGCATACGCTAGTCTTCTTCTTTAGTCTGCTAGGTATGGGAAGGGTGTTAAGAAAGGATCTCTCATCAATATGACCTGGCCCCCAAAAAGCATGCTTGATTTTTGAATGTGGTAAAGAAATATTTAAACCATGTTTTATGTCTATATGATTATTAGTATTTATATGTTATTTTCTTTTGTTTTGTTTTGTTTTTGAGATGGAGTCTCACTCTGTCATGAGGCTGAAGTGTGGTGGCACAATCTCAGCTCACAGCAACCTACGCCTCCTGGGTTCAAGCAATTCTCCTGCCTCAGCCTCTCTAGTAGCTGGGAGTACAGGCATGTGACAACATGTCCAGCTAATTTTTGTAGTTTTAGTAGAGACGGGGTTTCACCATGTTGGCTAGGATGGTCTCGATCTCTTGATCTTGTGATTCTCCTGCCTCAGCCTCCCAAAGTGCTACTATTATAGGTATGAGCCAACAAACCCAGCCATATTTATATATTGTAGGCAGTATTTTGCTAAAAGGGAATTTTGATATCTTTATAAGACACAACTAGTTTAATTAAGGAAGGAGCACTGCCCACCATGACGACAGGTATGGGTTGGTGATGCCCTGAAGCTCCAGGTAATCAATGATGTGAATGTCCCCTTCCAAAGCAGGGGCCATGCCTTGTGCAGTGAATCTCTGTCCCAGCACAGCTAATGGTCAGAAATGGATTCTTCTCAATCTGCCCATTAGGACTGAACAGGGTCTCAGCATCTGGTTAGCAGGGAGGGACCTGAGAAGGGGCTTTACTTGAGTGACTCACACTCTTTGCCCACATAGAATGTTCCTGGCCCTGTGTGTGCATCTTGTGGGTATTCACCCACTGATCAGCCACAGAACAAAGTCAGGAGGTAACAGATTTGTAAAGAGAAGTAAAGAACAGGAGGGAATTGATAAAAATGAGGAAATTTCATTTGGATGCCTGACTTCCTGGGGCAGGACCTCATTAAAAACACAGCTCGGTGCTTCTGATTTTCTCTTTTTCTTGTCTCTTTTTCCTGAGACGGAGTCTTGCTCTATTTCCCAGGCTGCAGTGTAGTGGCTCTATCTCAGCTCACTTAAACCTCTGCCTCCTGGCTTCAAGTGATTCTCCTACCTCAGCCTCCCAAATAGCTCGGACTACAAGTGCCTGCCACCATGCTCAGCTAATTTTTTTTTTGGCCCCGAGTCTCGCCCTGTCGTCCAGGTTGGAGTGAAGTGGCACGATTTGGAGATCTCAAGTACATGGACCGGGGAGGCTGCAGGAATTTGTTTATCTTGGGCTGGGGGTGCATGGGAAGTAGGTAGGGCTCCTGTGACCACAAACCCAAGGCCTCTGGGATCAGAAGGCAACAACAAGGGCCAGGACCTACCCCGGGGCCTGTGCTTGCAGGGACCCTGGCTCTCATTTGTATGTGGGGTGCCTGAGTGATTTCAGATTCCTCACCCATCCCCATTGGCTCTTCTAGGGGAGATGCAACCATAACACCTGTAGGTGACCCTGTGTAGGAAAAGACTGCAGAACCCACACGGGCCCATGCTGAGTGAGGCTTTCTCCAGGTGGGCACAAAAACCCCTAGCTCCCCAGCCACTGCCAGAGCTTGGGGTTGGGGGCCTTACATGGAGGCAAATGCAGGGAGCATTGGCAGAGGCAGGGCTGAGTGAAAGGAGAAGAAGAGCACATGGAAAAGACACAGGGGTCTCTGACAGTTCCAGGGCCAGAGGCACTTGGGAGTGGGAGAGGCATGACTGGGAGATAGGTCCAGGGCTTTTTCTGAGCCCTGAGGCCCCAGCAGGTTTACTTCCCTTCGAAGATCTCTCTGGGCTATTGTGCCTGGGAGTCAGGGCTGGCTCTGCTGCAGCCCTGTGGGAAGGGCATAGATCCCTCAGGGTCTAAGGTTCAACTTTACTCTTATCCTCAAATGAGGGCTTTTACCCAGGGACCTCTTGTCCGCAGATTCCACGTCTTCTTGCTGGACTCCCAGAGGAAGTTGTCCTACCAGGGACATGGGATGTTATACTTTTCTCTTCCATGGAACCAGCTCTGTCAGGTAGAGTTGTGCCTTTCTAGGTGGCCACACACACACACACATACTTACCATGTGGACATTGCAGTGATGCCCACTGGGCTTCGGGTTCTTCCATAGCACCCAGCTGAAAAAAGCCTCACCTAAGGCTAAGAAGAGACCTGGCTTGGACAAAAAAATACTTAGTGCATTCCAGGTGCATCCTTATCAGCTGTAAGGCTGGGCCAGGGGAACCTGGGAAGGGATGGCCCCTGCGCTGGGACCTGTCCAAGGCTCTGTCATCATCCTGACAGCCTTGGAAGACCAGAAGGGTCAGGTCTTCCTCTGCAAGCCAGGCAGTGTCACCACCCAGAAGTCCAGGGTGCCTCTTTAGGTCCAGAGCAGCAGCTGTGGAGTTTCCTGCTTTGTGCCTTGCCATGTTCACCAACATCACTCAATATAAACTGGGGAAAATTTCTTAATTACTGCTGGGTCTCTCTGCATTGTGGCCATGTTCTGAAGTCCAGGAGAGATGGGCTGATGGCCTTGGGATGCATAAAGTGACGCCGGCCCCATCAGCTCAGGCTGAGGGAGAAAACAGAGGCTCAGGAATATTCTAGAGAGCCTAAGCAAGGGCCTCATAGGAGCTTTGGAATCCCAGTGTGGATTCTGGGATTGGAGAATAGGTCAGGTCGTTTCCTGAGATGGGTTTCGAAGGTTGCTCTGAGCTTGGCAGCAGATGAGCACCTCGAGAAGAACTGGTGACAGAACATGGTAGAAAAGACCCCAAGTGCAGGATTCTCACTGGGGTCCTGGGGGTGCTACTGCACCCCTTGAAATGGGCAGGAAGAGGGAGTCAGTTAGCCAGTTCTTTCCAATATTTAGCTTATTGAACACCTTGGGGGTTCCACTGAGCCCCTCACCTGAGGGGTTTGCCAATCATTTGCTGCCAGAACATGGGAAGATTTTTCTCTGGCCAAATCTCAGGTTTATCAGGTTAGAAATGGGGAAAATAGCAACGTGCCTTAGATTCTCCATGAAGAAGAGCTGAGGTCCGGGATGATCAGTACCAGCCGTCTGTTGTGCCTCGTGGATGCTCAGTGAACACAGATTCTCACAACCATTATTGGTGTTGAGCTCACCCTCAGCCTCAGGTTTACAAAGTGGGGCGTGGGAAGTAGAAGCCTCACTGGGCTCAGGTGATCCTCCCACCTCAACTTCTTGGGCAGCTTGGCCTACAGGTGCACACTGCCTCCCCCCAGCTAATATCTTGTATTTGTATTAGAGACAGGGTTTCATCACATTGCCCATATTCCTCACAAACTCCTGAGCTCTAGCACTCTGCCTTTCTTGGCTTCCCAAAGGGCTGGGATTAGAGGCCTGAGGTCTTTCTTTCTTTTCCTTCCTTCCTTACTTTCTTTCTTTCTTTTTTCTTTCTTTCTTTCTTTCTTTCTTTCTTTCTTTCTTTCTTTCTTTCTTTCTTTCTTTCTTTCTTTCTCTTTCTTTCTTCTTTCTTTCCTTCCTTCCTTCCTTCCTTCCTTCCTTCCTTCCTTCTTTCTTCTTTCTTTCTTTCTTTCTTTCTTTCTTTCTTTCTTTCTTTCTTTCTTGCTTGCTTGCTTGCTTGCTTGCTTGCTTGCTTGCTTTTTCTTTTGTTCTTTTTTGACAGTGTCATGCCGTCACCCAGGATGGAGGGCAGTGGCGCCATCTCAGCTCACTGCAACTTCACATCCTGGGTTTAAGCGATTCTCCTGCCTCAGCCTTCTGAGTAGCTGGGAGTGCAGACATCTGCCACTATGCTCGGCTAATTTTTTGTATTTTTAGTAGAGACGGAGTTTCACCGTGTTAGCTAGAATGGTCTTGATATACTGACCTCATGATCAGCCCACCTTGGCCTCTCAAAGGGCTGATGTTACAGGCATGAGCCACTGTGCCTGGGTCTGAGCTTTCTTTGTAGGCCTAATGTTGATGCTCTGATAAGAATCTCTATGTTCAATATTAGCGACAGGAAAGGACTCTAAGAAGGAGGAAACATGAATTATCAAATTAGAGTAGGAAGGGAGTGGGTGAGATTAAGATTTGGATGAAGGGTCCTGGAAAATGACTGGGGCCAATGGTTGCTGGGAAATGTTCCACTGTGGGAAGATCCCAGAGTCTACAGGAAAGGTCTCCAGATGATAGAACAATGATGGACATATGGACCCTCGTTCATTTCTCTCTCACATCCTGTAGAGCCCACAGTTTCTACCTGGGTGGCTTCCAGCTTGGGAGAGCCTCCCTTCCCAGGTCTGGCCCCAATCTTCTCTCTGGCCTCTGCTCCAGTTCACATTCTTAGATTCCATCTTTGCAAGCTGGTTTTCTGAGAGGAGCCCATCAGTTTTGTGAGTAAACACCCTTTACCTTCTAGTAGGGCCAAGACTATACCTGCCCCCTGTGTTTTCAAAGTGAATGTTATGGTTTAAGTCTGCCCTATCTCTTTTGATGATTCTCCTTTTAATTTCTGAACTCAATCTAGGGTGGGTGAGATGGCTGATGCCTGTTATCCCAGCCTTTTGGGAGGCCAAGGTGAGGAGATCACTTGAGGTCAGGAGTTTGAGACCAGCCGGGCCAACATGGTGAAACCCCATCTCGACTAAAATACAAAAATTAGTAGGGCTTGTTGGAGTGCACCCGTAATTCCCAGCTACTTGGGAGGCAGAAATGAGAGAATCACTTGAACCAGAAGGTTGAGGCTGCAGTGAGCTGAAATCGTGCCACTGCACTCCAGCCTGAGTGACAGATGTAGGCCCAGTCTGAAAATCAAACAAACAATCAATAAATAAACTCAATCTTGACAAAAGACTTTGAGTCCTGACATCTAGATGCCCACAAGATAACCGCCATGTTTTACATTGTCTTGTTTCCTTTGCAGGTTCCCATTAGAACACCTAGTCTCATTCCGCTCAGTCCCCACCTCACTTGGTCACTTTGTCCTGATTTCCTTCGGTGAAGCCTTGACTTAGTCTTGAGATAGATCACACTCTCAGTGGTTCCTTTCTTCTACCTGAATGTGCATATGATCTGCTATGTTAGATAGCATAAAACACAGGTGACCATTCGATATACACAGCTTTTTATTCTGTTTTCTTGGGAATGACATCACTATCTTCTTCAGGCTATTGTAGCTCTGAAACATTTTGACAATTTTGATGTGGCCAAACATCCTCCAATAAGGACACCTTAAGGTTTTTTTTTTTTTGGCCTAATATCAGGAACAGATTAATCCCTTCCCTACATCACTACGAAAGTCGTGTATTAGCCAAACTTCATCAGTATTTGGGGAATAAATGAACGAATGAGTTTTAGACTTTCACCCTATTATTTATTCTTTTACTTCCATAAATGTGTATCTAATTCAATCGATTAGTCAGAAGAAAGCTGAAAACTCAATCAGGATTAACTGGGTGTGACTGCAAGATCTAATCAGGTATCAGTTTCTGATTGGAAGCTGGTGATTGAGAAGGGAAGGGTGGGGTTAGAAAGGTCTATAAAAGCTCCTGAGGGTACCCAGAAGAGACCCACAGCACTCATTCCTGGAGCTACTGCTTGGTTCCCTGAGAGGTCCCAGAACTCTGCAAAGTGAGTCCAGCGCTGGTAAGTCACCACCTGCTTAGGGTCATGCCCATCTGATCAGCAGCCAGCCAGTCAGGGACGGTGACACACATCCCAAAGTGGCACACAATATTTTTCTGTCTGTTTCGTGAGATGAACAGATTTAGGCTTTCATTTTTCCTCTAAATGTAGTTTTGTCTTCATCCATCAAATTGTGATTTGTGCTTGGTTTTTGTCATTTTAAAATTCTTATCGAAGCAGGTTTTTTAAAAATATATTAAAAATTTACAGTGACATGAATTTTTATTTCTTGACATTTGAAGTTATTTGTTTTTGTGCCTTTCAATTACAGTTCATAGACTTGGTGTTATTGTGATTCTCCAAGTATGCTTTCATTTTCATAAAATCCTTAAAGGTATCCCACACAGCAATCTCAAGAGTGCAGTTTTGCTCAGATCATGGGATTTATCTTTGCCCCTAGGATCCATCAAAAAGTGGGTAATTGTGAGTATGTGGAAGTGATGTCTATAGGAACCTTCATCTCAGAGTTACAGTGCTCTAGAATAGCATGGTAGCACTTTTACAGTTTTTGAGATGGAGTTTCCCTATTGTTGCCCAGGCTGGAGTGCCATGGTGTGGTTTGGTTCACTGAAATTTCTGCCTCCTAGTTACATGCGATTCTCCTGCTTCAGCCTCCTGAGTAGCTTGGATTACAGGCACTCACCACCATGCCCAGCTAATTTTTGTATTTTTAGTAGACACAGGGTTTTGCCATGTTGGCCATGCTGTCCTCAAACTCCTGACCTCAGGAGATCTGCCCCCCTCAGACTCCCAAAGTGCTGGGATTACAGGAGTGAGCCACCGCGCCCAGGTACAGTTAGCATTTCTATACATACCTTCCAAATGCTGTGGAATACCATCACACCACTTTTACAGTTCCAGTGAATTATTTTGTTTTTTTTCTGGGATGTACTCTGAGTGTGTCACCCAGACTGGAGTGCAGGGCCCTGAGCTGGGCTCCCTGGAAACTCTGCCTCTGGGCTTCAAGTGATTCTCCTTCCTCTGCCTCCAGAGTAGCTAGGATTACAGTCATGCATGACCACACCTGGCTAACATTTTAATTAATTAATTTATCAATTTGTTTTTGTTTGAGTCTGAGTCCAACTCTGTCACCCAGGCTGGAGAGCAGTGGTGAGATCTTGGCTCTCTGCAACCTCTGCCTTCTGGAGTCAAATGATTCTTAATTTTTTTGTATTTAGTAGAGACATCGTTTCATTATGTAGGCCAGGCTGTTCTCGAACTCCTGACCTCAAGTGAACTGCCTGCCTTGGTGTCCAGCAGTGTTGGGATTACAGACATGAGCCACAGCACCTGGTCCATTTCTGGTAGAAAATTTTCAAAATAAAAAATAATGGCATCGATTTTAGGGAGTCCCTTTAGTGTTCCCCCAGCATGTTTATGGTGTAAACTGAGAATGGAGGCTGTCTGGGGCCACAGGACACTCTCATTCTCATTGCTTTAGGTTGGTAAGTGACAAGAAATTTTTCCTCAAAGAGGTAGAGCTTGGCTTTCAGGATCCTCAGTGGCACTGTCCGGTGGTTCTGGGATTCAGTGGAGCAATGGATGAAAATTAATAAGCCAGTGGTCTCCTTGACCCCTCCCTCCTTGGTGTTTGGAAGACATTCTTCCTGGTACCAGTAGA
Organism: Homo sapiens; assembly: GCF_000001405.40. Classification (NCBI taxonomy): domain Eukaryota; kingdom Metazoa; phylum Chordata; class Mammalia; order Primates; family Hominidae; genus Homo; species Homo sapiens. Next base: position 13,199,671 of record NC_000001.11, on the reverse strand, counting down.
AGCAGATGATTGTGTTTGCCATGAGAGTGATACATTTTCCCTGGATTTGTCTTCTAGAGATTTTCCTTGCAGATCTATCAGGATGAGCATCCAGGCCCCACCCAGACTCCTGGAGCTGGCGGGGCAGAGCCTGCTGAGAGACCAGGCCTTGTCCATCTCTGCCATGGAGGAGCTGCCCAGGGTGCTCTATCTCCCACTCTTCATGGAGGCCTTCCGCAGGAGACACTTCCAGACTCTGACGGTGATGGTGCAGGCCTGGCCCTTCACCTGCCTCCCTCTGGGATCACTGATGAAGACGCTTCATTTGGAGACCTTAAAAGCATTGCTGGAAGGGCTTCATATGCTGCTTACACAGAAGGATCGCCCCAGGTGAGGTGACCCAGGAGGGCTGGTAGATAGGGCTCAGGTGTCCAGGGAAAGAACAGCAGGGTCAGGCAGAGAAGTAGCCCAAGTGTAGCCCAGAGTCTTCTGATGGTGTTGGCGAGGAAGATCAGGGAGGCTTTGGCCATTGTCCAGATCCTCAGAGAAAGGACTGCTCACCATACAGGGTCCACTGTGGGAACAGAAACCTGCCTTTTCTCAGTGGAAGGTAAAGGGAATAGAAGTGGGGACCACTCAGAATCCAAAGGGAAAAGGGATCAAGAAAAGACAAAGAGAACAGGGAGCACTGAGGACAGGAGCAGCTGATTTATGGGATGACAATGAAAGCAAAGGTCAGGGATTTGTCCTTCTAAATTCTGAGCCTCTCCCTTACTTTACCCACAGGAGGCGGAAACTTCAAGTGCTGGATTTGCGGGATGTTGACGAGAATTTCTGGGCCAGATGGCCTGGAGCCTGGGCCCTGTCCTGCTTCCCAGAGACCATGAGTAAGAGGCAGACAGCAGAGGACCGTCCAAGGATGGGAGAGCACCAGCCCTTAAAGGTGTTCATAGACATCTGCCTCAAGGAAATACCCCAGGATGAATGCCTGAGATACCTCTTCCAGTGGGTTTACCAAAGGAGAGGTTTAGTACACCTGTGCTGTAGTAAGCTGGTCAATTATCTAACGCCGATTAAACATCTCAGAAAGTCATTGAAAATAATATACCTGAATAGTATTCAAGAGCTGGAAATTCACAACATGTCCTGGCCACGTCTGATAAGAAAGCTTCGTTGTTACCTGAAGGAGATGAAGACTCTTGGCAAACTCGTTTTCTCCAGGTGCCATCATTCCACGTCAGATAATGAACTCGAAGGACGGTTAGTCACCAAATTCAGCTCTGTGTTCCTCGGGCTGGAACACCTCCAGTTGCTTAAAATAAAATTGATCACCTTCTTCAGTGGGCACCTGGAACAGCTGATCAGGTGAGGAAGGATCATGCATTTTTTATGCAGACCACAGCATAGCCTTGTTCTCTTACAGCAAACATTAGAAGGCGTGTACTGTGTGCCAGCCAGTGGCAACGTCACAGTGAAGGGGACACCAGAATGTCAACACATTGTCCCATTCAGTGTTCCATGTCCTGGAGTGGCTATCACAGGATCGCTCCAATAAGGGCAGAGGGGTCACCTGGGGTAGAAGCTAGAGAGGGACATCATGTACAAGCTAGTTAGTGGGGGTTTCAGCTCTATTGGGGGTGCACGTGTGAATTTCCTGTTACAAAGTGTGTTTCAAGTTGATATGATGTCAAAGAGATAATAGAGGAGGGTATGAAAGGAGGGAAAGTGCATCAAACCTGTCCATTTCACAATAGAACGTCTGTCCTCACCGGCTTAGTGATCACGAATGATCCTGTCTCTGATTCCCTGTTTGTAAAAGGTTGTTTTGAACTCCAGGAAAGGTAACTGACATGGGAAATGCGTGCTTCTGGGATGGAGGTGAGGTAGTAGGCGTGAGAGTGGTAAAAAGTGACAGTTGGTTTGCAGATGCAGGCATGTCAGGTAGCCCCTGCCGACATGTAGCCCTAGCTGATGTCCCTAGACCTTGCTGAGTTGAGTTCTTTGTTCACATCTCCCACCGGGTACCTGTGGCCCAGAGATAAAGTTTTCTGCTAAAAGATGAAAAAAAAAAAAGGCTTTAGAGATTTTATGGCCTTGACCCAATCACACAAGCAATGGTGAAAGGGCTGATTCTAAAATGGGACAGCCCCTGAACGATCAGGGTCCTCATCATGCAGCAACTTCCATGAGGACCATCATCAGATGGTGGGAACAAACTTGTGTTTGTTTGACGCAGGCATTTTCCTAGATGAAGGCACTACCTTCATCTAACTGGTACCATTGCCCAGAACTAACTTCTTGATCTCCACAGGTGCCTCCAGAACCCCTTGGAGAACTTGGAATTAACTTATGGCTACCTATTGGAAGAGGATGTGAAGTGTCTCTCCCAGTACCCAAGCCTCGGTTACCTAAAGCATCTGAATCTCAGCTACGTGCTGCTGTTCCGCATCAGTCTTGAACCCCTCGGAGCTCTGCTAGAGAAAATTGCTGCCTCTCTCGAAACCCTCATCTTGGAGGGCTGTCAGATCCACTACTCCCAACTCAGTGCCATCCTGCCTGGCCTGAGCCGCTGCTCCCAGCTCACCACCTTCTACTTTGGCAGAAATTGTATGTCTATGGGTGCCCTGAAGGACCTGCTGCGCCACACCAGTGGGCTGAGCAAGTTAAGCCTGGAGACGTATCCTGCCCCTGAGGAGAGTTTGAATTCCTTGGTTCGTGTCAATTGGGAGATCTTCACCCCACTTCGGGCTGAGCTGATGTGTACACTGAGGGAAGTCAGGCAGCCCAAGAGGATCTTCATTGGTCCCACCCCCTGCCCTTCCTGTGGCTCATCACTGTCTGAGGAACTGGAGCTCCATCTTTGCTGCTAGGGAAGGCATGCCCAGTGGGGTAGAGAAATCCAAAGTTCTCTTCCAGGCACTTGGACACTAAAATCTACTATGTAGGTGCAAGCTATTTTTCTCTTTTCTTATTTATTTCATTTTTTAATAATTCCAAAATTTTTATTAAAGACAATTTGAGACAGGGTTTCTCTGTGTTGCTCTGGGATCCTCCTGCCTCAGCTGGGCTTATGGGGTCCTCCTGCCTCAGCTTCCTAAAGTGCTGGGATTACTGGCATGAGTGACTGTGTCCAGGCCACATGCAACTTAAAGGAAGCACAGGGAAGTGCTCAGTGTGAGGGAGAAAACATAACAGCAGGGGGCAAGGCTGGAGGAAAATGTTGAGGTGACATCAATGAGAACTTCAGGGACCCGTGTCCTACAGAGTCAGAAAGAGAAGCTAAAGTTCTACAGTGATGAGAATGTTATCCCTGCAAGGATGGTTACCAAGGAATATCAGAAATAAAGAGCACCTGAATGAAAACTTTTAACCTGTTGTAGCAATTTATCCACCAGAAATATCTAGTTATTGAGTTACTGATGGAAAAATAATGAAATACTACTTTGTCTGTGATTGAGTTTCAGCTGTAGAACATCAAAGCAACCAAATAAAATTTGATCATTTTAAGTATTTCCCACCCATTCTTGTTCTTTGTTTTGTTTTGGAGACAAAATCTCAGTTTGTCATTTAGGCTGGAGTGCAGTGGTGCAATCTGGGCTCATTGCAATCCTTTCCTTCAGGGCTCAAGTGATTCTTGTGCCTCAACCACTCAAATAGCTGGGACTGCAGGCACGTTCCACCAAGACTGGCTGATTTTTGTATTTTTAATAGAGATGAGGTTTTTCCGTGTTGATCAGCCTGGTCTCAAGATCCTGGCTTCAAGTGATCCACTGACCTTGGCCTCCCAAAGCGCTGGGAAAACAGGCATACAGATGATCTCCACCCATTCTTTACTTCTCTTCAGTCATCAGTTTTTTTCTTACTTTTTTGCCCACGGGGAGCAGCTCGGTCAGGCGCGAAGGGACGGGCAGAGAGGGGCCCCAAGGAGAAGACAGGAATGGGGTGGTGCCACGCTCGCACAAGATGTGCGGATGCCAGGCCCAGAAGGCATAGCTGGGGCCATCCATCAGGGGGCCAGGGTGAGAAGCAGAAATGGCACCTGCTTCAAGGACCTGGCCAGCTATCTGGCCACTGTGCCCATCCTGCTAACAGTGTCAAGCTCCCAGGTCTTGAAGGGAGGTTCTATGCGGATCCACCCCAGGCTGTGTTTCCGAGATCCGCCCCCCATAGGGGTGACCAGCCCGATTGCTGGGCCTGGGAACCATGAACCACTCCTGGAGGCACTCCCCTTGACTGGGTCATGAGCCAGGCCTGTGCTCCATTTCCCTGAGGCAGCCAACTGTGCCACCCACACCCTCTCATCGCAAAATGGAACCTTGTCCCAGGTCTGGAGTCTCCACCACAGCCTCTACTTCACTGCTCACTGCCTGCTGTTAGCCTGCAAGCTCCTGGATGATAGTGCAGTTGGGGCTGGTTAAACCACACCCAGGAGCATTGGGTTTGTTTGTGCGGGGTTGGTCAGAGCTGCTGTGTATCTGCTTCTCAACTGTCACTTCTGCAGGGAAACACAGAGAAAGGGCACATCCAAGGCTGCGTACACTTCAGAGCTGATGGGAGCCTGGGACAAGAGGGAGTCCTGGTCCTCCTGAGTTGGCAGGGCAGTAGCTCCAAAGACGCAACTGAAGTTGTCCAGGTCACAGTTACCAAATGAGGTCCCCCAGTACTCTCGAGGGTCCAGGAGATCCCCCCTTCTCCTGCAGCTTGGGGGTGTCCGCTCTCACTGCCTCATCTCTCATGGCACCTGCTCTAATTTTGGAGTGTGGTTGTGGTCAAGCCCAGATGCTGTCGCAGCCCAGGTGGGTCTGTGCACACTCGGGTCAGTGCTGATGCACCATCCCACTGCTGTCTTGAACCCTCTGGACTTTGGGCCTTGATGAGTGTAGGAGGGAGGCTGAGGGGTGTTGCGGACTGATCAGCACTGGTCTTTGGATGCTCCTTGGTACAAGTGACCTGGGCTCCATGGTTGGTGGTGGGAGGCAGACAGAATCCTGGACAGGAAGGTGAGGGTCACTGGTGAAGCTCCACCTTCTGATCAAGGAGGGCCTGAAGCCCGTGGGCTGGGCCACCAGTCCTATGGACCAGAGTGGGAACATGTGTTGCCTTTTCTGTGCCTGCTCATGGCCACCTATGACCCAATGAGTGCATACTTTCTCCTGTCTGATGTCAAAAAAACCCCAGACTCAGGGAGAACATTAGGAAGACCAGTGGCAGAGAGGAACTACCCACTGTGGGGATGATTTTCCTGTAGAGACAAGCAACCCCCTCCGGGTCCTTTTCTCTGCTGAGAGCTGTAGAGATGATGAGATGACTTTCCTGCAGAGAGCAGCAACCCACTCCAGGGCCTTCTCTCTACTGAGAGCAGTGGTGATGATGGAATAACCTGCCAGGAGGGAGGGGTCACCCACCCCAGGGCCTCCTCTCTGCTCAGTACTAAACACTCATCAGGACGCCCTGGCTGCAGAAAGAAGTTACCCACTGTGGGTCTCTGAGCTGTTCTATTGTTCAATAAAGCTCCTCTTTATCTCACTCACCCTCCACTTGTCTGCATATTTCACTCTTCCTGGTCACAGGACAAAAACTTGAGACCCGCCTAATGGTGGGGTAAAAGAGCAATAACACAAATAAAGCTGAAACATGCCCCTTGCTCACCAAATTGTAGGTGAAGAGAAAAAGAGAAGAGCGACTACTCTTCCAGGAGCCCAGATGTGGGAGCTTCCTGAGCCAGGGCTGTGACTCCCTTTTGGGGGTTCTGCAGTTCCTGGCATTTCCAAGCTTTCAGTGTTGGTGTCACTGTGTATTCCAGTGACAACCATGGAAGCTGTTTGTGCTGTGCCTGATTCATTTGCAGCCTTGCAGAAATCTGGCACACATGCTGACACCTGGAGCTGCCCAACCCACTGCTGCAGCAGCAGCAGCCGGTGACCGTCCAAAGTGGCCAGACCCCCTGCTCACTCACACACCCCTCACCACTCCAGCCCTGACCCACCCTTAATAGGCATGTGCTCCAGGCTTGAAACATGAGCCAAGCATAGTCTACCAGGCTGCATGGGCAGAACGAACCCAGTGAACCCCATCAAAACTCTGGCAAAGGTGCCCCCAGCCACAGAGGTTTCTGGCCAGAAGAGTCACATTCTAAGTATTCCAGAAGAGAAAATTACTTAAACACAAAGAAAGACAATAAGAAAAGGATGGAAGAGAGAAGTCTCTAAACAACCAAAAAACAAGAAATGAAATGGGAGCACTAAGCCTTTATCAATAAAAACAATGAATATAATTTATCTGAATTCTGCAAGTGAAAGGCATAGGGTCTTTGAATGAGTAAAAACATAAAACCCTACTATATGCTGTTTTCCAGAAACTTAATTCACCTATAAACATACATGTAGATGGAAAGTGAAGGGGTAGAATAAGATATTCCATGCAACTGGAAACCAAAAACAGCAAGAGTAGCTGTACTTATATCAGGTAAAATAGATGCCAAATCTCACAATGCACTCAGATAAAACAGAATACAAATCTGAGCTTGTAAAATAATAGACTACGCTTACACAAACTATGCCTAGAAAGAACATACATCAAAATAATAGAAGCCAAAAATGACAAATCCACATGCAACATCATATTGAATGAAGAAACGTTGAAAGTATTCCTGCTAGGAACTACAAGCAGACAAAAATCCTCACTTTATCCACTTGTAATCAACATAGGACTGAAAATTTTTGTCAGAGCAATCTGGTAAGCAAAAGGAATAAAGTATAATTAAATTGGAAAGAAGGAAGTGAAACTACCTGTGTTTGCCAATGATGTGATCATATGTGCTTAGAAAACTGGAAAGATTCCACCAAGACTCATAGATGCGATAAGTGAATTCACTTAAATCTCAGGTACAAAATCAATATGTACAAATAAGTACCACTGTTTGATACCAACAACAAGTAAGCTGAGAATCAATTCAAGAACTCCATCCCTTCACAATAGTTGCAAAACAACAACAAAAACAGTGACAATAACAAAAACAACCTAGGAATACACTTAACCATTAGGTAAAGGATCTCTATCAGATGAACTACAAGACACTGCTGAAAAAAATCATAGACAACAAAAAAGTAGAAAAACAGCCCATGCTCACGGATTGACAGACACAATATTGTGAAAATGACCACACTGCCCAAAGCAATCTAAAAACTGCAAACATCAAACATCAATCTAAAAACGTCAGTCTAAAAATTTCATACACCAAAATACAAACACCATTTTCACAAGATTAAAAAAAGAATCCTAAGATTCATATGGAGATGAAGAAGAGCCTGAAGAGCCAAAGCAATCCGAAGCAAAATGAACAAATATGGAGACATCACATTACCTGACTTCAATTTATACAGTAAGGCAACAGTAAGCAAAACTGCGTGGTGCCAGTATGAAGGTCGAGACATAGACCAATGGAATGGAATAGAGAACCCCGGAATAAAGCCGCATACTTACAACCCAGCGGTAGGACTGCTGCTTCTCAGTTTGTGCTGAGTGATGCCCCTTGGGGATATGGGGCCAAAGTTACTGGATTTTTCCCCCAAGAAAACCAGAGAGTGAATTGTGATATCCTGTGTGATTTTTAGACTGACTATTGCCATAGTGCTTAGGTCGTCTCCAGGTGCCCAGAGACTCAATCACCAACCAGTGTCCACATTCTTGTCACCGCTGCAAGAAAGAGTTTAGGAAGTAGGCAGAATGAAGCAAAAGGCAAGAAGTGTCTATTGCAAAGCAAAGGAACACACTCAAGAGAGGGCTTATTCAGGAGAGCGAGTCAGGTACAAGAGAGTTTGGGTTTCTAATTTTATAGGATCTGTAAGGAGAGGTTGAAATAATCATTAGGATTTTAAGAAAAAATGGTGAAGTTTTCTTAGAACTGAGGTGTCACCTATTTATTTATTTATTTATTTATTTATTTATTTATTTATTTATGTTTTGAGATGGAGTTTCGCTCTTGTTGCCCAGGCTGGAGTGCAATGGCGCGATCTTGGCTCACTGCAATCTCCGCCTCCCGTGTTCAAGCAATACTCCTGCCTCAGCCTCTGGAGTAGCTGGGGTTACAGACATGCACCACCACACTCGGCTAATTTTGTATTTTTAGTAGAGACGAGATTTCTCCATGTTGGTCAGGGTGGTCTCAAACTCCCGACACCAGGTGATTCGCCTGCCTCAGGTTCCCAAAATGTTGGGATTACAGGCATGAGCCACTGCACGTGGCTAGGTGTTAACTATTTTTATACTAAATATGGGCATTCTCAGAACCGTCCTGGCGCTGGTGTGTGACTTACTGTCATAATAGGTGTATAATTAGGCCTGGGGTAGGGCAAGGGTCAAACCCAGTGCCATGTCTGACCAATTCAGTGTCAGCCAGCTTAGCCCCTTCCTGCTTGTTCGGATCTTATGGGTCAAGGCTTATCCTTATTCTTGCAGCTAATTTTACAAGCTCTTTTCTTGCTGCTATATGAAATCACTGCTTGATATTTTCATGCTTCTCCTGTGACCAGCCAGCTTTCCTATTTTATGGGTATTTCTTTTCTTCTCCCTTCCCTTCCCTTCCCTTCCCTTCACCTCCTCTCCCATCCCCTCCCCTCCACTGTCTTTTCTTTTCCTTTCTTTCTTTCTTTCTTTTTTTCTTTCTTTCTTTCTTTCTTTCTTTCTTTCTTTCTTTCTTTCTTTCTTTCTTTCTTTCTTTCTTTCTCTCTCTCTCTCTCTCTCCTTCCTTCCTTCCTTCCTTCCTTCCTTCCTTCCTTCCTTCCATCTTTCTTGCTTCATCTCTTTCTTTCTTTCTTTCTTTCTTTCCCTTTCTTTCTTTCTTTCTTTCTTTCTTTCTTTCTTTCTTTCTTTCTTTCTTTCTTTCTTTCCACTTTAAGTTCTGGGATACATGTGCAGAACGTGCAGTTTTGTTACATACGTATACACATGCCATGGTGGTTTGCTGTACCCATCAACCCGTCATCTACATTAGGTATTTCTCCTAATGCTACCCCTCTCCTAGCCCTCCACACCCCGAGAGGCCCTGATGTGTAGTGTTCCCCTACCTGTGACCATGAGTTCTCATTGTTCAACTCCCACTTATGTGGTGTTTTGGTTTACTGTTCCTGTGTTAGTTTGCTGAGAATGATGGTTTCTAGCTTCATCCATGTCCCTGCAAAGGAAATGAACTTATTTTTTATGACTGCATAGTATTCCATGATGTATATGTGCCACATTTGCTTTATCCAGTCTATCATTGATGGGCATTTGGGTTGGTTCCAAGTCTTTGCTGTTGTGAATAGTGCTGCAATAAACATACTTGTGCATGTGTCTTTATAGTAGAAGGATTTATAATCCTTTGGATATATACCCAGTAATGAGATTGCTGGATCAAATGGTATTTCTGGTTCTAGATCCTTGAGGAATTGCCACACTGTCTTCCACAATGGTTGAACTAATTTACACTCCCACCAACAGTGTCAAAGCATTCCTATTTCTCCACATCCTTTCCAGCATCTGTTGTTTCCTGACTTTTTAATGATCACCATTCTAACTGGCATGAGATGGTATCTCACTGTGGTTTTGATTTGCATTAGAGAAATGCAAATCAAATGACCAGTGGTGATGAACATTTTTTCATATGTTTGTTGGCTGGATAAATGGTTTTTTTGGAGAGTTGTCTGTTAGTATCCTTCACCCACTTTTTGACAGGGTTGTTTGTTTTTTTCTTGTAAATTTGCTTAAGTTCCTTGTAGATTCTGGATATTAGCCATTTGTCTGATGGATAGATTGCAAAAAATTTTCCCATTCTATAGGTTGCCTGTTGACTCTGATGATAGTTTCTTTTGCTGTGCAAAAGCTCTTTATTTTAATTAGATCCCATTTGTCAATTTTGGCTTTTGTTGCCATTGGTTTTAGTGTTTTAGCCATGAAGTCTTTGCCCATGCCTATGTCCTGAATGGTATCACCTAGGTTTTCTTCTAGGGTTTTTATGGCTTTAGGTCTTACATTTAAGTCTTTAATCCATCTTGAGTTAATTTTTGCATAAGGTGAAAGGAAGGGGTTCATTTGCAGTTTTCTGCATATGGCTAGCCAGTTTTCCCAACACCGTTTATTAAATGGGGAATCCTTTCCCCATTGGCTGTTTTTGTCAGGTTTGTCAAGGATCAGATGGTTGTAGATGTGTGGCATTATTTCTGAGTCCTCTGTTCTGTTTCATTGGTCTACATATCTGTTTTGATAACTGTACCATGTTGTTTTGGTTACTGTAGCCTTGTCGTATAGTTTGAAGTCAGGTAGCGTGATGCCTCCAGCTTTGTTCTTTTTGCTTAGGATTGTGTTGTGTATACAGGTTCTTTTTTGCTTCCATATGAAGTTTTAAGTAGTTTTTTCTAATTCTGTGAAGAAACTCCATTACAGCTTGATGGGGATAGCATTGAATCTATAAATCACTTTGGGCAGTATGGCCATTTTCATGATATTGATTCTTCAGACCCATGAGCGTGGAATGTTTTTCCATGTGTTAGTGTCCTCTCTTATTTCCTTAAGCAGTGGTTTGTAGTTCTCCTTGAAGAGGTCCTTCACATCCCTTGTAAGTTGTATTCCTATGTATTTTATTTTCTTTTAGCAATTGTGAATGGGAGTTCACTCATGATTGGCTCTCCGTTTGTCTATTGTTGATGTATAGGAATGATTTTGATTTTTGCACATTGATTTTGTATCCTGAGACTTTGTTGAAGTTGCTTATCAGCTTTAGGAGATGTTGGGCTGAGATGATGGGGTTTTCTAAATATACAATCATGTCATCTGCAAACAGAGACAATTTGACTTCCTCTCTTCCTATTTGAATACTCTTTATTTCTTTCTCTTGCCTGATTGCCCTGGCCAGAACTTCCAATACTATGTTGAATAGGAGTGGTGAGAGGGGGCATCCATGCATTGTGCTGGTTTTCAGAGGGAATGCTTCTAGCTTTTGCCCATTCAGTATGATATTGGCTGTGGTTTTGTCATAAATGGCTCTTATTATTTTTACATACGTTCCATCAATACCTAGTTTATCTAGAGTTTTTAGCCTGAAAGGGTGTTGAATTTTATCGAAGGCCATTTCTGCACATATTGAAACAATCATGTGGTTTTTGTCATTGGTTCTGTTTATGTGATGGATTATGTTTATTGATTTGCGTAAGTGGAACCAGCCTTGCGGATCAGGGATGAAGCCGACTTGATATTGGTGGATAAGCTTTTTGATGTGCTGCTGGATTCGGTTTGCCAGTATTTTATTGAGGATTTTTGCATCGATGTTAATCAGGGATATTGGTCTCAAATTCTCTTTTTTTGTTGTGTCTCTGCGAGGCTTTGGTGTCAGGATGATGCTGGCCTCATAAAATGAGTTAGGGAGGATTCCCTCTTTTTCTATTAAGTGGAATAGTTTCAGAAGGAATGGTACCAGCTCCTCCTTGTACCTCTGATAGAATTCGACTGTGAATCCATCTGGTCCTGGACTTTTTTTGGTTGGTAAGCTATTAATTATTTCCTCAATTTCAGAGCCTGTTATTGGTCTATTCAGAGATTCACCTTCTTCCTGGCTTATTCTGGGGAGGGTGTATGTGTTGAGGAATTTATCCATTTCTTCTAGATTTTCTAGTTTATTTGCATAGAGGTGTTTATAGTATTCTCTGATGGTAGTTTGTCTTTCTGTGGGATCCGTGGTGATATGCCCTTTATCATTTTTTATTGCATCTATTTGATTCTTCTATCTTTTCTTTATTAGTCTTGCTAGCAGTCTATCTATTTTGTTGATCTTTTCAAAAAACCAGCTACCGGATTCATTGATTTTTTGAAGGGGTTTTTGTGTCTCTATTTCCTTCGGGTCTGCTCTGATCTTAGCTATTTCTTGCTTTCTGCTGGCTTTTGAATATGTTTGCTCTTGCTTCTCTAGTTCTTTTAATTGTGATGTTCGGTTGTCAATTTTAGATCTTTCCTGCTTTCTCTTGTGGGCATTTAGTGCTATAAATTTCCCTCTACACACTGCTTTGAATGTGTCCCAGAGATTCTGGTATGTTGTGTCTTTTTTCTCATTGGTTTCAAAGAATGTCTTTATTTCTGTCTTCATTTCGTTATGTACCCAGTAGTCATTCAGGAGCAGGTTGTTCAATTTCCATGTAGTTGAGCGGTTTTGAGTGAGTTTCTTTTATTATTATTATTATGCTTTAAGTTTTAGGGTACATGTGAACAACGTGCAGGTTTGTTACATATGTATACGTGTGCCATGTTGGTGTGCCGCACACATTAACTCGTCATTTAGCCTTAGGTATACCTCCTAATGCTATCCTATGCAGCCATAAAAAATGATGAGTTCATGTCCTTTGTAGGGACATGGATGAAGCTGGAAACCATCATTCTCAGCAAACTATCACAAGCACAAAAAACCAAACACTGCATGTTCTCGCTCATAGGTGGGAATTGAACAATGAGAACACATGGACACAGGAAAGGGAACATCACACACTGAGTGAGTTTCTTAATCCTGAGTTCTAGTTTGATTGCACTGTGGCCTGAGAGACAGTTTGTTATAATTTCTGTTCTCTTACATTTGCTGAGGTGTGCTTTACTTCCAACTATGTGGTCAATTTTTGGAATAAGTGCAGTGTGGTGCTGAGAAGAATGTATATTCTGTTGATTTTGGATGGTGAGTTCTGTAGATGTCTATTAGGTCCGCTTGGCGCAGAGCTGAGTTCAATTCCTGTATATCCTTGTTAACTTTCTGTCTCATTGATGTGTCTAATGTTGACAGTGGGGTGTTGAAGTCTCCCATTATTATTGTGTGGGAGTCTAAGTCTCTTTGTAGGTCTCTAAGGACTTGCTTTATGAATCTGGGTGCTCCTGTATTGGGTGCATCTATATTTAGGATAGTTAGCTCTTCTTGTTGAATGGATCCCTTTACCATGATGTAATGGCCTTCTTTGTCTCTTTTGATCTTTGTTGGTTTAAAGTCTGTTTTATCCGAGACTAGGATGGCAACTCCTGCCTTTTTGTGTTTTCCATTTGCTTGGAAGATCTTCCTCCATCCCTTTATTTTGAGCCTATGTGTGTCTCTGCATGTGAGATGGGTTTCCTGAATACAGCACACTGATGGGTCTTGACTCTTTATGAAATTTGCCAGTCTGTGTTTTTTAATTGGAGCATTTAGCCCATTTACATTTAAGGTTAATATTGTTATGTGTGAATTTGATCCTGTCATTATGATGTTAGCTGGTTATTTTGCTCTTTAGTTGATGCAGTTTCTTCCTAGTATCGATGGTCCTTCCAATTTGGCATGTTTTTGAAGTGGCTGGTACCAGTTGTTCCTTTCCATGTTTAGTGCTTCCTTCAGGAGCTCTTTTAGGGCAGGCCTGGTGGTGACAAAATCTCTCAGCATTTGCTTGTCTGTAAAGGAATTTATTTCTCCTTCACTTATGAAGCTTAGTTTGGTTGCATATGAAATTCTGGGTCGAAAATTCTTTTCTTAAGAATGTTGAATATAGGCCCCCACTCTCTTCTAGCTTGTAGAGTTTCTGCCGAGAGCTCCGCTGTCAGTCTGATGGGCTTCCCTTTGTGGGTAACCCGACCTTTCTCTCTGGTTGCCCTTAACATTTTTTCCTTCATTTCAACTTTGGCGAATCTGACAATTATGTGTCTTGGAGTCGCTCTTCTCAAGGAGTATCTTTGTGGCATTCTGTGTATTTCCTGAATTTGAATGTTTGCCTGCCTTGCTAGATTGGGGAAGTTCTGCTGGATAATATCCTGAAGAGTGTTTTCCAGCTTGGTTCCATTCTCCCCATCACTTTCAGGTACACCTGTCAGACATAGACTTGGTCTTTTCACATAGTCCCATATTTCTTGGAGGCTTTGTTCATTTCCTCTTATTCTTTTATCTCTGAACTTCTCTTCTCGCTTCATTTCATTCGTTTGATCTTCCCTCACTGATACCCTTTCTTCCAGTTGATGGAATCAGCTACTGAGGCTTGTACATTTGTCACGTGGTTCTCGTGCCATGGTTTTCAGCTCCATCAGGTCCTTCAAGGACTTCTCTGCATTGGTTATTTTAGTTAGCCATTCATCTAATTTTTTTTCAATGTTTTTGACTTCTTTGCCATGGGTTCGAACTTCCTCTTTTAGCTCAGAGTAGTTTGATCATCTGAAGCCTTCATCTCTCAACTCATCAAAGTCCTTCTCCCTCTAGCTTTGTTCCATTGCTGGTGAGGAGCTGCGTTCCTTTGGAGGAGGAGAGGAACTCTGATTTTTAGAGTTTCCCATTTTTCTGCTCTGTTTTTTCCCCATCTTTGTGGTTTTATCTACCTTTGGTCTTTGATGATGCTGATGTACAGACTGGGTTTTGGTGTGGATGTCCTTTCTGTTTGTTAGTTTTCCTTCTAACAGTCAGGACCCTCAGCTGCAGGTCTGTTGGAGTTTGCTGGAGGTCCACTCCAGAAGCTGTTTGCCTGGGTATCAGCAGCAGAGGCTGCAGAACAGTGGATACTGGTGAACAACAAATGTTGCTGCCCGATCATTCCTGTGGAAGTTTTGTCTCAGAGGAGTACCTGGCCATGTGAGGTGCCAGTCTGCCCCTGCTGGTGGGTGCCTCCCAGTTAGGCTACTTAGGGGTCACAGACCCACTTGAGGAGTCAGTCTGTCCATTCTCAGATCTCCAGCTGCGTGCTGGGAGAACCACTACTCTCTTCAAAGCTGTCAGACAGGGACATTTAAGTCTACAGAGGATTCTGCTGCCTTTTGTTTGGCAATGCCCTGCCCCCAGAAATGGAGTCTGTGGAGGCAGGCAGGCCTCCTTGAGCTGCAGTGGGCTCCACCCAGTTCCAGCTTCCTGGCTGCTTTGTTTACCTACTCAAGCCTCAACAATGGCAGGCGCCCCTCCCCCAGCCTTGCTGCCGCCTTGCAGTTTGATCTCAGACTGCTGTGCTAGCAATGAGTGAGGCTCCGTGGGCATAGGACCTTTTGAGCCAGACACGGGATATAATCTCCTGGTGTGCCATTTGCTAAGACTGTTGGAAAAGCGCAGTATTAGGGTGGGAGTGACCGGATTTTACAGGTGCCATCTGTCACCCCTTTCTTTGACTAGGAAAGGGAATTCCCTGACTCCTTGCACTTCCCAGGAGAGGCAATGCCTCATGCTGCTTTGGCTCATGCTCGGTGCACTGCACCCACTGTCCTACACCCACTTTCTGACACTCCCCAGTGAGAAGAACCTGGTACCTCAGTTGGAAGTGCAGAAATCACCCGTCTTCTGCACCGCTCAGGCTGGGAGCTGTAGACTGGAGCTGTTCCTATTCGGCCATCTTGGCTCAACCCCCTAGTTAATTTTTGTGTCTTTAATAGAGACAGGGTTTCATCATATTGGCCAGAGTCGTCTTGAACTCCTGACTGAAGTGATCCACCCACCTCAGTCTCTGCAAGTGCTGGGATTACAGATGTGAGCCACTGTGCCTGGTCAATTGCTGGACGTTCATGATACACCTGGAGTATCCACAGTATCACAAGGGCCATTTTTTTCCATAATCCAATTTATTTATATTATTGGTAGTGAGCTAATGTTGATGTCCCCAAGGTAGCAATTTAGTGACTATATCCATGATAAACGTTTCCATGCATCACGTGGTCAACAGCATTTGCTACCAAGTGCCACGTTCCATGCTCAGCAGTGGGAACACAGGATGATGGAGACAAAGTTCCTGACCTTTAGCAGCAATATCGAACAAGTGAGATTGTCAAGAAAGAAGAAATAATTGTAAAACATACCATACCCCTACAATTCCATAATCATGCTCCTGGATATTTAATGAAGTGAGTAAACCCACACCTGGATGTTTACAGCAACTTACTCATAATCGCCAAAACTTGGAAGCTAGCAAGTTGCCCTTCGGTCAGTGACTGGATAAGCAAACTGATCTATCCAGTCAGTGAACTATTATAAAGCTGTAAAAAGACATGAAAAATTCCTAAATGCACGTTATTGTACAAGTGAAAGAAGGCAATCTGAAAAGACTCATCCTGTTAGACATTCCAGAAAAAGCTTTTGCATTTTTCTAAGGAGACAGTAGAAAGCCCAGTGGATGCAAGGGGTTGGGAGCACAATGGGATGAATGGGAAGAGGACAGAGGAATTTTAGGGAAAGAAAACTACTCTCCATGATGCTCTAATGGTGGATACATGTCATTATCCCTTTGTTAAAATCCATAGAATGTACAAAACCAGCAATGATCCCTCATGTGAACTATGGACATTGGGTGATAATGATGTGTCCCTGTGGCTCATTGGTTGTGATGAATGCTCTGTGCTGGTGTGGGTGCTGATCCTGTGGGGGTGCTGTGTATTGAAGGGGGAAGAAGGTAGATGAGAACTCTGCAGTTTCTGCTTAGTTTTTCTGTGAATCTAAAACTGCTGTAAAGGAAAAAATAGGCTGGGTGTGGTGGCTCACGTCTATAGTCATAGCATTTTGGGAAGCCGAGGCAGGTGGATCACCTGAGGTCAGGGGTTCCAGACCAGCCTAGCTAAAATGACAAAACCCTGTCTCTACTAAAAAAAATAATAATAATAATAATACAAAAATTAATCAGGTGTGGTGTTGCATGCCTGTAATCCCAGCTACTCTGGAGGCTGAGACAGGAGCATTGCTGGGACCCTGGAGGCAGAAGTTGCAGTGAACAGAGATCGTACCTCTGCACTCCAGCACGGATGACAGAAGGAGACTCCATCTCCAAAATAAATAAATAAATAAACTCAAGGCTGGGTGCGGTGGCTCATGCCTATAAGAGCTCACTCCCAGCAATTTAGGAGGCCGAGGCAGGTGGATCGCTTGAGCCCAGAATTTCAAGACCAGTCTGGGCAACATGGTGAAGCCTGGTCTTCACTAAGAATACAAAAATAAGTCAGGCATGATGGTGCATGCCTGTTGTTCCAGCTACTAGGGGGACTGAGGCAGGGAGATCACCTGAGCCTAGGAGGTCAAGGCTGCAGTAAGCCGTGATCATGCCACTGCACTCCAATCTGGACAACAGAGTGAGACTTTGTCTCCAAATAAAATAAAATAAAATAAAATAAAATAAACTCAATATTTTTTAAAACTGTAATGTTTCCTTTCAAAGCTAAAATTGTATTATTCTAAATATATTTTAAAGAAGAAATGATTATTGTTCAGTGTCTTTAAAATTAGTTTTTAAAATCTCATTTGTTTTGACATTTCAAACCAAGTTAAGTATTCTTTTTCTCACCCTCCTTGAGACGGAGTCTTCCTCTTTCACCCAGGCTGGAGTGCAGTGGTGCATTCTTGGCTCACTGCAACCTTTGCCTCGCAGGTTCAAGCGATTCTCTTGCCTCAGCCTCCTGACTATCTGGGATTACAGGCACCTGTCACCACGCCAGGCTAATTTTTTGTATTTTTCGTAGAGACGGGGTTTCATCATGTTGGCCAGGCTGGTCTGGAACTCCTGACCTCGTGATCTGCCCACCTCGGCCTCCCAAAGTGCCAGGAATACAGGCATGAACCACCACACCTGGCCATTAACCATTCTTGAAATATCACGTTGCATTCTTTAAAAGTTCTAATCTTTCATATACATAAATTACAACACAAATATTTATACTCTAATAGTATTCACATTATAGTAAATTTTTTTTCATGCTCTGTCGCCCAGGCTGGAGTGAAGTGGTGCAATCTCGTCTCATTGCAACCCTCACCTCCCGGGTTCAAGTGATTGTCCTGCCTCAGCCTCCTGAATACCTGGGATTACAGGCGAATGCCACCACTCCCAGCAAATTTTGTGTATTTTTAGTAGAGATGGGGTTTCACCATGTTGGCAAGGCTGGTCTCAAAATCCTGAGGCTGCCTTGGCCTCCCAAAGTGCTGGGATTAGAAGTGTGAGACACCATGCCCGGCCATAATAATAAATCTTATTTTATCTTTTTTTTTTGAGATGGAGTTTTGCTAGGGTTGCCCAGGCTGGAGTGCAATGGCTCAGTCTGAGCTCACCGCAACCTCCACCTCCAGGTTCAAATGATTCTCCCGCCTCAGCCTATCGAGTAGCTGCAATTACAGACGTGCGCCACCACGCCTGGCTAATTTTTTGTATTTTAAGTAGAGAAGGGGTTTCTTCATGTTGCTCAGGCTGGTCTCAAACTCCCAACCTCAGGTGATCCACCTGCCTCAGCCTCCCAAAGTGCTGGAATTACAGGTATGACTCACTGCACCTGGCTCATAATAGTACATTTTTGAAAACACCATAAAATATAATCCTTGCAACACTCAATTATACCATCTGGTCGGATCTATCAGCAGATGGCACCCGAGACATACGGATTGGAAATTTTGATCTTATTATGAATGAATCCAGTCCAGAAATGCCCACCTTGCCCCCTGCTGGCTCCTGGGGCTCTGCTCTTTGGGGGAATCATGATGAAATTGTGGCAGAGAGTAGAAGTTGAGCCCCATTGCATGCCCTGAGTTCTTGTTGCCTCTCTATTATCAGGAAAAGGAGGTGAGATTGAAAGATGAAAAGTGCTGGGACTTCTGCTGAGAAGAGAAAAAAGAACAAGATGTATTGATCTTACTGTATGCCAGACCCCATGCCAAGCCCTAAACATGAACCATCTCATTGGATCCTACCAAGGTCCCATAAGCTGTTGGACATCATCATCCTCATTTTACAGGAAGCTGAGGCTCTAGGCTAACATCCCTGACAGCAACACCAGCCCCTGAGTACTCAGCAGGATCCTTCACTTGGGTGCCCATTATGCAGAATTCCTCAGCACAGGGAAGGTCACTCATCACCCACAGGCCCTTGATCGTTATCCACCCTTTGATGCTGTCAGATTCCAGAACACGCTGCACTAGTACTAGTCTCTTCCTTCATAGGGAGAGAGGGGAGGTGTTATGAGAAAATCTCTCATCAATCTGACCTAGCTCCCCAAAAAGATGTAACTTTTAAAATGTCAGATGGAAATATTTAAAAAGTGTTACATGCCTGTATAGTTTTAGTATTTTACTTAAAGGGAATGTGGCTGTCTTTACTGGCTACAACCAGTTTAATTCAAGAAGGGCTGCTGGTCATCAGGAGAACAAGCAAGGGTTGATGCTGCCCAGAGTCTCCAGCTAATACACAATATGGACATCCCCTTCCAGGGCAGTGGGAAGAGAGTGGCTCCTTGTGCAGTGAAGCTGACATCCACCAAATAAGGCTTCTGGAAGCATGTGGAGACTCACAGGGAGTGGGCAGGGTCTCAGCATCTGGCTAGCAGTGAAAGACCCTGAGAAGAAGGTGCTTTCCACGTGGATTGGCTCACTGTTCTTGCCCAGTAATGTTCCAGGCCTTTGGTGTCCACCTAGTGTGTATTAACCCACTGAACAGCCACAGAAACTAACAAGGAGTTAACAGACATCTAAAGAAGTGAAGAACTAGAGGAGGCCAACCCAAGCGTGGTGGTCCACGCCTATACTCCCTGCATTTTGGGAGGCCAAGACAGGAGAATCACAAGCTCAGGAGTTCCAGATCAGCCTGGGGAAGACAGCGAGGCCTTGTCTCTACTAAAAAGAAGTATCCAGGTGTGGTGGCTCACACAGCTGTAGTCCTAGCTACTCAGGAGGCTGAGGTGGGAGGATCACTTGAACCCAGGAAATTTAGGTTGCAGTGAGGTATGATTGTGCCACTGCACTGTAGCCTGAGTGACAGGAGACCTTTAAAAAACAAAAACCAAAAAAAAGCCTGACACAGTGGCTCACACCTGTAACCCCAGCACTTTGGTAGGCCTACTTGCTTGAATCACCCAAAGTCAGGAGTTTGAGACCAGCCTGACCAACATAGTGAGGAAACCCTGTCTCTACTAAACATACACAAATTAGCTGGGCATGGTGGTGCATGCTTGTAATCCCAGCTACTTGGGAGGCTGAGGCAGAAGAATCATTTAAACCCCAGGTGGAGGTTGCAGTCAGCTCAGATGGCACCATTGCACTCTAAACTCCAGCCTGGGCAACAAGAGTGAAACTCTGTCTCCAATAAAAGAATGGGAGGAAAGTGATTACAATAACCAAATTTCATTTAAATGCCTTGATTTTCTTGGGCTGCATCTTATTGATTGGACAACTCAGTCAGTGCCTTTTGTTTTTTCCATCAATAACTGAAGATTCCTGAGGCTTAAACTGGAAAACAGGTTACTTAATAATAGAGGGCACCAGACAGATTCTGCTCAGTTTTCCTTTATTTCTGATTGTTTCTTTACAACCATCCATGCAAGAGTAACTCCCTCATGTATTCTCAAGCCTGAATTCCACTCTAGACATTCAGATTCCCATTTTCGACTCTACAGGATACAGGTCCCCAAAGTCCCATCGAATCCATGGCAACATTTCCCCCAAGTCCTGCCCCTGCTTGATCAGCTTTCCTTTCCCACTTTCAGAGCCTATGTGTGAAATGATGGGTTCTGTGCTCCCTTTAGGATGTACCTAAGACCTAGGTTTTAGTTTCCAAGTGTCCAGAAGAAAGCGTTTGACATACCCATCCAAATAGGCAGGCATTCAACAGCAGTATTGATCTGCCTCCAGGTCATAAAATGACCTGTTGCCACAGTCAGGGCAGTTGTCAATACAGAAAAAGATCCTCTTGGGGTGCCTTAAGTCCCTCACTCTGTTCATCAGCTCAGCCCTAATTTGAGCAAATCTGCTCCAGCAGAGAGTACCATCAGCACCATAACTCTCCCGCGGGGCAGGATACACCTCCACGCATAAGTTTTTGAGTATGATTGTGTGGCTCAGCAGGTTCTCCAGGGTGGCCATGGAGATGGGATTTCCACAGAAGCTGAAGGCATTGAGCTCAAAGCAGCGGCTCAGGGCAGGCAGGATGGCGTTGACTTGGGAGTCTATGATGCCACAGTCATCTAAATCCAAGTACTCAAGGGTGGCTGCAACTTTTTCTAGGAGAATTTGGAGAGGCACAAGACTGTAATTGGTCAGTCTGATGCCACTCAGGTCCAGGGTCTTTAGTTGACTGATACTCGGGCACTGGGATAGATGCTTCAAGTCTGATTCCAAAAGCACACAGTTAGTTATTGTGAGGACCTTTAACGAGGTCTTCAGACAGCTGGGGAGAGAGAGCAAGAAGTTAATTCTGGGGAATCATAGGGGTGAGTGGAGGGTGGTGGGGAATGGCTTCATGGTAATGGATGGAGACCATTTTGCCCAAGTCCAGGGTCATTCTGATGGCCTGATGGTCAACACTTAGGATGATGTGTGATGAAGAGCTTTGCCACCGAGGTCAATTCCACCTTAGAGCCGGCCCAGTAACTCACACCTGTAATCCCAGAACTTTGGGAGGCTGAGACTGGTGGATTCCTTGAGATCAGGAGTTTGAGACCAGCCTGCTGAACATGGCAAAACCTCGTCTCTACTAAAAATCCAAAAATTAGCCAGGTGTGGTGGGGGGAGCCTGCAATTCCAGCTACTTGGGAAGCTGAGGCAGAAGAATCGTTTGAACCCAGGAGGTGTAGGTTGCAGTGAGCAGAGATCATGCCACTACACTCCAGCCTGGGTGACAGAGAGAGACTCTGTATTAAAAAAAAAGAAGGAAAAAAAATAATTCCATTTGAGGCTGAGTCATTTCACCATCATTTATAGGAATGGATCAAGTTCACAGAATCCCTAAAGCTCCCTTTCCTCATCTGTCAGGCAGAAAACCACATCCCTGGGCCACAGAAGCCCAGTGGAGATTCAGGCATAAAGGACAAACCCAGACAGGATCCTGCAACATCAGCTGGGGTGGGCGGGCTGTAGGCGTCCCTGCCATGCCTGTATCATCAGCAAACCATCTATCACTTTCACCATTCTTTGTGCCTGCTCCCTGACCCTCTGTTTCAGAATCATGCATTGCTTAGGTAATTAATTTACCTGGAGCTCAAAACACTTTTACAACAGGGAATTAGAGATGGGATCATTCATGTTCACCAAACTATGGGGCACAAAGCTGATTTTCTGACATGTGCAGGTTTGCTGAGCATTCCCCTCTTCAGTGCCCACTTCACTTCCCTACTTTACATCATCTGCTTAAAAATTATCTTGTTGGCTGGGCGTGGTAGCTCTCGCCTATAATCCCAGCACTTTGGGAGTCCAAGGTGGGCGGATCACCTGAAGTCAGGAGTTGGAGAATATCCTGGCCAACATGGTGAAACCCTGTCTCTACTTAAAATATAAAAATTAGCCAGGTGTGCTGACTCATGCCTGTAATCCCAGGCACTCAAGAGGCTGAGGCAGGAGAATCGCTTGAACCTGGGAGGCAGAAGTTGCTGCGAGCTGAGATGTCACAAGTGCACTTTACCCTGGATGATCAAAGTGAAAATTCATCTCAGAAAAAAAAAAAGTTATCTTGTTTGTTTTTACTTTTATTTCTTCACTTCTGACAGGGGTCTTGGGATGTTACCCAGACTGGTCTTAAACTCCTAGGCTCAAGCTATCCTCTTGCCTCAGACTCCCAAAGTGATAGGATTACAGGCATGAGCCACCGTCCCTGGCCTATTTTTCATCATCTTAACTTAGACACACGTCCTCAGGAAGAATTCAGAAAGGCACCCTCACTAGATCTGAACCCCCCAGTAGCTAGCTTCCTAGTATGACAACCTCTCTATAGCATCTCCCCTAGCTGATCCCGCTGCCTCTATTGGGATGGTTGCATGATACCCATTTCAGGACAGGGCCGCCAACAGGACAATGTATGGACATTCTAGTGTCCCCTTCACTGTTTCATCCTCATAGGCTGGCTCACAGTAGATGCCCACTAGCGTTTAGTGAAACAGGCTCTGCTGTGGTCTGCAGAGAAAGCTCACCACCCTCCCTCACCTGAGCAGCTGGTCCAGGTGGCCTTCGAGGAAAGAAACAGAGTTCATATAAAGCTTTTGGAGGCAGTGCAGCTTGAGGAACTGAGTGGTGAACTGGGTAACAATCTCCTTCTTCTGCTCTGGGGAAACGTAGCGAGAGACATCCATGTGGGAGAGAACGAGCTTCTGAAGATTCCTCATGTGGCCCAGGTATGGGGTAAACTGTGTCAGGATGGGCAGTACCCACTTGCAATTCACTTCCACCTCCTGGATACAGTCTAGGTTCACCATTTTCAGGATGCTTCTGATATTGCGGAAGGGCATTCCCAAAATTTTCAGCTTCTTACAGCACAGGTGTAGTAAATCTTTCCTCTGCTTGACCCATAGAAGGAGGTAGGTGAGGTATTCATCCAGAGTCCTGTTCTTGAGCCAAAGTTCTACGAACACAGTCAAGGGCTGCTGTCCTCTCATCCTTGGACAGTCCTGCACTGGTGTTTTGTTCCTCTTGGCATTGAGGAAGGACCCACGGGCCATAGCTTCAGACCAAACCATCCAGAAGTTCTCACAGACATCCTGTAAATCCAGCACTTGAAGTTTCCACCTCCTGTGGGAAAATAGAGGTGAGACTGAGAATTTAAGAACTCATTTCTGAATTTAAACTCCACATCCTGGATAGCAGCTCCTCCCCTCCCTGCTTCTTGTCCCTCTCTCTGACTTTTCTTCACTCTGTTTTCCCCTTGGATCCTACCCACTTCCACATTTTTTTGTTTTTTTTTTTGAGACCAAGTCTCCCTCTGTCGCCCAGGCTAGAGTGCAGTGGTGTGATGTCACCTCACTGCAACCTCTGCTTCCTGGGTTCAAATGATTCTCCTGCCTCAACCTCACAAGTAGCTGGGATTACAGGAGCCCACCACCATGCCCAGCTAATTTTAGTATTTTTAGTAGAGTTGGGGTTTACCATGTTGGACAGGCTGGCCTCCAACTCTTGACCTCAGCCTCCCAATGTGCTGGGAT
The DNA here is from genome assembly GCF_000001405.40 of Homo sapiens. Classification (NCBI taxonomy): domain Eukaryota; kingdom Metazoa; phylum Chordata; class Mammalia; order Primates; family Hominidae; genus Homo; species Homo sapiens. The sequence goes on along the minus strand of NC_000001.11, from coordinate 13,175,830 downwards.
TACATTGTGAGCCACCGTGCCCGGCCCAGTTCTCACTTTTCATGGTGCCTTTCAGTGCCATTAGAGGAGAGGTTCCTGTTACCTCCATGGACCTTGCGTGGTGAGCAGTGCTTTCCCTGAGGAGCTGGTGAATGGCCAAGTCCTCTCGGCTTCCTCACCACCACCATCCCCCTTGGGCCTCCTCACTTCACATGACCCAGCTGTTCCTTCAGTTGGACACCTGGGCCCTCCCCACCAGCCCACCTGGGCCACCTCACCTGGGACAAACCCCTTGGGTAAGCAGTGCATCCAGCCCATCGAGCACAGCTTGGAAGGCCTCCAGACAAGGCATCTTTATCAGAGGCCTCAGAGGGAGGCGGCGGAAGGGCCAGGCCTGCACCATCAGCTTCAGGGCCTCACAGCGTCTCCTGCTGAAGGCCTCCATGAACAGTGGGGGGAAAAGTTCTGTGGGCAGCTCCTCCAGGGTGGACATGGCCAAGGCTTGGTCCCTCAGCAGGCTCCGCCCCGCCAGCTCCAGGAGTCTGGGTGGAGTCCGGATGCTCATCTTCATGAATCTGCAGGGAAAACTTCCAGAGGACAAACCCAGAGAAAAGGCATCACTCTCAGGCCAAGCCCATGCAATCTCATCTTCTCCTATGGCCAAACTCACTGCTCTGGCAATGGTGAAACAGCCCTCAGTTTACTCCAATTCTACTCTGTACTCAGTGGCCATTAAGCCAGCATTCTGCCTCTGCTGCATCAGCATGAGCGTCTCCGAAGCAGTGAGGAAGCAGGGTCACCACGAGCCCTTCCTTTCTATCCAGTGCTCCATCCAGTGACTAGTGAGTGTGGAGGAACCTGAAAGTGAACCCCTCCTACCATTGGGGGAAATTACTGATTACTCAAGGTTCTAAAACAATGGGAATGGGAGTGTCACAAGCCTACATGCCCACATTTTCAGTTCCTACAAATAAGTTTGTTGGGAACATTCATGGGACATCCCTAGAACAGGTTCTATTTGTTTTCTTTTCATTATTTAAGCTTGCTTTCTCTTTCTCTCTCTTTCTTCTTTCCTTCTTTCCCTCTCTCCCTCCCTTCTTTCTTTCTTTCCCCCTCTCTCTCCCTTCTTTCTTTCTTGTCTTCTTTCCCTGCATCCCTTCTCTCATTCTCTCTCTCTTTCTCTCTCTCCCTCTCTCACTCTTTCTGACAGGGTCTTGCTCTGTCACCCAGCCTGGAGTGTAGTGGTGGGATCTCAGCTCAGTGCAGCCTTGACCTCCCAGCTCAAAGGATTCTTCCCCCTCAGCCTCCCAAGTAGCTGGGACCACAGTTATGCATCACCACACCCAGCTCATCTTTTATGTTTTGACTTTTTGTAAAGACAGTGGATTTCGCTATGTTGTCCAAGCTGGTCTTGAACTCCTAGTCTCAAGCAATCTACCCCTCTTGGCCTCCCAACATACTGGGATTATAGGTGTGAGCCTCTGCCCCAGCCTCGTTATTGAAAATTTCAGTGAGAAGCTTTGAAAGCTATGTGACACTGTTATGCATCATTCTCAAGATAGATGTTTCCAATGCACACCTCTTACACATATTCAAACTGAACCACTTTGGCTGGGTGCAGTGACTCACACCTGTAATCTGAGCATTTTGTGAGGCCGAGGCAGGTGGATCATCTGAGATCAGGAGTTCAAGACGAGCCTGGCCAACATGGTAAAACCCTGCCTCTACTAAGACAGCAAAAATTAGCCAGGTGCAGTGGTCTGCGCCTGTAGTCCAAGCTACTAGGGAGGCTGAGGTAGGAGGATCACTTGAACCCAGGAGGCAGAAGTTGCAGTGAGCTGACATTATACTACTCCACTCCAGCCTGGGGAATAGGCTAGATTGAACTGAGAGACAGAGAGAGCTACATTTGACTAGACTTCTTAATCTCTACCCAGTTAATCCTTATTGGATTTTTGGCTTTCTTAAAGAATAACTGATCGAATTAGATATTAATCCATCAAAATGAAAGATTTAGGGATAGGGTGAAAGTCCAGGACTCATTCACCGATTCCCTTCACAAACATGGACTTCCACTAATATGTGTCCTTCAAAGTCCTGAGTGTGAGACAGGGAAGGGTTGAATCTCTTCCTGATATTAGACAGAAAGAAAGAAAACTTGAAAGTATCTTTGTTGAGGGATCCTTGGCCACATCAAATTTATCAAAATATTTCAGAGTTAAAACAGTTTTCAAAGACAGAGATGACAGTCCCTAAGAAAACACAATAGAAATCTTCATGTATCCGATGATCACCTGGGTCATATAATTTTTTTTGGTGCTGAGGGAGCTGAGTCTCACTTCGTCGCCCAGGCTGGAGTGCAGTGGCACCATCTTGGCTCACTGTTACCTCCAAGATTGCCTCCAAGATTCAAGCAATTCGCATGCTTCAGCCTTCCACGTAGCTGGGACTACAGGCAGGCACCCCCCACAGCCATGTCTCCATTTGGGTGGAAGAGGATGTGATTGGTTTAAAATTAAGGTCAAAGATCCTTTTTGATTGATTTTGTTTTTGGACAGAGTGTCTCTCTTTTGCCCAGGCTGGAGTACAGCAGTGGTGTGAGCATGGCTCACTGCAGCCTGAATCTTCTGGACTCAAGTGATTCTCCCACACCAGCCACCCAAATAGCTGGGACTACAGATGCATGGTGACTCACAGCTGTAATCCCAGCACTTTGGGAGGCCAAGGCAGGTGGATCACTTGAGGTCAGGTGTTCGAGACCAACCTGGCCAGCGTGGTGAAACCCCACCTCTACTAAAAATACAAAAATTAGCCAGGCATGGTTTCAGATGTCTGTGACACCAGCTTCTGAGGATGGAGACTGAGGCATGAGAATTGCTTGAACCCAGGAGTTAAAGGTTGCAGGGAGTTGAGATCGTGCCACTGCACTCCAGTCTGGGCAACACAGTGAGACTCCATCCCCACCCTCAAAAAAAACGTTGTGTAGAGGAGGGTTTTTGTCATGTTGCCCAGGTTGGTCTCAAACCCCTGGGCTGAAATGATCCTCCCACTTTGGCCTCCCAAAGTGTTGGGGTTAAAGGCATGAGTCACTGCTCCCTTCAAGAATTTTAAAATGGCATCAACCAAAGCACAATCAACTTTTTTGAAATAAAGACAGAACTGCATTTAGAGGAAAACATTCAAAGCTTCAAATTGTTCATATATATATATAAAAAAGGACAGGATATAGCTCTCTGCCATCTTAGGCTGCACTGTCACCATCCCAGACTGACTGACTGTAGGTCAGATGGGAGTGTCCTTACAGAAATTAGTGACTTACCAGATCTGGATGTAGTTTAGAAGGTGCTCAGACCTCAGGAAGAACCAAGCAGGAACTCCAGGCTTGAAGACTTTGGGTCTCTCCTGTGGGTCTTTAGAAGCTTTTATTGACCTTTCTAATCATAACTCCCACCCACGCCCCTCCACGTATCCGCTGCTAGCTTCCAATCAAAAAATGATATCTGATTGCATTTGTGAAGCTCCACTCCACCCAGGTAATCCTGATTGGGTTTTTGGCTCTCCCCAGATTAATGGATTGAATCAGATGTCCATTCATATCACATATCTATATTCACTTCACGAAGCAAGAAATTGACAGTGTTAGGGATAGGGTAGAAGTCAAGAATACATTCATTCAAGGCCAGACGAAGTGGCTCACACCTGTAATCCCAGCACTGTGGGAGGCAGAGGCAGGTGGATTATCTGAGGTCAGGAGTTTGAGACAAGCCTGGCCAACATGGTAAAACCCTACCTCTACTAAAATTACAAAAATTAGCCAGTTGCGGTGGTCTGCGCCTATAGTCCAGGCTACTAGGGAGGCTGAGACAGGAGGATCCCTTGAACCCAGGAGGCAGAGGTTGCAGTGAGCTGACAATACACCACTGAACTCCAGCCTGGGAAATAGGCTAGATTTAAAAAAAAAAAAAAAAAAAAAGAAAAAGAAAAAAGAGAGAGAGAGAACTACATTTGATTCCACTTCTACCGAGTTAATCCTGATTGGATTTTTGGCTTTCTTCCAGATTTACTGATGCAATTAGATATTCATCCATCAAAGTGAAAGATTTAGGGATAGGGTGTAAGTCCAGGACTCATTCACTGATTCCCTTCACAAACATGGGGTTTTACTAATATGTGTCCTTCACAGTCCTGAGTGTGAGATAGGGAAGGGTTGAATCTCTTCCTGATATTAGACAGAAAGAAAAAACTTGAAAGTATCTTTGTTGAGGGATCCTCGGCCACATCAAATTTATCAAAATATTTCAGAGTTAAAACAGTTTTCAAAGACAGAGTTGACAGTCCCCAAGAACACACAATAGAAATCCTCATGTATCCAATGATCACCTGGGTGGTATAATCTAATTGTTTTTGGTGTGGGGGAAGCTGAGTCTCACTTTGTCGCCCAGGCTGGAGTGCAGCGGCGCCATCTCAGCTCACTGTAACCTCCACCTCTGAGATTCAAGCAATTCTCATGCTTCAGCCTTCCACGTAGCTGGGATTACAGGCATGCACCCCCACACCCATGTCTCCATTCGGGTGGAAGAATTACAGTGAGGACGTGATTGGTTTAAAATTAAGGTCATAGATTCTTTTTGGTTAAGATATTGTTTTTGTTTTTTGGACAGGGTCTCTCTCTTTTGCCCAGGCTGGAGTACAGCAGTGGTGTGAGCATGGCTCACTGCAGCCTCAATCTTCTGGGCTCAAGTGATTCTCCCACACCAGCCACCCAAATAGCTGGGACTACAGATGCATGTCACCATGCTCGGCTAATTAAAATAAAAAAAAGTAGAGGCCAAGCACCAGTGACTCACAGCTGTAATCCCAGCACTTTGGGAGGCCAAGGCAGGTGGATCACTTGAGGTCAGGTGTTCGAGACAAACCTGGCCAGCGTGGTGAAACCCCACCTCTACTAAAAATACAAAAATTAGCCAGGCATGGTTTCAGATGTCTGTGACACCAGCTTCTGAGGATGGAGACTGAGGCATGAGAATTGCTTGAACCCGGGAGGTAAAGGTTGCAGTGAGTTGAGATCGTGCCACTGCACTCCAGTCTGGGCAACACAGTGAGACTCCATCCCCACCCTCAAAAAAAAAACGTTGTGTAGAGGAGGGTTTTTGTCATGTTGCCCAGGTTGGTCTCAAACCCCTGGGCTGAAATGATCCTCCCACTTTGGCCTCCCAAAGTGTTGGGGTTAAAGGCATAAGTCACGGCTCCCTTCAAGAATTTTGAAATGACCTAAACCAAAGCACAATCAACTTTTTTGAAATAAAGACAGAACTGCATTTAGAGGAAAAAATTCAAAGCCTCCAATTGTTCATATGAAAAAAAAAAAGGACAGGATATAGCTCTGTGCCATCGTAGGCTGCACTGTCACCATCCCAGACTGACTGACTCTAGGTCAGATGGGAGTGTCCTTAGAGAAATTAGTGACTTACCAGATCTGGATGTAGTTTAGAAGGTGCTCAGACCTCAGGAAGAACCAGGCAGGAACTCCAGGCTTGAAGACTTTGGGTCTCTCCTGTGGGTCTTTAGAAGCTTTTATTGACCTTTCTAATCACAACTCCCACCCACGCCCTTCCACGGGTGCACTGCTAGCTTCCAATCAAAAAGCCATATCTGATTGCATTTCTGAAGCTCCACCCAGTTAATCCTGATTGGGTTTTTGGCTCTCCCCAGATTAATGGATTGAGTCAGATATCCATTCATATCACATATCTATATTCAGTTCGTGAAGCAAGAAATTGACAGTGTTAGGGATAGGGTAGAAGTCAAGAATACATTCATTCACTGGTGGGCAAGGTGGCTCATACCTGTAATTCCAGCACTTTGGAAGGACAAGGTGAGTAGATCACCTGATGTCAGGGGTTCAAGACCAGTCAGGTCAAAAAGGTGAAACCCCGTCTCCACAAAAATACAAAAATACAAAAATTAGCCCGGCATGATGGCAGGTGCCTGAAACACAGCGACTCAGGAGGCTGAGGCAGGAGAATTGCTTGAACCCAGGAGGCAATGGTTGCAGTGAGCCAGAATTGTGCCACTGCACTCCAGTCTGGGTGACGGAGGGAGATTCTGTCAAAAAATAAAAAAATCATTCATTCATGAACTCCACAAACACTGATTTTTTTTTTATTAATATGTGAACTTCATAGTCTTGAGTGTGAGACAGGGACGGATTTGATCTGTTTACGACATTAGACAGAAAAATAAAATCTGAAAGTAGTGTTGTTAGGAGATCTTTGGCCACATCAAAATATAAAAATGCTTTCTACTTTAAAAAGCTTTATAAAAACAGAGGAGTCGTCCCTACGAAATCAGAATAAAAATCTCAATATACTGAATGGTCTTTGGGATTTTGTATAACCTAAGGTAGCAGATTACATGCTCGTTCTGGTGGAGGAGAGGTGCCACTGAGGGCGTGAGTGGTCTCAGGGCTTAGGTTAAGGCTTCTTTGGAAGAAATTGAAACCACATCTCTAAAATTTATAAATTTAATCAGTGAAGAAGGGAGGGAGAGAAACAAAAATAAACCAAGCTTGGAACACATTCAGCATTCATCAGGAGGTCTTCTTGCTCTCTGACCTGGTTCCTCATGGTTGCCGCAACCTACTGTTCCAAAATCATATAGACCTTAGATTACAGTTCCCCTTAACTTCCCTGCAGACAACCATTTAAGCATTGTAAAACATTAACTTTTTCATCTGAGATATTCTTTCAGGTTCTGCATGTCAGTGAAACTGCTGATGCCAGCTGATCTGAAGGGCCATGCAATGCACCAACTCACCAAATAATGCAGTTTCTACATCCTGTTGACTTCTTCCCTCTTACCGCTACCCCAACTTTCCGGCCCCTTGCTATCCAGGATCCACTGGAAACCTTCAGTACTCCTTGGGGAGATGAATTTGAGGATCTCCTCCTAGCTTCTCATTCAGCCACCTTGTGATCATTAAACTCTCTGCTGCAAACCCTGCTGTCTCAGAATATTGCTAAACTACTGTGCAGCAGGCATAGGAACCTGATGGTCCTTTAATAAAGTCATGTCAAAATTACAAATGGAAGTGAGGGTGGAGCTGGTCAGGGTTGAGCTGGGTTTTTAATGGGAACCTGGGAGTGAAGCAAGACTTGCAGGTCACATTGGGCAGGCTTCCAAATTCACCACCTATGGAAGGTCTTTCGCTTGGCTTACATCCTGTCTCTGAGTAAAGAGTCTGATCGTGAGTTCATGAGTGCTTCAAACTCTACAAGTATTGATGAAGGCTTCCACCCACTGACAGTGAGAAGGCACTGATTTGATGGTGATCATGAAGTTCTGCTGGTTGTCTTGCAAGGAATATGTTTTATTCTTTTATCTTGTCATCTAAAGCCAATGATTGTAACCTCTGTTTGTCCCTTCCAATGGAAAAAACAAAAACAAAAAGTCAACTCTATTTGAGCCTTGTCAGGTCTATAAAACAAAAGAAAATTTAAAAAAATAATTGATAGGAGGAGTCCCTTTCCCAGCCCGGGCAATAGAGTGAGACTCCATCTCAAAAGGAAAAAAAAAAAAAAGGCCGGGCACGGTGGTGGCTCACACCTCTAATCCCAGCACTTCAGGAGGCCAAGGCAGGTAGATCACGATGCCAAAAAATTGAGACCATCCTAGCCAACATGGTGAAACCCTGTCTCTGCTAAAAATACAAAAATTAGCTGAGCATGGTGGCGCCCACCCATAGTCCTAGCTACTCGAGAGACTGAGGCATGAGAGTCGCTTGAACTCAGGAGGAGGAGGTTGCAGTCAGCCAAGATTTCACCACTGCACTCCAACTTGGTGACAGAGCGAGACTCCGTCTCAAAACAAACAAACACAAACGAACAAACAAACAAAGAAAAAAGCTGGAAAAATAAATTCTGAAAGAATTTCCATCTCTATGAATTCATCTTCAGAAGTGATAGCATTTCCTGCTTGGCATTTTTTGCCTACATTTTTGGCATAAGATCTATCAACAAAAAGTATGAACCCAGGTTTGTGTAATGGAATATCTTAAACGTCAATAGGAGGAGTCAATAGTTCTGATGCCACACACACACACGTATGGTCTTCTCCATCATCAGAAAATGGCAACAAAGTGGTAGAGTTATGCAGAGTGTAGCATTTGAAATGGAGATTTGAAGGTGACAAGGAAAGGATTTTGTAAGACATTAGTGTACAAGTTGAGCAATGTTGGTTCCTGTCACAATATTTTTATTGATTTATTTATTTTATTCATTTATTTTTTGAGATGGAGTCTCGCTCCGTCACCAGGCTGGAATGCAGTGGCACGATCTCAGCTCACTTCGACCTCTGCCTCCCCGGTTCAAGCAATTTTCCTGCCTTAGCCTCCTAAATAGCCGGGACTACAGGTGCATGCCACTACACCTGGCTAATTTTTTGTATTTTTAGTAAAGACGGGGTTTCACCATGTTAACTAGGATGGTCTCAATCTCCTGACTTCGTGGTCTGCCCGCCTCGGCCTCCCAAAGTGCTGGGATTACAGGCCTCAGCCACCATGCCTGGTCGGTTCACATCAAAATTTAAGAGGTATTCAATTGCATATGAAATTTGTAGGCAAAGTTTATTTCTTTTTTCTTTAAAGCATTAATTAATTTATTTATTTATAATGTATTTATTTATTAATTTTTTTTTGAGATGGAGTTTCACTCTTGCTTTCCAGGCTGGAGTGCAATGGTGCGATCTCGCCTCACTGCAACCTCTGCCTCCCGGTTCAAGTGATTCTCCTGCCTCAGTCTCCCAGTTAGCTGGAATTACAGGCACAGGCCACCACACACAACTAGTTTTTGTATTTTTAGTAGAGACAGAGTTTCACCATGTTGCCCAGGCTGGTCTGGAACTCCTGACCACAGGTGATGCACCCACCTCGGCCTCTGAAAGTGCTGAGATTACAGGCGTGAACCACCGTGCCCGGCCTAAACTCATCACTTTTAATACTTTCTACATCACATGAGGAAGAAGAGCAGAAACACTTGAGTACTTCATGAAGGTCAAGGTTGGTATGAGTTTGGGTTCTAATATGATCAATTTCTGCTTCTAGGGAACCAAGCAGTTCAGGTTAAGGAAGGTCAGGAAGCTATTTTAACTATAAAGCATTTTTAAAATATTGATGTGGCCAAAGATCTCCCAACAACACTATTCTCAGGTTTTATTTTTCTGTCTAATGTCCAGAACAGATCAACCCCTTCCCTGCCTCACACCCAGGGCTATGAAGGTGACATATCAGTAAAATTCCATCAGTGCTTGTGGAGTTCGTGAATGAAGGCATTCTGTTGTTGTTGTTGTTGTTGTTGTTGTTGTTGACAGAGTCTCCCTCTGTCACCCAGTCTGGAGGGCAGTGTGCAATCTCGGTTCACTGCAACCTCAGCCTCCTGGGTTCAAGCAATTCTCCCACCTCAGCCTCCCAAGTATCCGGATTACAGGCAGCCGCCATCATGCCCGGCTAATTTTGTATTTTTGTAGAGACAGGGTTTCACCATATTGGTCAAGCTTGTCTTGAACTCCTGACCTCAGGTGATCCGCCTGTCTTGGCCTCCCAAAGTGCTGGGATTACAGGCATGAGCCAACTCAGCTGGCCTTAAATGAATGAATTCTTGATTTCCACTCTATCCCTAATGCTGTCAATTTCTTGATTCATGAAATGAATATGGGTATGTGATATGAATGGATATTTGGTTCAATCCATTAATCTGGGGAAAGCCAAAAACCCAATCAGGATTAGCTGGGTGGAACTTCAGAAATGCAATGAGATATTGCTTTTTGATTGGAAGCTAGCAGTGCATACGTGGAAGGGCGTGGGTGGGAGTTGTGATTAGAAAGGTCAATAAAAGCTTCTAAAGACCCACAGGAGAGACCCAAAGTCTTCAAGCCTGGAGTTCCTGCTTGGTTCTTCCTGAGGTCTGAACACCCTGCAAACTGAGCCCAGATCTGGTAAGTCACTAATTTCTGTAAGGACACTCCCATGGGACCTACAGTCAGCCGATGTAGCATGGTGACAGTGCAGCCTACGACAGAGCAGAGCTATATCCTGTCTTTTTTTTCTTTTTTTCATATGAACACTTTGAAGCTTTGATTTTTTTTTCTAAATGCAGTTTTGTCTTTATTTCAAAAATGTTGATTGTGCTTTTCTTTACGTCATTTCAGAATTCTTGTTGGGAGCCATTTTGTGAAGAGACGAAGACTGAGCTGGTTTGGCTGCATTTCTGGCCTCGAGCCGCAGTCAGCTTCTCCACGTAGAACCCGGCAGTAGGAGACTTAGAATCGAATCTCTTCTCCCTCCCGCCTCCTGTTTTTGGCTTTTTGAGAAACCTTATCATCCAACACAATGGCCAGCAACGTTACCAACAAGATGGATCCTCACTCCATGAACTCCCGTGTGTTCATTGGGAATCTCAACACTCTTGTTGTCAAGAAATCGGATGTGGAGGCGATCTTTTCCAAGTATGGCAAAATTGCGGGCTGCTCTGTTCATAAGGGCTTTGCCTTCGTTCAATATGATAAGGAGAAAAATGCCCGGGCTGCTGTAGCAGGAGAGGATGGCAGAATGATTGCTAGCCAGGTTGTAGATATTAACCTGGCTGCAGAGCCAAAAGTGAACCGAGGAAACGCAGGTGTGAAACGATCAGCAGCAGAGATGTACGGCTCCTCTTTTGACTTGGACTATAACCTGCAACGGGATTATTATGGTGGGATGTACAGTTTCCCAGCACGTGTACCTCCTCCTCCTCCCATTGCTCTGGCTGTAGTGCCCTCGAAACGCCAGCGCATATCAGGAAACACCTCACGAAGGGGCAAAAGTGGCTTCAATTCTAAGAGTGGAAAGCGGGGATCTTCCAAGTCTGGAAAGCTGAAAGGAGATGACCTTCAGGCCATTAAGCAGGAGTTGACCCAGATAAAACAGAAAGTGGATTCTCTCCTGGAAAACCTGGAAAAAATTGAAAAGGAACATTGCAAGCAAGGAGTAGAGGTAAAGAATGCTAAGTCTGAAGAGGAGCAGACCAGCAGCTCCTCGAAGAAGGATAAGACTCACGTGAAGATGGAGTCTGAGGGGGGTGCAGATGACTCTGTTGAGGAGGGGGACCTACTGTGTGATGATGATAATGAAGATCAGGGGGACAACCAGCTGGAGTTGATCAAGGATGATGAAAAAGGGGCTGAGGAAGGAGAGGATGACAGAGACAGGGCGAATGGCCAGGATGACTCTTAAGCACATAGTGGGGTTGAGAAATCTTATCCCATTGTTTCTTTACCTAGGTGCTTGTCTAACATCAAATTTTTCACCAGATCCTCTCCCTTAGCATCTTCAGCACATGCTTACTGTTCTCCCCATCCTTGTCCTTCCCACATTCATTAATTCATATTGCCCTGCACCTAGTTCCATTTTCACTTCCCTTGATGCTCCTAGAAGTTTTCTTAAGTCTTACCCTGCAATTTTTGCTTTTAATTTAGATACCTCCTTATGACTTAACAGTAAAAAGGATGTATGGTTTTTATCAACTGTCTCCAAAATAATCTCTTGTTATGCAGGGAATACAGTTCTTTTCATTTATACATAAGTTCAATAGTTGCTTCCCTAACTGCAAAGGCAATCTCATTGAGTTGAGTAGCTCCTGAAAGCAGCTTGGAGTTAGAAGTATGTGTGTTACACCCCATGTCAGTGTGCTGTGTGGGGCAGTTCAACAAAAATCTAACAATGTATTTTTGTGAATGAGAGTTGGCATGTCAAATGCATCCTCAGAAAAATAATTAGTGTTATACTCTTAAAATGTGTTTTCTAAAGTTGATACTGTGGGTTATTTTTGTGAACAGCTCCATGTTTGGGACCTTTTTTCCTCAAAATAAACAAGTCCTTATTAAACCAGGAATTTAAAGAAAAAAATTCTTGGTGGGAGCAGTGACTCATGCCTACAATTCCAACACTTTGGGAGGCCAAGGCAGGAGGATCATTTGAGCCCAGGGGCTCGAGACCAACCTGGGCAACATGGCAAAACCCTATCTCTACAAAACATTTGTTTTGAGGGGTGGGGATGGTATCTGGCTCTGTTACCCAGGCTGGAGTGCAGTGGCATGATCTCAACTCACTCCAACCTCTGCCTCCCAGGCTCAAGCGATTCTCATGCCTCAGCCTCCTGAGTAGCTGCGATTATAGCCACCCGCCACCATGCCTGGCTAATTTTTATATTTTTGGTAGAAACAGGGTTTCACCATGTTGGCCAGGCTGGTCTTGAACTCCTAACCTCAAGTGATCCACCTGCCTTGGCCTCCCAATGTGCTGGGATTACACCAGTGAGCCACCAACGCCCTGCTTCTTTTTTAAAAAATTAGCCGGGCATGGTGGCATGGATCTGTAGTCCCAGCTACTTGGGTGGCTGAGGTGGGAGAATCCCTTGAGCTCAGAAGATTGAGGCTGCAGTGAGCCATGTTCACACCACTGCTGTACTCCAGCCTGGGCAACAGAGTGAGACCTTGTCAAAAAAAAAAATCTTAACCAAACAGTTTTTTAAGAAAACCAATTAATTGTAATCAGTAGGCAGATCCCAAATTCCCCAAAAAAAGAAGAGAAAGAGAGTTTAGAAGGCTCTACGTGCTAGCATCCCATTCAGACTGTTTAATCCTACAATTGTGGTTTTGTAAGAAAAACAGTCTTAAAGATTTCCAATAATTCCCACAATGGCCATAAATTATCCTGGGTGTCATTTTCCCATCAATTTAAAAAGGCACATGAGAGGCCGAGTGCAGTGGCTCAGGCCTGTATTCCCAGCACTTTGGGAGGCTGAGGCGGGTGGATCAGCTGAGGTCAGGAGTTCAAGACAAGCCTGGCCAACATGGAGAAACTCCATTCCTACTAAAAATACAAAAAAGAGCCAGGCGTGGTGGCGGGCACCTGTAATCCCAGGTACTCAGGAGGCCGAGGCAGGAGAGGCACTTGAACCCAAGAGGTAGAGGTTGCAGTGAGCCGAGATCATGCCATTGCACTCCAGCCTGGCCACAGAGCCAGACACTATCTCCAAAAATAATAATAATTATTATAACAGCATGTCTATTCTCTCCAAAGTGTCTGGGACTGGACAATTAATTGTGAGGTCCTCTTCTGTAGCACCATACGCTATAACATATATGTGGATTTAAATAAATACACATACAAAATGCAAGTATATAGTCTATATGCTTTCCATATACTTATGTTCCATGAGGTCACAAGCAAATTCAAGGCTAGGTCAAAGAGTAGAGTGGCTGTCTATGGAAAGGAGAGTGGAAGTGAATCATGGTAATAAATGGAAATAGATACAGATATGAATAGGTAGACATACACACATATAGCTGCAAGAAACGGGGTTGTCGTGGACCAATGATGTCAGTGAGCCATGTAAAAAGGCTACAATTCTTGTGATTGTGTGTCCGTTTTCAGGATGGGTTGTAGATTACCTTTTTAGAAAGGCTGATGCCACAGTCATAGTCAAAAAAAATGATTATAAAATTTGCTTCCTTTCTGGAGCATCTCTGGAGAAATCTCCAATGGGAGGAGAACTCAGTTACTGGGCAGGTTATCACACAGGTAAGATTTTACTGATCCAATGGCACTAATATTAACTTCATTATCCTTCGTATTCTACAAAGGTTGAGTGAACAAACTGTATCTTGAAACTAAAATTAGCTGAACCAATAAAGGAGACTGCATTCTTTTTATTTTTTGTTTAGAGACAGAGTCTCTGTTGCCCAGGCTGGAGTACAATGGTGCTACCTTGGCTCACTGCAACTTCTGCATCCTGGGTTCAAGTGGTTCTCCTGCCTCAGCCTCCTGAGTAGCTGGGATTACAGGCACATGTCACCACACTGAGCTAACTTTTGTATTTTTAGCAGAAAGGGGGTTTCTCCATGTTGGCCAGGTTGGTCTCAAACCTCTGACCTTGGGATCTGCCTGCCTCAGCCTCCTAAAGTGCTGGGATTATAGGCGTGAGCCACCATGCCTGGTTGAATCTTTTTTACTTTTCTCAAGCATGGTGTCATAGTATTGGGTTCTATGCACTTAGAAGAGTGAGCCCATCGTTCAGTAACAATATGAATCAATACTGCAAGACCTTGATGCAGTATTTGAAAGACTATTTCCACTAGGTGAAGGAGGCTTTCAGTGATGCTTAGACCTTCATGCCCTAGCATTTGGAGATTGCATCCTTTAGAAATGACACCAAGGGAAATCTGCCCATGAACAGCATTGGATGGGACTGTACCAGATGACTTAAACTTAAGGATATCTGAGGAAAAGCCTTCCCTAGAAGCACACATCATCACCTGGTAGACAGCTTTTCCAAGACAATGGAACAAGACTCCATTTGATCTTCTTCCATTGACTGAGACTTGGTTTTGTTTTGTATTAACACAAAATTATCAAACCTATATTTTATGTTGTTAGGTACTTTCACCACTCAAACCAAACACTTTCTAAGATCTTCTGTTCAAAATGTAGCCACTCTCACTAACCAAAGCAATTGCTGGCTATGGAGTCATTTAGATGAAAGGGAAGGATCACACTTAATACTACAACCTGCTTTCGTACACAGTTGGGTAGCAATTGAGGATGCTAAATTCATGATAAGATTTGTTATCCTTCCTTTGGTAGGTTGGTTAATATTGATAATTAAATGACTTGGCATTGAGAAGAAGCTATAGGTGCAAATGAGTGGTCTATGACTATTATTGATTTCATTACTGGTAACTTATCTCTATGCATAGAAAACATTAGTGTAACTGGGTCTAATCTAGATGGTGTGCCAGACTCACACTAGAATAAACTCTGGTTTGATGCATATTATGAAGGCTGGAACGCTATAGTTATCGACATAGACACAGAATCAGAACATGACCATGTTACCCTCTGCCATATAATCAGAGAAACTTACTGAAACTAGATATTGGTTCATTGGAGATTCTAGAGGGAAATAGAATGCATCTATAGCTCTAGTATATGAAATAAATATTAGTTTTGTTTATTGGGTGCATCAATACTCAGGACATATTTGGAGAGGAACCTACTCATTCTTCTATGGAGATGACATGCAAGGATTACTTTATAAAAGACATAGAAATATTTTTTCTTCCCACCCCAATTCAAACCATTACCATACAACCTTGTGTCAATAGAAGATAAGGCTGTTGAGGTAGAAATAATTAACGAAAGCTTCACTGGAAGCTAAATGTGAGGATTGACCTGGAAGACACACACTGACAAAGTGGGTGTTTTCCAAAGTCTGTTACAAGTTGGAATGCTTTTGTAAGAAAGGTTAAAAGAAGGGAATGGGACTCCTCCTATCAGTTTGTTTTTAAATTTTCTTTTGTCTTATTGACCTGGCAAGGCTCAAATAGAATTGAGTTTTTGTTTTTGTTTTTTTCCATTGGACGGGACAAGACAGAGGTTACAATCATTGGCTTTAGATGACAACATAACAGGATAAAACGTATTCCTTGCAAGACAACCAGCAAAACTTCATGATCAGAATCAAATCAGCGTCCTTCTCACTGTCAGTGGGTGAAGCCTTCATCAGTAGTTGTGGGGTTTGAGGCACTCATGAACTCATGATCAGACACTTTGCTCAGGGACAGGATGTAAGCCAATCGAAAGACCTTCCCACAGGTGGTTAATTTGGAAGCCTGCCCAATGTGCCCTGCAAGTTTTCACTGGCAATATGCAGGTGCAGATATGACAAGGAATAACCATGGCCTTTACATCACCCCCAGCTGTTGAGGAATGGGATCCTTTTGACCCTTTCTGTCCATAGAACCAGGTTACTCATCTTGTGTGGCAACAAAATATATGGTCTACTTAACAGAGAAGAGGACTCTGTAAAAAAAAAAAAAAAAATGTATTATGAAGTAAGCAAAGAAATGGGAATAGATGTGAGATTATTCGGGGAGATAAAGGAAGTTGAAGGTTTTGAAAGGAAATATAAGGAGGATTATATAAATTGTTTTGAAAGACTCATACTTGGTCATAAGGATCAAAACCAAAGGGGCATCCATGCAATGTTGGATAGATTCATCCTCCACCCACTCAATAACCCCCAACATGTTCAGCAAGTCTTGGTTCACTCCCAGGTTCCCATTAAAAACCCAGCTCAACCCTGACCAGCTCCACCCTCACTTCCATTTGTAATTTTGACATGACTTTATTACAGGACCATCAGGTTCCTATGCCTGCTGCACAGTAGCTTAGCAATATTGTGAGACAGCAGGGTTTGCAGCAGAGAGTTTAATGATCACAGGGTGGCTGAATGAGAAGTTAGGAGGAGATCCTCAAATTCATCACCCCAAGGAGTACTGAGCATTTCCAGTGGATCCTGGATAGCAAGGGACTGGAAAGTTGGGGTAGCGGTAAGAGGGAAGAAGTCAACAGGATCTAGAAACTGCATTCTTTGCGTTAGTGCCTTGCAGGGCCCATTTAGATGAGCTGGCATCAGTAGTTTCACTGACATGCAGAATCTGAAAGAATATGTCAAATGAAAAAAGTTAATGTTTCACAATGCTTAAATTGTTGTCTGCAGGGAAGTTAAGGGGAACTGTAATCTAAGGTCTATATGATTTTGGAACAGTAGGCTGCCAGCAACCATAAGGAACCAGGTCAGAGAGCAAGCTGACCTCCTGATGAATGCTGAATGTGTTGCAAGCTTGGTTTATTTTTGTTTCTCCCCCTCCCTTCTTCACTGATTAAATTGATGAAGTTTATAGTTGTGGTTTCAATTTCTTCCAAAGAAGCCTTAACCTAAGCCCTGAGACCACTCACGCCCTCAGTGGCACCTCTCCTCCACCAGAACGAGCATATAATCTGCTACCTTAGGTTATATAAAATCCCCAAGACCATTCGATAAATTGAGATTTTTATTCTGATTTTGTAGGGATGACTCCTCTGTTTTTATAAAGCTTTTTAAAGTATAAAGCATTTTCATATTTTGATGTGGCCAAAGATCTCCTAACAACACTACTTTCAGATTTTATTTTTCTGTCTAATGTCGGGAACAGATCAAATCCTTCCCTGCCTCACACTCAAGACTATGAAGTTCACATATTAGTAAAGTTCCATCAGTGTTTGTGGAGTTCATGAATGAATTAATTTTTTTATTTTTTGACAGAATGTCCCTCTGTCACCCAGACTGGAGTGCAGTGGCACAATTTTGGCTCACTGCAACCATTGCCTCCTGGGTTCAAGCAATTCTCCTGCCTCAGCCTCCTGAGTCGCTGTGTTTCAGGCACCTGCCATCATGCCGGGCTAATTTTTGTATTTTTGTATTTTTGTAGAGACAGGGTTTCACCTTTTTGTCCTGGCTGGTCTTGAACCCCTGACATCAGGTGATCTACTCACCTTGTCCTTCCAAAGTGCTGGGATTACAGGTATGAGCCACCTCACCTGGCCTTGAATGAATGTATTCTTGACTTCTACCCTATCCCTAACACTGACAATTTCTTGCTTCATGAAGTGAATATAGATATGTGATATGAATGGACATCTGATGCAATCCATTAATCTGGGGAGAGCCAAAAACCCAATCAGGATTAACTGGCTGGAGCTTCAGAAATGCAATCAGATATCACTTTTTGATTGGAAGCTAGCAGCGGATACGTGGAGGGGCGTGGGTGGGAGTTGTGATTAGAAAGGTCAATAAAAGCTTCTAAAGACCCACAGGAGAGACCCAAAGTCTTCAAGTCTGGAGTACCTGCCTGGTTCTTCCTGAGGTCTGAGCACCTTCTAGACTACATCCAGATCTGGTAAGTCACTAATTTCTGTAAGGACACTCCCATCTGACCTACAGTCAGCTGGTCTGGGATGTTGACAGTGCAGCCTACGATGGCACAGAAGTGTATCCTGTCTTTTTTTTTTTTATATGAACAATTTAAAGCTTGAATGTTTTCCTCTAAATACAGCTCTGTCTTTATTTCAAAAAAGTTGATCGTTCTTTGGTTGATGTCGTTTCAAAATTCTTGAAGGGAGCAGTGACTCATGCCTTTAACCCCAACACTTTGGGAGGCCAAAGTGGGAGGATCATTTCAGCCCAGGGGTTTGAGACCAACCTGGGCAACATGACAGAAACCCTCCTCTACACAACGTTATTTTTTTTGTGAGGACGGGGATGGAGTCTCACTGTGTTGCCCAGACTGGAGTGCAGTGGCACGATCTCAACTCACTGCAACCTTTACCTTCCAGGTTCAAGCAATTCTCATGCCTCAGTCTCCATCCTCAGAAGCTGGTGTCAGCCATCTGCCACCATGCCTGGCTAATTTTTGCATTTTTAGTAGAGCGGGTGTTTCACCATGCTGGCCAGGTTGGTCTCCAACACCTGACCTCAAGTGATCCACCTGCCTTGGCCTCCCAAACTGCTGGGATTAGAGCCGTGAGCCACTGGTGCTCGGCCTCTACTTTTTTTTTTTTTAATTAGCCGGGCATGGTGGCATGCATCTGTAGTCCCAGCTATTTGGGTGACTGGTGTGGGAGAATCACTTTAGCCCAGAAGATTGAGGCTGCAGTGAGCCATGCTCACACCACTGCTGTACTCCAGCCTGGGCAAAAGAGAGAGACCCTGTCCAAAAAACAAAAACAAAATCTTAACAAAAAAGGATCTTCGACCTTAATTTTAAACCAATCACATCCTCTCGGTAATTCTTCCACCTGAATGGAGACATGGGTGTGGGGTGCATGCCTGTAATCCCAGCTACGTGGAAGCCTGAAGCATGAGAATTGCTTGAATCTCAGAGGCGGAGGTTACAATGAGCTGAGATGGCGCCGCTGCACTCCAGCATGGGGCAAAAAGTTAGACTCAGCTTCCCCCACACCAAAAAAATTAGATTATACCACCCAGGTGATCACTGGATACATGAAGATTTCTATTGTGTTTTCTTGGGGACTGTCATCTCTGTCTTTGTAAAACGTTTTAACTCTGAAATATTTCGATAAATTTGATGTGGCCAAGGATCCCTCAACAAAGGTACTTTCAAGTTTTTTCTTTTCTCTAATGTCAGGAAGAGATTCAACCCTTCCCTCTCTCACACTCAGGACTTTGAAGGACACATATTAGTAAAACTCCATGTTTATGGAGTGAATCACTGAATGAGTCCTGGACTTTCACCCTATCCCTAATTCTTTCACTTCGATGGATGAATATCTAACTCAATCAGTAAATCTGGAAGAAAGCAAAAAATCCAATCAGGATTAACTGGGTAGAGTTTAAGAAGTCAAATCAAATGTACAAATGTAGTTCTCTCTCTCTCTTTTTTCTTTTTTTTTTTTTTTTTTTTTTGAATCTTGCCTATTTCCCAGGCTGGAGTGCAGTGGTGTATTGTCAATTCACTGCAACCTCTGCCTCCTGGGTTCAAGCGATCCTCCTGCCTCAACCTCCCTGGTAGCTTGGACTATAGGCACAGACCACCGCACCTGGCTAATTTTTGTAATTTTGGTAGAGGTAGGGTTTTACCATGTCGGCCAGGCTTTTCTCAAACTCCTGACCTCAGATAATCCACCTGCCTCTGCCTCCCAAAGTGCTGGGATTACAGGAGTGAGCCACCTCACCTGGCCTTGAATGAATGTATTCTTGACTTCTACCCTATCCCTAACACTGTCAATTTCTTGCTTCGTGAAGTGAATATAGATATGTGATATGAATGGACATCTGATTCAATCCATTAATCTGGGGAGAGCCAAAAACCCAATCAGGATTAACTGGCTGGAGCTTCAGAAATGCAATCAGATATCACTTTTTGATTGGAAGCTAGCAGCGGATACGTGGAGGGGCGTGGGTGGGAGTTGTGACTAGAAACGTCAATAAAAGCTTCTAAAGACCCACAGGAGAGACCCAAAGTCTTCAAGCCTGGAGTTCCTGCCTGGTTCTTCCTGAGGTCTGAGCACCTTCTAAACTACATCCAGATCTGGTAAGTCATTAATTTCTGTAAGGACACTCCCATCTGACCTACAGTCAGCTGGTCTGGGATGGTGACAGTGCAGCCTACGATGGCACAGAGCTATATCCTGTCCTTTTTTTTTTCATATGAACAATTTGAAGCTTTGAATGTTTTCCTCTAAATAGAGTTCTGTCTTTATTTCAAAAAAGTTGATTGTGCTTTGGTTTAGGTCATTTCAAAATTCTTGAAGGGAGCAGTGACTCATGCCTTTAACCCCAACACTTTGGGAGGCCAAAGTGGGAGGATCATTTCAGCCCAGGGGTTTGATACCAACCTGGGCAACATGACAAAAACCCTCCTCTACACAACGTTTTTTTTTTTTTGAGGATGGGGATGGAGTCTCGCTGTGTTGCCCAGACTGGAGTGCAGTGGCACGATCTCAACTCACTGTAACCTTTACCTCCCAGGTTCAAGCAATTCTCATGCATCAGTCTCCATACAGAGAAGCTGGTATAACAGTCATCTGAAACCATGCCTGGCTAATTTTTGTATTTTTAGTAGGGGCGGGGGTTTCACCATGCTGGCCAGTTTGGTCTCAAACGCCTGACCTCAAGTGATCCACCTGCCTTGGCCTCCCAAAATGCTGGGATTAGAGCCATGAGCCACTGGTGCTTGGCCTCTACTTTTTTTTTTTTTTTAATTAGCTGGGCATGGTGGCATGCATCTGTAGCCCCAGCTATTTGGGTGGCTGGTGTGGGAGAATCACTTTAGCCCAGAAGATTGAGGATGCAGTGAGCCATGCTCACACCACTGCTGTACTCCAGCCTGGGCAAAAGAGAGAGACCCTGTCCAAAAAACAAAAGCAACATCTTAACAAAAAAGGATCTTTGACCTTAATTTTAAAGCAATCACATCCTCTTCCACCCAAATGGAGACATGAGTGTGGGGGTGCATGCCTGTAATCCCAGCTACGTGGAAGACTGAAGCATGAGAATTGCTTGAATCTTGGAGGCTGAGGTAACAGTGAGCCGAGATGGCACCACTGCACTCCAGCCTGGGCAACGAAGTGAGACTCAGCTCCCTCAACACCAAGAAGAATTATGCCACCCAGGTAATCACTGGATATATGAAGATTACTATTGTGTTTTCTTAGGAACTGTCATCTCTGTCTTTGTAAAACTGTTTTAACTCTGAAATATTTTGAGAAATTTGATGTGGCCAAGGATCCCTCTACAGATACTTTCAAGTTTTCTTTCTTTCTGTCTAATATCAGGAAGAGATTCAACCCTTCCCTGTCTCACACTCAGGACTGTGAAGGACACATATTAGTAAAACTCCACGTTTGTGGAGTGAATCAGTGAATGAGTCTTGGACTTTCACCCTATCCCTAAATCTTTCATTTTGATGGATGAATATCTAATTCAATCAGTTAATCTGGAAGAAAGCCAAAAATCCAATCAGGATTAACTGGGTAGAGATTAAGAAGTCTAATCAAATGTAGCTCTCTCTGTCTCTCTTTTGAATCTAGCCTATTTCCCAGGCTGGAGTGGAGTGGTATAATGTCAGCTCACCGCAACTTCTGCCTCCTGGGTTCAAGTGATCCTCCTGCCTCAGCCTCCCTAGTAGCTTGGACTACAGGCGCAGACCACTGCACCTGGCTAATTTTTGCTGGCTTAGTAGAGGTAGGGTTTTACCATGTTGGCCAGGCTCGTCTTGAACTCCTGATCTCAGATGATCCACCTGCCTTGGCCTCACAAAATGCTCAGATTACGGGTGAGTCACTGCACCCAGCCAAAGTGGTTGATTTTGAATATGTGCGAGAGGTGTGTATTGGAATCATCTATCTTGCGAATGATGCATAACAGTGTCACATAGCTTTCAAAGCTTCTCACTGAAATATTCGATAATAAGGCTGGAGTGGAGGCTCACAACTATAATCCCGGTACTTTGGGAGGCCAAGGGGGGTGGATTGCTTGAGACTAGGAGTTCAAGACCAGCTTGGACAACATAGTGAAATCCACTGTCTTTACAAAAAGTCAAAACATAAAAGATGAGCTGGGTGTGGTGATGCATAACTGTGGTCCCAGCTACTTGGGAGGCTGAGGAGGCTTGGGAGGCTGGGAAGTCAAGGCTGCAGTGAGCCAAGATCCCACCACTGCACTCCAGGCTGGGTAACAGAGCAAGACCCTGTCAGAAAGAGTGAGGGAGAGAGGGAGGGAGAGAGAGAATGAGAGAAGGGATGCAGGGAAAGAAGACAAGAAAGAAAGAAGGGAGAGAGAGGGGGGAAGAAAGAAAGAAGGGAGGGAGAGAGGGAAAGAAGGAAAGAAGAGAGAGAAAGAGAAGGAAACCTTAAATAAAGAAAAGAAAACAAATAGAACCTGTTCTAGGGATGCCCCATGAATGTTCCCAACAAGCTTATTTGTAGGAACTGAAATTGTGGGCATGTAGGCTTGTGACACTCCCTTTCCCATTGTTTTAGAACCTTGAGTAATTAGTAATTTCCCCCAATGGTCGGAGGGGTTTGCTTTCAGGTTCCTCCACACTCACTAGTCACTGGATGGAGCACTGGATAGAAAGGAAGGGCTAGTTGTGGCCCTGCCTCCTCACTGCTTCGGAGACGCTCATGCTGATGCAGCAGAGGCAGAATGCTGGCTTAATGGCCACTGAGTACTGAGTAGAATTGGAGTAAACTGAGGGCTGTTTCACCATTGCCAAAGCAGTGACTTTGGCCCTGGGAGAAGATGAGATTGCATGGGCTTGTCCTGAGAGTGATGCCTTTTCTCTGGGTTTGTCCTCTGGAAGTTTTCCCTGCAGATTCATGAAGATGAGCATCCGGACTCCACCCAGACTCCTGGAGCTGGCGGGGCGGAGCGTGCTGAGGGACCAAGCCTTGGCCATGTCCACCCTGGAGGAGCTGCCCACAGAACTTTTCCCCCCACTGTTCATGGAGGCCTTCAGCAGGAGACGCTGTGAGGCCCTGAAGCTGATGGTACAGGCCTGGCCCTTCCGCCGCCTCCCTCTGAGGCCTCTGATAAAGATGCCTTGTCTGGAGACCTTCCAAGCTGTGCTCAATGGGCTTGATGCACTGCTTACCCACGGGGTTCGTCCCAGGTGAGGTGGGCCAGGTGGGCTGGTGGGGAGGGCCCAGGTGTCCAACCGAAGGAACAGCTGGGTCATGAGAAGTGAGGAGGCCCAAGGGGCGATGGTGGTGGTGAGGAAGCTGAGAGGCCTTGGCCATTCACCAGCTCCTCAGGGAAAGCACTGCTGACCATGCCAGGTCCATGGAGGTAACAGGAACCTCTCCCCTAATGGCACTGAAAGCCAGCATGAAAAGTGAGAACTGGGCCGGGCACGGTGGCTCACAATGTATTCCCAGCACATTGGGAGGCCGAGGTCAAGAGTTGGAGGCCAGCCTGTCCAACATGGTAAACCCCAACTCTACTAAAAATACTAAAATTAGCTGGGCATGGTGCTGGGCTCCTGTAATCCCAGCTACTTGCAAGGTTGAGGCAGGAGAATCCTTTGAACCGGGGAAGCAGAGGTTGCAGTGAGGTGACATCACACCACTGCACTCCAGCCTGGGTGACAGAAGGAGACTTGGTCTCAAAAAAAAAAAAAAAAAAAAAAATGTGAAAGTGGGCAGGATCCAAGGGGAAAACAGGGTGGAGAAATGTCAGAGACAGGGACAAGAAGCAGGGAGGGGAGGAGCTGCTATCCAGGATGTGGAGTTTAAGTTCAGAAATGAGTTCTGAAATTCTCAGTCTCACCTCTATTTTCCCACAGGAGGTGGAAACTTCAAGTGCTGGATTTACAGGATGTCTGTGAGAACTTCTGGATGGTTTGGTCTGAAGCTATGGCCCGTGGGTGCTTCCTCAATGCCAAGAGGAACAAAAAACCAGTGCAGGACTGTCCAAGGATGAGAGGACGGCAGCCCTTGACTGTGTTCGTAGAACTTTGGCTCAAGAACAGGACTCTGGATGAACACCTCACCTGCCTCCTTCTATGGGTCAAGCAGAGGAAAGATTTACTACACCTGTGCTGTAAGAAGCTGAAAATTTTGGGAATGCCCTTCCGCAATATCAGAAGCATCCTGAAAATGGTGAACCTAGACTGTATCCAGGAGGTGGAAGTGAATTGCAAGTGGGTACTGCCCATCCTGACACAGTTTACCCCATACCTGGGCCACATGAGGAATCTTCAGAAGCTCGTTCTCTCCCACATGGATGTCTCTCGCTACGTTTCCCCAGAGCAGAAGAAGGAGATTGTTACCCAGTTCACCACTCAGTTCCTCAAGCTGCACTGCCTCCAAAAGCTTTATATGAACTCTGTTTCTTTCCTCGAAGGCCACCTGGACCAGCTGCTCAGGTGAGGGAGGGTGGTGAGCTTTCTCTGCAGACCACAGCAGAGCCTGTTTCACTAAACGCTAGTGGGCATCTACTGTGAGCCAGCCTATGAGGATGAAACAGTGAAGGGGACACTAGAATGTCCATACATTGTCCTGTTGGCGGCCCTGTCCTGAAATGGGTATCATGCAACCATCCCAATAGAGGCAGAGGGATCAGCTAGGGGAGATGCTATAGAGAGGTTGCCATACTAGGAAGCTAGCTACTGGGGGGTTCAGATCTAGTGAGGGTGCCTTTCTGAATTCTTCCTGAGGACGTGTGTCTAAGTTAAGATGATGAAAAATAGGCCAGGGACGGTGGCTCATGCCTGTAATCCTATCACTTTGGGAGTCTGAGGCAAGAGGATAGCTTGAGCCTAGGAGTTTAAGACCAGTCTGGGTAACATCCCAAGACCCCTGTCAGAAATGAAGAAATAAAAGTAAAAACAAACAAGATAACTTTTTTTTTTTCTGAGATGGATTTTCACTATGATCGTCCAGGCTAGAGTGCAGTTGTGACATCTCAGCTCGCAGCAACTTCTGCCTCCCAGGTTCAAGCGATTCTCCTGCCTCAGCCTCCTCAGTGCCTGGGATTACAGGCGTGGGCCACCACACCTGGCTAATTTTTATATTTTAAGTAGAGACAGGGTTTCACCATGTTGGCCAGGATATTCTCCAACTCCTGACTTCAGGTGATCCGCCCACCTTGGACTCCCAAAGTGCTGGGATTATAGGCGAGAGCTACCACGCCCAGCCAACAAGATAATTTTTAAGAAGATGATGGGAAGTAGGGAAGTGAAGTGGTCACTGAAGAGGGGAATGCTCAGCAAATCTGCACATGTCAGAAAATCAGCTTTGTGCCCCACAGTTCCGTGAACATGAATGATCCCATCTCTAATTCCCTGTTGTAAAAGTTTCTTTTGAGCTCCAGGTAAATTAATTACCTAGGAAATGTATGATTCTGAAACAGAGGGTCAGGGAGCAGGCACAAAGAATGGTGAAAGTGATAGATGGTTTGCTGATGATACAGGCGTGTCAGGGACGCCTGCAGCCCGCCCACCCCAGCTGATGTTGCAGGATCCTGTCTGGGTTTGTCCTTTATGCCTGCATCTCCACTGGGCTTCTGTGGCCCAGGGATGTGGTTTTCTGCCTGACAGATGAGGAAAGGGAGCTTTAGGGATTCTGTGAACTTGATCCATTCCTATAAATGATGGTGAAATGACTCAGCCTCAAATGGAATTATTTTTTCTCCTTTTTTTTTTTTAATACAGAGTCTCTCTCTGTCACCCAGGCTGGAGTGTAGTGGCATGATCTCTGCTCACTGCAACCTACACCTCCTGGGTTCAAGCGATTCTTCTGCCTCAGCTTCCCAAGTAGCTGGAATTGCAGGCTCCCGCCACCACAGCTGGCTAATTTTTGGATTTTTAGTAGAGAGGAGGTTTTGCCATGTTCAGCAGGCTGGTCTCAAACTCCTGATCTCAAGGAATCCACCAGTCTCAGCCTCCCAAAGTTCTGGGATTACAGGTGTGAGTTACTGGGCCGGGCCTAAAGTGGAATTGACCTCGGTGGCAAAGCTCTTCATCACACATCATCCGAAGTGTTGACCATCCGGCCATGAGAATGATCCTGGACTTGGGCAAAATGGTCTCCATCCATTACCTTGAAGCCATTCCCCACCACCCTCCACTCACCCCTATGATTCCCCAGAATTAACTTCTTGCTCTCTCTCCACAGCTGTCTGAAGACCTCGTTAAAGGTCCTCACAATAACTAACTGTGTGCTTTTGGAATCAGACTTGAAGCATCTATCCCAGTGCCCGAGTATCAGTCAACTAAAGACCCTGGACCTGAGTGGCATCAGACTGACCAATTACAGTCTTGTGCCTCTCCAAATTCTCCTAGAAAAAGTTGCAGCCACCCTTGAGTACCTGGATTTAGATGACTGTGGCATCATAGACTCCCAAGTCAACGCCATCCTGCCTGCCCTGAGCCGCTGCTTTGAGCTCAACACCTTCAGCTTCTGTGGAAATCCCATCTCCATGGCCACCCTGGAGAACCTGCTGAGCCACACAATCATACTCAAAAACTTATGCCTGGAGCTGTATCCTGCCCCACGGGAGAGTTATGGTGCTGATGGTACTCTCTGCTGGAGCAGATTTACTCAGATTAGGGCTGAGCTGATGAAGAGAGTTAGGGACTTAAGGCACCCCAAGAGGATCTTGTTCGGTACTGACTACTGCCCTGACTGTGGCAACAGGTCATTTTATGACCTGGAGGCAGATCAATACTGCTGTTGAATGCCTGCCTATTTGGATGGGTATGTCAAACGCTTTCTTCTGGACACTTGGAAACTAAAACCTAGGTCTTAGGTACATCCTAAAGGGAGCACAGAACCCATCGTTTCACACATGGGCTCTGAAAGTGGGAAAGGAATGCTGATCAAGCAGGGGCAGGACTTGGGGGAAATGTTGCCATGGATTCGATGGGACTTTGGGAACGTGTATCCTGTAGAGTCGAAAATGGGAATCTGAATGTCTAGAGTGGAATTCAGGCTTGAGAATACATGAGGGAGTTACTCTTGCATGGATGGTTGTAAAGAAACAATCAGAAATAAAGGAAAACTGAGCAGAATCTGTCTGGTGCCCTCTATTATTAAGTAACCTGTTTTCCAGTTTAAGCCTCAGGAATCTTCAGTTATTGATGGAAAAAACAAAAGGCACTGACTGAGTTGTCCAATCAATAAGATGCAGCCCAAGAAAATCAAGGCATTTAAATGAAATTTGGTTATTGTAATCAGTTTCCTCCCATTCTTTTATTGGAGACAGAGTTTCACTCTTGTTGCCCAGGCTGGAGTTTAGAGTGCAATGGTGCCATCTCAGCTGACTGCAACCTCCACCTGGGGTTTAAATGATTCTCCTGCCTCAGCCTCCCAAGTAGCTGGGATTACTGGCATGCACCACCGTGCCCAGCTAATTTGTGTATGTTTAGTAGAGACAGGGTTTCCTCACTATGTTGGTCAGGCTGGTCTCAAACTCCTGACTTTGGGTGATTCATGCAAGTAGGCCTACCAAAATGCTGGGATTACAGGTGTGAGCCACTGTGTCAGGCTTTTGCTTTTGTTTTTGTTTTTTAAAGGTCTTCTGTCACTCAGGCTACAGTGCAGTGGCACAATCATACCTCACTGCAGCCTCAATTTCCTGGGTTCAGGCGATCTTCCCACCTCAGCCTCCTGAGTAGCTAGGACTACAGCTGTGTGAGCCACCACACCTGGATACTTTTTTTTAGTAGAAACAAGGCCTCGCTGTCTTCCCCAGGCTGATCTGGAACTCCTGAGCTTGTGATTCTCCTGCCTTGGCCTCCCAAAATGCAGGGAGTATAGGCGTGGACCACCACGCTTGGCTTGGCCTCCTCCAGTTCTTCACTTCTTTAGATGTCTGTTAAATCCTTGTTAGTTTCTGTGGCTGTTCAGTGGGTTAATACACACCAGGTGGACACCAAAGGCCTGGAACATTACTGGGCAAGAACAGTGAGCCAATCCACACGGAAAGCACCTTCTTCTCAGGGTCTTTCACCGCTAGCCAGATGCTGAGACCCTGCCCACTCCCTGTGAGTCTCCACATGCTTCCAGAAGCCTTAGTTGGTGGATGTCAGCTGCACTGCACAAGGACCCACTCTCTTCTCGCTGCCCTGGAAGGGTATGTCCATATTGTGTATTAGCTGGAGACTCTGGGCAGCACCAAACCTTGCTTGTTCCCCTGATGACCAGCAGCCCTTCTTGAATTAAACTGGTTGTAGCCAGTAAAGACAGCCACATTCCCTTTAAGTAAAATACTAAAACTATACAGGCATGTAACACTTTTTAAATATTTCCATCTGACATTTTAAAAGTTACATCTTTTTGGGGAGCTAGGTCAGATTGATGAGAGATTTTCTCATAACACTTTCCCTCTCTCCCTATGAAGGAAGAGACTAGTGCAGCGTGTTCTGGAATCTGACAGCATCAAAGGGTGGATAACGATCAAGGGCCTGTGGGTGATGAGTGACCTTCCCTGTGCTGAGGAAGCCTGCATAGCGGGCATCCAAGTGAAGGATCCTGCTGAGTACTCAGGGGCTGGTGTTGCTGTCAGGGATGTTAGCCAAGAGCCTCAGCTTCCTGTAAAATGAGGATGATGATGTCCAACAGCTTATGGGACCTAGGTAGGATCCAATGAGATGGTTCATGTTTAGGGCTTGGCATGGGGTCTGGCATACAGTAAGATCAATACATCTTGTTCTTTTTTCTCTTCTCAGCAGAAGTCCCAGCATTTTTCATCTTTCAATCTCACCTCCTTTTCCTGATAATAGAGAGGCAACAAGAACTCAGGGCATGCAATGGGGCTCAACTTCTACTCTCTGCCACAATTTCATCATGATTCCCCCAAAGAGCAGAGCCCCAGGAGCCAGCAGGGGGCAGGGTGGGCATTTCTGGACTGGATTCATTCATAATAAGATCAAAATTTCCAATCCGTATGTCTCGGGTGCCATCTGCTGATAGATCCGACCAGATGGTATAATTGAGTGTTGCAAGGATTATATTTTATGGTGTTTTTAAAAATGTACTATTATGAGCCAGGTGCAGTGGCTCACGCCTGTAATTCCAGCACTTTGGGAGGCTGAGGCAGGTGGATCACCTGAGGTTGGGAGTTTGAGACCAGCCTGAGCAACATGAAGAAACCCCTTCTCTACTTAAAATACAAAAAATTAGCCAGGCGTGGTGGCGCACGTCTGTAATTGCAGCTACTCGATAGGCTGAGGCGGGAGAATCGTTTGAACCTGGGAGGTGGAGGTTGCGGTGAGCTCAGACTGAGCCATTGCACTCCAGCCTGGGCAACAGTAGCAAAAGTCCGTCTCAAAAAAAAAAAGATAAAATAAAATTTATTATTATGGCCGGGCATGGTGTCTCACACTTCTAATCCCAGCACTTTGGGAGGCCAAGGCAGCCTCGGGATTTTGAGACCAGCCTTGCCAACATGGTGAAACCCCGTCTCTACTAAAAATACACAAAATTTGCTGGGAGTGGTGGCATTCGCCTGTAATCCCAGGTATTCAGGAGGCTGGGGCAGGACAATCACTTGAACCCGGGAGGCGAAGGTTGCAATGAGACAAGATCGCGCCACTGCACTCCAGCCTGGGTGACAGAGCATGAAAAAAAATTTACTATAATGTGAATACTATTAGAGTACAAATATTTGTGTTGTAATTTATGTACATGAAAGATTAGAACTTTTAAAGAATGCAACGTGATATGTTAAGAATGGTTAATGGCCAGGTGTGGTGGTTCATGCCTGTATTCCTGGCACTTTGGGAGGCCGAGGTGGGCAGATCACGAGGTCAGGAGTTCCAGACCAGCCTGGCCAACATGATGAAACCCCGTCTCTACGAAAAATACAAAAAATTAGCCTGGCGTGGTGACAGGCGCCTGTAATCCCAGATAGTCAGGAGGCTGAGGCAAGAGAATCGCTTGAACCTGGGAGGCAAAGGTTGCAGTGAGCCGAGAATGCACCACTGCACTCCAGCCTGGGTGAAAGAGGAAGACTCCGTCTCAAGGAGGGTGAGAAAAAGAATACTTAACTTGGTTTGAAATGTCAAAACAAATGAGATTTTAAAAACTAATTTTAAAGACACTGAACAATAATCATTTCTTCTTTAAAATATATTTAGAATAATACAATTTTAGCTTTGAAAGGAAACATTACAGTTTTTAAAAATATTGAGTTTATTTTATTTTATTTTATTTTATTTGGAGACAAAGTCTCACTCTGTCGTCCAGATTGGAGTGCAGTGGCATGATCACGGCTTACTGCAGCCTTGACCTCCTAGGCTCAGGTGATCTCCCTGCCTCAGTCCCCCTAGTAGCTGGAACAACAGGCATGCACCATCATGCCTGGCTTATTTTTGTATTCTTAGTGAAGACCAGGCTTCACCACGTTGCCCAGACTGGTCTTGAAATTCTGGGCTCAAGCGATCCACCTGCCTCGGCCTCCTAAATTGCTGGGAGTGAGCTCTTATAGGTATGAGCCACCGCACCCAGCCTTGAGTTTATTTATTTATTTATTTTGGAGATGGAGTCTCACTCTTTCACCCAGGCTGGAGTGCAGTGGTACGATCTCAGCTCACTGCAACCTCTGCCTCCAGGGTTCAAACAATTCTCCTGTCTCAGCCTCCAGAGTAGCTGGGATTACAGGCATGCACCACCACACCTGATTAATTTTTGTATTATTATTATTATTATTTTTTAGTAGAGACAGGGTTTTGTCATTTTAGCCAGGCTGGTCTCGAACCCCTGACCTCAGGTGATCCACCCGCCTCGGCTTCCCAAAATGCTACGACTATAGATGTGAGCCACCACGCCCAGCCTATTTTTTTCTTTATAGCAGTTTTAGATTCACAGAAAAACTAAGCAGAAACTGCAGAGTTCTCATCTACCTTCTTCCCCCTTCAATACACAGCACCCCCACAGGATCAGCACCCACACCAGCACAGAGCATTCGTCACAACCAATGAGCCACAGGGACACATCATTATCACCCAATGTCCATAGTTCACATGAAGGATCATTGCTGGTTTTGTATATTCTATGGATTTTAACAAAGGGATAATGACATGTATCCACCATTAGAGCATCATGGAGAGTAGTTTTGTTTCCTTAAAAGTCCTCTGTCCTCTTTCCATTCATCCCATTGTACTCCAAATCCCTTGCAACCACTGGGTTTTCTACCATCTCCATAGAAAAAGGCAGAAGGCTCTTCTGGAATGTCTAACAGGATGAGTCTTTTCACATTGCCTTCTTTCACTTGTACAATAACGTGCATTTAGGAATCTTTCATGTCTTTTTATGGCTTCGTAATAGTTCACTGACCAGATGGATCACAGTTTCTTTATCCAGTCACCCACTGAAGGGCATCTTTCTTGCTTCCAAGTTTTGGCGATTATGAATAAAGCTGCTATAAACATCCAGGTGTGGGTTTACTCCCTTCGTTAAATACCTGGGAGCATGATGACTGAATCGTAGGGGTATGGTATGTTTTACAAGGATTTTTTCTTTCTTGACAATCTCACTTGTTCGATATTGCTGCTAAAGGTCAGGAACTTTGTCTCGCTCATCCTGTGGTCCCACTGCTGAGCATGGAACGTGGCACTTGGTAGCAAATGCTGTTGACCACATGATGCATGGAAATGCTTATCATCAGTATAGCCACTAAATTGCTAACGTGGGGACGTCAACAGTAGCTCACTACCAATAATACAAATAAGTTGGATTATGGAAAAAATAGCCCTTGTGATACTGTGGATACTCCATGTGTATCATGAAAGTACAGCAATTGGCCAGGTGCAGTGGCTCACATCTGTAATCCCAGCATCTGGGAGGCCGAAGTGGGTGGGTCACTTTAGGTCGGAAGTTTGAGACAAGCATGGCCAACATGATTGAAATCCTGTCTCTATTAAAAATACAAAAATTGACTGGGCGTGGTGGTGCATAGGTGTAGTCCCCACTACTGGGGAGACTGAGGGAGGAGAATTGCTTGAACGCAGGAGGTGGAGGTTGCAGTGATCGAAGATCATGCCATTGCACCCCAGCCTAGGCAACAGAGTGAGATACCGTATCAAAAAAAGAAAAAGAAAGAAAGAAAGAGAGAGAGAGAGAGAGAGAGAAAGAAAGAAAGAAAAACAAAATGAAACAAAACAAGAAAGTCCAGCATGGTAGGAGGTACATAGAGGTACATGAGGGCGAGCTTCATTTGTTTTTCATCATTTTTCCCTTCTCTGGACAGTATTCTGAATGCAAAACATTCCAAAACCACAGAGCAAACATCTCCTATAATCTTCCCCTTATCCCAGACTTCTCTTCACAGTGTATGTGCTAGTGTCTTCCAGACTTTTGTATGACTTGCTATACAGAAGATCAGATCAAATGGGCATGTCCCTAAAAAGTGGTGACTTGCCAGTTCTGGACTCACTTTGCAGGGTGCCGGGACCTCTGTGAGAATCAAGCAGTAGCTCCAGGAGCCAGGGCTTTGGGTCTCTTCTGTGCACCTTCAGGAGCTTTTATTGACCTTTCTCACTACAACCCCCTTCTTGACTACCAACTTCCAATTCGAAAACGACATCCAACTGGATCGTGAACTTCCACCCAGTTAACCCTGATTGAGTTTTCAATTTTCTTCTCATGAAGTGATTAAATTAGATAGGCATTTATGAAAGTGAAAGAAGTAATAACAGGATGAAGGTCTAAAACTCATTTATTCACTTATTCCACAAACACTGGTAAAGTTTGACTAATATGTGACCTTCATAGTGATACAGGGAAGGATTTAATCTGTTTCTGACATTAGAATATATATATATCTTTATTGGAGAATCTTTGGCCACATCAAAAGTATCAAAACATTTCAGCATTAAAGCAGCTTTAAGAAGACAGGGATGTCATCCCTAAAAAACACAATAAAAATCTCTGTGTATCCACTGGGCACCTGGGTTTTATGCTACCTAACATGGTAGATCATATGCCCATTCAGGTGGAAGACAGGAACTACTGAGGGTGTAATTTTTCTCAAGGTTAAGGTCAAGGTTTCACTGAAAGAAATCAGGCCTACATTACAAAGTAAGGTGAGGGCTGGGCTGGATGGGACTAAGTGTTCTAATGGGACCCTAGGAGGGAACCAAGACAACATAAAACATGGCAGGTATTTTGTGGGCATCTGGACAAAAGGATTGAAAGACTTTTTTTTTTTTTAGATTGGGTGTCACCCAGGGTGGTGTGCAGTGTTGCAATCTTGACCTACTGCAACCTCTGCCTCCCAGGCTCAAGCAATCATCCCCTCTCAGCCTTCTGAGTAGCTGGAACTTCCAGCATGTGGCAGCATACCTGGCTAATATTTTGTATTTCATGCAGAGAAAAGATTTTACCACATTTCCTGGGCTAGTCTCAGAATTCCTGGACTCAAGTGAACCATGGTGCCCAGCAATGTTATTGTGATTTTAAATGACAGATTTTGCTTTGTTTTTAAGAAAACCACAGAGATATTCCATATGCTATTTTCTTTTCTTTTTTTTTTTTAATTTTGAAATGAAGTCTCACTCTGTCACTCAGGCTGGGGTGCAATGGCATGATCTCAGCTCACTGCAACCTCCACCTCCCAAATTCAAGTGATTCTTCTGCCTCAGCCTCCTGCGTAGCTGAGATTACAGGTGCGAGCCAACACACCCAGCTAATTTTTGTATTTTTAGTAGGGTTGGGGTTTCACCATATTGGCCTCACTGGTCACGAACTCCTAACCTCAGATGATCCACCTGCCTTGGCCTCCCAAAGTGCTGGGATTACAGGCATGAACCACCATGCCCCATCATATATGCTATTTTCTATTAATTTTTTTAATAGTGATGGGGTCTTGCTTTACTACGTAGTCTGGTCTTGAGGCAGAAATTTAAACACAATAATAACAATAAATACTACATTCATTTACTCCAAGAAAAGTTACAGACAAAGCTATAAGAAGGTCATAGTGACCTAGTCTGAGAAGTAAAAGCCAAGGCCCAGAATGTGTCAGGCAAAGGTAAAACAAACAAACAAACAAACAAAAAACAAGTTTTCCTCTGCCTAGCAAGCTCATTTCAAGGACAGTTATAAGATAATGCTGTTGGAGAAGTTGAAAGAAAGGAATAGG
This sequence comes from Homo sapiens, assembly GCF_000001405.40. Taxonomy (NCBI): domain Eukaryota; kingdom Metazoa; phylum Chordata; class Mammalia; order Primates; family Hominidae; genus Homo; species Homo sapiens. The sequence continues at coordinate 13,141,829 of NC_000001.11, read as the reverse complement.
CTCCAGACACCCACTGCTCCAGAGCAAGGGTGATTAAAAAAAAGAAAGAAAAATGGCAAATGTCTGTATTTAGCCAGTTCTTCTTTTTTCTTTTGATGCAGCTACAAGGCCACCAGCTATGCAAGGCCACAGTTATGTAATAGATTACATTACCTGTCATTGTATGATTAACTGCCATTGTTTTGCTTCTGTAAGCCTGCTTATAAAAATCCTGCTCAGTCTTTGTTCAATGCTCAGCTTTTTGGATATGAATCCACTGAGCCAGTGTGTACCTTAAAAAAAAAAATCCTCCTGTTTTCCCATATCAGTCTCTCTGGTCCTCAGTTTCTCAGAACTTTTTGGTGAGCCAGACAGGAGGAGTGGAGATGACAGGTTTACTTTCTCCTTTTCTTGTGGGGCTGGAGCCCAGGGTCAAGGGAAAGAAACCTGTGACCCCAGGCGCTGCTGGAAGAACTTCAGCCCAGAGGGGAGATCGGCTCTCCTGTGACCTGGTGCCCCCACCCAGCAGCACAACAGAACCTGAGGGGCTACAGGATGATTCCAGGAGCAGTGTGATTTCTTCAGGACTGCAGTAAAGTTTTGGGACCAAAGACAGGATCCGTCCCATAAGGACGGAAGGGGAGCCTGATCACCTCCAAGGGTGTAACTAGTAATCTGACCCAGAGAGGCTGGAGGTGGTGACAGAGGCTCGCCAATTCAGATGAATCTCACACCCTACCTGGCACACAATGCAAGAGTGGCTCCCCAAGTCGGTTAGGAAAAGAAAACTGGAGGTGGTGAGAGTGGCTCACAACCCCAATTAGGAACACACGAACTGGGAGTGGGGAGGTGTGTGAAAGTGTGTGAAAGATACAGTTCAGGGAGGAACCAATGTGGGAGTGGCATGGGGAGTCACAGATCTCTTAGCATGGTCTGTGTGCTCCAAGCCAAGTGTGGGGCCAACCTGCACTAGTGGCGAACCGCATACAGCTAATAGGAGCTGCCCCACATCTCAGAGTTATGGTGGGAATAAAACCCTTTCTTAAGCCAAGTGGCATCTGAAAACTCCCATAATAGGAGATGATCTGGTGGGTCTGAGGCAAAAGGAAGAGTGGGTGTGCTGCATCGTAAAGCGAGGAAATAGGAGGAAAGTCATCAAAACACACTCCATTGGGTGCATGTTAGAGAACTTTAATAAAGGTTTTGCAGGAGATTATGGAGTTACGCTAACCTCCTAGAGGTTGAGAACTCTCTGTGAATTCAAATGGCCTTCTTTTGGTGTTGGATGGCCAACCAAAGGAACTATAGATAGGGAAATAATTGACCGTGTATTTAAGGTGGTGACAGGGGTTGGAGGACAGCCTGGGCACCCAGATCAATTTCCTTATATTGACTTATGGTTAAATATAGCACAGACAAGACCAGCATGGTCCAGCTCTGTTTAGCCAGTTAGTGCAAAACACTTGTGGCCAGAGCCGTGCCAAAAATGAAAGTAAGAACAGCTTCACCGGCAGACACAGAGTTAAAGGCAAAGTCCCAGAGGGAGCAAAAAAGCCAGTTTTGCAGGATCCACCAGAGGGAATAGAGATTCCTACTCCATATGTCCCAGCCTAGCCTTCTTTACCGAGGCCAACAGTCCCCCAGGAACCAGATTCAGGAGCTAGCACACCCAAAGTCTCACCCCAAAGGAAGGATCAGAGGCTTGAGAGGCCAGGGAAGGAAGTCAAGATGGTTAAGCCGGCCATCTCAGATCTAGCCATGCTTGAGTTATGCAAATGCATCTCAGGGAGATGGGAGGACCCATTTATTATGATGACCAAGGCCAAGTCAGGTGGGGGGAATGGACTTTCATCTATCATCCCTTTTCAACCATTGATCTCTTGAACTGGAAACACCATACTCCCTCCTATATGGCAAAGCCCCAAGCTCTTATAGATCTGATGCAATCCATCTTTCTGACACACAATCCAACCTGGCCAGACTGCAGGCAGTTTTTTCTCCCACTGTTTAACACTGAGGAGTGTCGGAGAGTAACACAGGCAACTCTCTGCTGGCTAGAAGCCCGCTGTTCTCTCTCTACACTTTGTCTCTGTGTCTTATTTCTTTTCTCAGTCTCTCACCCCACTTGATGAGGTATACCCACAGGTGTGGAGGGGCTGGCCCCCTTCCTTTAGGGGCAGCAGGATTCTGCCACATCTGGATTCCAAATTTTTCAGTGATGGCTAAGACATTATATGAAGCCACAAAATCGGAGAAAAAGAGCCCCTCCTTTGGGAAACTAATCAGGAAATAGCATTCAAACAGCTCAAGGAAGCTTTAGGTCAGGCCCAACCTTAGGACTACCAGATATAATTAAGCCTCTCTTTCTATGTATTCATGAATGAAAAGGAATGGTTATAGGGGTTCTGACTCAAATTATAGCATCATGGCATTGCCCAGTGGCGTATTTATACAAACAACTGGACTCTGTGGTGCTAGGATGGTCTCCTTGCCTTAAGGCATTAGCTGCCACCATCTTGTTAACACAAGAAGCTAGCAAATTAACTCTGGGACAGCAGCTAACTGTGCGGGTGCCACACTCAGTTATAACTTTGATGGACCAAAGAGGGCATCTTTGGTTATCAAACCCAAAAATGACTCAGGTCTTCCTTGTGAGAACCCTTACATTATTTTAGAAACAGTGAACACCTTAAACCTGGCTCCTCTGCTCCCAGTCTAACCGGGGGCTCCCCTCCATGACTGTGTTGCAACAGTAGATGAGGTGTTCTCCAGTCGGAAAGATCTTGCAGACAGACCTCAGAGACCCGGCTTTTGAATACTTCACAGATGGAAGTAGTTTTGTGCTAGAAGGGGTTCAAGATGCCAGGTATGCAGTAATAACATTGGACTTAGTAGTAGATGCTCTGCCTCTGCCTACTGGAACATGAGCTCAAAAGGCAGAATTAATAGCCCTGACAAGAGCACTGTTTCTAGCAAAAGAGAAGAAGGTCAATATTTACACTGATTCTAAGTATGCTTTTACTACATTGCATGTACATGAAGTTATAGACAAAGAGAAAGGGCTTTTAACAGCTGGAGGCAAAGAAATCAAGTACAAAGAAGAGATTCTACAGCTCTTAGAGGCTGTATGGCCTCCAGGAAAAGTAGCTTTAATGCACTGCAGATGGCACCAAAAGTCAGGGACACCAAAAACCAAAAGAAACAGAAAGGCAGACAGAGAGGCAAAGAGGGGAGCAATGATTGCATCACATTTTAAAGAGGAAGCCTTAGCTATGCTTCTCCTCCCAGAAGCTCCTCTCCAAGAAGATCCAAGTTCTACTCCAAATGAAAGAGCCTGGTTTGCTCAAGAAGCTGGAAAATATATTAAAGGAGGGTGGTGGAAATTCTTCAATGGGACATTAGCCATTCCAGAAATGTTAGCTCCTACGTTTCTGAAGCAAATTTATCTAGGAACTCATATGGGAAAAAATGGCACTGGAAACATTACTGAAATGCTGTTTCTATGTGCCGTGGCCATCATTTGAGCTGTTTGTAAACAATGTTTAACCTGTGCTCAGAACAACCCGTGACAGGGGCCCACTCAACCCCCAAGAATTCAGGAAGTAGGAACCATGCCTTGTGAAAACTTTCTTGTAGACTTTACCAAACTACCCCATGCCGGAGGCTATCAGTATATGCTGGTGCTTATTTACACCTTTTCAGGATGGGTTGAAGCTTTCCCCACCAGAACAGAAAAAGCATGAGAAGTGACTAAAGTACTGCTAAGAGACATCATCCCCAGGCTTGGACTGCCTCTAACTTTAGGGTCCGTTAATTGCACGGCATTTGTAGCTGAAATAGTGCAAGATTTAACAAGACTGTTAAAAATAAAATGGAAGTTACACACAGCCTATCAGCCGCAAAGTTCAGAAAAAGTGGAATGCATGAACCAGACACTCAAGGAGCTTCTGAAGAAATATTTCCAGGAAACCTATCTGAGATGGGATCAGGTCTTGCCTATGGTCCTCCTCTGAGTCAGGTGCACCCTCACCAAACAAACTGGGTATTTGCCCTATGAGATTTTGTTCAGTCAGCCTCCCCCAATCATAAGTCAAATTAAAGGTTATCTCCTTGAACTAAGAGAATTAACCTTAAGAAAGCAAATGCAGGCATTAGGGACAGACTTGCAAAGTGTCCATGGGTGGGTACAGGAAAGAATGCCTGTAAGCCTGACAGACCAGACACACCCCTTTAAACCTAGTGACTCTGAGTTAAAAAGTTGAATTAAATTCTCTAGGACCCATATGGGATGGGCCCTATACTGTAACCTTTTTTTTTTTTTTTTTTTTTTTTTTTGTTGATGCAGAGTCTTGCTCTGTCCCCCAGGCTGGAGTGCAGTGGTATGATCTCAGCTCACTGCAAGCTCTGCCTCCTGGGGGTCGCACCATTCTCTTGCCTCAGCCTCCCAGGTAGCTGGGACTACAGGTGCCCACCACCATGCGTGGGTAATTTTTGTATTTTTTTTTTTAATAGAGATGAGGTTTCACCGTGTTAGCCAGGATGCTCTCCATCTCCCAACCTCGTGATCCACCCGCCTCGGGCTCTGAAAGTGCTGGGATTACAGGCATGAGCCAACACACCCAGCCCTATACTGTAATCTTGTGTACTCCCTCTGCTGTTAAAGTTGCAGGTGTTGTGCCTTGGATCCACCACAGCTGGCTGAAACCGAAGCTCAGGACAAGTGGACCAGCCAGCAGGACCCAGATCACCCACCTGATCCTGAGATGAGACACAGCTGATCCTGAGATGAGACCAAGCTGATGCTAAAGATGACTGCCCTGCTCTGGTCACTCCAGAAGCTGACCAGTCTACGTACAGCTGAAGGTTGAGGAGACAACAAGCCCTGCTCTAGTCACACACTGGAAGCTGACTAGTCTACGCACGGCCGAAGCTTGAGGACTCATCAAGCAAATAAACATAGTTAGAAATCTTAGGACTAGTAGTTTTCCTTGTAATACTGTTTTCCTATTGTTCACTGAAACCTCTGCTTCCTCAGTTCAAGCAATTCTCCTGCCTCAGCCTCCCAAGTAGCTGGGACTACAGGCACAACACCACACCCAGCTAATTTTTCTATTTTTACTAGAGATGAGGTTTCACCATATTGGCCAGGCTGGTCTCAAATTCCTAACCTCATGATCCACATGCCTCAGCCTCCCAAAGTCCTGGGATTACAGGTGTGAGCCACTGCGCCCAGCTGTCCTGCTTCTTTCTCAGTGGGGATCTGCTCCCCACACATTCTCCTCTGTGTTCCTCAGACCACGAATATCTCTGAGGTCCATCAGTGTGAGGTCTCTTGCAGGTGCCATTCCTTCCTTTCTCTCAGGACTTTTTTTATTGGTGTGTCTCTGTGCCATAAGGAATGTGTGCCTGTGAAGAACAGGCTAGACTCTGCAGCAGGACACAGAGGCCCTGGAGAGGCAGACAGTGGAGCAAGCAGGGGCTGAAGTTACCTCGTTTTTACCCAAAGGAGGCTCCTAACCACTGTCGCCACTGACACAGTGGCTCCAATAAAAAGAAAATAGGGGATGACTCCACACATTTCCTTGAGCAGCTAGAAAAAAAAATCCCTGTTGATATTCATATTAGTACAGTACTTTTGGTAGTGTTAGCACTTGTATTAGTAGTAGTACTAGTATTAGTGTCAATACCTACATTAGTATTAGTAGTGGTCTTGTTTAGCTGATGAAAGCTTGTTTCTCTCTCCTTCTGGGATAAAAACTCAAGACACCCTGGGGATCTCGAGTGCATGGACCAGGGAGTCTGAAGGAGTTTGTTCTTTGGATGTGAACCCATGGGAAGTGGGTGTGTATTCTGTGGCCAAAGTCGCTGACCTCTTTGATTAGAGGAGACACAGGGGGCTAGCACCCACCCCCAGGCCTGTGCTTCCAGGAACACTTCTCTCTCTTTCCATGTGTGTGCCTGAGAGGGTTCCTGGTCCTCACCCATCCCCATTGGCTCTTCTACAGGTGATGTGTCTACTGTACACCTACAGGTGACCTTGTGTAGAAAGAAATCCAAGAACACACATGGGGCCACATAGAGTGAGACTGCCTCCAGGCAGGCACAGGGACCCCGAGCTTCTGAGGCACTGTGAGCGCCTGAGACTGGGGCACTCTCATGGAGACAAATGCATGGGGCTTTAGAAAAGGCTGGGTTGGAGGGAGCAGAGGAGGGCATGGATGGAATGCAGGGGTCCCTGGAAGCTTCAGGCCAGAGGCACTTGGGAGTGGGGAAGGCATCATGGAGAAAAAGGTCAGGGCTCCTTCCATGCCCTGAGGTCACAGCGGGTCTCCCTCTCTCCCAGCTTCTCCCTGGGCTCTTGTGTCTGGGAGTCAGGGCTGGCTCAGCTGGGGTTCTTTGGTGAGTGGGAAGGACATAGGGCACTCAGCGTCTCAAGTGCAAATTTTAACATAATCCTCAATGAGAGGTTTCGCCCAGTAGCCTCCTGTCCACAGATCCCATGTCTCCTTGCTGCACTCCTGAGGGGGTTGCCCAGCCAGGGACACGAGGCGTTTTACTTTTCCCTGCCAAGTGAAAAACCATGTTAATCTGTGAGGCCAGCTCTGTCCTGGAGAGTTGTCACTTTCTAGGTGCTCACACCACACACATGTATATATATATATATACACATACCATGAGGTCATTGACACTTACCAAGGGGGCGAACCAGGGATGTCAGGATCCACGGGGCCCCACCCAGGGGCTGCTGGGAAGGCACTTTTGTCCAAGGAGGTACCCCGGCCTGAACCTCCGCTGTTCCCTTTTTTTTTTCCTTCCACAGGTGCCTCTACCTCCCCTTTCAAGCCTTATCATCCTTTCTGGGCCTTCTTGCCCCATTGGGGTAAAACCGCGAGTGTGACATGCACCGTGGGTGAGCACCAGGGACGCCAGGATCACCAGGGCCCTGTGCAGGGTCTGCTGGGAGGGCACTTTCATCTGTGGGGGGACCCAGGCACCCCTTCTCTGCCTCGCCATTTTTTTTCTTCCACAGGTGTCTCTACCTCCCCTTTCTAGCCTTATCTTCCATCCTGGGACTTCTTACCACTTTGGGGTGCCCCCCATGGGTGTGACATGCACCTTGGGTGTGAATCAGGGATGGAACTAACCCCGGAGCCCTGTGCAAGTGCTGCTGGGAAGGCACTTTAGTCCATGTGGGGACACAGGCCCCCCTCCTCTGCCGCACGTATTTTTTACCTTCCACTAGTGCCTGTTGCTGCTTTGGGTTTCCCCCCAGTGGGAGGGACAGGCATCGTTGGGGCGAACCAGGGACACCAGTATCCCCAGGACCAAGCTCAGGAGCTGCTGGGAAGTCACTTTCATCCATGGGGGGACCCATGCCCACCTCCTCTGCCGTGCCGTTTTTTATTCCTTCCACAGGTGCTTCTACTTTAAGCTTCAAGCCTTCTCTTCCATTCTGGGCCTTCTTGATGCTTTGGGGTGCCTCCCGCAGGTGCAACACGCACTGTGGGTGTGAACCAGGGATGCCAGGATCCCCCGGGCCCTGTGCAGGGTCTGCTGGGAGGGCACTTTCATCCGTGGGTTGACCCAGGCCCCCCTTCTCGACTGCGCCATTTTTTTCCTTCCACAGGTGCCTCTACCTCCCCTTTCAAACCTTATCTTCCCTTCTGGGCTTTCTTGCCCCTTCCGGGTGCCCCCACCACCATGACAGGCAACGTGGGTGTGATCCAGGGATGCCAGAAATCCCGGGGACTCCGTAGGGGCTGCTGGGAAGGCACATTCTTCTGTGGGGGGACCCAAGCACCCCTCCTCTACGGTGCCCATTTTTTTCCTCCACAGGTGCCTCTACCTCCCCTTTCAAGTCTTGTCTTCCTTTCTGGGCTTGCTAGAAGCTTTGGGGTGCCCCCCATAGGTGCGATATGCAGCGTGGGTGTGAACCAGGGACGCCAGGATCCCCGGGGCCCAGTGCAGGGTCTGCTAGGAAGGGACTTTCGTCTGTGGGTGGACCCAGGCCCTCCATCTCAGCCCCACCATTTTTTTTTTTCCTTCCACAGGTTCCTCTACCTCCCCTTTCTAGCATTAACTGCCATTATGGGCCTTCTTGGAAGTGCTGGGAACTGCAGAACCACAAAAAGGGAATCACAGCCCTGGCTCAGGAAGCTCCCACGTCTGGGCTCCTGAAAAGAGTAGTAGCTCTTCTCTTTTTCTCTTCACCTACAACTTGGTGAGCAAGGGGCGTGTTTCAGCTTTGTTTGTGTTACTGCTTTTAGCCCCACCATTAGGCGGGTCTTGTCCTGCAACCAGGAAGAATGAAATATGCAGACAAGTGGAGAGTGAGCAAGATAAAGAGGACCTTTATTGAGCAATAGAATGGGGAAGGGGGGACCTCCTGGGCCCTCGAGAGCACTAGGGGACCTTGTTTGGTAACTGCAACCTGGGCAGCTTCAGTTGTGCCTTTGGAGCTACTGCCCTGCCAACTTGGGAGGACCAGGACTCCCTCTTGTCCCAGGATCCCATCAGCTCCAAAGTGTGCACAGCCTCAGCTTTGCCCTCTCTCTGTTTCCGTGCAGAGGTGACAGGTGAGATGCAGGTTCACAGCAGCTCTGGTCAACCCCACAGAAACAAATCTGAAGCTCCTGGGTCCGGTTTAATGAGCCCCAACTGCGCTCTGATCCAGGAGTTTGCAGGCTAACAGCACAAAGTGGGGAGTGAGGTCGAGGCTGTGGTGGAGACTGCGGACCTAGGGGCAAGTCCCGTTTAGCCGTGAGAGGGTATGGGTGGCACAGTTGGCTGCCTCAGGGACATGGGGCACAGGCCTGGCTGACAACCCAGCCAAGAGGTGGTGCCTTTAGGAGTGGATCGTGGTCCACAGGCCCAGCAATCGGAAGCATCAGGCTCTGTGTTCACCCCTCTTGGGGGCAGATCTTGGAAATGCAGCCTCAGGAAGATTCACACAGAACTCCTTTTTAGACCTAGGAACTTGATACTATTAGCAGGGTGGGCACACAGTTGATGCATAGCTGGCCAGGTCATTGAACTTGGTGCCATTTCTGCTTCCCAACTCGGGGCCCTGGAGCATGGCCCCAGCTCTGCCTTTGGAACCTGACAACCACACTTCATGTGCAAGCACGGCACCACCCCAAGCCCATCTTCTCCTCATGGCCCCTTTCTGCCTGTGCCTTTGTGCCCGACCGAGCTGCTCCCCACAGTCGAAAAAGTATGAAAAAACAGATGACTAAAGAGAAGTAAAGGATGGGTGCAGACCATTCGCACACCTGTAATCCCAGCACTTTGGGAGGCCAAGGTTGGCAGATCACTCAAAGCCAGGAACTCAAGACCAGCCTGGTGAACAGGGTAAAACCCTGTCTCTACGAAAAATACAAAAATTAGCAGGCTTGGTGGCACGTGCCTGTACTCCCAGCTACTTGAGTGGTTGAGGCACGAGAATCACTTGAGCCCCACAGGAAAGGATTCCAGTGATCCCAGATTGCACCACTACACTCCAGCCTGAATGACAAAGCAATATTTTTGTCTCCAAAAATAAAAAAATAAATAATGAAATAAAAGAACAAGAATGGGTGGGAATTACTCAAAATGGTCTAATTTTATTTGGCTGCTATGATGTTCCGCAGCTGAACCTCAATCACAGACAAACTAGTGCCTCGTTATTTTTCCATCAGTAACTCAATAACTAGAGATTTCTGATGTATAAATCCCTAAAACAAGTAAATCAATTACAGAGGACACCAGAAAGTTTTCACTGAGGTTCTCTATTTCTGATATTTCTTGGTAATCATCCTTGCAGGGATAACATTCTCATCACTGAAGAATTTTAGTTTCTCTTTCTGACTCTGTAGCTCTCATTGACTCCACCTCAATATTTTCCTCAAGTCTTGCCCCCTGCTCTTAGGATTTTTTCCCTCGCACTGAGCACCTGTCTGAAACAGAGCTCTGTGCTTCCTTTAAGTTGCACATGTGGCCTGGGCACAGTCGCTCATGCCTGTAATCCCAGCACTTTAGAAGGCCGAGGCAGGAGAATCCCATGCGACCAGCAGTTTGAGACCTGCTGGGGCAACATAGTGAAACACTTTCTCAATTTTTTTGTAATAAAAATATTGGAATTATTAAAAAAGGAAATAAGAAAAGAGGAAAATAACTTGCACCTACATACTAGATTTTAGTGTCCAAGGGCCTAGAAGAGAACATTGGATTTCTCTACCCCGCTAGGCACGCCTTCCCTAGCAGCAAAGATGGAGCTCCAGTTCCTCAGACGGTGATGAGCCACAGGACGGGCAGGGGGCGGGGCCAATGAAGATCCTCTTGGGCTGCCTGACTTCCCTTAGTGTACACATCAACTAAGCCCGAAGTGGGGTGAAGATCTCCCAATCGACATGAACCAAGGAATTCAAACTCTCCTCGGGGGCAGGATACATCTCCAGGCTTAACTTGCTCAGCCCACTGGTGTGGCACAGCAGGTCCTTCAGGGCTTCCATAGACATGCAATTTCTGCCAAAGTAGAAGGTGGTGAGCTGGGAGCAGCGGCTCAGGCCAGGCAGGATGGCACTGAGTTGGGAGTAGTGGATCTGACAGCCCTCCAAGATGAGGGTCTTAAGAGTAATTGCTGCCTCTCTCGAGACCCTCGTGTTGGCAGAAACTTTCTCCAGCAGAGCTCCGAGGGGTTCAAGACTGATACAGAACTGCAGCATGTAGCTGAGATTCAGATGCTTTGGGTAAGCGAGGCTTGGGTACTGGTAGAGACACTTCAAGTCCTCTTCCAATAGGTAGCCGCAAGTTAATTCCAAGTTCTCCAAGGGGTTCTAGAGGCACCTGTGGAGATCAAGAAGTTAGTTCTGGGCAATGGTACCAGTTAGATGAAGGTAGTGGGGAATGAACTCAAGGAAAATACCTGCTTCAACCAAACACAAGTTTGTTCCCACCATCTGATGATGGTCCTCATGCAAGTTGCTGCATGTTGAGGACCCTGATCATTCAGGGGCTGTCCCATTTTAGCCTCAGCCCTTTCACCATTTCTTGTGTGATTGGGTCAAGGCCACAAAATCTCTAAAGCCTTTTATCTTCATCTTTTAGCAGAAAACCTCATCTCTGGGCCACAGGTACCCGGTGGGAGATGTGCACAAAGAACTCAACTCAGCAAGGTCTAGGGACATTAGCTGGGGCTACCTGCCGGCAGGGGCTCCCTGGCCTGCCTGCATCTGCAAACCAACTGTCACTTTTTACCACTCTCACTCCTACTCCTTCACCCTCCATCCCAGAAGCATGCATGTCCCATGTCAATTGACTTTCCTGGAGTTCAAAACAACCTTCTACAGACAGGGAATCAGAGACAGGATCATTCATGATCACTAAGCTGGTGAGGACAGAGCTTCTACTGTGAAATGCACAAGTTTGATGCACTGTCCCTCCTTTCATACCCTCCTTTGTTACCTCTTTTACATCATATCAACTTGAAACACACTTTGTAACAAGAAATTCACACGTGCACATGCAGTAGAGACAAAACGCCCACTAAGTACCTTGTACATGATGTCCCTCTCTAGCCTCTACCCTAGGTGACCCCTCTGCCTTTATTGAAGTGATCCTGTGATAGCCACTCCAGGACATGGAGCACTGAACGGGACAATGTGTTGACATTCTGGTGTCCCCTGCACTGTGCCGTCGCCACTGGCTGGCACACAGTACACGTCTTCTAGTGTTTACTGTAACAAAAAAAAAGGCTGCGCTGTGGTCTGCAGAGAAAGGGCACGATCCTTTCTCACCTGATCAGCTGTCCCAGGTGCCCTCTGTGGAAGGTGACCATATTCATTTTAAGCAGCTGGAGGTGTTTCAGCCTGAGGAACATAGAGCTGATTTTGGCGACTGAGCATTCCTCGCGGTAATTGACGTGTAAGGATGGCACCTGGAGAAAAATGAGTTTGCGAAGATTCTTCATCTCCTTCAGGTAACAATGAAGCTTTCTTATCAGATGTGGCCAGGACACATAGCAAATTTCCAGCTCCTGAATACTATTCAGGTGGATTATTTTCAATGATCTTCTGAGATATTCAATCGACGTTAGATAATTCACCAACTTACTACAGCACAGGTGTACTAAACCTCTCCTTTGGTAAACCCACCGGAAGAGGTATCTCAGGCATTCATCCTGGGGTATTTCCTTGAGGCAGATGTCTATGAACACCTTCAAGGGCTGGTGCTCTCCCATCCTTGGACAGTCCTCTGCTGTCTGCCTCTTACTCATGGCCTCTGGGGAGGAGGACAGGGCCCTGGATTCAGACCATATGGCCCAGAAATTCTCATCAACATCCCGCAAATCCAGCACTTGAAGTTTCCACCTCCTGTGGGTAAAGTAAGGCAGAGGCTCAGAACTTTGAAGGACAAATCCCTGACCTTTGCTTTCATTCTCATCCAATAAATCAGCTGCTCCTGTCCTCGCTGCTCCCTGTTCTCTCTGAGTTTTCTTGGTCCCTTTTCTCTTTCAATTCTGACTGGTCCCCACTTCTATTCCATTTACCTTCCACTGGGAATAGGCAAGTTTCTGTTCCCACAGTGGACCCTATATTGTGGGCAGTTCTTTCCCTGAGGATCTGGGCAATGGCCAAGGCATGCCTGAGCTTCGTCACCAGCACCACCAGAAGACACTGGGCCATCCTTGGGATACTTCTTTGCCTGACCCTGCTGTTCTTTCCCTGGACACCTGAGCCCCATCTACCAGCCTTCCTGGGTCACCTCACCTGGGGCGATCCTTCTGTGTAAGCAGCATGTGAAGCCCTTCCAGCAATGCTTTTAAGGTCTCCAGATGAAGCGTCTTCATCAGCGATCCCAGAGGGAGGCGGGTGAAGGGCCAGGCCTGCACCATCACTGTCAGAGTCTGGAAGTGTCTCCTGCTGAAGGCCTCCAGGAAGAGTGGGAGGTAGAGCTCCCTGGGCAGCTCCTCCAGGGCAGAGATGGCCAAGGGCTTGTCTCTCAGCAGACTCTGCCCCGCCAGCTCCAGGAGTCTGGGTGGGGCCTGGATGCTCATCCTGATGAATCTGTAAGGAAAAACTCTAGAAGACAAATCCAGAGAAAAGGCATCACTTTCAGGCCAAACACAATCACCTCATCTTCTCCTAAGGCCAGTAGCATTGCTCTGGTAGAGGTAGAAAAATTACCACTTTACCCCAATTCCACTCTGCACTTGGTGGCCACAAATCTATATTTCTGCTTCTGCTGGTACCAGGAAGAATGTCTTCCAAACACCAAGGAGGGAGGGGTCAAAGAGACCACTGGCCCATTAATTTTCATCCATGGCTCCACTGAATCCCAGTACCACTGGAAAGTGTCACTGAGGATCCTGAAAGCCAAGCTCTACCTCTTTGAGGAAAATTTTCTTGTCACTTACCGCCCTAAAGCAATGAGAATGAGAGTGTCCTGTGGCCCCAGACAGCCTCCATTCTCAGTTTTCACCATGAACATGCTGGGGGAACACTAAAGGGACTCCCTAAAGTCAATGCCATTATTTTTTATTTTGAAAAATTTCAACCAGAAACTGACCGGGTGCTGTGGCTCATGTCTGTAATCCCAGCACTGTGGGAGGCCAAAACAGGCAGATCACTTGAGGTTAGGAGTTCGAGAACAGCCTGGCTTACGTAATGAACTCTGTCTCTACTAAATATAAAAAAATTAAAAATCATTTGACTCCAAAAGGCAGAGGTTGCAGTGAGCCGAGATCCCACCACTGCACTCCAGTCTGGACAAAAGAGTTAGACTCTGTCTCAAATAATAATAATAATAATAATAATAATAATAATAATTAATTAATTAAAATGTTAGCCAGGTGTGGTGGTGCAGTCCTATAATCCTAGCTACTCTGGAGGCAGAGGAAGAAGAATCACTTGAATCCCGGAGGCAGTGTTTTCAGTGAGCTGAACTCAACACCCTGCCCTTCAGCCTGGGTGACAGAGTGAGACTCCATCTCAGAACAAGAGAAAAGAATTAACCAGAAACTAAAAGCGACGTGATGGTATTCTAGAGCATTTGGAAGGTAGGGATAGAAATACTAACTCTAGATGAGGCACAGTGGCTCACTCCTGTAATCCCAGCACTTTGGGAGTCCAAGGTGTGTGTTTTTATTTTGAAAAACTGTAAGAGAAATTATAAAAGCAGTGTTGCAGTAGTCTAGAGCACTTGGAAGGTAGAAATGGAAACACTAAGTCTGAGGAGAAGGATCCAATACACATCCCTTCCACATACTCACAATCACACACTTAGGGACAGAGTCTAAGGGAAGAGATAAATCCCAGGTTCGGAACAAGTCTCTTGAGAATGGTGTACGGGAGATCTAAGATTTCTGTAAAATGAAAGCCTGACTAATAAAATCACAATACCGCTAAGTGTGTGAACTATAGCTGACAGGCACAGAAACCAACAACTTCACATGTCAAGACATAAACATCCATCCAACTGTAAATTTTTAATATTTTTTTTTTAAAAACTGCTTCAATAAGAATTTTGAAATGAGGAAAATGAAGCACAAATCAAAATTTGAGGGATGAAGTCAAAACTATATTTGGAGGAAAAATCAAAACCTACATCTGTTTAATCTGAAAAAACAGACAGGAAATTCTCTGTGCCATTTTGGGCTGTGTGTCACCATCCCTGACTGGCTGGCTGCAGATTAGACGGGCATGTTCCTAAGAAGGTGGTGACTTACCAGATCTGGACTCAGTTTGCAGGGTGCTGGGACCTCTCAGAGAACCAAGCAGTAGCTCCAGGCACCAGGGCTTTGGGTCTGTCCTGTGCAAACTCAGGAGCTTTTGTTGATGTTTCTAACCACACCCTCCCCTTCTCAATCACCAGCTTCCAATCAGAAAGTGATACCTGATTAGATCCTGAAGTTCCACCCAGTTAATCCTGATTGAGTTTCACACTTTCTTCTGATTCATTGATTAAATTAGATGTGCATTTATGAAAGTGAAAGAATAAATAACAGGGTGAAAGTCCAAAAGTCATTAATTCATTTATTCCCCAAACACTGATGAAGTTTGACTAACATGTGACCTTCATAGTGACATGGAAGGTTTAATCTGTTCCTGGCATTAGAAAGAAAAAACAAAACCTGATGATATCTTTATGGGAGAATATTTGGCCACATTGAAATTATCCAAACGTTTCAGAGCTAAGACAGCTTTAAAAAGACGGTGATGTCAACCCTAAGAAAACAGAATACAAAGCTCTGTTATCCAACAGTTACCTGGGTTTTATGCTTCCTAACGGGGCAGGTCATATGTGGGTTCAGGTTGAAGAGGGGAACCACTGAGGGTGTTATTGATCACAAGACTAAGGTCAAGGCTTCACTGCAGGAAATCAGGACAGAATGACAAAGTGAGGTGGGGGCTGGGCAGGATGGGACCGGGTGTTCTAGTAGAACCCTGGGAAGGAACCAAGACAGCATAAAACATGGTGGGTATTTTGTGGGCATCTCCACAGAAGGATTGAAAGACTCTGTCTGGATTGAGTTTAAAAATTAAAAAGGGAATAGTTACAGAAGAGACAGTGCAGACTCTTCAAACACAACATTGTCTTTGAGGGCAGAGAAGGCAGAAACAGTCTTGGCCCCTACTAGAAGGGAAAGCGTGTTTACTCCCAAAAATGATGGGCTCGCCTCAGAAAATCAGCCTGGGAAGATGGAATCTGAGAATCTGAGCTGGGGCAGATGCCAGAGAGAAGCAGTGTGGCCAGACCTGGGAAGGGAGACTTTCCCAACCTGGAAGCCATCGAAGGTGGGAGCTGTGGGTTTTGCAGGATGTGGGAGAAAGTGAACAAGGGTCCAAGTCTCTGTCATGGTGCTATGGTCTGGAAACCTTTCTTTTAGACTCAGGGATCTTCCCACAGTGGGACATTTCCCAGCAACCCTCACCCACAGGTGTTTCCCAGGGCCCCTCATCCTCATCAATACCCTCGTGCCATTCCCCAGCATATTTTGATAATTAATGTTCTGCCATCCTTAAAGTCCTCCCTTGTCCCTGATATTGAACAGAGAGATTCTGATTAAAGTGATACCATTAGGTATACAAAGAAAACTCAGGCCATGTGTGGTGGCTCATATCTCTAATTTCAGCACTTTGGGAGGCCAAGGCAGATAGATTACTTGAGCGCAGGAGTTTGAGACCTGCCTGGGCAACATGGAAAATTCTGTCTATAAAAACTATATACGAAAAATTAGCCAGGCATGGTGGTGTGCACCTGTAGTCCCAGCTGCCCAAGAAGTTTAGATGCGAGGATCACCTGAGCCCAGGAGGTTGAGACTGCAGTGAGCCATCATTGTGCCACTGCACTCCAGCCTGCTCAACAGAATGAAACCTTGCCTCAAAAAAAAGGAAGGAAAGAAGGAAGGAAGGGAGGGAGGGAGGGAGGGAGGGGAGAGAAAAAGACAGAAGGAAACAGAAAGAAAGGTGGAAAGAAAGAAAAAGAAAGAAGAAAGAAAGTAAGAAAAAGAAAGAAAGAAAGAAAAAGAAGGAAAGAAGGAAGGGAAGAAAAAGAAAGAAAGAAGAAAGAAAGAAAGAAAGAAAGAAAGAAAGAAAGAAAGAAAGAAAGAAAGAAAGAAAGAAAGAAAGAAAGAAAAAGAGCGAGCCTTCTTGTCTTTAAGAGCAGCGCATATATACTGTTATATTGGGTGCACACCTAAAATACATTTCCCCCACAAAACCTGGAAGCTCTATTTCATGTTGAAATATCTGCTAAGTTCACGGATGGCTCCCATCCTAAGAGGGATCACACAGTGATTCTTCCGATGTTTTAGGGCACAAAGTAGCAAGAACCTCCCCTGCCTCCAGAAAGTCCTCCAGGCCTTTCTCTCCCATTCTATATGAAAACCAAACAGCTCTGAGATGCCACTGGCCTCCAAAACTGGAGTACTTTGAAGGGTGTTCTCTATCTTGAAATGTTTCTGTAAATGTTCTTTCTCCACATTTCTGACCTCACTGTCAATGCCCTGCTATGTGTGCAATTGAGTTAAACTGAAATGTGTTCAGTGGGGCTTCTACTTTGCCTGCCCTCACTTTGTGAGCCTGAGGCTGAGGTTGAGCTCAGCACCAAGGGTGATCGTGAGTGTCTCTGGTGACTGAGCATCCACGAGGCACAGCAGGGGCTGGTATCATTCATCCAAGATCTCAGCTCTCCCTCACAAATAATCTAAAGCATGTTGGTGACCCTGAGATTTGGCTAGCAAGAGGAATCTGCCCATGTTCAGACAACAAATGATTGGCAGACCCCTCAGGTGAGAGGCTCAGAGGATCCCCTAAGCAGTTCAACAACCTAAATGTTGGAAAAAACTGGCTGACAGACTTTCCATTCTTTCCCAATTCAGAAGGTCCAGCAAGTAGTGGTTGGTCTCAGGAAGATGGAAAATCACAAACAACAGTTAAAAAAAGAAACTAAGCAAAGGAACACTGGCAAGACACTGTGCCAGTGCCCCCCCCTTTCACCAAGAAGGAAGGCCTCCCACTCCTGAGCCCACTGCGCCCAAGCTTCCACAAGGCCTACATACCCCTAGGCTGCCCAGAGTAGAGAAGAAAGGGTGCAAGACCTCAGGATGCAAGACCCTCCCTTGGCTGCCCGTATGAGGCCTAGAACTGGGATACAAATGTCCCTGAGAGAGCAACAGTATACTGGAGTAGACGAGGATGGGCTTATGGTGGAAAGACGTGCCTTTGTGTACCAACCCTTCACCTCTGCCCATCTCCTCCATTGGAAAACAATACCCCATCCTATACCGAAAAGCCTCAAGCTATAATTTATTTGCTCCAAACTGTTATCCAGACCCACAACCCCACCTGGGCTGATTGCCACCAGGTGCTCATGCACCTCTTTAACACAGATGAAAGGTGGAGAGTGCTCCAAGTGGCAACTAAGTGGCTGGAAGAACATGTTCCAGCTGATTACAAAATCCCCGAGGGTATGTGAGGATCCAACTAGCAGGAACAGACCCCCAGTGGGACCCAAATGAAAGACAGGGTATGCAAAGCCTAAACCAGTACAGGGAAGTCCTTCTGGAAGGATTACAGGCGTGAGCTGCCTCACCCGGCCTTGAATGAGTGAATTCTTGACTTCTACCCTATCCCTAACACTGTCAATTTCCTGATTCATGCAATTAATATGGATATCTGATATGAATGGATATCTGATTCAATCCATTAATCTGGGGAGAGCCAAAAACCCAATCAGGATTAACTGGGTGGAGCTTCAGAAATGCAATCAGATATCACTTTTTGATTGGAAGCTAGTGATCCGCCTGCCTTAGTCTCCCAAAGTGCTAGGATTGCAGGCATGAGCCACTGCACCTGGCCGGTATTTTCTGTTTTGTACAAGATGTTCCAGAAAGAAAGGCAAATATGGAAAGTTGTCTAATTCATTTCATAAGAGAGCAGTAACCCATATTTTAAAAATGGCTAAGGATATTAGAAGGAAAGTAAATTTAAACTTATTTGGCAAAAGTTTTTTTTCTTTTTTCTTTCTTTTTTTTTTTTTTTGAGACAGAGACTCACTCTGTCATGCAGGCTGGAGTGCAGTGGCACAATCTCACCTCACTGCAACCTCTTACTCCCAGATTCGAGCAATTCTCCTGCCTCAGCCTCTCTAGTAGCTGGGATTAGAGCCACATGCCACCACATCCAGCTAATTTATGTAGTTTTAGAAGAGGCAGAATTTCTCTGTGTTGGCTAGAACTCCTGACCTCAGGTGATCCACTTGCCTCGGCCTCCCAAAGTGCTGGGATTACAGGCATGAGCCACCACGGTCAGCCAGAAAAAAGTACTTAATAAATTATCAGTTAACTAAATGCAACACTGCATTAGAAAGTGATAGACAGGCCAGGCTCCGTGGCTCATGCCTGCAATCCCAGCACTTTGAGAGGCCGAGGCAGGTGGATCACCTCAGGTCTGGAGTTCGAGACCAGCCTGACCAACATGGAGAAACCCCATCCCTACTAAAAATACAAAATTAGCCAGGTGTGGTGGCGCATGCCTGTAATCCCAGCAACTCAGGAGGCTGAGGCTGGAGATTTGCTTGAACCAAGAAGGTGGAAGTTGCAGTGAGTCGAGATCATGCCATTGCACTTCAGCTTGTGCAAAAAGAGTGAAACTCCACCTTAAAAAGAAAAAAAAAAGAAAAAAAGAAAGCAATATAGTGATATATAATGGCCATTCCAGGAATGCCAGCCAATCACAGGAAAATCTAAGTGTAATTCAGCATACTGACAAACTAAAGGGGGAAAAGCAAGGTTCCTACAAAATGCAGAAAAGAATTGCAGAAAAATCAAATTAAATTTATCATAACATATTTCGGAAACTGAAATGTTGTATGTTGAAAACTTGCATTAAACATCAGATGTAATGGATAAACATTAGCTCCCTTCCTACTGAGATATGAAACAAGGTAAGAACCTCAGCACCTTAGGATTTGGACGCACGTAGGTATTTTGGTTAATAGTAAAGACTCCAGATCCAGCAGACCCAGACTGCTTAATTTAGGTTCAAAACTGGCTCAGTACCATCCTGGCTAACACGGTGAATCCCCGTCTCTACTAAAAACACAAAAATTAGCCGGGCATGGTGGCAGGTGCCTGTAGCCCCAGCTACTCGGGAGGCTGAGGCAGCAGAATGGAGTGAACCCGGGAGGCAGAGCTTGCAGTGAGCTGAGATCGCGCCACTGCACTCCAGCCTGAGCGACAGCATGAGACGCTGTCTCAGAAAAAAGAAAAAAAACTGGCTCAGTGGCCAATGGCTGTGTGGTCTTACTCAACTTACTTAACCTCTCTGTGCCTTAGCTCATTCACATATAAAATGGGATAATAGCAATATTGACTTCACAGAGTGCTATAAATTAATCTATTTAAGTACTTCGAGCTGGATTTGACATAGGGCAAGCAAGGATATTTTTATTGTTATTATATTTGAAAAATATATTAGTTACAAACTTAGGTAAGAGACCAAGGCCTATGGTAAAGGTGATTATAAGCCTTCATACACCACTGTTGTTCTGAAAATCTTAATTATAACAAGGCCAGGCACGGTGGCTCACGTCTGTAATCCCAGCACTTTGGGAGGCCAAGGTGGGCGGATCACCTGAGGTCAGGAGTTCGAGACCAGCCTCACCAACATGGCGAAACTATCTCTCTACTAAAAATACAAAAAATAGCTGGGCATGGTGGTGGACACCTGTAATCCCAGGTATTCGGTAGGTTGAGGCAGGAGAATCACTTGAATCCAGGAGGCAGAGTTTGCAGTGAGCCAAGATTGAACTATTGCTCTCCAGCCTGGCGAGAGAGTGAGACTCCATCTCCAAAAAAAAAAAAAATTATAAGAACATGTCCATTCACTCTCCAAAGTATCTAGGACTGGACAATTACTTGTCAGGCCCTCTTCTGTAGCACCATACACTATAGCATATATGTGGATTAATATAAATACACATACAAAATTCAAGTATATATTCTATATACTTTCTATATATTTATATTCTAAGAGGTCACATGCAAATTCAAGGCTAGGTCAAAGAGTAGAGTGGCTATCTATGGAAAGGGGAGTGGAAGTGAATCATGGTAATAAAAAAAGGTGTAGATATAGTTATGGATAGGTAGACATACACACATATAGCGGCAAGAAAAGGGAATGTCATGGACCAGTGATGACAGTGAGCCATGTAAAAAGGCTACAATTTTTGTGATTGTGTGTCCATTTTCAGGATTGGTTGTAGCTTACCTTTTTAGAAAGGCTGATGCCATAGTCATAGTGAATAAATGATTATAAAATGTGTTTCCTTTCTGGCGAACCTCTGGAGAAATTTCCAATGGTAGGAGAACTCAGTTTACTGGGCAGGCGATCACACAGATAAGATTTTACAGATCTAATGGCACTACCATTAACTTCATTATCATTGGTATTCTACAAAGGTTGAGTGAATAAATGGTATCTTAAAATTAAATTAGCTAAATTAACAAAAAAGATTGGATTACTTTTTCTTTTTTTTGACACAGAGTCTCTGATGCCCAAGCGGGAGTACAGTGGTGCTATGTCAGCTCACTGCAACATCTGCCTCCCGGGTTCAAGAGATTCTCCTGCCTCAGACTCCTGAGTAGCCAGGATTACAGGCACACACCACCACACCCAGCTGATTTTTGTATTTTTAGCAGAAACGGGGTTTCACCATGTTGACCAGGTTGGTCTTGAACCCCTGACCTTGTGATCTCCCTGCCTCAGCCTCCTGAAGTGCTGGAATTATAGGCTTGAGCCACCTTGCCCAGCCTAATCTTTTTTTCTTTTCTCAAAGGACTTCTATGCACTTAGGAGAGTGAGCCCATCGTTCAGTAACAACATGATTCAATACTGCAAGACCTTGATGCAGTATTTCAAAGTCTTTCCAGTAGGTGAGGGAGGCTTTCAGTGATGCTTAGACCTTCATGCCCTAGAATTTGGAGATTGCATCCTTTAGAAATGATACCAAGGGAAATCTGCCCATGAGCAGCACTGGATGGGACTGTACCAGATGACTTAAAACTAAGGATAACCAAGGAAAAGCCTTCCTTAGAAGCAGACATCATCACATGGTAGACAGTTTTCCAAGACAATGGAACAAGACTCCATTTGATCTTCTTCCATTGACTGAGACTTGGTTTTGTTTTGTATTAAAACAAAATGCTCAAACCTATATTTTATGTTGTTAGGTACTTTCTCCACTCAAACCAAACACTTTCTAAGGTCTTCTGTTCAAAATGTAGCCACTCTCACTAACCAAAGCAATTGCTGGCTATGGAGTCATTTACATGAAAGGGAAGGATCACAACTAAATAGTAGAACATGCTCTCATAAACAGTTGGGTAGCAATTGAGGATGCCAACTTCATGATAAGGTTTGTTATCCTTCCTTTGGAAGGTTGGTTAACATTTATAATTACATGACTTGGCACTGAGAAGAAGCTATAGGTGCAAATGGGTGGCCTATGACTATTATTGATTACATTACTGGCATTTTATCTCTATGCATAAAAAACATTAGTGAAACTGGATCTAATCTAGGTAGTGTCGCAGATTCCCACTAGAATCAAACTCTTTGGTTTGACACACCTTATGAAGACTGGAGTGCTATAGGTATCGACATAGACATAGAATCAGAACATGACCATGTTACCCTCTGCCATTTAATCAGAGAACTTACTGAAACTAGACATTGGTTCATTGGAAACTCTAGAGGCAAATAGAATGTGTCTATAGCTCTACTATGTGAAATACATAATAGTTTTATTTATTGGATGCATCAATACTCAGGACATATTTGGAGAGGAACCTATTCATTCTTCAATGCAGATGGCATGCAAGGATTACTTTATAAAACTCATAGAAATACTTTTTCTTCCCACCCCAATTCAAACCATTACCATGCAACCTGGTATCAATAGAAGTTAAGGCCATTGAGGTAGAAATAATTAAATAAAGCTTTATTGGAAGCTAAATGTGAGAATCGACCTGGAAGACACACACTGACAAAGTGAGTGTTTTCCAAAGTCTGTTACAAGTTGGAATGCTTTTGTAAGAGAGGTTAAAAGAAGGGAATGGGACTCCTCCTATCAATTTTTTTTAATTTTCTTTTGTTTTATTGACCTGGCAAGGCTCAAATAGAGTTGAGTTTTTGTTTTTGTTTTTCCCATTGGAAGGTACAAGACAGAGGTTACAATCGTTAGCTTTAGATGACAACATAACAGGCTAAAACATTTTCCTTGCAAGACAACCAGCATGACTTCATGATCAGAATAAAATCAGTGTCCTTCTCACTGTCAGCGGGTGAAGACTTCATCAGTACTTGTAGAGTTTGAGGTACTCATGAACTCATGATCAGATTCTTTACTCAGGGACAGGATGTAAGCCAATGCTAAGACCTTCTATAGGTGGCTAATTTTTAAGCTTGCCCCAATGAGACCTTCAGGTTTTCACTGGCAATATGCAGGTGCAGATATGACAAAGAATAACAATGACCTTCATATCACCTCCAGCTGTTGAGGAATGGGATCCTTTTCACCCTTCCTGTCCATAAAACCAAGTTACTCATCTTCAGTGGCAACAAAATATATGGTAAACTTAACAGAGAAGGAGACTGTCAGAAAAAAAAAAAAAAAAGATGTGTTTATCCTGAAATGAGGAAAGCAATGGGAATAGATGTGAGATTATTTTGGGAGAAAAAGGAAGACAAAGGTTTTGAAAGGAAAAATAAGGAGGATTATACAAATTGTTTTGAAAGACTCAACCTTGGTCCTAAGAATCAAAAGTAAAGGGGCATCAGTGAAATGTTGGATAGATTCCACCTCCACCCCCTCAGTAACCCCCAACATGTTTACCAAGTCTTGGTTAACTCCCAGGATCCCATTAAAACACCCAGCTCAACCATGCCCATCCTCTACCCTCACTTCTCTTTGTAATTTTGACATGATTTTATTACAGGACCATCAGGTTCCTATGCCTGCTGCACAGTAGCTGACCAATATTCTGAGACAGCAGTGTTTGCAGCAGACAGTTTAATGATCACAGGGTGGCTAAATGAGAAGCTAGGAGGATATCCTCAAATTCATCTCCCCAAGTAGTACTGAGGGTTTCCAGTGGATCCTGGATAGCAAGGGGCTGGAAAGTTGGTGTAGAGGTAAGAGGGATGAAGTCATCAGGATGTCAAAACTGCATTCTTTGGTGAGTTGGTGCCTTGCAGAGCCCTTCAGATCAGCTGGCATCAGTAGTTTCACTGACATGCAGAACCTGAAAGAATATCTCAAATGAGAAAGTTAATGTTTTACAAGGCTTAAATTGTTGTCTGCAGGGTAGTTAAGGGGAACTGTAAGCTAAGGTCTACTTGATTTGGGGACAGTAAGCTGCCAGCAACCATGAGGAAGAAGGTCAGAGAGCAAGCTGACCTCATGGTGAATGCTGAATGCGCTGCAAGCTTGGTTTATTTTTGTTTCTCCCCCTCCCTTCTTCACTGATTAAACTTATAAAGTTTACAGGTATCATTTCAATTTCTTCCAGAGAAGACTTAACCTAAGCCCTGAGACCACTCAAGCCCTCAGTGGCACCTCTCTTCCACCAGCACGAGTGAAGAAACTGCTACCTTAGGTGATATAAAACCCACAAGACCATTCCATACATGGAGATCTTTATTCTTATTTTGTAGGGACGACTCCTCTGTGTTTATACAGCTATTTTAACTAGAAATATTTTTATAAATTTTATAATTTTGATGTGGCCAAAGATCTCCCCACAACACTACTTTCAGGTTTTATTTTTCTGTCTAATGTCTGGAACAGATCAACCCCTTCCCTGCCTCACATCAGGACTTGAAGGCGAAATAGCAGTAAAATTCCATCAGTGTTTGTGGATTTCATGAATGAATGCATTTTTTTTGACAAAATCTCCCTCTGTCGCCCAGTCAGGAGGGCAATGGTGTAATCTTGGCTCACTGCAAACTCAGCCTCCAGGGTTCAAGGGATTCTCCCACCTCAGCCGCATGAGTAACTGGACTACAGGCAGCCACCATCGTGCCTGGCTAACTTTTCTATTTTTGTAGAGACAGGGTTTCACCATGTGGGCCAGGCTGGTCTTGAACTCCTGACCTCAGGTGATCCACCTACCTTGGCCTCCCAAAGTGCTGGGATTACAAGTGTGAGCCACCTCACCTGGCCTTGAGTGAATGAATTCTTGATTTCCACTCTATCCCTAACTCTGTCAATTTCTTAATTCATAAAATGATTATGCATATGTGATATGAATGGATATCTCGTTCAATCCATTAGTCTTCGGACAGTCAAAAACCCAATCAGGATTAACTGAGTGGAGCTTCAGAAATGCAATCAGATATCGCTTTTTGATTGGAAGCTAGCAGCGGATACGTGGAGGGGCGTGGGTGGGAGTTGTGATTAGAAAGGTCAATAAAAGCTTCTAAAGACCCACAGGACAAACTCAAAGTCTTCAAGCCTGGAGTTCCTGCTTGGCTCTTCCTGAGGTCTGAGCACCTTCTAAACTACAACCAGATCTGGTAAGTCACTAATTTCTGTAAGGACACTCCCATGTGACCTACAGTCAGCCGGTCTAGAACGGTGACAGTGCAGCCTACGATGGCATAGAACTATATCATGTCTTTTTTTCTTTTTTTCATATGAACACTTTGAAGCTTTGATTTTTTTTTCTAAATGCAATTTTGTCGTGATTTCAAAAATGTTGTTGTGCTTTTCTTTACATCATTTCAGAATTCTTGTTGGCAGCCATTTTGTGAAGAGACGAAGACTGAGCTGTTTTGGCTGCATTTCTGGCCTCGAGCCGCAGTCAGTTTCTCCCCGTAGAACCCGGCAGTAGGAGACTTAGAATCGAATCTCTTCTCCCTCCCGCCTCCTGTTTTTGGCTTTTTGAGAAACCTTATCATCCAACACAATGGCCAGCAACGTTACCAACAAGATGGATCCTCACTCCGTGAACTCCCGTGTGTTCATTGGGAATCTCAACACTCTTGTTGTCAAGAAATCTGATGTGGAGGCGATCTTTTCCAAGTATGGCAAAATTGCGGGCTGCTCTGTTCATAAGGGCTTTGCCTTCGTTCAATATGATAAGGAGAAAAATGCCCGGGCTGCTGTAGCAGGAGAGGATGGCAGAATGATTGCTAGCCAGGTTGCAGTTATTAACCTGGCTGCAGAGCCAAAAGTGAACCGAGGAAACGCAGGTGTGAAACGATCCGCAGCGGAGATGTACGGCTCCTCTTTTGACTTGGACTATGGCTTTCAACGGGATTATTATGATGGGATGTACAGTTTCCCAGCACGTGTACCTCCTCCTCCTCCCATTGCTCTGGCTGTAGTGCCCTCGAAACGCCAGCGCATATCAGGAAACACCTCACGAAGGGGCAAAAGTGGCTTCAATTCTAAGAGTGGAAAGCGGGGATCTTCCAAGTCTGGAAAGCTGAAAGGAGATGACCTTCAGGCCATTAAGCAGGAGTTGACCCAGATAAAACAGAAAGTGGATTCTCTCCTGGAAAACCTGGAAAAAATTGAAAAGGAACAGAGCAAACAAGAGGTAGAGGTGAAAAATGCTAAGTCAGAAGAGGAGCAGAGCAGTAGCTCCATGAAGAAAGATGAGACTCATGTAAAGATGGAGTCTGAGGGGGGTGCAGAAGACTCTGCTGAGGAGGGGGACCCACTGGATGATGATGATAATGAAGATCAGGGGGACAACCAGCTTCATTTGATCAAGAATAATGAAAAAGATGCTGAGGAAGGAGAGGATAACAGAGACAGCACCAATGGCCAGGATGACTCTTAAGCACATAGTGGGGTTGAGAAATCTTATCCCATTGTTTCTTTACCTAGGAGCTTGTCTAACAACAAATTTTTCACCAGATCCTCTCCCTTAGTATCTTCAGCACATGCTTACTGTTCTCCCCATCCTTGTCCTTCCCACATTCATTAATTCATATTGCCCTGCGCCTAGTCCCATTTTCACTTCCCATGACACCCCTAGTAGTTTTCCTAAGTCTTACCCTGTAATTTTTGCTTTTAATTTTGACACCTCTTTATGACTTAACAGTAAAAAGGATGTATGGTTTTTATCAACTGTCTCCAAAATAATCTCTTGTTATGCAGGGAATACAGTTCTTTTCTTTCATACATAAGTTCAGTAGTTGCTTCCCTAACTGCAAAGGCAATCTCATTGAGTTGAGTAGCTCCTGAAAGCAGCTTGGAGTTACAAGTATGTGTGTTACACCCCATATTAGTGTGCTGTGTGGGGCAGTTCAACAAAAATCTAACAATGTATTTTTGTGAATGAGAGTTGGCATGTCAAATGCATCCTCAGAAACATAATTGGTGTTATAGTCTTCAAATGTGTTTTCTAAAGTTGATACCGTGGGTTATTTTTGTGAACAGCTTGATGTTTGGGACCTTTTCCCTGAAAATAAACAACTCTTTATTAAACCAGCAATTTAAAGAAAAAAAATTCTTGGTGGGAGCAATGACTCATGCCTGTAACTACAACACTTTGGGAGGCCAAGGTGGGAGGATCGTTTGAGCGCAGGGGTTCGAGACCAACCTGAGCAACATGGCAAAACCCTATCTCTACAAAACATTTGTTTTGAGGGGCGGGATGGAGTCTCACTCCGTTACCCAGGCTGGAATGGAGTGGCACAATCTCAGCTCACTCCAACCTCTGCCTCCCAGGCTCAAGCGATTCTCATGCCTCAGCCTCCTGAGTAGCTGGGATTATAGCCACCCACCCCCATGAGCAGCTCATTTTTATATTTTGGATAGAGACGGCGGTTCACCATGTTGGCCAGGCTGGTCTCAAACTCCTAACCTCAAGTGATCCACCTGCTTTGGCCTCCCAAAGGGCTGGGATTACACCAGTGAGCCACCAATGCCCTGCCTCTTTTTTAAAAAATTAGATGGGCATGGTTGAAGGGGAGCAGCCTCTCCATACCTGTGGGTATATCGCATCAGGTGGGATGACAGACTGTGAAAAGAAATAAGACACAGAGACAAAGTATGGAGAAAGAACAGGGGGCCCAGGGGACCGGCGCTCAGCATAAAACGTGAGCAAAGGAATCTGTGTCACAAATGAGTTCAAGGGAAGGTACTCTGCCTGGATGTGCATGTAGGCCAGATGTATGCTTCTCTCCACCCAAACATCTCAGTGGAGAAAAGAATAACAGAGCAGCATTGCTGCCAACATGTCTCACCTCCCAACACAGGACAGTTTGTCTCCTATCTCAGAATAGAACAAATCTACAATTGGGTTTTATACCGAGACATTCCATTCCCAGGGACAGGCAGGAGACAGAGGCCTTCCTCTTATCTCAACTGCAAGAGGCCTTCCTCTTTTACTAATACTCCTCAGCACAGACCCTTCACGGGAGTTGGGCTGGGGGATGGTCAGGTCTCTCCCATCCCACAAGGCCATATCTCAGGCTATCACATGGGGAGAAACCTTAGACAATACCCGGCTTTCCAGGGCAGAGGTCCCTGTGGCTTTCCACAGTGCATTGTGCCCCTGGTTTATCGAGAATGGAGAATGGCGATGATTTTACCAAGCATATTGCCTGTATACATATTGTTAACAAGGCACATCCTGCACTGCCCTAGATCCCTTAAACCTTGATTCCATACAACACATGTTTTTGTGAGCTCAAGGTTGGGGCAAAGTTACAGATTAATAGCATCTCAGGGCAAAGCAATTCTTCAGGGCACAGGTCAAAATGGAGTTTCTTATGTCTTCCTTTTCTACATAGACACAGTAACAGTCTGATCTCTCTTTCTTTTCCCTACACATGGTGGCATGCATCTGTAGTCCCAGCTACTTGGGTGGCTGAGGTGGGAGAATCCCTTGAATCCAGAAGATTGATGCTGCAGTGAGCCATGCTCACACCAGTGCTGTACTCCAGCCTGGGCAGCAGAGTCAGACTGTTGAAAAAAAAAAATCTTAATCAAACAGTTAAAAAAGTGCAATTAATTGTAATCAGTAGGCAGATCCCAAATTCCCCAAAAAAGGAGAGAAAGAGAG
Organism: Homo sapiens; assembly: GCF_000001405.40. Taxonomy (NCBI): domain Eukaryota; kingdom Metazoa; phylum Chordata; class Mammalia; order Primates; family Hominidae; genus Homo; species Homo sapiens. The sequence goes on along the minus strand of NC_000001.11, from coordinate 13,113,286 downwards.
TTTAGAAGGCTCTACATGCTAGCATCCCATTCAGACTGTTTAATCCTACCATTGTGGTTTTGTAAGAAAAACAGTCTTAAAGATTTCCAATAATTCTCACTATGGCCATAAATTATCCTGGGTGTCATTTTCCCATCAACTTAAAAAGGCACGTGAGAGGCCGGGCACGGTGGCTCACACCTGTAATTCCAGCACTTTGGGAAGCCAAGGCAGGTGGAACGCCTGAGATCAGGAGTTTGAGACCAGCATGGCCAACATGGAGAAACTCCATTTCTACTAAAAATACAAAAAATAGCCGGGCGTGGTGGTAGGCATCTGTAATCTCAGGTACTTGGGAGGCTGAGGCAGGAGAAACAGTTGAACCCGAGAGGTGGAGGTTGCATTGAGCCAAGATAGCACCTTTGCACACCAGCCTGGCCACAGAGCAAGACTCCATCTCCAAAAAATACTACTAATAATTATAACAGCATGTCCATTCACTCTCCAAAGTGTCTGGGACTGGACAATTAATTGTGAGGCCCTCTTCTCTAGCACCCTACGCTATAGCATATATGTGGATTAAAATAAATACACATAAAAATGCAAGTATATATGCTATATACTTTCCATATACTTATATTATATAAGGTCACATGCAAATTCAAGGCTAGGTCAAAGAGTAGAGTGGCAATATATGGAAAGGTGAGTGGAAGTGAATAATGGTAATAAAAGGAAACAGATAGATATAGATATAGATATGAATAGGTAGACATACACATATATAGCTGCAAGAAAGGGGGTTGTCATGGACCAATGATGACAGTGAGCCGTGTAAAAAGGCTAAAATTCTTGTGATTGTGTTTCCATTTTCAGGATGAGTTGTAGCTTACCTTTTTAGAAAGGCTTATGATGCAGTCATAGCAAATAAGTGATTATAAAATGTGTTTCCTTTCTGGGCAATTCTGGAGAAATCTCTAATGGTATGAGAATTCAGTTTACTGGGCAGGTTATCACACATAAAATTTTACAGACCCAATGACACTAGCATTAACTTCATTATCCTTGGTATTCTATAAAGGTTGAGTGAACAAATGGTATATTTAAACTAAAATTAGCTAAACTGACAAAGAAAACTGGATTATTATTATTTATTTTTGAGACAGAGTCTCTGTTGCCCAGGCTGGAGTACAGTGGTGCTACCTTGGCTCACTGCAACCTCTGCCTCCCAGGTTCAAGGAGTTTTCCTGCCTCAGCCACCTAAGTAGCTGGGATTACAGGCACACACAACCACACCCAGCTAATTTTTGTATTTTTGGCAGAAGCGGGGTTTCACCATTTTGGCCAGGTTGGTCTTGAACCCCTGACATCGGGATCTGCCTGCCTCGGTCTCCTAAAGTGCTGGGATTATAGGCGTCAGCCACCACACCTGGCCGAATCTTTTTTTCTTTTCTCAAAGATGTTGTCATAGTATTGGGTTCTATGCACTCAGGAGAGTGAGCCCATCATTCAGTAACAATATGAATCAATACTGCAAGACCTTGATGCAGAATTTCAAAGACTATTTCCAGTAGGTGAAGGCTTTCAGTGATGCTTAGATCTTCCTGCCCTAGCATTTGGAGATTGCATCCTTTGGAAATGACACCAAGGGAAATCTGCGCATGAGCAGCAATGGATGGGACTGTACCAGATGACTGAAACGTAAAGATATCCGAGGAAAAGCCTTCCCTAGAAGCAGACATCATCACATGGTAGACAGCTTTTCCAAGACAATGGAACAAGACTCCATTTGATCTTCTTCCATTGACTGAGACTTGGTTTTGTTTTGTATTAACACAAAATTCTCAAACCTGTATTTTATATTGTTAGGTACTTTCATCACTCAAACCAAACACTTTCTAAGGTCTCCTGTTCAAAATGTAGCCACTCTCACTAACCAAAGCAATTGCTGGCTATGGGGTCATTTAGATGAAAGGGAAGGATCACAGATAATAGTAGAACCTGCTCTCATACACAGTTGGGTAGCAATTGAGGATGCTAACTTCATGATAAGGTTTGTTATCCTTCCTTTGGAAGGTTGGTTAATATTGATAATTAAATGACTTGGTACTGAGAAGAAGCTATAGGTGCAAATGGGTGGCCTATGACTATTATTGATTTCATTACTGGTAATTTATCTCTATGCCTAGAAAACATTAGTGTAACTGGGTCTAACCTAGATAGTGTTCCAGACTCCCACTAGAATCAAACTCTTTGGTTTGACATGCATTATGTAGATGGGAATGCTATAGATATCGACATAGACATAGAGTCAGAACATGACCATGTTACCCTCTGCCATATAATCAGAGAACTTACTGAAACTAGGCATTGGTTCTTTGGAAACTCTAGAGGCAAATAGAATGCATCTATAGCTCTACTGTATGAAATAATAGTTTTATTTATTGGATGCATCAATACTCAGGATATATTTGGAGAGGAAACTATTCTTTCTTCAATGGAGATGGCATGCAAGGATTACTTTATAAAACACACAGAAATATTTTTTCCTCCCACCCCAATTCCAACCATTACCGTGCAACCTGTTGTCAATAGACGTTAAGGCAGTTGAGGCAGAAATAATTAAATAAAGCTTCATTGGAAGCTAAATGTCAGGATCGACCTGGAAGACACACACTGACAAAATGAGCGTTTTCCAAAGTCTGTTACAAGTTGGAATGCTTTTATAAGAAAGGTTGAAAGAAGGGAATGGGACTCCTCCTATCAGTTGTTTTTTTTTTTTAATTTTCTTTTGTTTTATCCTGGCAAGGCTCTAATAGAGTTGAGCTTTTTTGTTTTTGTTTTTTCCATTGGAAGGGACAATACAGAGGTTACAATCATTGACTTTAGATGACAACATGACAGGCAAAAATATTTTCCTTGCAAGACAACCAGCAAAACTTCACGATCAGAATCAAATCAGTGTCCTTCTCACTGTCACTGGGTGAAGCCTTCATCAGTACTTGAAGAGTCTCAGGCACTCATGAAGTCAAGATCAGATTCTTTACTCAGGGACAGGATGTAAGCCAATCATAAGACCTTCCACAGATGATCAATTTGGAAGTCTACCTAATGTGACCTGCAGGTTTTCACTGGCAATATGCAGGTGCAGATATGACAAAGAATAATCCTGACCTTCATATCGCCCCTAGCTGATGAGGATTGGGATTCTTTTGTCCCTTTCTCTCCATAAAACCAGGTTACTCATCTTGTGTGGCAACAAAATATATGGTCTACTTAACAGAGAAAGAGACTCCACAGGAAAAAAAAAAGGATTTTTATTATGAAATGAGCAAAGCCATGGGAATAGATGTGAGATTATTCGGGGAGGTAAAGGAAGACAAAGGTTTTGAAAGGAAAAATGAGGAGAATTACATAAATTTTTTTGAAAGACTCATTCTTGGTCACAAGTATGAAAACCAAGGGAGCCTCAGTGCAGTGTTGGAAAGATTCCTCCTCCACCCTCTCAATAACCCCCAACACATTTACCAAGTCTTTGTTCACTCCCAGGATTCCATTAAAACACCCAGCTCAACCCTGACCAGCCTCCACCTTCACTTCCCTTTGTAATTTTGACATAAATTTGTTACAGGACCATCAGGTTCCTATGCCGGCTGCACAGTAGCTTACCAATATTCTGAGACAGCAGGATTTGCAGCAGAAAGTTTAATGATCACAGGGTGGCTGAATGAGAAGCTGGGAGGAGATCCTCAAATTCATCTCCCCAAGGAGTACTGAGGGTTTCCAGTGGATCCTGGATAGCAAGGGGCTGGAAAGTTGGTGTAGTTTGATGGCAATAAGAGGTATGAAGTTATCACGATGTCAGAACGGCATTCTTTGGTGAGTTGATGCCTTGCAGGGCCCTTCAGATCAGCTGGCATCAGTAGTTTCACTGACATGCAGAACCTGAAAGAATATCTCAAATGAAAAACTTAATGTTTCACAATGCTTAAATTGTTGTCTGCAGCGTAGTTAAGGGGAATTGTAGTCTAAGTTCTACACGATTTTGGGACAGTAGGCTGCCAGCAACCATGAGGAAGCAGGTCAGAGGGCAAGCTGACCTCCTGGTGAATGCTGAATGCGTTTCAAGCTTGGTTTGTTTTTGTTCCTCCCCCTCTCTTTTTCACCGATTAAATTTATAAAGTTTAGAAATACGGTTTCAATTTCTTCCAGACAAGCCTTAACCTAAGCCCTGAGACCACTCAAGCCCTCAGTGGCACCTCTCTTCCACCAGCATGAGCAAATAAATTGCTACCTTAGGTGATATAAAACCCACAAGACGATTCGATACATGGAGTTTTTTTTCTGATTTTGTAGGGATGACTTCTTTGTTTCTATAAAGCTGTTTTAACTATAAAACAATTTTATAATTTTGATGTGGCCAAAGATCTCCCAACACTACTTTCAGGTTTTATTTTTCTGTCTACTATCCAGAACAGATCAAACCCTTCCCTGCCTCAAACTCAGGACTATATAGGTCATATATCAGTAAAATTCCATCAGTGTTTGCGGAGTTCATGAATGAATGAATTCTTTTTTTTTTTTTTTTTTTTTTTTTTTGTGACAAAGTCTACCTCTGTCACCCAGAACGGTGTGCAATGGTGCAATCTTGGCTCACTGCAACCATTGCCCCCTGGATTCAAGCGATTCTCCCACCTCAGCCTCCTGAGTAGCTGGATTACAGGCACCTGCCATCATGCCAGGCTAATTTTTGTGTTTTTGTAGAAATGGGGTTTCATCATGTTGGCCTTGCAGGTCTTGATCGCCTGACCTCAGGTGATCCAGCCAACTTGGACTCTCAAAGTGCAGGGATTACAGGTGTGAGCCACCTCACCTGGCCTTTAATGAGTGAATTCTTGATTTCCACCCTATTCCTAACACTGTCAATTTCTTGATTCATGAACTTAATATGGATAGCTGATATGAATGGATATCTGATTCAATCCAGTAATCTGGGGACAGCCAAAAACCCAATCAAGATTAACTGGGTGGAGCTTCAGAAATGCAATCAGATAGCACTTTTTGATTGGAAGCAAGCACTGGATAGATGGAGGGGTGTGGGTGGGAGTTGTGATTAGAAAGATCGATAAAAGTTTCTGAAGGCCCACAGGAGAGACCCAAAGTCTTCAAGTCTGGAGTTCCTGCTTGGTTCTTCCTGAGGTCTAAGCACTCTGCAAACTCAGTCCAGATCTAGTAAGTCACTCATTTCTGGAAGGACACTCCCATCTGACCTATAGTCAGCCGGTCTGGGACGGGGGCAATGCAGCCTATGATGGCACCGAGCTATATCTGTCTTTTATATATATATATATGAACAATTTGAAGATTTGAATTTTTTCCTCTATATGCAGTTTTGTCTTTATTTCAAAAAATTGGATTGTGCTTTGGTTTATGTCATTTCAAAATTCTTGATGGGAGCAATGACTCATGCCCATAACCTCAACACCTTGGGAGGCCAAAGCGGGAGGATCATTTGAGCCCAGGGGTTTGAGACCAACCTGGGCAACATGGCAAAAATGCAGCTCTACAAAACATTCTTTTTTTGAAGCAGGGATGGAGTCTCACCCTGTTGCCAAGGCTGGAGTGCAGTGGCAAGAGCTCAACTCACTGCAACCTCTTCCTCCCAGGCTCAAACAATTTTCATGTCTCAGCTTCCTGAGTAGCTGGTATTACATCCCTCTGCCACCATGTCTGCTTAATTTTTGTATTTTTAGTAGTGGTGGGGTTTCACCATGCTGGCCAGGTTGGTCTCAAACTCCTGACATCAAGTGATCCTCCTGCCTAGGCCCCCAAAAGTGCTGGAATGACGGCCGTGAGCCAATGGTGGTCAGCCTCTACAAAATATATATATCTTTTAATTTGCCAGGCATGGTAGCATGCATCTGTATTCCCAGCTATTTGGTTTGCTGACATGGGAGAATCACTTGAGCCCAGAAGATTGAGGCTGCAGTGAGCCATGCTCACACCACTGCTGTACTCCAGCCTGGGCAACAGAGTAAGACCCTGCTAAAAACAAAAACGAAAACAAACAAACAAAAAACCTTAACCAAAGAGAATCTTTGACCTTAATTTTAAACCAATCACATCCTCACTGTAATTCTTCCTCCCGAATGGAGACATGGGTGTGAGGGTGCATGCCTGTAATCCCAGCTACATGGAAGGCTGAAGCATGAGAATTGCTTGAATCTCAGAGGCGGAAGTTACAGTGAGCTGAGATGGAGCCGCTGCACTCCAGCCTGGGCGACAAAGTGAGACTCAGCTTCACCCACACCAAAAAAAATTAGATTATACCACCCAGGTGATCACTGGATACATGAAGATTTCTATTGTGTGTTATTGGGGACTGTCAACTCCGTCTTTGAAAACTGTTTTAACTCTGAAATATTTTGATAAATTTGATGTGGCCAAGGATCCCTCAACAAAGATACTTTCAAGTTTTCTTTCTTTCTGTCTAATATCAGGAAGAGATTCAACACTTCCCTATCTCACACTCAGGACTATGAAGGACACATATTAGTAAACCTCCATGTTTGTGGAGGGAATCAGTGAATGAGTCCTGGACTTTCACCCTATCCCTAAATCTTTCACTTTCATGGATGAATATCTAATTCAATCAGTTAATCTGGAAGAAAGCCAAAAATCCAATCAGGATTAACTGGGTAGAGTTTAAGAAGTCGAATCAAATGTAGTTCTCTCTCTCTCTCTCTCTCTTTTCTTTTCTTTTTTTTTTTTTTTTTTTTGAATCTAGCCTATTTCACAGGCTGGAGTGCAGTGGTGTATTGTCAGCTCACTGCAACCTCTGCCTCCTGGGTTCAAGTGATCCTCCTGCCTCAGCCTCCCTAGTAGCTTGGACTATAGGCGCAGACCACCGCACCTGGCTAATTTTTCTAATTTTGGTAGAGGTAGGGTTTTACCATGTTGGCCAGGCTGGTCTCAAACTCCTGACCTCAGATAATCCACCTGCCTCTGCCTCCCAGAGGGCTGGGATTACAGGTGTGAGTCACTGCACACAGCCAAAGTGGTTCATTTTGAATATGTGTGAGAGGTGTGTATTGGAAACATCTGTGTCTTGCCAATGATGCATAACACTGTCACATAGCTTTCAAAGCTTCTTGCTGAAATTTTCAATAATGAGACCAGGCAGAGGCTCATGCCTGCAATCCCAGCACTTTGGGAGGCCAAAGTGGGTGGATTGTTTGAGTCTAGGAGTTCAAGACCAGCCTGGACAACATAGTGAAACCCACTGTCTTTACAAAAAGTCAAAAAATAAAAGATTAGCTGGGTACGAGATCTGAGCTTCAGAGATCCTCGGTAACATTTGCCAGTGCTATGAGTTTAGTGGATCAGTGGCTAATAATTCATGGACTACGAGGGATCTTGCCTGCTCTTTAGAAGTTGGGACACATTCTTCATGGTACCAGAAGGGTAGAACTATGTCTCTGTGGCCACTTATTGCAGAAAGGAACTGGAGTAAACTGAGGGCTCTTTCACACATGCTAGAGAAATGACTTGGGCCCTGGGAGAATTGGGGGTTGCAGGGGATTGGTCGGAGGAACTTGCCTTTTTGCTGGATTGTGCTGTAGAGTTTTTCCTTGTAGATTTGTCAGAATGAGCCTCCAGACCCCATCCAGACTCCTGGAGCTGGCAGGGCAGAGCCTGATGAGGAAGCAGTTCTTGACTATCTTCACCCTGGACTAGCTGCCCAGGGAGGTCTCCCCTCTGACGTTCATGGAGGCCTTCAGCATGAGATGTTGTGAGGCCCTGAAGCTGATGGTGCAGGCCTGGTCCTCCCTTCACCTCCCTCTGGGATCCCTGATGAAGACAACTCATCTGGAGACCTTGCAAGCTGTGCTGAAGGGACTTGATACACTAGTGTCCCAGAAGGTTTGCCCCAGTTGAGGTGACTCAGGTGGCCTGGTGGGAAGGGTCCAGGCATCCAGGGAAGGGACAGCTGGCTCAGGAGGAGTGGCAGTGTGTGGGAGCTAGGGTGGCTCAGAGGCTTCTGATGGTACCCATGAGAGGCCTTGGCCATTGCCCAGATCCTCTGGAAAAGGACTGCTCACCATACAGAGTCCACTGAGGAAACAGGAACCTGCTTCCTCCCAGTGGAAGGTAAAGGTACTAGAAGTGGGTACCATGCAGAATCCAAGGGGGAACAGGATGGAGAAAAGACAGAAGGAGGAGCACTGGGACAGGAGCAGCTGACTCATGTCCTGGATGTGGAGTGAAAGTTCAGGTCAAGGGTCGGTCCTCGCCTACATTCTGAGCTTTTCCCTTATGTTACTCACAGGAGGTGGAAACTTCAAGTGCTGGATTTGAGGGATGTTGATGAGAATTTCTGGACCATATGGTCTGGAGTCAGGGTCCTCCCCTGCTCCCCAGAGGCCATGAGTAAGAGGCAGACAGTGGAGGACTGTCCAAGGATGGGAGAGTGCCAGCCCTTGAAGGTGTTCATAGACCTCTGCCTGAAGGAAAGTACACTGGATGAATGCCTGAGCTACCTCTGAAGGTGGATCCACTACAGAAGAGGCCTAGTGCACCTGTGTTGTAGTAAGGTGCAGAATTACTCAATGCCCACTTCAAGTTTCAGAAATCTATTGGAAAGGATATACCCAGACAGTATCCAGGAGTTGGAAGTCTGGAAAAAGTGCTCTCTCAATAAAACGGGAAAGTTTGCCCCTTACCTGAGCCAGATGAGCAATCTTCGCAAACTTTTTAGCCTTCGGTTATGAGCCTGAATTATACGTGAGCGGCCAATGGCAGTTCATTCCTGACTTGGATTGGCCATTCCTGTGCCTGTACTACCCCCAGATGCATTATATAAGAAAGGTCAGTAATATCAAAGAGCACCTGGAGCACCTGCTCAGGTAGGAAACGATGGTGGGCTTTCTCTGCAGACCATAACACATAGTTTTGTTCTTTTTCACAGTAAACGTTAGTGGGCATCTACTGTGTGCCATCCACTGGGGATGTCACAGGGAATGGGATGCTAGAATGTCAACTCATTAAGCTGTTCAGTTATGTTATGATAAATTTAATTTGATTTTTCTGCAATTCTTTTCTGCATTTTGTAGGAACCTTGCTTTTCCCCCTTTAGTTTGTCAGTATGCTGAATTACACTTAGATTTTCCTGTGATTGGCTGGCATTCCTGGAATGGCCATTATATATCACTATATTGCTTTCTTTTTTTCTTTTTTTTTTCTTTTTAAGGTGGAGTTTCACTCTTTTTGCACAAGCTGAAGTGCAATGGCATGATCTCGACTCACTGCAACTTCCACCTTCTTGGTTCAAGCAAATCTCCAGCCTCAGCCTCCTGAGTTGCTGGGATTACAGGCATGCGCCACCACACCTGGCTAATTTTGTATTTTTAGTAGGGATGGGGTTTCTCCATGTTGGTCAGGCTGGTCTCGAACTCCAGACCTGAGGTGATCCACCTGCCTCGGCCTCTCAAAGTGCTGGGATTGCAGGCATGAGCCACGGAGCCTGGCCTGTCTATCACTTTCTAATGCAGTGTTGCATTTAGTTAACTGATAATTTATTAAGTACTTTTTTCTGGCTGACCGTGGTGGCTCATGCCTGTAATCCCAGCACTTTGGGAGGCCGAGGCAAGTGGATCACCTGAGGTCAGGAGTTCTAGCCAACACAGAGAAATTCTGCCTCTTCTAAAACTACATAAATTAGCTGGATGTGGTGGCATGTGGCTCTAATCCCAGCTACTAGAGAGGCTGAGGCAGGAGAATTGCTCGAATCTGGGAGTAAGAGGTTGCAGTGAGGTGAGATTGTGCCACTGCACTCCAGCCTGCATGACAGAGTGAGTCTCTGTCTCAAAAAAAAAAAAAAAGAAAGAAAAAAGAAAAAAAACTTTTGCCAAATAAGTTTAAATTTACTTTCCTTCTAATATCCTTAGCCATTTTTAAAATATGGGTTACTGCTCTCTTATGAAATGAATTAGACAACTTTCCATATTTGCCTTTCTTTCTGGAACATCTTGTACAAAACAGAAAATACCGGCCAGGTGCAGTGGCTCATGCCTGCAATCCTAGCACTTTGGGAGACTAAGGCAGGCGGATCACTAGCTTCCAATCAAAAAGTGATATCTGATTGCATTTCTGAAGCTCCACCCAGTTAATCCTGATTGGGTTTTTGGCTCTCCCCAGATTAATGGATTGAATCAGATATCCATTCATATCAGATATCCATATTAATTGCATGAATCAGGAAATTGACAGTGTTAGGGATAGGGTAGAAGTCAAGAATTCACTCATTCAAGGCCGGGTGAGGCAGCTCACGCCTGTAATCCTTCCAGAAGGACTTCCCTGTACTGGTTTAGGCTTTGCATACCCTGTCTTTCATTTGGGTCCCACTGGGGGTCTGTTCCTGCTAGTTGGATCCTCACATACCCTCGGGGATTTTGTAATCAGCTGGAACATGTTCTTCCAGCCACTTAGTTGCCACTTGGAGCACTCTCCACCTTTCATCTGTGTTAAAGAGGTGCATGAGCACCTGGTGGCAATCAGCCCAGGTGGGGTTGTGGGTCTGGATAACAGTTTGGAGCAAATAAATTATAGCTTGAGGCTTTTCGGTATAGGATGGGGTATTGTTTTCCAATGGAGGAGATGGGCAGAGGTGAAGGGTTGGTACACAAAGGCACGTCTTTCCACCATAAGCCCATCCTCGTCTACTCCAGTATACTGTTGCTCTCTCAGGGACATTTGTATCCCAGTTCTAGGCCTCATACGGGCAGCCAAGGGAGGGTCTTGCATCCTGAGGTCTTGCACCCTTTCTTCTCTACTCTGGGCAGCCTAGGGGTATGTAGGCCTTGTGGAAGCTTGGGCGCAGTGGGCTCAGGAGTGGGAGGCCTTCCTTCTTGGTGAAAGGGGGGGGCACTGGCACAGTGTCTTGCCAGTGTTCCTTTGCTTAGTTTCTTTTTTTAACTGTTGTTTGTGATTTTCCATCTTCCTGAGACCAACCACTACTTGCTGGACCTTCTGAATTGGGAAAGAATGGAAAGTCTGTCAGCCAGTTTTTTCCAACATTTAGGTTGTTGAACTGCTTAGGGGATCCTCTGAGCCTCTCACCTGAGGGGTCTGCCAATCATTTGTTGTCTGAACATGGGCAGATTCCTCTTGCTAGCCAAATCTCAGGGTCACCAACATGCTTTAGATTATTTGTGAGGGAGAGCTGAGATCTTGGATGAATGATACCAGCCCCTGCTGTGCCTCGTGGATGCTCAGTCACCAGAGACACTCACGATCACCCTTGGTGCTGAGCTCAACCTCAGCCTCAGGCTCACAAAGTGAGGGCAGGCAAAGTAGAAGCCCCACTGAACACATTTCAGTTTAACTCAATTGCACACATAGCAGGGCATTGACAGTGAGGTCAGAAATGTGGAGAAAGAACATTTACAGAAACATTTCAAGATAGAGAACACCCTTCAAAGTACTCCAGTTTTGGAGGCCAGTGGCATCTCAGAGCTGTTTGGTTTTCATATAGAATGGGAGAGAAAGGCCTGGAGGACTTTCTGGAGGCAGGGGAGGTTCTTGCTACTTTGTGCCCTAAAACATCGGAAGAATCACTGTGTGATCCCTCTTAGGATGGGAGCCATCCGTGAACTTAGCAGATATTTCAACATGAAATAGAGCTTCCAGGTTTTGTGGGGGAAATGTATTTTAGGTGTGCACCCAATATAACAGTATATATGCGCTGCTCTTAAAGACAAGAAGGCTCGCTCTTTTTCTTTCTTTCTTTCTTTCTTTCTTTCTTTCTTTCTTTCTTTCTTTCTTTCTTTCTTTCTTTCTTCTTTCTTTTTCTTTCCTTCCTTCTTTCCTTCTTTTTCTTTCTTTCTTTCTTTTTCTTACTTTCTTTCTTCTTTCTTTTTCTTTCTTTCCACCTTTCTTTCTGTTTCCTTCTGTCTTTTTCTCTCCCCTCCCTCCCTCCCTCCCTCCCTTCCTTCCTTCTTTCCTTCCTTTTTTTTGAGGCAAGGTTTCATTCTGTTGAGCAGGCTGGAGTGCAGTGGCACAATGATGGCTCACTGCAGTCTCAACCTCCTGGGCTCAGGTGATCCTCGCATCTAAACTTCTTGGGCAGCTGGGACTACAGGTGCACACCACCATGCCTGGCTAATTTTTCGTATATAGTTTTTATAGACAGAATTTTCCATGTTGCCCAGGCAGGTCTCAAACTCCTGCGCTCAAGTAATCTATCTGCCTTGGCCTCCCAAAGTGCTGAAATTAGAGATATGAGCCACCACACATGGCCTGAGTTTTCTTTGTATACCTAATGGTATCACTTTAATCAGAATCTCTCTGTTCAATATCAGGGACAAGGGAGGACTTTAAGGATGGCAGAACATTAATTATCAAAATATGCTGGGGAATGGCACGAGGGTATTGATGAGGATGAGGGGCCCTGGGAAACACCTGTGGGTGAGGGTTGCTGGGAAATGTCCCACTGTGGGAAGATCCCTGAGTCTAAAAGAAAGGTTTCCAGACCATAGCACCATGACAGAGACTTGGACCCTTGTTCACTTTCTCCCACATCCTGCAAAACCCACAGCTCCCACCTTCGATGGCTTCCAGGTTGGGAAAGTCTCCCTTCCCAGGTCTGGCCACACTGCTTCTCTCTGGCATCTGCCCCAGCTCAGATTCTCAGATTCCATCTTCCCAGGCTGATTTTCTGAGGCGAGCCCATCATTTTTGGGAGTAAACACGCTTTCCCTTCTAGTAGGGGCCAAGACTGTTTCTGCCTTCTCTGCCCTCAAAGACAATGTTGTGTTTGAAGAGTCTGCACTGTCTCTTCTGTAACTATTCCCTTTTTAATTTTTAAACTCAATCCAGACAGAGTCTTTCAATCCTTCTGTGGAGATGCCCACAAAATACCCACCATGTTTTATGCTGTCTTGGTTCCTTCCCAGGGTTCTACTAGAACACCCGGTCCCATCCTGCCCAGCCCCCACCTCACTTTGTCATTCTGTCCTGATTTCCTGCAGTGAAGCCTTGACCTTAGTCTTGTGATCAATAACACCCTCAGTGGTTCCCCTCTTCAACCTGAACCCACATATGACCTGCCCCGTTAGGAAGCATAAAACCCAGGTAACTGTTGGATAACAGAGCTTTGTATTCTGTTTTCTTAGGGTTGACATCACCGTCTTTTTAAAGCTGTCTTAGCTCTGAAACGTTTGGATAATTTCAATGTGGCCAAATATTCTCCCATAAAGATATCATCAGGTTTTGTTTTTTCTTTCTAATGCCAGGAACAGATTAAACCTTCCATGTCACTATGAAGGTCACATGTTAGTCAAACTTCATCAGTGTTTGGGGAATAAATGAATTAATGACTTTTGGACTTTCACCCTGTTATTTATTCTTTCACTTTCATAAATGCACATCTAATTTAATCAATGAATCAGAAGAAAGTGTGAAACTCAATCAGGATTAACTGGGTGGAACTTCAGGATCTAATCAGGTATCACTTTCTGATTGGAAGCTGGTGATTGAGAAGGGGAGGGTGTGGTTAGAAACATCAACAAAAGCTCCTGAGTTTGCACAGGACAGACCCAAAGCCCTGGTGCCTGGAGCTACTGCTTGGTTCTCTGAGAGGTCCCAGCACCCTGCAAACTGAGTCCAGATCTGGTAAGTCACCACCTTCTTAGGAACATGCCCGTCTAATCTGCAGCCAGCCAGTCAGGGATGGTGACACACAGCCCAAAATGGCACAGAGAATTTCCTGTCTGTTTTTTCAGATTAAACAGATGTAGGTTTTGATTTTTCCTCCAAATATAGTTTTGACTTCATCCCTCAAATTTTGATTTGTGCTTCATTTTCCTCATTTCAAAATTCTTATTGAAGCAGTTTTTAAAAAAAAAATATTAAAAATTTACAGTTGGATGGATGTTTATGTCTTGACATGTGAAGTTGTTGGTTTCTGTGCCTGTCAGCTATAGTTCACACACTTAGCGGTATTGTGATTTTATTAGTCAGGCTTTCATTTTACAGAAATCTTAGATCTCCCGTACACCATTCTCAAGAGACTTGTTCCGAACCTGGGATTTATCTCTTCCCTTAGACTCTGTCCCTAAGTGTGTGATTGTGAGTATGTGGAAGGGATGTGTATTGGATCCTTCTCCTCAGACTTAGTGTTTCCATTTCTACCTTCCAAGTGCTCTAGACTACTGCAACACTGCTTTTATAATTTCTCTTACAGTTTTTCAAAATAAAAACACACACCTTGGACTCCCAAAGTGCTGGGATTACAGGAGTGAGCCACTGTGCCTCATCTAGAGTTAGTATTTCTATCCCTACCTTCCAAATGCTCTAGAATACCATCACGTCGCTTTTAGTTTCTGGTTAATTCTTTTCTCTTGTTCTGAGATGGAGTCTCACTCTGTCACCCAGGCTGAAGGGCAGGGTGTTGAGTTCAGCTCACTGAAAACACTGCCTCCGGGATTCAAGTGATTCTTCTTCCTCTGCCTCCAGAGTAGCTAGGATTATAGGACTGCACCACCACACCTGGCTAACATTTTAATTAATTAATTATTATTATTATTATTATTATTATTATTATTTGAGACAGAGTCTAACTCTTTTGTCCAGACTGGAGTGCAGTGGTGGGATCTCGGCTCACTGCAACCTCTGCCTTTTGGAGTCAAATGATTTTTAATTTTTTTATATTTAGTAGAGACAGAGTTCATTACGTAAGCCAGGCTGTTCTCGAACTCCTAACCTCAAGTGATCTGCCTGTTTTGGCCTCCCACAGTGCTGGGATTACAGACATGAGCCACAGCACCCGGTCAGTTTCTGGTTGAAATTTTTCAAAATAAAAAATAATGGCATTGACTTTAGGGAGTCCCTTTAGTGTTCCCCCAGCATGTTCATGGTGAAAACTGAGAATGGAGGCTGTCTGGGGCCACAGGACACTCTCATTCTCATTGCTTTAGGGCGGTAAGTGACAAGAAAATTTTCCTCAAAGAGGTAGAGCTTGGCTTTCAGGATCCTCAGTGACACTTTCCAGTGGTACTGGGATTCAGTGGAGCCATGGATGAAAATTAATGGGCCAGTGGTCTCTTTGACCCCTCCCTCCTTGGTGTTTGGAAGACATTCTTCCTGGTACCAGCAGAAGCAGAAATATAGATTTGTGGCCACCAAGTGCAGAGTGGAATTGGGGTAAAGTGGTAATTTTTCTACCTCTACCAGAGCAATGCTACTGGCCTTAGGAGAAGATGAGGTGATTGTGTTTGGCCTGAAAGTGATGCCTTTTCTCTGGATTTGTCTTCTAGAGTTTTTCCTTACAGATTCATCAGGATGAGCATCCAGGCCCCACCCAGACTCCTGGAGCTGGCGGGGCAGAGTCTGCTGAGAGACAAGCCCTTGGCCATCTCTGCCCTGGAGGAGCTGCCCAGGGAGCTCTACCTCCCACTCTTCCTGGAGGCCTTCAGCAGGAGACACTTCCAGACTCTGACAGTGATGGTGCAGGCCTGGCCCTTCACCCGCCTCCCTCTGGGATCGCTGATGAAGACGCTTCATCTGGAGACCTTAAAAGCATTGCTGGAAGGGCTTCACATGCTGCTTACACAGAAGGATCGCCCCAGGTGAGGTGACCCAGGAAGGCTGGTAGATGGGGCTCAGGTGTCCAGGGAAAGAACAGCAGGGTCAGGCAAAGAAGTATCCCAAGGATGGCCCAGTGTCTTCTGGTGGTGCTGGTGACGAAGCTCAGGCATGCCTTGGCCATTGCCCAGATCCTCAGGGAAAGAACTGCCCACAATATAGGGTCCACTGTGGGAACAGAAACTTGCCTATTCCCAGTGGAAGGTAAATGGAATAGAAGTGGGGACCAGTCAGAATTGAAAGAGAAAAGGGACCAAGAAAACTCAGAGAGAACAGGGAGCAGCGAGGACAGGAGCAGCTGATTTATTGGATGAGAATGAAAGCAAAGGTCAGGGATTTGTCCTTCAAAGTTCTGAGCCTCTGCCTTACTTTACCCACAGGAGGTGGAAACTTCAAGTGCTGGATTTGCGGGATGTTGATGAGAATTTCTGGGCCATATGGTCTGAATCCAGGGCCCTGTCCTCCTCCCCAGAGGCCATGAGTAAGAGGCAGACAGCAGAGGACTGTCCAAGGATGGGAGAGCACCAGCCCTTGAAGGTGTTCATAGACATCTGCCTCAAGGAAATACCCCAGGATGAATGCCTGAGATACCTCTTCCGGTGGGTTTACCAAAGGAGAGGTTTAGTACACCTGTGCTGTAGTAAGTTGGTGAATTATCTAACGTCGATTGAATATCTCAGAAGATCATTGAAAATAATCCACCTGAATAGTATTCAGGAGCTGGAAATTTGCTATGTGTCCTGGCCACATCTGATAAGAAAGCTTCATTGTTACCTGAAGGAGATGAAGAATCTTCGCAAACTCATTTTTCTCCAGGTGCCATCCTTACACGTCAATTACCGCGAGGAATGCTCAGTCGCCAAAATCAGCTCTATGTTCCTCAGGCTGAAACACCTCCAGCTGCTTAAAATGAATATGGTCACCTTCCACAGAGGGCACCTGGGACAGCTGATCAGGTGAGAAAGGATCGTGCCCTTTCTCTGCAGACCACAGCGCAGCCTTTTTTTTTGTTACAGTAAACACTAGAAGACGTGTACTGTGTGCCAGCCAGTGGCGACGGCACAGTGCAGGGGACACCAGAATGTCAACACATTGTCCCGTTCAGTGCTCCATGTCCTGGAGTGGCTATCACAGGATCACTTCAATAAAGGCAGAGGGGTCACCTAGGGTAGAGGCTAGAGAGGGACATCATGTACAAGGTACTTAGTGGGCGTTTTGTCTCTACTGCATGTGCACGTGTGAATTTCTTGTTACAAAGTGTGTTTCAAGTTGATATGATGTAAAAGAGGTAACAAAGGAGGGTATGAAAGGAGGGACAGTGCATCAAACTTGTGCATTTCACAGTAGAAGCTCTGTCCTCACCAGCTTAGTGATCATGAATGATCCTGTCTCTGATTCCCTGTCTGTAGAAGGTTGTTTTGAACTCCAGGAAAGTCAATTGACATGGGACATGCATGCTTCTGGGATGGAGGGTGAAGGAGTAGGAGTGAGAGTGGTAAAAAGTGACAGTTGGTTTGCAGATGCAGGCAGGCCAGGGAGCCCCTGCCGGCAGGTAGCCCCAGCTAATGTCCCTAGACCTTGCTGAGTTGAGTTCTTTGTGCACATCTCCCACCGGGTACCTGTGGCCCAGAGATGAGGTTTTCTGCTAAAAGATGAAGATAAAAGGCTTTAGAGATTTTGTGGCCTTGACCCAATCACACAAGAAATGGTGAAAGGGCTGAGGCTAAAATGGGACAGCCCCTGAATGATCAGGGTCCTCAACATGCAGCAACTTGCATGAGGACCATCATCAGATGGTGGGAACAAACTTGTGTTTGGTTGAAGCAGGTATTTTCCTTGAGTTCATTCCCCACTACCTTCATCTAACTGGTACCATTGCCCAGAACTAACTTCTTGATCTCCACAGGTGCCTCTAGAACCCCTTGGAGAACTTGGAATTAACTTGCGGCTACCTATTGGAAGAGGACTTGAAGTGTCTCTACCAGTACCCAAGCCTCGCTTACCCAAAGCATCTGAATCTCAGCTACATGCTGCAGTTCTGTATCAGTCTTGAACCCCTCGGAGCTCTGCTGGAGAAAGTTTCTGCCAACACGAGGGTCTCGAGAGAGGCAGCAATTACTCTTAAGACCCTCATCTTGGAGGGCTGTCAGATCCACTACTCCCAACTCAGTGCCATCCTGCCTGGCCTGAGCCGCTGCTCCCAGCTCACCACCTTCTACTTTGGCAGAAATTGCATGTCTATGGAAGCCCTGAAGGACCTGCTGTGCCACACCAGTGGGCTGAGCAAGTTAAGCCTGGAGATGTATCCTGCCCCCGAGGAGAGTTTGAATTCCTTGGTTCATGTCGATTGGGAGATCTTCACCCCACTTCGGGCTTAGTTGATGTGTACACTAAGGGAAGTCAGGCAGCCCAAGAGGATCTTCATTGGCCCCGCCCCCTGCCCGTCCTGTGGCTCATCACCGTCTGAGGAACTGGAGCTCCATCTTTGCTGCTAGGGAAGGCGTGCCTAGCGGGGTAGAGAAATCCAATGTTCTCTTCTAGGCCCTTGGACACTAAAATCTAGTATGTAGGTGCAAGTTATTTTCCTCTTTTCTTATTTCCTTTTTTAATAATTCCAATATTTTTATTACAAAAAAATTGAGAAAGTGTTTCACTATGTTGCCCCAGCAGGTCTCAAACTGCTGGTCGCATGGGATTCTCCTGCCTCGGCCTTCTAAAGTGCTGGGATTACAGGCATGAGCGACTGTGCCCAGGCCACATGTGCAACTTAAAGGAAGCACAGAGCTCTGTTTCAGACAGGTGCTCAGTGCGAGGGAAAAAATCCTAAGAGCAGGGGGCAAGACTTGAGGAAAATATTGAGGTGGAGTCAATGAGAGCTACAGAGTCAGAAAGAGAAACTAAAATTCTTCAGTGATGAGAATGTTATCCCTGCAAGGATGATTACCAAGAAATATCAGAAATAGAGAACCTCAGTGAAAACTTTCTGGTGTCCTCTGTAATTGATTTACTTGTTTTAGGGATTTATACATCAGAAATCTCTAGTTATTGAGTTACTGATGGAAAAATAACGAGGCACTAGTTTGTCTGTGATTGAGGTTCAGCTGCGGAACATCATAGCAGCCAAATAAAATTAGACCATTTTGAGTAATTCCCACCCATTCTTGTTCTTTTATTTCATTATTTATTTTTTTATTTTTGGAGACAAAAATATTGCTTTGTCATTCAGGCTGGAGTGTAGTGGTGCAATCTGGGATCACTGGAATCCTTTCCTGTGGGGCTCAAGTGATTCTCGTGCCTCAACCACTCAAGTAGCTGGGAGTACAGGCACGTGCCACCAAGCCTGCTAATTTTTGTATTTTTCGTAGAGACAGGGTTTTACCCTGTTCACCAGGCTGGTCTTGAGTTCCTGGCTTTGAGTGATCCGCCAACCTTGGCCTCCCAAAGTGCTGGGATTACAGGTGTGCGAATGGTCTGCACCCATCCTTTACTTCTCTTTAGTCATCTGTTTTTTCATACTTTTTCGACTGTGGGGAGCAGCTCGGTCGGGCACAAAGGCACAGGCAGAAAGGGGCCATGAGGAGAAGATGGGCTTGGGGTGGTGCCGTGCTTGCACATGAAGTGTGGTTGTCAGGTTCCAAAGGCAGAGCTGGGGCCATGCTCCAGGGCCCCGAGTTGGGAAGCAGAAATGGCACCAAGTTCAATGACCTGGCCAGCTATGCATCAACTGTGTGCCCACCCTGCTAATAGTATCAAGTTCCTAGGTCTAAAAAGGAGTTCTGTGTGAATCTTCCTGAGGCTGCATTTCCAAGATCTGCCCCCAAGAGGGGTGAACACAGAGCCTGATGCTTCCGATTGCTGGGCCTGTGGACCACGATCCACTCCTAAAGGCACCACCTCTTGGCTGGGTTGTCAGCCAGGCCTGTGCCCCATGTCCCTGAGGCAGCCAACTGTGCCACCCATACCCTCTCACGGCTAAACGGGACTTGCCCCTAGGTCCGCAGTCTCCACCACAGCCTCGACCTCACTCCCCACTTTGTGCTGTTAGCCTGCAAACTCCTGGATCAGAGCGCAGTTGGGGCTCATTAAACCGGACCCAGGAGCTTCAGATTTGTTTCTGTGGGGTTGACCAGAGCTGCTGTGAACCTGCATCTCACCTGTCACCTCTGCACGGAAACAGAGAGAGGGCAAAGCTGAGGCTGTGCACACTTTGGAGCTGATGGGATCCTGGGACAAGAGGGAGTCCTGGTCCTCCCAAGTTGGCAGGGCAGTAGCTCCAAAGGCACAACTGAAGCTGCCCAGGTTGCAGTTACCAAACAAGGTCCCCTAGTGCTCTCGAGGGCCCAGGAGGTCCCCCCTTCCCCATTCTATTGCTCAATAAAGGTCCTCTTTATCTTGCTCACTCTCCACTTGTCTGCATATTTCATTCTTCCTGGTTGCAGGACAAGACCCGCCTAATGGTGGGGCTAAAAGCAGTAACACAAACAAAGCTGAAACACGCCCCTTGCTCACCAAGTTGTAGGTGAAGAGAAAAAGAGAAGAGCTACTACTCTTTTCAGGAGCCCAGACGTGGGAGCTTCCTGAGCCAGGGCTGTGATTCCCTTTTTGTGGTTCTGCAGTTCCCAGCACTTCCAAGAAGGCCCATAATGGCAGTTAATGCTAGAAAGGGGAGGTAGAGGAACCTGTGGAAGGAAAAAAAAAAATGGTGGGGCTGAGATGGAGGGCCTGGGTCCACCCACAGACGAAAGTCCCTTCCTAGCAGACCCTGCACTGGGCCCCGGGGATCCTGGCGTCCCTGGTTCACACCCACGCTGCATATCGCACCTATGGGGGGCACCCCAAAGCTTCTAGCAAGCCCAGAAAGGAAGACAAGACTTGAAAGGGGAGGTAGAGGCACCTGTGGAGGAAAAAAATGGGCACCGTAGAGGAGGGGTGCTTGGGTCCCCCCACAGAAGAATGTGCCTTCCCAGCAGCCCCTACGGAGTCCCCGGGATTTCTGGCATCCCTGGATCACACCCACGTTGCCTGTCATGGTGGTGGGGGCACCCGGAAGGGGCAAGAAAGCCCAGAAGGGAAGATAAGGTTTGAAAGGGGAGGTAGAGGCACCTGTGGAAGGAAAAAAATGGCGCAGTCGAGAAGGGGGGCCTGGGTCAACCCACGGATGAAAGTGCCCTCCCAGCAGACCCTGCACAGGGCCCGGGGGATCCTGGCATCCCTGGTTCACACCCACAGTGCGTGTTGCACCTGCGGGAGGCACCCCAAAGCATCAAGAAGGCCCAGAATGGAAGAGAAGGCTTGAAGCTTAAAGTAGAAGCACCTGTGGAAGGAATAAAAAACGGCACGGCAGAGGAGGTGGGCATGGGTCCCCCCATGGATGAAAGTGACTTCCCAGCAGCTCCTGAGCTTGGTCCTGGGGATACTGGTGTCCCTGGTTCGCCCCAACGATGCCTGTCCCTCCCACTGGGGGGAAACCCAAAGCAGCAACAGGCACTAGTGGAAGGTAAAAAATACGTGCGGCAGAGGAGGGGGGCCTGTGTCCCCACATGGACTAAAGTGCCTTCCCAGCAGCACTTGCACAGGGCTCCGGGGTTAGTTCCATCCCTGATTCACACCCAAGGTGCATGTCACACCCATGGGGGGCACCCCAAAGTGGTAAGAAGTCCCAGGATGGAAGATAAGGCTAGAAAGGGGAGGTAGAGACACCTGTGGAAGAAAAAAAATGGCGAGGCAGAGAAGGGGTGCCTGGGTCCCCCCACAGATGAAAGTGCCCTCCCAGCAGACCCTGCACAGGGCCCTGGTGATCCTGGCGTCCCTGGTGCTCACCCACGGTGCATGTCACACTCGCGGTTTTACCCCAATGGGGCAAGAAGGCCCAGAAAGGATGATAAGGCTTGAAAGGGGAGGTAGAGGCACCTGTGGAAGGAAAAAAAAAAGGGAACAGCGGAGGTTCAGGCCGGGGTACCTCCTTGGACAAAAGTGCCTTCCCAGCAGCCCCTGGGTGGGGCCCCGTGGATCCTGACATCCCTGGTTCGCCCCCTTGGTAAGTGTCAATGACCTCATGGTATGTGTATATATATATATATACATGTGTGTGGTGTGAGCACCTAGAAAGTGACAACTCTCCAGGACAGAGCTGGCCTCACAGATTAACATGGTTTTTCACTTGGCAGGGAAAAGTAAAACGCCTCGTGTCCCTGGCTGGGCAACCCCCTCAGGAGTGCAGCAAGGAGACATGGGATCTGTGGACAGGAGGCTACTGGGCGAAACCTCTCATTGAGGATTATGTTAAAATTTGCACTTGAGACGCTGAGTGCCCTATGTCCTTCCCACTCACCAAAGAACCCCAGCTGAGCCAGCCCTGACTCCCAGACACAAGAGCCCAGGGAGAAGCTGGGAGAGAGGGAGACCCGCTGTGACCTCAGGGCATGGAAGGAGCCCTGACCTTTTTCTCCATGATGCCTTCCCCACTCCCAAGTGCCTCTGGCCTGAAGCTTCCAGGGACCCCTGCATTCCATCCATGCCCTCCTCTGCTCCCTCCAACCCAGCCTTTTCTAAAGCCCCATGCATTTGTCTCCATGAGAGTGCCCCAGTCTCAGGCGCTCACAGTGCCTCAGAAGCTCGGGGTCCCTGTGCCTGCCTGGAGGCAGTCTCACTCTATGTGGCCCCATGTGTGTTCTTGGATTTCTTTCTACACAAGGTCACCTGTAGGTGTACAGTAGACACATCACCTGTAGAAGAGCCAATGGGGATGGGTGAGGACCAGGAACCCTCTCAGGCACACACATGGAAAGAGAGAGAAGTGTTCCTGGAAGCACAGGCCTGGGGGTGGGTGCTAGCCCCCTGTGTCTCCTCTAATCAAAGAGGTCAGCGACTTTGGCCACAGAATACACACCCACTTCCCATGGGTTCACATCCAAAGAACAAACTCCTTCAGACTCCCTGGTCCATGCACTCGAGATCCCCAGGGTGTCTTGAGTTTTTATCCCAGAAGGAGAGAGAAACAAGCTTTCATCAGCTAAACAAGACCACTACTAATACTAATGTAGGTATTGACACTAATACTAGTACTACTACTAATACAAGTGCTAACACTACCAAAAGTACTGTACTAATATGAATATCAACAGGGATTTTTTTTTCTAGCTGCTCAAGGAAATGTGTGGAGTCATCCCCTATTTTCTTTTTATTGGAGCCACTGTGTCAGTGGCGACAGTGGTTAGGAGCCTCCTTTGGGTAAAAACGAGGTAACTTCAGCCCCTGCTTGCTCCACTGTCTGCCTCTCCAGGGCCTCTGTGTCCTGCTGCAGAGTCTAGCCTGTTCTTCACAGGCACACATTCCTTATGGCACAGAGACACACCAATAAAAAAAGTCCTGAGAGAAAGGAAGGAATGGCACCTGCAAGAGACCTCACACTGATGGACCTCAGAGATATTCGTGGTCTGAGGAACACAGAGGAGAATGTGTGGGGAGCAGATCCCCACTGAGAAAGAAGCAGGACAGCTGGGCGCAGTGGCTCACACCTGTAATCCCAGGACTTTGGGAGGCTGAGGCATGTGGATCATGAGGTTAGGAATTTGAGACCAGCCTGGCCAATATGGTGAAACCTCATCTCTAGTAAAAATAGAAAAATTAGCTGGGTGTGGTGTTGTGCCTGTAGTCCCAGCTACTTGGGAGGCTGAGGCAGGAGAATTGCTTGAACTGAGGAAGCAGAGGTTTCAGTGAACAATAGGAAAACAGTATTACAAGGAAAACTACTAGTCCTAAGATTTCTAACTATGTTTATTTGCTTGATGAGTCCTCAAGCTTCGGCCGTGCGTAGACTAGTCAGCTTCCAGTGTGTGACTAGAGCAGGGCTTGTTGTCTCCTCAACCTTCAGCTGTACGTAGACTGGTCAGCTTCTGGAGTGACCAGAGCAGGGCAGTCATCTTTAGCATCAGCTTGGTCTCATCTCAGGATCAGCTGTGTCTCATCTCAGGATCAGGTGGGTGATCTGGGTCCTGCTGGCTGGTCCACTTGTCCTGAGCTTCGGTTTCAGCCAGCTGTGGTGGATCCAAGGCACAACACCTGCAACTTTAACAGCAGAGGGAGTACACAAGATTACAGTATAGGGCTGGGTGTGTTGGCTCATGCCTGTAATCCCAGCACTTTCAGAGCCCGAGGCGGGTGGATCACGAGGTTGGGAGATGGAGAGCATCCTGGCTAACACGGTGAAACCTCATCTCTATTAAAAAAAAAAATACAAAAATTACCCACGCATGGTGGCGGGCACCTGTAGTCCCAGCTACCTGGGAGGCTGAGGCAAGAGAATGGTGCGACCCCCAGGAGGCAGAGCTTGCAGTGAGCTGAGATCATACCACTGCACTCCAGCCTGGGGGACAGAGCAAGACTCTGCATCAACAAAAAAAAAAAAAAAAAAAAAAAAAAAGGTTACAGTATAGGGCCCATCCCATATGGGTCCTAGAGAATTTAATTCAACTTTTTAACTCAGAGTCACTAGGTTTAAAGGGGTGTGTCTGGTCTGTCAGGCTTACAGGCATTCTTTCCTGTACCCACCCATGGACACTTTGCAAGTCTGTCCCTAATGCCTGCATTTGCTTTCTTAAGGTTAATTCTCTTAGTTCAAGGAGATAACCTTTAATTTGACTTATGATTGGGGGAGGCTGACTGAACAAAATCTCATAGGGCAAATACCCAGTTTGTTTGGTGAGGGTGCACCTGACTCAGAGGAGGACCATAGGCAAGACCTGATCCCATCTCAGATAGGTTTCCTGGAAATATTTCTTCAGAAGCTCCTTGAGTGTCTGGTTCATGCATTCCACTTTTTCTGAACTTTGCGGCTGATAGGCTGTGTGTAACTTCCATTTTATTTTTAACAGTCTTGTTAAATCTTGCACTATTTCAGCTACAAATGCCGTGCAATTAACGGACCCTAAAGTTAGAGGCAGTCCAAGCCTGGGGATGATGTCTCTTAGCAGTACTTTAGTCACTTCTCATGCTTTTTCTGTTCTGGTGGGGAAAGCTTCAACCCATCCTGAAAAGGTGTAAATAAGCACCAGCATATACTGATAGCCTCCGGCATGGGGTAGTTTGGTAAAGTCTACAAGAAAGTTTTCACAAGGCATGGTTCCTACTTCCTGAATTCTTGGGGGTTGAGTGGGCCCCTGTCACGGGTTGTTCTGAGCACAGGTTAAACATTGTTTACAAACAGCTCAAATGATGGCCACGGCACATAGAAACAGCATTTCAGTAATGTTTCCAGTGCCATTTTTTCCCATATGAGTTCCTAGATAAATTTGCTTCAGAAACGTAGGAGCTAACATTTCTGGAATGGCTAATGTCCCATTGAAGAATTTCCACCACCCTCCTTTAATATATTTTCCAGCTTCTTGAGCAAACCAGGCTCTTTCATTTGGAGTAGAACTTGGATCTTCTTGGAGAGGAGCTTCTGGGAGGAGAAGCATAGCTAAGGCTTCCTCTTTAAAATGTGATGCAATCATTGCTCCCCTCTTTGCCTCTCTGTCTGCCTTTCTGTTTCTTTTGGTTTTTGGTGTCCCTGACTTTTGGTGCCATCTGCAGTGCATTAAAGCTACTTTTCCTGGAGGCCATACAGCCTCTAAGAGCTGTAGAATCTCTTCTTTGTACTTGATTTCTTTGCCTCCAGCTGTTAAAAGCCCTTTCTCTTTGTCTATAACTTCATGTACATGCAATGTAGTAAAAGCATACTTAGAATCAGTGTAAATATTGACCTTCTTCTCTTTTGCTAGAAACAGTGCTCTTGTCAGGGCTATTAATTCTGCCTTTTGAGCTCATGTTCCAGTAGGCAGAGGCAGAGCATCTACTACTAAGTCCAATGTTATTACTGCATACCTGGCATCTTGAACCCCTTCTAGCACAAAACTACTTCCATCTGTGAAGTATTCAAAAGCCGGGTCTCTGAGGTCTGTCTGCAAGATCTTTCCGACTGGAGAACACCTCATCTACTGTTGCAACACAGTCATGGAGGGGAGCCCCCGGTTAGACTGGGAGCAGAGGAGCCAGGTTTAAGGTGTTCACTGTTTCTAAAATAATGTAAGGGTTCTCACAAGGAAGACCTGAGTCATTTTTGGGTTTGATAACCAAAGATGCCCTCTTTGGTCCATCAAAGTTATAACTGAGTGTGGCACCCGCACAGTTAGCTGCTGTCCCAGAGTTAATTTGCTAGCTTCTTGTGTTAACAAGATGGTGGCAGCTAATGCCTTAAGGCAAGGAGACCATCCTAGCACCACAGAGTCCAGTTGTTTGTATAAATACGCCACTGGGCAATGCCATGATGCTATAATTTGAGTCAGAACCCCTATAACCATTCCTTTTCATTCATGAATACATAGAAAGAGAGGCTTAATTATATCTGGTAGTCCTAAGGTTGGGCCTGACCTAAAGCTTCCTTGAGCTGTTTGAATGCTATTTCCTGATTAGTTTCCCAAAGGAGGGGCTCTTTTTCTCCGATTTTGTGGCTTCATATAATGTCTTAGCCATCACTGAAAAATTTGGAATCCAGATGTGGCAGAATCCTGCTGCCCCTAAAGGAAGGGGGCCAGCCCCTCCACACCTGTGGGTATACCTCATCAAGTGGGGTGAGAGACTGAGAAAAGAAATAAGACACAGAGACAAAGTGTAGAGAGAGAACAGCGGGCTTCTAGCCAGCAGAGAGTTGCCTGTGTTACTCTCCGACACTCCTCAGTGTTAAACAGTGGGAGAAAAAACTGCCTGCAGTCTGGCCAGGTTGGATTGTGTGTCAGAAAGATGGATTGCATCAGATCTATAAGAGCTTGGGGCTTTGCCATATAGGAGGGAGTATGGTGTTTCCAGTTCAAGAGATCAATGGTTGAAAAGGGATGATAGATGAAAGTCCATTCCCCCCACCTGACTTGGCCTTGGTCATCATAATAAATGGGTCCTCCCATCTCCCTGAGATGCATTTGCATAACTCAAGCATGGCTAGATCTGAGATGGCCGGCTTAACCATCTTGACTTCCTTCCCTGGCCTCTCAAGCCTCTGATCCTTCCTTTGGGGTGAGACTTTGGGTGTGCTAGCTCCTGAATCTGGTTCCTGGGGGACTGTTGGCCTCGGTAAAGAAGGCTAGGCTGGGACATATGGAGTAGGAATCTCTATTCCCTCTGGTGGATCCTGCAAAACTGGCTTTTTTGCTCCCTCTGGGACTTTGCCTTTAACTCTGTGTCTGCCGGTGAAGCTGTTCTTACTTTCATTTTTGGCACGGCTCTGGCCACAAGTGTTTTGCACTAACTGGCTAAACAGAGCTGGACCATGCTGGTCTTGTCTGTGCTATATTTAACCATAAGTCAATATAAGGAAATTGATCTGGGTGCCCAGGCTGTCCTCCAACCCCTGTCACCACCTTAAATACACGGTCAATTATTTCCCTATCTATAGTTCCTTTGGTTGGCCATCCAACACCAAAAGAAGGCCATTTGAATTCACAGAGAGTTCTCAACCTCTAGGAGGTTAGCGTAACTCCATAATCTCCTGCAAAACCTTTATTAAAGTTCTCTAACATGCACCCAATGGAGTGTGTTTTGATGACTTTCCTCCTATTTCCTCGCTTTACGATGCAGCACACCCACTCTTCCTTTTGCCTCAGACCCACCAGATCATCTCCTATTATGGGAGTTTTCAGATGCCACTTGGCTTAAGAAAGGGTTTTATTCCCACCATAACTCTGAGATGTGGGGCAGCTCCTATTAGCTGTATGCGGTTCGCCACTAGTGCAGGTTGGCCCCACACTTGGCTTGGAGCACACAGACCATGCTAAGAGATCTGTGACTCCCCATGCCACTCCCACATTGGTTCCTCCCTGAACTGTATCTTTCACACACTTTCACACACCTCCCCACTCCCAGTTCGTGTGTTCCTAATTGGGGTTGTGAGCCACTCTCACCACCTCCAGTTTTCTTTTCCTAACCGACTTGGGGAGCCACTCTTGCATTGTGTGCCAGGTAGGGTGTGAGATTCATCTGAATTGGCGAGCCTCTGTCACCACCTCCAGCCTCTCTGGGTCAGATTACTAGTTACACCCTTGGAGGTGATCAGGCTCCCCTTCCGTCCTTATGGGACGGATCCTGTCTTTGGTCCCAAAACTTTACTGCAGTCCTGAAGAAATCACACTGCTCCTGGAATCATCCTGTAGCCCCTCAGGTTCTGTTGTGCTGCTGGGTGGGGGCACCAGGTCACAGGAGAGCCGATCTCCCCTCTGGGCTGAAGTTCTTCCAGCAGCGCCTGGGGTCACAGGTTTCTTTCCCTTGACCCTGGGCTCCAGCCCCACAAGAAAAGGAGAAAGTAAACCTGTCATCTCCACTCCTCCTGTCTGGCTCACCAAAAAGTTCTGAGAAACTGAGGACCAGAGAGACTGATATGGGAAAACAGGAGGATTTTTTTTTTTAAGGTACACACTGGCTCAGTGGATTCATATCCAAAAAGCTGAGCATTGAACAAAGACTGAGCAGGATTTTTATAAGCAGGCTTACAGAAGCAAAACAATGGCAGTTAATCATACAATGACAGGTAATGTAATCTATTACATAACTGTGGCCTTGCATAGCTGGTGGCCTTGTAGCTGCATCAAAAGAAAAAAGAAGAACTGGCTAAATACAGACATTTGCCATTTTTCTTTCTTTTTTTTAATCACCCTTGCTCTGGAGCAGTGGGTGTCTGGAGCCTATTCCTTTCTTTCAACTTCTCCAACAGCATTATCTTATAACTGTCCTTGAAATGAGCTTGCTAGGCAGAGGAAAACTTGTTTTTTGTTTGTTTGTTTGTTTGTTTTACCTTTGCCTGACACATTCTGGGCCTTGGCTTTTACTTCTCAGACTAGGTCACTATGACCTTCTTATAGCTTTGTCTGTAACTTTTCTTGGAGTAAATGAATGTAGTATTTATTGTTATTATTGTGTTTAAATTTCTGCCTCAAGACCAGACTACGTAGTAAAGCAAGACCCCATCACTATTAAAAAAATTAATAGAAAATAGCATATATGATGGGGCATGGTGGTTCATGCCTGTAATCCCAGCACTTTGGGAGGCCAAGGCAGGTGGATCATCTGAGGTTAGGAGTTCGTGACCAGTGAGGCCAATATGGTGAAACCCCAACCCTACTAAAAATACAAAAATTAGCTGGGTGTGTTGGCTCGCACCTGTAATCTCAGCTACGCAGGAGGCTGAGGCAGAAGAATCACTTGAATTTGGGAGGTGGAGGTTGCAGTGAGCTGAGATCATGCCATTGCACCCCAGCCTGAGTGACAGAGTGAGACTTCATTTCAAAATTAAAAAAAAAAAAGAAAAGAAAATAGCATATGGAATATCTCTGTGGTTTTCTTAAAAACAAAGCAAAATCTGTCATTTAAAATCACAATAACATTGCTGGGCACCATGGTTCACTTGAGTCCAGGAATTCTGAGACTAGCCCAGGAAATGTGGTAAAATCTTTTCTCTGCATGAAATACAAAATATTAGCCAGGTATGCTGCCACATGCTGGAAGTTCCAGCTACTCAGAAGGCTGAGAGGGGATGATTGCTTGAGCCTGGGAGGCAGAGGTTGCAGTAGGTCAAGATTGCAACACTGCACACCACCCTGGGTGACACCCAATCTAAAAAAAAAAAAAGTCTTTCAATCCTTTTGTCCAGATGCCCACAAAATACCTGCCATGTTTTATGTTGTCTTGGTTCCCTCCTAGGGTCCCATTAGAACACTTAGTCCCATCCAGCCCAGCCCTCACCTTACTTTGTAATGTAGGCCTGATTTCTTTCAGTGAAACCTTGACCTTAACCTTGAGAAAAATTACACCCTCAGTAGTTCCTGTCTTCCACCTGAATGGGCATATGATCTACCATGTTAGGTAGCATAAAACCCAGGTGCCCAGTGGATACACAGAGATTTTTATTGTGTTTTTTAGGGATGACATCCCTGTCTTCTTAAAGCTGCTTTAATGCTGAAATGTTTTGATACTTTTGATGTGGCCAAAGATTCTCCAATAAAGATATATATATATTCTAATGTCAGAAACAGATTAAATCCTTCCCTGTATCACTATGAAGGTCACATATTAGTCAAACTTTACCAGTGTTTGTGGAATAAGTGAATAAATGAGTTTTAGACCTTCATCCTGTTATTACTTCTTTCACTTTCATAAATGCCTATCTAATTTAATCACTTCATGAGAAGAAAATTGAAAACTCAATCAGGGTTAACTGGGTGGAAGTTCACGATCCAGTTGGATGTCGTTTTCGAATTGGAAGTTGGTAGTCAAGAAGGGGGTTGTAGTGAGAAAGGTCAATAAAAGCTCCTGAAGGTGCACAGAAGAGACCCAAAGCCCTGGCTCCTGGAGCTACTGCTTGATTCTCACAGAGGTCCCGGCACCCTGCAAAGTGAGTCCAGAACTGGCAAGTCACCACTTTTTAGGGACATGCCCATTTGATCTGATCTTCTGTATAGCAAGTCATACAAAAGTCTGGAAGACACTAGCACATACACTGTGAAGAGAAGTCTGGGATAAGGGGAAGATTATAGGAGATGTTTGCTCTGTGGTTTTGGAATGTTTTGCATTCAGAATACTGTCCAGAGAAGGGAAAAATGATGAAAAACAAATGAAGCTCGCCCTCATGTACCTCTATGTACCTCCTACCATGCTGGACTTTCTTGTTTTGTTTCATTTTGTTTTTCTTTCTTTCTTTCTCTCTCTCTCTCTCTCTCTCTTTCTTTCTTTCTTTTTCTTTTTTTGATACGGTATCTCACTCTGTTGCCTAGGCTGGGGTGCAATGGCATGATCTTCGATCACTGCAACCTCCACCTCCTGCGTTCAAGCAATTCTCCTCCCTCAGTCTCCCCAGTAGTGGGGACTACACCTATGCACCACCACGCCCAGTCAATTTTTGTATTTTTAATAGAGACAGGATTTCAATCATGTTGGCCATGCTTGTCTCAAACTTCCGACCTAAAGTGACCCACCCACTTCGGCCTCCCAGATGCTGGGATTACAGATGTGAGCCACTGCACCTGGCCAATTGCTGTACTTTCATGATACACATGGAGTATCCACAGTATCACAAGGGCTATTTTTTCCATAATCCAACTTATTTGTATTATTGGTAGTGAGCTACTGTTGACGTCCCCACGTTAGCAATTTAGTGGCTATACTGATGATAAGCATTTCCATGCATCATGTGGTCAACAGCATTTGCTACCAAGTGCCACGTTCCATGCTCAGCAGTGGGACCACAGGATGAGCGAGACAAAGTTCCTGACCTTTAGCAGCAATATCGAACAAGTGAGATTGTCAAGAAAGAAAAAATCCTTGTAAAACATACCATACCCCTACGATTCAGTCATCATGCTCCCAGGTATTTAACGAAGGGAGTAAACCCACACCTGGATGTTTATAGCAGCTTTATTCATAATCGCCAAAACTTGGAAGCAAGAAAGATGCCCTTCAGTGGGTGACTGGATAAAGAAACTGTGATCCATCTGGTCAGTGAACTATTACGAAGCCATAAAAAGACATGAAAGATTCCTAAATGCACGTTATTGTACAAGTGAAAGAAGGCAATGTGAAAAGACTCATCCTGTTAGACATTCCAGAAGAGCCTTCTGCCTTTTTCTATGGAGATGGTAGAAAACCCAGTGGTTGCAAGGGATTTGGAGTACAATGGGATGAATGGAAAGAGGACAGAGGACTTTTAAGGAAACAAAACTACTCTCCATGATGCTCTAATGGTGGATACATGTCATTATCCCTTTGTTAAAATCCATAGAATATACAAAACCAGCAATGATCCTTCATGTGAACTATGGACATTGGGTGATAATGATGTGTCCCTGTGGCTCATTGGTTGTGACGAATGCTCTGTGCTGGTGTGGGTGCTGATCCTGTGGGGGTGCTGTGTATTGAAGGGGGAAGAAGGTAGATGAGAACTCTGCAGTTTCTGCTTAGTTTTTCTGTGAATCTAAAACTGCTATAAAGAAAAAAATAGGCTGGGCGTGGTGGCTCACATCTATAGTCGTAGCATTTTGGGAAGCCGAGGCGGGTGGATCACCTGAGGTCAGGGGTTCGAGACCAGCCTGGCTAAAATGACAAAACCCTGTCTCTACTAAAAAATAATAATAATAATAATACAAAAATTAATCAGGTGTGGTGGTGCATGCCTGTAATCCCAGCTACTCTGGAGGCTGAGACAGGAGAATTGTTTGAACCCTGGAGGCAGAGGTTGCAGTGAGCTGAGATCGTACCACTGCACTCCAGCCTGGGTGAAAGAGTGAGACTCCATCTCCAAAATAAATAAATAAATAAACTCAAGGCTGGGTGCGGTGGCTCATACCTATAAGAGCTCACTCCCAGCAATTTAGGAGGCCGAGGCAGGTGGATCGCTTGAGCCCAGAATTTCAAGACCAGTCTGGGCAACGTGGTGAAGCCTGGTCTTCACTAAGAATACAAAAATAAGCCAGGCATGATGGTGCATGCCTGTTGTTCCAGCTACTAGGGGGACTGAGGCAGGGAGATCACCTGAGCCTAGGAGGTCAAGGCTGCAGTAAGCCGTGATCATGCCACTGCACTCCAATCTGGACGACAGAGTGAGACTTTGTCTCCAAATAAAATAAAATAAAATAAAATAAACTCAATATTTTTAAAAACTGTAATGTTTCCTTTCAAAGCTAAAATTGTATTATTCTAAATATATTTTAAAGAAGAAATGATTATTGTTCAGTGTCTTTAAAATTAGTTTTTAAAATCTCATTTGTTTTGACATTTCAAACCAAGTTAAGTATTCTTTTTCTCACCCTCCTTGAGACGGAGTCTTCCTCTTTCACCCAGGCTGGAGTGCAGTGGTGCATTCTCGGCTCACTGCAACCTTTGCCTCCCAGGTTCAAGCGATTCTCTTGCCTCAGCCTCCTGACTATCTGGGATTACAGGCGCCTGTCACCACGCCAGGCTAATTTTTTGTATTTTTCGTAGAGACGGGGTTTCATCATGTTGGCCAGGCTGGTCTGGAACTCCTGACCTCGTGATCTGCCCACCTCGGCCTCCCAAAGTGCCAGGAATACAGGCATGAACCACCACACCTGGCCATTAACCATTCTTAACATATCACGTTGCATTCTTTAAAAGTTCTAATCTTTCATGTACATAAATTACAACACAAATATTTGTACTCTAATAGTATTCACATTATAGTAAATTTTTTTTCATGCTCTGTCACCCAGGCTGGAGTGCAGTGGCGCGATCTTGTCTCATTGCAACCTTCGCCTCCCGGGTTCAAGTGATTGTCCTGCCCCAGCCTCCTGAATACCTGGGATTACAGGCGAATGCCACCACTCCCAGCAAATTTTGTGTATTTTTAGTAGAGACGGGGTTTCACCATGTTGGCAAGGCTGGTCTCAAAATCCCGAGGCTGCCTTGGCCTCCCAAAGTGCTGGGATTAGAAGTGTGAGACACCATGCCCGGCCATAATAATAAATTTTATTTTATCTTTTTTTTTTTGAGACGGACTTTTGCTACTGTTGCCCAGGCTGGAGTGCAATGGCTCAGTCTGAGCTCACCGCAACCTCCACCTCCCAGGTTCAAACGATTCTCCCGCCTCAGCCTATCGAGTAGCTGCAATTACAGACGTGCGCCACCACGCCTGGCTAATTTTTTGTATTTTAAGTAGAGAAGGGGTTTCTTCATGTTGCTCAGGCTGGTCTCAAACTCCCAACCTCAGGTGATCCACCTGCCTCAGCCTCCCAAAGTGCTGGAATTACAGGCGTGAGCCACTGCACCTGGCTCATAATAGTACATTTTTAAAAACACCATAAAATATAATCCTTGCAACACTCAATTATACCATCTGGTCGGATCTATCAGCAGATGGCACCCGAGACATACGGATTGGAAATTTTGATCTTATTATGAATGAATCCAGTCCAGAAATGCCCACCCTGCCCCCTGCTGGCTCCTGGGGCTCTGCTCTTTGGGGGAATCATGATGAAATTGTGGCAGAGAGTAGAAGTTGAGCCCCATTGCATGCCCTGAGTTCTTGTTGCCTCTCTATTATCAGGAAAAGGAGGTGAGATTGAAAGATGAAAAATGCTGGGACTTCTGCTGAGAAGAGAAAAAAGAACAAGATGTATTGATCTTACTGTATGCCAGACCCCATGCCAAGCCCTAAACATGAACCATCTCATTGGATCCTACCTAGGTCCCATAAGCTGTTGGACATCATCATCCTCATTTTACAGGAAGCTGAGGCTCTTGGCTAACATCCCTGACAGCAACACCAGCCCCTGAGTACTCAGCAGGATCCTTCACTTGGATGCCCGCTATGCAGGCTTCCTCAGCACAGGGAAGGTCACTCATCACCCACAGGCCCTTGATCGTTATCCACCCTTTGATGCTGTCAGATTCCAGAACACGCTGCACTAGTCTCTTCCTTCATAGGGAGAGAGGGAAAGTGTTATGAGAAAATCTCTCATCAATCTGACCTAGCTCCCCAAAAAGATGTAACTTTTAAAATGTCAGATGGAAATATTTAAAAAGTGTTACATGCCTGTATAGTTTTAGTATTTTACTTAAAGGGAATGTGGCTGTCTTTACTGGCTACAACCAGTTTAATTCAAGAAGGGCTGCTGGTCATCAGGGGAACAAGCAAGGTTTGGTGCTGCCCAGAGTCTCCAGCTAATACACAATATGGACATACCCTTCCAGGGCAGCGAGAAGAGAGTGGGTCCTTGTGCAGTGCAGCTGACATCCACCAACTAAGGCTTCTGGAAGCATGTGGAGACTCACAGGGAGTGGGCAGGGTCTCAGCATCTGGCTAGCGGTGAAAGACCCTGAGAAGAAGGTGCTTTCCGTGTGGATTGGCTCACTGTTCTTGCCCAGTAATGTTCCAGGCCTTTGGTGTCCACCTGGTGTGTATTAACCCACTGAACAGCCACAGAAACTAACAAGGATTTAACAGACATCTAAAGAAGTGAAGAACTGGAGGAGGCCAAGCCAAGCGTGGTGGTCCACGCCTATACTCCCTGCATTTTGGGAGGCCAAGGCAGGAGAATCACAAGCTCAGGAGTTCCAGATCAGCCTGGGGAAGACAGCGAGGCCTTGTTTCTACTAAAAAAAAGTATCCAGGTGTGGTGGCTCACACAGCTGTAGTCCTAGCTACTCAGGAGGCTGAGGTGGGAAGATCGCCTGAACCCAGGAAATTGAGGCTGCAGTGAGGTATGATTGTGCCACTGCACTGTAGCCTGAGTGACAGAAGACCTTTAAAAAACAAAAACAAAAGCAAAAGCCTGACACAGTGGCTCACACCTGTAATCCCAGCATTTTGGTAGGCCTACTTGCATGAATCACCCAAAGTCAGGAGTTTGAGACCAGCCTGACCAACATAGTGAGGAAACCCTGTCTCTACTAAACATACACAAATTAGCTGGGCACGGTGGTGCATGCCAGTAATCCCAGCTACTTGGGAGGCTGAGGCAGGAGAATCATTTAAACCCCAGGTGGAGGTTGCAGTCAGCTGAGATGGCACCATTGCACTCTAAACTCCAGCCTGGGCAACAAGAGTGAAACTCTGTCTCCAATAAAAGAATGGGAGGAAACTGATTACAATAACCAAATTTCATTTAAATGCCTTGATTTTCTTGGGCTGCATCTTATTGATTGGACAACTCAGTCAGTGCCTTTTGTTTTTTCCATCAATAACTGAAGATTCCTGAGGCTTAAACTGGAAAACAGGTTACTTAATAATAGAGGGCACCAGACAGATTCTGCTCAGTTTTCCTTTATTTCTGATTGTTTCTTTACAACCATCCATGCAAGAGTAACTCCCTCATGTATTCTCAAGCCTGAATTCCACTCTAGACATTCAGATTCCCATTTTCGACTCTACAGGATACACGTTCCCAAAGTCCCATCGAATCCATGGCAACATTTCCCCCAAGTCCTGCCCCTGCTTGATCAGCATTCCTTTCCCACTTTCAGAGCCCATGTGTGAAACGATGGGTTCTGTGCTCCCTTTAGGATGTACCTAAGACCTAGGTTTTAGTTTCCAAGTGTCCAGAAGAAAGCGTTTGACATACCCATCCAAATAGGCAGGCATTCAACAGCAGTATTGATCTGCCTCCAGGTCATAAAATGACCTGTTGCCACAGTCAGGGCAGTAGTCAGTACCGAACAAGATCCTCTTGGGGTGCCTTAAGTCCCTAACTCTCTTCATCAGCTCAGCCCTAATCTGAGTAAATCTGCTCCAGCAGAGAGTACCATCAGCACCATAACTCTCCCGTGGGGCAGGATACAGCTCCAGGCATAAGTTTTTGAGTATGATTGTGTGGCTCAGCAGGTTCTCCAGGGTGGCCATGGAGATGGGATTTCCACAGAAGCTGAAGGTGTTGAGCTCAAAGCAGCGGCTCAGGGCAGGCAGGATGGCGTTGACTTGGGAGTCTATGATGCCACAGTCATCTAAATCCAGGTACTCAAGGGTGGCTGCAACTTTTTCTAGGAGAATTTGGAGAGGCACAAGACTGTAATTGGTCAGTCTGATGCCACTCAGGTCCAGGGTCTTTAGTTGACTGATACTCGGGCACTGGGATAGATGCTTCAAGTCTGATTCCAAAAGCACACAGTTAGTTATTGTGAGGACCTTTAACGAGGTCTTCAGACAGCTGGGGAGAGAGAGCAAGAAGTTAATTCTGGGGAATCATAGGGGTGAGTGGAGGGTGGTGGGGAATGGCTTCAAGGTAATGGATGGAGACCATTTTGCCCAAGTCCAGGATCATTCTCATGGCCGGATGGTCAACACTTCGGATGATGTGTGATGAAGAGCTTTGCCACCGAGGTCAATTCCACTTTAGGCCCGGCCCAGTAACTCACACCTGTAATCCCAGAACTTTGGGAGGCTGAGACTGGTGGATTCCTTGAGATCAGGAGTTTGAGACCAGCCTGCTGAACATGGCAAAACCTCCTCTCTACTAAAAATCCAAAAATTAGCCAGCTGTGGTGGCGGGAGCCTGCAATTCCAGCTACTTGGGAAGCTGAGGCAGAAGAATCGCTTGAACCCAGGAGGTGTAGGTTGCAGTGAGCAGAGATCATGCCACTACACTCCAGCCTGGGTGACAGAGAGAGACTCCGCATTAAAAAAAAAAAAGGAGAAAAAATAATTCCATTTGAGGCTGAGTCATTTCACCATCATTTATAGGAATGGATCAAGTTCACAGAATCCCTAAAGCTCCCTTTCCTCATCTGTCAGGCAGAAAACCACATCCCTGGGCCACAGAAGCCCAGTGGAGATGCAGGCATAAAGGACAAACCCAGACAGGATCCTGCAACATCAGCTGGGGTGGGCGGGCTGCAGGCGTCCCTGACACGCCTGTATCATCAGCAAACCATCTATCACTTTCACCATTCTTTGTGCCTGCTCCCTGACCCTCTGTTTCAGAATCATACATTTCCTAGGTAATTAATTTACCTGGAGCTCAAAAGAAACTTTTACAACAGGGAATTAGAGATGGGATCATTCATGTTCACGGAACTGTGGGGCACAAAGCTGATTTTCTGACATGTGCAGATTTGCTGAGCATTCCCCTCTTCAGTGACCACTTCACTTCCCTACTTCCCATCATCTTCTTAAAAATTATCTTGTTGGCTGGGCGTGGTAGCTCTCGCCTATAATCCCAGCACTTTGGGAGTCCAAGGTGGGCGGATCACCTGAAGTCAGGAGTTGGAGAATATCCTGGCCAACATGGTGAAACCCTGTCTCTACTTAAAATATAAAAATTAGCCAGGTGTGGTGGCCCACGCCTGTAATCCCAGGCACTGAGGAGGCTGAGGCAGGAGAATCGCTTGAACCTGGGAGGCAGAAGTTGCTGCGAGCTGAGATGTCACAACTGCACTCTAGCCTGGACGATCATAGTGAAAATCCATCTCAGAAAAAAAAAAAGTTATCTTGTTTGTTTTTACTTTTATTTCTTCATTTCTGACAGGGGTCTTGGGATGTTACCCAGACTGGTCTTAAACTCCTAGGCTCAAGCTATCCTCTTGCCTCAGACTCCCAAAGTGATAGGATTACAGGCATGAGCCACCGTCCCTGGCCTATTTTTCATCATCTTAACTTAGACACACGTCCTCAGGAAGAATTCAGAAAGGCACCCTCACTAGATCTGAACCCCCCAGTAGCTAGCTTCCTAGTATGGCAACCTCTCTATAGCATCTCCCCTAGCTGATCCCTCTGCCTCTATTGGGATGGTTGCATGATACCCATTTCAGGACAGGGCCGCCAACAGGACAATGTATGGACATTCTAGTGTCCCCTTCACTGTTTCATCCTCATAGGCTGGCTCACAGTAGATGCCCACTAGCGTTTAGTGAAACAGGCTCTGCTGTGGTCTGCAGAGAAAGCTCACCACCCTCCCTCACCTGAGCAGCTGGTCCAGGTGGCCTTCGAGGAAAGAAACAGAGTTCATATAAAGCTTTTGGAGGCAGTGCAGCTTGAGGAACTGAGTGGTGAACTGGGTAACAATCTCCTTCTTCTGCTCTGGGGAAACGTAGCGAGAGACATCCATGTGGGAGAGAACGAGCTTCTGAAGATTCCTCATGTGGCCCAGGTATGGGGTAAACTGTGTCAGGATGGGCAGTACCCACTTGCAATTCACTTCCACCTCCTGGATACAGTCTAGGTTCACCATTTTCAGGATGCTTCTGATATTGCGGAAGGGCATTCCCAAAATTTTCAGCTTCTTACAGCACAGGTGTAGTAAATCTTTCCTCTGCTTGACCCATAGAAGGAGGCAGGTGAGGTGTTCATCCAGAGTCCTGTTCTTGAGCCAAAGTTCTACGAACACAGTCAAGGGC
Source organism: Homo sapiens (assembly GCF_000001405.40). Lineage (NCBI taxonomy): Eukaryota > Metazoa > Chordata > Mammalia > Primates > Hominidae > Homo > Homo sapiens. Next base: position 13,074,805 of record NC_000001.11, on the reverse strand, counting down.
TGCCGTCCTCTCATCCTTGGACAGTCCTGCACTGGTTTTTTGTTCCTCTTGGCATTGAGGAAGCACCCACGGGCCATAGCTTCAGACCAAACCATCCAGAAGTTCTCACAGACATCCTGTAAATCCAGCACTTGAAGTTTCCACCTCCTGTGGGAAAATAGAGGTGAGACTGAGAATTTCAGAACTCATTTCTGAACTTAAACTCCACATCCTGGATAGCAGCTCCTCCCCTCCCTGCTTCTTGTCCCTGTCTCTGACATTTCTCCACCCTGTTTTCCCCTTGGATCCTGCCCACTTTCACATTTTTTTTTTTTTTTTTTTTTTTGAGACCAAGTCTCCTTCTGTCACCCAGGCTGGAGTGCAGTGGTGTGATGTCACCTCACTGCAACCTCTGCTTCCCCGGTTCAAAGGATTCTCCTGCCTCAACCTTGCAAGTAGCTGGGATTACAGGAGCCCAGCACCATGCCCAGCTAATTTTAGTATTTTTAGTAGAGTTGGGGTTTACCATGTTGGACAGGCTGGCCTCCAACTCTTGACCTCGGCCTCCCAATGTGCTGGGAATACATTGTGAGCCACCGTGCCCGGCCCAGTTCTCACTTTTCATGCTGGCTTTCAGTGCCATTAGGGGAGAGGTTCCTGTTACCTCCATGGACCTGGCATGGTCAGCAGTGCTTTCCCTGAGGAGCTGGTGAATGGCCAAGGCCTCTCAGCTTCCTCACCACCACCATCGCCCCTTGGGCCTCCTCACTTCTCATGACCCAGCTGTTCCTTCGGTTGGACACCTGGGCCCTCCCCACCAGCCCACCTGGCCCACCTCACCTGGGACGAACCCCGTGGGTAAGCAGTGCATCAAGCCCATTGAGCACAGCTTGGAAGGTCTCCAGACAAGGCATCTTTATCAGAGGCCTCAGAGGGAGGCGGCGGAAGGGCCAGGCCTGTACCATCAGCTTCAGGGCCTCACAGCGTCTCCTGCTGAAGGCCTCCATGAACAGTGGGGGGAAAAGTTCTGTGGGCAGCTCCTCCAGGGTGGACATGGCCAAGGCTTGGTCCCTCAGCACGCTCCGCCCCGCCAGCTCCAGGAGTCTGGGTGGAGTCCGGATGCTCATCTTCATGAATCTGCAGGGAAAACTTCCAGAGGACAAACCCAGAGAAAAGGCATCACTCTCAGGACAAGCCCATGCAATCTCATCTTCTCCCAGGGCCAAAGTCACTGCTTTGGCAATGGTGAAACAGCCCTCAGTTTACTCCAATTCTACTCAGTACTCAGTGGCCATTAAGCCAGCATTCTGCCTCTGCTGCATCAGCATGAGCGTCTCCGAAGCAGTGAGGAGGCAGGGCCACAACTAGCCCTTCCTTTCTATCCAGTGCTCCATCCAGTGACTAGTGAGTGTGGAGGAACCTGAAAGCAAACCCCTCCGACCATTGGGGGAAATTACTAATTACTCAAGGTTCTAAAACAATGGGAAAGGGAGTGTCACAAGCCTACATGCCCACAATTTCAGTTCCTACAAATAAGCTTGTTGGGAACATTCATGGGGCATCCCTAGAACAGGTTCTATTTGTTTTCTTTTCTTTATTTAAGGTTTCCTTCTCTTTCTCTCTCTTCTTTCCTTCTTTCCCTCTCTCCCTCCCTTCTTTCTTTCTTCCCCCCTCTCTCTCCCTTCTTTCTTTCTTGTCTTCTTTCCCTGCATCCCTTCTCTCATTCTCTCTCTCCCTCCCTCTCTCCCTCACTCTTTCTGACAGGGTCTTGCTCTGTTACCCAGCCTGGAGTGCAGTGGTGGGATCTTGGCTCACTGCAGCCTTGACTTCCCAGCCTCCCAAGCCTCCTCAGCCTCCCAAGTAGCTGGGACCACAGTTATGCATCACCACACCCAGCTCATCTTTTATGTTTTGACTTTTTGTAAAGACAGTGGATTTCACTATGTTGTCCAAGCTGGTCTTGAACTCCTAGTCTCAAGCAATCCACCCCCCTTGGCCTCCCAAAGTACCGGGATTATAGTTGTGAGCCTCCACTCCAGCCTTATTATCGAATATTTCAGTGAGAAGCTTTGAAAGCTATGTGACACTGTTATGCATCATTCGCAAGATAGATGATTCCAATACACACCTCTCGCACATATTCAAAATCAACCACTTTGGCTGGGTGCAGTGACTCACCCGTAATCTGAGCATTTTGTGAGGCCAAGGCAGGTGGATCATCTGAGATCAGGAGTTCAAGACGAGCCTGGCCAACATGGTAAAACCCTACCTCTACTAAGCCAGCAAAAATTAGCCAGGTGCAGTGGTCTGCGCCTGTAGTCCAAGCTACTAGGGAGGCTGAGGCAGGAGGATCACTTGAACCCAGGAGGCAGAAGTTGCGGTGAGCTGACATTATACCACTCCACTCCAGCCTGGGAAATAGGCTAGATTCAAAAGAGAGACAGAGAGAGCTACATTTGATTAGACTTCTTAATCTCTACCCAGTTAATCCTGATTGGATTTTTGGCTTTCTTCCAGATTAACTGATTGAATTAGATATTCATCCATCAAAATGAAAGATTTAGGGATAGGGTGAAAGTCCAAGACTCATTCACTGATTCACTCCACAAACGTGGAGTTTTACTAATATGTGTCCTTCACAGTCCTGAGTGTGAGACAGGGAAGGGTTGAATCTCTTCCTGATATTAGACAGAAAGAAAGAAAACTTGAAAGTATCTGTAGAGGGATCCTTGGCCACATCAAATTTCTCAAAATATTTCAGAGTTAAAACAGTTTTACAAAGACAGAGATGACAGTTCCTAAGAAAACACAATAGTAATCTTCATATATCCAGTGATTACCTGGGTGGCATAATTCTTCTTGGTGTTGAGGGAGCTGAGTCTCACTTCGTTGCCCAGGCTGGAGTGCAGTGGTGCCATCTCGGCTCACTGTTACCTCAGCCTCCAAGATTCAAGCAATTCTCATGCTTCAGTCTTCCACGTAGCTGGGATTACAGGCATGCACCCCCACACTCATGTCTCCATTTGGGTGGAAGAGGATGTGATTGCTTTAAAATTAAGGTCAAAGATCCTTTTTTGTTAAGATGTTGCTTTTGTTTTTTGGACAGGGTCTCTCTCTTTTGCCCAGGCTGGAGTACAGCAGTGGTGTGAGCATGGCTCACTGCATCCTCAATCTTCTGGGCTAAAGTGATTCTCCCACACCAGCCACCCAAATAGCTGGGGCTACAGATGCATGCCACCATGCCTAGCTAATTAAAAAAAAAAAAGTAGAGGCCGAGCACCAGTGGCTCATGGCTCTAATCCCAGCATTTTGGGAGGCCAAGGCAGGTGGATCACTTGAGGTCAGGCGTTTGAGACCAAACTGGCCAGCATGGTGAAACCCCCGCCCCTACTAAAAATACAAAAATTAGCCAGGCATGGTTTCAGATGACTGTTATACCAGCTTCTCTGTATGGAGACTGATGCATGAGAATTGCTTGAACCTGGGAGGTAAAGGTTACAGTGAGTTGAGATCGTGCCACTGCACTCCAGTCTGGGCAACACAGCGAGACTCCATCCCCATCCTCAAAAAAAAAAAAACGTTGTGTAGAGGAGGGTTTTTGTCATGTTGCCCAGGTTGGTATCAAACCCCTGGGCTGAAATGATCCTCCCACTTTGGCCTCCCAAAGTGTTGGGGTTAAAGGCATGAGTCACTGCTCCCTTCAAGAATTTTGAAATGACCTAAACCAAAGCACAATCAACTTTTTTGAAATAAAGACAGAACTGTATTTAGAGGAAAACATTCAAAGCTTCAAATTGTTCATATGAAAAAAAAAAAGGACAGGATATAGCTCTGTGCCATCGTAGGCTGCACTGTCACCATCCCAGACCAGCTGACTGTAGGTCAGATGGGAGTGTCCTTACAGAAATTAATGACTTACCAGATCTGGATGTAGTTTAGAAGGTGCTCAGACCTCAGGAAGAACCAGGCAGGAACTCCAGGCTTGAAGACTTTGGGTCTCTCCTGTGGGTCTTTAGAAGCTTTTATTGACGTTTCTAGTCACAACTCCCACCCACGCCCCTCCACGTATCCGCTGCTAGCTTCCAATCAAAAAGTGATATCTGATTGCATTTCTGAAGCTCCAGCCAGTTAATCCTGATTGGGTTTTTGGCTCTCCCCAGATTAATGGATTGAATCAGATGTCCATTCATATCACATATCTATATTCACTTCATGAAGCAAGAAATTGACAGTGTTAGGGATAGGGTAGAAGTCAAGAATACATTCATTCAAGGCCAGGTGAGGTGGCTCACTCCTGTAATCCCAGCACTTTGGGAGGCAGAGGCAGGTGGATTATCTGAGGTCAGGAGTTTGAGAAAAGCCTGGCCGACATGGTAAAACCCTACCTCTACCAAAATTACAAAAATTAGCCAGGTGCGGTGGTCTGTGCCTATAGTCCAAGCTACCAGGGAGGTTGAGGCAGGAGGATCGCTTGAACCCAGGAGGCAGAGGTTGCAGTGAATTGACAATACACCACTGCACTCCAGCCTGGGAAATAGGCAAGATTCAAAAAAAAAAAAAAAAAAAAAGAAAAAAGAGAGAGAGAGAACTACATTTGTACATTTGATTTGACTTCTTAAACTCTACCCAGTTAATCCTGATTGGATTTTTGGCTTTCTTCCAGATTTACTGATTGAGTTAGATATTCATCCATCGAAGTGAAAGAATTAGGGATAGGGTGAAAGTCCAGGACTCATTCAGTGATTCACTCCATAAACATGGAGTTTTACTAATATGTGTCCTTCAAAGTCCTGAGTGTGAGAGAGGGAAGGGTTGAATCTCTTCCTGACATTAGAGAAAAGAAAAAACTTGAAAGTACCTTTGTTGAGGGATCCTTGGCCACATCAAATTTATCGAAATATTTCAGAGTTAAAACGTTTTACAAAGACAGAGATGACAGTCCCCAAGAAAACACAATAGAAATCTTCATGTATCCAGTGATCACCTGGGTGGTATAATCTAATTTTTTTGGTGTGGGGGAAGCTGAGTCTAACTTTTTGCCCCATGCTGGAGTGCAGCGGCGCCATCTCAGCTCATTGTAACCTCCGCCTCTGAGATTCAAGCAATTCTCATGCTTCAGGCTTCCACGTAGCTGGGATTACAGGCATGCACCCCACACCCATGTCTCCATTCAGGTGGAAGAATTACCGAGAGGATGTGATTGGTTTAAAATTAAGGTCGAAGATCCTTTTTTGTTAAGATTTTGTTTTTGTTTTTTGGACAGGGTCTCTCTCTTTTGCCCAGGCTGGAGTACAGCAGTGGTGTGAGCATGGCTCACTGCAGCCTCAATCTTCTGGGCTAAAGTGATTCTCCCACACCAGTCACCCAAATAGCTGGGACTACAGATGCATGCCACCATGCCCGGCTAATTAAAAAAAAAAAAAAGTAGAGGCCGAGCACCAGTGGCTCACGGCTCTAATCCCAGCAGTTTGGGAGGCCAAGGCAGGTGGATCACTTGAGGTCAGGTGTTGGAGACCAACCTGGCCAGCATGGTGAAACACCCGCTCTACTAAAAATGCAAAAATTAGCCAGGCATGGTGGCAGATGGCTGACACCAGCTTCTGAGGATGGAGACTGAGGCATGAGAATTGCTTGAACCTGGAAGGTAAAGGTTGCAGTGAGTTGAGATCGTGCCACTGCACTCCAGTCTGGGCAACACAGTGAGACTCCATCCCCGTCCTCACAAAAAAAATAACGTTGTGTAGAGGAGGGTTTCTGTCATGTTGCCCAGGTTGGTCTCAAACCCCTGGGCTGAAATGATCCTCCCACTTTGGCCTCCCAAAGTGTTGGGGTTAAAGGCATGAGTCACTGCTCCCTTCAAGAATTTTGAAACGACATCAACCAAAGAACGATCAACTTTTTTGAAATAAAGACAGAGCTGTATTTAGAAGAAAACATTCAAGCTTTAAATTGTTCATATAAAAAAAAAAAGACAGGATACACTTCTGTGCCATCGTAGGCTGCAGTGTCAACATCCCAGACCAGCTGACTGTAGGTCAGATGGGAGTGTCCTTACAGAAATTAGTGACTTACCAGATCTGGATGTAGTCTAGAAGGTGCTCAGACCTCAGGAAGAACCAGGCAGGTACTCCAGGCTTGAAGACTTTGGGTCTCTCCTGTGGGTCTTTAGAAGCTTTTATTGACCTTTCTAATCACAACTCCCACCCACGCCCCTCCACGTATCCGCTGCTAGCTTCCAATCAAAAAGTGATATCTGATTGCATTTCTGAAGCTCCAGCCAGTTAATCCTGATTGGGTTTTTGGCTCTCCCCAGATTAATGGATTGAATCAGATGTCCATTCATATCACATATCTATATTCAGTTCATGAAGCAAGAAATTGTCAGTGTTAGGGATAGGGTAGAAGTCAAGAATACATTCATTCAAGGCCAGGTGAGGTGGCTCATACCTGTAATCCCAGCACTTTGGAAGGACAAGGTGAGTAGATCACCTGATGTCAGGGGTTCAAGACCAGCCAGGACAAAAAGGTGAAACCCTGTCTCTACAAAAATACAAAAATACAAAAATTAGCCCGGCATGATGGCAGGTGCCTGAAACACAGCGACTCAGGAGGCTGAGGCAGGAGAATTGCTTGAACCCAGGAGGCAATGGTTGCAGTGAGCCAAAATTGTGCCACTGCACTCCAGTCTGGGTGACAGAGGGAGATTCTGTCAAACAATAAAAAAATTAATTCATTCATGAACTCCACAAACACTGATGGAACTTTACTAATATGTGAACTTCATAGTCTTGAGTGTGAGGCAGGGAAGGATTTGATCTGTTCCCGACATTAGACAGAAAAATAAAATCTGAAAGCAGTGTTGTTAGGAGATCTTTGGCCACATCAAAATATGAAAATGCTTTATACTTTAAAAAGCTTTATAAAAACAGAGGAGTCATCCCTACAAAATCAGAATAAAAATCTCAATTTATCGAATGGTCTTGGGGATTTTATATAACCTAAGGTAGCAGATTATATGCTCGTTCTGGTGGAGGAGAGGTGCCACTGAGGGCGTGAGTGGTCTCAGGGCTTAGGTTAAGGCTTCTTTGGAAGAAATTGAAACCACAACTATAAACTTCATCAATTTAATCAGTGAAGAAGGGAGGGGGAGAAACAAAAATAAACCAAGCTTGCAACACATTCAGCATTCATCAGGAGGTCAGCTTGCTCTCTGACCTGGTTCCTTATGGTTGCTGGCAGCCTACTGTTCCAAAATCATATAGACCTTAGATTACAGTTCCCCTTAACTTCCCTGCAGACAACAATTTAAGCATTGTGAAACATTAACTTTTTTCATTTGACATATTCTTTCAGATTCTGCATGTCAGTGAAACTACTGATGCCAGCTCATCTAAATGGGCCCTGCAAGGCACTAACGCAAAGAATGCAGTTTCTAGATCCTGTTGACTTCTTCCCTCTTACCGCTACCCCAACTTTCCAGTCCCTTGCTATCCAGGATCCACTGAAAATGCTCAGTACTCCTTGGGGTGATGAATTTGAGGATCTCCTCCTAACTTCTCATTCAGCCACCCTGTGATCATTAAACTCTCTGCTGCAAACCCTGCTGTCTCACAATATTGCTAAGCTACTGTGCAGCAGGCATAGGAACCTGATGGTCCTGTAATAAAGTCATGTCAAAATTACAAATGGAAGTGAGGGTGGAGCTGGTCAGGGTTGAGCTGGGTTTTTAATGGGAACCTGGGAGTGAACCAAGACTTGCTGAACATGTTGGGGGTTATTGAGTGGGTGGAGGATGAATCTATCCAACATTGCATGGATGCCCCTTTGGTTTTGATCCTTATGACCAAGTATGAGTCTTTCAAAACAATTTATATAATCCTCCTTATATTTCCTTTCAAAACCTTCAACTTCCTTTATCTCCCCGAATAATCTCACATCTATTCCCATTTCTTTGCTTACTTCATAATACATTTTTTTTTTTTTTTTTACAGAGTCCTCTTCTCTGTTAAGTAGACCATATATTTTGTTGCCACACAAGATGAGTAACCTGGTTCTATGGACAGAAAGGGTCAAAAGGATCCCATTCCTCAACAGCTGGGGGTGATGTAAAGGCCATGGTTATTCCTTGTCATATCTGCACCTGCATATTGCCAGTGAAAACTTGCAGGGCACATTGGGCAGGCTTCCAAATTAACCACCTGTGGGAAGGTCTTTCGATTGGCTTACATCCTGTCCCTGAGCAAAGTGTCTGATCATGAGTTCATGAGTGCCTCAAACCCCACAACTACTGATGAAGGCTTCACCCACTGACAGTGAGAAGGACGCTGATTTGATTCTGATCATGAAGTTTTGCTGGTTGTCTTGCAAGGAATACGTTTTATCCTGTTATGTTGTCATCTAAAGCCAATGATTGTAACCTCTGTCTTGTCCCGTCCAATGGAAAAAAACAAAAACAAAAACTCAATTCTATTTGAGCCTTGCCAGGTCAATAAGACAAAAGAAAATTTAAAAACAAACTGATAGGAGGAGTCCCATTCCCTTCTTTTAACCTTTCTTACAAAAGCATTCCAACTTGTAACAGACTTTGGAAAACACCCACTTTGTCAGTGTGTGTCTTCCAGGTCAATCCTCACATTTAGCTTCCAGTGAAGCTTTCGTTAATTATTTCTACCTCAACAGCCTTATCTTCTATTGACACAAGGTTGTATGGTAATGGTTTGAATTGGGGTGGGAAGAAAAAATATTTCTATGTCTTTTATAAAGTAATCCTTGCATGTCATCTCCATAGAAGAATGAGTAGGTTCCTCTCCAAATATGTCCTGAGTATTGATGCACCCAATAAACAAAACTAATATTTATTTCATATACTAGAGCTATAGATGCATTCTATTTCCCTCTAGAATCTCCAATGAACCAATATCTAGTTTCAGTAAGTTTCTCTGATTATATGGCAGAGGGTAACATGGTCATGTTCTGATTCTGTGTCTATGTCGATAACTATAGCGTTCCAGCCTTCATAATATGCATCAAACCAGAGTTTATTCTAGTGTGAGTCTGGCACACCATCTAGATTAGACCCAGTTACACTAATGTTTTCTATGCATAGAGATAAGTTACCAGTAATGAAATCAATAATAGTCATAGACCACTCATTTGCACCTATAGCTTCTTCTCAATGCCAAGTCATTTAATTATCAATATTAACCAACCTACCAAAGGAAGGATAACAAATCTTATCATGAATTTAGCATCCTCAATTGCTACCCAACTGTGTACGAAAGCAGGTTGTAGTATTAAGTGTGATCCTTCCCTTTCATCTAAATGACTCCATAGCCAGCAATTGCTTTGGTTAGTGAGAGTGGCTACATTTTGAACAGAAGATCTTAGAAAGTGTTTGGTTTGAGTGGTGAAAGTACCTAACAACATAAAATATAGGTTTGATAATTTTGTGTTAATACAAAACAAAACCAAGTCTCAGTCAATGGAAGAAGATCAAATGGAGTCTTGTTCCATTGTCTTGGAAAAGCTGTCTACCAGGTGATGATGTGTGCTTCTAGGGAAGGCTTTTCCTCAGATATCCTTAAGTTTAAGTCATCTGGTACAGTCCCATCCAATGCTGTTCATGGGCAGATTTCCCTTGGTGTCATTTCTAAAGGATGCAATCTCCAAATGCTAGGGCATGAAGGTCTAAGCATCACTGAAAGCCTCCTTCACCTAGTGGAAATAGTCTTTCAAATACTGCATCAAGGTCTTGCAGTATTGATTCATATTGTTACTGAACGATGGGCTCACTCTTCTAAGTGCATAGAACCCAATACTATGACACCATGCTTGAGAAAAGTAAAAAAGATTCAACCAGGCATGGTGGCTCACGCCTATAATCCCAGCACTTTAGGAGGCTGAGGCAGGCAGATCCCAAGGTCAGAGGTTTGAGACCAACCTGGCCAACATGGAGAAACCCCCTTTCTGCTAAAAATACAAAAGTTAGCTCAGTGTGGTGACATGTGCCTGTAATCCCAGCTACTCAGGAGGCTGAGGCAGGAGAACCACTTGAACCCAGGATGCAGAAGTTGCAGTGAGCCAAGGTAGCACCATTGTACTCCAGCCTGGGCAACAGAGACTCTGTCTCTAAACAAAAAATAAAAAGAATGCAGTCTCCTTTATTGGTTCAGCTAATTTTAGTTTCAAGATACAGTTTGTTCACTCAACCTTTGTAGAATACGAAGGATAATGAAGTTAATATTAGTGCCATTGGATCAGTAAAATCTTACCTGTGTGATAACCTGCCCAGTAACTGAGTTCTCCTCCCATTGGAGATTTCTCCAGAGATGCTCCAGAAAGGAAGCAAATTTTATAATCATTTTTTTTGACTATGACTGTGGCATCAGCCTTTCTAAAAAGGTAATCTACAACCCATCCTGAAAACGGACACACAATCACAAGAATTGTAGCCTTTTTACATGGCTCACTGACATCATTGGTCCACGACAACCCCGTTTCTTGCAGCTATATGTGTGTATGTCTACCTATTCATATCTGTATCTATTTCCATTTATTACCATGATTCACTTCCACTCTCCTTTCCATAGACAGCCACTCTACTCTTTGACCTAGCCTTGAATTTGCTTGTGACCTCATGGAACATAAGTATATGGAAAGCATATAGACTATATACTTGCATTTTGTATGTGTATTTATTTAAATCCACATATATGTTATAGCGTATGGTGCTACAGAAGAGGACCTCACAATTAATTGTCCAGTCCCAGACACTTTGGAGAGAATAGACATGCTGTTATAATAATTATTATTATTTTTGGAGATAGTGTCTGGCTCTGTGGCCAGGCTGGAGTGCAATGGCATGATCTCGGCTCACTGCAACCTCTACCTCTTGGGTTCAAGTGCCTCTCCTGCCTCGGCCTCCTGAGTACCTGGGATTACAGGTGCCCGCCACCACGCCTGGCTCTTTTTTGTATTTTTAGTAGGAATGGAGTTTCTCCATGTTGGCCAGGCTTGTCTTGAACTCCTGACCTCAGCTGATCCACCCGCCTCAGCCTCCCAAAGTGCTGGGAATACAGGCCTGAGCCACTGCACTCGGCCTCTCATGTGCCTTTTTAAATTGATGGGAAAATGACACCCAGGATAATTTATGGCCATTGTGGGAATTATTGGAAATCTTTAAGACTGTTTTTCTTACAAAACCACAATTGTAGGATTAAACAGTCTGAATGGGATGCTAGCACGTAGAGCCTTCTAAACTCTCTTTCTCTTCTTTTTTTGGGGAATTTGGGATCTGCCTACTGATTACAATTAATTGGTTTTCTTAAAAAACTGTTTGGTTAAGATTTTTTTTTTTGACAAGGTCTCACTCTGTTGCCCAGGCTGGAGTACAGCAGTGGTGTGAACATGGCTCACTGCAGCCTCAATCTTCTGAGCTCAAGGGATTCTCCCACCTCAGCCACCCAAGTAGCTGGGACTACAGATCCATGCCACCATGCCCGGCTAATTTTTTAAAAAAGAAGCAGGGCGTTGGTGGCTCACTGGTGTAATCCCAGCACATTGGGAGGCCAAGGCAGGTGGATCACTTGAGGTTAGGAGTTCAAGACCAGCCTGGCCAACATGGTGAAACCCTGTTTCTACCAAAAATATAAAAATTAGCCAGGCATGGTGGCGGGTGGCTATAATCGCAGCTACTCAGGAGGCTGAGGCATGAGAATCGCTTGAGCCTGGGAGGCAGAGGTTGGAGTGAGTTGAGATCATGCCACTGCACTCCAGCCTGGGTAACAGAGCCAGATACCATCCCCACCCCTCAAAACAAATGTTTTGTAGAGATAGGGTTTTGCCATGTTGCCCAGGTTGGTCTCGAGCCCCTGGGCTCAAATGATCCTCCTGCCTTGGCCTCCCAAAGTGTTGGAATTGTAGGCATGAGTCACTGCTCCCACCAAGAATTTTTTTCTTTAAATTCCTGGTTTAATAAGGACTTGTTTATTTTGAGGAAAAAAGGTCCCAAACATGGAGCTGTTCACAAAAATAACCCACAGTATCAACTTTAGAAAACACATTTTAAGAGTATAACACTAATTATTTTTCTGAGGATGCATTTGACATGCCAACTCTCATTCACAAAAATACATTGTTAGATTTTTGTTGAACTGCCCCACACAGCACACTGACATGGGGTGTAACACACATACTTCTAACTCCAAGCTGCTTTCAGGAGCTACTCAACTCAATGAGATTGCCTTTGCAGTTAGGGAAGCAACTATTGAACTTATGTATAAATGAAAAGAACTGTATTCCCTGCATAACAAGAGATTATTTTGGAGACAGTTGATAAAAACCATACATCCTTTTTACTGTTAAGTCATAAGGAGGTATCTAAATTAAAAGCAAAAATTGCAGGGTAAGACTTAAGAAAACTTCTAGGAGCATCAAGGGAAGTGAAAATGGAACTAGGTGCAGGGCAATATGAATTAATGAATGTGGGAAGGACAAGGATGGGGAGAACAGTAAGCATGTGCTGAAGATGCTAAGGGAGAGGATCTGGTGAAAAATTTGATGTTAGACAAGCACCTAGGTAAAGAAACAATGGGATAAGATTTCTCAACCCCACTATGTGCTTAAGAGTCATCCTGGCCATTCGCCCTGTCTCTGTCATCCTCTCCTTCCTCAGCCCCTTTTTCATCATCCTTGATCAACTCCAGCTGGTTGTCCCCCTGATCTTCATTATCATCATCACACAGTAGGTCCCCCTCCTCAACAGAGTCATCTGCACCCCCCTCAGACTCCATCTTCACGTGAGTCTTATCCTTCTTCGAGGAGCTGCTGGTCTGCTCCTCTTCAGACTTAGCATTCTTTACCTCTACTCCTTGCTTGCAATGTTCCTTTTCAATTTTTTCCAGGTTTTCCAGGAGAGAATCCACTTTCTGTTTTATCTGGGTCAACTCCTGCTTAATGGCCTGAAGGTCATCTCCTTTCAGCTTTCCAGACTTGGAAGATCCCCGCTTTCCACTCTTAGAATTGAAGCCACTTTTGCCCCTTCGTGAGGTGTTTCCTGATATGCGCTGGCGTTTCGAGGGCACTACAGCCAGAGCAATGGGAGGAGGAGGAGGTACACGTGCTGGGAAACTGTACATCCCACCATAATAATCCCGTTGCAAGTTATAGTCCAAGTCAAAAGAGGAGCCGTACATCTCTGCTGCTGATCGTTTCACACCTGCGTTTCCTCGGTTCACTTTTGGCTCTGCAGCCAGGTTAATATCTACAACCTGGCTAGCAATCATTCTGCCATCCTCTCCTGCTACAGCAGCCCGGGCATTTTTCTCCTTATCATATTGAACGAAGGCAAAGCCCTTATGAACAGAGCAGCCCGCAATTTTGCCATACTTGGAAAAGATCGCCTCCACATCCGATTTCTTGACAACAAGAGTGTTGAGATTCCCAATGAACACACGGGAGTTCATGGAGTGAGGATCCATCTTGTTGGTAACGTTGCTGGCCATTGTGTTGGATGATAAGGTTTCTCAAAAAGCCAAAAACAGGAGGCGGGAGGGAGAAGAGATTCGATTCTAAGTCTCCTACTGCCGGGTTCTACGTGGAGAAGCTGACTGCGGCTCGAGGCCAGAAATGCAGCCAAACCAGCTCAGTCTTCGTCTCTTCACAAAATGGCTCCCAACAAGAATTCTGAAATGACGTAAAGAAAAGCACAATCAACATTTTTGAAATAAAGACAAAACTGCATTTAGAAAAAAAAATCAAAGCTTCAAAGTGTTCATATGAAAAAAAGAAAAAAAAGACAGGATATAGCTCTGCTCTGTCGTAGGCTGCACTGTCACCATGCTACATCGGCTGACTGTAGGTCCCATGGGAGTGTCCTTACAGAAATTAGTGACTTACCAGATCTGGGCTCAGTTTGCAGGGTGTTCAGACCTCAGGAAGAACCAAGCAGGAACTCCAGGCTTGAAGACTTTGGGTCTCTCCTGTGGGTCTTTAGAAGCTTTTATTGACCTTTCTAATCACAACTCCCACCCACGCCCTTCCATGTATGCACTGCTAGCTTCCAATCAAAAAGCAATATCTCATTGCATTTCTGAAGTTCCACCCAGCTAATCCTGATTGGGTTTTTGGCTTTCCCCAGATTAATGGATTGAACCAAATATCCATTCATATCACATACCCATATTCATTTCATGAATCAAGAAATTGACAGCATTAGGGATAGAGTGGAAATCAAGAATTCATTCATTTAAGGCCAGCTGAGTTGGCTCATGCCTGTAATCCCAGCACTTTGGGAGGCCAAGACAGGCGGATCACCTGAGGTCAGGAGTTCAAGACAAGCTTGACCAATATGGTGAAACCCTGTCTCTACAAAAATACAAAATTAGCCGGGCATGATGGCGGCTGCCTGTAATCCGGATACTTGGGAGGCTGAGGTGGGAGAATTGCTTGAACCCAGGAGGCTGAGGTTGCAGTGAACCGAGATTGCACACTGCCCTCCAGACTGGGTGACAGAGGGAGACTCTGTCAACAACAACAACAACAACAACAACAACAACAGAATGCCTTCATTCACGAACTCCACAAGCACTGATGGAATTTTACTGATATGTCACCTTCATAGCCCTGGGTGTGAGGCAGGGAAGGGGTTGATCTGTTCTGGACATTAGACAGAAAAATAAAACCTGAGAATAGTGTTGTTGGGAGATCTTTGGCCACATCAATATTTTAAAAATGCTTTATAGTTAAAATAGCTTCCTGACCTTCCTTAACCTGAACTGCTTGGTTCCCTAGAAGCAGAAATTGATCATATTAGAACCCAAACTCATACCAACCTTGACCTTCATGAAGTACTCAAGTGTTTCTGCTCTTCTTCCTCATGTGATGTAGAAAGTATTAAAAGTGATGAGTTTAGGCCGGGCACGGTGGTTCACGCCTGTAATCTCAGCACTTTCAGAGGCCGAGGTGGGTGCATCACCTGTGGTCAGGAGTTCCAGACCAGCCTGGGCAACATGGTGAAACTCTGTCTCTACTAAAAATACAAAAACTAGTTGTGTGTGGTGGCCTGTGCCTGTAATTCCAGCTAACTGGGAGACTGAGGCAGGAGAATCACTTGAACCGGGAGGCAGAGGTTGCAGTGAGGCGAGATCGCACCATTGCACTCCAGCCTGGAAAGCAAGAGTGAAACTCCATCTCAAAAAAAAATTAATAAATAAATACATTATAAATAAATAAATTAATTAATGCTTTAAAGAAAAAAGAAATAAACTTTGCCTACAAATTTCATATGCAATTGAATACCTCTTAAATTTTGATGTGAACCGACCAGGCATGGTGGCTGAGGCCTGTAATCCCAGCACTTTGGGAGGCCGAGGCGGGCAGACCACGAAGTCAGGAGATTGAGACCATCCTAGTTAACATGGTGAAACCCCGTCTTTACTAAAAATACAAAAAATTAGCCAGGTGTAGTGGCATGCACCTGTAGTCCCGGCTATTTAGGAGGCTAAGGCAGGAAAATTGCTTGAACCGGGGAGGCAGAGGTCGAAGTGAGCTGAGATCGTGCCACTGCATTCCAGCCTGGTGACGGAGCGAGACTCCATCTCAAAAAATAAATGAATAAAATAAATAAATCAATAAAAATATTGTGACAGGAACCAACATTGCTCAACTTGTACACTAATGTCTTACAAAATCCTTTCCTTGTCACCTTCAAATCTCCATTTCAAATGCTACACTCTGCATAACTCTACCACTTTGTTGCCATTTTCTGATGATGGAGAAGACCATACGTGTGTGTGTGTGGCATCAGAACTATTGACTCCTCCTATTGATGTTTAAGATATTCCATTACACAAACCTGGGCTCATACTTTTTGTTGTTAGATCTTATGCCAAAAATGTAGGCAAAAAATGCCAAGCAGGAAATGCTATCACTTCTGAAGATGAATTCATAGAGATGGAAATTCTTTCAGAATTTATTTTTCCAGCTTTTTTCTTTGTTTGTTTGTTCGTTTGTGTTTGTTTGTTTTGAGACGGAGTCTCGCTCTGTCACCAAGTTGGAGTGCAGTGGTGAAATCTTGGCTGACTGCAACCTCCTCCTCCTGAGTTCAAGCGACTCTCATGCCTCAGTCTCTCGAGTAGCTAGTACTATGGGTGGGCGCCACCATGCTCAGCTAATTTTTGTATTTTTAGCAGAGACAGGGTTTCACCATGTCGGCTAGGATGGTCTCAATTTTTTGGCATCGTGATCTACCTGCCTTGGCCTCCTGAAGTGCTGGGATTAGAGGTGTGAGCCACCACCGTGCCCGGCCTTTTTTTTTTTTTTTCCTTTTGAGATGGAGTCTCACTCTATTGCCCAGGCTGGGAATGGGACTCCTCCTATCAATTATTTTTTTAAATTTTCTTTTGTTTTATAGACCTGACAAGGCTCAAATAGAGTTGACTTTTTGTTTTTGTTTTTTCCATTGGAAGGGACAAACAGAGGTTACAATCATTGGCTTTAGATGACAAGATAAAAGAATAAAACATATTCCTTGCAAGACAACCAGCAGAACTTCATGATCAGCATCAAATCAGTGCCTTCTCACTGTCAGTGGGTGGAAGCCTTCATCAATACTTGTAGAGTTTGAAGCACTCATGAACTCATGATCAGACTCTTTACTCAGGGACAGGATGTAAGCCAAGCGAAAGACCTTCCATAGGTGGTGAATTTGGAAGCCTGCCCAATGTGACCTGCAAGTCTTGCTTCACTCCCAGGTTCCCATTAAAAACCCAGCTCAACCCTGACCAGCTCCACCCTCACTTCCATTTGTAATTTTGACATGACTTTATTAAAGGACCATCAGGTTCCTATGCCTGCTGCACAGTAGTTTAGCAATATTCTGAGACAGCAGGGTTTGCAGCAGAGAGTTTAATGATCACAAGGTGGCTGAATGAGAAGCTAGGAGGAGATCCTCAAATTCATCTCCCCAAGGAGTACTGAAGGTTTCCAGTGGATCCTGGATAGCAAGGGGCCAGAAAGTTGGGGTAGCGGTAAGAGGGAAGAAGTCAACAGGATGTAGAAACTGCATTCTTTGGTGAGTTGGTGCATTGCATGGCCCTTCAGATCAGCTGGCATCAGCAGTTTCACTGACATGCAGAACCTGAAAGAATATCTCAGATGAAAAAGTTAATGTTTTACAATGCTTAAATGGTTGTCTGCAGGGAAGTTAAGGGGAACTGTAATCTAAGGTCTATATGATTTTGGAACAGTAGGTTGCGGCAACCATGAGGAACCAGGTCAGAGAGCAAGAAGACCTCCTGATGAATGCTGAATGTGTTGCAAGCTTGGTTTATTTTTGTTTCTCTCCCTCCCTTCTTCACTGATTAAATTTATAAATTTTAGAGATGTGGTTTCAATTTCTTCCAAAGAAGCCTTAACCTAAGCCCTGAGACCACTCACGCCCTCAGTGGCACCTCTCCTCCACCAGAACGAGCATGTAATCTGCTACCTTAGGTTATACAAAATCCCAAAGACCATTCAGTACATTGAGATTTTTATTCTGATTTCGTAGGGACGACTCCTCTGTTTTTAAAAAGTTTTAAAGTAGAAAGCATTTTTATATTTTGATGTGGCCAAAGATCTCCTAACAACACTACTTTCAGATTTTATTTTTCTGTCTAATGTCGTAAACAGATCAAATCCTTCCCTGCCTCACACTCAAGACTATGAAGTTCACATATTAATAAAAAAAAATCAGTGTTTGTGGAGTTCATGAATGAATGATTTTTTTATTTTTTGACAGAATCTCCCTCTGTCACCCAGACTGGAGTGCAGTGGCACAATTCTGGCTCACTGCAACCATTGCCTCCTGGGTTCAAGCAATTCTCCTGCCTCAGCCTCCTGAGTCGCTGTGTTTCAGGCACCTGCCATCATGCCGGGCTAATTTTTGTATTTTTGTATTTTTGTGGAGACGGGGTTTCACCTTTTTGACCTGACTGGTCTTGAACCCCTGACATCAGGTGATCTACTCACCTTGTCCTTCCAAAGTGCTGGAATTACAGGTATGAGCCACCTTGCCCACCAGTGAATCAATGTATTCTTGACTTCTACCTTATCCCTAACACTGTCAATTTCTTGCTTCACGAACTGAATATAGATATGTGATATGAATGGATATCTGACTCAATCCATTAATCTGGGGAGAGCCAAAAACCCAATCAGGATTAACTGGGTGGAGCTTCAGAAATGCAATCAGATATGGCTTTTTGATTGGAAGCTAGCAGTGCACACGTGGAAGGGCGTGGGTGGGAGTTGTGATTAGAAAGGTCAATAAAAGCTTCTAAAGACCCACAGGAGAGACCCAAAGTCTTCAAGCCTGGAGTTCCTGCCTGGTTCTTCCTGAGGTCTGAGCACCTTCTAAACTACATCCAGATCTGGTAAGTCACTAATTTCTGTAAGGACACTCCCATCTGACCTAGAGTCAGTCAGTCTGGGATGGTGACAGTGCAGCCTACGATGGCACAGAGCTATATCCTGTCCTTTTTTATATATATATATGAACAATTTGAAGCTTTGAATTTTTTCCTCTAAATGCAGTTCTGTCTTTATTTCAAAAAAGTTGATTGTGCTTTGGTTGATGCCATTTTAAAATTCTTGAAGGGAGCAGTGACTCACGCCTTTAACCCCAACACTTTGGGAGGCCAAAGTGGGAGGATCATTTCAGCCCAGGGGTTTGAGACCAACCTGGGCAACATGACAAAAACCCTCCTCTACACAACGTTTTTTTTGAGGGTGGAGATGGAGTCTCACTGTGTTGCCCAGACTGGAGTGCAGTGGCACGATCTCAACTCCCTGCAACCTTTAACTCCTGGGTTCAAGCAATTCTCATGCCTCAGTCTCCATCCTCAGAAGCTGGTGTCACAGACATCTGAAACCATGCCTGGCTAATTTTTGTATTTTTAGTAGAGGTGGGGTTTCACCACGCTGGCCAGGTTGGTCTCGAACACCTGACCTCAAGTGATCCACCTGCCTTGGCCTCCCAAAGTGCTGGGATTACAGCTGTGAGTCACCATGCATCTGTAGTCCCAGCTATTTGGGTGGCTGGTGTGGGAGAATCACTTGAGTCCAGAAGATTGAGGCTGCAGTGAGCTATGCTCACACCACTGCTGTACTCCAGCCTGGGCAAAAGAGAGACACTCTGTCCAAAAACAAAAACAAAATCAATCAAAAAGGATCTTTGACCTTAATTTTAAACCAATCACATCCTCTTCCACCCAAATGGAGACATGGCTGTGGGGGGTGCCTGCCTGTAGTCCCAGCTACGTGGAAGGCTGAAGCATGCGAATTGCTTGAATCTTGGAGGCAATCTTGGAGGTAACAGTGAGCCAAGATGGTGCCACTGCACTCCAGCCTGGGCGACGAAGTGAGACTCAGCTCCCTCAGCACCAAAAAAAATTATATGACCCAGGTGATCATCGGATACATGAAGATTTCTATTGTGTTTTCTTAGGGACTGTCATCTCTGTCTTTGAAAACTGTTTTAACTCTGAAATATTTTGATAAATTTGATGTGGCCAAGGATCCCTCAACAAAGATACTTTCAAGTTTTCTTTCTTTCTGTCTAATATCAGGAAGAGATTCAACCCTTCCCTGTCTCACACTCAGGACTTTGAAGGACACATATTAGTGGAAGTCCATGTTTGTGAAGGGAATCGGTGAATGAGTCCTGGACTTTCACCCTATCCCTAAATCTTTCATTTTGATGGATTAATATCTAATTCGATCAGTTATTCTTTAAGAAAGCCAAAAATCCAATAAGGATTAACTGGGTAGAGATTAAGAAGTCTAGTCAAATGTAGCTCTCTCTGTCTCTCAGTTCAATCTAGCCTATTCCCCAGGCTGGAGTGGAGTAGTATAATGTCAGCTCACTGCAACTTCTGCCTCCTGGGTTCAAGTGATCCTCCTACCTCAGCCTCCCTAGTAGCTTGGACTACAGGCGCAGACCACTGCACCTGGCTAATTTTTGCTGTCTTAGTAGAGGCAGGGTTTTACCATGTTGGCCAGGCTCGTCTTGAACTCCTGATCTCAGATGATCCACCTGCCTCGGCCTCACAAAATGCTCAGATTACAGGTGTGAGTCACTGCACCCAGCCAAAGTGGTTCAGTTTGAATATGTGTAAGAGGTGTGCATTGGAAACATCTATCTTGAGAATGATGCATAACAGTGTCACATAGCTTTCAAAGCTTCTCACTGAAATTTTCAATAACGAGGCTGGGGCAGAGGCTCACACCTATAATCCCAGTATGTTGGGAGGCCAAGAGGGGTAGATTGCTTGAGACTAGGAGTTCAAGACCAGCTTGGACAACATAGCGAAATCCACTGTCTTTACAAAAAGTCAAAACATAAAAGATGAGCTGGGTGTGGTGATGCATAACTGTGGTCCCAGCTACTTGGGAGGCTGAGGGGGAAGAATCCTTTGAGCTGGGAGGTCAAGGCTGCACTGAGCTGAGATCCCACCACTACACTCCAGGCTGGGTGACAGAGCAAGACCCTGTCAGAAAGAGTGAGAGAGGGAGAGAGAGAAAGAGAGAGAGAATGAGAGAAGGGATGCAGGGAAAGAAGACAAGAAAGAAAGAAGGGAGAGAGAGGGGGAAAGAAAGAAAGAAGGGAGGGAGAGAGGGAAAGAAGGAAAGAAGAAAGAGAGAGAAAGAGAAAGCAAGCTTAAATAATGAAAAGAAAACAAATAGAACCTGTTCTAGGGATGTCCCATGAATGTTCCCAACAAACTTATTTGTAGGAACTGAAAATGTGGGCATGTAGGCTTGTGACACTCCCATTCCCATTGTTTTAGAACCTTGAGTAATCAGTAATTTCCCCCAATGGTAGGAGGGGTTCACTTTCAGGTTCCTCCACACTCACTAGTCACTGGATGGAGCACTGGATAGAAAGGAAGGGCTCGTGGTGACCCTGCTTCCTCACTGCTTCGGAGACGCTCATGCTGATGCAGCAGAGGCACAATGCTGGCTTAATGGCCACTGAGTACAGGGCAGAATTGGAGTAAACTGAGGGCTGTTTCACCATTGCCAGAGCAGTGAGTTTGGCCATAGGAGAAGATGAGATTGCATGGGCTTGGCCTGAGAGTGATGCCTTTTCTCTGGGTTTGTCCTCTGGAAGTTTTCCCTGCAGATTCATGAAGATGAGCATCCGGACTCCACCCAGACTCCTGGAGCTTGCGGGGCGGAGCCTGCTGAGGGACCAAGCCTTGGCCATGTCCACCCTGGAGGAGCTGCCCACAGAACTTTTCCCCCCACTGTTCATGGAGGCCTTCAGCAGGAGATGCTGTGAGGCCCTGAAGCTGATGGTGCAGGCCTGGCCCTTCCGCCGCCTCCCTCTGAGGCCTCTGATAAAGATGCCTTGTCTGGAGGCCTTCCAAGCTGTGCTCGATGGGCTTGATGCACTGCTTACCCAAGGGGTTTGTCCCAGGTGAGGTGGCCCAGGTGGGCTGGTGGGGAGGGCCCAGGTGTCCAACTGAAGGAACAGCTGGGTCATGTGAAGTGAGGAGGCCCAAGGGGGATGGTGGTGGTGAGGAAGCCGAGAGGACTTGGCCATTCACCAGCTCCTCAGGGAAAGCACTGCTCACCACGCAAGGTCCATGGAGGTAACAGGAACCTCTCCTCTAATGGCACTGAAAGGCACCATGAAAAGTGAGAACTGGGCCGGGCACGGTGGCTCACAATGTAATCCCAGCACATTGGGAGGCTGAGGTCAAGAGTTGGAGGCCAGCCTGTCCAACATGGTAAACCCCAACTCTACTAAAAATACTAAAATTAGCTGGGCATGGTGGTGGGCTCCTGTAATCCCAGCTACTTGTGAGGTTGAGGCAGGAGAATCATTTGAACCCAGGAAGCAGAGGTTGCAGTGAGGTGACATCACACCACTGCACTCTAGCCTGGGCGACAGAGGGAGACTTGGTCTCAAAAAAAAAAACAAAAAAATGTGGAAGTGGGTAGGATCCAAGGGGAGAACAGAGTGAAGAAAAGTCAGAGAGAGGGACAAGAAGCAGGGAGGGGAGGAGCTGCTATCCAGGATGTGGAGTTTAAATTCAGAAATGAGTTCTTAAATTCTCAGTCTCACCTCTATTTTCCCACAGGAGGTGGAAACTTCAAGTGCTGGATTTACAGGATGTCTGTGAGAACTTCTGGATGGTTTGGTCTGAAGCTATGGCCCGTGGGTCCTTCCTCAATGCCAAGAGGAACAAAACACCAGTGCAGGACTGTCCAAGGATGAGAGGACAGCAGCCCTTGACTGTGTTCGTAGAACTTTGGCTCAAGAACAGGACTCTGGATGAATACCTCACCTACCTCCTTCTATGGGTCAAGCAGAGGAAAGATTTACTACACCTGTGCTGTAAGAAGCTGAAAATTTTGGGAATGCCCTTCCGCAATATCAGAAGCATCCTGAAAATGGTGAACCTAGACTGTATCCAGGAGGTGGAAGTGAATTGCAAGTGGGTACTGCCCATCCTGACACAGTTTACCCCATACCTGGGCCACATGAGGAATCTTCAGAAGCTCGTTCTCTCTCACATGGATGTCTCTCGCTACGTTTCCCCAGAGCAGAAGAAGGAGATTGTTACCCAGTTCACCACTCAGTTCCTCAAGCTGCACTGCCTCCAAAAGCTTTATATGAACTCTGTTTCTTTCCTCGAAGGCCACCTGGACCAGCTGCTCAGGTGAGGGAGGGTGGTGAGCTTTCTCTGCAGACCACAGCAGAGCCTGTTTCACTAAACGCTAGTGGGCATCTACTGTGAGCCAGCCTATGAGGATGTAACAGTGAAGGGGACACTAGAATGTCCATACATTGTCCTGTTGGCGGCCCTGTCCTGAAATGGGTATCATGCAACCATCCCAATAGAGGCAGAGGGATCAGCTAGGGGAGATGCTATAGAGAGGTTGTCATACTAGGAAGCTAGCTACTGGGGGGTTCAGATCTAGTGAGGGTGCCTTTCTGAATTCTTCCTGAGGACGTGTGTCTAAGTTAAGATGATGAAAAATAGGCCAGGGGCGGTGGCTCATGCCTGTAATCCTATCACTTTGGGAGTCTGAGGCAAGAGGATAGCTTGAGCCTAGGAGTTTAAGACCAGTCTGGGTAACATCCCAAGACCCCTGTCAGAAGTGAAGAAATAAAAGTAAAAACAAACAAGATAACTTTTTTTTTTTCTGAGATGAATTTTCACTTTGATCATCCAGGGTAAAGTGCACTTGTGACATCTCAGCTCGCAGCAACTTCTGCCTCCCAGGTTCAAGCGATTCTCCTGCCTCAGCCTCTTGAGTGCCTGGGATTACAGGCATGAGTCAGCACACCTGGCTAATTTTTATATTTTAAGTAGAGACAGGGTTTCACCATGTTGGCCAGGATATTCTCCAACTCCTGACTTCAGGTGATCCGCCCACCTTGGACTCCCAAAGTGCTGGGATTATAGGCGAGAGCTACCACGCCCAGCCAACAAGATAATTTTTAAGCAGATGATGTAAAGTAGGGAAGTGAAGTGGGCACTGAAGAGGGGAATGCTCAGCAAACCTGCACATGTCAGAAAATCAGCTTTGTGCCCCATAGTTTGGTGAACATGAATGATCCCATCTCTAATTCCCTGTTGTAAAAGTGTTTTGAGCTCCAGGTAAATTAATTACCTAGGCAATGCATGATTCTGAAACAGAGGGTCAGGGAGCAGGCACAAAGAATGGTGAAAGTGATAGATGGTTTGCTGATGATACAGGCATGGCAGGGACGCCTACAGCCCGCCCACCCCAGCTGATGTTGCAGGATCCTGTCTGGGTTTGTCCTTTATGCCTGAATCTCCACTGGGCTTCTGTGGCCCAGGGATGTGGTTTTCTGCCTGACAGATGAGGAAAGGGAGCTTTAGGGATTCTGTGAACTTGATCCATTCCTATAAATGATGGTGAAATGACTCAGCCTCAAATGGAATTATTTTTTTTCCTTCTTTTTTTTTAATACAGAGTCTCTCTCTGTCACCCAGGCTGGAGTGTAGTGGCATGATCTCTGCTCACTGCAACCTACACCTCCTGGGTTCAAACGATTCTTCTGCCTCAGCTTCCCAAGTAGCTGGAATTGCAGGCTCCCCCCACCACACCTGGCTAATTTTTGGATTTTTAGTAGAGAGGAGGTTTTGCCATGTTCAGCAGGCTGGTCTCAAACTCCTGATCTCAAGGAATCCACCAGTCTCAGCCTCCCAAAGTTCTGGGATTACAGGTGTGAGTTACTGGGCCGGCTCTAAGGTGGAATTGACCTCGGTGGCAAAGCTCTTCATCACACATCATTCTAAGTGTTGACCATCAGGCCATCAGAATGACCCTGGACTTGGGCAAAATGGTCTCCATCCATTACCTTGAAGCCATTCCCCACCACCCTCCACTCACCCCTATGATTCCCCAGAATTAACTTCTTGCTCTCTCTCCCCAGCTGTCTGAAGACCTCGTTAAAGGTCCTCACAATAACTAACTGTGTGCTTTTGGAATCAGACTTGAAGCATCTATCCCAGTGCCCGAGTATCAGTCAACTAAAGACCCTGGACCTGAGTGGCATCAGACTGACCAATTACAGTCTTGTGCCTCTCCAAATTCTCCTAGAAAAAGTTGCAGCCACCCTTGAGTACTTGGATTTAGATGACTGTGGCATCATAGACTCCCAAGTCAACGCCATCCTGCCTGCCCTGAGCCGCTGCTTTGAGCTCAATGCCTTCAGCTTCTGTGGAAATCCCATCTCCATGGCCACCCTGGAGAACCTGCTGAGCCACACAATCATACTCAAAAACTTATGCGTGGAGGTGTATCCTGCCCCGCGGGAGAGTTATGGTGCTGATGGTACTCTCTGCTGGAACAGATTTGCTCAAATTAGGGCTGAGCTGATGAACAGAGTGAGGGACTTAAGGCACCCCAAGAGGATCTTTTTCTGTATTGATAACTGCCCTGACTGTGGCAACAGGTCATTTTATGACCTGGAGGCAGATCAATACTGCTGTTGAATGCCTGCCTATTTGGATGGGTATGTCAAACGCTTTCTTCTGGACACTTGGAAACTAAAACCTAGGTCTTAGGTACATCCTAAAGGGAGCACAGAACCCATCATTTCACACATAGGCTCTGAAAGTGGGAAAGGAAAGCTGATCAAGCAGGGGCAGGACTTGGGGGAAATGTTGCCATGGATTCGATGGGACTTTGGGGACCTGTATCCTGTAGAGTCGAAAATGGGAATCTGAATGTCTAGAGTGGAGTTCAGGCTTGAGAATACATGAGGGAGTTACTCTTGCATGGATGGTTGTAAAGAAACAATCAGAAATAAAGGAAAACTGAGCAGAATCTGTCTGGTGCCCTCTATTATTAAGTAACCTGTTTTCCAGTTTAAGCCTCAGGAATCTTCAGTTATTGATGGAAAAAACAAAAGGCACTGACTGAGTTGTCCAATCAATAAGATGCAGCCCAAGAAAATCAAGGCATTTAAATGAAATTTGGTTATTGTAATCAGTTTCCTCCCATTCTTTTATTGGAGACAGAGTTTCACTCTTGTTGCCCAGGCTGGAGTTTAGAGTGCAATGGTGCCATCTGAGCTGACTGCAACCTCCACCTGGGGTTTAAATGATTCTTCTGCCTCAGCCTCCCAAGTAGCTGGGATTACAAGCATGCACCACCATGCCCAGCTAATTTGTGTATGTTTAGTAGAGACAGGGTTTCCTCACTATGTTGGTCAGGCTGGTCTCAAACTCCTGACTTTGGGTGATTCAAGCAAGTAGGCCTACCAAAGTGCTGGGGTTACAGGTGTGAGCCACTGTGTCAGGCTTTTTTTTGTTTTTGTTTTTTAAAGGTCTCCTGTCACTCAGGCTAGAGTGCAGTGGCACAATCATACCTCACTGCAACCTAAATTTCCTGGGTTCAAGTGATCCTCCCACCTCAGCCTCCTGAGTAGCTAGGACTACAGCTGTGTGAGCCACCACACCTGGATACTTCTTTTTAGTAGAGACAAGGCCTCGCTGTCTTCCCCAGGCTGATCTGGAACTCCTGAGCTTGTGATTCTCCTGCCTTGGCCTCCCAAAATGCAGGGAGTATAGGCGTGGACCACCACGCTTGGGTTGGCCTCCTCTAGTTCTTCACTTCTTTAGATGTCTGTTAACTCCTTGTTAGTTTCTGTGGCTGTTCAGTGGGTTAATACACACTAGGTGGACACCAAAGGCCTGGAACATTACTGGGCAAGAACAGTGAGCCAATCCACACGGACAGCACCTTCTTCTCAGGGTCTTTCACCGCTAGCCAGATGCTGAGACCCTGCCCACTCCCTGTGAGTCTCCACATGCTTCCAGAAGCCTTATTTGGTGGATGTCAGCTTCACTGCACAAGGACCCACTCTCTTCCCACTGCCCTGGAAGGGGATGTCCATATTGTGTATTAGCTGGAGACTCTGGGCAGCATCAACCCTTGCTTGTTCTCCTGATGACCAGCAGCCCTTCTTGAATTAAACTGGTTGTAGCCAGTAAAGACAGCCACATTCCCTTTAAGTAAAATACTAAAACTATACAGGCATGTAACACTTTTTAAATATTTCCATCTGACATTTTAAAAGTTACATCTTTTTGGGGAGCTAGGTCAGATTGATGAGAGATTTTCTCATAACACCTCCCCTCTCTCCCTATGAAGGAAGAGACTAGTACTAGTGCAGCGTGTTCTGGAATCTGACAGCATCAAAGGGTGGATAACGATCAAGGGCCTGTGGGTGATGAGTGACCTTCCCTGTGCTGAGGAATTCTGCATAATGGGCACCCAAGTGAAGGATCCTGCTGAGTACTCAGGGGCTGGTGTTGCTGTCAGGGATGTTAGCCTAGAGCCTCAGCTTCCTGTAAAATGAGGATGATGATGTCCAACAGCTTATGGGACCTTGGTAGGATCCAATGAGATGGTTCATGTTTAGGGCTTGGCATGGGGTCTGGCATACAGTAAGATCAATACATCTTGTTCTTTTTTCTCTTCTCAGCAGAAGTCCCAGCACTTTTCATCTTTCAATCTCACCTCCTTTTCCTGATAATAGAGAGGCAACAAGAACTCAGGGCATGCAATGGGGCTCAACTTCTACTCTCTGCCACAATTTCATCATGATTCCCCCAAAGAGCAGAGCCCCAGGAGCCAGCAGGGGGCAGGGTGGGCATTTCTGGACTGGATTCATTCATAATAAGATCAAAATTTCCAATCCGTATGTCTCGGGTGCCATCTGCTGATAGATCCGACCAGATGGTATAATTGAGTGTTGCAAGGATTATATTTTATGGTGTTTTCAAAAATGTACTATTATGAGCCAGGTGCAGTGGCTCACGCCTGTAATTCCAGCACTTTGGGAGGCTGAGGCAGGTGGATCACCTGAGGTTGGGAGTTTGAGACCAGCCTGAGCAACATGAAGAAACCCCTTCTCTACTTAAAATACAAAAAATTAGCCAGGCGTGGTGGCGCACGTCTGTAATTGCAGCTACTCGATAGGCTGAGGCGGGAGAATCATTTGAATCTGGAGGTGGAGGTTGTGGTGAGCTCAGACTGAGCCATTGCACTCCAGCCTGGGCAACCCTAGCAAAACTCCATCTCAAAAAAAAAGATAAAATAAAATTTATTATTATGGCCGGGCATGGTGTCTCACACTTCTAATCCCACCACTTTGGGAGGCCAAGGCAGCCTCAGGATTTTGAGACCAGCCTGGCCAACATGGTGAAACCCCATCTCTACTAAAAATACACAAAATTTGCTGGGAGTGGTGGCATTCGCCTGTAATCCCAGGTATTCAGGAGGCTGAGGCAGGACAATCACTTGAACCCGGGAGGTGAGGGTTGCAATGAGACGAGATTGCACCACTTCACTCCAGCCTGGGCGACAGAGCATGAAAAAAAATTTACTATAATGTGAATACTATTAGAGTATAAATATTTGTGTTGTAATTTATGTATATGAAAGATTAGAACTTTTAAAGAATGCAACGTGATATTTCAAGAATGGTTAATGGCCAGGTGTGGTGGTTCATGCCTGTATTCCTGGCACTTTGGGAGGCCGAGGTGGGCAGATCACGAGGTCAGGAGTTCCAGACCAGCCTGGCCAACATGATGAAACCCGGTCTCTACGAAAAATACAAAAAATTAGCCTGGCGTGGTGACAGGTGCCTGTAATCCCAGATAGTCAGGAGGCTGAGGCAAGAGAATCGCTTGAACCTGCGAGGCAAAGGTTGCAGTGAGCCAAGAATGCACCACTGCACTCCAGCCTGGGTGAAAGAGGAAGACTCCGTCTCAAGGAGGGTGAGAAAAAGAATACTTAACTTGGTTTGAAATGTCAAAACAAATGAGATTTTAAAAACTAATTTTAAAGACACTGAACAATAATCATTTCTTCTTTAAAATATATTTAGAATAATACAATTTTAGCTTTGAAAGGAAACATTACAGTTTTAAAAAATATTGAGTTTATTTTATTTTATTTTATTTTATTTTATTTTATTTTATTTGGAGACAAAGTCTCACTCTGTTGTCCAGATTGGAGTGCAGTGGCATGATCACGGCTTACTGCAGCCTTGACCTCCTAGGCTCAGGTGATCTCCCTGCCTCAGTCCCCCTAGTAGCTGGAACAACAGGCATGCACCATCATGCCTGACTTATTTTTGTATTCTTAGTGAAGACCAGGCTTCAACATGTTGCCCAGACTGGTCTTGAAATTCTGGGCTCAAGCGATCCACCTGCCTCGGCCTCCTAAATTGCTGGGAGTGAGCTCTTATAGGCATGAGCCACCGCACCCAGCCTTGAGTTTATTTATTTATTTATTTTGGAGATGGAGTCTCCTTCTGTCATCCGTGCTGGAGTGCAGAGGTACGATCTCTGTTCACTGCAACTTCTGCCTCCAGGGTCCCAGCAATGTTCCTGTCTCAGCCTCCAGAGTAGCTGGGATTACAGGCATGCAACACCACACCTGATTAATTTTTGTATTATTATTATTATTTTTTTTAGTAGAGACAGGGTTTTGTCATTTTAGCTAGGCTGGTCTGGAACCCCTGACCTCAGGTGATCCACCTGCCTCGGCTTCCCAAAATGCTACGACTATAGGCGTGAGCCACCACACCCAGCCTATTTTTTCCTTTACAGCAGTTTTAGATTCACAGAAAAACTAAGCAGAAACTGCAGAGTTCTCATCTACCTTCTTCCCCCTTCAATACACAGCACCCCCACAGGATCAGCACCCACACCAGCACAGAGCATTCATCACAACCAATGAGCCACAGGGACACATCATTATCACCCAATGTCCATAGTTCACATGAGGGATCATTGCTGGTTTTGTACATTCTATGGATTTTAACAAAGGGATAATGACATGTATCCACCATTAGAGCATCATGGACAGTAGTTTTCTTTCCCTAAAATTCCTCTGTCCTCTTCCCATTCATCCCATTGTGCTCCCAACCCCTTGCATCCACTGGGCTTTCTACTGTCTCCTTAGAAAAATGCAAAAGCTTTTTCTGGAATGTCTAACAGGATGAGTCTTTTCAGATTGCCTTCTTTCACTTGTACAATAACGTGCATTTAGGAATTTTTCATGTCTTTTTACAGCTTTATAATAGTTCACTGACTGGATGGATCAGTTTGCTTATCCAGTCACTGACCGAAGGGCAACTTGCTAGCTTCCAAGTTTTGGCGATTATGAGTAAGTTGCTGTAAACATCCAGGTGTGGGTTTACTCACTTCATTAAATATCCAGGAGCATGATTACGGAATTGTAGGGGTATGGTATGTTTTACAATTATTTCTTCTTTCTTGACAATCTCACTTGTTCGATATTGCTGCTAAAGGTCAGGAACTTTGTCTCCATCATCCTGTGTTCCCACTGCTGAGCATGGAACGTGGCACTTGGTAGCAAATGCTGTTGACCACGTGATGCATGGAAACGTTTATCATGGGTATAGTCACTAAATTGCTACCTTGGGGACATCAACATTAGCTCACTACCAATAATATAAATAAATTGGATTATGGAAAAAAATGGCCCTTGTGATACTGTGGATACTCCAGGTGTATCATGAACGTCCAGCAATTGACCAGGCACAGTGGCTCACATCTGTAATCCCAGCACTTGCAGAGACTGAGGTGGGTGGATCACTTCAGTCAGGAGTTCAAGACGACTCTGGCCAATATGATGAAACCCTGTCTCTATTAAAGACACAAAAATTAACTAGGGGGTTGAGCCAAGATGGCCAAATAGGAACAGCTCCAGTCTACAGCTCCCAGCCTGAGCGGTGCAGAAGACGGGTGATTTCTGCACTTCCAACTGAGGTACCAGGTTCTTCTCACTGGGGAGTGTCAGAAAGTGGGTGTAGGACAGTGGGTGCAGTGCACCGAGCATGAGCCAAAGCAGCATGAGGCATTGCCTCTCCTGGGAAGTGCAAGGAGTCAGGGAATTCCCTTTCCTAGTCAAAGAAAGGGGTGACAGATGGCACCTGTAAAATCCGGTCACTCCCACCCTAATACTGCGCTTTTCCAACAGTCTTAGCAAATGGCACACCAGGAGATTATATCCCGTGTCTGGCTCAAAAGGTCCTATGCCCACGGAGCCTCACTCATTGCTAGCACAGCAGTCTGAGATCAAACTGCAAGGCGGCAGCAAGGCTGGGGGAGGGGAGCCTGCCATTGTTGAGGCTTGAGTAGGTAAACAAAGCAGCCAGGAAGCTGGAACTGGGTGGAGCCCACTGCAGCTCAAGGAGGCCTGCCTGCCTCCACAGACTCCATTTCTGGGGGCAGGGCATTGCCAAACAAAAGGCAGCAGAATCCTCTGTAGACTTAAATGTCCCTGTCTGACAGCTTTGAAGAGAGTAGTGGTTCTCCCAGCACGCAGCTGGAGATCTGAGAATGGACAGACTGACTCCTCAAGTGGGTCTGTGACCCCTAAGTAGCCTAACTGGGAGGCACCCACCAGCAGGGGCAGACTGACACCTCACATGGCCAGGTACTCCTCTGAGACAAAACTTCCACAGGAACGATCGGGCAGCAACATTTGTTGTTCACCAATATCCACTGTTCTGCAGCCTCTGCTGCTGATACCCAGGCAAACAGCTTCTGGAGTGGACCTCCAGCAAACTCCAACAGACCTGCAGCTGAGGGTCCTGACTGTTAGAAGGAAAACTAACAAACAGAAAGGACATCCACACCAAAACCCAGTCTGTACATCAGCATCATCAAAGACCAAAGGTAGATAAAACCACAAAGATGGGGAAAAAACAGAGCAGAAAAACGGGAAACTCTAAAAATCAGAGTTCCTCTCCTCCTCCAAAGGAACGCAGCTCCTCACCAGCAATGGAACAAAGCTAGAGGGAGAAGGACTTTGATGAGTTGAGAGATGAAGGCTTCAGATGATCAAACGACTCTGAGCTAAAAGAGGAAGTTCGAACCCATGGCAAAGAAGTCAAAAACATTGAAAAAAAATTAGATGAATGGCTAACTAAAATAACCAATGCAGAGAAGTCCTTGAAGGACCTGATGGAGCTGAAAACCATGGCACGAGAACCACGTGACAAATGTACAAGCCTCAGTAGCTGATTCCATCAACTGGAAGAAAGGGTATCAGTGAGGGAAGATCAAACGAATGAAATGAAGCGAGAAGAGAAGTTCAGAGATAAAAGAATAAGAGGAAATGAACAAAGCCTCCAAGAAATATGGGACTATGTGAAAAGACCAAGTCTATGTCTGACAGGTGTACCTGAAAGTGATGGGGAGAATGGAACCAAGCTGGAAAACACTCTTCAGGATATTATCCAGCAGAACTTCCCCAATCTAGCAAGGCAGGCAAACATTCAAATTCAGGAAATACACAGAATGCCACAAAGATACTCCTTGAGAAGAGCGACTCCAAGACACATAATTGTCAGATTCGCCAAAGTTGAAATGAAGGAAAAAATGTTAAGGGCAACCAGAGAGAAAGGTCGGGTTACCCACAAAGGGAAGCCCATCAGACTGACAGCGGAGCTCTCAGCAGAAACTCTACAAGCTAGAAGAGAGTGGGGGCCTATATTCAACATTCTTAAGAAAAGAATTTTTGACCCAGAATTTCATATGCAACCAAACTAAGCTTCATAAGTGAAGGAGAAATAAATTCCTTTACAGACAAGCAAATGCTGAGAGATTTTGTCACCACCAGGCCTGCCCTAAAAGAGCTCCTGAAGGAAGCACTAAACATGGAAAGGAACAACTGGTACCAGCCACTTCAAAAACATGCCAAATTGGAAGGACCATCGATACTAGGAAGAAACTGCATCAACTAAAGAGCAAAATAACCAGCTAACATCATAATGACAGGATCAAATTCACACATAACAATATTAACCTTAAATGTAAATGGGCTAAATGCTCCAATTAAAAAACACAGACTGGCAAATTTCATAAAGAGTCAAGACCCATCAGTGTGCTGTATTCAGGAAACCCATCTCACATGCAGAGACACACATAGGCTCAAAATAAAGGGATGGAGGAAGATCTTCCAAGCAAATGGAAAACACAAAAAGGCAGGAGTTGCCATCCTAGTCTCGGATAAAACAGACTTTAAACCAACAAAGATCAAAAGAGACAAAGAAGGCCATTACATCATGGTAAAGGGATCCATTCAACAAGAAGAGCTAACTATCCTAAATATAGATGCACCCAATACAGGAGCACCCAGATTCATAAAGCAAGTCCTTAGAGACCTACAAAGAGACTTAGACTCCCACACAATAATAATGGGAGACTTCAACACCCCACTGTCAACATTAGACACATCAATGAGACAGAAAGTTAACAAGGATATACAGGAATTGAACTCAGCTCTGCGCCAAGCGGACCTAATAGACATCTACAGAACTCACCATCCAAAATCAACAGAATATACATTCTTCTCAGCACCACACTGCACTTATTCCAAAAATTGACCACATAGTTGGAAGTAAAGCACACCTCAGCAAATGTAAGAGAACAGAAATTATAACAAACTGTCTCTCAGGCCACAGTGCAATCAAACTAGAACTCAGGATTAAGAAACTCACTCAGTGTGTGATGTTCCCTTTCCTGTGTCCATGTGTTCTCATTGTTCAATTCCCACCTATGAGCGAGAACATGCAGTGTTTGGTTTTTTGTGCTTGTGATAGTTTGCTGAGAATGATGGTTTCCAGCTTCATCCATGTCCCTACAAAGGACATGAACTCATCATTTTTTATGGCTGCATAGGATAGCATTAGGAGGTATACCTAAGGCTAAAAGACGAGTTAATGTGTGCGGCACACCAACATGGCACACGTATACATATGTAACAAACCTGCACGTTGTTCACATGTACCCTAAAACTTAAAGCATAATAATAATAATAAAAGAAACTCACTCAAAACCGCTCAACTACATGGAAATTGAACAACCTGCTCCTGAATGACTACTGGGTACATAACGAAATGAAGACAGAAATAAAGACATTCTTTGAAACCAATGAGAAAAAAGACACAACATACCAGAATCTCTGGGACACATTCAAAGCAGTGTGTAGAGGGAAATTTATAGCACTAAATGCCCACAAGAGAAAGCAGGAAAGATCTAAAATTGACAACCGAACATCACAATTAAAAGAACTAGAGAAGCAAGAGCAAACATATTCAAAAGCCAGCAGAAAGCAAGAAATAGCTAAGATCAGAGCAGACCCGAAGGAAATAGAGACACAAAAACCCCTTCAAAAAATCAATGAATCCGGTAGCTGGTTTTTTGAAAAGATCAACAAAATAGATAGACTGCTAGCAAGACTAATAAAGAAAAGATAGAAGAATCAAATAGATGCAATAAAAAATGATAAAGGGCATATCACCACGGATCCCACAGAAAGACAAACTACCATCAGAGAATACTATAAACACCTCTATGCAAATAAACTAGAAAATCTAGAAGAAATGGATAAATTCCTCAACACATACACCCTCCCCAGAATAAACCAGGAAGAAGGTGAATCTCTGAATAGACCAATAACAGGCTCTGAAATTGAGGAAATAATTAATAGCTTACCAACCAAAAAAAGTCCAGGACCAGATGGATTCACAGTCGAATTCTATCAGAGGTACAAGGAGGAGCTGGTACCATTCCTTCTGAAACTATTCCACTTAATAGAAAAAGAGGGAATCCTCCCTAACTCATTTTATGAGGCCAGCATCATCCTGACACCAAAGCCTCGCAGAGACACAACAAAAAAAGGGAATTTGAGACCAATATCCCTGATTAACATCGATGCAAAAATCCTCAATAAAATACTGGCAAACCGAATCCAGCAGCACGTCAAAAAGCTTATCCACCAATATCAAGTCGGCTTCATCCCTGATCCGCAAGGCTGGTTCCACTTACGCAAATCAATAAACGTAATCCATCACATAAACAGAACCAATGACAAAAACCACATGATTGTTTCAATATGTGCAGAAATGGCCTTCGATAAAATTCAACACCCTTTCAGGCTAAAAACTCTAGATAAACTAGGTATTGATGGAACGTATGTAAAAATAATAAGAGCCATTTATGACAAAACCACAGCCAATATCATACTGAATGGGCAAAAGCTAGAAGCACTCCCTCTGAAAACCAGCACAATGCATGGATGCCCCCTCTCACCACTCCTATTCAACATAGTATTGGAAGTTCTGGCCAGGGCAATCAGGCAAGAGAAAGAAATAAAGAGTATTCAAATAGGAAGAGAGGAAGTCAAATTGTCTCTGTTTGCAGATGACATGATTGTATATTTAGAAAACCCCATCATCTCAGCCCAACATCTCCTAAAGCTGATAAGCAACTTCAACAAAGTCTCAGGATACAAAATCAATGTGCAAAAATCAAAATCATTCCTATACATCAACAATAGACAAACGGAGAGCCAATCATGAGTGAACTCCCATTCACAATTGCTAAAAGAAAATAAAATACATAGGAATACAACTTACAAGGGATGTGAAGGACCTCTTCAAGGAGAACTACAAACCACTGCTTAAGGAAATAAGAGAGGACACTAACACATGGAAAAACATTCCACGCTCATGGGTCTGAAGAATCAATATCATGAAAATGGCCATACTGCCCAAAGTGATTTATAGATTCAATGCTATCCCCATCAAGCTGTAATGGAGTTTCTTCACAGAATTAGAAAAAACTACTTAAAACTTCATATGGAAGCAAAAAAGAACCTGTATACACAACACAATCCTAAGCAAAAAGAACAAAGCTGGAGGCATCACGCTACCTGACTTCAAACTATACGACAAGGCTACAGTAACCAAAACAACATGGTACAGTTATCAAAACAGATATGTAGACCAATGGAACAGAACAGAGGACTCAGAAATAATGCCACACATCTACAACCATCTGAACCTTGACAAACCTGACAAAAACAGCCAATGGGGAAAGGATTCCCTATTTAATAAACGGTGTTGGGAAAACTGGCTAGCCATATGCAGAAAACTGCAAATGAACCCCTTCCTTTCACCTTATGCAAAAATTAACTCAAGATGGATTAAAGACTTAAATGTAAGACCTAAAGCCATAAAAACCCTAGAAGAAAACCTAGGTGATACCATTCAGGACATAGGCATGGGCAAAGACTTCATGGCTAAAACACTAAAACCAATGGCAACAAAAGCCAAAATTGACAAATGGGATCTAATTAAAATAAAGAGCTTTTGCACAGCAAAAGAAACTATCATCAGAGTCAACAGGCAACCTATAGAATGGGAAAATTTTTTGCAATCTATCCATCAGACAAATGGCTAATATCCAGAATCTACAAGGAACTTAAGCAAATTTACAAGAAAAAAACAAACAACCCTGTCAAAAAGTGGGTGAAGGATACTAACAGACAACTCTCCAAAAAAACCATTTATCCAGCCAACAAACATATGAAAAAATGTTCATCACCACTGGTCATTTGATTTGCATTTCTCTAATGCAAATCAAAACCACAGTGAGATACCATCTCATGCCAGTTAGAATGGTGATCATTAAAAAGTCAGGAAACAACAGATGCTGGAAAGGATGTGGAGAAATAGGAATGCTTTGACACTGTTGGTGGGAGTGTAAATTAGTTCAACCATTGTGGAAGACAGTGTGGCAATTCCTCAAGGATCTAGAACCAGAAATACCATTTGATCCAGCAATCTCATTACTGGGTATATATCCAAAGGATTATAAATCCTTCTACTATAAAGACACATGCACAAGTATGTTTATTGCAGCACTATTCACAACAGCAAAGACTTGGAACCAACCCAAATGCCCATCAATGATAGACTGGATAAAGCAAATGTGGCACATATACATCATGGAATACTATGCAGTCATAAAAAATAAGTTCATTTCCTTTGCAGGGACATGGATGAAGCTAGAAACCATCATTCTCAGCAAACTAACACAGGAACAGTAAACCAAAACACCACATAAGTGGGAGTTGAACAATGAGAACTCATGGTCACAGGTAGGGGAACACTACACATCAGGGCCTCTCGGGGTGTGGAGGGCTAGGAGAGGGGTAGCATTAGGAGAAATACCTAATGTAGATGACGGGTTGATGGGTACAGCAAACCACCATGGCATGTGTATACGTATGTAACAAAACTGCACGTTCTGCACATGTATCCCAGAACTTAAAGTGGAAAGAAAGAAAGAA
Organism: Homo sapiens; assembly: GCF_000001405.40. Taxonomy (NCBI): domain Eukaryota; kingdom Metazoa; phylum Chordata; class Mammalia; order Primates; family Hominidae; genus Homo; species Homo sapiens. The sequence goes on along the minus strand of NC_000001.11, from coordinate 13,038,115 downwards.
AGAAAGAAAGAAAGAAAGAAAAAAAGAAAGAAAGAAAGAAAGAAAGAAAGAAAGAAAGAAAGAAAGAAAGAGAAAGAAAGAAAGAAAGAAAGAAAGAAAGAAAGAAAGAGATGAAGCAAGAAAGATGGAAGGAAGGAAGGAAGGAAGGAAGGAAGGAAGGAAGGAAAGAGAGAGAGAGAGAGAGAGAAAGAAAGAAAGAAAGAAAGAAAGAAAGAAAGAAAGAAAGGAAAAGAAAAGACAGTGGAGGGGAGGGGATGGGAGAGGAGGTGAAGGGAAGGGAAGGGAAGGGAAGGGAGAAGAAAAGAAATACCCATAAAATAGGAAAGCTGGCTGGTCACAGGAGAAGCATGAAAATATCAAGCAGTGATTTCATATAGCAGCAAGAAAAGAGCTTGTAAAATTAGCTGCAAGAATAAGGATAAGCCTTGACCCATAAGATCCAAACAAGCAGGAAGGGGCTAAGCTGGCTGACACTGAATTGGTCAGACATGGCACTGGGTTTGACCCTTGCCCTACCCCAGGCCTAATTATACACCTATTATGACAGTAAGTCACACACCAGCGCCAGGACGGTTCTGAGAATGCCCATATTTAGTATAAAAATAGTTAACACCTAGCCACGTGCAGTGGCTCATGCCTGTAATCCCAACATTTTGGGAAACTGAGGCAGGCGGATAACCTGGTGTCGGGAGTTTGAGACCACCCTGACCAACATGGAGAAATCTCGTCTCTCCTAAAAATACAAAATTAGCCGAGTGTGGTGGTGCATGTCTGTAACCCCAGCTACTCCAGAGGCTGAGGCAGGAGTATTGCTTGAACACGGGAGGCGGAGATTGCAGTGAGCCAAGATCGCGCCATTGCACTCCAGCCTGGGCAACAAGAGCGAAACTCCATCTCAAAACATAAATAAATAAATAAATAAATAAATAAATAAATAAATAAATGACACCTCAGTTCTAAGAAAACTTCACCATTTTTTCTTAAAATCCTAATGATTATTTCAACCTCTCCTTACAGATCCTATAAAATTAGAAACCCAAACTCTCTTGTACCTGACTCGCTCTCCTGAATAAGCCCTCTCTTGAGTGTGTTCCTTTGCTTTGCAATAGACACTTCTTGCCTTTTGCTTCATTCTGCCTACTTCCTAAACTCTTTCTTGCAGCGGTGACAAGAATGTGGACACTGGTTGGTGATTGAGTCTCTGGGCACCTGGAGACGACCTAAGCACTATGGCAATAGTCAGTCTAAAAATCACACAGGATATCACAATTCACTCTCTGGTTTTCTTGGGGGAAAAATCCAGTAACTTTGGCCCCATATCCCCAAGGGGCATCACTCAGCACAAACTGAGAAGCAGCAGTCCTACCGCTGGGTTGTAAGTATGCGGCTTTATTCCGGGGTTCTCTATTCCATTCCATTGGTCTATGTCTCGACCTTCATACTGGCACCACGCAGTTTTGCTTACTATTGCCTTACTGTATAAATTGAAGTCAGGTAATGTGATGTCTCCATATTTGTTCATTTTGCTTCGGATTGCTTTGGCTCTTCAGGCTCTTCTTCATCTCCATATGAATCTTAGGATTCTTTTTTTAATCTTGTGAAAATGGTGTTTGTATTTTGGTGTATGAAATTTTTAGACTGACGTTTTTAGATTGATGTTTGATGTTTGCAGTTTTTAGATTGCTTTGGGCAGTGTGGTCATTTTCACAATATTGTGTCTGTCAATCCGTGAGCATGGGCTGTTTTTCTACTTTTTTGTTGTCTATGATTTTTTTCAGCAGTGTCTTGTAGTTCATCTCATAGAGATCCTTTACCTAATGGTTAAGTGTATTCCTAGGTTGTTTTTGTTATTGTCACTGTTTTTGTTGTTGTTTTGCAACTATTGTGAAGGGATGGAGTTCTTGAATTGATTCTCAGCTTGCTTGTTGTTGGTATCAAACAGTGGTACTTATTTGTACATATTGATTTTGTACCTGAGATTTAAGTGAATTCACTTATCGCATCTATGAGTCTTGGTGGAATCTTTCCAGTTTTCTAAGCACATATGATCACATCATTGGCAAACACAGGTAGTTTCACTTCCTTCTTTCCAATTTAATTATACTTTATTCCTTTTGCTTACCAGATTGCTCTGACAAAAATTTTCAGTCCTATGTTGATTACAAGTGGATAAAGTGAGGATTTTTGTCTGCTTGTAGTTCCTAGCAGGAATACTTTCAACGTTTCTTCATTCAATATGATGTTGCATGTGGATTTGTCATTTTTGGCTTCTATTATTTTGATGTATGTTCTTTCTAGGCATAGTTTGTGTAAGCGTAGTCTATTATTTTACAAGCTCAGATTTGTATTCTGTTTTATCTGAGTGCATTGTGAGATTTGGCATCTATTTTACCTGATATAAGTACAGCTACTCTTGCTGTTTTTGGTTTCCAGTTGCATGGAATATCTTATTCTACCCATTCACTTTCCATCTACATGTATGTTTATAGGTGAATTAAGTTTCTGGAAAACAGCATATAGTAGGGTTTTATGTTTTTACTCATTCAAAGACCCTATGCCTTTCACTTGCAGAATTGAGATAAATTATATTCATTGTTTTTATTGATAAAGGCTTAGTGCTCCCATTTCATTTCTTGTTTTTTGGTTGTTTAGAGACTTCTCTCTTCCATCCTTTTCTTATTGTCTTTCTTTGTGTTTAAGTAATTTTCTCTTCTGGAATACTTAGAATGTGACTCTTCTGGCCAGAAACCTCTGTGGCTGGGGGCACCTTTGCCAGAGTTTTGATGGGGTTCACTGGGTTCGTTCTGCCCATGCAGCCTGGTAGACTATGCTTGGCTCATGTTTCAAGCCTGGAGCACATGCCTATTAAGGGCGGGTCAGGGCTGGAGTGGTGAGGGGTGTGTGAGTGAGCAGGGGGTCTGGCCACTTTGGACGGTCACCGGCTGCTGCTGCTGCAGCAGTGGGTTGGGCAGCTCCAGGTGTCAGCATGTGTGCCAGATTTCTGCAAGGCTGCAAATGAATCAGGCACAGCACAAACAGCTTCCATGGTTGTCACTGGAATACACAGTGACACCAACACTGAAAGCTTGGAAATGCCAGGAACTGCAGAACCCCCAAAAGGGAGTCACAGCCCTGGCTCAGGAAGCTCCCACATCTGGGCTCCTGGAAGAGTAGTCGCTCTTCTCTTTTTCTCTTCACCTACAATTTGGTGAGCAAGGGGCATGTTTCAGCTTTATTTGTGTTATTGCTCTTTTACCCCACCATTAGGCGGGTCTCAAGTTTTTGTCCTGTGACCAGGAAGAGTGAAATATGCAGACAAGTGGAGGGTGAGTGAGATAAAGAGGAGCTTTATTGAGCAATAGAACAGCTCAGAGACCCACAGTGGGTAACTTCTTTCTGCAGCCAGGGCGTCCTGATGAGTGTTTAGTACTGAGCAGAGAGGAGGCCCTGGGTGGGTGACCCCTCCCTCCTGGCAGGTTATTCCATCATCACCACTGCTCTCAGTAGAGAGAAGGCCCTGGAGTGGGTTGCTGCTCTCTGCAGGAAAGTCATCTCATCATCTCTACAGCTCTCAGCAGAGAAAAGGACCCGGAGGGGGTTGCTTGTCTCTACAGGAAAATCATCCCCACAGTGGGTAGTTCCTCTCTGCCACTGGTCTTCCTAATGTTCTCCCTGAGTCTGGGGTTTTTTTGACATCAGACAGGAGAAAGTATGCACTCATTGGGTCATAGGTGGCCATGAGCAGGCACAGAAAAGGCAACACATGTTCCCACTCTGGTCCATAGGACTGGTGGCCCAGCCCATGGGCTTCAGGCCCTCCTTGATCAGAAGGTGGAGCTTCACCAGTGACCCTCACCTTCCTGTCCAGGATTCTGTCTGCCTCCCACCACCAACCATGGAGCCCAGGTCACTTGTACCAAGGAGCATCCAAAGACCAGTGCTGATCAGTCCGCAACACCCCTCAGCCTCCCTCCTACACTCATCAAGGCCCAAAGTCCAGAGGGTTCAAGACAGCAGTGGGATGGTGCATCAGCACTGACCCGAGTGTGCACAGACCCACCTGGGCTGCGACAGCATCTGGGCTTGACCACAACCACACTCCAAAATTAGAGCAGGTGCCATGAGAGATGAGGCAGTGAGAGCGGACACCCCCAAGCTGCAGGAGAAGGGGGGATCTCCTGGACCCTCGAGAGTACTGGGGGACCTCATTTGGTAACTGTGACCTGGACAACTTCAGTTGCGTCTTTGGAGCTACTGCCCTGCCAACTCAGGAGGACCAGGACTCCCTCTTGTCCCAGGCTCCCATCAGCTCTGAAGTGTACGCAGCCTTGGATGTGCCCTTTCTCTGTGTTTCCCTGCAGAAGTGACAGTTGAGAAGCAGATACACAGCAGCTCTGACCAACCCCGCACAAACAAACCCAATGCTCCTGGGTGTGGTTTAACCAGCCCCAACTGCACTATCATCCAGGAGCTTGCAGGCTAACAGCAGGCAGTGAGCAGTGAAGTAGAGGCTGTGGTGGAGACTCCAGACCTGGGACAAGGTTCCATTTTGCGATGAGAGGGTGTGGGTGGCACAGTTGGCTGCCTCAGGGAAATGGAGCACAGGCCTGGCTCATGACCCAGTCAAGGGGAGTGCCTCCAGGAGTGGTTCATGGTTCCAGGCCCAGCAATCGGGCTGGTCACCCCTATGGGGGGCGGATCTCGGAAACACAGCCTGGGGTGGATCCGCATAGAACCTCCCTTCAAGACCTGGGAGCTTGACACCGTTAGCAGGATGGGCACAGTGACCAGATAGCTGGCCAGGTCCTTGAAGCAGGTGCCATTTCTGCTTCTCACCCTGGCCCCCTGATGGATGGCCCCAGCTATGCCTTCTGGGCCTGGCATCCGCACATCTTGTGCGAGCGTGGCACCACCCCATTCCTATCTTCTCCTTGGGGCCCCTCTCTGCCCGTCCCTTCGCGCCTGACCGAGCTGCTCCCCGTGGGCAAAAAAGTAAGAAAAAAACTGATGACTGAAGAGAAGTAAAGAATGGGTGGAGATCATCTGTATGCCTGTTTTCCTAGCGCTTTGGGAGGCCAAGGTCAGTGGATCACTTGAAGCCAGGATCTTGAGACCAGGCTGATCAACACGGAAAAACCTCATCTCTATTAAAAATACAAAAATCAGCCAGTCTTGGTGGAACGTGCCTGCAGTCCCAGCTATTTGAGTGGTTGAGGCACAAGAATCACTTGAGCCCTGAAGGAAAGGATTGCAATGAGCCCAGATTGCACCACTGCACTCCAGCCTAAATGACAAACTGAGATTTTGTCTCCAAAACAAAACAAAGAACAAGAATGGGTGGGAAATACTTAAAATGATCAAATTTTATTTGGTTGCTTTGATGTTCTACAGCTGAAACTCAATCACAGACAAAGTAGTATTTCATTATTTTTCCATCAGTAACTCAATAACTAGATATTTCTGGTGGATAAATTGCTACAACACGTTAAAAGTTTTCATTCAGGTGCTCTTTATTTCTGATATTCCTTGGTAACCATCCTTGCAGGGATAACATTCTCATCACTGTAGAACTTTAGCTTCTCTTTCCGACTCTGTAGGACACGGGTCCCTGAAGTTCTCATTGATGTCACCTCAACATTTTCCTCCAGCCTTGCCCCCTGCTGTTATGTTTTCTCCCTCACACTGAGCACTTCCCTGTGCTTCCTTTAAGTTGCATGTGGCCTGGACACAGTCACTCATGCCAGTAATCCCAGCACTTTAGGAAGCTGAGGCAGGAGGATCCCATAAGCCCAGCTGAGGCAGGAGGATCCCAGAGCAACACAGAGAAACCCTGTCTCAAATTGTCTTTAATAAAAATTTTGGAATTATTAAAAAATGAAATAAATAAGAAAAGAGAAAAATAGCTTGCACCTACATAGTAGATTTTAGTGTCCAAGTGCCTGGAAGAGAACTTTGGATTTCTCTACCCCACTGGGCATGCCTTCCCTAGCAGCAAAGATGGAGCTCCAGTTCCTCAGACAGTGATGAGCCACAGGAAGGGCAGGGGGTGGGGCCAATGAAGATCCTCTTGGGCTGCCTGACTTCCCTCAGTGTACACATCAGCTCAGCCCGAAGTGGGGTCAAGATCTCCCAATTGACACGAACCAAGGAATTCAAACTCTCCTCAGGGGCAGGATACGTCTCCAGGCTTAACTTGCTCAGCCCACTGGTGTGGCGCAGCAGGTCCTTCAGGGCACCCATAGACATACAATTTCTGCCAAAGTAGAAGGTGGTGAGCTGGGAGCAGCGGCTCAGGCCAGGCAGGATGGCACTGAGTTGGGAGTAGTGGATCTGACAGCCCTCCAAGATGAGGGTTTCGAGAGAGGCAGCAATTTTCTCTAGCAGAGCTCCGAGGGGTTCAAGACTGATGCGGAACAGCAGCACGTAGCTGAGATTCAGATGCTTTAGGTAACCGAGGCTTGGGTACTGGGAGAGACACTTCACATCCTCTTCCAATAGGTAGCCATAAGTTAATTCCAAGTTCTCCAAGGGGTTCTGGAGGCACCTGTGGAGATCAAGAAGTTAGTTCTGGGCAATGGTACCAGTTAGATGAAGGTAGTGCCTTCATCTAGGAAAATGCCTGCGTCAAACAAACACAAGTTTGTTCCCACCATCTGATGATGGTCCTCATGGAAGTTGCTGCATGATGAGGACCCTGATCGCTCAGGGGCTGTCCCATTTTAGAATCAGCCCTTTCACCATTGCTTGTGTGATTGGGTCAAGGCCATAAAATCTCTAAAGCCTTTTTTTTTTTTCATCTTTTAGCAGAAAACTTTATCTCTGGGCCACAGGTACCCGGTGGGAGATGTGAACAAAGAACTCAACTCAGCAAGGTCTAGGGACATCAGCTAGGGCTACATGTCGGCAGGGGCTACCTGACATGCCTGCATCTGCAAACCAACTGTCACTTTTTACCACTCTCACGCCTACTCCCTCACCTCCATCCCAGAAGCACGCATTTCCCATGTCAGTTACCTTTCCTGGAGTTCAAAACAACCTTTTACAAACAGGGAATCAGAGACAGGATCATTCGTGATCACTAAGCCGGTGAGGACAGACGTTCTATTGTGAAATGGACAGGTTTGATGCACTTTCCCTCCTTTCATACCCTCCTCTATTATCTCTTTGACATCATATCAACTTGAAACACACTTTGTAACAGGAAATTCACACGTGCACCCCCAATAGAGCTGAAACCCCCACTAACTAGCTTGTACATGATGTCCCTCTCTAGCTTCTACCCCAGGTGACCCCTCTGCCCTTATTGGAGCGATCCTGTGATAGCCACTCCAGGACATGGAACACTGAATGGGACAATGTGTTGACATTCTGGTGTCCCCTTCACTGTGACGTTGCCACTGGCTGGCACACAGTACACGCCTTCTAATGTTTGCTGTAAGAGAACAAGGCTATGCTGTGGTCTGCATAAAAAATGCATGATCCTTCCTCACCTGATCAGCTGTTCCAGGTGCCCACTGAAGAAGGTGATCAATTTTATTTTAAGCAACTGGAGGTGTTCCAGCCCGAGGAACACAGAGCTGAATTTGGTGACTAACCGTCCTTCGAGTTCATTATCTGACGTGGAATGATGGCACCTGGAGAAAACGAGTTTGCCAAGAGTCTTCATCTCCTTCAGGTAACAACGAAGCTTTCTTATCAGACGTGGCCAGGACATGTTGTGAATTTCCAGCTATTGAATACTATTCAGGTATATTATTTTCAACGACTTTCTGAGATGTTTAATCGGCGTTAGATAATTGACCAGCTTACTACAGCACAGGTGTACTAAACCTCTCCTTTGGTAAACCCACTGGAAGAGGTATCTCAGGCATTCATCCTGGGGTATTTCCTTGAGGCAGATGTCTATGAACACCTTTAAGGGCTGGTGCTCTCCCATCCTTGGACGGTCCTCTGCTGTCTGCCTCTTACTCATGGTCTCTGGGAAGCAGGACAGGGCCCAGGCTCCAGGCCATCTGGCCCAGAAATTCCCGTCAACGTCCCGCTAATCCAGCACTTGAAGTTTCCACCTCCTGTGGGTAAAATAAGGGAGAGGCTCAGAATTTAGAAGGACAAATCCCTGACCTTTGCTTTCATTGTCATCCCATAAATCAGCTGCTCATGTCCTCAGTGCTCCCTGTTCTCTTTGTCTTTTCTTGATCCCTTTTCCCTTTGGATTCTGAGTGGTCCCCACTTCTATTCCCTTTACCTTCCACTGAGAAAAGGCAGGTTTCTGTTCCCACAGTGGACCCTGTATGGTGAGCAGTCCTTTCTCTGAGGATCTGGACAATGGCCAAAGCCTCCCTGATCTTCCTCGCCAACACCATCAGAAGACTCTGGGCTACACTTGGGCTACTTCTCTGCCTGACCCTGCTGTTCTTTCCCTGGACACCTGAGCCCTATCTACCAGCCCTCCTGGGTCACCTCACCTGGGGCGATCCTTCTGTGTAAGCAGCATATGAAGCCCTTCCAGCAATGCTTTTAAGGTCTCCAAATGAAGCGTCTTCATCAGTGATCCCAGAGGGAGGCAGGTGAAGGGCCAGGCCTGCACCATCACCGTCACAGTCTGGAAGTGTCTCCTGCGGAAGGCCTCCATGAAGAGTGGGAGATAGAGCACCCTGGGCAGCTCCTCCATGGCAGAGATGGACAAGGCCTGGTCTCTCAGCAGGCTCTGCCCCGCCAGCTCCAGGAGTCTGGGTGGGGCCTGGATGCTCATCCTGATAGATCTGCAAGGAAAATCTCTAGAAGACAAATCCAGGGAAAATGTATCACTCTCATGGCAAACACAATCATCTGCTTCTACTGGTACCAGGAAGAATGTCTTCCAAACACCAAGGAGGGAGGGGTCAAGGAGACCACTGGTTTATTAATTTTCATCCATTGCTCCACTGAATCCCAGAACCACCGGACAGTGCCACTGAGGATCCTGAAAGCCAAGCTCTACCTCTTTGAGGAAAAATTTCTTGTCACTTACCACCCTAAAGCAATGAGAATGAGAGTGTCCTGTGGCCCCAGACAGCCTCCATTCTCAGTTTACACCATAAACATGCTGGGGGAACACTAAAGGGACTCCCTAAAATCGATGCCATTATTTTTTATTTTGAAAATTTTCTACCAGAAATGGACCAGGTGCTGTGGCTCATGTCTGTAATCCCAACACTGCTGGACACCAAGGCAGGCAGTTCACTTGAGGTCAGGAGTTCGAGAACAGCCTGGCCTACATAATGAAACGATGTCTCTACTAAATACAAAAAAATTAAGAATCATTTGACTCCAGAAGGCAGAGGTTGCAGAGAGCCAAGATCTCACCACTGCTCTCCAGCCTGGGTGACAGAGTTGGACTCCGACTCAAACAAAAACAAATTGATAAATTAATTAATTAAAATGTTAGCCAGGTGTGGTCATGCATGACTGTAATCCTAGCTACTCTGGAGGCAGAGGAAGGAGAATCACTTGAAGCCCAGAGGCAGAGTTTCCAGGGAGCCCAGCTCAGGGCCCTGCACTCCAGTCTGGGTGACACACTCAGAGTACATCGCAGAAAAAAAACAAAATAATTCACTGGAACTGTAAAAGTGGTGTGATGGTATTCCACAGCATTTGGAAGGTATGTATAGAAATGCTAACTGTACCTGGGCGCGGTGGCTCACTCCTGTAATCCCAGCACTTTGGGAGTCTGAGGGGGGCAGATCTCCTGAGGTCAGGAGTTTGAGGCCAGCATGGCCAACATGGCAAAACCCTGTGTCTACTAAAAATACAAAAATTAGCTGGGCATGGTGGTGAGTGCCTGTAATCCAAGCTACTCAGGAGGCTGAAGCAGGAGAATCGCATGTAACTAGGAGGCAGAAATTTCAGTGAACCAAACCACACCATGGCACTCCAGCCTGGGCAACAATAGGGAAACTCCATCTCAAAAACTGTAAAAGTGCTACCATGCTATTCTAGAGCACTGTAACTCTGAGATGAAGGTTCCTATAGACATCACTTCCACATACTCACAATTACCCACTTTTTGATGGATCCTAGGGGCAAAGATAAATCCCATGATCTGAGCAAAACTGCACTCTTGAGATTGGTGTGTGGGATACCTTTAAGGATTTTATGAAAATGAAAGCATACTTGGAGAATCACAATAACACCAAGTCTATGAACTGTAATTGAAGGGCACAAAAACAGATAACTTCAAATGTCAAGAAATAAAAATTCATGTCACTGTAAATTTTTAATATATTTTTTAAAAACCTGCTTCGATAAGAATTTTAAAATGACAAAAACCAAGCACAAATCACAATTTGATGGATGAAGACAAAACTACATTTAGAGGAAAAATGAAAGCCTAAATCTGTTCATCTCACGAAACAGACAGAAAAATATTGTGTGCCACTTTGGGATGTGTGTCACCGTCCCTGACTGGCTGGCTGCTGATCAGATGGGCATGACCCTAAGCAGGTGGTGACTTACCAGCGCTGGACTCACTTTGCAGAGTTCTGGGACCTCTCAGGGAACCAAGCAGTAGCTCCAGGAATGAGTGCTGTGGGTCTCTTCTGGGTACCCTCAGGAGCTTTTATAGACCTTTCTAACCCCACCCTTCCCTTCTCAATCACCAGCTTCCAATCAGAAAGTGATACCTGATTAGATCTTGCAGTCACACCCAGTTAATCCTGATTGAGTTTTCAGCTTTCTTCTGACTAATCGATTGAATTAGATACACATTTATGGAAGTAAAAGAATAAATAATAGGGTGAAAGTCTAAAACTCATTCGTTCATTTATTCCCCAAATACTGATGAAGTTTGGCTAATACACGACTTTCGTAGTGATGTAGGGAAGGGATTAATCTGTTCCTGATATTAGACCAAAAAAAAAAAAACCTTAAGGTGTCCTTATTGGAGGATGTTTGGCCACATCAAAATTGTCAAAATGTTTCAGAGCTACAATAGCCTGAAGAAGATAGTGATGTCATTCCCAAGAAAACAGAATAAAAAGCTGTGTATATCGAATGGTCACCTGTGTTTTATGCTATCTAACATAGCAGATCATATGCACATTCAGGTAGAAGAAAGGAACCACTGAGAGTGTGATCTATCTCAAGACTAAGTCAAGGCTTCACTGAAGGAAATCAGGACAAAGTGACCAAGTGAGGTGGGGACTGAGCGGAATGAGACTAGGTGTTCTAATGGGAACCTGCAAAGGAAACAAGACAATGTAAAACATGGCGGTTATCTTGTGGGCATCTAGATGTCAGGACTCAAAGTCTTTTGTCAAGATTGAGTTTATTTATTGATTGTTTGTTTGATTTTCAGACTGGGCCTACATCTGTCACTCAGGCTGGAGTGCAGTGGCACGATTTCAGCTCACTGCAGCCTCAACCTTCTGGTTCAAGTGATTCTCTCATTTCTGCCTCCCAAGTAGCTGGGAATTACGGGTGCACTCCAACAAGCCCTACTAATTTTTGTATTTTAGTCGAGATGGGGTTTCACCATGTTGGCCCGGCTGGTCTCAAACTCCTGACCTCAAGTGATCTCCTCACCTTGGCCTCCCAAAAGGCTGGGATAACATGCATCAGCCATCTCACCCACCCTAGATTGAGTTCAGAAATTAAAAGGAGAATCATCAAAAGAGATAGGGCAGACTTAAACCATAACATTCACTTTGAAAACACAGGGGGCAGGTATAGTCTTGGCCCTACTAGAAGGTAAAGGGTGTTTACTCACAAAACTGATGGGCTCCTCTCAGAAAACCAGCTTGCAAAGATGGAATCTAAGAATGTGAACTGGAGCAGAGGCCAGAGAGAAGATTGGGGCCAGACCTGGGAAGGGAGGCTCTCCCAAGCTGGAAGCCACCCAGGTAGAAACTGTGGGCTCTACAGGATGTGAGAGAGAAATGAACGAGGGTCCATATGTCCATCATTGTTCTATCATCTGGAAACCTTTCCTTTAGACTCTGGGATCTTCCCACAGTGGAACATTTCCCAGCAACCATTGGCCCCAGTCATTTTCCAGGACCCTTCATCCAAATCTTAATCTCACCCACTCCCTTCCTACTCTAATTTGATAATTCATGTTTCCTCCTTCTTAGAGTCCTTTCCTGTCGCTAATATTGAACATAGAGATTCTTATCAGAGCATCAACATTAGGCCTACAAAGAAAGCTCAGACCCAGGCACAGTGGCTCATGCCTGTAACATCAGCACTTTGAGAGGCCAAGGTGGGCTGATCATGAGGTCAGTATATCAAGACCATTCTAGCTAACACGGTGAAACTCCGTCTCTACTAAAAATACAAAAAATTAGCCGAGCATAGTGGCAGATGTCTGCACTCCCAGCTACTCAGAAGGCTGAGGCAGGAGAATCGCTTAAACCCAGGATGTGAAGTTGCAGTGAGCTGAGATGGCGCCACTGCCCTCCATCCTGGGTGATGGCATGACACTGTCAAAAAAGAACAAAAGAAAAAGCAAGCAAGCATGCAAGAAAGAAAGAAAGAAAGAAAGAAAGAAAGAAAGAAAGAAAGAAAGAAAGAAAGAAAGAAGGAAGGAAGGAAGGAAGGAAGGAAGGAAGGAAGGAAGGAAGGAAGGAAGGAAGGAAAGAAAGAAGAAAGAAAGAGAAAGAAAGAAAGAAAGAAAGAAAGAAAGAAAGAAAGAAAGAAAGAAAAAAGAAAGAAAGAAAGAAAGAAAGGAAGGAAGGAAGGAAAAGAAAGAAAGACCTCAGGCCTCTAATCCCAGCCCTTTGGGAAGCCAAGAAAGGCAGAGTGCTAGAGCTCAGGAGTTTGTGAGGAATATGGGCAATGTGATGAAACCCTGTCTCTAATAAAAATACAAGATATTAGCTGGGGGGAGGCAGTGTGCACCTGTAGGCCAAGCTGCCCAAGAAGTTGAGGTGGGAGGATCACCTGAGCCCAGTGAGGCTTCTACTTCCCACGCCCCACTTTGTAAACCTGAGGCTGAGGGTGAGCTCAACACCAATAATGGTTGTGAGAATCTGTGTTCACTGAGCATCCACGAGGCACAACAGACGGCTGGTACTGATCATCCCGGACCTCAGCTCTTCTTCATGGAGAATCTAAGGCACGTTGCTATTTTCCCCATTTCTAACCTGATAAACCTGAGATTTGGCCAGAGAAAAATCTTCCCATGTTCTGGCAGCAAATGATTGGCAAACCCCTCAGGTGAGGGGCTCAGTGGAACCCCCAAGGTGTTCAATAAGCTAAATATTGGAAAGAACTGGCTAACTGACTCCCTCTTCCTGCCCATTTCAAGGGGTGCAGTAGCACCCCCAGGACCCCAGTGAGAATCCTGCACTTGGGGTCTTTTCTACCATGTTCTGTCACCAGTTCTTCTCGAGGTGCTCATCTGCTGCCAAGCTCAGAGCAACCTTCGAAACCCATCTCAGGAAACGACCTGACCTATTCTCCACTCCCAGAATCCACACTGGGATTCCAAAGCTCCTATGAGGCCCTTGCTTAGGCTCTCTAGAATATTCCTGAGCCTCTGTTTTCTCCCTCAGCCTGAGCTGATGGGGCCGGCGTCACTTTATGCATCCCAAGGCCATCAGCCCATCTCTCCTGGACTTCAGAACATGGCCACAATGCAGAGAGACCCAGCAGTAATTAAGAAATTTTCCCCAGTTTATATTGAGTGATGTTGGTGAACATGGCAAGGCACAAAGCAGGAAACTCCACAGCTGCTGCTCTGGACCTAAAGAGGCACCCTGGACTTCTGGGTGGTGACACTGCCTGGCTTGCAGAGGAAGACCTGACCCCTCTGGTCTTCCAAGGCTGCCAGGATGATGACAGAGCCTTGGACAGGTCCCAGCGCAGGGGCCATCCCTTCCCAGGTTCCCCTGGCCCAGCCTTAGAGCTGATAAGGATGCACCTGGAATGCACTAAGTATTTTTTTGTCCAAGCCAGGTCTCTTCTTAGCCTTAGGTGAGGCTTTTTTCAGCTGGGTGCTATGGAAGAACCCGAAGCCCAGTGGGCATCACTGCAATGTCCACATGGTAAGTATGTGTGTGTGTGTGTGGCCACCTAGAAAGGCACAACTCTACCTGACAGAGCTGGTTCCATGGAAGAGAAAAGTATAACATCCCATGTCCCTGGTAGGACAACTTCCTCTGGGAGTCCAGCAAGAAGACGTGGAATCTGCGGACAAGAGGTCCCTGGGTAAAAGCCCTCATTTGAGGATAAGAGTAAAGTTGAACCTTAGACCCTGAGGGATCTATGCCCTTCCCACAGGGCTGCAGCAGAGCCAGCCCTGACTCCCAGGCACAATAGCCCAGAGAGATCTTCGAAGGGAAGTAAACCTGCTGGGGCCTCAGGGCTCAGAAAAAGCTCTGGACCTATCTCCCAGTCATGCCTCTCCCACTCCCAAGTGCCTCTGGCCCTGGAACTGTCAGAGACCCCTGTGTCTTTTCCATGTGCTCTTCTTCTCCTTTCACTCAGCCCTGCCTCTGCCAATGCTCCCTGCATTTGCCTCCATGTAAGGCCCCCAACCCCAAGCTCTGGCAGTGGCTGGGGAGCTAGGGGTTTTTGTGCCCACCTGGAGAAAGCCTCACTCAGCATGGGCCCGTGTGGGTTCTGCAGTCTTTTCCTACACAGGGTCACCTACAGGTGTTATGGTTGCATCTCCCCTAGAAGAGCCAATGGGGATGGGTGAGGAATCTGAAATCACTCAGGCACCCCACATACAAATGAGAGCCAGGGTCCCTGCAAGCACAGGCCCCGGGGTAGGTCCTGGCCCTTGTTGTTGCCTTCTGATCCCAGAGGCCTTGGGTTTGTGGTCACAGGAGCCCTACCTACTTCCCATGCACCCCCAGCCCAAGATAAACAAATTCCTGCAGCCTCCCCGGTCCATGTACTTGAGATCTCCAGATCGTGCCACTTCACTCCAACCTGGACGACAGGGCGAGACTCGGGGCCAAAAAAAAAATTAGCTGAGCATGGTGGCAGGCACTTGTAGTCCGAGCTATTTGGGAGGCTGAGGTAGGAGAATCACTTGAAGCCAGGAGGCAGAGGTTTAAGTGAGCTGAGATAGAGCCACTACACTGCAGCCTGGGAAATAGAGCAAGACTCCGTCTCAGGAAAAAGAGACAAGAAAAAGAGAAAATCAGAAGCACCGAGCTGTGTTTTTAATGAGGTCCTGCCCCAGGAAGTCAGGCATCCAAATGAAATTTCCTCATTTTTATCAATTCCCTCCTGTTCTTTACTTCTCTTTACAAATCTGTTACCTCCTGACTTTGTTCTGTGGCTGATCAGTGGGTGAATACCCACAAGATGCACACACAGGGCCAGGAACATTCTATGTGGGCAAAGAGTGTGAGTCACTCAAGTAAAGCCCCTTCTCAGGTCCCTCCCTGCTAACCAGATGCTGAGACCCTGTTCAGTCCTAATGGGCAGATTGAGAAGAATCCATTTCTGACCATTAGCTGTGCTGGGACAGAGATTCACTGCACAAGGCATGGCCCCTGCTTTGGAAGGGGACATTCACATCATTGATTACCTGGAGCTTCAGGGCATCACCAACCCATACCTGTCGTCATGGTGGGCAGTGCTCCTTCCTTAATTAAACTAGTTGTGTCTTATAAAGATATCAAAATTCCCTTTTAGCAAAATACTGCCTACAATATATAAATATGGCTGGGTTTGTTGGCTCATACCTATAATAGTAGCACTTTGGGAGGCTGAGGCAGGAGAATCACAAGATCAAGAGATCGAGACCATCCTGGCCAACATGGTGAAACCCCATCTCTACTAAAACTACAAAAATTAGCTGGACATGTTGTCACATGCCTGTACTCCCAGCTACTAGAGAGGCTGAGGCAGGAGAATTGCTTGAACCCAGGAGGCGTAGGTTGCTGTGAGCTGAGATTGTGCCACCACACTTCAGCCTCATGACAGAGTGAGACTCCATCTCAAAAACAAAACAAAACAAAAGAAAATAACATATAAATACTAATAATCATATAGACATAAAACATGGTTTAAATATTTCTTTACCACATTCAAAAATCAAGCATGCTTTTTGGGGGCCAGGTCATATTGATGAGAGATCCTTTCTTAACACCCTTCCCATACCTAGCAGACTAAAGAAGAAGACTAGCGTATGCAGGGAAAAGAAAGAGAGATCAGACGGTTACTGTGTCTATGTAGAAAAGGAAGACATAAGAAACTTCATTTTGATCTGTACCCTGACTTTGCCCTGAGATGCTGTTAATCTGTAACTTTAGCCCCAACTTTGAGCTCACAGCAGCATGTGTTGTATAGAATCAAGGTTTAAGGGATCCAGGGCTGTGCAGGATGTGCTTTGCTAGCAAAAGGTTTACAGGCAGTATGCTTGATAAAAGTCATCACCATTCTCCATTCTCAAGTAACCAGGGGTGCAATACACTGTGAAAAACCTCAGGGACCCCTGCCCTGGAAAGCCAGGTATTGTCCAAGGTTTCTCCCCATGTGATAGTCTGAAATATGACCTCATTGGATGGGAAAGACCTGACCTTCCACCCAGCTTGACATCCATTAAGGGTCTGTGCTGAGGAGGATTAGTAAAAGAGGAAGGCCTCTTGCAGTTGAGATAAGAGGAAGGCTTCTGTCTCCTGCCTGCCCCTGGGAACTGAATGCCTCAGTATAAAACCTGATTATACATTTGTTCTATTCTGAGATAGGAGAAAAACTGCCTGTGGTGGGAGGCGAGACATGTTGGCAGCAATGCTGCTTTGTTACTCTTTACTCCATTGAGATGTTTGGGTGGAGAAAAGCATAAATCTGGCCTATGTGCACATCCAGGCATAGTACCATCCCTTGAACTTATTTGTGACACAGATTCCTCTGCTCACATGTTTTCTTGCTGACTTTCTCCCCACTATCACCCTGCTCTCCTGCCACTTTTCCCTTACTGAGTTAGTGAAAATAGTAATCAATAAATACTGAGGGAACTCAGAGACCAGTGCCGGTGTGGGTCCTCCGTATGCTGAGCAGCAGTCCCCTGGGCCCATTTTTCTTTCTCTATACTTTGTCTCTGTGTCTTATTTCTTTTCTCAGTCTCTTGTCCTGCCTGATGAGAAATACCCACAGGTGTGGAGTGGCTGACCCCCTTCACCTGGCGCCCAACGTGGGCCTTTCTCTAGGGTGAAGGTACGCTAAAAACGTGAGCATTGAAGACAGTCAACGAGAGATTCCCAAGTACTTCCACGGTCAGCCATGCGGTAAGCTTGTGTGCTCAGAGGAACCCAGGGTAACAATGGGACAAACTGAAAGTAAATATGCCTCTTATCTCAGCTTCATTAAAATTCTTCTAAGAAGATGGGGAGTTAGAGCTTCTACAGAAAATCTAATTATGCTATTTCAAACAATAGAACAATTCTGCCCATGGTTTCCAAAACAAGGACTTTAGATCTAAAAGATTGGGGGAAAATTGGCAAAGAATTAAAACAAGCAAGTAGGGAAGATAAAATCATCCCACTTACAGTATGGAATGATTGGCCCATTATTAAAACAACTTTAGAACCGTTTCAAATAGAAAAAGATAGCCTTTCAATTTCTGATGCCCCTGAAAGCTGTGTAGTAGATTGTGAAGAAGAGGCAGAGACAAAATCCCGGAAATTAATGGAAAGTTCACATTGTAAAATGTAACAGAGTCTGTAATGGCTCAGTCAACGCAAAATGTTGACTACAATCAGTTACAGGAGGTAATATATCCTGAATCATCAAAACTGGTGGAAGGAGGTCCAGAATTATTGGGGCTACCAGAGCCTAAACCACAATGGCCATCAACTCCTCCTCCAGTGGTTCAGATGCCTGTAACATTACAACCTCAAATGCAGGTTAGACAAGTGCAAACCCCAAGAGAATATCATGTAGAAAAGGATAGAGTCTCTATCCCGGCCATGCCAATTCAGATACAGTATCCACAATATCAGCTGGTAGAAAATAAGACCCAACCACCGGTAGTTTATCAATACTGGCCGCCAGCTAAGCTTCAGTATGGGCCGTCTCCGGAGGTTCAATACAGACCTCAAGCTGTGTGTCCCGTGCCACATAGCACGGCACCTCACCAGCAACCCAGCGGTGTTTAGTCCTACATCACCACCTAGTGGACAAGGTAGTACACTGCATGAAATCATTGATAAAGCCAGAAAACAGGGAGATCTTGAGGCATGGCAGTTCCTTGTAATTTTACAACCAATACCAGCTGGGAAAGGGGGGCAAGCTGGAGCGTCTGTCCAAACTGAGGCTAGATATGAATCTTTCACCATGAAAATGTTAAAAGATATGAAGGAAGGAGTTAAACAATATGGACCCAACTCCCCTTATATGAGAACTTTATTAGATCCCATTGCTCATGGAAATAGACTTATTCCCTATGATTGGGAAATGTTGGCTAAATCTTCCCTTTCACCCTCTCAGTTCCTACAATTTAAAACCTGGTGGATTGATGGAGTACAAGAACAGGCACGAAAAGTCAGGCTATTTATCCCGCTGTTAATATAGATGCAGATCGATTGCTAGGAACAGGTCCAAATTGGAGTACAATTGGCCAACAGTCAGTAATGCAGAATGAGGGTATTGAATATCTAAGGGCTCTTTGCCTCAGGGACTGGGAAAAAATTCAGGACCCAGGCACCTGGGTGCCCCACACACCACTTGCCCAGGCATCACTTGCCCAGGCACCGCTTGCCCTTCTTCTAATTCAATTAGACAAGGCTGCAAAGAGCCATATGCAGACTCCGTGGCAAGGTTGCAAGATGCCTCTGAAAAATCTGTTTCGGATGATAATGCTCAAAAAGTTATTGTAGAAATAATGGCTTATCAAAAGTCAAATCCAGAATTTCAACCAGCCATAAAGCCATTAAAAGGAAAAGGTCCAGCAGGAGTTGATGTAATTACGGAATATGTGAAAGCTTGTGATGGGATTGGAGGAGCTATGCGTAAGGCAATGCTAATGGCTCAAGCAATGACCGGAGTCACTTTAGGAGGATAGTTAGAGCATTTGGGGGGAAATGTTATAATTGTGGTCAAATCGGTCATCTAAAAAAGAACTGCCCAGTCTTAAATAAACAGAGTAAAAATAAAGAGCCACCTGGCCTGTGTCCAAGACATGGAAAAGGAAAACATTGGGCTAATCAATGTCGTTCTAAATATGATAAAAATGGGCAACTATTGTCAGAAAAAGGGGTGAGGGGCCAGCCTCAGTCCCAACAACAAACTGGGGCATTCCCGATTCAGCCGTTTGTTCTTCAGGGTTTTCAGGGACAGCAACCACCACAGCAAATACCACCACTTCAGGGAATCAGCCAATTACAACAATACAACAGCTGTCCCCCGCCACAGCAGGCAGCACAGCAGTAGATTTATGTTCCACTCAAAAGGTTTCTTTACTCCCTGGAGAGACCCCGCAAAAGATTCCTACAGGGGTATATGGCCCACTGCCAGGAGGGACAGTAGGCCTCATTTTAGGGAGATGAAGTCTAAATTTGAAGGGAGTCCAAATTCATACTGGGGTAATTGATTCAGATTATAAAGGGGAAATTCAGTTAGTGATCAGCTCCACTGTTCCCTGGAGTGCCAATCCAGGTAATAGAATTGCTCAATTATTGCTTTTGCCTTATATTAAAATTGGGGAAAATAAAACGGAAAGGACAGGAGGGTTTGGAAGTACCAACTCTGCCGGAAAAGCCACTCATTGGGCTCGTCAGGTCTCAGAGAATAGACCTGTGTGTACAGTCACTATTCAGGGAAAGCAGTTTATAGGATTATTGGATACCGATGCTGATGTTTCCATTATCGCCTTAAATCAATGGCCAAAAAATTGGCCTAAACAAAAGCCTGTTACAGGACTTGTCGGTGTGGGCAGCGCCTCAAAAGTGTATCAAAGCACCATGATTTTACATTGTCTAGGACCTGATAATCAAGAAAGTACAGTTCAACCTATGATTACTGCTATTCCAATTAATTTATGGGGCCGAGACTTGTTACAACAATGGCATGCAGAGATGACTATCCCAGCCTCCTTATACAGCCCCACGAGTCAAAAAATCAGACTAAAATGGGGTATCTCCCTGGCAAAGGACTAGGGAAAAATGGAGATGGCATTAAAATCCCAATTGAGGCTGAGGGAAATCAAGAAAGAAAAGGAATAGGATATCCTTTTTAGGAGTGGCCACTGTAGAGCCCCCAAAACCCATTCCATTAACTTGGAAAACAGAAAAACCTGTATGGGTAAATCAGTGGCTGCTACCAAAACAAAAGCTGGAGGCTTTACACTTACGGGCAAAAGAACAATTAGCAAAGGGACATATTGAGCCTTCATTTTCGCCTTGAATTCTCCTGTGTTTGTAACTCAGAAAAAATCCAGCAGATGGCACATGTTAACCGACTTAAGAGCCGTCAATGCTGTAATTCAACCTATGGGGGCTCTCCAACCTGGGTTGCCCTCTCTGGCCATGATCCCCAAAGATTGGCCTTTAATTATAATTGATCTGAAGGATTGCTTTTTTACCATTCCTCTAGCAAAACAGGATTTTGAAAAATTTGCTTTTACTATACCAGCCATAAATAATAAAGAACCAGCCACCAGGTTTCAGTGGAAAGTGTTGCCTCAGGGAATGCTTAATTGTCCAACTATTTGTCAGATTTTTGTAGCTGAAGCTCTTCAACCAGTTAGAGACAAGTTTTCAGACTACGTCTTTCATTATGTTGATGATCTTTTGTGTGCTGCAGAAACGAGAGACACATTAATTGACTGTCACACATTTCTGCAGACAGAGGTTGCAAACTCAGGACTGACAATAGCATCTGATAAGATTCAAACCTCTACTCCTGTCCATTACTTGGGAATGCAGGTAGAGGAAAGAAAATTTAAACAACAAAAAATAGAAATAAGAAAAGACATTAAAAACATTAAACGACTTTCATAAATTGCTAGGAGATATTAATTGGATTTGGTCAATTCTAGGCATCCTTACTTATGCCATGTCAAATTTGTTCTCTATCTTGAGTGGGGATCCAGAATTGAATAGTAAAAGAACATTAACTCCAGAGGCAACTAAAGAAATTGAATTAATTGAAGAAAAAATTCGGTCAGCACAAGTAAATAGAATAGATCACTTCGCCCCACTCCAACTTTTGATTTTTGCTACTGCATATTCTCAACAGGCATTATTGTTCAAAATACAGATCTTGTGGAGTGATCTTTCCTTCCTGACAGTACGATTAAGACTTTTACATTGTACTTGGATCAAATGGCTACATTAATTGGTCAGGCAAGATTACAAATAATAAAATTGTGTGGAAGTGACCCAGATAAAATCATTGTTCCTTTAAACAAGGAAGAGTTTAGACAAGGCTTTATCAATTCTGCTGCATGGCAGATTGCTCTTGCTGATTTTGTGGGAATTATTGATAACCATTACCCAAAAACAAAAATCTTCCAGTTTTTAAAATTGACTACTTGAATTTTACCTAAAATTACCAGACATAAACCTTTAGAAAATGCTCTGACTGTGTTTACTGATGGTTCCAGCAATGGAAAAGTGGTTTACACCAGGCCGAAAGAATGAGTCATTGAAAATCAGATTCTGCATATGTAGTACAGCTACAAAGGATGTTGAGACAGCCCTAACCAAATATAGTATGGATGATCAGTTAAACCAGTCCTTTTATTTGTTACAACAAATTGTAAGAAAAAGAAATCTCCCATTTTATATTACTCATATATGAGCACATACTAATTTACCAAGGCCTTTAACTAAAGCAAATGAACAAGCTGACTTGCTAGTATCATCTGCATTCATAGAAGCACAAGAACTTCATGCTTTGACTCATGTAAATGCAACAGGACTAAAAAATAAATTTGATATCACATGGAAACAGGCAAAAAATATTGTACAACATTGCACCCAGTGTCAAGTCCTACACCTGCCCACTCAGGAGGCAGGAGTTAATCCCAGAGGTCTATGTCCTAATGCATTATGGCAAATGGATGTCACACATGTACCTTCATTTGGAAAATCGTCGTTTGTCCATGTGACAGTTGATTCTTATCTGCATGTTGTATGGGCAACCTGCCAGACAGGAGAAAGTACTTCCCATGTTAAAAGACATTTATTATCTTGTTTTGCTGTCATGGGAGTTCCAAAAAAAAATTAAAACACGTAATGGGCCAGGATACTGTAGTAAAACATTTTAAAAATTGTGAAATCAGTGACAAATTACACATACAACAGGAATCCCCTATAATTCCCAAGGACAGGCCATAATTGAAAGAACTAATAGAACACTCAAAGCTGAATTGGTGAAACAAAAAAAGGAAAAAGACATTAAGCAGTATAACACTCCCCAGATGCAACTTAATTTAGCACTCTATACTTTAAATTTTTTAAACATTTATAGAAATCAGACCACTACTTCTGCAGAGCAACATTTTACTGGTAAAAAGAACAGCCCACATGAAGGAAAACTGATTTGGTGGAAAGACAACAAAAATAAGACAAGGGAAATAGGGAAAATGATAACATGGGGGAGAGGTTTTGCTTGTGTTTCACCAGGAGAAAATCAGCTTCCTGTTTGGATACCCACTAGACATTTAAAGTTCTACAATGAACCCATCGGAGATGCAAAGAGAAGCGCCACCACGGAGATGGAAAACCCGCAATCGAGCATCATCGACTCACCGGGTGAACAAAATGGTGATATCAGAAGAACAGATGAAGCTGCCATCCACCAAGAAAGTGGGGCCACTGACCTGGGCCCAATTAAAGAAGCTGACACAGTTAGCTGAAAAAAGCCTGAAGAACAAAAAGGGTAACACAAACTCCAGAGAACATGCTGCCTGCAGCTTTGATGATTGTATCAACGGTGGTAAGTCTCCCTGTGACTGCAGGAGCAGCCACAACTAATCATACTTACCGGGACTGTGTGCCTTTCCCGCCCTTAATTCAGGCAGTCACATGGATGGATAATCCTATTGAAGTATATGTTAATAATAGTGCATGGGTACCAGGCCTCACAGATGATCGTTGCCCTGCCCAACCTAAAAAAGAATTGATGATAAATATTTCCACTGGGTATCATTATCCTCCTATTTGCCAAGGGAAGGTGCCAGGATATTTAATGCCTACAACCCCAAATTGGTTGGTAGAAGTACCTACTGTCAGTGCCACCAGTAGATTTACTTATCACATAGTAAGTGGGATGTCACTCGGGCCACAGATAAAATAATTTACAGGACTCTTCTTATCAAAGATCATTAAAATTTAGGCCTAAGGGGAAGCCTTGCCCCAAGAAAATTCCCAAAGAATCAAAAGGTCCAAAAGTTTCAGTTTGGGAAGAATGTGTGGCTGATACTGCGGTGGTATTACAAAACAATGAATTTAGAACTATTATAGACCGGGCCCCTCGAGGCCAATTTTATTATAATTGTACAGGCCAGACTCTCTCATGTTCACAGCCCCATCCATCTGGCCCATTAATCTGGCCTATGAGAGTGATTTAACTGAAAGGCTGGATCAGGTTTATAGAAAGTTACAATCACCCTATCCATGGAAATGGGGTGAAAAGCGAATTTCATCACCTCGACCAAAGTTAGTTAGTCCTGTTACTGGTCCTGAACATCCAGAATTATGAAAGCTTACTGTGGCCTCACACCACATTAGAATTTGGTCTGAAAATCAAGCTATAGGAACAAGAGATCGTAAGCCATATTATACTATTAACTTAAATTCCAATCCGACAATTCCTTTGCAAAGTTGTGTAAAACCCCCTTATATGCTAGTTGTAGGAAACATAGTTATTAAACCAGATTCCCAAACTATAACCTGTGAAAACAGTAGATTGTTTACTTGCATTGATTCGACTTTTGATTGGCAGCACCGTATTCTGCTGGTGAGGGCAAGAGAGGGCATGGGGATCCCTGTGTCCATGGACTGACAGTGGGAGGCTTCCCCATCTGTCCATATTTTAACAGAAGTATTGAAAGGAGTTCTAACTAGATCCAAAAGATTCTTTTTTACTTTGATTGCAGTGATTTTGGGTCTTATTGCAGTCACAGCTACTGCTGTGGCTGCTGGAATTGCTTTACACTTCTCTGTTCAAACTGCAGAATATGTAAATAATTGGCAAAAGAATTCCTCAAAATTGTGGAATTCTCAGACCCAAATAGATCAAAAATTGGCAAACCAAATTAATGATCTTAGACAAACTGTCATTTGGATGGGAGATAGGCTCATGAGCTTGGAATATCTTTTTCAGTTACAGTATGACTGGAATATGTCAGATTTTTGTATTAAACCCCAAGCGTATAATGAGTCTGAGCATCACTGGGACATGACGCCAACTACAAGGAAGAGAAGATAATCTTACTTTAGATATTTTAAAATTAAAAGAACAAGTTTTTGAGGCATCAAAAGCCCATTTAAATTTGGTGCCAGAAACTGAGGCAATCATGAAAGTTGCTGATGGCCTCACAAATCTTAACCCTGTCACTTGGGTTAAAACCATCAGAAATTCAACTGTTGTAATTTCATATTAATCCTGGTATATCTGTTTTGTCTGTTGTTAGTCTACAGGTGTATCCAGCAGCTCCAAAGAGAGAGCGACCAGTGAGAACGGGCCATGATGATGATGGCGGTTTTCTCAAAAAGAAAAGGGGGATATGTAGGGAAAAGAAAGAGAGATCAGACGGTTACTGTGTCTATGTAGAAAAGGAAGACATAAGAAATTTCATTTTTATCTGTACCCTGAACAATTGCTTTGCCCTGAGATGCTGTTAATTTGTAACTTTAGCCCCAACCTTGAGCTCACAGAAACATGTGTTGTATGGAATCGAGGTTTAAGGGATCTAGGGCTGTGCAGGATGTGCCTTGTTTACAAAATATTTACAGGCAGTGTGCTTGATAAAAGTCATCGCCGTTCTTCATTCTCAAGTAACCAGGGGCACAATGCACTGTGGAAAGCTGCAGGGACCTCTGCCCTGGAAAGCCAGGTATTGTCCAAGGTTTCTCCCCATGTGATAGTCTGAAATATGACCTCATGGGATGGGAAAGACCTGACCGTCCCCAAGCCCGACACCCGTGAAGGGTCTGTGCTGAGGAGGATTAGTAAAAGAGGAAGGCTTCTTGCAGCTGAGATAAGAGGAAGACCTCTGTCTCCTGCCTGCCCCTGGGAATGCAATGTCTTGGTATAAAACCCGACTGTACATTTGTTCCATTCTGAGATAGGAGAAAAACCGCCTTGTGGCAGGAGGTGGGACATGTTGGGAGCAATGCTGCTTTGTTACTCTTTACTCCATTGAGATGTTTGGGTGGAGAAAAGCATAAATCTGGCCTATGTGCACATCCAGGCATAGAACCTTCCCTTGAACTTATTTGTGACACAGATTCCTTTGCTCACATGTTTTCTTGCTGACCTTCTCCCCTCTATCACCCTGCTCTCCTGCCACGTTCCCCTTGATGAGATAGTGAAAACAGTAATCAATAAAAACTGAGAGAACTCAGAGACCAGTGCTAGTGCAGGTCCTCCGTATGCTGAGCGCCGGTCCCCTGGGCCCAATTTCTTTCTCTATACTTTGTCTCTGTGTCTTATTTCTTTCCTCAGTCTCTCATCCCACCTGATGAGAAGTAACCACAGGTGTGGAGAGGCTGGCCCCACTTCAAGTGTATAGAATTCTGGTGTGGCATGTCCCATCAGGTTACTTAAGGGTGCATGTCCCCTGCCTGAACCCTGAAGGCCAGGTGGGAAGCCAAGTCTCTTGTGCCCAGCCAAGAAGCAGGTGTCCCCGAGAACCCAAACATCCCAGACAGTATCTGAGAACCTACCAGGCAGAAGAGGCTGATTGCTCAAAATCAGTGGACAAAGAGCCAGAAAATTCACTTAAAAGCAGTTTAGAGACAGGAGGTGGCACAGATCTTTGGGGCTGTGCTGCTGCTGCCCTGGAGTGCCCTGCATGTGAATCCTAATCAACTCATTATTTGCCAAGCTGGGCTCATCTGAGTCATCCTTTGATCTCTTGGCTCCTTTCCGGTTTGGCGGGGAAAATGATACGGCCCTGGTTTTTCTCAGAGCAAGCGTGTTTTGGAATCGCACATCCTTCGAGGGCAGATAATAGTCAAGTGCCTGTGGGTGATGAGTGACTTTCCCTATGGTGAGAAACCCTACACAAAGGGCATCTGAGTGAGGACCCTGCTGGGGACTCAGGTGAGAAATCCTACACGAAGGACATCCGAGTGAGGACCCTGCTCAGGACTCAGATGAGAAACCCTACAAAAAGGGCATCCGAGTGAGGACCCTGCTCAGGACTCAGATGAGAAACCCTACACAAAGGGCATCCAAGTGAGGACCCTGCTGAGGACTCAGGTGAGAAACCCTACACAAAGGACATCCGAGTGAGGACCCTGCTCAGGACTCAGATGAGAAACCCTACACAAAGGACATCTGAGTGAGGACCCTGCTCAGGACTCAGATGAGAAACCCTACACAAAGGGCATCCAAGTGAGGACCCTGCTGAGGACTCAGGTGAGAAACCCTACACAAAGGACATCCGAGTGAGGACCCTGCAGAGGATTCAGATGAGAAACCCTACACAAACGGCATCCAGGTGAGGACCCTGCTGAGGACTCAGGTAAGAAACCCTACACAAAGAGTATCTGAGTGAGGACCATGCTGAGAACTCAGGGCCTGGTGTTGTTGGGCAGGAACCTTGGGCGAGAGCCTCAGTTTTCCTGAAAAATGAGGATGATGATGTCCACCACCTGTGTGACCCTGGTAGAATCGAATGAGATGGGGCAACTTAAGGGCTTGGCATAGGGCCTGGCATACAGGAAGAGTGAAATTAATGCATTTTTTCTACTTTTTCCCTCCCAGCAGAAGCCTCCATGATTATTCATCCCTCGTTCTGAAAACTAAAAATAAAATCCTAAGCTCCCCCTATGAACTGAACAGATTCCCTCTCGGCCAAGTGTACCCAGAGAAATCTTTAAAACTGAGTTCCTGGCCATGGCAGGATGGGAGGATAGACACGTCTCATTTTACTTCCTTCCTTTCATGGTTGAGACACAAAAACTGACCAGCATTCATGTTAAAATAGAGATTATAAGGCTGACTGAATTGACTATTTAGGGTAATAAGATACCAAGTTATATACAGGACCTAAGGTCTTACCAGGCAAGGGTTAAGTCAAGGGCCCCTACCCTTAAAAAATGAACTATATACTTTTTTTTTTTTTTTTTTTTGAGGCAGCGTCTCGCTTTGTAGCCCAGGCTGAAGTGCAGTGGCATGATCTTGGCTCACTGCAACCTCTGCCTCCCAGGTTCAAGCAATTCTCCTGCCTCAGCCTCCCGAGTAGCTGGGATTACAGGTGCATGCCACCACACCTGGCTAATTTTTTGTATTTTTAGTACAGACAGGGTTTCACCATGTTGGCCAGGCTGGTCTTGACCTGCTGACCTCATTATCCACCCGCCTCAGCCTCCCAAAGTGCTGGGATTACAGGCAAGAGCCACTGTGCCCAGCTGAATGAACTATATTCTAACTGCCACAGGGTTTTTCTCTCTCTAGCAGCTGAACAAGCACTGGCCCTAAGATAAGCAATATTGAAATGATTGCAGCTCATCCATCCCAGATTCTGACTAACTGACCCCCTGTTCCACAAGCCATGACTCCAGCTTTGATTGGACAAGAGATTGATTCCAGTAACTTTCTGCTGATGAGAGGCCTCTGAGCATTGACTGCTTCTGGCCACTTGAAAGAGACTTAGCACGCGAGCGTCTTCATGTCCCTGATGAACCATTTGATATGGGGGGGTCTAGCTGCAATGCATTGAAACATGAAGTCTCGGCGCAGCACGGTGGCTCACGCCTGTAATCCCAGCACTTTGGAACACTCTGGGAGACCGAGGCGGCAGATCACCTGAGGTCAGGCGTTCCAGACCAGCCTGGCCAACATAGTGAAACCCTATCGCTACTAAAAATAGAAAAAGTGGGCCAGGCGCGGTGGCTCACGCCTGTAATCCCAGCACTTTGGGAGGCCTAGGAGGGCGGATCACAAGGTCAGGAGATCGAGACAATCCTGGTTAACACAGAGAAACCCCGTCTCTACTAAAAATACAAAAATTAGCTGGGCGTGGCGGCGTGTGCCTGTAGTCCGAGCTGCTGGGGAGGCTGAGGCAGGAGAATGGCGTGAACCCGGGAAGTGGAGCTTGCAGTGAGCAGAGATTGCACCACTGCACTCCAGCCTGGGTGACAGAGCAAGACTCCATCTCAAAAAAAAAAAAAAAAAAAAAAAGTAGCCAGGTGTGGTGGCATGTACCTGTAGTCTCAGCTACTTGGCTGACACAGGAGAATCGCTTGAACCTGGGAGGTGGAGGATGCAGTGAGCTGATACGGTGCCATTGCAGTCCAGCCTGGGTGACATAGCAAGACTCTGTCTCAAAAAGAAAAAGAAATGTGAAGTCTCCACCCCAAAGTGAACATGGGACATAAGCCACATGAATGTTTATTCAGTATGCATGTGTTAGGCCCCCTTCAAGAATACTCATAGCCCATTTCATGACCTGTTGAGTGTGTATACTTGGCCAACCCACTCAGCATAAATTCCTGCCTCATCACTTCCTCCCTGGAAATACCAGTGAAGGATCTTTTCTGAAAGCTGCACTTTCGAGCCTGAGGCATGGCGAGCCTACAGGCCATAAGCTACAGAAATATATCCTTTTTTTCCTTTTTAAGTAGAGACAGGATTTTGCTTTGTTGCCCAGGCTAGAACTCCTTGGTTCAAGCAATCCACCCACATCGGCCTCCCAAAGTGCTGGAATTACAGGCGTGAGCCACCTTGCTTGGCCTATAGAATTATAGCTTTTTTTTTTTTTTGAGAGGGAGTCTCACTCTTTGCCCAGGCTGCAGTGCAGCAGCACGATCTCGGCTCACTGCAATCTCCGCCTCCCGGGTTCAAGCGATTCTCCTTGACTCAGCCTCCTGAGTAGCTGGGATTACAGGCACGTGCCACCATGCCCAGCTAATTTTTGTATTTTTAGTAGAGACGGGGTTTCACCATGTTGGCCAGGATGGTCTCCATCTCTTGACCTCGTGATCCACCCGCCTTGGCCTCCCAAAGTGCTGGGATTACAGGCGTGAGCCACCACACCCGGCCTAGAAATATATGTTATAATAAAATAGAGCCATGTGTGGTGGCTCATGCCTGTAATCCCAATACTTTGTAAGGCTAAGATTGGAGCCCTGCCTGAGCCTGGCCGTTCTGGACCAGCCCGGGTAATATAGAGACACTCCAGTAATGTGAGACTCTAGCACATGTTGAGTGGGAGTGGTCACATGTGGATGCTCATCGCAGCACTATTCACAACAGCAAAGACATGGAATCCACTGGAATGCACATCAGTGGTGGACTGGATTAACAAAATATGGTACAGATACACCATGGAAACCTACACAGCTTGAAACAAGAACAAGATAATGCCCTTTCATTAAGTCCTCATCCTCCTTTTGCTGCAACACGGATGGAGCTAGAAGCCGTTATGCTAAGCAAACTAAAGCAGGCACAGAAAACCAAACACCACATGTTCTCACTTATAAATGAGAGCCAAATATTAAGTATACATGACATAATAATGGGAACAATAGACGCCCGGGACTACTGGAGAGTGGAGGGTGGAAGGGGAGTGGGTATCAACAAACTACCAAAACTGGCTGGACATGGTGGCTCACACCTCTAATCCCAGCACTGAGGCAGTGCACCATTTGAGGTCAGGAGTTCTCCATGTCCAACATGGTGAAACCCTGTCTCTACTAAAAATGCAAAAACTTAGCCTGGCGTGGTAATGCAAGTCTGTAGTCTCAGCTACTTGGGAGGCCGAGGCAGGAGAATTGCTTGACTCTGGGAGGCAGAGGTTGCAGTGAGCTGAGAGCATGCCACTACACTCCAGCCTGGGTGACAGAGTGAGACGCCACCTCAAAAAACAAACAAACAAACAAATAAACAAAAGCTACCAAAATTATTTATCTGATAGTTTGTCTATTATCTATAGAACAAACCTGCATCTGTATTCCTGGAACTAAAATACAAGTTTGAAAACCTGCGATTTTCAGTGATTGGTTAGAGACCTGACAAATAGCCATCACATTAGAGTCACCCACTAGATTTCTGCTTTGTCATTTTGGGGAGGTCACAGTTTCCTGTTTGCTCTAGTTTCTTGTAGATATAGATCTGTATTTTTGCACTGAAGGAAGAATGATTTACTCCAGTTTTCTCTGTCTGGCTTGCTTTGGTTTGGACTGAATACATTCCCTTAGTGAATCTTCACCACTAGGTTGCTGCTTCCTTCTTGGCTCCAGGTGGTGGCTTAAGCCCAGGTTTACCTAAGTTTTAGTAAACCACAAGAGTGCTGCCAGTCCCAAATGGGGAAAGTCCCAAAGGGATTCTCATGGCAGTGTAGGAGCGCTAGCTAGGTCAAGCCCAGGTTTTCCTGTTTTTTGATAAGGAGAGAAGGGTGGTGTGATAGGAAGATCTCTCATTGAAATGAGTTAGTTTCCAAAAGGATGTATATTTCCATTAATATGGGCTGGAAATATTTAGAATGTATTATCCACCTAAATGATTTTAGCATTATTCTAAGAGAAATTGGATATCTTTACTGGACACAATCACTTTAATTCAGTAAACCCCACTAGTCACCATGAGGACAGGTCAGTGCCCTGGTTTTCCCGTTTTTTGATAAGGAGAGAAGGGAGGTGTTACAGGAAGATGTCTCATTGAAATGAGTTAATTTCCAAAAGGATGCATATTGATGTGGGCTAGAAATATTTAGAATGTGTCATCTACCTAAATGATTTTACTATTCTTCTAAGAGAAATTGGACATCTTTACTACACACAATTATGTTAATTCAGTAAAACCCACTAGCCACCATGAGGACAGGCAAGGGTTGGTGATGCCATGAGGCTCCCGCTAGTACACAGTATGGCCATTCCCTCCCAAGGCAGGGGGCCGCACCTTGTGCAGTGAAGCCCTTTCCTGACATGGCCAATGATCAGGAACAGATTCTCCCAGATCTGCCCATTAGGAGTGAGCAGGGTCTCGGTATCTGGGGAGCAGTGAGGGCCCCTGACAAGAAGAGGGTTGACTCAATGGTTCATCATCACTGCCCACATAGAATGTTCCAGGTCCCAGGCATGCATCTTTTGTGGATGAACCCAGTAAATAACCACAGGAGAAAGTAAGGAAGAGATGACTGGAGAGGTAAAGAATGGGCATAAATTAATCAAAGTTTAGGCTAGGCACGTTGGTTCACGCCTGTAATCCTAGCACTTTGGGAGGCTTCCTTGAGGTCACTTGAGGTTAGGAGTTTGAGACCAGTCAGGCCAACATCGTGAAACCCCGTCTCTACTAAAAACACAAATTCCCTTGAACCTGGGAGTTGGAGGTTGCAGTGAGCCAAGATCACACCACTGCACTCCAGCCTAGGTGACCAAGCAAGACTCCATCAAATAAACAAAACAAACAAACAAAACAGGTCAGGCTCTGTGGCTCATGCCTGTAATCCTAGCACTTTGGGAGGCCAAGGTGGGCAGATTACCTGAGGTCAGGAGTTCGAGACCAGCCTGATCAACATGGAGAAATGCCGTTTCTAATAAAAATACAAAATTAGCTGGGCATGGTGGCGCATGCCTGTGATCCCAGCTACTCGGGAGGCTGAGGCAGGAAAATCGCTTGAACCCAGGAGGCGGAGGTTGTGGTGAGCCAAGATCATGCCATTTCACTCCAGCCTGGGCAACAAGAGCGAATCTCCGTCTAAAACAAAACAAAAAAAAAAAGAAAAAAAAACCACAACGACAACATGAAGTTTATTTTGATTCCTTTATTTCCTGCAGATGAAACTAAATCACAGATGAACTAGTACCTCTTTTTTTAATTCATCAGGAACTAAAGATTTCTGATGTATAAATTGCTGAAACAGGCTAATCAATCATGAAGGACAGCAGAGAGTTTCCATTTAGGTTCCCTCTACTTCCGACGTTTCTTTGTATCCATCCTTGCTGAGATAACTCCCTCACTCTAGAACTTCAGCTTTCTATTTCTGACTGTCTAGGACACAGATCCCTGAGTCTCAGTGACTCCATTCAACTTTTTCCCCAGTGCTGCCCCCTGCTGGGATTTTTTGTTTTTTGTTTTCCACTCACAGAAAGCACATGCCTGAAACAGAGGTTTCTCTGTTCCCTTTATAATGCACCTATAGACCCGGCACAGCTGCTTATGCCTGTAATCCCAGAATCTTGGGAGGCCAAGCAGGGGGCTCCCTTAAGCGTAAGAGTTTGAGACCAGCCTGGACAACATAGGGAAACCCTGTCTCAAATTTTTAAATAAAAGCTGTAAAATTGTAAAATAAGGAAAAAGAAAAATAAAAGACATCTATGTCCCAGATTTTAGTTTCCAAGTGCCTGGAGAAAAAGCTTTTTATACCTCCACCCCACTAGGCAGGCCTTCCCCACAAGCAAAAATTGAACTCCAGTTGCTCAGTGGGCGAAGTGCCACAGCAAGGGCAGGACACCGGACCAAAGAAGATCCTTTTGGGCTCCCTTACTTCCCTCAGTATACGCATCAGCTCAGCCTGAAGTGGGGTGAGGAGCTCCAAAATGACACGACCCCTGTTGTCAAGACTCTCCCGAGGGGCAGGATATGTTTCCAGGCTCAAATTGCTCAGCCTGCCTGTGTGGCGCAGCAGGTCCTTCAGAGCATCCATGGACGTGTCATTGCCGTGAAAACAGAAAGTGGTGAGGTTGGAGCAGCGGCTCAGGGCAGGCAGGATGACCCTGAGTTTGGAGTACCCAATCCCACAGTCCACTAAGAAGAGGGTCTGAAGAGTGGCAGCAACTTTCTCTAGCAGAGCTCGGAGGGGCTCAAGACGGATGAAGCGCAGTGCACCATGACTCAGATTCAGCTGCTTCAGTTGACTGAGACTTGGGTACCGGGGCAGGCATTTCAAGTCCTCTTCTTCTAGGAAGCCATAAGTTAATGCCAATGTCTCCAACGGGCTCCTGAGGCACCTGGGGAGAGCAAGAAGTTAGTACTGGGCAATGGCACCAGTTAGAGGACGGTGGTAGAAAATAACGTCAAGGGAAGAGCCTGTTTTGCCCAAACACAAGTTTGTTCTCATCATCTAATCATGGTCCTCCCGCAAGGTGCTGCCTGATGAGGACTTGGATCATTCAGAGGCAGTCCCATTTTAGGCTCAGTCCTTTCACCATCACTGGTGTGATTGGTTCAAGGCCATAAAAACTCTAAAGCCTTTTTTCTTCATCTTCCAGCAGAAAGCTTCATCTCTGGGCCACAGGAGCCCAGTGGAAGAGATGCCCAAAGAACTGACCTGAGCAAGGTCTAGGGACATCAGCTAGGGCTACCTGCTTTCAGAGGCTCCCTGACATGGCCACATCTGCAAACCACCTGTCACTTTGTACCACTCTCGTGCCTACTCCCTCACCTCCATCCCAGAAGCACGCATTTCCCATGTCACTTACCTTTCCTGGAGTTCAAAACAACCTTTTACAGACAGGGAATCAGAGAGAGGATCATTCATGTTCACTAAGCTGTGAGGACAGAGCTTCCTCTGTGAAACGCACAGGTTTGGTGCACTTTCTCTTCTTTTACACCCTCCCCTCTGTTGCCTCTTTTTTATCATATTAACTTTAAACACACTTCCTAACAAGGAATTC